>NC_000001.11:201934587-203184587 GCF_000001405.40 Homo sapiens | reverse complement strand
TGGGTCTCAAAGGTAGGAGCCTCTCCCCAGGGGCAGGACGGCAGAGGATGATGGCATAGGAGTGAGGAGCTTGGGTCTCCCGCATCCACTGTATGGATGTTCCAGGGGCTCCAGACTAGATAGGTACAAGGCCTACCTGTTTGTCAAGGGCCTGCCTGATGTGTAGCAAAGAAAGCAGAGCCCAGAGAGAGAGCAGGACTTGCCAAGAGTCACACAGCAAGTTAACAGTGGATCTCCCAATTCCCTGCCAATGCTCTATTTACTACCTCACAGGCCCGAAAATATGGGACTTCTGGGGCTACCACCATTAGGGCTGGAAAGAGAGAGATGGAAACCAATGGGGACATTGAGAAGTGGGGAGACCCTGGGAGGAGTCTTTGGATTAGGTGGGGTTGGAGCAGGGCTTGAAATGGGGGTGGTTATGGCCATCGTTGGCACCCATGTGCTGGGTACTCTTTCTGTGTCCAGCACCCTGTCTCCCCATGATCCCATGTTGTCCTCACAACAGCAAGGTGAGCTGTTATATTTGTCCCCATTTTACAGATGATGAAACTGAGACTCAGGTTATAACCTTTCACAGTGGCTGGCTAGTAAGTGATAGAGCCAGACTTGGAAACCTGGAATGCCTGGCTCTAAGGCACATGCATGCCTGGAGGCGACCCCTGTCCCAATCATGCCCTCCCAGAGCTGTGTGGCCTCAGGATCCCAGCTCTGCAGGTCCTGGAAACCCCACCAGAGGCCCAAGGCACCTAGCATATCAGTGCTGAGCATGCTACAGGGCTGATTTTGGTCCTAGATTTTCCAAGATAGCCTCCAACACCCAGAGTCGCCGGACTTTCATCAAGTCAGTACCGCCATTTCTGCGCACCCATGGCTTTGATGGGCTGGACCTTGCCTGGCTCTACCCTGGACGGAGAGACAAACAGCATTTTACCACCCTAATCAAGGTGCTGGTCAGGTCAGGGACAGGGAGGGAGGTGGGCAGGCATGAGGGAATGGGGTGGGCTAGAAGCCGGCGTCAGCTGCTGTCCTCCTGAGGACAGGTAAAGAGGGACTTCAGCCTCAGGGCAGTGTCCTGGGACCCTGTGCCCTGAAGATCTCACATAGCAAGGAAGGCTTCTTGTGACCATGGTGGGAGGTGGGAATGGGGTTCTAAGAGGTGGAAGGTTGTGACTGAGCAGAGCACCCACTTATAACTACCCACTTAGTGCATTGCCCATTGCCCACCCTTCAATCCCATACTGATGCCACCCATACCCAGCATGCACTGTGTCCAGCAGCTCTCAGCTCTGCCTGGGGGCAGCCTAAGTATCTCCAGTTACCAGGGGCAGAAGGAGAGTCTAAACAAATTGTTCACAATACCAGCAGCAATCACTTTAACTTTGGGATTTCATGCACCAGCTAGAACAAAGCACAGACCGAAAGGCAAATGTCTCCCAAAGTCATCTGTGGGCCAATAGGGGTCACCCACTGTCCGATGCTCCCTCCAGGACAGGGAGTAATTGAGTGCTGATGGGTGTGCATGGGTTTGGGGAGAAGATTAGTCAGTTTTTTAGGAAAAGGATGGGTGACTTGAGGATGGGACCACTGATGAGCCACTTTATCACTTCCACTAGGCCCCAGGCAGGTTGGGGAGTACAGCAAATGGGTTGCGCAGAGACCTAGTCCGCCCTCGATGAGTCTACCTCTCATGCCACTTGGGACCCTTTCTCTCACCTGCCTGTCTCCCATCTAGGAAATGAAGGCCGAATTTATAAAGGAAGCCCAGCCAGGGAAAAAGCAGCTCCTGCTCAGCGCAGCACTGTCTGCGGGGAAGGTCACCATTGACAGCAGCTATGACATTGCCAAGATATCCCAGTGAGTCTCCTGCCCCAGGCAGCCTCCCCAGAACCTCTGCCAACACTCCTGTTTCCCCGCCACCCCCAGCCCTAGCACTCCATGTAGACTGAGGACACTGGGCTTCCAGTCCCAGTTCTTCCAAAGCCTTGATGTGTGACCTTGAGCAAGTCACTTCCCTGCCCTGTGCCTCAGTTTCCCCATCTGTCAAATGAGGCATAACAATCCTTGCCTTTCCTTTTTCACCTGGGCTGTTGGCTGAGCAGTTGAGAGAGCTGCTATGAAAGTATTTTGGAAAGGGAAGTGGAAAAAGCTATTCAAACCCTCCAGCTATTGCAGAGTATTTTCTCCACACCAGGCAGAGCAGAGTGCTGGGCCCTGGAGAGGCCACACAGCAGCCTCTTTCTAGAGTGCTGGGGAGTCCTCAAGGCTCTCTCATACACACAGGCCTCCCCCTTTCCTGTTGGCCCCACGCCTCATCCTCACCCCACCCCTCATGCCTGTGAGGAACAAGGAACAGCCAAGCAGCCTCATCTCTCCTGAGAGCAGAGCCATGGGTCTCGGGAAACCCAGGAGTAAGGAACAAAGACTCTTCAAAATGACTTCAGAGCTTTCTTTAGGATCCCAGGGAGGTGTAAACTCAGTGCTTAATTAAATGGATTCTTTAGAGGGTGGGAAACAGGTGGATGTCAACCATTTGCCCCACATACCCGTATTCATGCAATCCACCCCCAGTGGGCTCACCGGTGCGGGTGTGCAAAACCTCCTCCCACCCCAGTCATCTTAGGTTCAGGTCATCCTTTGGTCCTGCTCTTTCCCCGCCAGGCTGTCTGTTGATGCTACTTTTAATCTGCTTTCACTAAGATAAGCCTGGCAGAAGTGGTGGGGGTAAGGTGGGCTGTAGGCCAGCTCCCAAATGTGTGCTGGGCATAACAGAAGACCCATTCTTGACTGAAGTGCCCTTGTGGGACCCTGAGCCCGTGCCCTGGAGTGGCACAGGGAGGTGTGCCAGCAATGGGGACCGAGGTCACTGGGGACTGCTGGGGTTCGGGCTAGTGGCCTGTCTGGCTGCTGTCTGCTTCCCTCGTTCACATCCTGCTGGAGCCTTAAATAGGAGCCCAAAAGCTTTTCTTTCTTACTTTTTTTTGAGACAAAATCTCACTCTGTTGCCCAGGCCGGAGTGCAGTGGCACAACCTCTGCCGCCTGGGTTCAAGCGATTCTCCTGCCTCAGCCTCCCGAGTAGCTGGGATTACAGGTGCCTGCCACCATGCCTGGCTAATTTTCGTAGTTAGAGTAGAGACGGGGTTTCACCATCTTGGCCAGGCTGGTCTTGAACTCCTCACCTCATGATCCACCTGCCTCGGCCTCCCAAAGTGCTGGGATTCCAGGTATGAGCCACCACGCCCGGCCTAAAGCTTTTCTATTAATAATTTCCTGCCTCACCCTCCATCCCCTTCCTCCTCAGACACCTGGATTTCATTAGCATCATGACCTACGATTTTCATGGAGCCTGGCGTGGGACCACAGGCCATCACAGTCCCCTGTTCCGAGGTCAGGAGGATGCAAGTCCTGACAGATTCAGCAACACTGTGAGTTCCCAGAAGGAGGGAGGGCCAGGAGGGGGCCGCAAGACCTGCCATCTGCCAGTGCTCACACACCAATCTCTCTAGCCCTCAGTACAGTCCTGCAAGAGGGGGGTCATGAGGCCCATTCCACAGATAAGGAAACTGAGGCCCAAAGTCTGGGCATGCTGCGTTGCTCTGGGAAGGTGATCTGCAGGGTAAATGGAGTGAGGGCAGGGGGCCGAATGGGGAGAGGCTGGGAGCCGAGGAGGTAGGAGTCATTGTGCCCTCAGAGCCAACCACCTGATTTCTGCATCTGTCAAATAGTAATAGCCCCTTCCTATGCCTCAAAGGATTTTTTTCAAGAATGAAACTGTAAAATTCACTTTAAAGTGACATGATCCGTTCCCGGAGGGACAGGGGAATCCCCAGTGCACCATACACCAATAACCCCTGCTAAGGCAGCAGTATTAATTGCTCAACCTTCCGCACCTGTGCACTAACTGCTCACGTTGTTCCCACCCTACCCCACCCAGGACTATGCTGTGGGGTACATGTTGAGGCTGGGGGCTCCTGCCAGTAAGCTGGTGATGGGCATCCCCACCTTCGGGAGGAGCTTCACTCTGGCTTCTTCTGAGACTGGTGTTGGAGCCCCAATCTCAGGACCGGGAATTCCAGGCCGGTTCACCAAGGAGGCAGGGACCCTTGCCTACTATGAGGTAATGGAGTTGGGGAGAAGGTAGGATTCCCCCACACCACCAGCAGCCCTGGGGAAGGTGATTCCCCACCACGTTCTTGCTTTTTCTCCTTTGGGAATAAAGAAAATGTCCGGTTGCCCCAGCATGCCTGAGGAAGTGGAAGGGAGAGGTTAGGACATTTGTTGCTGAAAATCTCCAGCAGGTACAGGCACATGGGCCTGCACCACTAGGCACCTGGGATAGCCCTCTGGCTATGGGGCTGAGGTCTTCCTTCCAGCCCAGGAAAGAGCAGAGGTCAAGAGGCAGATTTTTTGTTTCACTCTAGCCTCTGCTACTCTGTGTGGCCTTGGGCCTGTCCTCAGTGTCAACCAGCAGGCCTCACATCTCTGTTTAAATGGAAGAAGCTAAGCAGGGCCAAGGCAGCCACCATCTCTGGGTCATTTGCCTCTGGTTTGTATAAACTTGTGTGATGCATGCAGCCTGCAGACCCTGCAGAGAGTGAGGCTGCAGGATGGAGCAGGAGCTAAAAGAGATTTGGAGAGTGGCGTCTCCTGGTGACCTGCAAGGTCTCGGCACGACTCCCCACACTGCCTTTTCCCTGTTATCTGCTCAGATCTGTGACTTCCTCCGCGGAGCCACAGTCCATAGAATCCTCGGCCAGCAGGTCCCCTATGCCACCAAGGGCAACCAGTGGGTAGGATACGACGACCAGGAAAGCGTCAAAAGCAAGGTAGGTTTCCCCAAGGCCACACCTCAGGACAAAGAGAAAGAAGGAGGCCCCGCTCCCAGCAGCCAGATTCCTGTCCCTTGCACTGAGGTCTGGGCTGGGCTCACAGAGCACATGTGCCCTGTACACACTCTGGGTCAGGGAACCCAGCCCTGCTCCTCTGGGCCTCCCCTGCCAGGTGCAGTACCTGAAGGACAGGCAGCTGGCGGGCGCCATGGTATGGGCCCTGGACCTGGATGACTTCCAGGGCTCCTTCTGTGGCCAGGATCTGCGCTTCCCTCTCACCAATGCCATCAAGGATGCACTCGCTGCAACGTAGCCCTCTGTTCTGCACACAGCACGGGGGCCAAGGATGCCCCGTCCCCCTCTGGCTCCAGCTGGCCGGGAGCCTGATCACCTGCCCTGCTGAGTCCCAGGCTGAGCCTCAGTCTCCCTCCCTTGGGGCCTATGCAGAGGTCCACAACACACAGATTTGAGCTCAGCCCTGGTGGGCAGAGAGGTAGGGATGGGGCTGTGGGGATAGTGAGGCATCGCAATGTAAGACTCGGGATTAGTACACACTTGTTGATTAATGGAAATGTTTACAGATCCCCAAGCCTGGCAAGGGAATTTCTTCAACTCCCTGCCCCCCAGCCCTCCTTATCAAAGGACACCATTTTGGCAAGCTCTATCACCAAGGAGCCAAACATCCTACAAGACACAGTGACCATACTAATTATACCCCCTGCAAAGCCCAGCTTGAAACCTTCACTTAGGAACGTAATCGTGTCCCCTATCCTACTTCCCCTTCCTAATTCCACAGCTGCTCAATAAAGTACAAGAGCTTAACAGTGTGTTGGCGCTTTGCTTTGGTCTATCTTTGAGCGCCCACTAGACCCACTGGACTCACCTCCCCCATCTCTTCTGGGTTCCTTCCTCTGAGCCTTGGGACCCCTGAGCTTGCAGAGATGAGGCCGCCATGTCCTCTGCCTAGCCGCAGAGAGCCCCAGTGGGAGGCCAGCGTCCTCAGATTCACCTGCCTTGGACTTAACCCAAGCATGGCTGATGGCCTTCCAAATATTAAAGTCATTGCCATCCAGATTTCTAAATTAAATTCCCTGTTGAAAGAAACGTTTTCTGTTTCCTGAAGGCTAGCAGGCCCTGGGAAAGAAGGCTTTTCATCCCAACACTCCCTCTCTTCTGATCCACAGGAAGGTGGTGGGAGCTCATCACAGGACCAGGTTAGAAAGCCCTGAACCCTGGACCCTCAGGGCCAGCAGGAAATGCAGATGTCATCTCATGCACCCTTCCTGCCTCTCGGGACTGGAGTCCCTGCAGAGTGCTTGAGAGATGGCCCTCCAGCCTCCCAGTGAGGGGCAGCCGATTACCTTGGAAGCAACCCATTCCGTGGCTGGGCTGAAATCTGTCAATAGTCCTAGTGCTGGGCTTAGCCCTTTGTTCTGTTCACCCCTCCCCTAACACTCATCCCTCCACCCATTCAGAGATCAAAGTACCTCTGCTCAAGCTGGCCTGAGATAGGAGGTCGGGAGGATGTGATGGGGTGACTCAGAAGAATAGACAGATTTTCAGCCTTTATGAGGTGGAGACGCTCTCATCAGGCTTCTGTTGAATTCCCAGGGCCCCAGGAATGCCTTTATCCAAAAAGGCTCCAGATACTCACCCCAGAACTAAAGAGAATTGATTTGTGGATTCTCTGATGTTTGGATTATCTGTGACTTAGGATAATCACAAATTGGCCTGATGGTTTGTGACGCCGGTTTGAAGTGGAGGGAAGGAGGAAATATCTGAAATCTGAACCAGCTGGAGCTGGGCAGATGCTACTGATCCCAAGGTCACAGCCCTGCTGAAGGCGAAGAAAACAAGGACTCGGCAAGGCGTGGAGTGGGGTGTGGGGAGGGGGTACCCGGCATTTCACCTCTGGCTGGTGGGGCCAAGTATTCCCTAATCCCTGCCACTGCCCACCCCACCACACAGGCATCTTTGAAACCCCAGGGCTGCAAGCCCTTGTGGGCAGCCAACTGCCCTCCCCTGGGGCCACCCTTCCCCCAGCCGGGGACAGGCTCTCCAGGGCTGACTCAGTGTCCTGTGGGGTTAGTCACATTCACTTATAGCTGCAGAGTCAGAGGCCAAGGATGGAGATCCAGTCTCCAGGACCCACTCCCTGCCTGGCAAGACGTGGAGTCACCTAGCAGAGGGCGAGGGCATCCAGGGAGGGCCAGATCCAGAGGCTCCCAGGCCCTGCACTGCCACTCCCCAGCAGAGACAGCAGGGTTGAGAGGCAGCCACACCCTGGTGTCCCCAGTCCTCAGGAAAGGGAAGAGCATGCATGCTGCTGAGGGCCCTGAATAAATCACTTTTACTTATTTTTAAATTGTGAGCACATCTTACGTGCTAAAGAGTGCATAAATGTATTTGTTTAATTTGAAGAATAACTATGTAGTAAGAACCTGTGTAACCACCACCCAGGTCAGGAAAGGAAACCTCATTAGCACCCCTGCAGCCCTCACGATCACAGATATCCCTGTTCCTCCACCTAGAGGCAATCGCCATCCTAACTTTTGTACTGGCCTCATCTTCCTTTCTGGCCTTACCGCCTACGGATGTACCTTGAAGAAGGGAGCCTGGTGTTGACTGCATTTGGATTTAATGTAGATGAGACAGATGAGACGCAACATTTCTGTGTGCCTTGCTCTTCTGCTCATCACTGGGTCTGTGAGTAGCTGAAGTTGCTCATTTGACCCCATATTTTGCTTTACAGTTGCATAAACACTCCACAGTTATTTATCCATCCCACTGTTGAGGGACAGCTGTTTTCCCCCACATTTCAACAATTACAAATAACATTGCCATGAACCTTCTTCTCCATGTCTCCTGGGGCATGTGTGGGTGTTATATGAGCGGCACGGCTGGGTCACGGAGTAGGCACCTCATCCATTTTACTAGGCACTAGTAAAACTCTCACATTTTCCAGAGTGACTGCTCCAATACCAGCAATAAAAGTTCTTAATGTTCTCCCTCCTTCCTGACACATGGCATTTTCTGGCTTTCCAGTGATTCCCAGTCTTAACATTTTATCGAACAAATGAATCAATGACTAGAAATCTGGCCATATCTGCCTCCTTTGGCACACTGAGAAAGCCCATGCCCACAGCCTGCTTGGAAGAGTCTAGAAGCTTCAGAGTGCTCTCCTCCACTAGGGCATCTTCCAGATCTGCCTACAACTGCAACCCATCCCGAAGGGCGAGGGGTTCTCTGTAACAGGTGGAAAACTGAGGCCCACAGCAGGCATCAGGGGAGACGAGCTCCTTACCAGCCGCCCAACTGAGACAGGAGCCAGGAGACTTAGTGCCCCTTCCTGGGGTTCCAATGCTGGAGGACCATCCTCTGAGCAGCTCCACCCTCAGCATCTCAATTCCCTCCCTCTCTAGGGCCCTCAGCCTCATACAGCACAGGCGAGAGTCCCTGGGAACTGTGGGAGCCCAGGGAATGTGGACCCCAGAGGCAAAGCTGGGAGTGCTCACAAGGACGATTGTCCCAAACTGTCAGGGCCCCAGCACCCAGTCTGAGAAGCTCTGGGAACAAGTGGCCCCATAGACGCCAGACACACAGAGCCTGAGCTGGGCTCATTCTCCAGATAGAAGTTCTTCCTCCTATTGCCCTGACACCTGGCACGCGGCCTGCTCGATGTCCCATCTCACCCATCTGCGCCCTCCCCCAGCTGGGCACCAGCACCCTGGCTGTTGAAGGCCAGTCGGGGAGATGGATGAGGAAGTGACTCCTCAAGGGGCCCTTGTGGTTCCTCCCCCAGAGCTATTCCTGGCCTGGGCGCCTCTCCACCCTCCAGTCCTCCTGCTTGACCTGACCCCACAGCTGGGAATCGTTTGCTGGGGGTGGGGCAGCCCCTGACTATATAAGCCTGGACCTAGGTGTCCCAGGCACCCTAGAGGCCCAGGCCCCCCAACGGCTGACCCCTGCACACTCCACCCTGGCCCCCCAGCCAGTCCAGCAATGATGGAAAAAAACACCTCCGAGGGCCCTGCCTGCAGTCCAGAGGAGACCGCATCTGAATCTGCCAAGGTGCCCACAGCAGAGCCTCCCGGAGAAGTGGCAGTATCAGAGTCCACCAGAGAAGAGCAGGTGCCCAAGCCGCAGGCCCCTGCCCCACAGGCCCCTACAGCCTCCACAGCCACTAAGCCTGCACCCCCAAGTGAAGGTGACTGAAGGTGGGGCAGGGGGAGGAGGGAGGCAGGCATGTCAGGGGTGGAGGGGAGCTCTTGGCCATGAACCTCTTCATCTCCCCAGATGTCCCCAGTGCCCCACTGCTGCTGACCCTGGATGATGTGAGCAGCAGCTCTGTGACTGTGAGCTGGGAGCCCCCAGAGAGGCTGGGGAGGCTGGGCCTCCAGGGCTATGTGCTGGAGCTCTGCAGAGAGGGAGGTGAGTGCTGGGCTAAGTCTTGCATACACCCAGGGGAGGTTGTCATGGAGGGCTGCAGGGACAAGTGCACAGGCCCTGTGGTTGGTCAGTCTGGGAGAGATACAGAAGGAGGGGATGCGAGCAGTAGGCTCCTCAACCCACCCACCTGCCCTTTCTTGCTCCACCAGCAGGAGAGCAAGAAAGGGTAGGTGGGTGGGTTGAGGGGCTCCCTTGTCCTCAGCTCCAAGGAGCTTCTGAGTAAGGGAAGGGTAAGGGGACACTGGGTTCTCCTTTGGTGAGAAGGGAAGGAAGTGCTAAGTCTCAGAGGACCCCGAACTGTAGGAAGTGGAAAGGGAGGAGCTGGAGAGGGGAATGTTAGCGTAAGAGACAGTGAGGAGAAAGCGGGAATGGGGTGGGGGTGTGGGGGCCACATCCCTGCTGCCACTGTCCCCCTCCATGGCCCAAGTCCAGCCTGGCCTCTGCCTCTGCCCCTACCTTGCTGTGTGACTTTGCAAATGTGTCCAACCCTCTCTGGGCTTCAACAACCTCATCTCTAGCCACAATTTCAGGGCTCTAACATCAGGTGTCTTTGATGCCATTTGACAAGAAGTCAGGGAAGGCAAACAAGGGGAAAATGAGGCCCAGAGAGGGAGGCTGATTTCCCCAGATCACCAGCAGGAAAAGAAGCCCCATGGAGAGGGGCGCCTGTGGCCACATTGCAAAGACCTCACACTCTCTCCATCCCCTCAGCCTCGGAGTGGGTGCCTGTGAGTGCCCGGCCCATGATGGTGACCCAGCAGACTGTGCGGAACCTGGCTCTGGGAGACAAGTTCCTCCTGCGCGTGTCTGCAGTGAGTTCTGCAGGGGCTGGCCCGCCGGCCATGCTGGACCAGCCCATCCACATCCGAGAGAACATTGGTAAAGCCCATCCTGGCCTTCAGCTACCCAGCCCTTCCCAAACACCTTATCTAATGGAGAAACTGAGGCCAGCAGGTAGAGGGAACCAGGCAGTCATTTCCCCCGTCCCACGCTCACATGCACAAGCCACACGCTATCACCATCTTGCCTTAAGAAAGTTCCAGGTTCCTCAGCAGTAAGGGGCCTCTGGAGGTCTAAGAAGCCATTTCCCTGAGTGGTCCAGCCCCCACGCCTTGAGAAAGGGGCTCAGAAACAAAAGGTCAAGTTCCCTGGGTCACCTGCTCAATGCTAAGAGTCCATCTGTTCTATCTCCCATCTAATCTCAATCTCTCCAGTGGCCATAAATGCTCATTTTCTGCCCATTTCCTGTGGCCTGGGTTCCAGATTCTCTCAAAGGTCTTGAAACAGAGAGAAGGCGCTGCTTGCCCCTTGTTCCACCATGGCCCTAGTGGAAAGAAAAAGAAGGTCTGCAAAAGGCCCATGAAGACTTCTCCATTGCAGAGGGCATACCTCACTGGGGCCCCGCAGGCCAGCTGCCATCCCCATTGCTAATATTTCTATTTGCAAGGTGCATTAGCCTCAATCCTCCCCTCGCTCCCCTCCCGGAGCTGATCGGGTTTCAGTCTGTTAATGACAGTGAGTCATTTGGTCTGATCTGAGGTCTCTGGGGACAGCACAGTCCCCCAGGGTGAGGAGAGACACAGGCAGGCAGGTGGCCTGAAGCCTTCTCCACCTTCCTTCTTGCTCCTCCACTAGGGGATGGATGATTTCTGGTAGCTCTAGACAAGGCCTCCAGAAGGAGAGGGGATCCACAGGAGGGGTCAAGTCTGGATTCGAAAGGAAATGCTCAGCTCTGAGGCCTGAGAGACATGGGAACCATGGGGTTAGGGAGCTTAGATTCATAGATTATCAAGGCCCAAGGAGATCCCAAGGAGCCCAGGGCATCCCTTGAGGTCACCCAGCCTTTTATTGGCAGTCCCAGAGTCTGATGCCTACACAGGACCACTCATGTCCCACTGCACTGCAGAGCATCTTCTCTGGTGGCACCCAAAACCCAAGCCTCCCAACCCTAATTCCCAGCCTTTGGCTCTAGGTGAGATGTGGCCCCACCAGGCAGCTGCATTATGGCTGTGTCGACCCTAGTCCTGGAGGTGCCAGGAAGGCTTCTTGGTTGGGACGGTGCTGGGCCTTCCCCAGGGAACCAGGGAGCTCAGACTCTGAGAGGCCCCTGAGGCCCAGCATTGATGGACCCAGCCAGACTCAGCACCCACTTCTCCATTCAAATTCCTCTGGCAGGAGAGAAGGGGATTTCCTGGAGAGAAGAGGGAGAGGAGGCTGTGAACAAGTGGGGAACAGCCAGGCTTATCACAGGGCAGAGTGGGGGCCCTGTCCAGGATCCTTGGCTGCTCAGCTGTCTCTCCTTGGCCACCTGGAGCTGCCAAGCATTCTTGACCCCCTGCAGCTGTCCCTAGAGCATTCCATGCCTGAGCTCCCAGAGCCAAGTGCCCACTCAGCTAATCCTCAGAGACACCGTGTTCCTTCTCACTGTCTTGTCCTCCTCCGCCCTGCATGCCACCAACCAACTGCTGCCACCTGTTTGCTGCTGAGGAGCCTCAGTCATGGACCCAGCACCCACCCCAGGGGACAGGGATGGTGGCCACTGCAGCTTCCCTTAGAATGCCCAGGGGCTTCAGTGGTTGCCCCTGACCAGATGAGGGTCAGAATGTCATTCCTTAGCATAGCAGGCAGCTGAAATAGGACTTCAAGAAGGACTTCCCGGCTCTGAGACTAACAGATTTTGGGAGGGTGACAGAGGAAGAAGGGGGGATACCCGCCCTGGCTTCACTTGGGAAGAGAAAGATCCTAAACCTTTCAATAGGGCCTGGAGACAGAGGAATGGACAAACAGGGTTTCACAAAGGCTTCTCTGAAAGTCCTGGGCTTGTGGAGAGCTGGGGATATTAGAGCAGGAAGACGGCAGTGGCCTCCCCTTCCTAGAAGTGCAGCCTGACAGGTGCAGCACCTGCTCCCCAGCAGGGGGAGACAGAGAGTCAGCTGGGGCCCATCTGGTGCTTGGGAATGCCTGGGCTGCAGGACAAATCCCATCCTGGCAGAGTCGAGGCGCCAAGGGAGTGCCCAGGATGCTTACCAGTTCACACCATGGAGGCGCTGACCTCCTGAAACCTCCTGCTCCCTTAAGGGATTTGGGCCCCTAGACCTCAGGAGTGAGAGCTTCACCCTTCCTGCAAGGAGGGACCCCATGGCAGCCAGGCACACCCAGGACCCTCCTCCCAGCCAGCATCCCTCACCAGCTGTCCCCTGCCCCATCTCAGAAACCCCAATCAGCCACCCCACTGCACTGCTAAGCCCAGACTCTTGCTTTGATCCAGAGGCCCCCAAGATCCGTGTCCCCCGCCACCTCCGTCAGACCTACATCCGCCAGGTGGGAGAGACGGTCAACCTGCAAATCCCCTTCCAGGTGGGTATTACCCCCACCAAGGGTAACAGCCTGGGTGGGAACCAGGGCCCCCATTTAAGGGGAGCCTGGGAGATGGCAGGGTCTCCAAGGGTCCAGCTGAGACCCAGCGAGACGGCTTCATCCTTCCGCAATCATGCACATGACTCATTGGTGATTCTCAGCCTGTGGATGGGCAGGTGGGCCCCCAGAGCGGGATGGACACCTGGAAGATGTGGCTGTGGGCAGCACCTGTGGCTCCAGCCTCTGCTGCCCCTCCTGAGAAGGGCCAGTGGGACAGGCTTCCCCGAGAACAGCTCCAGAGACTCCTGGAGTTAAGGAGGTGTGGGGACTCTGGCACCTCCCTACACTCACCCTGGGGGCTCCTCCCTGCCAGGGGAAGCCTAAGCCTCAGGCCACATGGACCCACAACGGCCATGCCCTGGACAGCCAGCGGGTGAGCATGCGCACCGGGGACCAGGACTCCATCCTCTTCATTCGCTCGGCCCAGCGCTCCGACTCTGGCCGCTACGAGCTCACTGTGCGCGTGGAAGACCTGGAGGCCAAGGCAGTCATTGACATCCTGGTGATTGGTATGGAGCCAGGGGAACAGTGCTGTCTCATGGGGGACCTGGAGCCCCCAACCTCCTATCCCAGAGCTGATGGCTGATGGGAGCAGGCCAAGGGAGTGTGGCAAGAGCCAAATTTTGGGTGTGGGGGCTCTGTGGCCAGCCTGGCCCTCACACTCACTTCCTCTCACACTCTGGGCCTACAGAGAAACCTGGACCCCCCAGCAGCATCAGGCTCCTGGACGTCTGGGGCTGCAATGCTGCTCTTCAGTGGACGCCACCCCAGGACACAGGCAACACAGAGCTCCTGGGCTACATGGTGCAGAAGGCAGACAAAAAGACAGGGGTGAGGCTGGCTGAGGCAAAGTGGGGTCGGGGTACGAAGTGGTCAAGGTGGTGGGGAAGGCCCATCCCACTGAGTCTAGGGACCGAGTCTAGGGATCGAGTTCTGGTCTGCCCACTGCTAACCTGACTCCCTAGGAGGCCCTTAGCAAGACTCTTCCTCTCTGGACCTCAGATGCCTCCTGAAGACTGTGAAGAGGGCTGGCCCGGGCTGTCTGAAGCCTTTCAAGTTCTGGAGCCATGCTTCTCAAATCTTAATGTCCACATGAGTCACCTGGGGAGCTTGCTAAGAGGCAGAGTCTGACTCAGTAGGTCCAGGGTGGGGGCTGAGGGCCTGCATTTCTAAGACGTTTCCAGGTGATGCTGAAGTTGCACATCCATGGGCCACACTTTGCACACAAAGGCTCTAGGATTCTCTGAGGACCCTACAGAGGTCACCTGAGTGACCCAGGGGCCCCTTCTTCCAATTCAATGTCCCTGAGGCCCAAAGCTGGATGGTTCAGCATCCTAAGGTTGGGGGCATGGAATGAGTTCCTGTGAGGAAAGGTCTCCAGGGTAAGCAGGGAGGGTGAGGACAGGGGTGAGAAATGAGGGTGACACCCGGGGCCCTGCAGCAATGGTTCACAGTGCTGGAGCGCTACCACCCAACCACCTGCACCATCTCTGACCTCATCATCGGCAACTCGTACTCCTTCCGGGTCTTCTCAGAAAACCTGTGTGGACTCAGCACCTCGGCCACCGTCACCAAGGAGCTCGCCCACATCCAGAAGGCAGGTGGGTTTGGGCCCGGAGCTGGCTGTGCTAACTCTCTCCCTGTCTCTGCTTCTTCCTCCGCGTCTCTGCACCCCTCTCTCTGGGTTTCTCCTGGGCGTCTGCCCCTGGAACACTTGCCGTCTCCTCACTCCACGGCTATGCATACACACACATGGAGTGGCTGCAAAGTAGTGAATGTGGTTGGCTGATTTTAACAAACACATCAGAGCAAATCCACACAAATGAAAGATGCCCCTTTGGAGGCTGTGTGCTTATTCCAAAGAGGTGTGTGGCTGCCAGCATCACAGCAGCCGCCGAGTCTCAGGCAGTGAGTGTCCGAAGGGAACCTAAAGGGTGACCTGCGCATGGCTGGGTAGTGTGCTAAAACAAGCCTCCCAACCCTAATACATACCACATAGATGGACAAGAGAGATAGGAGTATTTACTGTCTCCACACAGGCACCTGACCTTCTTGCGTCAAATGTTAAACCCCGGGCCCTTTTCCCTGTCCCTTGTGTGCCCCAAGGCCCTCTCCGACCCACAGTCTGTGTGGGTTCCAGAAGGCAAACTTTTTTTAACACTAGCCTGAACTGCACAGAATTAGGAAGAAACTTTTGTTTAAAAAAAGAAAGCCAGTCAAGTCTCCAACGACAAACCCAAAGGAAACGTGGCACCTCTGAGTTGCTAGCATCCATCTTCTGCCAAGATGCTCTTATCTCTGGTTTTTCCACCTTCTCATCTCTACTCATCACCCTGACCCACCCAGCTACAGTCTCAGCTTTCTCTGCCTCTTTGAGATTGTCCAAGTTCCTGCAAATAAGCCACGACTTGCTATCCATAGATCTTGAATCATAGTCAGTCCTGACAGGTCTCCCTCACTCCTGTAAGCTCAGATGCACCCGACTTTCTCCCCTGAACCCAGATATTGCTGCCAAACCTAAAGGGTTTATTGAGCGAGACTTCTCAGAAGCCCCCTCATTCACCCAGCCCCTGGCTGACCACACCTCCACCCCTGGCTACAGCACCCAGTTGTTCTGCAGTGTCCGAGCTTCACCCAAGGTGAGGGGCCAGGCCCTGTTGTGCCCTGGGCTGGTGGGGGCAGGTGGGGACAGCAGGGCTGAGGAATCCTCCGGGCGTCCACACCTAAGCCTGGGGATAGCTGTTGAGAGCCCCGCCCCAGTCCATACCTCCCCAGCTCTCTTCTGACCATGTCTCCCAGCCCAAGATCATCTGGATGAAAAACAAGATGGAGATCCAGGGCAACCCCAAATACCGCGCCCTCTCTGAGCAAGGCGTCTGCACCCTAGAGATCCGGAAACCCAGCCCCTTTGATTCTGGGGTCTACACCTGCAAGGCCATAAATGTGCTGGGGGAGGCATCTGTGGACTGCCGGCTGGAGGTCAAAGGTGAGAGTTTGAGGACGGGAGAACAGGAGTAAGCACCTCTCTGGAACTGGACTAGAGGCAGCAGACAGCTTAAAATCAAGGCCGAAGAGAAGGGGTGGTAAGACTGGGGTCAGGCTGTGCTGATTACTTTCCAAGCGGCAGGGTGGACAGGTGTAGAAGAGGGTGTATAACCGTGAACTTTCCAGTTCCCCGCCACTTCCCCCAAGCTCTAACTGCAGCATCTCTTCCAGCCTCAGCCGCACACTGAAGTCACGGGAGGAGGCTGTGATGAGGAGCCAGGTAAATGGCCTGACCCACCCACTCTGTTACCTCTGTGGGCAGCACAGAAGCAGAGAGGAGGCCAGGAGCAGGGGGTTGGGGTGAGAAGGGAAGGTGGTGGTCAGCTCTGTGGACACAAACTTGTGGACACAGGCAACTAGCACGCATGTCCAGAGACTCACAGTGATGTTGCAGGGCCAGGCGATGCCGGTGTCTCCTGGAAGGGGGGTGATTCCGTGGACCGCCACACAACCAGAGTCTACTCCCAGCTCTGAGTGATCTTCAGCAAGGGTGTTCTCTTTGGACACATTCTCTCATCCGAAAACTGGGGATAACAACCTTTCCCTGCCTTCCTTCCCCTGGTGGTTCTGAGGCTCTGCATAAGTACGGAAGTATCTAGAACTGCAGTGGGCAGAGCTCAGACCTGGGCATTGCACCTGAGGGAGGGAGGCCTGGTGAGGAAGAGGATGCTGCTCCCCCTCCCCACTCTGCACCTCTCTGGCCTGCAGCCGAGCTCTGCTCACACCAGGGGCTCAGGAAGCATGTCCTCCTCCAGGTGCTGCAGGCCTGAGGGGCCAGGTCCACCAGGCCTACAGTCAAACTCCAGAGATGCCCAAGACCCCCGCTTCCATAGCGACGGCTGATGGAACCGCCCCTGGTACCTGCTGGCCTCCCTTCCCCAGAGGCTGGTGTCCAGAACTCAGGAATGGGCCTGGTAGGCCCCAGGCCAGACTAACTGGGCTCAAGGGGTGCTGGAAGGCGCAGAGATTGGAGTGCCCTGCGGAGTTGCACTCTGGGTGGGAAGCACTCAAATAAAGATGCGTGGTGTTAACAGTGCGGGGCCTCTGTGCCAGTGAGCGACATCATCTGGGGGAGGCGCTGTGTCACGAGGAGGGGGGGTGTCTGAATGTTTCACCATGAGGGGGTCTCCAGATATGTCACCAAGAGGAAGATGCCAATGGGAGAGGTCTCAGGATGTCATGGCTGGGGCAGGGAGGTGGGGGGATGGGGGGTGTTCTGGACCTGTGAGTTTTCAGGATCTCCCTTTCTGATCAGGGTTTGCTACCGCCAGTGCGTAACTATGGAAACAGACACACCCTCTCTGGAACCCTCCTTGCTCCAACGCCTCCACGTGCCCCCTCTCGCAGCTCCTCCCAGCCCCCGTCATTGCTTCCTGTCTGCTGAAGCTGTCTTATTGCCCTCAACAGTGGTGGGGATGGGCGCCCAGCAATGTGCTCTCCACAGGGTTCACAGTTTTTTATTAGTCACATGGGCCTCCCTTGGGAGCCAGGGCACACCCAATTTCCAACAGAGGGAAGGGCTTGGAAGCAAGTCCTGGAGTTGACACTCATGTTCAGAAGGTCAACTCGACGGCCACCTCCCCTCCCTCGCCCCCCGACACAGGGGCTCCAGGATCCCCCGCCTCGCCCTCCCACACAGGGGCTCCAGGCTCCCCCGCCTCGCCCTCCCACACAGGGGCTCCAGGCTCCCCCACCTTGCCCCCCAACACAGGGGCTCCAGGCTTGGCAGGGCATGGGTTGGTCCTTCCCCAGATCCCTAAAGTCCTAGACCCCCGGACACCTGCAACAGAGCTTCCAAAGCCCCTGAAAACCCAGCCAGATACTAGGGGTATTGAGGGATTCACATGACAGCAAGGCCTTCCCCCACATGCTCTCAGGGGGGTACTCTCCTCTGCCTGCTGCAGCCTGCTAAACCCACCCCAGGGGCGCCTACAGTCAACACTGAGTCCTTACAGACACTCCCTCGTCCACCCCGTTCCCAGGCAGGCAGAATGCTCCCGAGTTGGCATGTCTAGTGTTCTCCTCTCCATCAGGCCCAGAAGCAGCAGAGATGGGGTCACCTAGGACAGTCCAGGCCCGGCAACGGGCAGGCCAGTGGAGCTGGTGGCCCAGATGACAGGTAATTACACTCCAAGGCTCCTCCCCGGAAAGCTCAGGGCAAGAAGGAGGGCTCAGAGCTACCACCTCGTGGCTGTTTGAGGCCAGCACCTACCGCACCAAGCTCACTCCCCAGGGCGTGGAGCCAGCACTCCAGCAAATATCAGAAATGATTACTGAACCTACCCTTTCTGCCTCTCCCACGTACAATCCTGGGCTGGCCCAGGGCAAGGAGAGCAGGCACCCTAGCACCTGGTATGGCCTGGGGTCCAGAGTCCTCAGAGGTGGGAACGGAGGCTCCTTGATTCCTGCCCCTTAGCTGCCTCTGGCCAGTCTCTCCTACAGAACAGGCCAGTGCATCCTCAACCTCTCTCCTTCCATCCGTCTCAGAGCAGATGCTCTCCTCTCCTTAAGCTTGGTCCTGGGGCTGCACCACCAACATCTAAGACAAGCAGACTCCCCTGCCTCACCGCAGAAGCCCAAGCACCTTCTCCCAGCCCAGGTGGCTCCTCTGCAGTCTCAGCCTCCCCAGGACCTGCCCAGCCCTGAAGCTCTGGACTGCTCATGGGATGGTCAGGCAGGTGGGGGCTCAGAACACTGTTGCCTCTAGACACCTGGTCCCTCCGTAGGACCCTTGCCCTCCCAGGCCTCCTGCAGGGCCCAGAGGTGTAGGGTAGTTAACTCCTAGTGGAGGGACCACACTCTGTGGGTATCTCTTCAGAGCCTCCCCCATGCCCCCAGCCAACAGCCCAGCTGGGGCAGGCTCAGGGAGACCCCTGGGACAGCGGGCATGTGAGGACTGGACTGAGACCCCACTGGATGTGGGCTGGTGGGAGCGGAAGGCGGGGTCTAGTCATCAGGCCTCTCTTCTGGGAGATCCTCGTCAATGGGAGGTGCAGGCTGGCAGCGGAAATGGTCATTCCAAATCTTAAGGAAGGTGACGCGGAACTTCTGGATGCGGAAGGCATAGACAATGGGGTTCATGGCCGAGTTGCCGTGCGTGAGGAAGATGGCAATGTAGGTAAGGATGCTGGGCTTGTGGCAGGACGGGCAGAAGAGGGTGATGCAGTTGAGGATGTGCAAAGGCAGCCAGCTGAGGGCAAAGAGGAAGAGGATGAGGGCCAGCGACTTGGCGATCTTCAGCTCCTTCCCATAGTACTTCTGCGGGTCGCCGGAGGAGGCCGACACCTTCTTGTTGAGCTGCTTGCGGATTAGGTAGAAGACCTCCAGGTAGATGAGGACCATGAGGAGAAGCGGGGGCAGCACCCACACAAAGAAGTTGAAGTAGACCATGTACTCCATGCTGATGACCTTCTCGAACTCGCACTTGATCACGGGCTCCCCCATGCTGCCGTTGGCTGCCCAGGCCCGCTCCACCGCACTCAGATTGTTCCAGCCAAACATAGGGGTCAGTCCCACCACGAAGGAGAGGATCCAGCAGCCGGCTATGGCCACCGCCGCCCTCCGGGGGGTCACCACCATCTTGTACCTGGGGGAGAGGAGGGCAGAGTGTGAGGATCTGCCTCCCAGCTGCCTCGAAAGGCCCCTCTGAGGCACGCCTGGCCTCCAGGGGCCTCTAAGAGGAGCACCCTCCTCTTCCAGGGCCCGGTGAGTGGGGAGGTGCATGTCTTTTGCTCGAGGGCTGAGTCTTCAGGATCTAAGATTTAGTGCTTGCCATGCATTGGCTTATTCTCCTACAGAGAGAGGAAATCCTGATTAATGACAAAAATAATAATAGAAAATCACAGAGGAGCTCCTTTATGAATTTCAAGGAAATGACCACAGTAAAAATTGCTCCCATGTGCTCAGCATGCCCCCACTGGTTATCTCATCATTGCTTCATGACAGCCTTTGTCGCGTAGGAAGTCACCGGCAGAATGAGGACTGCCCAATTGGCAGATGAGGAAACTGAGGTTCAAAGTAATCACAGGATCTGCCCAAGGCCACATGGAAGGTGGCAGTGCTGTTCCGTGCTTCCTAAAACACGTCTACACTGACCGAAACACCCAAGTGATTAACAAACCATCCCTTCTCTTGGGCCAGCAGACACAACTGTCATTTTAAAAAATCTTTCACACAACCCCCCTTCCCTTGGCCTTGTCCCATACTCCCCTGCCATGCCCCATCTCCCACCTCCATATGAACCTCCTGTTTCCCCTTCCAATCACTGTGCAGCACTTACCTCCTAAGGGCTTGATCTCAAGAACCAGCTCTGCACTCCCAAGCTAACTGGGAATGATGCTCAGGAAAGAAAACTGATATTCACTGAGCATCTACTACATGCTAGATACTTTCAGTCATTCATTCATGCATTTACGCATGCATACGTGGATGCATTCATTCAGCAAGCATTTGTCGAGTGCTTTCTGTGCTAGGCATTGCTCCCTGTGCTGAGAATAAGATAAAAGATCCCTGCTTCTACATATCTCACATTTTGGGTGAAGAGACAGATAACACAAAAGCAAGAAAATAAACAAGACAACTATAGATCATGATATGTCCTTTAAAGGAAATAGGTTGAGTCAAGGGCCAGAGCTTTCTAACTTTTTTCAGGTCATGACCCACAAAGAAGATAGAAACATCTGGATGACGAGGCTGCTCGTGAGCCACAAGGGTTGGGCGTTTTCATATCTCAGGGGTTCCTACTTCCCTTTAAACCAATCTAGCCAGCAGCCATCATGGCTTCTGCCCACATACTGGCCTTGGAGACAGTGCCAAGGGCTGGGTCTCACCCAGCTCTGTGCTGAGAAGCCAGCTGAGCAGCAGCAGCTTGCCCAGTTGTTATTTTCCAATGCGGCTTCTGAAATGGATGGAGTGCCCTCCTGAGCATGTAAATAGCTCCTGAGACCCAGGAGTGTGAAGGGAGAGGCTGCCGACTGTTTCCTTCCGCCCCAGGGATGCAGAATCTGCGGCTTTCTCCTGCATGGTGATGATGCTTAAAGTCTGTCTCGCCCCGGACAACGCTTCTCCTAGATCCTTCACCATCCATCAAAGCCCACCTGCTCTGTGAAGGCTATAGGGGTAGGAAGGGAGACAATTTGCCCAGTGGGAGGAACCAGATGCCCCTCTCCACCCCATCTAGAAGATAAGGACTAGAAGAGACCTTTGGAATCTCATTTTCTATCCCTTCATTGTCCCAGTGAAGAAATTGAGGACTAGATGACTCCAACACCTTTGGAGCAGTTCCCCTCTCCTACTCTGTGATCATAGGATTCTTGTGCCCCAAACCACCACCACCAAGGGGCCTTGAGAGGTGACCAGTGCACTTGTGCCTCTGAAGTTTTCTTAGATACAATCCTCACTCTCTTGCTGAAATTGAAGCCCATTCCCTCCTCTGTACCCTCAGCAGAATGGCCAGGCCTGGTGCAGACACTGGGAGTGAGAAGACCCAAACTCGGGCTGCCAGTCTGCAACTTGCTAGATCAATGTCTCCTCTGTAAAAGAGACCTACTTCAGAGGGGGAGGATCAAATGAGATACTACGTGTGCAAGTACTCTGTAAACATCCGACCAGTATTCCTTTGCCTGAGCTCTTCTTACCCCTCCAAGCTCCCAGACAAATGGCCACCTGGAAAACTCCAGTATCTCTGGATGCTCAGCAAACACAGCCTAAGGGCTATTTAAACATCTTGCTCACATCTTGTTCCTGACCATCTCAATGTGTTCCCCACAGATATGGTGTCCTCTCAGATATGGTGGAAAAAGTTCTGGGCATGAGTCTACGGGCAAAGACCAAAGGAACATAGGTCATTCTGAAGGCTGAGGGATGCTGTCTCAGCAGCCACACAGCGGAGAGTGGGGCCAGATCCCCAGGTGAACCTCAGCAGGGAAAGCGAGCTGCCACTGCAGAGAGGACGGGGCCAGGTGTCCTGCCTACCCCCACCACCCATCACATCTGCCATTTATACCACATTTATCATTTACAAATCCCTTTCTCAGTCCTGTCTCAGGTAATCCTCATAACTGCTGCTGTGGTGAGCACAGCAGATAAGGGAATCCCCATTTCATAAATTAGAAGCTCCACTGGCCTGGGTCTCCTGACTCCAAGCCCAGCTCTTCTTCAGGGTGCCAGGCTGACTGTGGGTTGTTGAGATGCAGATGATTGGCAGGTTGAAAATATCCCTTGCCTAAGAGATTTAAAAGGGGAACTTCAAGACTCTGCCCAAGGAAGGCACCACCCAGAGTCAGTGGGGTGGGGTAGGTGACCTCTGGTGCTGCCGTCCAGCCTATGGATTGGGGGATCTAGCCTGGGACTGACATCAGGGCAGTGATGACCTATGGAGAGAGGAGAGGTAGACAGTGATAGCCCTAGACAGGAGAGAGGGAGGAGACTTCTAGCTACAGAAGTGGGTCCCTCCCCTCTTCTCTCCTCACCCCTCACCCTTCTGACCACCCAGAGCCCCCGGGGTTAAAGCTTTCCTGGGGCTCCTCCAGGACCCAGTCCCAGCAGACCCTGCAGCTTAGGGTATCAGCTCTCATCTGTTTTTCTTGCTATTTTCTCCCTGGTGGGAAAGGGCTGGACCCAAGACCTTGGCTGAGGTGGGGCAGGCTCTCACAGGAAGGGCTGCCTCCCAAGGCCAGGAGAGAAGCTCACCTATCCTTACACGTGGGAAAGGAAACAGAGGCTGCAAGTCCTGGGGCACGCATGGGGTAAGGGTGTGTGGAAGGTGCCTCTGACTCTTGGGAATGCCCCTCCCAAGTCCACAGCATCCCCGAGGGCTGTGCTGGGAGCTAAGCAGGGAGATGCTGCTCTCAGGAGTGTGCAGCTCAGGCAGGCACAAATGGGAGAGCAACAGAACAGAGACGGGAGAACACCAAGAGGGGCCCCGTCCACAGGCCAGCAGGGCAGACAGTACCTTAAAGATAGCCCTGAGGGGGCCGGGCGCGGTGGCTTACGCCTGTAATCCTGGCACTTTGGCAGGCCGAGGCGGGTGGATCACCTGAGGTCGGGAGTTCAAGACCAGCCTGGCCAACATGGTGAAACCCCATCTCTACTAAAAAAAAATACAAAATTAGTCAGGCGTGGTGGTGCATGCTTGTAATCCCAGCTACTTGGGAGGCTGAGGTAGGAGAATTGCTTGAACCCAGGAGGCGGAGGTTGTGGTGAGCCAAGATCGCGCCATTGCACACCAGCCTAGGCAACAAGAGCGAAAATCTGTCTCAAAAAAAAAAAAAAAATAGCCCTGAGGGAACCAGGGAGAGCCCCACCTCCAGAATCTCCTTCAAAGTGCATAAAATCCCACAAGGAATGAGACGTTCCTTTGGGTTAAGAGTTGCCTTCTCTGTGGGCTATTTATTTATTTAGTTTATTGAGACAGGGGCCCCCCTGTGTTGTCCAGGCTGGTCTCGAGCACCTGTGCTCAAGCAATTCTCCCACTTCGACCTCCTGAAGTTCTGGAATTACAGGTATGAGCCACCACGCCCACCTGTGTGTTATTTTTAAAAGCTGAAATAACATGAACTCCATAGTATGAATTAGTTTATTAGTCGGAACTTCTCATTGATGATGATAACATGAAAAGACTGAGTCCCCGGAGCAATGGGCTACAGAGACCCTGAGAGGGAAAGGGATCACTTGAGGAGAGAAATGGAAGAGGGTTCCCATTGAACCTCTCAGTGTTGGCAAGAGCCGGTGGCTGAACAGAAAAGGATTTCATATCATAGCTGCTGCAAGAGTGTCAGTATGGTTTAGAGGTGGAAATGAGGGAATGAAGTCTGCAAATCCTGTGTCCAAATAGGGCAGGGCAGAGAAAGCCATTGGTTCTTCCCTGGACACCCTGGCAGGGCTGCCATAGGAGGGGTGGGAGATTCTGGGGGCTAAGTGAGGAAGGAGCTTGAAAATAATAGTTATCTGATCAATAATAACAACAATAAAAATGCTGGTAAGCGCTAACATTTATTTCTATGTGCTGGGCACTGACTATTTATTTATTTATTTAAGAGATAGGCTCTCACTCTGTCTCCTAGGCTGGAGTGCAGTGGCACAATCACAGTTAACTGTGACCTCGAACTCCTGGGCTCAAGAGATCCTTCCACCTCAGCCTCCTGAGTAGCTGGGACAAGTGTGTGCCACCATGCCCAGCTATTTTTAAGTGTTTTTGTAGAGATGGGGGTCTCACTATGTTGACCAGGCTGATCTCAAACTCCAGGGCTCAAGTGATCCTCCTGCTTTGGCCTCCCAAAGTGCTGGGATTACAGGCGTGCACCACTGCGCCCAGCCCTAGGCACTGACTTTATAGACATGGTTTTATTGATACTTCAGCGCAACCCTATCACTTAGATACTACAGGTTGAGCATCCCTAATGTGAAAATCCAAAAGCCCAAATGCTCCAAAATTCAACACTACTTGAATGCCAACAAGACGCTCAAAGAAAAATGTTCATTTGAGCATTTCAGATTTCCAGATTAGGGATGCTCAACCAGCGGGTATAATGCAAATATTCCAAAATCTGAAAAAATCCAAAATTGGAAACACTTCTGGTCCCACACATTTTGGATAAGGGATACTCAACCTGTGTCATTATTCTCAATTCCTAATTGCAGTAACTGAGACTTGGAGAGATTAGAAAACATGTCCAAGGCCACTCTGCCAGGAAAAAGCAGGAAAAGAATTTCTAAGACTCCAGTATGTCCAAGTGCAAAGCCCATATTGGACCCAGCTCTGCCACTCTGGGAGATGGAGAACACGTGAGGATTGGGGGATGGAAGCTTGGAGCAGGAGAAAGGAGCCATGGCTAGGGCCCAGAAGGCAAGCCTCTCCTGCTCCAGGCAAATCTCCCTGGACTAAGTAGTTGTGAGGATGCCATTGTGCTTTGCCTGGGAGCCTCACTCCTCCTGCAAAGTCTGAGCTCTTTCTGAGCCATCAGAATGACCTGTTCACATGCATGTGCTGCCTAGGTATTTAGTTGCTGTCTTGTTCTTGCTGGGGGCAATCAGGCAGTTGAGACTCACCCTTTCATTTATTAAAGGGGTATTCATTGAGCACCTATCAGGTGCCAGGTTCTAGGTGTTAGGGTTCAGGAATATAGAAGAGAACAGACTCATGAAAATATCATTCTGCAGACAGAGAAACAGGCAATAGATATGCAAACAAATAAACCAGATCATTTTAGAGAGTGAAAAGACCTACCAAGCGAAATAAGAGGATACCCCAGGAGAGAGTGAGTGGGCAGGGCAGCCTCTCTGAGGATGAGAAAATGAGCCGAGAGCCAAAGGACCACCAACGAGCCAGCCAGGGAAAGATCTGGGACAGAGCCTTCTAGGCAGAAGGCACCATCGGGGAGAGGTGCTGAGGCAAGAGTGGCAAGAGAGGGCTAGTGTGAAGGAGCCTCAGGGGTGAAGGCCCGAGAGAGGCCGGCTCAGTCAGAGAAGAGACCTAGGGCTGAGAGGGCTGCAGCAAGTGTTCTGGGGTTTATCCTAAGTACGAGGGGAAGTCATTTTAAGCAAAGGAATAATATAATCGAATTGCTGTTTTTAAAAGATAGCTCAGGCTGCTGTGTGGAGAATGTGTTGCAGCAGGGAATGATGGAAGGCAAGAAAACCAGCAGGAGGCTATTTTAGCCATCCAGGCAGATGAGGGTGGGATGCTGTAGCTGGCGGCATGGGAATTGAGGAGAAGCATATGGCTTTGAGATGTATTTAGGAACAGGGCCAAAAGGACCTGCTGCTGAGTTTGGATGTTGCTATGGTTTGAATGTGTCCCCCAAAGCTCATGTGTTGGAAACTTAATCCCCAATGCAACAATGTTGAAAGGTGGGACTTTAAGAGGTAATTAGATCCTGAGAGCTCTGCCCTCTTGAATGGATTAATGCCATTAATTGCAGAAGTGGCTTCATTATCACAGGAGTGGAGTCTTTATAAAAGATGAGTTTGGCCACCTTCTTTTCTCTCTCTAGGGAGTGTGCTCTTTGTCCTTCCACCCTTCAGCCATAGGATGAGCCAGAAAAAAAGGCCCTTGTCAGATGCAGACCCTCAATCTTGGACTTCTCAGCTTCCAGAAATGTGAGCTGAGTAAACTTCTTTTCTTTATAAATTACCCAGTTTCAGGCATTCTGTTATAGCAGCACAAAATGGACTAAGACAGAAGATTGGTACCAGAAGTGGGGTTGTTGCTCTAACAAATACCTGAAAATGTGGAAGCAGCTTTAGAACTGGGTAACAGGTATAGGCTGGAAGAGTTTGGAGGAGCAGGCTAAAAAATGCCCAGACTGCCATAAATGGAGCATTAAGGGTAATTCTGGTGAAAGCTCAGAAGACAAGAGCTGTAAGGAGCAACTGAATCTTTTAAGGGATGATTTGAATGGTCGTGATCACAATGCTAGCAGAAAATTTGGACAGTAAAGAATTTTGGATGAGGTCTCAGATGGAAACAAGAAACAAGATATTGAAAACTGGAGTAAAGGTCATCCTTGTTATATAGTTGTAAAGAACTTGGTGGAATTGTGTCTGTGTCCCAGGACTTTGTGGAAGGCAGAACTTTAGAGCAACTAACTGGGATATCTAGCAGAAGAAATATACAAACAACAAAACATTCAAGGTGCTATATGGTTTCTTTTTGCCATTTATAGCAAAGTGAAGGAAGACAGAGATGATTTAAAGATGAAACTTATCATCGAAAGGGAAGCAGAATGGAAAGATTTGGAAAACTCTCAGCCTGGCCATGTACAGAATTAAAAAGTGTGTTCAGGAGAGAATACTAAGGATGTGGCCAAAACACCATTTGCTAAAGAGAATAATATGGATAGAAGGAAGCCAGGTTCTATTCATCAGGATGATGGGAGAATGACTACACAGGTATTTCAGAGATCTTCAAGGCAGCTGAGGACCTTTAGAGCAAGGTTTCCAGAGACACCAGGCAGGACCTCGGCATTTGCTGCCCAGGGCCACCTCAGGCCTCTGCTGCCCAGGGCCACCTCAGGACTCTGCTCCTTGGCAGCCCCAGCCATGGCTCAAGCAGGCCCAGATGTAGCTTGTGCTGCTGCTCCAGAGAGCACAAGTGGTAGGTAGGTCTTGGCAGTGTCCACATGGTGCTGATTCTGCAGGTGCACAGAGTGTGGAAGCCATGGGGTCATGCCAGCCTCCAATTAGATTTCAAAGGATATCATGGACAGCCTGGAAGCCCAGGCAGAAACTTGTCACAGGGACAGAGCCACCACAGAGATCCCTCACCAGGGCAATGCCTCCTGGAGCCATGGGAGTGAGGCCACTGCCCAGACACCAGCACTGTAGGACCACCAGCATGCAACTCCAGTATGGGAGAGCTGCAGGCATGAGACTCCAATCCACGAGAGCTGCTTCATGGGCTGAGCCCAGTAGAGCCAATATGTCCAGGAGGTGGTACATGGAGTAAAAGGCTATTCTAGAATCTTAAGATTTAATGTTGTCTGGCTTGTTGGGGTTTGGACTTACTTGGATCCTGTTACTGCTTTCTTCTTGCCTGTTTCTCCCCTTTGGAATGGGGAACCTATCCTATTCCTGTCCCACCATTGTATTTTGGAAGCATGTAACTTGTTTTGATTTCATAGGCTCACAACCAGAAGGAAATTTGCCTTAGGATGAATCCTGCCTTTAGCCTCACCCATATCTGATTTAGATGAGACTCTGGACTTAGGACTTTTGAGTTGATGCTGGAACTAGTTAAGACTTTGGGGCCTACTGGGATGGAATAAATGTATTTTGCATGCGAGAAGGACATGAATTTTGAAGGCCAGGGCAGAATGCCATGGTTTGAATGTGTCCCTCAAAGCTCATATATTGGAAACAATCCCCATTGCAACAGTGTAGAGAGGTGGGACCTTTAAGAGGTAATTAGGTCATGAGGCTCTGCCCATATGAATAGATTAATGCCAATACTGCAGGATTAGTTTTGTTACCACAGAAGTGGGGTCCTTCTGAAGGATGAGTTCAGCTCCTGTCTGTGTGATGCCTTCCACATGGTATGAGGCAGCAACAAGGTCCTTATCAGACATGGCCCTCTAATCTTAGACTTCCCAGCCTCCAGAACTGTGAGCCAAATAAATTTCTGTTCATTATGAATTACCTAGTCTGTGCTATTCTATTATAGCAGCAGAAAATGAAGTAAGACAGATGTCCAGGTGAGAGAAAGAGTCAACAAGATGACTCTGTCTGGTTTTTATCCTGACCACTGAGCAGAGGGCACTGTCATTCCCCCAGTCTCCTTGACCCTTCTTTCCCTGAAGGGCCCATCCCCTTACCTTAAACTCCACTTCACTCTCCCTGAACTCCACTCTACTATCACCATGCTAGTGGACACTCCTTTGTTTACATACCTGGGGCACTCTCCTACCTCAGGGGCTTTGCACTTCCTGTTCATTTCCTGAAATGTCTGGGAAGGTTCATTCTCCGTTCATTCAGGTCTCCACTCAGATGTCAGGTCCTAAGGGAAGATTCCTGACTCTCCTGAAAAATAGTCTCTATCACTGTCTCCTCTTGCCATATTTAATTTTCCTGATAGCATTTCCTGACTCTCTCCCTCCTCCCTCTCTCTCACACCCTCTCTTCCCCCCTATCTAACTATCTATCTATCTATACATTTATTATTAGTTTCTCTCCAGTGCTCCAGTAGAATGTAAGCCCCAGTAGGACAGAACCTTTGGCATGTTAACCACTGCATCCCCAGTACCTATATCAGTGCTCAATAACTATTTGTTGAATGAATGAATAAATACATGTAAAAATGGATTAATGAAACCATACATCCACTTATTCAGAAATGATTGCTCAAGGACCTGCAACGTGAGTACATCTCAGGGAACAAGAGATAAGGATTAAATGGTAGGTGCTCAATTAGAGACAGTCAGATTAGAAAGGCATGACCCTAGCCCTGAAGGCAATTACAATGCCCTGGATGAGGAAAATCATTCCCTGGTTTATTCCCTGCTGTGCTGGGAGCTGTAGGGGATCCACTGCTGAATCAGACAACTCCTGGTCCCCTACCTAGGTCCTGCGACATAAGGCCGCTATGACAAGGGCCTCTTATGAAATGTATGAGAAACTGCCACCAGGCCACCAGCCAGCCACCAACATGTCCATAGTGGCTTGGAGTCCCAGCATTGCCCTGCACACTGTGAGACCAGCAGAGGCTTCCCTGGCCAGAACTCACCTCCCCAGAGTCTCTTAGCCTGCATCCCAGAAAAGCAAGCCTTCATCTCATGCTAATTCCCAGCAGTCGTCATGAGAATGCCCAAGTTCCTCATTGGTCCTTTGCCTCATGAATCGTCCTTTTCAGGGATGAGATCACTTCTAGTTGGAGACCCGACTGTGCACAGAGGGGTGGCCTCTCCTTGTCTACACCCTTAGAGGGCACTCCTTCTGGATGCCATTGGGGACTGATAGTTAGGTTGACTCAGAGAACATAAACGATAAGCCACTTTAGAAAAGGAAGAGCTGTCTGGGCACGGTGGCTCATGCCTGTAATCCCAGCACTTTGGGAGACCAAGGCAGGTGGATCACTTGAGGTCAGGAGTTCGAGACCACCCTGGCCAACATGGTGAAACCCCATCTCTACTAAAAATACAAAAACTGGCTGGGTGTGATGGCGGGTACCTATAGTCCCAGCTACTCAGGAGGCTGAGGCAGGAGAATCGCTTGAACCTGGGAGGTGGAGGTTGCAGTGAGCCATGCCACTGAACTCCAGCCTGGGTGACAGAGCGAGACTCCGTCTCAAAATAACAATAATAATAATAATAATAATAATAATAATAATAATAATAAATAGGAAGAGCCCAGATGCCATCAGATGGTGAACACACCATGGGACCAACCAGCGAAGACACATCTGACAGAGAAAAAAGAAGGAAGAGGGGGTGGGCATAGACGTCCTACATAATTCTCTTTGGTGAATGCAGAACAGCCAAACTGAGAAAGGTGCAAAGAAGCCAGCCACCACTGCAGGGATGAGACTGGAGTGTGCTGGTTCTGAAGCTGTCTGTCCTTGGCTTTCTCTCCTGGCCCTGCCCTGTTTTGTATCACCATGGGGCTGACCCCGGCAGGCTGCATTTCCCAAGCCCTGGGGCTATCCAGGTCCATGGGAAATACTGCAGTGCTGGAGCAGTGGGGATGGGGCGGTGGTGGGGAGCTGTCTACCTCCCTGTCCCAGCTGTGTACTAGGCAGTGGTTATGACTCCTCCATGGCTCCAACACACACCAGACAAGCCCACCATGGGTGCGGCTTCTACCAGCCAACTGCAGCCCCTGGGCTCCGGGATCACCGCCTCCTCACTTTGTCCTTCTGCCTTGGGGTAGCTTCCTGTTGTTACTCATCTCTGGGTTACTTCACTCTCCCTGTTTGTGTCTCGGCTGCTTCATCACCAATTCCTGGTATAAGGCCCTCGGCTGTAAACACCTAAAATGATTTTTGTGTTCCTGGTTAGACTCAGACAGTTCAAGAGTAAAGCTGCATCAGGAAGAACTGAGCTCAGTCATCCCTAAGAACCCCCTGCCAGAGGTATAGGTACGAGTGAGCCACCCAACTCTTACAAACGCCTTCACTCAGAGGCAAGAGAACCCACATGTGGGTTTGGAAAATGCTAAGCATGGCTTGCCTGAGGGCAGGATGACACAGTGTCCTGTCAACTGCTGAGACCAGAGCAGGGTCCTCAGGCCTGGCCGTCCCTGTTTCTCATCACCTGCTCCTCATGGAAGCACTGGACATGGGAGCAGGGAGGTGGAGGGCCGGGGGGTGGCAGAGGTCCACGTCTTTCCACCATCCTGCGGTTTGGATAGTCAGGGATTGAATCTTCCCTCTTCCGTTCCCTCACTCTTGGCTGGGAGGGAGTGACAGTTCATAGCTCTGGTCCCCTCCTTCCCGCCTCCTCTCTTATCAAGGATCTCAGCCACTTGTAACTGGAAACTTGGATCTCAAGAGCAGGAAAGTAAGGCTTTCAGACTATTAAACTACTTCCTGTGGAGAAATTCTTCCTCCCCAAGGAGAACAGGAAACCAGATATAATCAAAGGTGCTGGGCACACTCCAGGGGCCAAATATTTAACAGTAACATTGCCCAGGGGAGTCTGCTTCAGGGGCCCTGGGGAGGGGGCAGGATGTCAGGCCTAAGAATCCTGCCTTGAATCCCGCTGTGAGGGGCTCTGTGGCATCACTCACCATCTAAAACATCAGTGCCCACCAATCCCCAAAAGGAGACTCGGGCTGACACCCCAGGGCCAGTCTGCAGGGCTACAGGGAGGAGGGCAGACACTCTGTGTCTTGAAAGAAAAGAGCTGGATAAATTGATTAGGTCATTAGTGTAATGGGCCTTGGAAATCACTCCTGGTCACTTGCTGAGGACAAATAACTCCACAGCCTGGTGGGGAAAATAATGAGGTTCCTGTGTGTGACTCAGTAACACCCTCTATTCTGGCAACCTCCCCAACTGTCTGTCCTTCGGATTCAAGGCCCCTTTCTGAGCGCTGGACGTGAGCAGAATAAACATAGATCCCACCATGAAGGAACTCTCAGTCCACAGGAGAGGCCCAGCACCTGAGCAAAGGGATCCCCAGTGTGATGAGAGCGGCATGTGCTGCAAAGCACAGGGCAGAGCTCCCTGCCAGCTCCCCCACTCAAAGGTTTCATGCATGACTGACAGCACAAGCTCCCCCCAGACCTGTGTGCCTGCAGAGAGCTCTTTTCTCTCTCTCTCTGGGTGGGCGTTCTCATCCCAACAAACAGAAGTTTGGATTTGCTCAGTGGTTCTGATCCGGAGGGGGCTTCAGAGGGTGGGGTGCAAAGTGGGAGGCTTTCAGATTTGGAGGAGGCATGTTTTCAAAGTATATTTGCCTCTGAACCTCATCCCTTTCTCCCAGTCCAGGGCATATCCTATGGAATGTTTTTCCACAGCCAGAAGGCCAAGGTATCACACTTTGAGACAATGCCCTGGGCGATTTCACAATACAGCCACCTCCTCCCCTCCCAAAGTCAAGCACAGCACCCACATCCCCGTGAGGCGGTGGTCCTCAAGGAGGAGGGTGTCTGACCTGGACAGTAAATGCAGGAAAACTGGACCCAGACCTTGGCATTCTCAGCTCTTTCTGCACTGAGATTTGATTCTCTCCATCTCTCCAAGGAAGACCGGGATGGCAAAAGGAGCAAGGCCAATTAGCCCCACCTGCTATGGGTGACTGTTTCTGACTCATCCCGTGGGACAGGAAAAAACCATCCCATCTGCATTCAGACTTAATGACCTGTGAGTAGCTGCTGCAGGGAGGCCTCACTGGGATGGCCAGGGTGCTAAAAGGGGCAAAATTCCTTTTCCAGTGAAGTGGAAAGGTCCGCCATGGTGGGAAGGGAGCTGATGGCTTTATGCGGCTTCCCATAGGCCTCTCTGGTCTTTGCAGACTGTGGCCTCTTAGGAGAACAGCAGAGAATCCGCCAGCCCAGCTGGCACATGGGGAGGGCCCAGGCAGGAGGGAGCCAGGAAGCAGCAGAATTCTGCAGGCTCAGGAGAGCAGAGGGGGCCCATGCTGGACCCCCAAAGAAGGGCAGTCCTCCCTTGGAATACCTCATTGTGGTGGGAAATGGGAGACCCCCATTCTGGTCCAGGCTGTGCCAGGAGTGAGCTGGCCTTCGGGGAGACCCTTTCCCTTTTGGGGCCTCTGTGTCCTTGTCTGGATGATGAGGGATTGAATGAGATCTTTTCTGGGCTCTAGCAGGTCACGGTTCCCTTCTTCTGGAATGTGTCAAATCATCTTCTATAGAGAGCTGAGCTCAGCGCTAGCAGAAAGGAGGGAGGGGCACTGAACACGGAACTCCTTGTGGGGAGGAGGAGCCCAGGGGCAGTGGTGAGGGGCACCCATACATCCCCGGAAGGGAGTCCCTTCTGAAAGGATTCCATGCTGTAGCTCTGTGCCCCATGGAGAGGAAGATGGGGGGCAAGATGGAATGTAAAGAGAAATAAATATTTATTGAGTATAAGAATGAATGAATGAATGAATGAATGAATGAATGCATGCATGCATGAAGTGTGCTGTGGGGTAAGATCCGAGTTCAAACTGTGACTCCACCATTAACAGCTTGTGGCCTGGAGCAAGTAACAATTCCTTGAGCCTTGGTTTTGTCCTGGGCACAATGGGAGGAGAAGGTTGGCTTGGCAGGCCCCCTGTGAGGATGAGGCTGGCGCAGTAACTTATCTGGGCACTCAATGAACAGTAGCACCAGGTGCCCATTGCTATCTCCACCAGGAGCACACCCCTGATTCTACTGGAATACACAATCGACCCTTGAAGAGATACAAAACAGGTTGCAAGGACATAGATAAACAAAAAATTACTTCTGTTTCACTTTGGAAGGCCAGTCACATGGTTTCCATATCTATTTCACAGCCAGCTCTCCTACCTAATTCAACCTTCGTACAGAACGGGTCTGTGTTCCCTGATCTATCTGATGAAAGTGTCTGAGTCTGGGGTGGGGGTTTGGGAACCTGCTCAGCCCAGCACTAAACCCTACACAGGGTCCTGGAGAAGTCACGCTCCCTGGAGAACCCCAGTAAAGCTCCACTGGGGAAGTGGCCAGGGAGGATACTGGAGATATGGGAGGCGGACTCAGGGTGAGCCCACGCCTTTCCTCCCACCTCCCTTCAGAGTATCTCTTGGCTTGCCTGGAACCCTGAACGCTTGCAGGGTACAGGGCATCTGCCTGAAGGCCTGTTTCCACCAAGGAACTGTAAATCCGACCCCCACTGGAGAGATCCCATGCAGACTCGAGATCAGCCCAAAGGCACCCGCTGGGGTTGGGACCTAGAAAGCAGGTTGGATGCCTGCTGACAGTCTGGAGTGACAAGAGGAGGTGCCTCTTGAGCCAGGGAGATTGGGATGCTGTGCTCTGAGGAGGCAGCTGCTGTCACTGAGCTTGGGCTGTCAGGGCCCCCTAAAGCTCACAGCACCTAGCCCCCTGCCCTGGAAAAGATTCAACAGACAGCAGATAGGGGGAGGACAGAGAAGACAGGAAGAGCTCACCACCTTGGAAATCTTTCCAAAGAAAGAGTCCACCCCCACACTCAGCTCCGCATTCCACAGCTTGTGCTTCCACATTAGAAAGTCCTTCCCAGAGTCTAACTTCAGTTCTTCCTGCTGCATCAGAACTCAAGAAGACACCACTTTTGGGACCTGGAAGAAGTACAGTCATATTCTCCCCGATCCTGGCCTTTCTCCCCACCTTGCAACCAGGCAAAGGGGTGTAGAGCCCAAATAACAGCAGGAAGGACCCCAGGACCCAGCAGTTTTCCATTGACCCTCCTGGTATCTCCTGATGCTCTCTTTGCCCTGTGTCCCTCCACATAAGCACTCACCAAGCCCACAGTGTACAGAGTCCCTACAGAAGCCACAGGCCAGGCCCAATCCGGGAACCAGTCCTCCCCAGCCAGCAGCCACCCAGGCCAGGGCAGAGCACACAGAAGAGTTTAGCATCAGCTGCAGCCCTCCTGCTCCACTGCATGTGCTCAGGGGCTTCTGCCCCAGCTCCAGGGATGGCTTTGTGGAGGAGGGGCCCAGACATACAGATGCAGTGGGAGGTGGGGAGCACCCAGGCTCACCCAGTGGGTGCAGGTGAGCCAGAGATCCCCCTCCCCAGAACAACATGCAGCAGGAAGTGGGAATGTGAGGTCTCCTAGATCATCTGGTGGCTGGCTCCCTTCCCTTCCCTTCCCCATGTGGGATAATCAGAAAAATTCTTTATTTTTCTCTCAGAGCACATAACTGCAAGTACCTGAAGGGCGAAGACGAAGTCTGGTTCAAAATCATCTTCCTAGCACCTACCACAGTACCTGGCACACAGTAAGCACTCAATAATATTTGGGGAAGGAAATGAAATCATATAAAATGCTCGATTAAAACCAGAGAGGCAGAAAAAGAGAAGCAAAAAAAAAAGAAAACAAATATAATGACTAGAAAACAGTTATAAACATGGCAGAGATTAAGCCAACTATTGCAATAATCACCTTAAATGTGAAGAAAGTAGGAGAAACTGGTAAGAGGAAGCCATTCTGAGCCTTCTTGCTCATCTCAACAACAACATCCCCCCTGGCAGGCAGCAGAGCTCTGCTCCCAACAGTCACAGCTGAGGGGCCTTCTACAGAATGCTCAGGGTCTCCACTCGAAGGTCCCGCCTCAACCACTCAGCCCCGATATCTCAAGCCACTTAATTAGGTGGTTCTCACAGGAGTCTAACACACTTCCTCCAACTGCAAGACCAGCCCCTCTCCTCAACTCCCGGCCTGGGTGGAGGTGGGGAACAGCCTGTCCTCCTCCTCCTCTGGGAGCTGGTCTGTGCCCCTGTCATTTGCACGGGTAAAACAGAGCAGCATGTTAGCTGCTGGCAGTATCCCAGGCCAGGAGCCTGCCAGGCAGCTTCTCTGAGGGTTGATCAATAAACTCAATTTCCGTCATTTCTTCCACTTCTGCAAAGTCCTATAAATCACTCCGCTCTGCCACAACCCTGGATGGGGGAAACTCATGATGTGTGTGGGGGAGGAAGAAGCTTATCAAATCAAAGCCTTTTTTTTCCATCCACCATTCATGGAAACTTCCAGGTGCTGTGCTCAGAGCTGGAAAAAGAAAATGCAGGCCTGGTACAGTAGCTCACGCCTGTAATCTCAGCACTTTGGGAGGCTGAGGAGGGTGGACCACCTGAGGTCAAGAGTTCGCGACCAGCCTGGGTAACATGGTGAAACCCTGTCTCTACTAAAAATACAAATATTAGCCAGTCTTGGTGGCATGCACCTGTAGTCCCAGCTACTCAGGAGGCTGAGGCAGGAGAATCGCTTGAACCCGGGCGGCGGAGGTTGCAGTGAGCCGAAATCATGCCATTGCACTCCAGCTGGGGCAACGGAGCAAAAACTCCGTCTAAAAAAAAAAAATGCAGAGAGACAGTAGTAACGGGCCTTGGGGAACGCCACCAGGCAAGAATCGGGTAGGACATGCACTGCAGCCAGGGGAGGGGCGGACACATGAGCAGTGGCACAGAGGGCACGTGGGGGAACAGGCATAGAGTGGCTTCCTTCACCCAGTTGATAGAAACACTGACAGTCTGGGACATTTGGAAGGTCCAACCCCAGGGCCTCCAACTTCCAATTCCACAAACGCCTGACCAACCACACTGCTCTCTCCCCTCCCAACCTCCTCAGCTGGTGCCCACTGTCTCCAATAGAGCACACTGGCTGGCTAGGGGGGCCAAGGCTCAGGGTGACAAAACACTGTGACAGGCAAAACACTGTGACAGCATTAGAGGACCTGGATTGGGATCAGACTCAGACCTGCTGTTAGCGAATCACATCACCTCTCAGAACATTAGGTTCCTCATCCATAAGATGGAGCCGATTGCTCCGCCCGTGATGTTGGAGCTACCATTTAGCATTGAGCTTTCACATACAGCCCTCCTCTGCTCTTCATCCTAGGAGGAAGGGATCCATCTCCACAGGTGAGACTGGGCAACTTGCCCAAGGTCATACAGCTAGTGGCCAGAATTGTCATTGCAACCTAGGCCAGCTGCCTCCAAAGCATGTATTTGTGTTGTTTGTTTTTTGAGACAGGGTCTCATTGTCACCCAGGCTTGAGTGCAGTGGTGCGGGATCTCAGCTCACAGCAACCTCTGCCACCCCAGTTCAAGTGATTCTCCTGCCTCAGCCTCCCGAGTAGCTGGGACTACAGGCGCCCGCCACCACGCCTGGCTAATTTTTGTATTTTTAGTAGAGACGGGGTTTCATCATGTTGGCCAGGCTGGTCTTAGACTCCTGACCTCAAATGATCCGCCTCCCTCGGCCTCCCAAAGTGCTGGGATTATAGGCATGAGCTACCATGCCTTTTGTTTGCTTATTTCATGGAATTTTATTTCTTTTTACTGAAAAACATTAATTGTATATATTTATGGGGTACAACGTAATGTTTCAAAACATTTATACATTGTGGAGTGAGCAAATCCAGCTTTCTAAATTACTATAAGAGTAGATTTTAAAGTCAATTTTGTATTTCATGCACTGCCATTCCCATGAGGCTGTGAAGAAACTGAGGACAGGGACTGTGGTTTTATATTCCCCAGTATCCTTCATTGTCTGAGCTTCTCAAACTGTAATGTGCATATGAATCGTCTGGGGTCCTTTTAAAATGCAGATGATGAGTCAGACAATCTGGGCTGGGGACTGAGACTCTGCATTTCTAACAAGCTCCCAGGAGATGCCAAGGCTGCTGGTCCCTGACCACGCTTTGAGTAGCAAGGCCCAGTGGCACTCGGCCCAATATCGGGCACAAAAGGAGCTCTCTCCAACCTTGTTTGGGGAAGAGAGTGATTGAGGAAGCCCAGAAAAAGAAAGGCATTGTTTTGGATCATGAAGGAAATAGGAACACAAATCCCTGCAGGGTCCGTCACAGATTCACCAGAGTGACCAGTTTCTCTTAATGGATAGCCACCTCCCCCGATACGAGGAAAAAAAAGGCCAGGAACCAGGATGGGAGAAGAGAGGGCAAAGAGGCTCCCTGCCTCAGCAAAATGATAGCAGTCCATCACAACACCCCTGGCAGAGCACTTCCAAACCAACGAAACCAACGATCCTACCCAATGCACACCCCAGCTTGTGAGCGAAGAAGAGCAGGTTCTGTGGTTGCCACTTTACAGGTGGGAAAATTGAGGTCCAGGAAGGTTCAGTGCCTGCCTACGGCTACAACTTGGATGGTTAGTGTTTAAGCTGAGACTGAACCCAGTCTCCTCTGCCTCTGGGCCTGGTGCTCTTTGCGTGAAGCACTCTACCTATGGAATGGTGGCAGAGAGGGTCTCCCTGGGCCCTTCATCATGCCTCACTCCTGGGGCCTACTGGGCTGCTTCTCCAGCCCATCTCCACCATTCTCACCTCTGTGGACCATGTGGGATTACTTCTGCTGCCATGATGCTAGCAACACCTCCTGAGGTAGCTCCCCTGCACTTGTGATTGAGGCAGCAGACTCAGGCCGAGAGAAAGCCGGCAGGACCGACAGGAACCCAGGCAGCAGGCCAGACCGGGCCTGGCTCGTGCCCACAGCACTCTCCATCTCAGAAATCTCAGACCTCTTAGCTTGGCCAGTGCTGATTTCTCTGTTATCTGCAAGATCTTGTATTCTCTCTCTTTCTCTTTTTTTTTTTTTTTTGAGACAGGCTTTCATTCTGTCACCCAGCCTGGAATGCAGTGGCACTCATGGCCCACCGTAGCCTCAACCTCCCAGGCTCAGGCGATCCTCCTGCCTCACTTTCTCAAGTAGCTGGGACCACAGGATCACACCACCACATCTGGCTAATTTTTAAAATTATTTTTAGAGACAGGGACTCCCTATGTTGCCCAAGTGGTCTCAAACTCCTGGGTTCAGGCAATCCTCCCACCTTGGCCTCCGAAAGTATTGGGATTACAGGCATGAGCCACCATGCCTGGCCAAGATCTTATATTCTGTCTTGCCCTCAGCCTAGAAACTCCCTGAAGACAGTGGCGAAGGGAAGTAAAGTGAAGTTGATACCAGCCTTGCAAGACTAAATAAAATTAAATCTGCTACCAAAGAAGTCACGCAGTGCCACCCCTGACATTGAGGAGATGCCCAACATGTAGGCCCCTCCCCCACCCCTGACACTGAGGAGATGCCCAACATGTAGGCACCCCTCCCCCACCAGACTGCAAGTCTTCCTTCCTTGAGAACTTCTAGTGCCAGGCAGCCCCTGGGCTCCCAGAGGAGCTGGAAGGAGGAAGGGAGGTGCCCATCCGACATTTCAGAGGCAGATGCCCCGGGCACCATACCCAGAGCAGTGGCAGAACACACTCTGACCTGAGTGCAGGGCTTTATACACCTCCCTGCCCTGCCACAGCCGCTTCCCCAAGGCCGGGTTTGCCAAATTCAGGCCTTGGCAGGCTTGTAAAGGAACTCCTCAGGCCACACTGTCCACCCCAACCGCAACAGAGACAGACAGACACACCCGCCACTATCCATCCATCCCCCTCCCTCCCACCAAACAGCAGGAAAAGAGGAATGAGCCCCTGAAACTGGAGAGAGATGGTGGCTACACATTGGTTCTCCCCACAGTCCTGTGAGGCATATAATACTAGTTCCACTTCACCGAGGTAGAAGCCCAGGCTCAGAGAGAACAGCCTCGGGCACACAGCAAGCAGGTGGCAGAGCTGGGACTGGGAGACTGGCTCAGCCAGCCAGACTCCAAAGCCCAAGCTGTGTTGTGTCCCTCCAGGCTGCATTCAGGATTCTGTGCCTCTCAGCGCCCCTTCCCTTCTGTCAGCCCCTGCACACACCACTCACCGGATCCTTACAGGCGGCCGGACCTGCCTCAGCAACCCTGAGAAGTCAGGCTGAGCTGCCATTCCCATTTACTAACAAGGGTGCAGGTCAGCGGGGAAGGTGGCCTCCAAGTGGGCACCATGGCAGCCCAGGCCCAGAGTTCAGGCATCCTGTTTCCCAGCCCCAAGTCTCCCCTGTGCTGGGCAGATTGGGGGATCACTTCACTCCACCTGGACTCAACACTCACTTTTCTCGTCCCCTGGCCAGTCTCTTCTTAACCTCTCTAGGCCTTGGAGTTGTGGAGAATGATAAAAGAAAGGGATTTGACATCAAAGCCACCTCTTATACACATTGGTTTATAAGTCTGGTGGGGGGTGAGGGGCTCTCCTGTCCTTTATTCTCCTCCTTTGAACATTTTTTCTTCCAGCCTTGACTGGACTGAATTCAAACTCCTGGGCACATAAGGTAGGGAGCCATGCCTTGGGGATGGCTGGGAGGGAACCCACAGCAGTTGAATTGCACACTGGCACTGGGCTTGAACCCGTTGAGGATGAGGTGGCTCTGGGGCCTCTGCACAGGAGGTGAGTGTGAGTCGGTGTCTCTCCCACAGCTGAAGTCTGCACAGACAGGGAGGGGACATTCTCCAGGCCCTACTCTTCCTGTCAGGGCACCCCCTCCACAGGCACACTCAGAGCCAACTCGCCCCTGAACAATGAAGCCATTCTCCCTCCTGTTCCAAGAGCACTGCCTCACAGACAGCTCCGCAGTGGGGATTGGAATGGCGCCCATCCTATAAACTGAGACCCGCAGAGGTAAGTGATTTCCTCAAGGTCACCCAGCAGCAAGCACTGGAGTCAAGGCTCAAGTACAGATCTTTTCATTCATGCATTCAATTATTCATTCAACAATTCTGGCTATACTTAGCTGTGTGGCTGTTACCTAGTAGTTTAATTTCTCTGAGCCTCGGCTCCCTCATGTGGAAAATGGGGATATATTATTTAATTTATTAGTATAAAATACTATTAGGACCTCTTCATAAAATTGCACAAGGATTTCAGCAAGATAATCCACATAAAGTATTTAGCACAGGGCCTAGCAATCCTAAGCACACAAGCGTCACTACTATTACCATTCATTCAGTGATTCATTAACACTGAAACAGCAGAAACTATCCACCACTGTGGATATAGAGATGAATAGGCTTGGACCCCACTTTCAAATTGCTCACACGCCAGTGCAATTTGATAAGGGTTATATTAAAGGGGAACACAGGGAGCTGTGGGAACATGCAGGCAAAACAAGGAAGGCTTCCTGGGGGAGGTGTCATCTGAGCTGAGTGTTACAGACTAAGTAGAAATTAGACAAGAGAAAGGAACAGCTGTGTGTGTGTGTGTGTGTGTGTGTGTGTGTGTGTGTGTGTAAGAGGTAGTCTTGATGTTAAATCCCTTTCTTTTATCATTTTCCGTAACTCCTAGACAGGTTAAGAAGAGACTGACCGGGAGACAAGGAAAGTGAGTGTTGAGTACAGGTGGAAGGAGGTATGGCGCTGCGCTTCCAAGCCGGGGAGGTGGCCTCGTGCTGTGTGCCTGGGTGTGGGCCAGGCCTGCTCAGGCCTCCTGCCACCGTGGCCGTTGGAAACGTGTCTGTCTCCACACTGACTGTGGATCTATGCCCTTGAGGACAGACTTATGCCGTCAGAAAACACTTGTTGACTTGAACATGTGAACTTCGTTCTACATCAAGAAGGATGAATGGGTGGGGCACAAACAGGAAACAGATTAGTTTGGCTCAGACTTTTGTCTGGACCATGGAGAATGAGGGACTGGGGGCAGGGGCTGCATGGAATTGAGCAAGCAGAACTGAAGGAAAGGTCTGGAAGCCAAGAATATTATTTTTTGACTTACAAATAAAGATTAAAAAGCTATAACCCCCTGCACACACAAACACACACACACACACACAGGTGTGCATATGTGAATACACACACCCCACTAAGAACCTGAAGCCACTGTGGTGGTGGGTGGGGGGAGGGGGCTTCATGCCTTCACACCTGACTGTGTCACCCAAATTTCATGTGTTGAAAACTTAATCCCCAAATTCTTATGCTGATGGCATTTGGAGGTGGGGTCTTTGGGAGGTAATTAGGGTTAGATAAGGTCATCAAGGTAGGGGTCCCCCCAGTGGAACTGGTGGCTTTATAAGAAGAGGACAAGAGATCTGAGCTGGCATGTTCTTGCCCTCTCACCATGTGATGCCCTCCACTGTGACGCAGCAAGGAGGCCCTCATCAGACCCCAGCACTGTGCTCTTGGACTTCCCAGCCTCCAGAACCATGAGCCAAATAAACTTTCTTTCTTTGTAAACCACTCAGTCTGTAGTATTCTGTTACAGCAACAGAAAACAGACTAAGACAACACCCCTCATTCTAAGTTGTTATTAGCCCCTGGGACCTGACACAGCCACTCTGAATGTTGTTTGCATCATTGTCATCCAGGCCACTCTATCAGCTCTCCCAGTTATGGCCCCAGGGGACCGTAATGGTGAGTGGGGGTGTTGTGTTTACAGAGAACAGGGCATTGCGGCAGGTGTGTGTGCTGGGCACAGCCTGCTGAGTCCCCAAACACACTGAACGGTTTTCTCCCTAGAGTCAATTTACAGAGCTGCCAGGCCCCAGGGGAGCCCTCACTTCAGCTCCCTCAGAGCCAGCTCCCCACCAGGAGCTGCACAGGACAAGGCCTCCAGGAGACGGGGGGATCAGGAGGAACTATTCACACCCTGGAAGCAGAGTCATGTCAACACTCTTCCCCACATACAAACAGGCAGCATGGGGACAGCAGGGAGCCAAGGTGAGAGTCAGGAGACCAGGATACTCACACCCTAACTTGCTGTACAAGCTCCGGTGATCCCATTCACCCCTCTGTGCACCCCACCCTCTAAACTCTTAGGGATGTTTTAATTAAATAACTTTTCCTTCTCCATTACCTGCCTTTGTCTTCTGTAGGCGAATATAAAATATCCAAATGACATCTTCCCAACCTGGCTTACTCAGTCTTCCCCACTAAGGTGTCCTTCCTCCATTGGAGCATTCCCTCATTTCTTCACTCCACAGACATTGATTAAGCCACCTACTAAGTGCCAGTCAGACACGTGTTAGGTGTTGGTTACGATGGGCAGGAGAGTTGACAGTACCACGCCCTGCCCTCATAGTGCAAGCAAATCATTTTGCCACTGACCGGAACCCACAGGGATCACAGTGGTCACATAACATCAAGTGGTAAATAAAAAACAAACTTTGGATTATTTAACAACAGTAACAGCCCCACTTATGGAGTGCCTACTATGTGCCAGCCCTTGAACGTACACTATCTCCCAGCCTCACAGCAACCCTAGGAAGGAGGTATTACGAATCCTGCTTTACAGAAGAGGAAATGGAAGCAGCTCAGAAAGGTTAAGCAACTTATCCAAGACAACACAGCTCTAAGTGCCTGAACTAGGATTTTTACTCCAGTCTGACTGCCTGGGGAGACTGCTCTTACCCTTCAGTTCATTAGAGTGTCTCTGTAAAGCAGCAGGAGGAAGATGTCTCTTGGAAAGGGGGATCATTAAAAACATCCAGGTTAGGCCGGGTGTGGTGGCTCATGCCTGTAATCCCAGCACTTTGGGAGACCGAGGCAGATGGATCGCTTGAGGCCAGGAGTTCGAGACCAATCTGGTCAACATGGTGAAACTCCATCTCTACTAAAAATAGAAAAGAATTACCTGGGCGTGGTGGCATGAGCCTATAGTTCCAGCTACTCGAGAGGCTGAGGCAGGAGAATCACTTGAACCCGGGAGGCAGAGGTTGCAGTGAGCCAAGATCGTGCCACTGCATTCCAGCCTAGGCAACAAAGTGAGACTCTACCTCAAAAAAAAAAAAAAAAAAAAAAAAAATCCAGGTTAGAGGAGCTTTTTTCAAACAGACCGTCCCCTCTCCTGCCCCCAAGAGAATCACTGGTGAGGTACCATTCCAGCAGTGTGGGTGTGCCTCAGAGCCCTCAGTTCTGTTGGAATAGAGAAAAGGAGCTGAGAACCAGCTCTTGCCATGCTGGAGTCCCAGCCCCTGCTCTCCCAGAGGTGGGGAAGTGAGAACTGGAAACTGGTAGCCTCTGAGAGCAGGGTGCATGGTGAGAGCTGAGAGGTCTGGCTCTCACCGCCCACACCAACCCTGCCAACTGCAGTGCAAAGTGTTCTCTCCTACATGAGGCAAAAGGAGATGATTTCTGCATGTAGGAGCTGATGGGGCTGCCACGAGCAGGCCAGGATGACTGGGACACAGCGTGCCCCCATGCCAGCCCTGGGGCTCCCCCATCCCACCTGCTCTGCCATCAGGGCTGGGCTAAATCTGACACTTGGTGATGCCTGCTTATTGATTGACCAGGTTCTCAGCTGCATTCGCTGAAATGGGGCCACTCAGTGCTCTACAGCAGCTATGAGAGGACCCTGATTGTTGCCAGTCAGAGTGGGAACCACTGTGCACGAGTTAACACAATCCACAATGCAGACCACTGGCTGCATTCCAGCAATGATAAGAAATGAGACCCTGGAGGCATGCAGAGGCCAGGATTCTCCAAAGGCTTCCTGGGGAGAGGCAGAGGCCTGGGGTAGGGAAAAGAGGCCTTAATGTCCCAGAAGCCACTGTGCCACATTCTGAAAGAGCCTAGCCAGTGAGCCCCCCAACTCTGCTGTCTCCTTCTGGAAGCTTCAGGGAGCCTGAAGCCTCATGTTCCTACTGCTGTGGTCCCAGCCTGAGAAAGCAATGGCTTCCTGAGAAGTAAGGTGGAAAGAGAGCAGCTGGAGTGGCTGAAGGCACCTGGGAATGTCTGGATTGCTGGGTGTTTAAGAGACCCTTCTATGAGGCTGTGTGAGGTAAGAGAGAGCCCCTCCTCCTGACCACACCAGGGGAGGAGAGCTGGGGAGTGGTAAGAGAGAAGACACCAGCGACCCTGCCATCACAGTGCTTCCATTTGGATACCTAATAGGATCTGAATCGTCCTCCAATTTCTTCTTCCTCCCCACCCTTCCCCATCCCCAGAAACAGCATCACCATCCACCCAGTGGCTTAAGCCGTAAGCCCGGATCGTCACATTGGATTCCTTCTCCCACGTTGCACCTCAACCTATTTCCAGTTGGTTCCAACTCTAACATGCCTGAAATCTTTCCAGTTCTGTCCATCTCCACAGCCTCCTCCACTCCCTGCCTGCCTCAAGCCCCGCCTGCTGCTCCCCAATCCTAACTAGCCTCCCTACATCCTCTGTAACCCCACTCCAACCCATCCTCCACAGAGCAGGCAGAGTGACCCTCTTATGTTGGTGTGATGAATTACACTGATTGATTTTTTTCAAATGTTAAACCACCCTTGCCTAGATGGAATGAACCCTTTCGGGTGGTGATATATTATCCTTTTTATATCACCGGATTTGATTTGCTAATATTTTCTCAAGGACTTTTGACCTTTTTAAAATGTAATCTGAATTATGTGATTCCCTGCTTAAACCACTCAGAGGCTTCATAGCACACTTAGAAAAAAATCCAAACTCTTGACCATGAACCACAAGGCCTCCAAGGCCTTACTGAAGCCCTTGTGGGTCTCTCTGGACATCGACGTGGGGTTTTGGAGAAACCAACAAGGGCCTGCCCCAGAGAATACCAGCACGGCTCCCTTTGAGTTCACAAATTGCAGTCAAAGCCACCTGCTTGCTGGCATGTCCATGGGCTCTCGCTCCCTGCTAGCCTATAAGTTCCATGAGGGCAGAGACCCGAGCCCCCTTCTTGCCCGTGGTAAGGTCCTTAATCTCATCATGAATCTGCCATTCTGAGTTAATGAAGGAATAAATTATCTGCCTCTTCCATGCCTGTGCCCATGCAGCTGAACATGGCTGGTGAGAAACACACAACCACACTGCTGAGTTGCACTTCAAATTCATCACTGCAAACTTAAGGGGGGCCCTTCATGCTGCCCCCAATTATACTAGACTTCCTGAGCCTAGTCACTCTCCCACTTCCTAGAGAATTATTTCACGCTTGCTGCTCTCTCCACCACCTCTTACTGCATCCTCACTCTCAGCTGGTGACCTTGCTTCCCAATTCACTACGAAAATGGGAAGAATCAGGAGAGAGCTTCACCTACCAGCATCTGCGCCCACAGATGCCGCATGTTGCCACAGAAGAGCCTCCAGGATCCCGTCTAAAGCCTGTCTCTCCACGTATGTCCCACTAGCCTAAACCAGGACATCACTTTAGAAATTCTCTCCTTTATTTCATCACTAGTGTTTTATTCTCTGCTGGATCATTTCTGTCAGCACACAAATGCACTAACCTCCCTTCTATCTTAAAAACAACACAGTGGGCCAGGCACGGTGGCTCACGCCTGTAATCCCAGCAGTTTGGGAGGCCGAGGCGGGCAGATCACTGGAGGTCAGGAGTTTGAGACCAGGCTGGCCAACTTGGTGAAACCCTGTCTCTACTAAAAATACAAATATTAGCCGGGCATGGTGGCATGCACCTATGATTCCAGCTACTTGGGAGGCTGAGGCAGGAGAATCACTTGAACCCGGGAGGCGGAGGCTGCAGTGAGCCGAGATCATGCCACTACACTCCAGCCTGGGTGACAGAGTGAGACTCTGTCTCAAAGTAAATAAATAAATAAATAAAATCCCAGAGTAAGACAGCTCGTTTCCACTTCCCCTGACAGCTACTGCCCCATTCCTTTGCTCTCTTTGCAACAAAATTCCTCAAGAGTACTCGATACCACCTGCCTTCAATCCCAGTCCTCTTTTCTCTTGAGCTTTCTCCATTCAGGCGTTGCCCCCATCACTCCTTTGACATTGCCCTTGTCAAGGTCACCAATGGCCTTGCAAAATCCGCTGGTAATTCTCAGTCCTTATCTCACTTCACCCATTTGTCCACCCTCCTTGGTAGACTGTCTACACTTGGCTTCCAGGTACCACACTGGGTCTGAGTTTTCTTCCTATGTCTGGAGTTCTCCTTCAGTCTCCTTTGCTGGTGCCTCCTCTTTTCCCACTTTCTCAATGCTCGGTTCTTGGTCTTCCTCTCTTCTGTATCTGCACTGTCTCTCTTGGGGATCTCATCCAGCCTCATGGATTTAAACCCATCTACATGCCATAGCTCTCACATTTACAACCACCCGCCCAGGCCTCTCATTCTTGTATATCCAACCACCTGCTCAACATTCCACTGAGATGTCTGTTAGACACGCCAAAGTCAGCATGTCTAAATCCAAACTCATTTTCTTCCTTCCACCACCTGCAGCCTTTCCCACCTTAGATGATGCCAACTGCATCCTCCCAGTTGCTTAGAAGTAAAAGTCTGGTCATATTGATTCTTCTTTCTCACATCCAATCTATAGGAAAATTCCCACATCCAACCCATAAGCAAATTCTTTGGCTCTTTTTTTCAAAATACATCATGAATTTAAACAAATCATGGTACATTCATACAATTGAATTCTAACAGCAATGAGGGGAAAAGTCCCATTCAGTAACAGGGATGAATCTTGGCAAGAATTTTGAGCTTCAGAAGCCAGACATAAAAGGGTGCAAACTGCTTGACTCCACATATAAAAGTTCAAGAACAACCAAAATCAATCTATAAGGATAAAGATCAAAATAGAGGTTGCCTTTTGGAGGGTACTGACTGGGAGGGAGCCCCATACAATGCTGGAAGTGTCCTAAATATTGATCGGGGTAGTGGTATATAGGTATATACATATGCAAAATTTTATAGAGCTGAGTACTTGAGGTTTATGCACTTTACTGGATAAAATTTTTACTTTGATACAAAGTAAATTAAAAGTTAAAAATTTTAAATGCATATCCAGAATTAACCACTTCTCACCACCTCCTCTGCTATTGTTCAGATTAGAGCCACCTCCGTCTTCCCTTACCTGAATCACTGCAATAGCACCTAACTACTCCCGTTTGCACCCTTGTCCCTAAAGCACATTCTCAACACGGCAACGAGAGTGATCCTTTAAAGCCTAAGTCAGATCATGTCACATCTCTGCTCTAAATCCTGCAATGGCTCACCATTTCCCTCAGAGTAAAAGCCATTGTCTTTCCAGTGGCCTCCATGCTGTACCTGGGCCAGTGACCCATTATCTCTGACCACTCTCTCCCTTTATCTCTCCATCTCAGCCCCACAGGCCTCTTTGCTAGTCCCTAAACCCTTCAGGTACATTCCTATGCTAGGGCCTCTGTTCTAGTTCTTTCCCCTGCATGGCATGCCCTCCCTATATCTGCATGGTGTGTTCCCTCACCTCCAGGGTTTTGGTCAAATGGCACCTTCTCAGTAAAGCCTCACGGACCACCCTATTTAAAGTTGCAACCCTTTCTCCCAGCCCCATTCTGGGCTGGGGCATTTCCAATCCCATTTACCCTGCCCCCTTTTTCTTTTTTCAATAGCACATTCTACCTTCCAACACTCTACATGATTTAGGTATTGCATTTATTATCTAGCATCTGATTTCCAATTCATTAGAATTCAGTCTCCATGAGGATCTCTGTTTTATTAATGAAAGTATCCCAACAGACCCTGGCTCATATGAGCACTCAATAAGTATTTGTTGAATAAATGAACAAATGAATGAATTAATGAATGAGTAGGTCTATCTGTACCAGGGCCCGGTGTAGGGACAAATCAGCTGCCCTTCTCTCTCAAAGGGGAAGCAAGAGGCAAGAAGGTAAGTTCAAAGAGCCTTTCCTACACAACCTGAGCTGCATGGAGTGAGTGTGGAGTGGGATCCAGCTGCCCAGCCCAGCTCTGCAAGGCATCAGCTGCCAGTCTCCTGCCATCCCCACTCCCACCACAGGTGGGGTGAGAGTTTCTCCTTGGCCACCTTGGTCTGTGGGAATCCATCATCTCAGCAGAGACTCTGAGCTGTCAGACAGAGGTAGAGACCAGATCAGCCTGCCCATCTGTGTATCCCCAGGCCTGGCCAAGTGCCTGACATATAGCAGGTGCTCAAAGCACACTTATAAAATAGATAAATGGATGTTGCCAGCCCCTCAGCCCCACACCTCTCTGCAGTTCTGCTGGGGAATAAAATTCCAAGGTAAGGAGCAAGGCAGGAGAAGGTACCCCCATGTCCTCTCCCTTGGGGTCAGGGAAGCCCCTTGCCAGCTGCCCCCATCTCCCTGCCCACCTTCAAACCAGTATTTCTAAGAGGACGTGTATGCCAAGACCCACCCATCTGCCTCTCCTTCTTCTCCTTATCCCCACGACCACCTGCCTGCCAGGCTTTTCTTTGGACTGCGGCAGCTGATAGTTCCCTCTGGGCTTGAATTAAGAAGGCTGAGGTTAAAGGAGTGATTCATGCCGCCCAAGGAGCCGTGTCTCTCCACTTCCTTCCTCTCTGCTCTATGTGTCTGTCCCCACCTGCCGAATGAGGCCAACCAAGATGTGCCTCACCCCAAGTCCTCTCCCAGGGACACTGCTTCCTCACCCTCAGGATGCCGAGGCCTTCAGGAAAGAGACCAGGCAATAAGGACTAGACTTGGGGCCCATACAGTCCTGCCCAACCCAGCCCAGAAGGGGAAGTGGGCTAAAGAATGCCAAATGCCCCCGGGGGATTTGCAGTGTGGGTAAAATTGGGGAGGGAGAAGGGAGAGTTGGAGTAAAGGGACTTGGGAAATATTTAACCTCACAAGGCAATCTTTCTAGATAGCACCTACACTATTTACTGGGTGACACAGCCCAGGTTCTGACTTGGCTCTGACCCTATGAACATTGTGAATCATTAAAGTGTTTTTTTGTTTGATTTTATAATTTCAACTTTTTTTTTTTTTTTTGAGACAAAGTCTCACTCTGTTGCCCAGGCTGGAGTGCAGTGGCATGATCTCAGCTCACTGCAACATCTGCCTCTTGGATTCATGCAATTCTCCTGCCTCAGCCTCTCAAGTAGCTGGGATTACAGTCGTGCACCACCATGCCCATCTAATTTTTGTATTTTTAGTAGAGACGCATTTCACCATGCTGGCCAAGATGGTCTTGAACTCCTGACCTCAAATGATCTGCCTGCCTCGGGCTCCCAAAGTGTTGGGATTACAGGCATGAGCCACCGCGCCCAGCCTCAACTTTTATTTTAATAGATTAAGGGGTACATGTGCAGGTTTGTTACACAGTAAAGCATTTTTCATAACAATAAATAATCAGAAACAATTGAAGTAGCCAGTGATATAAGAATGCATAAATAAAATATGATATTCAAATATTCATTTATTCAAAAATTTTTCCGGCATGCCTGCTCTGTGCCAGGCATGGGGAAATGGGGGTATGTAAGCAGATGTGTCCCTGGCCTTTGGGAACTTACCAAGCCCAGAAAGAGCGACATTGACTAGAAAGCTACCCAGGTGATGAGTGGTGGACTTGGAAGGAGAAGGAGATCCAACTTGAGTGTCTACCAGAGGAAACTGGTCCAGGTGGGGTGGGGCTCAGGGAAGGCCCCCCTAAGGAGAGCCCATTTTAGCTGAGACCCAAAAGATGAGTAATAATACAATCCAATATTATACCGCCATAAAAATCCTTACAAAATCATTTTAGTTGACACAGGGAAATGCTTATAATGTTAAGTGAATAAAATAGGATATAAAACCATGTATATATAGATGTTCTCAATATGTAAAAATAATATATCTATATATATGTGTGTGTGTGGAAAAATTTTCTGGAACACCAAAATGTTAACGGTAGTTCTCTGTAGGTGGTAGAATTACTGGTGATTTTACCATCTTTATTCTTTCTTCCATTTTTCACAATCAACATGGATTGCTTTTATGCTTGGAAATAAATAGCAAATGTCAGGGTGCGGCCCCTACAGATCTGCCTCTGGGTAAAAGGCATCCTGGCCATTCTCCGGCTTCCACGCAGAGCTGACACCTCGGCAGGTTGCCCCTCAAGCACTCAGAAACTTCCGGGAAGCCACCCGATGCCAGCTGGGGGAAGCTTTCACACTTGAAAGGAGTCCAGATGCCTCTTCAATTAAAGGCCATGTTCTCCCTTGGCCCAGCAAGCTGCTTGGCCTAACACACCTGAAGGCTATCCCTAATTCAGAGAAATTATCTTCTCAATCACAAAGCAACTTCCCTCCGCCTCATTCCCCTCTAAGCCTGCCACTGATCTGCTGACTTCACCCACTGAGGCTGCATACTTTCCTTTTCTGTTCCTTGAGGGGCGGGTGACTGCAAAGAGCTCTTCTGCTCAAGCTTTTTACATCAGAGGCGGGGGAGCAAGCATCCAGATGGGAGGAGGAAAGAACTCCCAGCCAAGTAATCTTGCGTAAGCTCCTCCTCTCTCCAATCTCAGTTTCCTCCTCAGTCCGCAAGTGTGAGAGTTTGAGCTTCAGGGCTTCCTCCAACTCCTCTTCCCTCTTAGACACTCCAGGCCTATGACTAATCCATCCTTAGATACAGGATCTGAAGACGGCCTACCTCTCTGAAAGCAGAAGGCATGACCTGAGAGCAACTGTTCTGGGACCCAGAAGCCACAGACAGTCACCTGCGGGGGCATGACGGCACACAAGGCATTTCAGGGTTGTCAAGAAAAGCCCAGGCTAGCCAGGGTGGGGACAGCTAAATTGATGCCTAAACGCAAACGTGCCCTAATTTACCAGATTTCTTTCCCCACTCTGGCTCAGCACGCCGAGCTCCTCCACCACTCCTTGCTGTGGTTCCCCGGGTCAGCAGCCCAGTGGGGCAGGCTTCAAGCTATGGACAGAGGCAGGAACTGCCAAGGGCTCAACTGCCCACTGGAGTGAAGGTGGAGGGGAAGATGCTGGGCGGGGACTGAGCAGAGTGCAGAGGCCATTGGCAAAGATCAGAGGAGAAAAATCACCCTACTGACAACTTCATAGAAACTCCTCCAAAAATCCTACAGCTTCTTGGGCTGACGCAAGATACACATGGGCTTACTGGTTAAAGGCATCTGTTAGGCCTAGAGTCAAATCCTGCTTCTGCCCCTGACAAGCTGTTTGGGCAAGTTACTGAAACTCCCCAAGCCTCAGCCCTCAATTTAGCTAAAGAATTGTCTATAGAGAGGCCAGGCGAGGTGGCTCACGCCTGTAATCCCAGCACTTTGGGAAGCCAAGGCGGGTGGCTCACCTGAGGTCAAAAATTCGAGACCAGCCTGGCCAACATGGTGAAACCCCATCTCTACTAAAAATACAAAAAATGAGCTGGGCATGGTGGCATGCACCTGTAATTCTAGCTACTCAGGAGGCTGAGGCAGGAGAATCGCTTGAACCTGGGAGGTGGAGGTTGCAGTGAGCTGAGATTGTGCCACTGCACTCCAGCCTGGGCGACAGAATGAGACTCCATCTCAAAAAAAAAAAAAAAGAATTGTCTATACAATGGGGGTAACAATAAGCTCTACTAGTGAGACTATGAACATTGAATGAGATAAAATATATTAAAAACATAGCATTGTTCCTAGCATACACTCACTAGGAGCTAAAACACACAACACAACAAAACCCTCCCGGGATCCCAACACAGCACTGGCAGGAGTCAGGATAAGGAAGAACCACAGAATTAGAGCTGAAAGGTACCTCAGAGACCTCAAATCCAACCCCTTCATTTCTTTCTTTTTATTTATTTATTTATATTGAGACAGAGTCTTGCTCTGTTGCCCAGGCTAGAGTGTAGTGGCGCAATCTCGGCTCACTGCAATATACGCCTCCCAAGTCCAAGTGATTCTCCTGTCTCAGCCTCCCAAGTAGCTGGGATGACAGGCATGTGCCACCACGCCCAGCTATTTGTTTTTGGTATTTTTAGTAGTGATGGGGTTTCACCATGTTGTCCAGGCTGATCTCGAACTCCTGGTCTCAAGGGATACACCCATCTCAGCCTCCCAATGTGCTGGGATTACAGGCATGAGCCACCATGCCCCACCTCCAACCCCTTCATTTAACAGATGGTGAAGGGGAAAGGCTCAGAGAGGCTGAATAACTTATCAAAGGTTGCATAGCTAATTAGTAACAGAGCAAGGTTCAAACTCAGGTCTGCCTGACTCGCAAACACCCACCATCCCTCACTCCACTCCAACCCAGCTGGCCATGGACAGCCCCCTTGCTAGGGTCTCCTTCCCACAGAGAGGTTTGGTCAGGGAGCCCTCTGTTGGCACACTTCCCTACAACTAGCCCTCGGGAGTAGGCACCAAATTGCCACCAAGAAAGCTCTGGGTGAGGGGTTAAGGGACAAATAATAGAGATTCCCTAGAACCAGGAGCTGAGGGGAATAGGGCTTCAATTACCAAGCATGGGGAGGTGCTATGCAAATAGCGTGCAAATTATATGCAAATGACCACAGGTTACTGATGAATCAACAATTTGAGCTTAAAAAGAAAAAATTTTGTAACTGGATCATATTATATGGTGTGAATCTCTTTTCTCTCTTGGTTTTCTGCCAAGTAGAAAGAAAGAAAATTTGTGGTTGACTGACCAAACCATGCCCCACTTGGTGATAGCCAGCAGACACCTGTATCCGGGTGCCCCAGACACGCCTCACCAGTGCTCGGTCAGTACGACTCTCTGTGCCCAGGGCCACATCTACCTTTGACTGGCATGTCAGGGCAGCAAGCCTGGTGCCTGGGGACCTCTGGCCAAGAGGAGTTTCGTAGACCCAGCAGCCTGCTGACTCCAGCCACGTAGAGGGGAGCAAAGCATGCTGTTCCTCCTGGAAGGGACCTGGGCAGTGCCACGCAGGAGCCCAGAATGGCCCAACACCTCAGCCAGGATCCCTGCTTGAGAAGTGAGGCCCCAGCAGCCTTTCCCTAACTCAGGAGAAAGGCTCCTCTCCATGGGGCAGGACACTCCCAGGCACTGCTGGTGTGTGGCTGTCAAGGAGCCACGCTGAGCCAGTGGGGGCATCTGTGGTCATGGCCCTGAATCAGAAGTGGGGACAGGTCTAGCCCACAGCAAGAAAGTGAGAGGTTAGACTTCTGGAAGATAGGCTTGAGGCTCAACTGTGTGTGTTCCGTAAACCTGGCCAATTCAATCAACGTTTACTGAGGGTCTGTGATGTGCCAGACACTGAGCTGGGCATTCTGAAGAATTTGCAGAAATAGATAAGATGTGGATGCTGCCTTGAGGCACCAACACTGCACCAGAGGAGTAGAAACATGTATAGATATAACTTCACAGTACTTAGACACCTCCTGGGAGATGTGTTGCGTATGTGTTTGTGTGCGTGTTTCTTCGTGTGTATGTGTTGACACCGAATGACACCTAAGAGCGTGAGTGGCAGGAGTAGGGCTCACCTATCCAGCCACACTTGAGCCATATGTTAATAGTGACAATAAAACTACAAATAAGACCTCCCTATGGCTTGCATATATGAGGCATAATATTAATACAAGTGCTTCGCATATATGAGTTCATTAAATTATTCCAATAACCCTAGGGAGTAGGCACTATTATTAATGTTCCCTTTTATACATAAGGACATTAAAGCTTAAAGCGGTTAGGTAAGTGACTTTTGCACAGCTAGAAATTCCCAGCAAGGATTTGAACTCAGGCCCATGGCAGCCTCTGTGCAGGTCCCTGCCTCCACCCTCAAAGGACAGCTCCCCAGGACCCCAGCTCCAAAGCCACAGCAGCTGCCTCCTGAAGGAATAAGTCTGCTGTTCCCACCAGTGCAGCCATCCCAGCCCCACAGGGCAAGTAGGGTGCATTCTGTCACAGCAAGACGGGACCTTTGGCTCACCTTAACACTCACTCAGCAGACAGAATTTCTCCAGCAGCCTTCCTACAGCTGGACATCTGCATGAGTTTCCAAATGTGGCAACACTTCGTTATAATGGCCAGGCTCAGAGGCCCCGCTCTTCTAATGCACTGAGACCAGCTTTATATGTGCAGCCCAGCAGCAACCTGGGACTAATGGCAGCATGTGGGCCCCTCAGTGGATGAGCCTATGGGGCTTCTGGCTGTGTTCCCTTATTCACCCCACCTTCCCTGGAAAACCTGGAGGGTGGAGGGAGGTAGACAGGGCAGAGAGACTGGCATCAAGCCACTGGGCATGGGGAATCAGGAAGGAAGGCAGATAATTAGATCACACTTCTGAGTGAGCTTCAAGGAGACCCTCTGAGTCTTAGTTTCCCCCTTTAAAAGCTCCTGCTCCACCTCCCTTACAGCGGCGTGATGATAACAGGAAAAAATCATGCATGTAAGAAAGGCTTTGAAAAGTTAAATGTGCACAAATGTAACACAAAGGGAGAAACATGGGTCCCTAGGCCTGCCCGGGCAAGGGGCCAAGTGAGGTCAGAGGCCCTACATCCCAGAGAAGCTATGCCGGGGGTGGCAGGTGCTGGAGATGGCCAGAGCTCCCCAGGAGAAAAGGAATCTACTGGGGGCAAGAATTCAAAGAGGGGGCAAGCATGCCTCACAAGAGCGTCCCAGCAGGGCCAGTCCCTGGCAATATGCCCAGGCACTCGCTGGCACTTGGTGGCCCAAGGCACTGCCTGGTGATGAGATTGTGGCCTGGCAGGGAGCTCCAACATGGGCTGGACACCCACACTGAGGACGGCACCAGCAGGCCACCCATCCCAGTGCTGCCTGGGAGCAGCACAAGCACCTCTACTGTGACCAGCAAAGAGGTGGTTTTGCAACAGAACAGCAATATGAGAAGTAGGCACCAGCATTTTTCCTTCCTCCTGTCTGTAACAGAGGTCCCATAAGTGGGAGTGAGGCAAAGGTAATCAGACTGTTGGGTTCAGCTGGAAAGCCCTGGAAGGAACAGCTGGCTAGCACAGAGATACCTGGTGAATGAGAGAGCCAAAGCGTGCCTTTGGGAAGCCTGCCGTGGTCTGGCTGGAGAAGCAGCACTCCTGCCCCTGTTGTGCCACCCTCAGTATGTTCCCACCCCACCCTAACTCTCTTCTCTGCCTCTTCCTCTTCCTCTTCCCTGGGACTGGCAGAGCTCAGCTCATTCCTACCCAGCACTCACTGTGACCCCATCTTAGTGGCTCTTCCAAATCTCCCACCTCCACCCCAGGCCTGACAGGCAGCCTCAGGTTCCCTGGCTGCAAGAGCTTCAGCTCTGAGGTCATGGGCACTGGTAAGTTCACAGTACAGTCCTCCAGCCACCCATCCCCCTCCTGTTTCTCTGGCCCTGCAGAGCGGAGCACGGAAAGGCAGAGTGAGGACTGGAGCACGATGGCCCAAAGAACATCTGGCTTACTTGGGGTCTTATGCTCTACCTTTTTTCCTTTCTAGATGGCCCTCAAGCCAGCCATCATGTGGTGCTGCGAGTACCTTCGGCGCTGTGGACTCACCGGAGAGGGATCTTGACCCGGAGGTAGCGGTCCACAGCAATTGCCAGCAGGGCCAGGATGGAGCTCTGGGTGAGGATGAGGACCGGACAGGCAACCATGAGGCAGGTGTGGAAGTAGGTCTGTGGCCCAATGTTGATGAGGATGGCGAGGGGGATGACCAGGGCACCCACGGCCACATCAGCCACCGCCAGCGACACGATGAAGCAGAAGGTGGCATCCCGCAGCGCCTGGTTCACCTTCACCGCCCAGATCACCAGCACGTTCCCGGGCACAGAGACCAGGGCGATGAGCACCTCGATGCCGATGTAGGCGGCCTGGAAAGCTGAGATGGAGGGCGGCATGGCGGGCACAGGCTGGGCACATCAGCAGACGGGCACCAAGGGGCACGAGGCAAGCACCTGTGTGGTCAGGGAAGCCTGGGATGGGGAGACCCGTCTGGGAGGGGCAGGGAGCTCAGGCTGCCCTGGAACTCCAGGTACCCTGTGATGTGTCCCACTTGTCACATGCAGCTCCTACCCAGGCTGGAGGGGCACCCGGACCCTTCTCTGCCTAATCTTTGTCCCTTCCCTTTATCATTCCCAGAGGTTCCATTCAGCAACTTAAAATAGCAGCGCTCACTCCTCCACTGGCTTTTTTATCAGGTGTGAGGCAGCTCCCAGCGCGCGCGCACACACAGACACACGCACAGAGGGGTCTCCCATGACTGGCTCTGCCCACCCCTGTGCACAGAACAGGATGCAGGGAGCTCACCATCCTGCCTGCTGGCCGGCAGGGGTCCCAGAGGCAGTGCCCAAAGTTCCAGGGAACAGAGCTCCGGGCCGCGCGCGGTAGGGCTGGGCTGGGCTCTGGACAACGCGCGGCAGCTCATAGTCCTCCGGCTCCCGCCGCAGCGCTCCCAGCCCGGCCTTTCAAGCAATCACATGGTACGGCAGAGACTCAGCCCCGGACGCTTTTAAAGAGGTAGCGCCCCTGTTTCGCACCTGGGACTGGGGTGGCAGACGTGGGTCTGGGGACGGAGCCCAGGACAAGGCTGGGGCGTTTCTCCCTATTCCCCAGCGTGCCCGCACCTGCCCTGCGCCCACCCACTTGAGACCCGTCTGGTGCCTGGATCTTAGCAGTCCTCTGGTCCCGTTCCAGCTCTGTCGGGGAACCTTGCCCATGGCCTGCCCCAAGGGGGCATTCCGGTCTCTTCTTTCAACCCTCTCCTGCACCCCCATTGGGGAGCCCCAGGGGTGAACCGAGACTCAGACTTACCCAAGGTCACCAAAGCTGGCAGAGCTCCCGGCTGCCTGACTGTTCTGTCCAAGTGCCCCCACACCTCGACGCCTTCAGCAGCCGCTAGCTCCAGGGATTCCTGGGGAAGCCAAGGCCGGCCGGTAAGCTCCAGAGGGATGGTAGCTGGCTGGGACTCGACTCGGGCGCCTGCGGCTCTGTCGCCCCCGGCGCAGGAGCTGAGTGACAATCGGGCTCCGCACACCGGGAGGGGGCGGGGGCGGCGGCGGCACCCGCCAGCCCCTCCCTCCTCATCCTCCGTCTCCTCCCCCACCCCCTCCTCTTAACAAAGGAAGTGATACTGGGTGAGAAAAGCTGGAAAAAATGTGAGCTTTTCGAAGGGCCTGGTGTGTGCGCCCAGCCTCAGGACTGGACAGAGGCGCATCCTTCCTGTGTCCACTCTCTCCCTTCTCAATGCAGGACTCCTGGGAGCCCTGGTCTGGCCTCCAGCGACCCCTCACCCCTCACGGCACAGCATCTCTTCTGCAGGACTTCAGAATGCCCCCTCTGGGATCTCCCAAAGCAGTCGGTAGCCCTGGCACCCTCCCCCAATCCTAAAACCCTGCTCTCTCCATGAAACCAGTCCCTGCATCTTCTCATCCCATATTGTTTTGCAGGCTCTACCCTGAGTCATTATATTCCTTTCTCATCCATCTTTCAGAATTGCCTTTTAGTCTATTAGCAATTTCTATTTTGCAGATAAGGATGCTGAGGCTCAGGGAAGTGACCTAGCTTCCCAGGATCTCCTGGCAGTGTAACCCGCTCTGCGCTCCTTTTCCTTCCTCCTTCTTCCTCTTCATAGCACAGCGCTAAGCCATAAGGCATCCAGTCCAATCCCCTCATGTTACAGATAAAGAAGCAGGCTCAGGGAAGCAAGGGACTTCCGGAGGGTCACAGGGCAAATCCTAACAGGACCAAAATAAGAATCCCAGGCTCCTGACTCTCTCCACTGGGTCCAGACCCCTCCCCTGGCCACCTTCTGCCAGTTTCGGTTTAGGCAGTCCACTGATATTAACTAATGACCAGACCCTGGACATGGATGGATGCCTCGCAGAGATCCCAACCTGAGAAATCCTTGTTTGTGGGTATTGGGCAAGGGTTCTAGGAAGGCAAAGAGAGTCAGGCTGGGGACCCCAATGTTAGCTAGCCACAACCCAACCTGGCCTCTGGGGGTACTGCCCCCCTCACTGGATCTCAGAATGCAAGGAAAAGGGTTCTGCCCAGAGGAGGGTGGGCACGTTGCTCCCATTGGGGGCTGCACTGAATCACAGTGAGGAATGATGTGGGACCCGGAACCTGGGTAGCTGGGAGGCAGGGAGGAAGGGCAGTTGAGTCTTCTGAGGAGGAGGGGGAAGCCCTCTGTGGGGAAAAATAACTTCCATTTCTGCCTTTAGGGGGAGCAAGGAATCAGTGCCTCAGACAGCAAAATTACATTCCTTCCCTAGAAGCTAGTTGGAGAAATTAGGAAGTGTAAACTCTCCTTCCTCCTCGTCCCCTTGCACTTCCCCTGCTGACTTTGTCAACACGCCCAACAGCACCTGACGTCCTGCCTACTCCCCCTGCCACCCAGACATGCAGGCCTTTGCGACCATCCCCTGCCTCTCCACCCTTTGCTTGACTTAAGCCATTTTTGGCTCAAGGCTTTCTCTCTCAGTTTACACTCAGCTTCCCAATGGTCACTCAACTAGATGTCAGAAGAGACTGTGAAGACCCAGATGGGCCCAGCTTGGGGACGGGGATGGGTGAGTGGGGTCACCCTGTCTAACTATTGACAGCATCTTCAGCTCTGGAGGGCAACTGAGCACCCACCACCACCTCCCATACACATACACTCCCACCTCCGATTCATCTTACCACAGGTTGCTGACATGTAGTGGATGCATTTGCATAATGCCTGTAGGTAATTTGTTTCTCAGTTCTGGGCAAAATAAGCCAAAATCTTCTTCCCTTATCTTCTCCATCCTTCCACCCCTGCCTGTTCCCAGCCTCAGGGATTAGACCAGCCTATTTGACAACAGAACTGGCCAAGGCAGGGTCTATTCCAGAAAGCTGCCTTGGGGGAAGCACACGGTCTCCTCAGTCCTCTGGCTTGACACGGAGGTAGGAGGGTCGGTGCTGAGATCTCCTGGGCAGCAGGGTCATTTGGTGCGGTGAAAAGAGCACTTGACCGAGAGTCAGAAGAGCTGGAAGCTGGCTTCTAGGCTCTACTCTGCCACTCACTGGCTGCGTGACCTCAAGCAGGCCACTTTTCCTCTCCTGGCCTCAGTTTACCCATCCTACACCAACAGCTGGTAAGTCCATTCCAAGGTGCGAGAGATGGGCTGAGATGGAGACCACAGAACTTGGTCCTTCCCCCTGGAAGTCTTCTAACTCCCAGCTCCCCTGTGAGGCACAGAGAGCAGGGCTGAGAGAAGGGGAAGTTTGTGATGGAGGCGAGTAGAGGAAGAGGCAAGGTCACAGATCTATAACGAGGAAAGGACAATGAGGGAGGCTGTAGGCAGAACAGATGGAGCCAAGGTGTCTGGAATGTATCCTGAGTCAAAACTCTCTGGCTTTCACAGTGTGTCCAGGACCCTTAGACAAGATGACCCTCCCCACACCAGGGTCCCCTCACACACTGCAGCCATGCAACCCTCCAAGCTTCACCTGCCTTCAAAAGCTGAGCCTTGGTTTCCCCACCTGTAACAGCAGTGTAGGAATACCCCTCGGTGTAGGATGGTTATGAGAACATAATGAGCTGGCTTTTGGAAAGCGTCCAGCACTGATATTTTATCAAAAAGGCAAGTAGGCAGCACCAGGCCAGTGAAGCGTGGGGGTGGAAAGGGAAAGAGAATGCAAAATTATGAAATCTGCCCTGCACAGCCAGGGATGCTAATGTTGGTACCAAATCCCACAGGTACCAAGTTTAGGTGCCCTCCAAGATGCCCAATGCAAAGCTTCTATTTTCCATGTGACTCAGGGGGTGAGATAATGCCACAGTAAATGTAAAGATCGCCTGTGGTCCTTTTACCGCTTGATCCTACTTCTTTTCTTCCTAAGCCCCTGTCCTGGGTTTCTCCACTGGCCCCTTGCACCTGCAGCCTCCCCACTGTGGGCAGAGGTGGGTGGGGAAGAGGGAGGGCTGAAGGGGAAGCACTCCTGGGTGAGGGGAACCTTGCTGAGCAGCCCTGCTCTTTTCTCCCTGGAACTCTCCAAATTGGGCTATACTCCTCAGGTCAGAAAGGGCTGCCCAAGGAGGCTGAAGTATCCCAGCACACCCCTCCAGAGCCCAGGAAGGAAGGCAAGGAGTACTGGCTGTTAAGGCTTGGCTCAGCCCTGTGGGGAGAGCTTGGGGATTGGAGGGGGTTTCAGAATTTTTCTCTGTCCTTTCCAGCAGGCAGAAGGATATTTTGGTCCCTGTCTTGTTTTTTCAGCATTGCTCTGGCCAGTGTGTGCACAAGGAGGAGAACTGTTGGATAAGAGCAGGCATTTGGGACAAAAAGATTTCTGGGTGTCAGGAAAGCCCTTAGCCCTTCCCCCAAGGGGCCCATAACCATGCCTGTCTGCCCCTGCAGTGACTTCCTGGAAGTTCCCTTCCTCTCCTTTTCTACCACCCTCCTTCTGCTCAGATTTGCACCCTGGGTCTCTGCCTCCTTCTCCCTCCCTCCTTCCAGCTCACTTCTTCCCAGTCAGGGCTTCTCTGTGCCAGATACTGGGCCCACGGGAAGAACACAGGCTGCGTGTTTCCCTGTGTGTTTGTGAGGCGGTGGGGAGGCATGGGGTAGGTCAAGGCCATCTAGTTCCCGTTCCTCCAGACAGCATGGAACTGTTCCTACCTCCTAAAGCAAGGTTGTCCTTCGCATTTCTTTCCTAATCTCATCATCATTCATTCATTTATTCTGTTGGGTAAACATTTCTTGAGCCCCTTTTGTGTATCAGACAGTGAGCTGAGCATCGTGGGTAGAGGCATAAAAAAGCCATAGTCTCTCCTGCAGGCTCCAGAGAGAGTTCACACTCAGGTAAGGAAGGCATGAAGGGCCCCAATACACAATCCCTCCAGTGAGAATCAGAACATGTTTCCTGGGTCTTGATACACTGAGGACCCCTTAGGGCTCCACAGAGGAGCCTCGGGACCTCCAAGGCTGGGAAGGAGGGTCAGGTCTTGGGGGCTCAGGGAGCCACCCTGTTTTAGATGAAGCAGCTCTGGTTATTTCATGTATGGGTTCCTGGTATAAGACTTTCTTTGAACATTGTGGCTCTTAAAAAAAAAACAAGTGAACATCTGAGCTTCAATCCAACCTCTCCAGATAAGGAAACTGAGACCCAGAGAAGGAATGAACTTAGCCATACCCATCCAGCAGTGAGGGGCAGGGCTTGGTACCCAGGAGGGTCCTGGAGGTGAGCATCATTTTGAGCCCTGGTCCCACCTACCCTTCAGGGAATCCCTTGAGAATCCCTCAAGCATCAGCCCTTTAATCTTAGAACTTGATGAAGTGAGGGTTCTGGGCTTTCACACCCTCGCCACCTTACAGCAGAGGGAGGCAGTGTTAGGTGGACACACCTGTATATAATTATAAAAGCCCCTCACGGGTGCACAAAAGTTTAGTGTTTATAAAAGAATTCCCTTCAAGCTCATTCTTCTTGGTATAATAAAAATACAGAAATTCTCACAGACAGTATCCCATTGAATGCTCACTATACACCAGGGAGATAGCAAAGCAGGTGTTATTAGTCCCTGGTCACAGATGAGAGAGGTTCAAGGGAAGCCACATGGCAGAGCTAACACTAGAACCTGGACCGTCCGAGGACTGAGCCAGGTTTGATGTGTGGCTTTTTGTTTGTTTGTTTGATTGTTTTGTTTTGTTTGTTTGAGACAGAGTCTCACTCTGCCACCCAAGGTGGAGTGCAGTGACGCGATCTCAGCTCACTGCAACCTCTGCCTCCTGAGTTCAAGTGATTCTCCTGCCTCAGCCTCCCAAGTAGCTGGGATTACAGGCGCCTGCCACCATGTCCAGCTAATTTTTGCATTTTTAGGAAAGAAGGGTTTTCACCATGTTGGTCAGGCTGGTCTCAAACTGCTAACCTCGTGATCTGCCCGCCTCGGCCTCCCAAAGTGCTGGGATTACAGGTGTGAGCCACTGCACCCAGCCGTGTGATGCATTTTACCCATGAAGGTGTATGTGACGCTCGGGAGGTGATTGGAACTGCTGGGCCAATTGGTCTGAAAGGGCCTCCTCAAGGAGGAGAATCTTGGGCAGCCCCATCCACCATTTGTTTCTTTGGCATTTGTGAAGGGCCTATTATGAAGACACCCCCCAAGAGCTGCAAGCATGGGGACTGGAGGCCCGGCTGTGTCAATCCCTGCTCAGAATCAGCTGGAGCTCCTGGTGGTGTGTTCCAGGGGTCCCAGACAAGGGAGGAGCATACTCCCTTGCTGGCAGGGGCTGGGAAGGATTCTGGAGAAAGCAACACATAGCCTGGGCCTTGAAGGAGGCACCGGATGCTTTGTGCTTGCAGAGATGGGCTAGTGGCCTGGAGGAGGACTTTGTGGGCAGAAAGTGAATGAGCAGCCTGAGCAAGGGGCATGGGAAACTGCCCAGTGTGTTCTGGGCAAGACCAGGGGCTAAGCAGGGGCACTGGATCCAGGCTGGGCAGCAGGGTGACAACTAGGGGCTACATTGCTGAGGTCCCCAGGGCAGACTGAGAGGACTGTAGTGGGCGATGCACCCACTGAAAGGCCTCACCCACAGAAGGCCTCAGCCCCAGTCCCAGATCTGCTCTGTAGCACTGGGTGAAGCCTGACCACTCCCCATACCTCCCTGAGCCTCAGTTCTCTTATCCATAAAAGAAGAAGAATAACATTACCTCTTTGACTTTATGTGAAAGTGCTTTTTAGATTGTAGATCACTACACAAATATACAGTCTACTCTGTTGATAATGGGAAGCTTTTGAGGATTTTTGAGGATTTTCTGAAGGACCTGAAAGATGCTATAGGAAGATCATCCAAGACGCTGTGCAGAGGGGAGGAGGAGAGGGTGAGAGCAGGCAGAACTGCCAGGAAGCAATCATGGTCAAAGATGACGAAAAGTTAAACCTAAGAGGAAGCAGTGGGAACAGAGATGAAGATGGACAGGAAAGATGTCTCGTGGGAGGACTTCCGGGCATAGTGGCTGGGGGACTGAGGAGGCAAAGATGACTCTATTTCAAGCTGAGTTCCCAGGGAAATGCTGAGGAGGATGAGGGAGATTTGACGGACAGGCTGGTTGGGGGGATGGGGGATGGGATACGAAGTCCACTCCTGGACAGGTTGGGCTGGCTGTGCCCATGGGAGGGGTCCAGCAGCCTTCTGGAAATGGCCAAAGGGTGATCGGAGCTGGAGCTGGGTCATCGCAATGGAGGTGACAGTCAAGGCCCTGGGAGAGATGAGGCCACCCAGGAGAGGATGCAGAGAATAGGCTGTGGAGAAGCTGGGCTGTGCCCACAGTAATCAAGAGGGAGGGCAGCCAAAGGGGAGGAGCAGGCTACCAGACATTTCAGGAAGCAGGGGTGCTGAGTGGTTCGGGGCTGAGGGCTGAAGGGCAGCTATGATAGGTCTGAGGGGGATGTGGTGGATTTCATGAAAAGAAGGGTGTGGAGACCTCAAAGAAGCTTCAGGGGATGGGGGAGTAGGAGTGCCTCTCAAAGGTTGACGCTGCAGCAGGTAAGCAAGGTAGAGGCCGTGGGTGCAGATGAGTCTAGTTTGAAAGAACTTGGCAGGGATGAGAACAAAAGATGGATGGTGAGCTGCAGGAGAGAGGGGTCAAAAAGAGGTTGGTTTTAGATGGGGAGCTCTGAGCATGCTTACAGTCTGAGGGAGGGAAGCAGTGGCAAGGAAGAGATGAATCAGAGGGAAACGAAGCTGAGCACAGACCCCAAGGAGCTAAGCAGTTAATGACAGCTGGCTGGGCACAGAGCTCTGGATGTCCCCAGACCTGGAAGTATCTAGCTCTTCACCAGCTCCAAGCCCTCCCCCACTGCCACTGGGTCCTAAGGAGAGGCTCCCAGGTCTTCAACCCCAACCCAGCCCTTCCCTGAAGCCCCTCCACCCCCCCACCTGACACAAGGCCAGCAGTTGGCCAGCCATGCTGCAGCTCCATTAAAGACTCAGCCTTCTCCCAGCACCAGCTCCTCTTCATCTGACAGCCTGTGGCCCAGCCCCTACCCCTAACCCTAGCCCACGGGGCACCAGTCACAGATTTCTTGGCTTCTCTGCCCCTGTCTGCGGCCAAAGAGGTGCCTCTGGGCAATCCGCCTGCCACCCCACCACTGTCTGGGAGATCCACCATGTGACTCATAAGCGCTCATGCTGTCCTGTGCAGCCCACCCCATCCCAGCCAGCAAATGCACCCCACCTTCCTGGACTCCTCCGACAGCACCTCCAAGGGTTCAAAGGCAAGCAATCCTCTGTTTCCCCTCCCCTCACTAGGCAGAAGGGGAAATTGAGGCAGGGGAGATGATGATATCTGTTGGAGGTGAGGCAGCCTGGTATCTGACTCCCTAATCGCTCCCTTATTCCTCCCCACCCATCAAGAGGTGTCCTTGTCCCTCAAGAAAGACAAATACCCCCACTATCTTCTATATGTTCCAAAAGGGAGAAGAAGGCTGTCAAGACTAGAGAAAAGAAGGAAGGAGGGGCAGAAGTGAAGCTGCCAGACTAAATTCAGGACACCCAATTAAAAACTTTTAACAGCTTTATTGAGATACAATTTACATAATATAAAGTTCACCCATTTAAGGTGCACAATTCAGTGGTTTGAGTTACTTATGGAATTGTACAACCATCACCATCATTTAATTTTAGAACATTTTCATCACCTTTCCTCCAAAAAAACTTTGCACCCATCAGTAGTCACTTCCCAACCCTTCCCTCCACCACCCATCCCTAGCAACCACTAATTTACTTTCTGCCTCCATGGATTTGCCTATTCAGGACATTTCATATAAATGGAATCATATGATACATAGGATACATGGTCCTTTGTGACTGGCTTCTTTCACTTACCATAATGTTTTCAAGGTTCATCTGAACTGTGGCATGTATCCATACTTCATTCCTTTTTAAGGCTGAATAGTATTCCATCCTGTGGACAAGCCACATTTTGTTTATCCGTTCTTCAGTTGATGGACATTTAGCTTGTTTCCACTTTTAGGTTATTGTGAATAATGCTGCTATGAACATTCGTGTACATGTTTTTTTATTTTATTTTTTTTTTGAGACGAAGTTTCACTCTTGTTGCCTAGGCTAGAGTGCAATGGTGTGATCTCGGCTCACTGCAACCTCCGCCTCCCAGGTTCAAGCGATTCTCCTGCCTGAGCCTCCTGAGTAGCTGGGATTACAGGTGTGAGCCACCACACCTGGCTAATTTTTTGTATTTCTAGTAGAGACGGGGTTTCACGATGTTGGCCAGCCTGGCCTCAAACTCCTGACCTCAGGTGATCCACCCACCTCAGCCTTCCAAAGTGCTGGGATTACAGGCGTGAGCCACCACACCTGGCCCACGTACAGGTTTTTGTGTGAGGATGTGTTTTCATTTTTCTAGGGTAGATACAGACAGAAGAAAAGGCAGAACACATGTCTGGCCCTTTCTCACATTTATCCCCTGTATCATCACCCCACCTGGGTGGGAAGCTATTATGCTCCCCTTTGCCAGATTAAAACACTGAGGCTCAAGGAGAGGCCTGAAACCACTGAGTGCTGGAGCTGAAACGTGAGCTCAGGCCTCCTGATTTCCACTCCAAGGTTCTTTCCAGTTCATCACAATAGCCCACTCAGAGAGTCTGCAGCCCACTGAGGGAACGAAACAGAAGGAACTGAAAAGCAACATCTTCCACGTGAACCATCACCTCATCCTTCTGAAGTCCTAACTAGGTGCTTCATGGACCATGTCCTGGGGTGTAAGGGCTGAGACTGAAGCCAGAGGCTTCATGGAAGGAACGAGTTTTTGCTCCACTCAGTAAAAAGCTAACTGGGATGAAATGGCCCCTGTCCTCAGCCAGTATCCCTGGGTCCCCTGAGAGCCTGCAGGAGAGCCCACCATGTACACATTCTCATAGTTATTTCTCTGAGTGAAGCCCCTCCCAGCAGCGATGGAAGCCAGGTGTGGAAACACTAGGCATTCACTCATTATACTCAGGAATCAGAACTGGTCACAGAGGCTTGGCCACTGATTCCGGCTTCAGCCCATTCCCTCAGCTCCAGTCTTATCCTGGCCCCAACTCCCTGATGTTAAGCAGAACTCAAAGTGCTAGTCTAGAATCATTCCCTTCAGATCTGCCTCACCCCCTCTGCCCTGAACCCTGTCACCAGCGAGCACTGGGCATGGAAGGAAGGGAATTTGCGCTAAGTGCACGTTCCTCAGGTCGGGATAAAGAGGTAGTGGATGGCCTGGGCTCCCTGGTCCTCTGTGGGCTCATCCCAAAGTCCTACCTTCCACACCAGAAAAGCAAACAGCAGCTTGCTAGAGGGGTCCACTCTACAGTTAAAAGCCACTCACTCCATCTGGCTCGTCAAGTGGGGTGGGAGACACAGAGGAGCCCTTCACTTACTGAGCTTTTCTATTTCAATCACTATCCCCGGCCCGAGTTGGACAGACTTCATCCAGGGCTTAAAATAGCTCCCGGGGCATAGAGCTCAAGAAACATTGACTGAATGTTCAATGTTCAAAATAATACACTTCAAGAGTACAAGAAGGAAGTCTCACAACGCTTTATGGTTTAGAATTATTTAACTATCATAGCATTGCCGGTGAAATAAGTATAATCATTTTCCCATTTCTCAGAGGAGGAAACTGAGGCTGGGGGGAGGGAGGTGGGGAAGGTGGATCGGCTGAGCAGCGGGATCTAGAGCCAGAAGCAGCCGCCCAGCTCAGGGCTGTTGTCCGGGGCTCGGGGTCCCCCTGCTGGCCTAACGGAAGCCTGGGCGTGGGCGAGGAGCTGGGCAGGGCCAGACCCCAGTCCCGCAGCCTGAGTTCCCTGCTCCGCCGCGCTAGGTGCTGGGTTCCCGCGGAAGGGAGAAGAAGGAGGAGCCATAGCTGGGCTCAGCATTATAGCGCCTGGCGGAGCACTGCGCAAGGCTTCAGCTGAGATGCTTCACCCGACATCATGGGCCAGAACAGACGAAACAGGCAGCGCCTCAGCTCCCCACCTGCCCGAGCCTCTCCTGAGCTCACCTGCAGAAAGGCCAAAAGGGACGGCGCCTAAGAAGGCCCAGCAGACCCGCTCCCTTGGAGGGAAGAGACAGATTCGCTCTCCTGACGTCCAGTCCAAAGTGCTTTGTTCCCATAGCATTGTCTCCTCCCGTTTCCAGGCAAATCTAACCCAGCCCCAAGAGAACACTTCCCTCCTCTCTGGATCTTGTTGCCCAGGCTGGAATGCAATGGCGTGGTCTTGGCTCACTGCAACCTTCGCCTCCCGGGTTCAAGCGATTCTCCTGCCTCAGCCTCCCAAATAACTGGTATTACAGGTGCCTGCCACCACGCCTAGCTAATGTTCTATTTTTGGTAGAGACGGGGTTTCACCACGTTGGCCAGGCTGGTCTTGAACTCCTGACCTAAGGTGATCCACCCGCCTCGGCCTCCCAAAGTGCTGGGGTTACAGGCGTGAGTCACCGGGCCCGGGCTTCCAGCTCCTTTACTTTCACCCCACTTCATCTGGCTGCTCTACAATTCCCACAGTGAGGAGGGCTAACTTAGACCCATCCACCACGTCCAGAAGTTACCCCTTGTTGGGGGACGGCTGGCCCTCGACTGGGCATGGAACTCTCTGTTATTTCAATACTCCTCAAAGGTTTTAAGTTTGGTCTCTAGTGCCAAAAAATCTGGCATGAAATCTCACTTATGTCTCTTCTTAGTGTGTGACTTTGTGCACATTACTGAACCAAGAAGCCTCCGTTTTCTCATCTGTAAAATAGAAATTATAATACTTTCCTAATGGGCTGTTGGGAGGATTCAGTGATACATTATACAATCAACAGCACTGTGCCTTGCATTACAGCGAGTGTTTGGTAAATGCTAATAATGATCATTACCTTTCCTACCCTAACACCTAACTAAAGAGAATGGGGTGAAGGGTACATGGGCAGGTAGTTCTGGAGAGAAAAGTGCAGTGCCCCATCACGTGCTTGAGTCTTCTCCAACCTGGCCACCTCCTTGCGTTCCCACCCCCTATCTGCAAGGGGGTGGGTGGCAGCTGCGTCCCTCCCCTGCCCATGCCCTGACAGTGCCAAAGGGCTGGCACAGCTGCTGCAATGGCCCAAATGCCTCAGGTTAGGGCTAGGTAGGGGACAGCTGGGGGTAAAGGAGACGTGAGAGGAGGCAGAGCAGGGGCACCCTTCTCTACCAGCATGTCCACTCACCCTGCAGCTTCCTAAGCCTCTCAGGTCAGCCAGGGACCTCTGACCTCACTCCTGTCCAGCCTGAGGGGGTTTCCCCCTCTTTCCCTCTCTTGTTCTCTGGCCTCTAGTACCTCCTCCTCCATGGCTGGACCCACCCAGTCTCCCAGCCCCGTTGCCCAACTCCCTCTCCTGCCCACATGCTGCCCAGCTGTCGCTGCCCCTGAGCTGGCACTCTGCCCACCTGCACCACTCATGAATCGCCAGCATTCACACTCTGACCCTGGAACCTCCACCTGTTCCCCTCGGTCTGAGCAGCAGGGCTGTGTGGCCCCATCTGTTGTCCTCCAGCCAGGACTCAGTGCAAGGGACTACACTTCAACCCCCGCCAACTTCCACCTGCCAGGAGAGGGCGGGAAGGACTGGCTGGGATGATGCCTGATTTGGGGGGCTCCTTATCTCCTGGAAGAGCAGGCCTTGTTCTCCCCTGCCCCAGGCCCACCAGCACTGTCTTAAAAGACCAACATTACAACTGAAAAAGCAAAAAGCCCACACTTCCCAAAGGACATTTGCATATTTAATAGCATTCTCCTATTACATTTCACTTGTTGATGGCAAGCCCCTAAATCAGAAGCTGGTCAGTGCAAGATGGTAAGCAGAAAGACACAACAGTGGCAACATTTTCAATTAATGTTTCATTATACAAACAATATGTGAATGCGCTTTCCTTGATAAAAAAGTGAAACCACTGTAGTTCAGGCTCAAATTCCATTTAACCAGTTCCCTAAATCAAGACCCTTTCATCTAAACGCAGAGGTGACCATTGTTACCAGTTTGATGTGTATATTTCCAGGAATTTTTCTATGTATTTGCATAATATAAGTGTGTGTGTATATGTACATTTACACACAAGTATGTTTACATTACATATAAATAAGAGTATGTATATACCCCTATACACACATTTATATATGCAAATATATATATATTCAAAAAAAATGTAGTACTATCATGGGTTTGGGTTTTGTTATTTTTTACATGAATTGTAAACTACAAATATTCTGCAGCTAGATTCACTAAAAAAGTCTTATCAAGTCAGTACATCTAGCTCTGCAATCTCTAAATGATACATAATTCTAGCATAAACACATCATAGTTTGTTTAGCCATTTCCCTATTGATAGGCATTTGTGTCTCATTTTCTCCCACTACAAATAAACATGTCCCTGTCACAGATTTTAGCCTTCTCCAATTTGGTCTTACCTGGTCCCACCTGGTCCTGTGTTCCTACCTCTTGTGAACAAAAAGATTTATCATTTAATTCTTTTTAAGGGCACAAATGTAACAAAAGTGTCCTTGGGAACATTTTATTACAAATTTTTAGTAATTTTTCTCAAAACCCTAGGTCCCACTATGATGATTTCTGTATCCACTCAGAAGCAAATTATTGCTGTAGGAGAGAGAGCTGCAGTCAAGGAGGCAGAAGGAGATACAAGAAAAAAAAGTGAAGAGAGAAAAAGGTAAAAAAAAAAAGGGAACAGAAGGAGCAAGAAAGAGAAAGAAGTAAAAGAACATGCTTATTTATTACAGCACTCTCTGCAACAGGGAAAAACTGGAACTGTCCAACAGAAAGGAAACAGTTAAGTAAAACTTGGCATATCCATTCAATGGAATATTACTCAGCCATTACAATAATAATTGTGAAGATTATGCAGGAGCATGGAAAATGCTTCTGATATTAAGTTACAAAGTAGACTACAAAATTAAAACTACATTATGATGACAACTATGCAAAATGATGTGGGCATACAGACATGGGAAGGCAATATAGACAAATGAAACCAATCTGATTTGTTGGAGTAGCAGAATTGTGGGGGCACTATTATTTACTTACTTCCATTAATATTGCTATAATATGGTTTGTGCAATATATGATTAATGCCAAAGTGAAACAGCAATGGAAAGAAGGCAGGAAAGGAAAGTGAATAAAACAGAAAGAGGGAAAAGGGAGGAAGGGAAGAAGGGCGTGAAGGAAGGAATGAGAGGAGAGGGTTGAAGAAGGGAGATGAGAAGAAGGAGGTTGGCGTCAAGCCTACGTTTGAGGGCTGGGCTGTCTTCAGCAGATCTGTCAGTCACAGGGTCGATGCAGGCTTTTCTTCCAGACCCTTTGGATCGACAACAGTTTTCACTGTTCATAGAAGATGGGATCTCCCTCCTCCTTCCCTCTTGTATTCTTTGAAGCCTGCCAAGGAGCTAGGGATACCGAGCTCAGGACTGTGCTCTTCAGGGACTGAAAATCTAGTCAGGTGGGGAGAGATGGAGGCATAGATACGTGAGCAAACTATGACAGCCAGCCCACAAATGCTCAAATAGAGATCTAATCCTCTAAAGGTGGAGGCTGTAGGGTCCCAGAAGTCTTCACAGATCAAAGGACATTTGAGCTGGGGCTCAAAGGATGGACAGGAGATTTCCAGGCAGAGAAAAGGCAGTGACATCCTAGGTAAAAGGCACACGTGCAGAGGAACTGGGGCCTAAATACACACCCATACCACGTACACTACCATTCATATGGCTAGACACAGGGCTCAGGAAAGACAGAGACAAGAGATGATGCCTTGACTTTATCCCCAGGGCAATGAGAAGCACTGAAGGGTTTAATCAGAGCAAAGGCACACTCTGATTTGTCCTTTAGAGAGATAACCCTCAAGACAATGAGGAAAGTGAGTGGGAATAGGGCAAAGTGGAGAGAGGGAACATCAGTTAGGAAGTTACTGTAAGAGTTCTGTTGAGAAGAGTAGGACCCTATGTTGGGCAGTCAATGGGGTGAGGGGAGAAGGATAACTCAAGAAATTCTTAGGTAGAAACGACAGAACTTCATTCGTTCATTCATTCAGCCAGTGTCTTTGGAGGGCCTGCTATGGAATTGGGTATTCAGAGATCAAAGAGAGTCTGTGTCCTAACAGGGAAGACAGAGGGTTACAGATCAATGTGAAAATAGCTATGATTGAGATAAGCCAATGGGGCTGCGGCCGTGAGACCAGGAATTGATGGGCTGTGGGAAGGGAGGAAGGTCTCATATGACTTCTAAGTTTCTGCCTCCCATGGTGAGTGAAGAGTGGAGCCATCCACAGAGACAGGAGGCACAGAGTAAGGCCATGTCCAGCACATGTCTAGAGGCAGATAATAATTTTTATTTGGGCCTCTCACTCTTCCTTTGCTCCTGACCCATTCAAAAAAGGCAAATGTAGCTTAAGGAGCTTGTTGCCTTCCCGACAGAATGAATTACATGAAAAGCACCTAGAATAGTGCCTGACACATAGTAAATGCTCAACAAATATTAACAAAGAAAACAAGAAAAATTCAGAAACGTAAAGCAAGGTTCATACTTAGGAAGGTGCCTCTCTCCCTTCCTCCATGAGACCAGGGAGGAACATGCGACTCCTGGCCCTGAAAGGCAGGTCACAGGAGACTTGACAAAACGAGAACGTAACCAAAACTAAGAAGAGCTTGTTAAAAAGAGAGTGTGGCTATAAACATGCAAAAACTGAGCTCACTGCTAGCAGATAGGACACCTGCAATGAGGGGAGAGATGGGGGAAGAGGGGTCTCAGCAGTTTCTTCCCATGCAAAGAGTTTGCACCATATTATTCATTTGAAGAGTATAAACTGTGCACATTGCAAATCACGTTCATTGCATCATATCATAAAGGAAGCCACCAAAATTGTGAAGTTTTTTGTTGTTGTTGTTCTCATGCTTCAACTATTGTGTTTACTGAAATTTTGGAAGATGAAGCAGAGTGTGGAGACATTGTTTATGTTGATGCTGTTGGGTGGTGTAGTCATGGAAACTTGTTAGAAATATTTACTGAACTAATTCCCCAGATGAAGGACCATGGAGAATTAAAAGGCTTTGAAGGCCCCAACACATCAGACCTCAGGTCTTACTGATGTGACAAGACTTGTAAACACTCTAATCTTGTTTGAAACAATGTCGATGTCCGGGTTGAACTTAAGCTGCCCACATGGACAAGGTGACTGACTACTGGAACCTGCTTTCATTTCTTACTGTTTGACTATTCTGAGCACAATAAAATCACTAATCATAAAGAAATGCAGGCCAGGCACGGTGGCTCATGCCTGTAATTGCAATGCTTTGCGAAGCCAGGGCAGGAGGATCACTTGAGGCCAGGAGTTCAAGACCAGCCTGAGCAACATAGGCCTTGTTTCTACAAAAAAATTTAAAAATTAGCTGGGCATGGTGGTGTGTGCTTGTAGTTCCAGCTACTCGGGAGCCTGAGGCAGAAGGATTGCTTGAACCCAGGAATTCAAGGCTGCAATGAGCTACGATTGTGCCACTGCACCCCAGCCTAGGTGGCAGAGTGAGACCGTCTTTAAAAAAAAAAAAAAGAAAGAAAGAAAAGAAAAGAAAGCAATGCAATGAATGCAATGCTATGTGATGGACATAAAGTCATATTTTAGGATAAATTCTCAGGTTTTGTTAAGTCTGAATCTTGCTCTAAGTTTCTGTATGCTTACCTTTTTGAAGTTCACCTCTGTGTTCCAGGTACATTCCAGGTGTTTCACACGTACTCATGCATTCAAGCCTTACAACAAACCTGCGGGATAGTTTCTAGTATTATCCCCATTTCACAAATGAGAAAACTGAGGCACAGGGAAGAGGCAACCACTTTTAAGTGGGGGAGCCTAGACTCCAAGTCTGGTAGTCTGGCTTGAGTGCTCTTAACCACTTTATGTATAAACTTGAGAATGTATTTATAATAAATAACCAGGCTTCCTCCCTATCAGTGGGGTCTCATTTCCAGGGAACTTACTAAGCTGAAAGTGAATTACGCTCACCAAGAAGACTCAGTTTTCCTAGAATTTTACAAAGCACTGGATAAATCCCAGAGCCCGAAATGTCGTAGTGGTCAGTGGTCTAACATTGGGAATGTTTGGGTCCATTTTCTCTTTTTTCATGAAGCGATTGGGATCAGCACTGAGAACCATCACAGTGATGAAAATGTGGGACATGTATTGAGATGTACCCCGACTAAGCACACTCCATGGCGCCATTTGTTAAGTACCTGTCCTTGTGGACTTCACTGATGTTCTCAAAATTGACCCACATCTAGCATGGGCCAGTAAGAGTGCATGTTTACATAAATTGTGTTAATTCAACTGCTTTTGTACTGTTGTTAACAAACCATAAATTTGTTCAGCTAGCTTCACTAATATAGAAAACTATATTGTTTTCAAACATTACAGACTTCAGTTATGAAGTATAGTGGAGTAGTTTACTGATTAGTTCTCTCAGTAAAGACAACAACAAATATTCAGACAAAAGATTTAAAACCTCTTTGTAAATGCATTAATAAACTGGAAAAGAATGAAAGGTAAATTCAAAAGCCTAAAATCATGAGAAGCAGGCACCCAGAGAGGTAAGCCTTATACTGATGTCAGCCTTTACATTGAGCTTCAATTTCCACAAACCGAGGGGGCTTGTCAACAGTGGGAAGTCCAGTAGGGGACCATACCCCCAGCATCAACCCATAAACCTGAAACCCAAAGGCTACAATTCAGTCTAATGGTGAATTCAAAATAAATCAGTGCCCCACCTGCCTGCCTTAAACCTGACACTGAATAGAAGGGAGAAAAACATCTCCCCTGAAAATTAACAACTACCAGCTAGCCCTTATGTAGCTTTGCTGTACAAATTCACACTATCTTGCTGGTTCTAGAAACCTAAAGCCAATAATTTGCTTTCTTGTGATCCAGGGCTGGCAGTTCCCTCAGGTGACTGGCTGATGCAAATGAAAGACTCTCCTGGAGGAAAGGAAAATATCTTTAAGCCAGGCATCAGAGAATTCCCAGAGATACAGTTTTGTTTTTCTTTTAATTTCAGTTTTCAAGGTACATGTGCAGGCTCGTTACAAAGGCATATTGTGTGATGCTGAAGTTTGGGCTTCTACTGATTCCACCACCCAGACAGTGAACACAGTACCCAATAGAAAAGTTTTTAGCCCTTTCCCCTCTTCCTCCCGCCCTCCTTTTGGAGTCCCTAGCATCTGTTTTTCCTGTCTTTATATAAATGTGTGCCCAAGATTTAGCTCCCACTTATAAATGAGAACATGCAGTATTTGGTTTTCTGTTCCTGAGTTAATTTGCTTAGGATAATAGCCTCCAGCTGTATCCGTGTTGCTGCAAAGGACATGATTTCATTCTTTTTCGTGACTGTGTAGTATTCAATGGTGTGTATGTACCATATTTTCTTTATCCAGTCTACTGTTAATGGGCACCTAGGTTGATTCCAGGTTTTTGCTATTGTGAATAGTGCTGTGATAAACATTCAAGTGCGTGTGTCTCTTTGGTACAACTATTTATCTTCCTTTGGGAATATTCTCAGTAATGGGGTTCCTGAGTTGAACGGTAGTTTTAATTTTAGTCTTTGAGAAATCTCCAAACTGCTTTCCACAGTGGCTGAACTAATTTACCTACCCACCAACAGTGTATAAGCTTTCCCTTTTCTCCACAGCCTCACCAACATCTGTTTTGACATTTTAATAATAATTGCTCTGACTGGTGTGAAGTGGTATCTCATTGTGGTTTTGACGTGCATTTATCTAATGATCAGTGATGTTGAGATTGTTGACATACATGCTTGTTGGCTGCATGTATGTCTTCTTTTGAAAAGTGTTCATGTTTTGCCCACTTTTTAATGGGGTTATTTGGTTTTTTTTCTTGTTGATTTGTTTAAGTTCCTTATAGATTCTGGATATCAGTGCTTTGTCAGATGCATAGTTTGTGAATGTTTTCTCCCATTCTGTAGATTGTCTGTTTTCTCTGTTGATAGTTTCTTTTGCTGTGCACAAGCTTTTTAAAGTTTAATTGTGTCCCACCTGTCAGTTTTTTGTTTCGTTGCAATTGCTTTTGAGGACGTAGTCATATTCTTTGCCAAGGGTGATGTGCAGAAGGACTGTTTCTAGGCTTTCTTCTAGGATATTTATAGTTTGAGGTCTTACATTTAAGTATCTAACCCATCTTGAGTTTTGTATATGGTGATACACAGGGATCCAGTTTCATTCTTCTGCATATCGTTAGCCAGTTTTCCCAGCACCATTTATTGAATAGGGAGTCCTTTCTCCACTGCTTCTTTTTGCTGACTTTGTCAAAGATCAATTGGTTGTAGGTTGTGCAGATTTATTTCTGGGTTCTGTATTCTGTTCCATTGGTGTACGTGGCTATTTTTGTACTAGTACCATGCTGTTTTGGCTACTTGTAGCCTTGTAGTGTAGTTTGAAGTTAGGTAATTGATGTCTTTGGCTTTTTTTTTCTTTTGCTCAGGATTTTTTTTTTTTTTTTTTTTTTTTTTTTTTTTTTGCTATTCAGGCTCCTTTTTGGTTCCATATGAATTTTAGAATAGGTTATTCTAATTCTGTGAAAAACAGAATTTGTAATTTGACAGGAATAGCATTGAATCTGTAGATTGCTTTGGGTGGTATGGACATTTAAATGATATTGACTCTTTCAGTCTACGGACATGGGATGTTTTCCCATTTGTTTGTGTCATCTATGATTTCTTTCAGCAGTGTTTTGTAGCTCTCCTTGTAGAAATCTTTCACTTCCTTGTTTAGATATATCCCTAGGTGCACATGCATGGCTATTGTTGCATTCTTGATTTGGCTGTCAGCTTGAACATTATTGGTGTATAGAAATGCTACTGATTTTGTATGTTGATTTTGTATCCTAAAAGTTTCCTGAAGTTGGTTATCAGGTCTCAGAACCTTCTGGCAGAGTCTTGAGGGTTTTCTAGGTATAGAATCATATCAGCAGTAAAGAGAGAGAGTTTGACTTCCTCTCTTCCTATTTGTATGCCTTTTATTTCTTTCTCTTGCCTGATCCCTCAGGCTAGGATTTCCAGTACTATGTGGAACAGGAGTGGTGAAAGGGGGCATCCTTGTCATGTTCCAGTTCTAAAAGGGAATGCTTCCAGCTTTTGCCCATTCAGTTTAATGTTAGCTGTGGGTTTGGTATAGATGGCTCTTATTATTTTGAGGTATGTTACTTCGATGACTACTTTGTTGAGGGTTTTTATCATGAAGGGATGCTGGATTTTATCAAAAGCTTTTTCTGCATCTATTGAGTTGATCATATGGTTTTTGTTTTTAATTTTATGTGGTGAATCGCATTTATTGATTTGCATATGTTGAGTCAACCTTGTATCCCAGGAATAAAGCCTACTTGGTTGTAGCAAATTAACTTTTTGATATACTGCTGAATTCAGTTGTTGATTTGATCATCTATATTCATCAGGAATATTGGTCTGTAGTTCTCTCTTTTTCGCTGTGTCTTGCCAGACTTTGGTATCAGGATGATACCGGTTTCATGGAATGAATTAGGGAGGAATCCCTTTTTCTCGATTTTTTGGAATTGTTTCTGTAGGATCGGTACCAGCTCTTCTTTATATGTGTGGTAGAATGTGGCTGTGAATCCATCTGATCCAGGGCTTTTTTTTGGCTAGCAGGTTTTTATTACTGATTCAACTTTGGAAAAGAATCCATGCTCTTAATCTTGTATTATGTTGCCTCTCATAATGAGTTAAATAAGTGGAAAGAGATATCCTATTTATAGTTTGAAATACATAAAATTATAAATATGTCGATTATCTTCAAATTATAAAGATGTCAATTCTCCCCTATATTAATCTGTAGTTTCAATGCAATTTCAATCAAAATCTCAAAATCCCAGGATGTGTTCAGGTGTGAAATCTTTCCAGATTTTGAGGTTCACTTGTAGCACAGGGGGCAAATCAGATCACTGCTGTGCCCCATGTTGAAGTCAAGAACTGGACCACCCCTTTATTAAGCTCCTAATATATTCTGGTCACTGCACTAGAAACTGGTATACATTGAGGAACGAGACAGACAACGTCCCTCAAATAACTGAAATCATACAGAGTATGTCCTTTGCCCATAGAGAAACTAAGCAAAATACCAGTAACAAAAAACTCGAATATCACCAAATGTCTGGAAATTAAACAACATACTTCTAAATCACCCACAGAGGACAGAAGAATTCACAATGGAAATTAGACAATTCTGTGAACTAAATGGTTATAGAGACCCAAGATATCAAAACATGAGAGACACAACTAAAGCAGTTCTTAGAAGGAAATTTATATTCATATTATTAGAAATAAAGCCTTAATACATACAATAGAAATGAAGCATGAAAATCAATAATCAAAGCATCCATTTCAAGAACCTATTAAAGAAGAGCAAGTTAAACCCCAAAGAAATGCAAGAGAGAGTATAATAAAGATAAGAGCATGAATCAATGAAACAGTTGGAAAAAAAAAAACACAGAATAAAAAAATCAACAAAGCCAAAAGTTGATTCTTTGTAAAGACTAATCAAAAACTTTTCAAAGACAAAACAGAGAAAACATATATTCCAACATCAGGAGTTAAAAAAGGACCATCACTACAAATCAGATCCTACAAATGTTAAAAATGTAAGGGGACGTTATGAAGAACTGCCAATACATTTGAAACTTTTCACAAAATGGAAAAATTCTTGAAATACACAAGTTACGAAAATTAACACTAAGATAAATAGAACTTATTATGTGTCCTATTTCTAATGAAGAAATTAAATCTGTAATTTTAAAATTTCCTAACTCTAGGACTACATGGATTCCCAGTTGAACTCTTCTAAGTATTTAATAAAGAACTGGGCATAAATTTTCCACAAATACTTCAAGATAATAGAAAAAGAAAAACACTCCCCAATTTGTTTTATGAGGATAGTATTTATAAATGTGGTACTAAAACCTGACAAAACTTTGTTAAGAAAGGAAAATTATATATCAGTCTCCCTCATGAACATCATTGAAAGTCTAAACATAATATTAGCTAATCAAATACAATGATATAAAAATTATATATAAAAACGACTTGACATTTAAAAGCCAATCAATGTAATTCACCACATTTACAGAATAAAGGAAAAGAATGAATGATCTCAATAGATGCAGAAAATGCATTCGATGCTTATTTATAGTAAAATACTTTCAAAACTAGAAGTAGAAAGGAACTCCATTAATCTGATTTTGTTAAAATGTTTTTAAAATAACACCAAATATTATGCTAAGTAGTAAAATATATAAAGATTTCCCCTTTGAAATCAGGAACAAGATAAGGATGTCTGCTAATATGATTTCAATTCAACACTACACTGGAGATATAGCCAGTACAATAAGGCAATACAAAATTAAAATGAATAAGAAATGTAAAACCAAAAATCTGTCATTATTAGAGAATAACATGACTGTGAATATAAAAAGTCCAAAAGAACTTATATATGTAAACTATTAAAACTTAGAAGTGCATTTACCAAGGTCACTGGATATATGGCTAATATTAAAAAGTAATTGTATCCCTATATGCTAGCAATACACAATTTTAAAATAAAAAACTTACAGAGCCTATATATATCAGTATCAAAAATCATATACCTAGGAATAAATCTGGTGAAAAATATTAAAATTCTGTACAATGAAGACTACAGGGCATTACTGAGAGATATTATAGAAAATCTAAACACATAGAGAGATACACCAAATTCATGGGTTAAAAGACTCAATATGGTGAAGATGTTAGTCCTTTCCCAAATTCTAGGAGTCTTTTTGTTTGTTGTTTGCTTGGTTGGTTTTCTGGTAGAAATTGGCAAGCTGGTTCTAAATGAAGAAGACAGTCTTGAAGAAGAACAAAACAACTGGTGCAAGGGTAGATGGGAGACAATATAGTCCAGAAATGCATATATATAGTTACTTGATTTTCAACGAAGATATCATCGCATTGCAGTGGGGAAACAATCATCTTTTCAATAAATCATATGATGTCGGTTGAACATCCATATGATGGGAAAAAGTAAATGTTTATTCCTCCACCTCAAACCACATACAAAATTCAGTTCCAGGCATATGAAGACATATGTGTGAAACATAAAACAATAAAACTTCTGGGAGAAAACAGAAAAACAGTATCTGCGTGACCTTACAATGACCAAAGATTTAACAGGAATGAAAAGCATTAACCCTAAAGTAAGAGACTGACAAACTAGACTTCATTTAAATAAAAATTTTCTGTTCACCAAAAGACATGCTTAAGAGAGTGAAAAAGCAAACCAGAGGAGAAGAAGACATTTGTAGTTACACACACACACACACACACACACCACATTACAAAAGACTACCATTAAGAATATCTGAAGAACTTCTGCAATCAATGAGAAAATGACAAATGATCCAATAGAAAAATGGGCAAACTACTTGAACAGGAATTTCACAAATGAAGAAATCTGAATGACCAGTAAACATCTGAAAAAATGTTCAACTTCATTAGTCATCAGGAATATTTAACTTTTAACACAAGAGATACCATTTTATTACCTCCAGATAAACAATTTAAAAAATTAAGTCTGACAACACCACCATTCCTGGAAGTATAAGTTGGTGCAACCACTTTAGAAAAGAATTTTTACACTATTTAGCAACATTTAAAATGCATATCCTCTGTGACTCAGCAATTTCACTTCTATATATTATATATACCCTAGAACAACTTTTCTGTGTAGGAAATCAAGAGACATGAAGTAGAATACTCATTGCAGCATAGTAATTAGTACTCCCAAACTGGGGAAAAATACTTTCCATTGGTAATAAAATTGAGGAATAGTTGTGGTTTATTTATACAATGGAATTCTGCACTACAATGAAAAGAAAATGAATTGCAACACACACAACACAGATGAAAGAAGTTAGTCACAAAAGAAGATGTATATACTTTGACTCCATTAACAAAATATTTAAAAACATATAAAATCAAACCACATATCATTTAAGGATACAAATAAACAATAATAAATCTACAAAGAAAAGCAAGGAAATTAGAAGCATGAAATTAACAATGACTTAGCTCAGCTCAAGGAAGGAATGGGTAAGATTATTCAAAGAAAATGCTGCCAGGTTATCTTTCTTAAACCGGATTGGCAGGGATATGAATGTTGTTGGATTATTTTATACATTATAATTTGTAAATATCTCCTTCTATTTAGTAAAATTTGGTACAACAATTATAACTTTATGGATGTCGGATCATCTGGCTCAAGATGGAAAAAAACATGGCTGCCTCTGTACTAGAATTCATTAACCCAGCAGACCATCAGTCATCGGCATTGTCTGCAGGAAGCCCCTGATGACATGTTTTTCCTAAGAAGAGGGAATGTCCTGGCCATTCTGTTTATATAGTGTTATTAGTCAATTTGGGCTGCCATAACAAAATATCATAGGCTAAGTGGCTTTAGCAACAGAAATTTATTTTCTCACAGTTCTGGAGGCCAAAACTGAGATCAGTGTGCCAGCATGGTCCAACTGTGGTGAGGGCTTTCTTCCTGAATTGCAGATAGCTGCCTTCTCCCTGTGCACTCATCTGGCATTTTCTTGATGTATGCATGGCCCGTGGGTGCAGACGGGTAGTGAGGGAAAGAGAGTGCGTGTGCACGCAAGCTCATTAGGTCACTGATCCCATCATGAGGGCCCCACACTCATGACTTCATGTAATCTTAATTACCTCTCAAAGGCCTTATTTCCAAAGACCATCACACTGGGGGTTAGGGCTTCAGCACATGAATTTTGGGAACACAAGCATTTAGTCCCTAACATATAGCCACCCAGATTAGCTAATTATCACTTTGGCAGATTGAGAGGGGCCAAAGTGCATAGGACTTATCAAAAGTATGTTTTCTTAGAGGGTGAGAATGACAGTGAGGAAAGAGCCCAAGGATTCTCCCCTCAACCCCCAACGAGGTTGAGGATTTGCTTGGCTTTGAAACTTTGAAGCCCCTCTGCTGTGAGTGGTGCCTGCCTCTGGTACCCTCATGTTTTCCGTGCACATTTCATCTGCCTGGCAGCTGCTGGCCCTGTCCAGCCAATGGCTCAGGAGGGAGCACACCGCTTCTGTGCAATTTCTTGAAATGGGCACTTCCTTCTAAGAGAACTGTTCCCCAGAGAGTTCCTCGACATCTGCAGTGATGGAGAGTCCACGCACAGGCTTTGGGATGGGGGAGGCAGCACAAAGGGAAGAAGCTTTAAATTCTAAAGCAGAGAAAACAAAACTCCTGCCAGAAGCAGGGGAAGATGGGGAAGGAGGCAGGGATCTAGGAAGCTTCTGCTTTGGTCTCAGTATTGGGGTTTCATAGCACAGATGGCCAGGGTTATTTATAACTTGCAACAGGCAGAGTTGAGATCGGTGAAATGCAAGAGGCTTGGCTGACAATGGTTGGGGCCAGGGTAGGGATTGAGACCTCCAGAAGCCCTCCTAGAATGCAGGACTTTGTTTTAGGGATGGGGGTACCACCATGGAAAAGTTATGGAGCCAAAGCCCCCTCCTACAGGCTAGATGAGAAGTCTTCCAGAGAGCTACTGCTTTTAGGAATAATCATAGTCCCATTAATAATAATAAATAATAGCTAACATTTTATTAGCTGACTGGGTGCCAGGCAATAAGCTAAGTGCGTTATTATCCCCATTTCCAAAATGAGAAAACTGAGGCTTGGTGAGGGTAAGGAACCAACCTAAGGCCTCATATCCATAAGTAGTGAAGCTCTCTATCTGCTCTGTATGGGAAGGAGGAGAGGCCAAGGGCCTAACATCACATCTATGTCACAGCTATGTCACATCAGCCCTTTGCCACCCAACAGAGGCAAGATCACTGGGGTAGAAAATTGGGCAAGGATCTTTGATAGGGGGGCAGTGACAGGAATCTGGAAGGATCTGGGGCAGGCAGAGGTCCAGAAGGGAGACTCTAGACAACGTGTGTGTGTGTGTGTGTGTGTGTGTGTGTGTGTGTACCTAAGTGATCACCTAGGTAAAGGTGGTGTGATTATATGTAGAAGATATTAAATGAATATTTCCTGGCTCTTGAAGACAAGGCAGGCAGGCTGCTAAAGTCCAATGTGGCTTACTCCATTCTGCCATCTGTCACTTTAGACAAGGACTTCCTCCTCCCTACTTCTCAGTTTCTCCTCTTTAAAATGATGCAGTTGGCCTAAGATTCTTCCCAGTTCTGATAATTTGTGCATCTGTGATTTCACTGTGGTTAGCACATGTGGAGGAGGGGGAAGGCTGGATGTCAAAGGTCAAAGGTTGGCTATCAACCACCAAGGCTGGCAGCCAAGCCCTGGCAAGGACAGCCAGCAAGATCAAAGCTAAAGGAAAACCAGTCAGGAGGCACTGTCTGCTCCCCAAGCTCGAGCCCAGGAGCAGCATGTGCAGGGAGTGAGGCGCCACAAGCACAACTGATCCTGCCAGCACCCACTCCCAGGGCTCCAGGCACTGGTGCCAAGTACCCCACCAATGGGTGGATGGAATGCTCAGAAATTCACAACTCCAGGAGCAAGGCTGTCTGTCTCAGGATAAACAAAGCCCCAGGCAACTTGATGCAGCTCACCTACTCTTCCGGCTGCAACAACCTTTTTGAAGGTCAAGTCATCCAGCCCCCGGAAGCAGTCTACAGTTCTACGTTCCTCTGAATTACATCCTTGTTTTTTCCCAAGGTCAAAAGGGCCAGTAATTCACCCCTGGTCATAGAGCACGTGGCTATTCACAGGATTCAGATCTCTGAATTCTCACTCTGTGCCACAGAAGGGACTTGCTTCAATGACATGGACTTTATTGCTTAGTTTCACTACTCAGTGAGTATGTAGCGAATATCCACAATGTGCACTTGCTGAGTATCTACTGTATACACACTCTAAAGAGGAGTTGTCACCAAGGTTGTCCAAGGTCAACCTTAATGGCTATAGATCTTAATGGAGAAGACTGTCCACTGACTTTGGAGTAAGCCAGGCTGGGTTCTAATCCTGCCTTTATCTTCCAATTGCACCACAGCAAATTTCTTAACCATACAATATGATTTGGCTCTGTGTCCCCACCCAAATCTCATGTCGAATTGTAATCCCCACCTGTTGAAAGTAGAGCTTGATGGGAGGTAATTGGATCATGGGGGCAGTTTCTAAGGGGTTAGCACCATCCCCCTAGTGCTCTCTCGTGATAGAGTTCTCGTGAGAACTGGCTGGGTTTTTTGTTTTTTGTTTGTTTGTTTGTTATTTGAGATGGAATCTTGCTCTGTTACCCAGGCTGGAGTGCAGTGGCATGATCTCGGCTCACTACAACCTCTGCCTCCCAGGTTCAAGCAATTATCCTGCCTTAGCCTCCCAAGTAGCTGGGATTACAGGCACCTACCACCACAGCTGGCTAATTTTTGTATTTTTAGTAGAGACGGGGTTTCACCACATGTTGGCCAGGCTGTTCTCGAACTCCTGACCTCGTGATCCATCCGCCTCGGCCTCCTGAAGTGCTGGGATTACAGGCATGAGCCACCGCGCCCGGCTGAGATCTGGTTGTTTAAAAGTGTGTGGCACTTCCCCCAATCCGCCTGCCACTATGTGAAGAAGGTGCTTCCTTCTCCTTCACTTTCCGCCATAATTGTAAGTTTCCTCAGGCCTCCCAGTCATGCTTCCTGTACAGCCTGCAGAACTGTGAGTCAATTAAACCTCTTTTCTTCCTAAATTACCCAGTATCAGGTAGTTCCTTACAGCAGTGTGAAAACAGACTAATACACCATGACTCCCAGTCTGAAAACTGGTAATAATACCTAGCTCATAGACTCATTGTAGGGACAAAATAGTTAATGTGCCTAATGCATTTATCACAGTACCCAGTAAACAGGAAGGTCCTAAATGATGATGCAACTGTTGATGATGGCATGGTGATGATGGTCACATTGTCCCCCTGAGGCAATCCTACTCTGGACCCAGGTACTTCCTTGACCATCCAACCCCTACCAGGTGACATTACATGAAGAATGCAGCTGGCTCTAGGTTCAAGAATTTAAAACAAACAAACAAACAAACCACAAAACCATTGCTCCTTGCCCTTGGACCAGGAAGTATGAGAGCTCACAAGCCAACAAACAAACAGCTGCTTTCAGAAATCTAGTAACAGCCAAGAAAGATGAGGCCCGTGTTGTGGCCGCAGCCCTCCTGAAAGGGCAGGGTAGGAGGACCCCGAATCAGGGAAGGACAGGTTCCTGAGCTCCTATCCCAGGCTGGCCCCTGACCCACCTCCCAATGCCTCTACTTCCTCACCTGTAAGCTCAGGAAAGCAAACCACAGGTGAGATGAGCCACAGCTAGAAATCTGAAGTCAGGGCTTTGTCTCCACTGTGGGGGAGCCAAGATGGGCTGACGATGTGGAACAAGTGAATCACTAAATGTCTGGCTGCATGAACTCCTTCAGTGGTGTGAGGACACAAGGGTTGGCACTCTAGAAATGGGAACAGCCTGCTGATAAAAATCCTTGTGCCTGGGAAGCAAGTCCACCCAACCCTGCCCCTACCACTAGGAAGCCATCTGCTTTCAGAAACAGAAAAGCAAATGGGTCCTGACTTGGGCTGGCCCAAGCCCCCACAGAAAGGGGAATGCAGACAGGCAGGGTGGCTCAGGGAAAACACTCCAGGCACCAGGGTCTGGAGGGTGGAACACAGTGTTCCCACGGCCCGCTATGCAGGGAACGCAGCAGATGGAACTGCACTGACTCCAGGGAAACATTTGGTTCCTTGTCTCACACCAACTCACTGGAAAGGATGGTAAGGAAGGCCTGAGAATAGACAAACAAAAGAGAAGGTCAGGGAAAGGCAAGGAAGCCAAGCCAGGAAGCTGAGCAGAAATTTCCTCAGATCCTTCCAGAGGCCCTGAGCAGGTGGTGACAAAATGCCAACACCAGAAGGAACTTTCTAGAACAATAAATCCAATTCCCTTATTTTATGGATCAGGAAACAGGTCCCTAGGGAAGTCAGCACTGTGCAGTGGAAAAAGACTGTAGAGTCAGGGAGATGTGAACTCCATAGCTGTGTGATTTGGTGCAAGTTTATTAACCTCTCTGATCCTCAGGTTTGTCTTTTGTAAAATGGGGACCCTGTCATCTCCACAGTCATGCCGTGAGAAGGGAGTGAGGTACTCAGCACAGAGCAGAGCCTCAATAAATACCGGCTTCCAATTCTCAAAGTCACATACGGGTTAATGGCAGAGCTAGAACTAGAATCCAACGTCCGAACTTCCCACACTCCTTACTCCAGTTACAGAAAAGAGTCAAAGAAAAGACATGCCTGTGATGTGCCACTGGGGGTGGGGTAGGGAGAGGGCAATGAGATGTTAGAAGGGATTTTCTCATGACCAAAGCACGGGAATGCATTACCAAGGGTTCCATTTTGGGAGCTTATTTAAGTGTGTGCCTGAGATGGATTAAAGGCTGGGAATGAACTAAATGTCATCTTGATGACCTGTTCAGCCCACAGATGGTAGAATTCAATTTACCAGAGTTAGGGCTGGCTATGCCACTCCCTAAACTCCTCCAAAGAAAGGAAATGAATATGCATTCTTTCACTCAACTAACATTCATTGAGCACATAATATGACCTGAGAACAAGGTTTTCTTATTATTATTTTTGCCTATGAGGAAACGAAGGTCCCAAGATATTACAGGAAGATTCCATGCAGCTAGCAAGTGGCGGAGCCAGAATTCAATGCTATCTTAGTCTGCTCTTTGCCCAATGCCATATTGCATCTCCTGTCTTCTGATAGACTGAAAGGGGTAAAACTGTGCTAAGGCTGAACTCCCTCAGAACAGTGTGCATGGTGTGCATAGACAGAAGGGTTCTTAGAAGAACTCCCCCAGCTTGCCCCTTCCTGGGGGTAGAAATAGCTCCTGGAAGCTGCCTTGGGATCTTGTTTCTGGAGCTGCTCTGGGGAGGAATCTGCCTAGGATCTCCTGGCTCCCTCACCAAGGCCAGATCTATCCACCAGACAGAGTTTCCCAGGCCCCTCCCAGAACATGTTCACTGCCCAGAGCTCCACTGCGCTTCCCATATTCCCAGTCCTCTTATTAGAACTGAGAAGCAGGCAAACAAAAAAATTCAGAGCCTGACAGGCAGATGCAGTCCCTGTCTAATGGTGGAGACACAATCCCTGACCTCAGGGAGCCCCCATTCTTTAGGGGAGATGCAGCCCTACTCTGCCAGAGAGCTCCCAGGATAATAGAGTGATTGAAGAAACACTACTTATGCTCTCAGGAAGCTCCCAGTGTGATGGAGGAGACGAGGACAAAAGGATGTAAATTAATAACAGAGCCAGGCATGGTGGCTCATGCTATAATCCCACCACTTTGGGAGGCTGAGGTGGGAGGACTGCATGAGCCCAGGAGTTTGAGACCAGTCTGGGCAACATAGTGTGGCTCCATCTTTACAAAAAAACAAAAAAATTAGCTGGGCATGATGGCATGAACCTGTAGTCCCAGCTACTCCAGAGGCTGAGGAAGGAGGATCACATGAACCCAGGAGGCTTAGGCTGTAGTGAGCCATGACTGCACCACTGCACTCCAGCCTAAGCAACAGAGTGAGGCCCTGTTTCATAATAATAATAATAGGGCTAATGCTTATTGAGTGCCAGGCACTTTATAAATATGAAATCATTCAATCTCTATAACAACCCTGTGAGACACATCTCATTTTTATCCTTATTAAACAGATGAAGAAATGGAGGTTGCTATTGTCTGAATGTATCCCCCAAAGTTCATGTGTTGGAAACTTAATCCCCAATGCAACAATATTGAGAGGTGGGGCCTAATAAGAGGTGATTGGGTTTTGAGAGCTCTGCCTTCATGAATAGATTAATGTCATTATCTTGGGAGTGGGTTAGTTATCATGAGAGTGGGTTGTTATAAAACCAAGTTTGGCCCTCCTCTTCCTCTTGCTTTTGCCCTCTCTTGCCCTTCCACCTTTCACCAGCACAAAGGCCCTTGCAAGATGCTGGTGCTATGCTCCTGGACTTCCCAGCCTCCAGAACCATGAGCCAAATAAATTTCTGTCTGTTGTAAATTACCCAGTCTGTGGTATTCTGTTATAGCAGCATAAAGACGAAGACAGAGGCACCAAGAGGTAAAATGACTTACATAAAATTACAAAGCTTTCAAGTGATAATTCCAGGATTTAAAATCCAGGCAGTCTGGTTCAAAGATCTCTTAAATAAAAGAGAAAGATAAAGTGAGCCACTGGGCAGTTCTGGAGACTCTGGGGATCCTCTGGCTACTGGTGGACTCCAGGTGGGCCAATGACAGTTGGTTTGGTCTGATAAGGCTGCCTAAGGATAACAGAAGAATAGTGTTGCAGGTCTTGCAACATCTGGACCTGGATCCACATCTTTCTGGATGAGGGTCCAGAAAGCCCTGAATCACAAAGCAGGCCTGCTGAGATCAGCATGGGGGAGCCAGAAGTAAAAGCAGTGAGGATAAGACCCTTAGAGGAAGAAGGCCTTATGAGGTGTTTGGATCAAGCACCCAGGAAAAGCCAGTGACCCTGCCAAGGAAAGAGCTCACTGGGGACATAGGAATCTCACAACAGAAGAACGAGAGTGGGGAAGAACATAAGAGAACACCCAATGGTAGAGTTTCCATTGGGAAGGCTCTTGAGCACCAAGCCTAGGGGTGAGATTGTGGACAGGGAGTTGGCAAGAAGGCAAGCAGCATCAACAGCACATTCCCTTCACCCCTCATACCCAACAGGGTACTCAGCACAGCTCTCTGCAGGGTGCCCATCTTGAATGCTGTAACTAGTTGCCTTTGGAATAACACACTGATCATGAGCTGGGCTTTGGCATGAGACAGATCTGGGTTTCTGCTCCTAGGTTTACAACCTACCAGCTGCCTCTCTGAGCTCTGGGGGCTCATCTGCAAAACAGTGATCACTGTAATTACCTTATGGCATTATTGTGAGGATTATGTAGCACTTAACTCAGGGCTTTATTTTCACCTAGCTTAGTAAGTAATAACCCATGGGTTATATAGAATTTTAACTTCCAAATATTTGGGGATTTTCCAGAAATTTCCATTATTGATTTCTAATTTAATTCCATCGTGATTGGAGCACATATTCTTTATTATCAGTATTTTAAATTTTATTAAGAATTATTTTATAGCCCAGTGTATGATCTTGGCAAATGTTTCATGTGTCCTTGAAAAAAAATGATTATTCAGTTATTGTTGAGTGGAATAGCCTACAAACGTCAAATGGTAAAACTGATAGATAAGGTTTTCTATTTCCATAACGACTTCATCTACTTGTTCTATGAATTACTAAGAGAGGAGCATTGTCATCTCTAACTAAAATTTTGGATTTGTCTATTTCTCCTTTCAGTTTTGCTTTGTGGACTTTGAAGGTCTGTCGTGAGGTATGTATAAATGAAGGATTAATATGTCTTATTGATAAACTGACCCCTTTTATCATTATGTAATGTGTCTCTTTATTCCTGGCAATGTTCCTTCTTCTGAAATATACTTTTTCTGATATTAATATAGGTGCTCCAGGTTTCTTATGATTAGTTTTTGCATGGCATACACTTTTCCATCCTTGTACTCTAAGCTGTATCTTTATATGTCAAATTAGTTTCTTGCAGACAGCCAATAGTTGGATCTTGCTTTTAAATCCAGTCTATTTATGTTTAATGCAGCTATAGATATGGCTGAGTTTAAATCTACCATCTTGCTAATAGTTTTCAAATTGTCTCATCTTCTCTTTGTTCCTTTTCTTGCTTCTTTTCCTGTATTCTTCTAGATTAACTGAGTATTTTAAAAACATTCCAATTTATCTCTGATTAGCTGTAACGGTTTTGTTTTTTAGTAATTGCTCTAGTGTTAATAATATGCATCTTTAATTTATCACAGTCTACCTTCAAATAATATTATACCACTTCTCATATAATGTGAGAAACTTACAACAGTATACTTCTAGTCCCCACCTCCCATTCTTCATCCTATTGTTGTCATACATTTTATCTCTATTTATGCTGTAAACCCCCCAACACATTATTATTTTTGCTTTAAGTAGGCAACTATCTTTAAAAGACATTTTAAAACAAGGGGGAACAGTCTTTTTATATTTGCCATATGTTTACCACTTCTGATGCTCTTCATTCCTTTATGTACTTTACATTCCCATCTCGTATCATTTTCCTTCTGTGTAAAAAACTTCCTCTGACATTTCTTATAGTGAAGAATGGCTAGTGATGAATTCTCCCAGCATATTGTTGTCTGAAAAAGTTATTTTGCCTTCATTCCTGAAATATATTTTCACTGGATATAGAATTCTTGGTTGACAGCCTTTTCTTTTGGCACTTTAAAGATGTTGCTCCATTGTCTTCTGGCCTTCATTGTATCTGATGGGAAATCATCAGTTTTCCTATCTGTTCCTATATACATAATGTGTCTCTTTTTCTTTGGCTGCTTTAAAATTTTTTCTCTTTATCACTGGCTTTCAGCAATTTGATGATGTGCCTTGGTGTGGATTTCTTTGTGTTTATTCTTTTGGGGACTTATTGAATTATTTAGATCTGTGAGTTTACAGTTTTTATTAGATGTGGAACCTAGAACATTATTTCTTCTAGGCTTTTCTGCCCTTTTCTGGAACTTCAATAACACATATGTTAGCCCACTTGATATGATATTATCCCACAGGTATGAAGCTCTTTTTGTTTTGGTATTTTTCTCTGTATTTCATTTTGGGTAGTTTCCATTGCTTTGTACTCAGATTCAACAAACTTTTTCTGCAATGTCTAATCTGCTAGTGATCTAATATTGACTGAGGGTTTGTGTCCTCCAAAATTCATATGTTGAAGCCCTAACCCCCAATGTAATAGTATTTAGAGATGGAGCCTTTGGGGGATAACTGGATGATACGGGAGGGGTCCTGGTCTCATGGGATTAGTGTCCTTATAAGAGATACCATAGACACTAAGATCTCTCTCTCTGTCTCTCCCTCTCTCTTTCTCTCTCTCTCTCTCTCTCTCCATCCACACACCAAAGAAAGGCCAGGTAATCATGAGGGCATGAAGGTAGTCATCTGCAAGCCAGGAAGAGAGCCCTCACCAAAATCTGACCATGCTGGCACCCTAATCTCAGACTTCCAGCCTCCAGAGCTGTGAGAAAATAAAAGTCTGTTGTTTAAACTACCCAGTCTTAGGTATTTTGTTATGGCAGCCTGAGCAGACTAATAAGTAATACTATCCAGTGAAAGTCTGATTCCTTTTTATAGGATTCCTTCCTATCTGCTAAGTCTTTTTTTTTCTTTCTTTTTTTTTTTTTTTTAGATAAGGTCTCACACTATCTGGGCTGGAGTACAGTGTCATGATCACAGCTCACCATAGCCTCAACCTCCCAGGCTCAGCCTCAGCCTTCCAAGTAGCTGGGACTACAGGCATGCACCAGCATGCCTGGCTAACTTTTTGGTATTCTTTATAGAGACCAGGTTTCACCATGTTGCCCAGGCTGGTCTCAAACTTCTGTACTCAAGTGATCTGCCCACCTTGGCCTCCCCAAATGCTGGGATTACAGGTGTGAGCCACTGTGCCCAGACCCCTATCTGCTAATTATAGCACGTTCCTACCATTTCTGGGTCTATATCAATTAATTGATTTTTCTCCTGATTATGAGTCACATTTTCCCCTGCTTCTTTGCTGTCTGCTAATTTTTTATTGGGTGACTCACTGTGAATTTTACACAACTGAGTGGTTAGATTTTGTTATAATCCTTTAAAAAGTATTGGACTTTGTTTTGGAAGACAGCTAAATTAATTTGATGCTTTTGAGGCTTGTTTGAAACTTTTTGAAGGCAGATCTAGAGTAGCTTTTATTACTAAGGTGTGACCCTTTTGTAATCTCAGTTAAATGCCCCATGTCTTTAATGAGGCCTCTCACTTTGGCTGGTGGAATTGAAAAAATCCCTGGCCCTATGTGAATCTAGGAATTGTTTGGGGCTTTTTTGTTTTGTGTAGTTTTGTTTTGTTTTGTTTTGTTTGAGACAGGGTCTCACTCTGCCACCCAGGCTGGGGGTGCAGTGGTGTGATCACGACTCACTGCTGCCTCAGACCTCTTGGGCTTGAGCAGTCCTCCTACCTCAGCCTCCAGAGTAGCTAGGACTACAGGCATACTCCGTCATGCTCACCCAATTTTTAAAAATTATTTCTTGTAGAGACAGAATCTCATCATGTTGCCCAGGCTGGTCTCTAACTCCTAGACTCAAGTGATCCTCCCACCTTGGCCTCCCAAAGTGTTGAGATTACAAACATGAGCCACCATACCTGGCCTAGGAATTGTTGAGACGAAGAAGACAGCAGGGATTGTTGGACTTGTTGAACAATTAGATGTGGAAGGATAAGAAATGAAGAGCAATTACTGGGTGGGTGGTGGCATCAGTCACCAGTAAGGGGGATATTGGAATGGAGGACAGAGTGAGTGAATTCTTTATCAGATAAATTTAATTTTAGGAGTCCGCATGACATGGAAGTAGAGAAGTCTACTAGCACCTTGGATATGTGATCCAGCTCAGGGAAGAGGCAGAGGCTAGAATATAGACTTGGGAGTAATTAATACATAACATAAATACATAATTTAGTACATAAAGTTAAGAGACGTTAACATTTATCAAGCATTTATACACATGGTAGTTAAACTAGGTGAAAGAACGAGATTACAAAGGGAAACTGTAAAAAAGCAGACTAAAAATTAAAAATCCTTCTTAAAGGGTGGGCAGGGGTGAAGTGCATGAAAAGAACAAAGAGGAGAGGAGAGAGGAAGCAAAGAGAGGAGGAGAAATGGTGAGAAAAGTTAGAGAAGAGCCAGGAGAGGAAGGGGTCGTGGAAGCTAAGAAAGCAGAGAGTTTCACGAGAAGCATGGTCAACATTGTCAAATGACACAGACCAATCATGTAAAATTAAAACTGAGAAATATCCAGGCGATGGTGCCCAGTGAGGGTCTCTGATTTTGGGAAGACCCATTTTAGTAACTTGGGAAGGTAGAAGCCAATAAGTAGACAAGCAAATGAGAAGTGAGGAAGTGGAAAGAGTAAGTGTAGACTCCTCTTTCTAGAAATTTGGTGAAGAAGGGAAGGTTAGTTTTCCAGCCCTAGCTGAGGAGGCTCCATGGAAAAGAGAAGGAATTTTTTTTTTTTTTTTGACAGGACAGACTTCAGCATGTTTATAGGCTCTTAGGAAAGCCCAGCAGACAGGAACAACGGAATGAAGTCCTCAGAGGAGATAAGAGTAATGGGATCAATAGCACTGGCAGAGTTCCCCAAGTCTCTACAGTTAATAGGTGGCAAAGTTACTTATGACGGGTAGGGAAGAGACATGATTCGTCACCGCACTTTAAAGATAGAAAAACGAAGCCCACAGTGAAAGAGAATTGCCTCAAACCATACAGCCTGGGACTTAATAGAAGAGATCCACCCCCCACCACTGGCCACGTGACTTTCTATCCCAGAAGACTCCCTCTGTATCAATGTAGAGCCTTGGCCACCCCTGCAGAAACCTAGGAAATGGTGGATGTCTGAGTCCCAGAGAGGAGAATGTAGGGAGGGTCATAGGGCACATTCTGGGAAGGGGTGGCTCTCCGGAGAGGGACTGGGGAGGAGAGGACAGAGCTGGGAGGAAAGCAAAGGCATCTCCACCCAGGCAGCAGCTGCTTGCAAATATGTTACAACTTGTCAAACAGGCAGAAATAGATGCAGTCCAGGGAATGGAGGGGGTGGTGGCATGCTAGGGCTTCTGAACCCACAGACAGGGCAGATTTGGGGGGTGGGAGGGAGTAGCAGGGAAGGGGACAGCCAGGGGGGCAAATCCACAAGTGAGTATGACAAATATATGCCGAGCAGTTCTAAGTAGGTGGAAATGGGTCCAGAGAACCATCTGGTTACCTTCCAGTGAGGTTAAACCTGGGAGCCGAAGTGGAGATGGGAAAAGGACAAAATATCTCTAGAAATCTACCCTCTCTGATCCTGTGAGTCTTCAGAGCTAAACCTGGTTCATACAAAACAGTCCTCCTACCCTGACTCCATGAGCACTTCCTCCAGATGCACATGCTAAGTCAGAAAAAAAAAAAAAAAAAAGGCATCCTGACCAGTCAGTTCGGCATCTTGGTTTACAGATGGGGAAATTGAGAACCAGAGAGGAGACAGAACAGCAACATGCCCTGCCTTATCCAGGGCTCCGTCTTCTACTTTCCCTCCGTGTCCTGATAGTATTTGTCCTAACCAGGAGCTGAAGGCCCAAAGGCCCTGTTCCCATAGGAACGTAGGATACTTGTAAGAAATCCCTGCCCGTATTTCCAAAGGCCCCACCAGAGCCAGGTCCCCAGTTCACAGTGCTAAGCCTAGTTCTGGTTATTTTTAAAACCAGCTCTCTGCTTTGTCTCCACCAATCACCTCCCCTTGACCCTCACCCACTCTCCTCCAACCCAACCCCTTCCACCTCCGGGTCTGCACCTTCCCACACCCTAAAGCCAGAAATTCTTGAAGAATGATCCTGGCTCTGAGCATCAGATTCCAGGCAGGGACGGGATTTCCCAGTGGTCATCCGATGCTCAGTCCTCCATGGAAACAACGTGTGGCTTCAGAGGCCTGGTGGAGGGGGGACCCTCCCTTCCTCCTCACATCTCAATCCTGGCATCTGCCTCCAAATCTCCCCTGTCTCAATCCCTCAGGCCTCTGCCTGGCACCTCCAGCCCACTCTCTCTCTCACACCTCTCCTGTATCTTCTTTTCATCTCTCCAGCAGTACCTCTCCTGATGTCTCTCTAAACCCTCCATTCAAACTCTCCAACCCCTCACTGTCTGCCTACTTGTGGCCCCAGGCCCACCGGGAAATATCTACTCACTTGCTGCTTACTACTTACCCTTCCTCACCTGCCAGCCTCACAGAGGGAGAGGAGGCTCTGGGATTCAGAACAGGCACCCTTCACACTTCTGACACTCATCCTCTGTACGCTTGGGCAAGTCACTTCCCTTCTCTGGGCCTCCATTTCCCCATATGTGGAGGAAGAAGGTGGACTAGTGGATTCTAGACTGCCTTGCAGCTCTGACTTTCTGTGATTCTGTGATCTGTTCTCATCTTGCTGCAAAGCTACTGCCCCACAAATAATCAATGCTGATTTGCATGTAATTTTTATGCATCTATGTCCTATTGAAATGCACAAGCATTTGCCACCCCCCCCCACCCCCCCCCACCCCCGACCTCATCCTCATCAATAATACCCAGAGACCCAGCCTAGGAAAATATATGGTGAGACCTGTTTGGAGCAGCCAGAGGCCCCCACCCTTCCAGACCCTTCTCCTTCTTGCTCCTCTATTCCCAAGCACATGAGAATCCAGAATGGAAAAATTGCTTTGATTTTAGCCAAGCACCATGGCAGCCCAGGTCAGCCCACCTGCAAAATCAGCAGGGACTAGAAGATGCTGAAGGCCAGAGGGCTGTGACTGGGTGTGCAGCAGAAGGGGTAGTAAGGAGCAGGGAGCAGGTGAAGGGGATTTCTGAGCATTTTGAAATCCAGCCGCTACCATGCAAATGACATCAGCCCAGCGTGCAAATAGACAGAATCAAGTTGAAACAGTCAGGGTTGGGGAGCCAACAATGTGGCCCTGGAGCCCCAGTAGGGGATAAGGGCTTCCTCTGGAGGGCGCAGGACTGCTGGAGGAGGAGGCTACAGTCAGGGCAGGGGGCCCTGTGTGCCCAAGCCAGCAGGGATGGGGATTAGGGCCGGACGCCCTGCTGTCAGGTTGGAGCTGATGGATTGCCGCTGGTGGCGGAGCACAAAGGCTGTTCTGTGCTTGGCACCAATGTGTTCCCATCCATCAGAGGGCAGCTTGTGGGGGTGGAGGGGTGTACAAGGGGAGGAGGACCAAGCCTCTAGATGAGGCGTCTCCACAGCTCGGCTCTGAGAGAAGAACAAGATGGGTACAGGGCCAATCCCCCCCATCAGGGTATGGACAGGTCAAAGACACCTGGGTCACTCTATCAGCTCAGACCAAGAGGGTCTGTGCCCCACATCGGGCTTTGACGTGGTCCCCAAACCACTGTACTCAGACATACACAAACACACACAGAGACAGGGATTCACAGAAACCAGGCACACAAGGTCACCCTAACCTCCCGGCTCTGCCCTCATGTTTGGTCAGAGGCAAACATCATCCAGACACAAGGCCAAATGCATGCCCAACAGAGCTTCTGCAGGCAAGCGCCGAGTCTAGGCACTGCTCTTGCCCCAGGTCAGGTCCCAGCCAGGGAACTGACACAGAGTGGGTTCTCAGTAAATATGTGTTGAGCAGATGAAGGAGTGAATTAATAAATTCCTTCTCTGGATTACGTCAGCACTTTCTCTAGCCTGCTGTTTCTACCTTGGTTAGATGACTTTGTGTACTCATTCTCCTTACTCATCAGTGAACATGCTGAAGGCAGAGAGGGCATGTCTTAGTAACCCCAGCACCTGGCACAAGGTGCTGAATGCACAGTACTTGATAGAAAAAAAAATGAATGAATGAATAAACACATTCGGGGTGGAGCCAGGTTTTCCCTCCTCCATTCCTGCTGCTGTGGTCCCCTGCAGGGCACACAGAAGTAGAAGAGAAGACAAAGCAAGAAAAGGGAATAACATTTACCAGGTGTATCCATGTGCCAAGTACCCTATCATTTAATACAGCCATTCCCCTATTGCTTGCATACTCGCCATCCTTTGCTAGCCTGAAACATGCACCCTCTCCCAGTCGAATCCATCCTCCTGCCTCTGAAGAGGTTGTTCAGACCTTCATCATCTCATTCCTGGATGACCATCACACTGTTCTGTGCGGTCTCCTTGCCTCAGCTCTCAAGTCCTTCCCTGCCCAGCTGGGCCTCCTCCCCTCTGTGCAAGTTTGTCTCAAATCACCCCCTTACCTGAACCCCAAGCTCCATACAAACAGCCTACCCAACGTCCCCTTCCCCTGCTCCCCTCTCCTCATCTGAATCCTACCAGTTCTCCAAGAGCTGGCCCAGCATGCTCCCCAAGCCTTCTGCAGAGCACCAGTCTTCAGCAGTTTTGGCTTCCCAAAAATTCCCAAAACGCTTTTGAAGAAACTACTGGTTTGCAATTGATTAAAGCCCCCATGTTTGCTGTAGAATCAACATAGCTCTCCCTTGTCTTGTAATCCAGCTTTCACATGTCAACCCATGCTCACCAACTAGACAGTAAGGTCTGGAAACCACCATAGAGCAAGCCAGCTCTGCCTCCATTTTAGAGGAAGAAGACACATTATTTAGAGGTAAGTCACACTGGATCCTGGAATAACAAAAGATGCAAATATGGGGGTTCCTATAGTGGCTTCAACATGACTTCTTTTCTCAGGGCTCATAGGACTGGAGGGTAAACTGAGGCTTTTTTTTTCTTTTTTGTTTGGCAGGGGATGTGTTAGAAATAGAGACTCTTCTTCAGCCCAGCTGGTCAGGGGAAAGCAAAGTTTAGAACCCACACAGTACCTATGCTGCTACTTTTTTTTTTTTTTTTTTTTTTTTTTTTTGAGGCAGAGTCTCGCTGTGTCACCCAGACTGGAGTACAGTGGTGCGAACTCGGCTCACTGCAACCTCCTCCTCCTGAGTTCAAGTAATTCCCTGCCTCAGCCTCCCAAGTAGCTGGGATTACAGTGCCCACCACCATGCCTGGCTAATTTTTGTATTTTTAGTAGAGACAGGGTTTCACCATCTTGGCCAGGCTGGTCTTGAACTCCTGACCTCGTGATCCACCCGCCTTGGCCTCCCAAAGTGCTAGGACTACAGGCATGAGCCACCACGCCCGGCCTATGCTGCTACTTTCTATCATGCTGGTAAGGCCAAGAACAGAATTAAGACCTCACTGCTCTCCCTCAACATGCTTAGGGTTCTTTTGTTGTCCAGCTATGTTCCCTCCTTCCCTCCATTTCCTGTCCCAAAAGGACATCAGAATTCTCCTGGCTCCCTGCTGTGAATAATGAGAGGAAGGAACACTGGTTCTTCACATGCCTCGCAGATCTCATGTTCCCTGTGAAGTCTCCCATGAGTCCCCAGCAGGGTTCCCCTTCCTCTTATTGTCCTTGCCACTGGCTTGAACTTGTCAGTTTGATCTGTCGTAGGATAAGGAGCAGGACATTAGTCTATGGGGAGGAAAAAACTGGGAACAAAGGATAAAAGATAGAGGGAGCAGATTGCAGCCCAAAGCTACACGTCAATGGAACGGGCTGTCTCCTGACGTGAGCAGAAGCTGAACAGTAGCCGCCTCGGAGGAGATTTGGGCATCAGGGGCTAGGTAGAAAGAGGTGATCACCGTTGTCTATCAGATGGTAAGTTCGAGGGCAGGGATCCTGTCTGGGGTGTCCCTATAATCCCCAGCCCTAAGACTGAGCCTTGTTCACTGCTAGTGTCTAAGGTCTGCCCACTGCATTGGAAGGAATTTGTCCTCTCAGACCCTGAGGCACCTACTGAGAGGTGACCATGGCCTGAGAGGCCTGAAGATTAAATAGTCCCTGCTCTACCTGACATTTGAGACCTGCATGATACGTGTAAAATTGATGGCTCAGACAGTAAGAGGCAGAACAACCAAGCCCGGTGGCCAAGGAGAGAGGAGATTTAAACTGAGTTTGAAGGGCTCTGTTTTTTCTACTTTTTCACCCCCGTCCACATTAATGAGCCAGGAAAATTCTGGTGTTGGAAAAAGAGTTGAGGAGGTAACATAGAAGGACAGATCAATGGTCCGGAGTGAGACAGGGAGGAGACAGGGAGCTTAGGACATCTTGACCTTGCCGCTCTGGGGAAGGTGGCAACGTGTAGGCTGTAAATTCTAATCTCTGCTCTGACCACGGCTGCTGTATTAAAGAGGAAATTTCTCTTTACCCCTGCCAAGAAAACCAAAACCCAAATAATTTCTCTTGCCTCAATTTACCCCCCCAGATGAGACCTAAGAGAACATACAGCTCAAAGCTGCTTGGGAACCCCAAAAGTGGAATCTGTTAGCTGCTCTGAGTCTTGATCCTTCTTATCCCTGGATACTGAGTGCCCATGAATGCCCAGAATCTGAAGCAGTCCCATTCTTTCCGGAGGGAAGTCTTTAAAAGAGTCTCATCGACTGATGTAGTGTGGTTAAGGTGCTGTCAGGAAGCAAGGAGATGGATAAGTTGGCTCTTAAGGCCCCTTCCAGCCTAAGCCTACCCTTCCTTGTTCCCTCCTCCCCCTATACCCACCAGCTTCTTCGGGACTGCAAGGAGACAGCAGGCAGGCCGCCCAGCTAGGAGTAATTGAAAGGAGCAGATGAGAGGGGAATGTGTCCTCCCCCAACGCCCCTGCCCCACAGGGGCTGCTGAGAAATGAAAACTAATCAAATTACACCCGACGGCCTCCCGACCCGTGCACAGGAGCCCGCCTGGGCCAGGGGCAGGCTGGCAGGGTGGGGTGGGGGCCATGCGGGAGAAAGAAGGGGAATCACATCTAATCCACTGTAAACGCCTTGATGTGCAGCAACAGCTTAGAGGGGGCTCAGGTTTCTGTGGCGTTGGCTATATTTATCTCTGGTTCCATGCCAGCGGGGAGGGTTTAAATGGCACCCAGCAGTTGGCGTGAGGGGCTGCTGGAGCTTGGGGGCTGGTGGCAGGAACAAGCCTTTTCCGACCCCATGGAGCTGTATGAGACATCCCCCTACTTCTACCAGGAACCCCGCTTCTATGATGGGGAAAACTACCTGCCTGTCCACCTCCAGGGCTTCGAACCACCAGGCTACGAGCGGACGGAGCTCACCCTGAGCCCCGAGGCCCCAGGGCCCCTTGAGGACAAGGGGCTGGGGACCCCCGAGCACTGTCCAGGCCAGTGCCTGCCGTGGGCGTGTAAGGTGTGTAAGAGGAAGTCGGTGTCCGTGGACCGGCGGCGGGCGGCCACACTGAGGGAGAAGCGCAGGCTCAAGAAGGTGAATGAGGCCTTCGAGGCCCTGAAGAGAAGCACCCTGCTCAACCCCAACCAGCGGCTGCCCAAGGTGGAGATCCTGCGCAGTGCCATCCAGTACATCGAGCGCCTCCAGGCCCTGCTCAGCTCCCTCAACCAGGAGGAGCGTGACCTCCGCTACCGGGGCGGGGGCGGGCCCCAGCCAGGGGTAAGTGGCCATCCCATCCCCCTGCCCCAAGGGGACGGGGCCAGAGGGAGGCACCTGGACAGCCTCAAGACCCCAAGAGGGGCTCAGAGGGTTGGTGCAGGTGCCAGACAGGGTCGAGGGGCTGCAGGAGCCCTTCCCTGGTCAGAGCTGGGCTATCCAGCTGACCTCCTGTGTCCTGTGTTCTTTCCAGACAAGATAAAGGCAGTGGGGAGGAAGTGCAGAAGGGGTTGGGGTGGGGAACATAGGACTGAAGAAAGATCAGGAGCAAGGCCACAGTCAGCCCAGGTGAGGGTGAGGATTAATCCCAGCGCCTGAGTCAGAGCCTAAAAGGCCAGGCCAAGTTCACCAGAGAAGACTGCTTTGCCCCCATCCTGGGTGTGGCTGAGCAGAGAGAAAACCCACTCAGTCTCATTGGAACTCCAGCAGGCCTGCACAGAGCGACCTTCACTGGGCCACAAAATCTGTCTCCATCACCCTTATCGCCAGAGTCAGGAGAACCAGGGACCCCTTTAAGCTGGTGTCCTGTGAGAGCAGAACCACCACCCAGGATGGAAGCCAGGAAGGCCTGGAAGCAGGGCCTCTGGGGTGTGAGAGGAGCTAGTTACAAAGATTCTGGGGTTGGGGATGGCCTGGGCTGGAAGGCCACAGCCTGTGGCCCACCCTCCAACCCCACCACAGGTACTTCTGCCCACTGGGACTAGGCAGAGAGAGACATCAAAGAATGGCTGTGCCCCGACCTTGGGCCTTCGCCCTGTCTTGCAGGTGCCCAGCGAATGCAGCTCTCACAGCGCCTCCTGCAGTCCAGAGTGGGGCAGTGCACTGGAGTTCAGCGCCAACCCAGGGGGTAAGTAAGGCCTGACTGGTAACCTTGGCTCCAATCCCTCAGTCCCTCCCTGGGCCAGGTTCTCCCCTCTTACCTTATTCCTTGCTCCGGTCCTCTTCCCTTGGGTCTCTCTAGGGACCTGCTGACTCCAAGGCCCAAAGGGTGGGCTGGGAGGTTCTGTGTGCCCCTGCAGTCTTGACCAGCAAAGGAGTGATAGTAGCTCCTGCAGCTCCCCAGCTGATGCCTGGTGGTTGACCTTCTCCACAGAGAGGACAATGTCCCTGCCCCAGGGGTCCCTGTGAAGTGCTGAGTCAGTGCTGCAAAACTGGGCCGAGCAAAGGGCAGGTCCAGTCTCTGGGGAGCTCCATCCTGCTCCAACTTGAGTGGCTGCTTCCAAACCCTACCTACTAGGGGAGTTCAGAAAAGAGGCGCATACACACACACACACACACACACACACACACACACACACTCACAGAGCATGGGGAAAGGCAGGGACTAGGGAGTAGAACTCCGGAGCTTTGTCATTCATCTGTCCTGGAAAACCTCTGTCACCCCAAGGGTCCCATCCTCTATTCTGGGCCTCAAGAACCCCCACTGCTCACCCAGGTACCACCTTCCCACCTCCCCTTACAGATCATCTGCTCACGGCTGACCCTACAGATGCCCACAACCTGCACTCCCTCACCTCCATCGTGGACAGCATCACAGTGGAAGATGTGTCTGTGGCCTTCCCAGATGAAACCATGCCCAACTGAGATTGTCTTCCAAGCCGGGCATCCTTGCGAGCCCCCCAAGCTGGCCACAGATGCCACTACTTCTGTAGCAGGGGCCTCCTAAGCCAGGCTGCCCTGATGCTAGGAAGCCAGCTCTGGGGTGCCATAGGCCAGACTATCCCCTTCCTCATCCATGTAAGGTTAACCCACCCCCCAGCAAGGGACTGGACGCCCTCATTCAGCTGCCTCCTTAGAGGAGAGGGCATCCCCTTTCCAGGGAGGTAAAGCAGGGGACCAGAGCGCCCCCTCGTGTATGCCCCAGCTCAGGGGGCAAACTCAGGAGCTTCCTTTTTATCATAACGCGGCCTCTAATTCCACCCCCCAAGTGAAACGGTTTGAGAGACGCAGTGCCCTGACCTGGACAAGCTGTGCACGTCTCCTGTTCTGGTCTCTTCCCGATGCCAGTGGCTGGGCTGGGCCTGCCCTGAATTGAGAGAGAAGAAGGGGAGAGGAACAGCCCTCTGTTCCCAAGTCCCTGGGGGGCCAAACTTTTGCAGTGAATATTGGGAACCTTCCAGTGGTTTTATGTTTTGTTTTGTTTCGTGTGTTGTTTGTAAAGCTGCCATCCGACCAAGGTCTCCTGTGCTGAAGTTGCCGGGGACAGGCAGGGAAAAGGGGTTGGGGCCTCTTGGGGGTGATTTCTTTTGTTAACAAAGCATTGTGTGGTTTTGCCATTGTTTTGTATTTTTTTTTTTTTTTTTTTTTTTTGCTAACTTATTTGGATTTCCTTTTTTAAAAAATGAATAAAGACTGGTTGCCAGAAGAGTGTCGGTGATGATGCAGAGGGAGGGAAATGACTGACAGCCCTGCCCCTTCCCACTGAGCAGTCCAGACACACCCTAGTGGGTGGGGCTCCACAGCGCTAAGGGCCTCATCTTGCTGGTGGTCACTAGGCACTGGGGACCCCTGCTCTTTTCACCATGATAAAGGAAATCGAGCATGTCTGGACCTCAGTCTAGGTGGAGACCAGATTCCACAGACATCCTTGTGGGACACGGAGGACAACTGGCTATGACTATACTTCAAAGCCACTGCTCACAGGCTGCTGTGCTCTGTGTTATGTCCCAACAGGTCCGCTGGTTTCAGTTAACTGAGCACCTCGTAAGCCCAGTGCTCAGCCCACAGCCAAGGTGCAGAGCTAGAAGTTGTGGTTTCCCTTCCCTAGTCCCCACCTCTGCCCTGGTGTCACAATACCAGGAGCCCTGTAGAGAAGTGGGAGGTGAGGAAGGGGGATCAGACACTGTCATTTCCTTGCGGGCCAAATAGCATGGCCCCTCCCCATTCTCCTCCATTCCCTTCAGGCCGAAGGGGATTGTGGTTCCTGCTTGCAGCTCCCAGCATGAAGGAGATTCAGATTTAGCTCGGGGAGGGTAAAGGGGTCCACAAAGAACAATCGAAGAGAAGCTGGGGTTCTCTTCATTTGGGGTGCTATTTTCAAACATTAGCTTCCTGAGGTTAGAAGGTGGGTGGGAAATTGAGAACAGAGATTTTTGGGTAGACATTACATGAGGATTAACTGGGGAGTTAACAGGAGCTAGAATTCAAACGGAACATGGACATCTACTGAAAACTTTATTAATTCCAACTGCCTGGGGCTAAGTTCATCAGATTTATTGCAAATTATAAGTTTCAGAATCATCACCGAAGCAGGGATTCAGAGCATGGTACGTTCCAGCCCTGCTTAATCCTTCGGGGCCCTTGACAACGGACTTAACCCAGTGTTGCCTGAGGCTCTAGCGACCACCCTGCACCAGCTCCGGGCTCAGCTGGGCCATCTCTCCCACACCCACCCTCCTGACCTTACTGCTGGAGAGGAGAGTTACCACTGTGCCCCCCGAGTTTCTTCAGAAACTCTGCCTAAGGAAAAGAATCAGAAGAAGCCTCTGGAGGCTCCCAGAACTCAGGCGAGGGTGCAGAAGGGAGGGTCTCCCCCACTGCCTGCTTGTCCCAAACCAGTCAGGCAGGGCTTATTGGGAATTGCAAATTGGCCTACTCTGCTCCCATTGGTGGGATTTTCTTCTTTTCAAGTTGGTATCACTGAGTTTAGTCTTTCCCCCTTGGAGGGGCTGGAGAGGAAGACCAAGGTCATTTCCATGACTCTTAGCCCTGATTCACTGCCCTGGGGAATGAGGAGGGCAACTGGGTGGGCTGCAGTGCCTTGGCTCTGGAATCTACATTCACTCCCTTATTACCCTCCGAAAATACTCAGAACACATTCATGGAGGATCGTCTCCCTTCAAGTTCATTTCCTCTGCCCCTGGCACCTCCCACACTCCCAGGGTGGAAACCACCCTCTCCCCTGCAGCTATGACCTGCCCATCCCTTGCCCTCCTTCTTACTGGGATAAGAAGGGCTGGCCAAGGAAGGCACTCAGCTCTGCTGAAGGACAGGTTCTGGGGCTGCTGGATATATTTTTTAAGTCTGCTCCTCTTCAGTTATCCTGACAATTAGACAGTGAGGGTCACATTCAGACTCGGGAAAGAATGAACAGTCCTCAGCACTGTAGTCACTGTCTACTTACTTTTTCATGTCTTTAAGTCCTTAAGGGAAAAACAGTTTGCTAGAATTCCACAGGTGTGAATGGCAAACTCTGCTAAGCAGCAGGCCAGCCTCACTCGTTATTTTCACAGAATAAACAATTGTTATCGAAGCATGGGGACTTTCTTAAATTAGCAAATGCTTAATCTTCACAACAGAATTACAGAAAAGACTCCAATTAATGAATAATGAGTTGGAGTTCTTTAGGGAGATTAGCTCAAATTTGTTCTTTAGTTGGAAGCACCTACAATAAATCAAACTGTATTAATCAAATGTTGCTTAATAATGGACTTTAGGGAATCCACTACAATGAAAAGATAAATATTACTTAAAATTGGCATACCAATTGTTGGTGTGTAAATAGGAACTTCTTCGAGTGCTTAGATAATTGGTGTGAATTGAACGCTTACAGTACTACTTGTGGCACTCCGATAAGCATTCCTAGGGATCTAACCTCCCAGAGTAATTTATTTGGTAGACTGGAAAACCTTCTTAAGTGCTACAGGTGTAGATGGGGTGGATCAACTGGAGAGGGAGGCGGCAGAGGGATGGTGGAGGGTGAGAGGAAAAGATACCCCTCAGCTCAGGTATCTGTTTCCTGGGTAAAACGCCACCCCAACATGTTAGGTTCCTTGGGCTTCCCCGGGCTTCTGGGCCCCAGGCTTGGGCAGAAAAGCCTGAGGGTGGGCCTGGAAGACTTCAGGTTGAGCCAGGATTTTGGCTAAGGAAGCTCAACCCAGTCCTGGATAGAAACTCCAATCACAGCCCCTCCACGATTCTGGCTGTGCCTCATCCCTGTCCCCCTTTGCCACAGGTCCCCACTCGGATCCAGACTCCCTGCCCCTCACTGCTTGGAGCATTCCTAGAGGGAGCAAAGGAAAGGGTTCTAGGAAAGACACCTAGATTCTTCTTTCCTACAAGTGCGGATGGAACCATGATGTCCAGTTCTCACCTCAAGCCCAGGATGTCCAAAATCAAACTCCCATTTACACATAAGTCGGCTCCGTCTATATCTCCTGTCCCAGTGGAAGGCAGCACAAGGAAGTCATAGTTTTCCTGGATCCCTTCAGTGAAGATCTCATTCCCATAGCCAGCCAGTCACCAAGGTTCATCAATTTTACCTTTGATCCTGGAGAGGGTAGCAAGGGACCCCCAGAGGCCTACAGGCACAGGGCCAGTACCTTCCCTCACCTCTGTTTTCCCTCCCTGGGCTGTGTCCAGGGTGCCTTGTCCCACTCCCTCCTGTCACTTGTGCCCATGGACTCTGCTGTCCTTGCTCCATCCATGTTTGGGGCACCATCAGCCTTAAAGAGGACACAGGATGCATGGTGCACTGTGCTACACGAAGGGGAGTTCACCACTCAGGGGAGCAGGGGAAACACAGCCCCCCAAAGATTCACAGCAGCCAAAGACCACATGAGTTGTTCACACAAAGGAGTCAGGGAAAGGGAGCTGGGTAGCTGGGGAAGGCTTGTTGAGGGGCAGGGACTTGAGTTCACTTAAAAGAGAAGCTAGCAACATTCGATAAGCATTGCTTTTCATCATGCTACTCCTAATGAAAAAAAAAATGATAAATACTCCTGGCACTGGGTCAGGAGTTTGAACATACATATCATAGTTAAGGACAAGGCACCGGAGTCAGGAAGGCCTAGGTTTGAGACCCACAACTGTCTCTTACCAGCTGTATTATCTTAGTCTTAAAATGTCCTGTTCTACAAAATGCTGAGAATATATCAGAATTGTGAGGATTCATGAGTTAATATATTTACCATGCTTAGAACAGTGTCTGGCAAACAATAGTACTCAGTAATTTTTAGCTTTTACTAATATTAATCCTTATACAACCCTCTGAGAGAAGGCTGGTGCATTTATTCATTTGAAGATATACACCTAGGGATGGAGAGATCAACAAGACTGCCCTAAAGGAGGTAACTCACAGCCCAGCGTGGGAGGCAATCACTGCCCAGCCTGTGCAGTGTACAGAATGTCTGGAGAGCAGAGGTTGCTGGTTAACTAGTTCTGCTGGGGAGAGGTAGGTGATGCCTCCCCAGTGATGCTTGAAGTGGTCTTGATGGCTTAAAACTACAAAGGTAAGGACAGAAGCAGTCATGCTGCCTTCTGGTGATGGGGTTGGGTGGACACCATGTTTCTGAGTTAGGTGGACTTGAAACTGGTGGGAGGAGGAGAGGTGAAGGAGCCAAGTCATGAATGGCTTCTTAGGCCACACTGAGGAGGAACTGCAACTCTGATCTAGAGGTGCTGGCAGCTGCTGAAAGTGGGAACGGTGGAGTGATGTGACCAAGGGGCATTCAGGAGAAGGAACTCCAGGAGCAGCAGGAAAGGGTGACAGCCTGACCAGGTGAGCGAGATGAAGGAAGACATCAGTTTCCTCTCTCCTTATCTGGTCCTCTACCTACTGGGCACATGCAACCCAAACATTAATCTATCAGTCCTGTGCTTATATAAATAAATAGTTATTGACTACAAGTTCTGAAAATTGTGACATTTCCTTCCAGAGTACAGCAGCCTTTACAACTGTGAAAGAAGCTGGAAATCTCAGGTGAGTTCAGAGTTAAAAAAAAAAAAAAAAAAAAAAAAAAAGACTGGAGGCCATTTGTACATTGTCTTAAAACCAGGTTGTTTATTGGTACGTACACACCCACACTCACACCCACCCACACACACCCATACACCCATTCCTGATGCACTGAGCAAATACAGTACTGAGAAGGGACCTGATGAGATACAGGAGGCTGGTGTGGAGGGCTCGGGTCACTGGTGACTCGCCAAAAAAAAAATATATTGACTATGAGGCAAGGGATACACCAAGACAACAGCCTTCCATCACTGTTTGCACAGAGTTCTCTTCTTAACACCTCCCTGCAACACTTCTCAAGGTGCTCTGAATGGACCCAGCTATCCTGGCACAGCTGCTGCCTTACGACATGGCCAACAGTGGCAGGAGTTGTAGAGGGGAGAGGCTGGGACTGAGTCTCCCTTACAGCCAGCCCATCAAGAGCACCCTGAAGGAGTCAGATGGCTATGCATTGCCCAACTCCACCAATCTTAGGAATCTCCATCATCTTACCATCCATTACCCAGGGATGGGAGCTGTTTATCTCCATCCAACTCATTTTCTGCTCAATAATCCCTCCATCTCCACTCCCAGCAACCTGATGGCAGGGAGGCCAGGGAACACTAAGGGAGAGCAAGGGCAGGTGGCTGCCTTGCCCAAGCCTAAGGGAGAGCCCACCCCACCACACCAGTGATGGGCCTCTCCTCTACCGAAAAGGAGCAGCGGGCTTTAAGCCCTGGCACTGCCCAGGTGCCATTGCTCCTTCTGGACTGGGTGCCCTGGCCCATTATCTCACCTGCAAGCCTAGTCCCTGCTCAGAACTCAAGGTGATCAGGTTGCAAAGCAGCTGCTCCAGCCACCTGTAGGATGGCACTGCACTGGCCCCTATCCAAGAAACACATGCCAGATGCTTTTCCTTTCCTCTCACTTTGATGAAGCCCTCGGTTCCATCATCCCACCCTGAACATAAGTCTTGAACATTTTCAGGCACCTTGGTAGGATGAGGGAGTAGGTGAGGAGCGGGTATTTCTTGGGAATAATATTCCTACCAAATCAGGACCTGTATCCCTCAGCTTGGGTTCCCATCATGCTGCTGGGGAAAGCAATGAAAATGGTGGCAGCTGGGCGGATCTTAGGAATTCCGGGAGGAGGCAGTCCCTGCCCACCAAAATAGCCCTGGATGAGGGTTAGGTGATTTGGGGACAAGCAAGAGAGTGGCTGCCTTCACCAACATTGGATTTCCTGGACCTGGGACATGAATCACTGTAGGAGAAGCTATTTTCTTCCTGGGAGGTCAGAGAAAGGAGGCCTTAGTCTGCCTTTTCCCCAAACTTGACTTTGGGCTCAATGTATATTCAATCCACCCATTAGGTTCATTTTTATAGGGTTGGGATTACTAAAGAAGTGAGGCAGAGGAGGAGAGAAGGGGAAGGGATGCTGGGAGCAGAGCTAGCAATGCATGGTTAGATCTGTTCTGCCCTAGAGTCAAGATCCGCACAACCTCCCTTCCCCATAGCCCAGCAGGAGCTCCACCCGATGGTTGGGGCAGGGGACATTCCCACTGCCCTTTGGGCTTAAGGCTACCAGAGGCCATTGGCTCTCCCTCTGGCTGGTCTGCCTATGCTTCTTATTAGGTGGGAGCTTAGAGTTTCCCCATCCTCACCCTTGGCTCAGAGCTCAGGGATCCATTTCTCTCTGGTTCTTCCCAAACTCAAATTTGGGATTCAGCTTATGCCAGGGCCTGGAATCTCTACCTCAGTCTTCCTCCTCCCAGCCTCACCATCCTGTGGGAGAATGGGGCCTTCAGTAGCCCTTCCCAGCCCCTCCCTGACCCCAAGAGAATGGGGGCAGGAACTGCAGTCACGGTGATGGGTTGGGAGAGTGGTGATGCTGGGGATGCCAAAACCAGCTGCCAGACCATTTGGCACAGCCAGACGTGGATAGACACCCTAAGATTGAATAGCCCAAGCAGGGCTGCGTCTGAAATGACCCTTTCTTGGAAGGACCATCCCAGCCTGTGGCCCAGGATCCTGGTCCTGGTGGAGGTTGCAGTGCAGACCAGGCTGGGTCCAGAAGAGGAAGGGTGGCTTCACATCCACCCTGAGCTGCCCTTCTCTCCTTCCCCCAGAATCCCAAGCATGGACAACCTGGGTGCCTCCACAATACCAGGAAACCCCAGCCACATCCACCGGACTTACAACGGACACACGGTGGGACTCGGGGTAATGGGGTGCCGAGGGGGTGGACGAATATATTCTGAGATCCAGGGCAACCGGAAAGTCACGGACGAGACTAGGAGCTGCGGAAGGAAGGGGAACGAGCAAGAGGGGTCAGGGCCAGAGGAGCCTGTGAAACCCAGAAGGAGGAAGCCAGCCCTGGGGGCCATGGCTAGTCCCGGAAGGCGGAGAGCATGTGTCCGTAGAGATAGTGGGAGTGAGCTGAGGGAGAGAGAGAGACAGGCATCGCACTGTGAGGCAGGTTGCAGGGCATCTGCGAGAGAGGTTGTAGGATGTGTGCGACAGCGGCAACGCAGCGTGCTCCAAGCGCAAAGCGCCCCAGGCCAGACGAAGCAGGAAGGGGCAAGCCAGGCAGTGCTGGTAAGCGGGACTGGAGCGGCAGGGCCAGGCCGGCAGCCAAGGGCAGGTGCGTGGGGCCGAGGGCCAGCAGCAAGGTGCCCGCGTCCCCGGGCCTGGCCCACTTACCCCGAGCCACGGGCACTCCCCCGTCAGACCCGGGGCGGGAGGATGGGGGGTCAGCAGGAGTAGGTCCGAACCGTGGAGGTCTCCAGTCTCTGCGACCCCGCCGTCCCAGCTGGGAGAAGTCGGCAGCCGCGGGAGAACACACAGAGCGGCGGGTTAGTGCGCACACACGCTCCCCGCGGAGCGTTAGTGCAGCTGCAGCGCAGGAGCGCGGGGCACCAGCCTCGGCCTCGCCCCTCTCCACCCGGCCCGGCCCTGGGGTGCCAGGAAGAAGCCCGCGCTCGGCTGGGCCTCGGCCATGCCCAGCCCGCCTGTTACTCACCTTCAGGCATGATCTTCTTTGGCGGGGCCGGTGGGGGCTGCAGGGTCCCCAGGGTGGACACACGGAAGCCCGCCGGGAGGGTCTCCGCGGAAGCGCTGAGCATGCCGCCGCGACCGTGGTGCTCCCGCGGCCGGAAGCGCTTCCTCCAGGAGGGCGCGCGGCGAAACACCTTGTCATCCCCCTGCACCATGGGGGACACCAGAGGCCCGAGGGCCCTGTTGGAATTGCCATCCTCACGCCCTGCCTGGAGGGGGCCAGTCGCTGCTGGTTCAAGGGGCACCACTCCCACCCCTTTGGAAAGAGGGAGCGAGGTCACTTCCCCTTTCTAGCCTTGAGTTTTTCCATCTGTACAGTGAATCGGGAAACCCTGCGACTCTGAAATTCCCTGTCTCTGGGTGGCGGATGGAGGGGGTGTGTGGGGCGGGGGAGAGTCTTGTTGGGTCTGCCATCCTGCAGTTGAACTGTTTCCCAGCCCACCGCAATCTTCTCAAAGTAGGCTTGGCATGACCATTCACCTTTCAAGGCATTCCTCTGCCTCAGCCCATGGGAGGTGACAGCCGGTCCCTATACACACTGTCCTGTCCTTCTGGGGCCTCCGAATGGCTGTAGCCCAGTATACCAGAAGAGTACTATGTCGGGCGGGAGTCAGACACCTGGCTTCTAATCCTGGCTCTGCCATTTTACTGGCTATGTGACCCTGTACCAGGTGAGTGACCCCTCTGAGCCTCAGTTTCCTTATCTGTAAAATGAGAATAATAACATCTGCCCTACCTGTTTCTCAGGCTGCCTACCACTAATGGGATCAGATGAGATCACCCTGTAACAGGGATGGGTCAGGCAGACCACCAAGCAGATGCAGTCTCCTCCAAAGGACATGGCAGGCAGCCCCCTGCCACCTGCCCCCCTCACCCATGCCAGCCATGTCTCCAAAATAACCATCTCTGCCACAGGGCACCCAGGGCCACAACCCTACAGGATCCCCCTCTGCACAGGCCTCCCCACCCCACACTTCAGAGCCTTTATCCACCCTGCTTGGAAGCCATGCCCAATCTCCCTCCACCCCATGTTCTCAGAGCTGATGCAGGCAGAGTGGGACTAGCAGGAACAATGGACATTCACCCACCTGTTCTTGCCTCAACAACCCCTCCCAGCCCTTCCCCGCTAGGGTTTGTTGTGTGTGCCAAGTGGGTCAAATGCTCTGATAAATTCTCAGCACCATGTACCTCTCGGTCACAGCACTCATCCTAGTAGCATTTTTATATATATTTATGAGATTATTTCATTAATACAGTCATGCACCACATAATGTTTCAGTCAGTAATGGATGGCATATACAGTGGTGGTCTCATAAGATTATAATACTTTTACTGTCCCTTTTCTATGTTTAGATATACAAATACTGACAAATGCCAACAGTATTCAATACAGTAACAAGCTGTATAGGTTTGTAGCCTAGAAGCAACAGGCTATACCATATAGCCTAGGTGTGCAATAGGCTATACCCCCTAGGTTTGTGTAAGTACATTCTGTGATGTTCACACAGTGATCAAATTGCCTAATGATGCATTTCTCAGAACTTATCCCCGTAGCTAAGCATCATTAAGCCATGCATGACTGTATCTCTTTCCTCCTCCTTTTCTCACCTCCTTCCCTTCTCCCTACCTCCATGCCTTTCACTTTCTTTCTCGCTCTTTCTCTCAAATTCTATGCTCCATGGGGCAGAAACCATAACCTTTTTTGCTCCAACCAATGTATCACCAACCTCTGAGCAGTGCCTGGGATCACATTAGGCACTCAATAAAAATATTCATTAAATGAATAGGTGGCAGCTGGCTCTTTATGCAGGAGTCCCATTCCTGAGTTTGTTAGGAACTTCCCTTGTCACTGCTGTCCTCCCCATGATCCTGCTCTTACCCTAGCCCAGAGCCTCTTTTCTCTCTCCCGCCTTCCCCTTATCTCCATTTCCACCTTCAGCCAACCCTAAGGACCTGTTTCTGCACTCCTCCCCTGTCCCCTAACAGTCAGATGTTATTCCTTCCTGCTCCCCTCTTCCTTATTTCCCTTGAGTCCTCATCTCCATATGCAGGGAGAACTGGATACCGCCCTTAAGAGCCTTGAAGCTTGAGAAGGGACACTAAGTACCAAAATCAGCAGAGGGTGTGGTTGCAAGAGACAACTCAAGGTTGCTGATGATGTGCTAGACAGTTGGACAGGAAGCAGTCTCCTTGGACCCCAGACCCTCCCCTCACCCCTAAATCTTGCCTTATTCTCAGGACCTGGCTTCTACTCTACGCTTCCCACAAAAACCCTCCTCTCTAGCCCACACCTAGTTGAATCCCAAAAACTCCACTGCACAGCTCTATGTGCACCCCAATGTCTAAACAATAACTCCACCCCAATGTCTGGAGGCTGATAGGCCAGATAGCTCCACAAGCTTCCCAGAGGAAGTGGAACAAGGGGGAAGAGCTCAGAAATCAGACTCGCATCTGCTTCGGTCCTGCTCTGCCACAGCAGGTAAGTTCCCTCTTAGAGCTTCAATTTCCTCATCTGTAAGATGGGCATCATAACCTATCTCATGTGGTGATCATTACCATAAAGTGAGACATCGTCATCACTAACCACCATGCCTGGCACAATGCCTGGCACAGGGCAGGCATTCAAAGAATATTTTTGTAAGGATTGAAGGACTACATAGCTTCTAAATTAGACAGCACCACACTAATAGATATATGGGAGTCATTTCTCCAGACAGCAACAAACAAAGCAGAGATCCTGAGTGCATGTGGAATTAGTGGGAGGGTCAATATCACAGGGGCATTGGGAAAACAGATCTATCAGAGTTGGGACAGCTCTGGGTCGGGGGAGGGGGGGCTGCCAGTTTAGCCCCTTTAAAGTATCTAAATAACCAAAAAAAATACATATATAAGTCTATTCTTTTCTCCCAAACTTCAAGGTACCTCTGTGAAGAAAACACTTCCACAAATTCTGTGTATTCCTTATAGTGCCCTGTGTCCCCGAGGCAGAGCAATCCTTCTACAAAGGTGGATTTTCGCCCTGTTAAACCCTACTAAGAAACAGTGATTGGACTGAAGACAGAGCAGCGAAAAACACACACACTCTGGGCTTTCTTTTAACTTGTTTGGAGCCAGATCAACTAGCGCAGACCTGACAGGCAAGGGCAGTGATAGGAAAGTGAGGAGGGAGGAAGAGGAGGCGGGGGCCAAGGAGGGGCTATGACCTCAGCAAACCAGTGCAAAACAAAACAGTAGGATGCTTAGGTTGGCATCTCAAAGGGGACCATATGGCTTAGAATGCCAGGGTCTTCCCTCAACTCAAGGGGAATGCCTGATGAAATCAAGTGCAAGGGACTGTTCCTTCAGTGACCAGGAGGGCAGAGAGAGGAAAACTTTAACTTGGTGTGAAGGTAGACCCAAGGGTGAAACTAGAGAAAGCTGGGATGGTAAAAGCCCGAGCGTGTGTTTAACTGTGCAGACTGCACTGGGAGCGAGAGAGCAAACCTGTCATTTAACAACCTCAGCAGGGCATCCGCCTCCACACACCCACACTCCTGGAGGACAGGCTGGAATCTTACTGAGCAAGCTGGAGGTGTGCTGAGCTCAGCACTGAAGATACATGGTCTGAGAGATTAAGAAAAAGGTGTGATCCCAAAGATATGGCCTTTGGGGAAAATCTTTGATCCTATGTGGATAGGAAGGCGGGGCACAGAATTGGAAGATGCTGGAAGTACAACACATGGGCCTTCAGCTTTTGCACAGGAGTTTCACAGAGACTTCTCGACAGCCTATTACTACCCAAGACAAGTTCTTCTAGGGCTGGTCCACCTCCTCAACCCCCTGACATTATCCCCATCCCCTCTGGCTCTCCTCCCATAGACTAGCCTTCCAACAATTAGCCCAGGGAAGGCAGAACTCATGAACCTCAATCCAACGAAGATGACCAAATCCCCAAGGCTCCTAATTCATGGCCAGGTACTCACGTCATCCAGCTTCCGGTCTGTGCCCAAGGCCAACAGGTTATTGAACTCTCTTTCCATCACTTGGCGTGCCTGCAGTCCATAGAGCAGGAGAGGGAAAGGTGGGAAGGGCTATAGTTAACTACCTTTATGCCATCTTTCACCATTTTCCAAGGGTCCAAGGTCAGAGATGCAAGGCTCCAGTGCATTTAGCCCATTAGAGGCCTTTACACACCTTTTTGAAGCTGCTCCTTCAAGCAAACTCATAAGTAAAGCTGTAAGCCTAGGATTCTTTCATATACAGCAAATTAGAACAACATAATTTTTTTTTTTAAAGTAGTGGCCGGGCACTTTGGGAGGCCGAGGCGGGTAGATCACAAGGTCAGAAGGTCAAGACCATCCTGACTAACACAGTGAAACCCCGTCTCTACGAAAAATACAAAAAATTAGCCAGGCATGGTGTGGCAGGCGCCTGTAGTCCCAGCTACTCGGGAGGCTGAGGCAGGAGAATTGCTTGAACCCGGGAGGCGGAGCTTGCAGTGAGCCGAAATGGCACTACTGCACTCCAGCCTGGGGGACAGAGTGAGACTCTGTCTCAAAAAAAAAAAAAAAAATAGCAGTCTTGGCAACATACTGAGACCCTGTCTCAAAAAAAAAAAAAAATTTAATTAACTGGGCATGGTTGTGAACACCTACAGTCCCAGCTACCAGTTAGTTGGGCAGGAGGATAGCTTGATCCCAGGAGTCTGAGGCTACAGTGAGCTATGATCACACCTGCACTCCAGATCGGGTGATAGAACAAGACCCTGTCTCTAAGAAAAAAAAAAAACAAAAAAGTGGGATCATAGAACACATAGATAAAGAGACGTCACCTACTTGGAAAAAAAATTGTCTGAAAGGGGAAAATTGTGCCTGTCTTTCTCTTTCTGGAGGGGTAAGTAAGCATGTAAACCATGGATAACCAGAACATGACTGATTTGGATTAAATAAATATATCTGATAAGTTTTCACATCAAAAACTTAAAATTAGGAAGCCTGCTCAGCTGTGGATACTGGTTGTCCCTGGGCTGTGTGCATACAGACTCTCTCTAGGCCTCCCAGGAGATTAACTCATTCAGAGTTTTCAGAAATGCCAAAAACAGAAAAGTTTTCAAAACTGCTACCAGATATTTTTAACCTTTTTTTTTTTTTTTTTTTTTGAGGGAGACAGGGTCTCATTCTGTTGCCCAGGCTGGAGTGCAGTGGCACAATCATGGCTCACTGCAGCCTTAAACTCCTGGGCTCAAGCAAAACTCCCGCCTCAGCCTCCCGAGTAATTGGGACTACAGTCACGCATTACCAAACCCAGTTAATTTTTTAAACTTTTTGTAGAGACTGGGTCTCACTATGTTGCCCAGGCTGGTCTTAAACTCCTGGCCTCAAGCAATCCTCCCACCTTGACCTCCCAAAATGCTGAGCATACAGGCCTGAGCTACCACACCGAGCCATTTTTAACCATTTTAAATGAGGGATTCCGTATTGGGTCACACACTACTTCTCCCAACAGCTAAGCTCAATGACGGGGTCAGGAAATTAAGAAAGGTTAGAAAGCCATAGGGAGGTGTCCCTGCTACTATTTACAGAATTACTGCTATCCTCCAAAACTGAATGCATTAGAGATAGGAAATCAAAGAAAGAGAAAAGTCCATTTCTAGGTAGAAAATATTAAGCGTAGAGTTCCATAAGGACAGTCTGTGCCAGTATTGGGAACATAACATTTTTAGAAATGATCTGAAAGGAGAAGCACAGTAAATTTCAAGTATCCAAATGACACTGCTCCTCTGGGCAGTGAAAGGTGAGGAGGATAGGTGTAAATTTCAGAAGCGTCTCACAAAGAGAGGTGAGTGGGCAGCAAAGTGGCAGACGAGGCTTGCCCGAAGTGGGCAAGTGGAGAGAACGCACTTGGGGGAAAAATCCAGGCTCCTCTTGGAGAATGAAGGGATCTGTCCTATCTATTTTGACTGGTTGGGGTGGGGGCGGGGCGGGGGGGTCACTGCAGAATGCCTACAGGACACAATGGCCCTGTGCACTGCCACCACCCCCAAAAGGCCAACACACTGCCCAGAATTACGAGACAACACAGCCCTACCCTCATTCAAGCCAAAACGTGTCTGCTCCCAGAATAGCCTGTGCAGCTCTGGTGGCTGAATTTCAAAAGAGATCTGACAGCTGCAAACAGTCCAGACAAGGGCAGCTAAAACAATCAGGGGACAGAGGCGAGTCTATATGAGGAAAGCCTAAAAGAATTAAGAACACTCCGTCTGGAGAGACAAAGGCTTGGGCCCAGAGGCAATACAATCAGAGTTTATGAAATCATAAAAGGTGAGAACTAGTTAAATACAAATATCCTTACCAAACCTAAACCATCAAGAGGAGGTAGTTCCTTCCCCAGGGGCCTGACAGGGGCATTTTCAGGACAAATAAAATCAGGAAGTACTCTACACAACAAGCAGTACTTCTAGAATCTATTACCCACAGGAAGTTAGAAAGGCCAAAAATATAAATAGGTTCAAGAGAATTTAGATATATTCTTAGATGACAGCTCCATAAAAATGATGAAATGTAATTTCATGAGATGTTTAATCATTTGAGCTGTTGACAGAGAGCCAAAGCCCTGGTGTGGAGAGGCTCTGGGTTGTGTAATTTGGTATATTTAGCTTTTTTAAGGCTGGGGGCCCAGGAGCAGATCCCTAGGGTGGTAGACAAAGGTGATATGGGCTCTCTGGTCCCTAGGGGCCCTGGGGCTCATTCCCCTCTAAGAAAAGTCAGATCAGAGAAGCAGGATGAAAAGGAAGGCTCAGAGTCTCAGCTATGAAGTGGGGTTAGGAGGAGATAGAGGTACCCAGGGCAGGACGGGGATGCGCATTGTAAGAGCACACTGTGTGCCAGGCCCACGCTAGGTGTGCTCTGTATGTGAAGGCCATGTGTTCCCATGAGGGCTTGCTTATGCACAGCGATCACTTGGAGAATTGAGGACATTGCGATCCCCTCTGGCATAGGCCCTAGAAAAGCTCCCCACCCCCCAAGATACCTAAGCCTTTGTGTATGAGGGAAAGAAAGAGAGCAAGTGAGGGATACAGGGAGAGACTCAAGTTGACTGATTAAAAGGCTGCCCACCTGGGTGTTCTGTGTGGGGATCTGGAGGATCAGGGCCAGTGTGTTGTGGTCGAAGTTCTCGTCCAGGGCCAGCAAGGCTCCATGCACACCACTCTCATGCAGGTTTCCTGCGTAGTCCCGGAGCCCAATAGACTGGACCCAATGAACCACCTGGTCGTTGGTCCAGACTAACACATCTGGAGTGTGGGGGAAGAAAAGGGACGGAAGGAGATACTACGTTTCATCAAGGGCCCTCCAAGGACAGAAGCAGAGCTCCCTAAACCCAGAGCCGCAGTCCACCCTGCTCTCTGACCCCCACTCCATCCCTAAATTTCCATATCTTCTTTCTCTCCTCCCTGGCACCTGGGTGCCTGGGGAACCAACCCCCCACTCACTCCATCCCTGCCAGTTTACAGGACCCGGGGTCAGGCCAACAGGCTCCAAGCTTTCTCCCCAGAACCCTTGCACGGGTCATCCCCCTGACCCAAGCTGGAATGGCCTTCTTATTCTTTCCACCTTCAAGGTCTCCTCTAAGACTTGCATCTCCCATCCAGCCCCATCCAGATCAACAAGTTCCACAGGCACACCAGTCTATAACACCGTCCCAGAGGATTCACTGCATTTGTCCAGTTGGTGGCTGCTATCTGGTATGTGGGGTTGAGGGAGGGGAATTATAGACAACTTGGCATGGACTATGTCTCCTCCATCAGACTGGGAGCTCCCTAAGGTGAGGCTGCATCTTCCTTTTCAGACTGGAAGATTCCCTGAGACACAGAATGCCTCCCCTCCACTTGGCCCAAGGCAGGGACCAGCCAAGCAGGCTGCTCCCGAACCCTCTCCAAGCCTGACGAGCTTACCCTTGATCTCATGCTGGCTCTCCTCTCGCCTCTTCTCCAGCTCCTTCCGGTCATAATTCAGCCTCTTCAGACACATGATGCCATACTGAAGACTGGTTCTGCAGGCACACAGCCCCCAAGCCAGAGCCTCAGTGGGGCCACATTCCCACACCACCTGTCTCACATCCAGCATCAGCCACAGCATGTCCAGACCTACTGCCTCCAGCACAAAGAGCACCCCAGCCTCCTCATGCTCCTCCTTCCCCAGGGCCTTGCCTGCGACCCATCCCGAGGTTACTCCCTTTCTCTGTCTAACCCATATCCTCCCTCTCAGTCAGGGAGCGGGCCTGGGGATGGATTGATGGGAAAAAAAGTTCTTTGAATGAATCCAACATGTCCCTCTCTCTCCAGGCACTGGAACGACAAAGACCCCTACCACCTGCAAGTGGAAGGAAAAGCAAAAACAAGATACCCCTTTGTATCCCTACTTCACTCGGAGTCCTTACAATGGCCTATAAGATACTCCATGATCTGCTCCACTACCCATTTAACACCCACTTCAGCCACTCTCCCTCTTGCTCTCTCTGCTGCAGCCACACTGACACCCCTGCTGCTCCTCAAACACAGCAGGCTCACTGGGCCTGCAGGCCTCAGGGCCTTTGCACTGGTGGCTGCCTCTGCCTGGAACACTCCTCCCCCAGTTGGCTGTGTAGCTTACTCCTTTTGCCTCCATTAAGTCTTTGCTTAAATGTCACCTTCTCAGTCCAACTCACTAGTCACGTTGTTCATCCGATTTAAAATTGCAATTATCACCATCACCACCCCTAGCCCATACTCCCAATCCCTCTCACCCTGGTCTAATTTTTTCCTAGCATGTTTTGTCTATTAACATACCATATATTTATTATTCCTTGACTGTCTCTTCCAGTTAGAATTCATAAGCTCCATGAGGGCAGGGATCTTTGTTTTGTTCACTGATCCTAAACCCCTAGCACAGAGCAGGGACTCTACAAATGCTTGATGAATTAAAGGAAATAATTAATTCGCATAAATTACTAAAAGTACTTAAACAGTATCAGGTGCAGAGCAAGCATTCAGTAACTAAGCCAGGCATAGAACCACAGATTCTGTGGGTCAGAAGGAACCCTGGAGGCCATCAGTCCACGCTCCCACCTAAGGCAGGAGTCACCCCTACAGCTTCCTTCAGAGTAGTCACTGAGCCTGTGCCTGAATGCCTCCAGGGGCAGCGAACTCATTACTTCTCAAGGCAGCTCATTCCATCTTGGAAGAGCTGTAGTGTTCTTCCTTCCTTGAATGCTACTTTGTCATTCAGCTTCTCTGAGTTTTCCCATCTTTAGAGAATTAGAATGGAAAGTCCCTCCCAACTCTACCTGCTTTTGACTCTTATTGAGGGCACTGCTTTGTGAGATTAAATTGTGCAGACTGCTCCCTCCTTTTCTCCCCTCACTTCTCAGCAGGAGGCTCTTCTGCCTAGAACAGAGCTCAGAGATGCCACTTCCAGGAACCCTTTTCTGGCCCAAGCCACCCTTATGTTGCTCAAGCCGCTGGTTTAAGCTTTGGTCCACTGTGAAGGGGCATGCGCACACACAGCTCATGACTGGAAATGCCTTCTGTCTAATTTCAATCTCACTCACTATAATTTTCAGTCCAGTTCCTTTCAAAGCTGCTGCATACCATGGCAAAAATACAAAGCCCTTAAGCTCTGCCCTTTCCTAGCTGAGAGGCACCCAGCAAATGTGAGATGGGGTCACACCTCTCTTGCAGGTGACAATAAATACAAGGGCTTAGCCAGCCCTTGGGAACATTACAGGCACTCAGTAGTGGCAGCACTATTAGGGTGACATTTATGACTATCATGCATGCTTGTCCTACCAAAACAGGAGCTCTTCTAGAAGACCTGCTCAATAGAGCACCATGTCCCAAGGAAAAGAGCTCTGAGTAGGGTGTCAAGAGACAAGGATTTGAGCCCCATTCTGTAATCACCTGGCTGGGTGACCTGATGGAAATCAACCTCTATTGAACTTGTTTTCCTTATCTGTAAAATAAGGTTTTAAAATATCCCTTTCTTGTCATAAAAATCATGATTTAAAAGAAATTTTAAAGACGTAAGAACATGCTTGTGAAATGTTACGTGGAATAAAAGCAGGTAGACACATAGTTTGGCGGTGAGATGTGAAAATGCTTTAGAAACTCTGAAGTACTCAAGATTCAGAGCTGAACCTAGAACCCCATGTTCAGGTCACAATTCTCTCCTGGGGATGGGGCAGAGGGGTTGCGGGGAGGATTTCCATAGTCCTGGCTGGGGCCAGGCTGACAGATCCTCTAGCAGCCCAGGCACATCCCGGCTTGGTGGGGCAACAGCTCATCTCTCCCCAGCCCTATCAATCACTGAGTAGGGGACAGGTGCAGCTGGGCCTGGCAGCCTCCGGGCAGAGAAAAACGATTCCTTTTCAGCCCTAGCTGATTTGGGTGGGGGCGGGTGCAGAGGGGAGGATGCGGTCTTCCCTCACAAGTCAGCCCTCATGCTGGGGTCACATAGGCCAAGGGTTCTAAGCCAGGAGGCTCTGTGCAGTGCCAAGAGCACTGGACTTGAGTCAGCGTACCTGGGTTCCCCTGTACTCTGCTATCATCCCTGAGTGACCTTGGGCTACTGCTCCTCCCCATGCCTTAATGTTCTCATCCATAAAATGGGGACACTAACAAGATCCCTTCCAGATTTAACTTTCTATAAGATTTCTGAGTTGGAGAGACCACAGGACATCCACAGAGCCCTGAGAGAACCTCGAAGACCCCTACTCCTGGTCTTATTATCCAGTCAAGACAAAAGACTTGGCTCAAAGAGCCACCCACACGACTTGAAGCTGGATGTTAAGAAGGACTTCCTAAAAACTGCCAAATCCTAGAACCGTGGCCACCTACTGCATTCTCCAGCACAAATGCCTGCTGGGAACAGGCAGGTAACACAAGTGAGAGAAGCAGGCTGGGGGGCTGGGAGGCCCTGGAGCAGGCCCACCCATCCTGAGTGGACTCCACTCTTCAGCTCCAGCTGGTTGCTTCCATGCTAGAATGTGTTGACAGAGCTTTCAAGTTTTCAAAAGAAGCCAGAAATCCAGAATTGTATATAAAATCTACTGTTTAAATACTGGCAGCTCAATTTGAGTGGTGAAGATTTATGTGGGCCAAACAAAAACAAGTCTGTGGGCCAAATTCTGCCCACAGGCTGCCAGTTTGGGACCTGCGCCGCAGACACTTTTGAACAGAAGATCTTTTCAGCAAAGAGGAGGAGAGGACTGGATGATATCCTATAAAAAGGGATGTGAGCCCAAAGCGGAGAGGTTCCGATCTGGGATGTCGGCATGGCAATGGCCCAGGAAGACCTTCCCTCTCAACTTGGAATGAGACACCTAAATTGAACACCAGGTTCAGTTTGAGTCTTGTCAGGTAAACACAGCAAATTCAGCAAGCCCAAAGACAAGCAATAAAATTCAGACCTGGGGAAAAATCTCAAAGGAGGTGAAGCTAAAGAAAAATGACTTTTTGTGTCTTTAGGACTAGACACAATGACCTAGTCATTATAAGGACAGAAACCTGGTCAATCTGAGGATCGAATCCTCAAATTACAGGATGTGACAAGGATTTGACAAGGGAGACTTTCCCAAGGGGGAGACCTGTTGCCACTCAGAACAGACCACGGAAAGAGATGGAGGCACCTCTGTTCCTGGAGGCAGACCCTCAGAGCTAGGGGAGGCCCCCACGAGGGAGGTGGCCCTGGGTCCCAGCCGCGCTCACCGATGGAAGCTGTCCACCATCTTCAGGTGGACCCGCAGGTCCTTCTTGGTGAGGTGGTCCAGCATGCGGGCGTCCACCAGGCACTCCATGAAGTAGCTGCGGTACTGCGGGAGCCCCAGGCTGGGTAGCCATTCATTCCCAATCCACTCATGGTTCATGTCCCCATAGGCCAGGGTCTAGGGAAATGAGATGCAGGAGGCTATTATGGGGGAGGAAGGTAGAGCCAGCAGGCTGAGGCTGGTATAGCTGGTCGGGAGACACATGAATCCATCCTCCACCCATGAGGGAGGAAGGGCAGTCCAATACAATTTCAGTTTATCTTCAATAAGGGGGCTGGTAGTGGTGGGAGGTGAGGATTTTAAATGGAACTTTTTAAGATCTCGAAATGATACGGTTCCACTCACATATCAATTATCTACACTAATGAACAGAAGTAGCTATCCCGGCAGCAGCTAATATGAAATCCTTCCTGTTGACTCTGGGTTGCATTTGCGGTATTGTGCAGCAGACGTGCCTTCCTGACTCTCAGTGAGCCTCAAGCCCGCTGAGCCCAGGGGAGAGGCTGTGTTACAGAGGACCTGCAGCGTGGCAAAGGAAGCCTGTCTCACTCCGGGACAAGGCTGGCTTCATGGAGGAAGCAAGGAAGTTAAATGTTGGCAGAAGACTGAAAAAAATAAAGGGTGGTGGCCTGTGCCTGAATAGCCAGCAGCACTCATTCTCTAAGGCCTGAGCCTCTGCTCCAAGAACACTCCAGGTCCTCTGTTGCTTTCCCACGCACACCCTGCCGTGTGGTCCTGCAGGGCCTGTGCCATGTGGACGTGGCCTCCTGACCTGGGCAGGGTGCTCCGTGACCACCCAACTTGAGAAAGCTTTAGTTTTCATAGCGACCCTACCTCACTCTTTCCTTACCCTTACTTGATGTTTTCAGATAGAAAAAGTCTATTTTGTTCTCTTTTACAATGTAATAGCTGATACATATAAGACTATATGTAATGTGCCCATTATGAAGCATATAAATGAAGTTAGCAACAGTGGACACCAACCAAGCTAAGCAGCAGAGCATTACCCACACTGTACTGTTTGCACACTGATGCTCGCTGTCAGCACACATCTCCTACTGCCCCTCTAAAAGGGAACCACTATGCTGAGTTTTCTGACTATTCCTTTGGTTGTAAAAAACTGTTTTACACTTTTTACAATCATCCATGTATATTTCCCTAAACAACATATTATTAATTTTGTTTGGTTTTGAGTTTTGGGATCAAATTCCATGCATCTTTTAGGATCTGCATTCTTCATTTCACACCCTATGGCTCGGATCCCCCCCGACCCATCACCTCTGCCAAGGGTGTTTTATGGCATGAATGATTCAGCCAGTCTCCTGCTGGTGGGGTTTTCCCTGAGCAGATATACACAGTGCTGCTCCCTGCTTCATTCTTCACAGCTCGCATCACTATCCAATATTGTCCCTTTATTTGTTTACTTATTGAGACTATCTTTTTTTTTTTTTTTTTTTTTTTTTTTGAGACGGAGTCTTGCTCTGTCACCCAGGCTGGAGTGCAGTGGTGTGATCTCGGCTCACTGCAAGCTCCGCCTCCCAGGTTCACGCCATTCTCCTGCCTCAGCCTCACGAGTAGCTGGGACTACAGGCGCCCGCCACCATGCCTGGCTATTTTTTTTTTGTATTTTTAGTAGAGACGGGGTTTCACTGTGTTAGCCAGGATGGTCTTGATCTCCTGACCTCGTGATCCGCCCGCCTCGGCCTCCCAAAGTGCTGGGATTACAGGTGTCAGCCACCGCGCCCAGCCGAGACTGTCTTTTTTATCCCTATTGACATGGTTTGTTTACTGATATTATTCCTTTATTTGTTTACTGCCTCCATGAGGGCTTGCTTTCTTTACTTCTATATCCAGAGAGCCAGGAAAGGCCTAATCCTTATATTTGCTCAATAAACGTTTGCTCATGAAATGGATGAAAGACCTTCGCTCAGTTCACCAGGGTGCCCCTGAGAGGGACAGGGAGAGGAAGAAGACTCATACTAATCTAGGTCTGATTATTCCCAGGAAAAGAATGAGACTGAGGAGAAGGGCCAGGAATGCAGGGGCCACAGTCCTCCAGGGCTCCTCACCTGCCACCCTGAGAAACCAGAACAAGCAGTTTGAGGGAACTGGGTGGGGGCGGGGGGCACTCTGATGGGAGCAGAGAACCTATGTCCAGGGCTTTTCATATGAAGGACTCAGAGATTCCTGCTGCGGAGAGAACCTACCAGAAGAACACTGTCCTGAAGTTTTGGGAGCTGGTTCTAGACAGGGTAGGGAGTCTTACCTGAGCCCAGCTGCCCTCCTCACTGTCCTAGCAGGAACGAGTGCAGCGTGTTAGGGGAAACAGGCAAAGTCAAGAAACCCATCAGCTCTACCCTAGGCCCCATCAAGGAGAGGAAAAAGACATCCCAGTATCTGGCTGGGTGACTGGGGAAAGCTCGTCAGGATGGTTAAGAGAGAACACAAGGTTGGTGTGTGCACCCATGTTTGCGTTGAGGTGGGGCAAATGTGTGTGTGGCAAAAACACACACCTCCCAGGCTTGACTGGGAGCCAGGCAAGATGCCCAGCTCTCCCAACACTCCCCATTCCTCCACCAGGGAGGAAGCACAAGGGCAGAGACTCTGTGGCTCAGGTCCATAGCAGGGCAAAGCCCTCCCCAGCCCAACTCTCCTCCGCTGTAGCACACCAGTGGCCCAGGGCAAGCTTGTGACCTCCTGGGAAGGATCACACACATACAAACTGCTCCGCTCCCAGCCTCACCCCTCTCCCGACAACCCTCCACCGTGACAGCAGATCACACCTCAGGGATACCAACCTCACGTGAGATCGATGGCAGCCCACTCTGACTGCCCACAGCCTTCCCCTCATCCTCATGGGAGTATCAGTCCCAACCCCAGGCCCAGGGACAAAGGCCAAGGGCCAGACTCACTGTTTTAGTAGATGTTTCCAGAGTTTCCATCTCTTCATGGGTGACCCAGACATTCCCAGAAGACTGCAGGCAGAGAGGAAACCTAGCTGGTCCTGGGTGTGGGTCCCCAGGATCCCCATCAGGCTGGGAGCCCAAAGGACAAGGACAAAGCTCCCTCCCTGAGTCCTCTGAAATGGGGGCTGGTCTCAATCATGGAGATGGCCGACAATGAAAGACTCCACCCCAGGGGCCCACAGAGCAGTCCGCATTCTTGTGTTAGAGGACCAAGACAATATTCACAAATGCCCTCTTCCCTTTGTTTCCCCCAACCTGACAACCATATAAAACCCCAGAAAGCCCATCCTGGAAACTGCCCAGAGACGTGGAAATTTTGGCAGAGTAGGGATGGGGAGATGGAGCCCCATGGGTGGTATGTGAAAGGCAGGGAACCAAGGCTGCTGGTATCCTCCTAGAATCAACATCATATCCTCCTGAAGACCAGGGAGAGCCCTTTGTGAGGATGGGAAGGAAGGGGCAGGGCTCAATGCTGCCATCTTCCCAAAGCCCAACAGGAGACCTTGCAAACTATGTTCCAGGACCTCTGAAAATGTCCTGGGCAAAGGAGGGGCCACTCACAGTCCTGGAGGTGGGTGGGGCAGAGGGGCTGGTCAATGACACCATCTCCTGAATGGCCAGGCGGAGCTTGAGCCGGTGCAGGGCATTGCTGATGCCGATCTCCCGCTGGATCTCTGTGTCCGACAGAGCGGACATGATGGCACCACTCTTGACGTTGGCCCGGCAGGCTGCCACATACCAGGCAGGCATCCCCACCCAGAGCTGCAGACACCGGGCACAGGGAGGTAATTCAAGGCCTGGGCCCTACCACCAAGAGTTTGGCAACAGCAAGGGGCAAGGGCCAGGCCTCATCCACGGACTCGAATAGCAAATACAGATCATAGGAATGTGGCGGTCATCAAACCCCTCACTCTCCCATTTTACAGATTAAAAGTAGCATCAACTCTCTCCTGCGACTGGTATGTGTGTGTGTTGGGGAGGGGGAGGGGGGCTAAATGCTAGGTATGGCACACTTCCACTTGGCAGGGGAGAAACACACTGTAAAAGTTCTAGGACACCACCCCTCTGCCCACCCCAAGCATCCTTCCCTCCAGACCCCTGAGTGGACTCCCTTTGCTCAGGCTTACCTCCAACCAGGAGACCACAGTAGGACCATCCCACTGGGCAAAGGGCATTCCTTTCCTGCGGGCATCTTCAAGCAGCTGGTGTCTTATAGGAAGAGGAACAACAGACTCACTAGTTCTTCCTTCTCCCTTAACTGTTCTTGCTCCAGGGACCACTGGGCTGTGCAAGAGCTGGAGACCCACAACCCTTGCTCCCCACCCTGGACTTCCTCTGCTCTGCTCTTCCTTCTTCCTCTGAAGAAATACAACAAGAAATGGGGCAGGAACACCTGACCACCCCAAGAGGGCGAGGAGCTCTCTGTTTGCATGTGACCTGACATTGACTTAGAGATTTCAATCTGCCCTGCCAGAGACCCAGAGGACCCAGGTCACTGTCCCATAACCCCCTTGCCTCCTTCTCCCTAGGCTCATCCTAAGAACCTCCTCCCAGCCCTGCTGTGCCCACATGGACCAGACCAACTCAGTTCAGGAAGGGCCTTGCTGGGGTCTGGGTCTCTGAGCTCAGTTTCACAGCAGCCCAGGGGAAGGGAAGTGGGTAGGGGGCTGGGCCCCACCCTGGCAGACCCTGGCCTGTGGCTCTTACTTCTTCTTTAGCCGCCGGTCCTTCTCTGCCTGGGTCCCCAGCTTGGCAGGCACCATAGGCTCCTGCATACTGAATTCGGAGTCTGTTAGCAGAACTACAAGGAAAGAGATGTGTGTGTCAGCCAGCCCCTCTGCCTCTCCTCCCTTGCCTGGATCAGGGGTGGGGAACAGAAGCAGCAGGAGGCTCCTTGGCAGAGGACAACCCATGGCCTGACGGGACCATTATTCCTGGAGCTTCTGCTCAGTGTCCCTGCATCCAAGCAGTCTCAGAGAATGGCATCAAGCGGGTCATCCCCAGTTCAGAGAGTCTCCCCAGGAGCCTCAGCCTTGGGGGTGTTTTCCAGCCAGATGGACCCAAGTTATCGACCCTAGAATCCTAGACAGAACCTGTCCTTCCTCCAAGCCAAGGTGCAAAGGAAACCCAGAGCCCCAAACACAAGTGGGCTACAAGGCTCAGAGAGAAGGATGACCCTGGCTTGGGTCAGGGGTGTGGAAATCCACACACTGAGAGCTGTGTCTCTGAGCCTCCTTCTCTGGGTGCATTCACTTGCACAAAACCACAAAGGGGAACATGCAGAGTTCTGTCTTCTACTAAACATCTCCTTGAATTGATGCTAGAACCCTTCAGAATTCGTGGCCAGAGGCAGAATCTTAGAATTCTTTTAAGTCCCGGTCACCCCCCCACAGTGCACAGTAGGCAACAAGTTTGGGTAATCCAGAAACCAATCTGAGGTGCTGTCTCAGGTTTAGGTGCCAACGTGTGTGGAGAGCATCGAAAATCATAAGGCTTCACCCAAAATGCTTCTTCCCCTGATCAAACCGTTCAGCTTCCCCTGTCTGTGGCCAGCTCCACAACTCCCCTCACCCCTGTGGACTGGGGAAGAAGGAGCTGGACCTCATTCTCTGGGCTGACACTCCCATATTCTGAGCAGAGGTGGCCATGTTCCTCCTCCCCGTTCCCAGACCACCCCTTTCCTTCACACACAGACCTCTCCCTGTCTCAGCAAATTCCTCTTTCTCCTTCCTCTTTCCCCAACCTCCTCCTCGCGTGCTCTCCCTCCTCCTCCTCCTCAGCCAGCTAGCTGTCTTCTGATTCACATCTTCCTGAGCTGCAGAAAGGTCTAATTATGCATTTGGGTCCAAAGGTTCCTTTATTCTAGTTGATGAGTTCCTCCCCTGCACGAAATTCATCAATGCTCCCACTGCCTCAGGGGAACTCTTAAACTAAAACAGATGCTGCAAGGCCCTCACAGCTGGCCCCAGCCTAGCTGTCCAGTCCCATCTCCCCACTCCGCCCACCCTCCTCCTTCTCAACTCAGAATATGCATAAGTACATACCAACCTCTCACACCCACAAACTTTTGCCTTTCCCAGACCAACCCCTTCCTCCACACACAGATGTCTCCCTGGCTCGGCTAATTCCTATGTGGCCCTCACACTTTAGCTCAGGTGTCGCTACCAAAGGAGGCCGCCCCTGTTGTCCCCACCATTCCATAGCCGAGTTCTGAGTCCCACAAGCACCCTGGGCACATCTCTATCAATAGGTTGTTCTGGAATTGTCTCTTCTTCCTTTTCATTAGACACTGAACTCCTTGAAGGAGTGAACTGTTGGTCAGCACCTGTTACTAAGACATACAGTAGTTACTCAATAAATGTTTGTGGAACAAATGGCTGAATAGATGACAGAAAGAAAAGGTGGAGGAACAGGAAGGAAAAGAGAAAAGAAGAAATAGAAGAGAGGGGGCAGATGAAAGCTAACATTTAACGTGTACTCACCACATGCCAAGCATGTACTAGACATTTATACTATCACAGAGGTGATAACGATGCCACGCTTGCCTAAGCTCTTCCTTGAATTTAATGTCTACAAAGCTATAATTAGGTGTTATCACATTTTGAGTCCCAGAGGCCAGATGTACCCAGAAATAAGTTCCAATCAAGAACTGACTCTTCTAAAGAAACAACCAAGAGATTTCTCCTGAAGGTCCCGAGCACAGTACCTCAGAAAATCTCCAAATTCAAAGAAACCCCAGACACCCAATCTTTCACTCAATACAGGAGACCTTTCCACAGCATGCCAAATAAAGCCATCCAGCCACTTCCTGACGCTTGCAGAGGCAGAAGCTTACCCCCTCACAAGGCAATCCACCCCGCCATGAATAGCTCTAACCAAAAACTGCTTCTGCAGATCTGAGGTAACCTGCCTGGGGCTTCCCCCAACTGGTCCCTGGGACGCAGGCAGAGAAGGCCAGTCCAAGTACACCTTCCTGCTTCTGATGCCCCAATGCCCGCCCAGACCTCCGTTAGGAAGGGGACAGAGACCATGGCCTGTGGCTCCATCCCGACTCAGCTGGATCAGCCTGCCCTTCTCCTTCTTCCCAAACAGGCGGCCAATGGACGACTTGATGCCCTTGCGCTTGGCGCCCTTGTGCAGGGAGTCCTGGCTGCTGTTGCTGCTGCTGGGGTTGCTGCCCTGATCCTCCAAGGCACTACAGGGTGACAGCCAGAAGGGGGCGGAATAAGAAGAAACATACTTAAGTGACAGCAGGAAAGATGGAAGTTAGACCTCAGGAAGAACTTCTATTAAGTCAGAACTGGGATGGGGGAAAAGGAGACACATGAACTCCCTTCCCTGATGGTGTTTCAAAGAGAAGTAAGACATTCAGAAACTGGGACAGGGGAGATGCGGTCCCTGCAGAGGCAGAGGAAGGGAGGAGAGGACCCTGTGGATGGAGAGACTGGAGGTGGGGTCTGCTCTACTTACCTCTTGCCTTCTTCCTGGCTCAGGGCTGGGTGGCCAAGCTTCTCTAGCCGCAGCGTCCTGGGTGAGGAAGGAGGAGAAGTCTCACATTTTATGGTGGCTTTATCCTCTCGGTTCTCTTCCCGAGACACTGGCGACTGAACAGACAGTGGAGCCGTCAGGGGATAGAGGGAGAGATCTCGGGCCTGCCTACCCAGCCCAGAAGAGGTGGCGGAGCATGGAGAAATGCAGTGGGGAGGCCCTGGGTGCCTCTCTGAGTTCAGACTCAGACTCAAGGGCCCTGGGGGAGGAAGCTGAAAGGAAAGGGCATGGGAGCAGTGAACCCGTTAGTACCTGGGCCATCAGGCAGCACTCACCAGCAGCTTCCTCCTATGCTTTCTTAAGTCACTGGGCTGCAAGAGAGAGGGATGGGTAAGCTCAGACTCACCCTCTGGGTGCCCTAGAGCCAACCCCAGGGGAGCCCAGTGGTCTTAGGATGAGAAGATAGGATTCAGTGCCTCACACAGGCCCGGAGAGAATATCACGCCAGAAAAAAAAAAAAAAGCTGGCCTAGAAAAACAAGCCAGGGCTTATTTCTCTGGAAGAAAGGAAGAGGTGAGGGCAGTGGGTGAGTTTCTTAAGCAGTCTGGGCTCATCCAAGGGAGAGGGCAAAGAAGATATGACCTAGGCCCTTCCCAAACCCAGAAGGACAGGCTGGTGGCCTGACATGTCGGGGTCTGCACACACCATGGGAAGAAGATGGCAGGCCCAGCTGAGAGCACGTGAGTCCTACCATCCCTTAAAACCTCCCCCGGTGCAGGGTCCAGTGATGCCAGGCCTGCTCCTCAGCTGCCTCTCACCAGGGTCATGACCCCCATTCGGTCCAGGTCCTGGGCAGCACTGCGGGAGGTGAGCTTAGGTGTGGAGCGGCCGCTGAGTGGTGGGGACGCGCTGGCCAGGGACAGGGCCGTCAGAGAGGTGGGGATGGAACCACGCTTGCGCAGCTGCTTCAGGTTTAGGGCTTCCATGCTGCCACTGGTTACACGCGTCTCAATCTCCTCCGCGCGGAGCTCCGTGGACTCCTTCTCTTCCTGAATCATCCTGGAAGGGAGGCAAAACCAGACCTCACCACTAGCCCCAGCCAGGACCAGCAGGAGGCAGTGCGGGTCGATGCCTGCACTCGCCACCAAGGACCACATGCGGTGTACACCCGCCAGGCTTTGTCTGTCCCACTGGAGCTTAGAAACACATCTCTTTCTTGTTAGCTTGCCTACTCCCTCCGTTTAACAAAAGCAGCTGCTGGGGAAGGAGGCACTTTCGTCAGTGGAACATAAACCATCCTGAAAATCAGAATTCTTGACATACCCCTAACTATAGGGTGGCCTTGAGTCAGGTATTTTGCTGTCTGTGCCTCAGTTTCCCAACATATGCTATGTCTGAAGTGGTATAAGTCAGCAGTTTCCAAGTGTAGGACTTTTAAATGATGCTGACCCCTGGTGGGGTTTTCCCTGTTCCACAGAAAAATGAGAGAAATAATAAAAATGGTACACGTGTGTGCCTGGGAGGCACTCAGCAAGGAGTGCATGCACACGCACACACACACACTCTCTCACACACACATGCTCCAGTAAAGATGCCCACTCCCTTTCACAAAGAAGGACTCGCCTTTATTCTGAGTATGTCTTTCTTACTTCAGGAATGTTAAAATGTCCTTTCTTTTGCAAAATGATTGCGATAATAGATAGTCATTATCATTAATGTTTTACTTTGCAAAATAAAAAGCTGGTGGTCCTACGTTTGTACCTTTCTCTCTCTCTCTCTGTGTGTGTATGTGTGTGTGTGTGTGTGTGTGTGTGTGTGTCTTCTTTGTAACTGGTCTGTGCAATACATTGAACCATTGAACTGGATGTCCTGTACAGCTTATAAAGCTCTGATACACTCCAGCTCAGATATTGCCCTGCTGTTTGTCATTAACATTAATAAACTCATTAAAAAGGCAGGACAAAGTGAAGGTTTTCACAACGTTCCCTGTCACTGTTTCTGTTTGATGCCTTATTAGGGACAGGAGGCATGGTGCAGTGGGCCAAGTTCAGACTTGAGTTTGAATCCTGGCTCTGTCACTTCTGTGTGGCTTTGGGCAAGTCACTTAACCTCTCTGAGTTTCTGTTCCCTTGTCTGTAAAACAGGGATCATGCTGCCTACCTCAGGCACTGTGGTAAGATGGACAGTGACATTTACAAAGCTCTCACCCTGAGCTAGCCTCAGTAAGCAGGAGCTACACTCTTAGTGGTTAAGATCAGCTGCAGGGCTGCAGGAACACAGCATGCATCCTCCTGAGCCCAGCCACATCGCAAGCCCTGAGAGGGGAGGTGAAGCCTGAGAAGTCCACTGAGGCCCTGCTCCTCTCACTCCGGCACTGGCAGCGGGCCTGATGACCCACAGAGGGTCCCTGAACTGTGGTACTCTAAGTTGCAGCTATAAGAGTTGGGCAAACCCATATAGGGTTTTTCCAACACAAAGGGCCCCCCTGCCCTTCAATGCACTTCCCAAGCCCTCCAGCCCTGCCCTAACCTGATTTCCTCATTGATGGCATCCAGCTGCTCCTGCAGCATCATGGCCAGGGTCTGGGCATCTGAGTGGCCGCTGGGGGAGACAACATCCGCAGAGCCCACCAGACCCCCTGGCTCATCCTCATCCACGTCGGAGATCTCAGGGTCACTGTCAAAGGCAGGGCCAGCTGCCGGGGCCAGCATCCCAGGCAGTGGAGAAGTCTCCCAGTCCTTAGCAAAGGAGGAGGGTAAAGGAGTCGTAATAAGACACCCAGATAACTGCAGAGCAGGACCCTCCCTACCTCTACCCACCAGCACTGGCATCTCCTGGGAGCTTGCTGGAAATGCAGAATCTCAGGCCGCACCACCAGACCTACTGATTCAACATCTGCATTTTAACAAGACCCCTGGGTGGTTTTTTGGTTTTTGGTTTTTGGTTTGTTTGTTTTTTGAGATGGAGTCTCCCTCTGTCACCCAGGCTGGAGGGCAGTGGCGTGATCTCGGCTCACTGCAACCTCCGCCTCCCAGGTTCAAGCAATTCTCCTGCCTCAGACTCCCGAGTAGCTAGGATTACAAGCGCACGCCACCACGCCCGGCTGATTTTTTGTATTTTAGTAGAGACGGGGTTTCACCATGTTGCCCAGGCTGGTAGTGAACTTCTGAGCTCAAGCAATCCACCCACCTCAGCCTCCCAAAGTGCTGGGATTACAAGCGTGAGCCACCGTGCCCGGCTGACCCCTGGGTGATTTGTTTGCACATTACAGTCTAAGAAATACTGCTCTAACTGTTAAGAAGAGAATCCAGAGAGAGACGGCTTTGGTTTGAATCTCATCTCCACCAAACACTAGTTGTGCAACCATAGGAACATTTTTTAACCTCTCTGTGCCTCAGTTTCTTCATCTGTAAAATAGGGATGGTAAAGTACTTACCTCATAGATAGCTGTGAGGATCAAATGAGGAAAATACATGTAAAGCCCTTAGCACTGTGCCTGGCACAAAGCAAGCACTACATAAATGCTATCAGTTTCCATCCATACAAACTCAAAGGCTGACTACACCCAGAGAACAGAAAGGCCAAGCAGGCCTGAATAGACAGTCTGCAGAGTTTCAGATCATCACAGGACAGTCTGGTCAACCCTGAGAGGCGGCAGCTTCTCTGAAATCATCCTACAAACCTATCCAGCGGACAAAGGCCCAGAAGAGGGGAGGGTGGAGAACAGAAGAGTAGAGAAGGAAGGAAGGGAGCCAGGGACAGAAAGGTACTCTAACACCCATCCTCTATGACCCAAGCCCCCTAGCTCCCCTTCAGGCTCCTGCAGCCTCTCAGCTCCTGGATAGCTGCTATATTCTTATAAACAGAAAGAGCAAAGAAGTCGGGGGAGAAAGAAAAAGAGGCACCTTCAGACTGTGACTCCCCCATCGGACTGAGGATTTCTTAAGGGCAGAGTGAATCTTCCCCTGAGACTAGGAGTTCCCTCTTTCTCCATCTATATCTTCTAATACCCCAGTGCTCTAAATGATATTTAGAGGACCTGGATTCAGGACAGAGCATGACGAATAATTGCACTTTCCCAAAAGATCAAACTCGGCATTTTTCTGCCCCATATCTTTCCTCATTCTCCCCTAATCTCCCTAGGCAGACTCAGACAGCATGAACTCACAGCTGCTTCTCGGAAAACTCCAGGTGCCATCCCAAGGGCCAGTTAACCTGTCATCCCTCCCTCGTCTCCGCCATGAACCACAGCTTTTGTTCCAGAAAGTCTGCCAATTCCATCTTACCCGTGAAGCTCCCCCACCCCCCACGCCCGACCACCAGATACACACGCCTGCACGCCCAGGCACACGCACACACACTTCAGTGGGGCCTCAGGGACTGTTGGCTGCCTGCCAGCCCCCACCTCTTGCCCACCAGGAGGCCAAGGCAAGCGGGGGGGGGGGCACAGCTGTTGCAGCTGACGATGGCCTCAACCCCAGGGCTGCAGCTGTCATTGACACGGGAGGGAAGGGGAAGGATTTGCCCCACACACCAGCCGTCTGCGTAACTGGAGCCAGGCACGCGGCCGAATTGACCCCAAACTCCCTGAGGAGATCCCTCCACCCCCTCACCTTGGCAGACTCTTCCCTCAATGCCGAGTAGCGGCGATGCACGCCTGGGGGTGCGTGTGTGGTTGTGCCCAGGGAGAACCGCACGTCTGCTGCACTGCCCATGTGCGACCTTGAGCGGTGATGGGGGAGAGAAAAGACAGGCCCTGAGGACTGAGACCCCCAGCTCACACCCAGTGGGCCCAAAGAGTCAAGGGATCTTCAGCTCAGAGAAGAGACATCTTAGCAGGACACAGAGCTGTCACAAATGTCTGAAGGGCTGCCGTGTAAGCAAGAGAGCAGACGTATGCCCTGGTGCTCCAGGGGTCAGAATGAGCCAGGGGAGAAAGTTCCAGAGAGCGGTTTTCCGTCTGGCATAAGAAGGATCTTCTAATGGCAAGAGTTGGCTTACGATGCAACTGGTGGCTTTTAAAAAGTTGAGCTCCCCATCAAAGAGGTATTCGAGCAGAGGCTCTCCGGCCATCTGACACACGTGGCGCAGGAGGGCTCCAGGCACTGGGAGATGTTGGAAGGGATGATGTCTAGAGGCCCTTTTCACTCTGAGGGTCTTTGTTTTTTGGTCTTCTACCCAGCACTTTTCCTCGGGTCTCCCCATAATCTGGACTGAGTCCCTGGTTAAAATTCAAGCCAGGCATACCCCTATGCCTAGGAAGCTTTAGGAGGCCCTAACACTGTCAGAAACACAAGCCAGAGAAAATACTTTGCCCCAAGAGTCTATTCCAACCCTGAGATTTTAGGACCCAAGCAACAATCCCCTGGAATATCTGGAAGCCTCCCCTAGTGATACTTCCTCCCTGTGCCTTCCTACTTGGAACCCTTGAGGGAGTCCAGAGTGAAGGGACACAGTGAGCCTACAACAGACCATACGAGGTCACTGGAGGGAGAGGGAAGTTCCTGCATGTTCCCCTTTTCTCCCTGCAACTCAGCCCCAATTCCACGATGAATCCAATGATTCTATAGTCGAACCCAAGCATTCCCAACCATTAAGAAAAAAAAAAAAAGCCAAGCAGTGGCAAATGGCTTGGTGTACTGTGGGCCGTATTTTACTAATTGAGGGGTTGTCTCTTCTGGTCAGGATGGGAGAAGTAGGAGAAATGCCAACTACTGTTGCCTGTCTCCATCCTCTGCTTCCCTTCATACCCATATACAATAATTCCTGGCGAGCGTGGAGATGGCACTTAAGTCTCTACCACCCCAGACACCCGTGGGCTTCTCTTCTTCAAGCTCAACATCCCCTTCCCTATTTCAACCACTGCCCCTCCACACATATCTATATGGATATTTCCATTAACCTTTCTTCATGGTAGTTCATCTCCATTTCCCTGATACAGCAAGCACATGACCAAAGGGAACGGCAAGGGTTCTGATCTAAGAGACTTTGGTTTGGAGAGAAAACAGCCAAGAGCCATGAACCTTGAGTGGCACCATCCATTTCAGTCTCCCCTGTCTTCACCCCACCTCTCTGGCCTGGGTACTGAGGACAGGCTCGAGGTCTGAATTCAATACCCATCGCTCCACAAAATGTGGGGGAAATCCCGAGGTTCCCTAAACATGGGCCTAATTCAAGCATTAGGAGATAAGCTCCATCTCTCACAATGGTTTCAAGAAAAGGGATGCCAAGTCCATAGGATTGCCATGGCGTCTCAACTTCCAGTAAGGAAGTTTCTGATGCTTCATTCCAATCTCTCCTGCTGCCTTTCTGCCCGCTGCCTGAACTCAGGTGGTCCTTGACTCTCAAGAGAACTGGAGTGAATGGCTCTCCCTACCAGTGGGCCCTGTAGGACATGGCTAAGCAAGGGATGTGCAGGCCTCTCTCAGGGGTGTGCCCTCTGTCAAGGAAGCAGAAATCATGGCCTATGTCCTACCACAGCGGGGACAGAGCACTGGCTGTCTGATGACTCGCCTCTCAGCAGCCCTCGGAGGACAGGTGTTCCCTCCCAAACTGCCCAAGTAAGCTGGGTGACTCTGACCAAGTTATCTGAGCCTCAGTGTCCCACCCTGAACAGGAGGAGGACCCTGAGGTCCTGGGCAGTCTTTTGTTGGAAGGAAGTCTCCTTCCTCACGGTCCATCAGGACCCCGTCCTGGCATGCCCAGCCTCTGGCGCTGCAGTACCTGGAGTGGACGCCATCCACAAACGGCCCCCCTCGGCCCTTCAGCTGGTCCACCTCTTGGCGCAGCTTCTCAATCTCTTCAGACAGGCGGCCCTGTGCCAGCAGACCCGGGGTGGGGGCGGGAGTGGGGGCCAGGGAGGGGCAGAGAGGGAGGGTGGGAGTCAGAGAGGGACAAAGAGGACAGCAGAGTTGGGGAGAAGCTGAAGAATGTACTGCAAAGTCCAAAGCCAGGGGCCCCAGGCCAGGCCCACAGATGACACCAAAAGAGAAGAGGTCCAACCAGAGAGTGAGTGGAAGGATGGGCAGGGGCAGGGCCAGGAGGGGGTCTGTCTGGGGAGGGCTCTGCTAGCCTAGGCCTGCCGACCCCTCACTACTGCACAGATGCACAGCAGATGAGGCTGGGCAGCAGAGGGCCCCAGCACCCCCTCAGACCTCACAGACATTGCCGAGGCCAGGACGGAGGCAAATCCTCCCAGAATCACCAGGCTCTGGCTGCACCAGGGTTTGAAGCTCCCTCCAAATCCTGGGGTGGAGCCCCTCACTGGGCCCTGCCTCTCTGCTGTCCACCTCTGCCCTATGCTTCTGGCCTCAGTTTCTTCTTTCCCTGTGGGCAGTAATGCACCTACCATGATGGGCTCTAGTGAGAAATCACGGAATAATGTATGTAGTGCACTAACATATGCACTAACACTGCCAGGTATCAGAGCAGCAGCGTTAAAAGCAGGGTGTCCTTTCCTCCCTGCAACCCGGCCCTCCCAGGCTGGGCGGGGCTGGCCGCAGCCGGGTACCTTGTGGTGGTGCTGCTCCTCAATCTGCCGCTGGGAGCTCTCCAACTCCTGGATCAACGTGTTCTGGGGGAGAGCAGCTGTGAGCCAGGCCCCTGCCTTCCTCTCCCATTCCAGACCTGAGCCTCTGGGTGTGCAGTCTCAGCCCCACCTCTCCAGGCTGGCCACCCACCCCATTGAGACCCCGCCTGCGCCCATCACAGTCCCGCCTCCCCCCGCCCCACACCCAGCACTAACCTCTCGCATCCCAACCCCGCCCCTCTGGGCACCTTCTCCTCCAGGGCAGCCATGCGCTCCTTCAGGTGGAGCTGCAGACGCTCGTTGGACTCGCTGAGCAGCCGGTCCACTGTGTCCGACAGCCGCTTGTTGTGGTCCTCATTCATCTTTTCCCGCTGGCGCACCTGCACAGCCGTCTGCCTCGCACCAGGCCGCCCTCCCAGGGAGGACCACCCTCTCCTGCTGGGGTTTGACTCCCTCCCCTGTCCTCTTCTCATCCTCTGGGAGCCACTCTCTCCAGTCTCCTGACCACCTCCCCCTTCACCTGCCAGCCTCCTCCCACTCTCTGTGGCTGTGTCCCTGGCCAGGCCCTTCCTCCGTGCCCCTTCCACAGACCGCCCTGGGAGCCTGTCCTGCGGGAAGGAGGGGGCCTGAGGGCCCGGCCTGGTGCCCTCACCCGTGCCAGCTCCTGGTTCTTCTCCTCCAGCTGTCCCTCCAGCTGCCGCAGGTGCTCCTCAATGTTGCCATGCCGTTCTTCAGCCTAGGGGCAGGGATGGGTCGGTGCAGCCCGCAGATCTCTGTTCTTCCTGCTCAGGCCCCGCATCCCCTGCACCCTGGTGCCAGGGTGGCCCTGGGGATCATGGCCCCCAGTACCAGTGACGCTCAGCCTCCACTTATCATCTTGGAGCAGGACCACCATCCCCATTGCCTTTCTTCCCAGGTACTTCAATACCTGCCAGGTCTCCCCTGCCTCCTCCTCGCTCAGGCCTAGCCTTAAAACATCCTGAAGCTAGCAGTTCAAGAGACTGTAAATAATCCCCATGCTTCCAGAAAAAGCTCCACTTGAAAGCATGAGCTACCATAAACCTCTACGCCTCCAGATGGATAGAACCACACTGAAGAGCATGGGCTCATGCCACACCGCCTGGGTTCAAATCCTGGCTCCCTCTTACCACCTGTGTGACCTTAGACAAGTTACCAAACCTCTATGTGCCTTCGTTTCCACAACTGTAAAATGTGGGTAATAATAGCACCCAGGCCCACTGGACCATCACAAAGACTAAATGAAATAATCCAAGGCGAACACTGAGAACATAGTAAGCACTCAACAAATGTTAGCCCCGCATGGTTACGGCTCTGCTGTTAAACCAGCCCAGGTGGGGTAGTCTCCCTTTCCAGTCATGGATGTCCAGAGATGGAGACCCTACTGTCTCTGCTGGCAAGATATTCTAGAAAGCCACATCTCTTATAGTCAGGAAATCCTTCCTTAAACTCCTCCTGCGATGACTCACTTGACTGTATTAATCATTTCAGCCCGTGCCTTCATGTCAGCTTTGGGAGACACTAAGGCTGACTGCTCAGCAGCCCACACATAACATCCTCTGCTGTGATTTCAACCCAATCCTTCATTCCTCGAGGCTGGAAAGACCTCCGAGACCATCCCGTCTAACTCCAACATAGTGATAAGGACACTGAGGCCCAGTTAAGGGAGGGGATGACTTTTCCCAGGTCGCAGAGACAGTCAGTGGCAGAAGCAGTCTTGGTCCTGGGTCTGCTGGGACACAGCCAGGCTGCAGGTTCCGTCCTCGAAGCAGCTGAGCTGCACACTGGCCGGCCAGCCTCTCCCTTCCGAGCACTGTGCCTGGTGCTTCCTAAACACCGGTTTTCTTCTCGCCACGGGTTCGAAGATCCCATATGAGGCTGACCAGCTGAAAACGCTCCTAAATTATTTTGATTAACCCCTGCATGTCTAAATCCAGGCATTTACCTGGCTCTTCCAGAACCTATTATGTTTTCAGCCAGCACACCTCTCAGGAATTACTACTTCATAAAGTATCCATTAAATAAAATTGTATTCTTTTTTCTTCATCCTAAAACTGCAGCCTTCAAACAACCAGGAGCAGTCCCTAGATCTAGAAGCTTCAATTTGGCAATCAAAGATGTACTCAACCTAACTCTCACCCCTTTGCCCTTCAGGGATATATATACCATTTCTCTTCTAAGGTTTCACCTTTCCAGAGATGAAAGTCCTAATCTTTCTGCTCCAGCCCCAAGTGAAAGAAAGTGTTCACCACGACGGTGTAGAGGATTAAAAAAAAAAAAAAAGAAAAAGAAAAACACTTTGCATCAACATAGCTTCTTCTCCTTCAAGTACTTTTACACCCCTTCTTATGAGACTGTCACATCCCTGCAGGGTGATGAGGACAGGGATTACTCTTCCAACTGACAGGCACAAGGCAGTGTGCTCCCTGGAATCACACGGCGGGAAGCAGTTTTCTGGCTCCTGGCCCAGTGCGCCTCCCACGCGCTCCCTTCCCTGCCTGGCTCCCTGAGAGCTCAGAACATGGGGGACAGAGGCAGATCCCAGGCCCCTGGCCCACTTGCCTTGGTGAGGGCTGCAATTCTCTGGGCCAGCTCAGCCTCCACCTCTGGCAGCGTCTCTGCCTTGCGCATCGTCTGCTGCAGCTTCTGCTCTGCCACCTCCAGCAGCTCCTGCAGGTGTCGGGCCTTCTCCTCACACTAGCAATGTGGGGGTGGTGAAGTGATTCAAAAGGGAGCACTGAAGCCCCCACCCCCACCCCAGCCTCAGCAGAGAGCAGATGACAGGTCAGAAGCAGCAAGGGACAATCTTGGTTGTTGGCTGCCCGAGACGCCTGACTTCCCCTTTCAAAGGGTGACCTGCAGGACCCCAGGGGCTCCTCAGCCATCACCAGTAGGTTCACGAGGACACCTCCAGGGCTAAGTACAATGCCCATCCCCACCCCACCCTGAGGAGGTACCTGGCGGTGCAGGGACTCCTTGTTGGCCAGCTCATTCTCCAGCTTGTCATTGAGGTCATGGATGGATGTTGCCTCACGCTGAGCAGCCAGGTAGCGCTTCTCCAGTGTAGTAATCCGCTCTTCCATGTCCTCCTTCTGGGCCAGAGCCTGGGAGAAGAGGGGACAAGAAGGACGGTAACCAGCCTTTCCTTGCCCCCATCCTGTCTACACCTCCCCACCCACACCTGGCTGATTGGAACCCATTAAGGGGCATGAGCTACACTCTCCTGTCAGTTTCTGGCTTTGGCCCACCCCTTCCATGACCGCCCCCCAACAATGGAGCCAGGCAAGGAGGCAGGTGTTCAGTCTCACGCCCCAGAGCCTTTGCCTGGCTCTCCCTCCACACGCTCCACAATGAGGTCACAGAGCAGGCCTGCGCCCTCACGCACCTCCCGGAGGTCCCGCTGATGCTTGCTGCTCAGCTCCTCCGACTTGATGAGGTCCCGGCGGGCCGTGCCCAGGTCCTCCTCGAGTTCAGTCACGGTTGTTGTTAGGGTGACCAGTCGCTCCCGGGCCTGGCTCAACTCAAAGTTCTGCTTCTCCAGGAGCTCCTGCAGCTCCTCTACCCGGCCCGTATCCTCCTCCAGGGATAGGGACAGTAGCTCTGTGAGTCACAGCAGCATCCCACCCACCCCACTCCCCTATCCCAGGGGTGGAAGGAGGAACAGCACACCCAGAGCAGGTCAAGGCTCTGCCCCCAACATCACAGCACTCCTCTGGCTACAACTGCCTCCCTCTGGGCCCCAGGAGGTCACTCCTGACAATGACCAAACACCTTGCTATCCTTTGTCTCTCTTGAAAACAAGTTTCTAGTTTTATCTGCTATGCCAGCCTCTTGTAACCCAGAAAGGGGCGTGACTGGGGGAACAAAGGTTCAGACAGAGAAGGAATCTTGCCTGATGCTGCCACATGAGGCAGATGGTGCCTAACAATTCAAGCAGACAAGCGTATGATGTGCCCAGCATGTGTTGGGCACTAAAATAAAAATCTACAGATTTCATTGCAGATGGGGTAGGGAGAAGAAGAAAAGAGAAGGGGGAATATCAGAGAAAGCCTCAAATTTAATTCAAGCAGTTAGTCTACTGAACTAAGGCAGAGCCGGGCCTCCAACCTCCCACCTTGGGGAACACATGACCCCTGCTACACAGCTCTCCATGACCTACCTTCCACAGGCGTTTCGGCCCCAGCTCCACAGTCCCCTCCTCTTCTGCCGCTCCATCCCGCACCCCTGCCCCCTGCTGCAGGGCAGACACCTGTAGGGCACAAGCCCCAGGGCAATGAGTCAAAGAGAAGAGAACCTCCCATACATTCCAGACCCTTCCAAAGCCCCTGTCTTAGTTAAAAAATGTCTCCTAGAAAGAGGTGCTCAGCCTAGCCTTGCCTAGCAGCTTCCAGCCATGGCAGGGAGAAATCTGACAAGAAACAGAGTAGGGCACAGGGGTGAACCAGCCTGGACTTCCAGGAGCTGCAGACTGAGGGTGAGCAGGCAGATTACCTGCTGGTGGGCACCTGCCAGCTGCTCCTCCAAGGTGGTGACTCGCTCCAGCGCTGCCCGGAGCCGCTCTCGCACCTGCTCGAGGTAAGGGGAGATGGAGGAAGAAAGGGGGACCCCACTTGAGTCAGGCTGGAAGAGACTGGGCTTGGTCTACCACCACTGAGCATGAGGACAGTGAAGGGCCTACTAAGCAGCACATTTGCAGGAGGGAGCCTAACAGGAGGACCTTGAAGTTAAGACAATGTTTGGAGGGAGCCAGTGCTCCCTAAATACCGGATGTGGAAATCTCAGAGAAGGGATACATGGGAGGCTCCAGGGCAGCCTGGCTGGATGTGGGGGCTGGCGGGCAGGTGGGCACCTTCTCATCCAGGGCCTTGTGGTGCTCAAACAGTGACTTGAGGGCCTTCAGCACCTCCACCTCACTGGAGACCCCCGAAGGTGACTGGGCCTGGCGCTTCACCACAGTCATCCGCAGTGACCGTTCATGGCGGGACACCAGGCACTCCAGATGTTCCAGAAGCAGCTGGCAGGGAGAGCAGGGGAGGGTGAGAGGGAGGGCTGTAAGCATGTGCCCCAGGGGCTACAAGCAGGGTCCATGTGATCCCCGAGCAGACATGAGTTACAGCCACCCCACTGTGAAAACACTGAAATACTTCCAAATGGGCACAGAGCTCCCGCCCCAACTGATACTACTCAAGGTGACTGCCCCGGCCTCTCCCCAGGACCCTGAGCTTTCTGTGAACCAGCAACTACAGGTGGAGAGCCCAGCACTGGTGGTTAAACGATGTAACTCTCACCCCAGGATGGGAGACAGGAAGAGGGAAGGATGGGGCTTGAGCTAGGACTGTGCCTGGCCCCACTCTTGCCTGCTCTCTTGGTCAAGGTGTTCACAACACACCCCCATACACACACACACACACGTGCGCGCGCGCGACACAAGGTCATCCCCACTTACCCGTGTGTTATTCCGTTCTGCTTTCAGTTCTGATATCTCTTCCTCCCGCTCTAGAAGCTGCTCCCGACACATGCTCAGCTCCCGGGTTAAGGTGGCAAATTCCTGAAAACCCCCAAGGCCCCTCAGTGCTTCAGGATTCACCCCCAAAGCAGTGTCCTGCACATGCAAGTCAGTGGTGGGATCCTCTCACCCATCCCTTACTTCCACCACCTCCCCCACAAAATCCCAATCCATCCACACTGCAGGTCAGTAAACCTGTAGCTAGCATGTGCTTCTCCAGAGGGGTCCACATCTCTGGGTCCTCCATGCATTCCATGTGTTAGAATCCAAGGGAACAGAGTTGTACACAAGAGTGAGAAAGTCACTGAGTCTGCTCTGCAGACCCTTCCCCATCCAGCCACCAATATGACCAGATTACATCCTCCCTCCCACCTGGCATTTCCATTTCTCCAGGAATTCAATGACATTTTCCTTTAGAAACTGATGGAGGGGAATTCTGCTTCTGGTTTGGTGGATTAAGGTCCAAACAGAAACTGATGGATATGAAAGAGGGAAGAGAAGGCCCAGCACAGTGACTCACGCCTGTAATCCCAACACTTTGGGAGGCTGAGCCGGGCAGATCACCTGAGGTCAGGAGTTTGAGACCAGTCTGGCCAACATGGTGAAACCCTGTCTCGACTAAAAATACAAAAATTAGTCAGACGTGGTGGCGCACACCTGGGTAATTCCAGCTACTCCAGAGGCTGAGGCAGGAGAATCACTTGAACCCGGGAGGCGGAGGTTGCAGTGAGCTGAGGTGGCACCACTGCACTCCAGCCTGGGCGACAGGGTGAGCCTCCGTCTCGAAAAATAAAAATAAATAAATAAAAGAAACAGGGAAGAGAAAGAGCTTTTGAAGATAATGCCTGCATGAGTGCCCCAGGGAGCTCTTCCAGCCCCATCCCAAGGCTTTGCAAACTGCAAGTAGCGGGTGAAATAAGCAGATCAAAGGACCTACCTACATAGGAGCAAGAGAGTATGCAGACCTGCCCAGTCAGGCTTTCTAGGAGCCCTGCTCAACCAAGCAAGGGCTACATCCCAGCTCCTGATGCCAAGGCAGTTGCCCTGGCTTTACCAAATATCCATGTACCAAGTATCACTTCTAGAGGGGCCCATTTCCACACTGTCAGGCCCAGATAACTTCAGAGACCTTGCCAGCCCACCCTCCCCCATCAGGACAAGCATACAGGGGTGAGAGACTGCTCCCACATTCCAGGCTCATCATATCCTGTTTAGCTAAACATCACCTCCTTCCAGGGAGGTTTTCAAATGAGTGGCCCCAACTCTGTGGATGTCCAAGGTCTAAGAGCGATGCAACAGGCCTCATCCCTGTCCTAACCTGCAGCCTCCCTCACACACCAAGGATTCATGACCAAAGGAAGAACTCCCAATCCCCTCTCATCACTCCAGATAGGGCAAAAGGGGCTAGAAGGGTTGTGGGAGGGCAGAAGGGACAAGAGATGCCAGAGCATGAGAAACCATGAACCTCTGACATTATTACTCAATTACTGCCTTTCTGTCAGGGCCATGGCCAAAGGTGGTCAAGGTCAAGCATCTCATACTCCAGAAGCCCAGGCCTGATGCTGTCTCACCCCTCAGCTTATGCACAAACACAGTCACACTTTCACAGGCACACACAGTCATGTACACATGCTTGTAACCAGAGACAGGGCTTGACAGCCTGCCACCCAGCCCTACACCATGACACCACCACCAAAAGGCTGGTGCTGCCCCCTCTCCTGGCCTCAAGCTCAGCAGCTGTCTTATCTCCCCCCACCACAGGATACCTGTCCCCTCCCTTCCACCTCTAACCTATCTGACACCCTGCTGTCTACAAATCTCCCAAAGCACAATGCTGTCTACAAACACAGGAGACGGTCTCCTCTGTCACCCAGGCTGGAGTGCAGTGACTCAATTTCAACTCACTGCAGCCTGGACCTCCTGGGCTCAGGCGATCCTCCCACCTCAGCCCCACGAGTAGCTGGCAGCATAGGCATTTGCCACCATGCCCAGCTAATTTTGGGGATTTTTGTAGAGATGAGGTTTTGCCACATTGCCCAGGCTGATCTTGAACTTCTGACCTCAAGCAGTCCATCCACCTCAGCCTCCTGAAGTGCTGGGATTACAGGAGTGAGGCACTGCACCCAGCCTACAAATACAAACTTCTTATCCTGGTTTTCAAACTTCTCTCTCATGTCATTTCCATATCACCTAAGACCCAGTCAACCTGGATCACCTGCTGCTTCTAAACACCAGCATGCCTTCCTAATATCACATCTTGGCTCAGTGGACTCCCTCCCCCTGGAAAAACCTCTGTCACCACCCGATGAAATCATAATCATCCTTCAAAGCCCATCTCAAAGGATACAGCCTTGCTGGGAGCTGTCCAGACTCCCCACGGGGAGGCTCTCTCCCTCTCCTGAAAGCCATTTGGAGGAGTGGTCAAGAACACCAACTTGGGAGTCCATCATTCAACCACAAATATTTGTGAGCACCTATCATGTACCAGGTCCTGTGCAGATCACTGGGGATATAGTGACAAGAAAGACACAACCCCTGACCTCATGAAGCTTCAGTGTGGGAAGTCAAGTAGGCCTGGGATCAAATCTCAGCTCTGCCCCTGTTAGCTGTATGATCTTGAATAAGTTACCTAATCTCTCTGAGCCTCATTCTCTGATCTGTAAGACAGACGTAACAGTCCTCCCTCCAGGTGCTGGTATGAGAGTCAAATGAGCCAATGTATAGAAAGCACTTAGCCCAAGCCCATCAAAAGCAGCTATTTTTATCACTGATACTGTGCTTAATAACCCTTTTGGGCCTCTCTTATCTTCCTCTGCATTCTCTCCGGTCACATGGGTGGTGTATCTCCTTCCTAGTCTATGAGCTCCTTGGTGGCAGGAACTAGTTCATTCACTCTAGGGCAACTTCAGAGCCTCGTGCACAGTGAAAGAGGAGGTCCCCACCTGCCCACCCAACTGCTTCACCAGGGCTCTGTATTCTTGTCCACCAAGCATCACTTTTGTGTAGGAAACTCACCCACTCAGGCCCAGCCCTTGTTCTCTTCCCCACACACTGGGAAGGGCCTGGCGCTGAGGCTTGAGCTCTTCGGCTCCTCAGGGCTGCCTTCCCAACCCCAGCAGCGCCCCCACTGGGTCAGGGTAGGCTATGCCATGTGTCCACAGCTGGCTTTCAATACCCATCTCTCTGCTCATACGAGGGGCAGAGAGGGCAGGATGTTCCCACAGTCACTGTGAGCACTGTCTCACAGACACACAACCCCCAGCCCTCTCTGGGTCTGGTTATCAGGCAGAGTTCACAGCTTCTTTGACAAGCAGCAGCTAAACAGCCCAAGAACCAAATCATCCAGGCTCCTGCTCCCTCCTGCATTCCCAGAGCATGCGCCATGCCTGGAATATCTACCAAGTGGGTGATAAGCAGGCATCAGCAGGGAGCTCCCAGGCCAATGCAGTGAGGGAGAAATAGGTGCAGTGGTGAGAAACTTAGCCCCAGGCTCAGTTCCTGCCTCCACCACACACTACCTGCATGGCCACGAGCAACTTACTCATCTCCCCAGCTTTAGTTCCGTGATTTGTACAATGGGATGATGGTGGTAACAGCACCAACTTCAGGGTTGTAAGAGTTTAGTGAGAGAATCCTTATAAAGTGCTTGGTCCACAGAAAGGACACAGTACACGGGACTACAGGACAGCTGGTGGTTGTGCTGTTGAGTGTGAGACAGGATGTCGAGACATCTGGCTGCTAGATTCAGCCCTGCCTATCATCTTCCATGTGATGTCTCTTGCTTTTTTGATCTATGCAATAACGGAGCTGGACGAGATGATCTCTAAGAACTCACCCATCTCTACTGTCTGTGATTCCCCACCCACCTCCAAGAATAGGGCACTGGAGAGGAGTACGCAGGGAGGAGGTTTCTTTCCAGTCTAGGGTGCCACCTACTGGCCGCCTGAGCTCACTGTAGCTGACACCTATGGCTGCGTTTTTCTACCCACATCAAATTCCATCCATTTCACCTTCCAGACTGAGGAGCATGGGAGTGACAGGGAAAGAATTCACGTAGAGAGATGAAGGAGAGTAAATGCTCAGTGAATTCCAATTATTGATATGCAAATAGATGCAGATGAGCTGAGGGCCCAGTGGATCTAGCAGGGCTAGAGGAGGGAAAGGGGTTAAGAGAGACGCAGGCCTTCGGGCCTTACCTGGGGGAGGGCGGAGTTAAGGTGGCGCTGGAGCTGGTCCCGCTCGTGTATGGCATCCTGGAGCCGGCTCTGTGTGGCCGCCAAGGTCTCCTGACTCTCCCGAAGAGACTCCAGCAACTTCTCCCGCTCGTCCAGCATGTTCACCATCAGCTGCTCGAAGTTGGCGTCAGCATCGGCGCCATGAGGGGGACCCAGGCGGTCCCCCTCATTGATTGTGGGCATCACCTCACACATGGTGGGGGTTGGCAGGGCCTTCTCAGCGTCAGGGGACAGGGAGGGACTCACAGGGTTGGCACCTCCAGGGGAACCCAGTGCATGGGTCTCAGAGTGGGCAGTGCCAGGCGAGTGGACAGGTGGGCAGGGGCTTCTCCCATAGCATCAGTTGCTTTTGCTCTGAAAGGGGCCTGGGGTCTGGAGTGCCCCTGTGGAACTGAGCCAGAAGGCCTGGCTTAACTTCTCAGGGCTGGGGCTGGGTGCCCTGTGTCCCCAGACATGCAGACAGCAGCCGAATGTGGCCATGACAGGCAGGGACAGCAGGGCTGGAAGATGGCCCTTCTCTTAGACTGAGTGCCGGAGGCTGGCAGAGTCCCAGCTGGATCTAGCGACACCCATCGTTTCTGGAGGGCAGTGTGTCTGTGGGAAAAGAGACTGCTGTGAGTACCAACTGGGTGGAGAAGGGCATCAGGGGAGGGGGTGGAGCAGAGGAGACAGGACCTGAACTAGAACATGGGGGAGGAGAGGGAGGTGCTGGCGCATGCCCCTTCTCCAGGCTTACTCACTCTGATGGCACCTCCTTAGTTCTCCCAAGGAATGCACATGCCTACTGCCCAGCCTCTGCCTCCCCCTGCTCCCCACAGCTGTCAGAAGTGCAGCCGCAGTGGCAGTGGTTCCCCTACCCACGTGGCTCACTGGCCAAATATAGAAATGATTCAGTCAGCGGCAGGGGAGCAGCCGGCAGGATGCCCAGAGTCCTCCTGAGACCTGGGGGTTGGAGGGGAGGAAATAGGGTCTCTGTGCCACCCCCAACCTTTTCCCCATCACTTAAGCCAACCAAGGCAAATGCAGATGGGTAGAAAGGACTCTTAGTGGGAGTGGCTGTGAGTCCTAAAGGCTGGACTCTTGGGGTCCTAGGAAACAGGGGCAGAGTAGTTCCTGCCCTGGATACTGGCACAACATGGCTAAGGGTTTGGAGAGGCACAGACTGGGTACTGGGGCAGGCAGAGAGCCCTGACCTGCTACATTGCCCATAATTCAGGGAGGAGGCTCTGGCTCAAGTCATTCCCCATTTCCAAAACCTGCCAAGGAGGACAGCACGCAGGCCTAGCAGACAGCAGGCTTGGATTCGGAGTTCACAGCCTCCTACCTTTGCATCAGAGCAGGGACTGAATGATGGAAAGGAACCCAGGGGTGATATAGAGGTGCAGGGTGCCACTCTCCTAGGGTGGGGCTACAGTGTGGCCCCTATCATGGCTGAGAATCTGCTCTCTTGGCGTCATTACCCATTGCTGACACTGCAGAAGTCACCAGTGAGGTCAGTCAGCATGTGCATAGCCTGGCTCTGCTGATACGTTGAGCCTGGCACAGGAGCCCAATGGTCAGAGCAAAGGAAGCCGGCGATGAAGTAACAGGAAAGTAATGAGAAAAAGGCCGCATGCAGCGAGGGATTTCTCTGCCTACAATCAGATTCCAACCTCCCTGTCTACGTTAGAAAGCTACCACCTTAGTCGTTTTTCAGAGAGGACTGTCTTCAGAGGTCCCAGTTGCAGGACAGAAGGGGTGTGAAGCCCTCAGCACAGCAATAGGCACACTGGAGGTGGCCCAAAAATGATATTTTCCCTCCTTCCCCTCTCTCTTATCTTATGGGAGACACAATGAAAGCCTTCTGTCTACCCTCGGGGTGAGAATAACAGGCAGACTAGGAGGGTCAGGGTGGACAAGAAGCATCAGGACCCAGTGTGAGGTAAGAGGTCAGACACTGCACAGGCCTGTGGCAGGACTGAACCCAGCAGGGAAAAGAGAGAAGGGCCGGGCCTCTCCTACCTGGACCCCCTCCCCAGAGTACTGATGCTCTAGGCAGAAACAGGGGAAAGGAAGAGGGAGACTAGGGAGCAATGTGGGGTCTAGATCTGAGGAAAGTTAGTGCACCAGCTTGAAAATTCAGAGCTCACACTCGCAGCCCTTCCCAGAGGGGCGCAGTAGTGCAAGCAGGCACGTGGGCATGCACACACACATGCCCCAAGATAGAAACACAGAGACCTAGAACAGATACACATGTGGCCACATACACACTCCCATGCATAGAAACTGGACACAAACTCTGGTCAAGGGGATCCTTCCCCAAGCCAGACAGCCACTGTGGAGGGCAGGGTCCCAGAAGGCTACAGAAGTAAAAAGTAGAAGCTTGGTCTGCCTCCTCCTTTCCCCAACACTGCTGCTGCCAGGGCAGCCTACTCGCACCTCCCTGCTCCTCAGAGCAGCTGGGAGTGGAGAGGAGGGGCTGCTGCCCCAGTCTGTCCAGAGCTGCCATCTCCCTGATGCTGATAACAGCCGTTCCTCCAATTCTCCCACCCACCATGCCCAGGTCCCTCCACCCTGAATGCTCCAGCCCTGAGGCTGAAAGGCCATATGGCCCCAGCCTACCCCCCCAAGCTCATCCACATCCAGGCCCACCTCCCCATCTTCCCCCACCCCTCCACACACACCAAGATGCCACGAGAGGCCAAAAGAGAAGACTAGGCTAGGGAAGGGGCCCCTTGTGGCAGAGGCTAACTTTGGAGAAGACTGTAGTGTGCCAGGAAGGAGCTTAGGTATCCCAGGAATGGCCCCAGCCCAGCAGATCCCCAGGCAGCCCGTAGCATAGCATAAAGGAAGAAGCCCAGAGCAGGGACTCAGGAGACTGGGGTACAGTCCTGCCACAGACCAGCTGGCTGATCTCAGGCTTGTTATCACCTACTGAGGCTTCGGCTACAAGACAAAACCCACAACCCTGGTTTTGCCTTCCTTAGAGGGATGAGATCATGGCTGGGCAGCAAATGAAGAGTAGAAAGCACCCTGTGATTGCACGGGAATGTGAATTACCTTAGTGTTGGCCACCTGTGGGTGGAGTTTTTAAAGCTTCTTACAGGAAAGGGGCTGGAGAAGTTCTCAGGAAGGAAGAACAGGACCTCAGGCTGCCCACTGTGAGGTACTGGCTATCTGGTCCAACTTGGCCTCCCCAAATCCTCCTGGTCATTTTAGCAACTGAGAAGCTGGCTTTGGTTGCTTCTCTTCTCACTAGCCCTTTCCTGGCCTCTCTCTAAACCAGGTGCCAGCGAGCAACTCCACTTCCCCTGGCCAAATGGCATCATGTAAAGCTGGTCTGAAGATAGCCCAGAGAGGACTGCCAGGCAAGATGCCCCTGAGATGACTGTCCAGGACCTCCTGCCCCTGTCCTCTCTGCTACACAGAAACAGTGAGCAGAAGGGAGCCCCAGGACAGCCACGTGGGGCACCTGGCTCCTTCCAGCTCCTTCTGGCTCCAGGGCCGTCTTTAAATAGCGCAATTATCATCTCAGCCTAACAGAAGCCTCCTCAACTCCCGCACAATTTCTAAGTAACACTCACAGGTCCTGATTCAGAGGCGAAAGCTGCCAGTCCCCAAAGCAAGCATTTGCAAGGGGCTTTGCCGGGGAGGAGTGTGGGCAGGCTGTGAAACAGAGGAAGAGGGCTCAAGAGTGAGTGGGTGTGAGTGTGCGTGTGTGGGGGTGGGGGATTGGACAAAAAGTAGGCCTTGGGCCTTTAGAAACACAAAAGAGGTAACTTGGGGGCCTCTTTGGCATCCCAAAAGTCACCCCCACCTTTTCCTAACACACAGGAGGGATGGGCATTTGGGTCTGTTGCTCTGGCTGGCCCCACACACAGGCCTGGCTCCCTCCTGCCTACCAGATGGCAGGCCTGGCCACGGAGAGAGCTGGACAAAGGCAAGGTTGCCAGCCCCTGCGGAGACCACAGCCCGGGGCAGGGCCGCTAGGAGCGTCTGAGGGGCTATTCAGCTGGGCAAAAAGGGAGCCTCCAGGTGGCAGCCACGAGGGAAAACAGGAGGGTCGGACACCCACCCAGCTGGAGGTGAGAGGAGGATCTGAAGAAATGGGGAGGGCGGGGGTCTTCCAGAAAAATAATGGTCGCCAGAGCTGCTGTAAGTCACTCACATTTACCATGTGCCCAGCACTGTGCTTCCAAGTGGTATGGATTAATTTATTTTAATCCTCATAATTATTTGCAAGGAAGATGTAATTATTCTTCCCATTTCACAGAAGTGAGAACTGAGATGCAACGTCATGTAACCAAGTCTACACAGCTAGTGAAATGAAGAACCAGGATTCAATTTGTCTGTCTCATGCCAAAGAGGGGTAGAAGGAGGAAGAAGAGAGAGGGTAAAGACAACTCCTTCAGACTTCATGTCTTCTCCAAGAAACCTTCCCCACCCTCATCAGGGTGATGGCAGCCGGAGGACAGCTCCCCTCGGCCTTCCCTGTCCTCCTCCTCCAGCCTGGGGAAGGCCTCTGCAGAGCAGCCAACATGGTCATGAGGCCATGGGTGACTGAAAGGCCCCACTGGAAGGCCCCATCCTCCACGCACCCAAATCTCTGCTCCCAGCCCCTAGCTGGCTCCACACCAAGTTGTAGGCAGCTTCCCTGAGTTCCCCCCACTGCCCCCCACTCCCATAGGCGCTGCAGAAACAGACACTCTTCGGAGCCCTCGTCCTTGGGGCTCTCAGACATTCTCCCCAACGTGGGCCTGCAGCCCAGCTGCCCATGCCTCAGGCTGCCCAGAAGCTTCTCCTTCTTCCCTGTCTAGCTTTGTACCCCCAGAAGCCTGGCCCTCACCCATCCTCTCCTCCAGAAATCCAGCCCTACCTCCTCTCCTGCTGCTCCCTAGCCCTTCCCTAGCCCTGCTCACTGAGGTCTGCTCCCAGGACCCACCTATAGCTCCTGTTTGCCCAGCTCCTCACTGGCCTGCCTCTCATCTCCCTTTCCATGTTGGTCTCATGAGCTTAGATCACCTTGCTAAGCTCATCTCAAACACCACTTCCTCCATGGAGTCTCTTCTGATCCCTCCAGTGTGTGAGATCTGCCCTTCCGCTGACCCAGCATTGCCCTCTAGTTATACCTCTCTTCAAGGGGCTTCTCTTACTTTACATCATCTCATCTGTAGACCCATCTCTGAGTACTCTAACACAGGGCCCTAACACCCATGGAACTGAACAGACCTGTGCTGACAGTCGTTCCAGGGCAGTCCATCCCTGACTGACTTCAAAGAAGGGGAACTCCAAAACAGGACTGACATGGCCACCTCCCGGGTTCAAGTGATTCTCCTGCCTCAGCCTCCGAGTAGCTGGGATTACAGGTGCACGCCACCACATCTGGCTATTTTTATTTTTTTTATTTTTAGTAGAGATGGCATTTCAGCATTTTGGCCAGGGTGGTCTTGAACTCCTGACCTCAGCTGTCTGCCCACCTCGGCCTCCCAAAGTGCTAGTATTATAGGTGTGAGCCACCACACCTGGTCTGAAAATTAAACCTTCTTGAGAGCAAGATGGGGGCTGCTCCTGTCTTGAAAGGCAGACTCCAGAGCAGCTGATGATGCAGGTGACCCTGGGAAGATCCTGAATCTCTCTGAGCTTCCATTCCCCAACCTCTGTGAATGGGAATGATAACAGTACCCACCTCAGACAGCTGGGACACAGGATGTCTAGAGTCAGCCTACACAAAGTGCTGAGATCAGCACCCAGCAAAACTCGGTAAGTGTTCATGAACTCTCAGCACCCTAGGCTCCCAAAGCGCCTCAAGGCTGGGCCCACTGAACTACAATAAGAAAATTACAAATCTATTCTGGCTACAGGAAGCCATTCCCAGAGAAAAAACTCTTGGAAAAGCCCCACTTAAGAGTTTCCACTGCTAGCCACAGATCCCTTCAAAAGCATCCAGTTCTCTGGGCCCCCAACACGACTAGCAGTGAGACTTTACCCCTCTGTGATCAGGTTCCCAAATCTGGAAAATGAACATTATAACACACAATACGCTCCAGTGCTCTCACAGGTTGTCATGAGGCTCAAAGAGGTAACAGACATGAAACAGTTCTGAGAAGTATAAAATGCCGCCCAAGCACAGGTTAGTACCAGCTGCCGAATACACTCAGCCTCCTAATGCCAGGCTCATTCAGGGGACACGGAAGGAAGCATCTGTTCAGACAGGCTCCCCTGGGCCTGAGTCTGTGAAGCCCAGCTCTCCAGCTGCTCCCCAGGAGTTAGACATGGGCCACCTCTTCCCAAGACATGGCCTATCACTTGAGTGAGCACAGAACTTACTGTCTAAACCATGATCCTCTTGGTTTAGAGGGTCATGGTTTAGACAGTAAACCACTGTTAACAATCACACCAGAACACAGGTTTCACCTAGCCATATGGTCACCCTTGCCATTGCCACCCTAGTAGGACTAATGTCAAAACTAATGGGGAAGGCCGGGCATGGTAGCTCATGCCTCTAATCCCAGCACTTTGGGAGGATGAGGTGAAAGACTGCTTGAGCCCAAGAGTTCAAGACCAGCCTAAGCAACATGGTGAGACATCCTCTCTTAAAAAAAAAAAAAAAAAAAAAATGTTAGCTGGGCACAGCGGCATGCGTCTACAGACTACAGTCCCAGTTACTCAGGAGGCTGAAGTGGGAGGATCACTTAAGCCTAGGAGATGGAGGCTGCAGTAAGCCAAGATCACACTACTTACTCCAGCCTGGGTAACAGAGCAAGACCCTATTTCAAAAACAACAACAACAACAAAAAAGCGGGGAAGGGAGAACTACAAGCCTCTGGGCCCCCATCCGCAAATAGTTCCTCTTCTGAAATACCCAAAATTATAGACATCACACCTACCTTTTTAACTTAAGACTGGTGTTTGCAAACTAGGCTTTACGACAAAGTACCTTTAGGGGCAGTCCAAGGCCAAAAGGAGGGTGAAGAGGTGTGACAAACTCAAAAGGCTCTAAATTCCCTTTTCTTACTTTAATCCCATCAACTCCTAATCTGTCCGTTTTATGGGACATCTGATTAAGGTTTCAATTGTATAAAAGGATTCCAAGTCCATGAAGAGGTTAGAAAATCCCTAGTTTAAATATTGTCTACAGAAGCCCCCTGCTAAAACACACACACACACACACACACACACACACGTTCTCTCAGAAAGGCTGTACATCAGTGCAACAGTGACAACCCTGGGAATGCTACACAAGTAACACCAGGAGCCAACCATTTTCCACACTCTAACTGTCTAATAGAGATCATATAGTTACTAAGTCAAAATATGAGTCTGCACCACCGAATACAGACACAGCTTTTGCTGAACTTACATCATTAAGTACATTCCCAGAGAAAACCCTAGACATCTTCTGCTAATCAGAGCCATTAATCAACACAAATGTCCTCAAATAATGTTTGCAGAAGAAGAAACAAAGTAATAAGCATAGCAAATTTGGAGAATAAAAATATTTCAAAACTAGGGATCCATGTGGGACAAATATTAAACAGGGTCCTCTGGTGGTAAAAAAATGCTCAAAGTCACTGCATTCGTAGATCAACCCATCAGATTAGGGAGCCATCGCAGAGGAGAGAAGAGGACGGGTCCGGAGTGCTAATAGGCACCAGGTGTAAAATGTCCAGAGTACAGAACTGCAGGGAGGAATGTAGGCATCATAAAAAATGTGCATTAGTATGTGGTCACAGAAGTGGCGGGCAGTACGAAAAGAGAATGGGGGGGTGTCATGTGTCGTCATGCAACAGAGTGTGTGTGTGATCATGAGAACGCATGGTATATATGTGTGGCCATGAAAAAGGAAGAGAAGCCAGTGCAGTGGTAGTTCATGCCTCGGGCATAAGCCCTCGGTGCAGTAGCACTTTGGAAGGCCAAGGCAGGGAGATTGCTTAAGCTCAGGACTTAGAAACCAGCCTGGGCAACATGGCAAAACCCCATCTCTACTAAAAATATGAAAACTAGCTGGGCATGGTGGCATGCACCTGTATTCCCAGCTACTCGGGAGACTGAGGTGGGAGGAGCACTTGAACCCAGGAGGTTGAGGCTGCAGTGAGCCATGATCATGCCACTGCACTCCAGCCTGGGCAATAGGGAGAGAGAGGGGAAAAGGGGACCGAGAGAGAGAGAGAGTATATGTTGTATGTATGTCTGTGTATAAAGGTATGGTCATAAGAATGGCATCCTGAGAGCACAGGCATGAGAGCAAGTAGGTATATAGACTCATGACAGTGTGTAGATGTGTGTGGTCATAAGTACATCAGGGATCTTGACTGCATATAATTGTGGTCATGAGAACACATGTGTGGGTACACAGCCATGACAGTAAATGTGTGTGGTCATACATGCATAAGCATCTGGGATTCATAACATCATACATGCTCCCAGGAGCACATGGGAGCTGTGAGAGCTTGTGCAAGTATGCGTGTGTGATCATGAAAGTGTATTGCTGCTCATGAGACAGCGTAAGTCCACGTGTGGCCTCGAACCTATGTGAGAAGGTATAATCGAGAGAGGAGGGAGGGATGGGGTGATACTGAAAGAATGAAAGCTCCACTTACTCCAGGGGCTCTGCCCCAAAGTAGGACCAAAAATTTGGGGCACTCCACAACTAGCCTAGTTTAAGCTGAAGTCATGGAACTGGGGCCATCCCATCTTTCTACCTACCCCCACCCATCAGGGATGCACTGCACCATCTCCCAAGCCCAGGCCTCCATGTCCATGAGATTTCTGGGGTCACCCCCCTGCATGTCCCAAAATGCCCACTCCTCACGGAACAGCTCATGCAAAGCTCCAGGCCCGGCCCCACTCCCCAGGCCTCCACTCCCAGCAGCGCTCCTCTAGGCCAAAGGAGAGCCATCTTCTGAAGCAGCTGCTGAGGCCCTCTCCCATCCAGCCTCACCTCACACCTGGACTCAGAAGGGCTCTCGGAGGTCACACAGGCCACTTCCCACCCTGTGTGGGAGTTCCTTTCACAACATCCCTGGCAGCCCAGTCTTGACTTGATTATCCTTCAGGAACAAGCAGCTCACTATCAAATGAGGAAGGCTTCATCGTTCTAAGGAAGCTTTTTCTTAAATTGAATGGAAAACCCATCTCTCTTTGAAATGACAGTTATCTATCTGAAGACAGTGGCCATGAAGGCACATCAAGTATATATCTAACTTATGAGAATTCAACTCTTAACAGCTGGGCGAAATAAGCAATAAAGGCCTCTAAAATCAAATCAGCTATTTCATCTGACACTTCACTACAAAATCATATTGTGCGTATGCACTCTTTGTAAAATCACTCTACAGTAGTATATACAGTATCTATTTACATAATATAGAATACATATATACCATATCTATACATTCATATTACTGTTCAGGGTTATAAACCCATATGCCATGCTTTATGAGAGACTGGGAAGTTTTCACTTCATCTACTGCCCACAGAATCTAATGCCCCCAAAGGGATGTAACACCAGTGTCCTGGGTCCCCAGAGGCTTCGCTGCTCCAGGTTAAATATCTCCAGTGGCAAGGAGGCCCTGCTTCATGGAACTCAGGGGATCAGAAGACAGACCTCTTCAATTCAATCCAATGATCACTTACTGAGTGATTTCCATGCATCCGATACTGTTATGAAAGCAAAAGACATGTAAGACAGAAAGTTCACAGGCTACTTGAGAGAACACAGATACACATGTAATCACTGGAGAGCAGTACAGAGAAGCATGTGACCAAACACTCAGTCTCTGGCACAGCCAGGGGGTCAGTGCTGAGCACCACGTGGAGTTTGACCAACGGAATTAACTGGTGGCAGCTTCTCCTCCAACTCTCTCAGAACGAAGCATCCCCAGCCAAGGCCTCTCAGCCACCAAGTGAAAGGCAGATGGCTATTCCACGCTACAGCTGACTTCACCTGGGGGGATGGAGACACCTCAAGGAGGCCCCGAGGTTGCAGCACCCGAGCCTCTCTGAAGGCAGAGCAATGAGCTGGGCAGCAATCGTGCTTCTTGTGCAGTGGGCCAGCAGCCAGGCAACAAACGGGGAGGTCTCAGGCTCAGACCAGCCCTGGAGTCTCCTGCCATCCTCGCTTAGAGCTCCTTCCCCCACTGCTGTTTCCCCCACCAGCCCTGTCCCTGTGACATTCTCAGTTGCCTCAGGCCCCTCCCAGTACAGCAAATGCAGAGGGTCCCCTAGAAGCAGCCCCTTCCACAGTACATCAAGGACCATGGTCCCTCTGAATCCTCCACTCTGCTGGCCACCCGAAGTCCCACGCTCCTGTGAGCCAGCACCGTATGCCCTCCAGAGCTAATTATAGGTCCGTGAGCTAGCAGGCCAGAGGGGGACAGATGGTGACTTCATGTGGCTGCAATACACACTTGTCCCTCCCTCTGACCCCACTCCCTCCCCTCCATTTCTCTCAATTCCCTACGTAGGACCCAGACTTTGAGGCAGCTTTCACTCCCTCAGTCCTCCCTGCTCCTCACCTCTCCTCCTCTCCAACACATGCACAAGCACACACACTCACACACGCGTGTGCACACACACACACACCCCATACCACTCAATTGCCACACCTTGTTTCTACAGCAACTCACCTATGGAGCCAACACAGTAGGGCCTAAAGCCCAGGGAAGAATGTCCTTGGCATTCGAAGGCCTCGGCTAGCTGCCCATATCTTAAAACCCCCTTAACACCCAGCTCCCCAGCCCTGCTGAGCCTTCATCCCCACCTCATCACCACCACAGCCTGACTACTCATTCTCTTGCCTAGCTCTAGCTCTGCCATCCTCAGAGGCTCTGTGAGGACCTATAAGCCATCCCTGACAACTCTTTCCAACTCTAAGATTTCAGCAATCAACTCAGAGATGAGACCCAGGAGCCTGGCTGCCTGCCATGCCCTGCCCCTCCAGCCCTCCTTTACAGCCCAGCAGCCAGACCTCATGCACCACACGGTTCTGACATCACGACATGCTCAGCAGCACAAACCCCAACTCCACTGGATGCGAATTCCCTTCTACACCCTCCTCCCCCACACTATTCCATCTTCCAGAGATGGCGTCTCCCACTACACAGAGTGTCTAGGACATTCTTGGCCCCCAATAACCATTTTGTCATTCATTATCTCCTTACTTTGAGATACCGTTTACCCCACGAAGCCTCCTCAAGCCTCAGGACAAAATCTGAGAAAATAACCAAGGGAAATCATTCAAGCTGCCCTTTTGCTTAGGCAGCTTCCCTGGGACTACCTGGCCAGTTAATAGTGGTAGGGGGTGTGTAGGTTGGAGTCTAATTCAGACAGCTGTTTGAAAGCACGTGGACACAGTTCTTTCTTTTTCTAATCCAACAGCAATGTAACAGAATGGGGATGGGCGGTGAGAAGGGTGTTAACAGAATACCTGCTATGTGTGCCTCCTATGTGTACCTTTCAGCTACTCCGTGGCTGTAAATTGCCTTCAGAAGACCTAGCACCGAGCATAGTATCTGGCAGATAGTAGGTGTCCAACAAATGTTTGCTGGATGTTGAGCAAAGTACTAGGTACCAGATCCAAGAACTCTGGAAAGGACTATGGGAAATCCCTGAAACCTGGCTCCTGGAGGGGACCCTTAAGCTCACACCAGGAGGGGATCTCCCTGCGAAGCAGCGCCTCCTTAACCACTTGCTCTCCACACAGAACGGCCCCAACTCTCCTGCTCCTCTGATGGAAACTACCAGCACACCTCTCCTCAAAGGTGACATCAGCTCCTAGTGGCACCTTGTCCTGGATCCCTCCTCCTTCTCGAAGAAAACCACCTACACCATGTCTCCAAGTCCTCCAGCCCGACCTCTCTCTTCCCACCCACCATCAAAACCTCAAAATCTGCGCTGGAAAACATCCCTACTGCGTGGACGTAAGTCAGCGCCCCACTCCCACCCTCCCAGTTCAGGCATCTCTATTCCAGCCCTCTTTTCCTGTTGCGCCCACCCCTGTCCCCACCCCCACCAGGCCTCGGGTTGGCCGCTCCTTCCACCCCACCGCCCTGGCACTGCGGAGATGGGGGCATCTCTGGCACAGACTGAGGCTGGCAGTTCGAGGAATGGAGAGCTAGCGACAGGAACAGGGGTGCTATGAGCAACTCGGGAAAGATTAAGACCCCCGCGAAGAGCGAAGACCTCAGCCCATCAGAATCGCGTCCCCAAAGGAGTGGGGTTGGCCCCGGAGCCGAGAGGCGCTTTTTCTGACTCTCCTGGAGGGGAAATGGGGGCGCAGTCTGCTCCGTTCCCACCGGGAGACTCGCCAACTCGGCCCCCTCCCCTGAAGCCGATGGAGCAGAGGGCGCACTCCACGCCCTCCCCGCAGATCAGGCATCGCCCCTATCCTCACCCCCAAGGGCACAGGGCACCGCAAAGGAGGGCGAGGGGCGGCAGGGTAAGCAGTACCGACGCCTGCCGGAGGTAGCACATACGGAGTCAAAAAGGGCTGTTTCCCGAGGTGCGATAGACGAGACCCCTCCCCAAACTGTCGAGGGGAGCTGGAGATGGGGAAAAGACGCATCCTACCCCAGTCCAGGCTCTGGGCGCTCACCTGCCTGCAAATGCCGAAGGCCAGGCGGCTAGGCTCGGAAGCAGCAGGGAGCCGCCCCCGACCCGTGCAGCCCGACACGTCCTAGAGCCGAGCCGGCGCCGAGGTAGCTGCAGCCTCCGCCGCCCAAGCGCGCGGCCGCGGGGCCCCGCCCCCTTCCTCCGCGGACAACCCCCCCCGGCTCCGCCCCCTAGGCGGGGCTGGGCTGCCGCGACCGAGGCCACGCCTCCCGCCCCCAAGCGCCTCGGGTCCGGGCACGTGACGAGAGCGCCGCTTTGAGGCCGCGCGCCATCTTGGTTCAGCCTAGGAGGTGGCGAAGTGCCAGAGTTTTATTCCGCAGAAGGGTCTCAGGGCCCAGGAGTGCTGCCCACATTCTGCCCCTCCCTCTGAACTCGCCCTTGTTCCTAGTCTAACAGCCCGTTCCCTAAATTGGCCTTAGTCTCGGCCTTGTAATTGTCAAGTTTGTCACCTTTCACGCTTGCTCTCCTGCCCGTTCCTTGCTTTTCCTTTGATCGCACCCATTTTTTAAGTGGGGAAACTTGATATCCGGATACTACATCTGTAGTATGCTCTTCAGTGAATTGTGTCGCTTGCCTTCAGGCACCTGGCTGTTCTAACACTGTTACTACAAAATGAAGGGTTTGTCTATTACATATACATAGTATGAAAACAAGTCTCAAATGCCAAAATTCCTGACTGACAAATTTTAGCTAAGCCTCTCCATTTTCCTGAATTGCTCCCTTACCCTGCCCCCTGTGGCTATTAATGCATCTTTTCCATCTGCTTTGTGAAGTTTCATCACAGTGCCTACTCAATCCTTTACCAATACCCAGTAAGCACCACTAAAAGTGTGAACAATTTTTATATACATGCAATGTGTTCATGTGTGTGTATTTATAGATATATACACAGCATGTTCTATATCAGCAGCAAATGCTATAGTTGAGATCAGTGACACATACAACCTTCTCTCATTTATCTTCCACCCAATATATTCACCATTTGGCATAATTTCCTTGCGTCTCTTTGAAGACAGGGAAATCTTGAGTAATTCTGATCTGAGGGGTGGGTAAGTGAAGCTAAATCTGTGACCCTTGAACAACAGGGCCTTCAACTGCACAGGGCCAGTTGCATGCAGATTTTCTTCCTTCCCCGCCACCCCTGAGACAGCAAGACTACCCCTCCTCTTCTTACTCGTCAGCCTGCTCAACATGATGACCCACTTAATGAACAGTAAATGTATTTTCTCTTCTTTGATTTTCTTAATAACATTTTCTTTTCTCGAGCTTATTATAATAAGGTATATACTACATATACAAAATGCACATTAATCAACTGTTTATGTTATCAATAAGGCTTCCAGTCAACAGTAGGCTATTAAGTTTTCGGGCAGTCAAAAGTCATAGCAGATTTTCAACTGTGTGAGGGTCTGTGTCCATAACTCTCACAGCGTTCAAGGATCAATTTATGTTGCTTGACAGAGCAAAATCACAGTATATAACCTGTAGTCCAGAAAGTTCTAATTCTTCTTCGGGTGGTCTGGGGTCCTCACCAAAAGGAAATCCCTGAGACACTTCACATCCTGTCACTAATAAAGCATGTATCATGCTAGAAACGGCAACTCAGCCAATGCAGAGGAAGGCTGAAGCCAAGATAACGACTGGTAACACATTTTACCAAATGTTTGTCAATATTATGCTGAGAGAGAGCTGAGGCAGTATCTAGTACTGTATCTGTCACCATACCATGGAATTTGACACAAAAAACTCAGAGCTGAGTCAGAATACAATTATTAAGCCAAATTTATTTCACCCCCTTTTTAAAGGTACTCCTAAGCGGGGAACAATGCACCAAGACACTCCTGCTCCATGGCATCTTTAGTTCAGGCAACCTGGCAGGGACTGTGCTTCTCCCCTCCTGCCTCAAAGAGGCAACTTTTAATTGTAGAGATCTGCAAAGTGCTCATTGTCCTTAGGTTGTCTGTTATCACTCAAATGCCCAAATTCTGTTTTTGACTGACCCAGGCTCACTCTGTGTGAACAGTTTTAATACCACCCTCAACGTGGGATAAGGTTAGCTGTTAGCAGCAAAATTAAGCAGATGCTTTCTAGGAATATTCCTAGGGAAGATGGTAAAAAAAAAAAAACAAAAATGTGAATTTAGCAGTTTGCCTCACAAGATTTTCACTTTTAAAGAATACTGTCTTAATGCCCACCTCCTGGCAATATCCAGGTAATATCCAGCTCACTGGTTAATTTTGGATGGTGGAGGGTGGGAGGAGAGACAAGCAGCAAGGTTTTCTCCTTAGCAAAACAGAAAAACGTGATTCTCTTCTCAGAGTACACCTGAACAATAGGAGTCATCTAAACAACAGGAGGACATAAGCATTTCTGCATGGACGGAAGACCAGGCTTCTGTAGGCACACAGGATGACAGCAGAAGCAGCACAGTACAGGGCAGAGCAAAGTCGCTAAGTGCTTATGGTTCAAGAGGCTGGTTTCAACATGCAATGCATTTTGTTAATGACGTTTTAGCCTAATAAATGCCCTTCTAACAGTTCAAGGAAAGGGTCACTATCCTTCCTGAAATAACTTTCTTGGTTTTACATTTTATTCAGAAATACATATTTAAAAGATCATTTCATCAATCTTCTAAACTTTTTTGGCTGATTAGAATAACATATACCACAATCAATTTTTTACTTACCCTTTTACTTTTTTTTATCTATGTACACTCTGCCTACTCCTTTTTACCACCATCTACCACAAGAAAAATGAGACTCATCTTTTAAACTTATGGTACAACAAAAAGACCTGGGTCAGAATCTTGGCTCTGCATTTACTGGTGTTATAGGTACAGTCACTAATTCCGTTTTCTCAACTATAAAATGGGAATAATATCACCTACTTTGCAAGACTGTGAGAAGTAGAGATACTATGTAAAGTTCCTAGTATAGTACCAAGGGTATAAAGTCATCATCACCATTATCAGCCTCATGCAAAAAAATACCTAAAATCCAAAACTGCCAAAAGAAAATGTATGCAATAAATATCACAAATTATTTTTTAAAAAAGATACACAAGTCAATATGGTAAGATTCTGAAAACCCTGTCACCTGCTTTATTTCTGGAGAAGGGTAAAGGGAGAAGGGAAAATATTCACTTGAATTTGAGGGGCAGCTAAACTGGAAGCAACAATTTCAGGCCTCTAAGGTTCCTCTGATCCATAAGGGAATGCTGAAACTTCCTTGTTTGGAGATTCAAAGAGTTTAATTTTTCCCTACAGCAAGATCAACAATTTTCACTGGGATAAAAGAATAAAGAACAAACTCAATAGCACCAAATGGGGTTTTAACACAGAAAACAGGGCCACTCCTTTTAAATGCAAATTTTTACATTAAAATATGTTTATAAATCATAGTAGTTGTTTTCCCTCTTGATTCAACATTTCTCCCTCCCCTAACAGGAGCCCTAGAACCTGAAGAGCATGTACATTACTAACGAGATATACAATCCAGCCACCCTGTCCAAACTGGAATCTGATTACTAATGGACTACACTCGAGGCTGCCCCCAAGGGATGGGAAGCAGTAACTACGCTCTCAGGGAGAATGGGTACTGAGGATGCCACCAGTCAAAGAGCCGAACGCTGTGCACTGGGTCCAGGATGACTTGCACACCCTGTTCACTGCGCAGTTTCCGACCACCATGGACAGGGGAATCTTGGAACACCAGTCTCACTCGATGATGCCGCATGTCCGTGCTCACATTGATAGTAAACTGAAATGGAAAAGCAAATTCAGTATCCAACTTACACAACCTTGGTTTCCAAGAGCTCACTCTGAAATGAAATAGTCCAGACTAATTTATACTGGCTAGGCCACAAGATTAATCTCTAAATTATAAAACAAACACCTTTTTTTTTTTTTTTTGAGAAAGGACCTCGTTCTGTTGCCCAGGCTGTAGTGCAGTGATGTGATCTCGGCTCACTGCAACCTCCGCCTCCTGGGATCAAACGATTCTTGTGCCTCAGCCTCCCAAGTAGCTAGGAATATAGGCGTGCACCACCATGACCGGCTAATTTTTGTATTTTTAGTAGAGACAGGGTTTTGCCATGTTGGCCAGGCTGGTCTCAAACTCCTGACCTCAAGTGATCTGCCCACCTCGGCCTCCCAAAGTGCTGGGATTACAGGCATGAGCCACCACGCCCAGCCAACCTTTAAAGATATAAAAAATTAAGGAGAATTTTATAAGGCCTTCTCAGCTTCACGTTTAAACTATGCTAAAGAAAGCCTCCCTAATGAGCACTTTGGGAGGCTAAGGCAGGCAGATTGTCTGAGGTTAGGAGTTTGAGACCAGCCTGAGCAAACCCCATTTCTACCAAAAATACAAAAATTAGCTGGGTGTGGTGGCAGGCACCTGTAATCCCAGATAGCTACTTGGGAAGCGGAGGCAGGAGAATCACTTGAAACCAGGAGACAGAGGTTGCAGGGAGCCGAGACTGCGCACCACGGCACTCCAGCATGGACTACAGAGCGAGACTCCATCTCAAAAAAAACAAAACAAAACTGTATATATGACACAATCTCAATTATACAAAATTATTTGAGAGAGAGAGAGTACATACATATTAACAGACACATTAAGAGAACAGTTCCCAAAAGATTAATTGCAGTTACAGGATAGTGGAAGTCTAAGTCACCTTTACTTTGTCAGTATATTTATGTATTATTTGAAGTCATTTACCATTTTAAAAAAGCTACTTTCATTGTGGAAGGGGAACCTCATGTATTTCTGAATGTAAGCCTAAGATACAGAGAAGACAAATTACATGAACTCTCCAGTTGCCAAGCCAATGAAAAATTTTTAAAACCTGGAAAAATATGCCAGAGGCACATACGTTGTTTACTAATTACTGGCCAAGCCTTGAACAGTGATAATATCACACAAAGGACAGAGCTGAGCTGGTCACCCTGTATTTTAATATCCCATTTGTAACCCCATATGCATGCCTCAAGGTCCTGACATACAGTGCCCATGTATATATCTCATCATTCTTCCTAATAGGATAATGTTTCTCAATCATTAATCATCACTACACATGAAAATGCAAAAACATTCCCTTTCCTACAAAGAAGGAAACAAGGTAAAATACTCTCAGATATAATTAATGTCTCCACAAATCTGTCTGTTGCTAATATACAGGACTGAGTTCAAACTTTTTTTTTGAAAAAAGATACCTTCCTTCATGGTTAAATTTACAAATATCCTTCAAACCTCAGATATAGCAAAAATCTATAAAAAAGCTGAATGCAGTGGCTCACACTTATAATCTCAGCACTTGAGAGGCCGACGTGGAAGAACTGCTTGAGGCTAGGAGTCTGAGACAAGCCTCAGCAACGCTGTGAGACACCCATTGCAACAAAAAATAAAAATTAGCTAGGGGTGGTGGTGCACACCTGTAGTCCTAACTACTTGGGAGGCTGAAGCAAGAGGATAGCTTAAGCCCAGGAGTTTTGAGGTTGCAATGAGTGATGATTCCATCACTGCACTTCAGCCTGAGTGACAGAGTGAGACCACGTCTCTTAAAAAAAAAAAAAAAAAAAAGAGCTGCGGTTCACCTCCTTTCAGAATGAAAAAAAAAAAAAAAAAGGAGCTGAGAATGACATCCTGAGTCCCCACTTACCAGAGTAAATATCATTCCCATGACAATCGGAATAAAGATGAAATTGAGGGTGGTGACCTGCAGTAGGCAGCAGTCCTGGTCTGGATTGGTATGAACATCTTCGTACTGAACGGGAGGCTGCAATCCTCCTGTACACTTGCTCTTTAACCTAGGGGACTGAAGAGAACTGAGAATTAATCCAATGGCTTAGAAGAAACATTATATGGCTCTAAGAGTCCACCAAAGAAAATCCTATGGCTCAACTAAAGCTAGTGAGATACACTTTTATCTTCTCTCTTTATACATGTTTCTATACAGAGATCAAAGAAAACCTACCCTTTGAAAGAAGGGTAAATACATTTGGATGAGCAAATGTGGCAATGGGTTTATGCTTCGTTTAGATGGTATTCCTTGCCATCTGACAAGAAATGGAAACTTACAGCCTCTACCAGAGGTTCTACAATGTTTGAAAGACTGCAAATTCCTTGTAACTTGTCAGACTCCAAAGAACATCTGCTGCACAAAAGGGATGGAAGCAGAAGTGGCCACCTAATTCCAGACACCATAAAATAAAGGAATCACAAGTCTCGGAACTAAAGGAAAATCTCGGCATTCACTTTCCTGCAGTAATCCTAGTGTCTGCTTCTAGTCACATTTCACCACTAAGACTGCCTCTCAATCCCTTCTCAGAAAGGTGGACTTTCTACCAGTGTCTAATGGATATCACAGACTGTGCAGATCTTATTAAATGCAAGATATCAGAACTAAAATTCTTCCCCAGAACCATGTTTTTGAAATAAATCAATAGGAAAATAAGGTTTACTTTAATTACAAACTTATCTGTAACCCACCTGCCATCACGTGAGAATAATTCATAGTATTTGTGTCTCATCAGTGAGATACTAAGTAGAGGAGACAAGTGAAAACATCTCCCTCCCCACCCCATCCCCGCACCCCCCACCCCACCCCATTCCATGTGTTTTCACCTGTCTCCTCTGTAATGAGTTTATGGGTTTTATATGCATAGTGAGAGAGAAACCCATAAACCTATTGCCATATCTGCTCATAATTCCACATAAGAATATAGGGTGATCATAATTACACCTAATAATACAGGTGTCCTTTGAGTAATACTGTCACTGTTCAAGGCTTGGACAGTAATCAGATTAGTAAACAATATATGTGCCTCTGGCATAATTTTTCCAGGTTTTAAAAAATTTTCATTGGCTTTGCAACTGGAGAGTTCATGTAATTTGTCTTCTCTGTCTCTTAGGCTTACGTTCAGAAATACATGAGGCTCCTCCTTCCACAATGAAAGCTTTTTTTAATGGTAAATAAGCTTAAATAATATATAAATATATTGACAAAGTAAAGGTGACTTAAGACTTCCACTATCCTGTAACTGCAATTAATCTTTTGGGAACTATTCTCTTAATATGTTCTCTTAACATTTATACTTCAATCTTAAATAATTCAGCATACACTTACATATAACCACATTATCATTATCACCCATAAGAAAATTAACAATTATTTCATCTTATCCATAGCACATTCTGATTTCCTAAATTGCCTCAAAATGTCTTTTATAGCTTTGTTCTCTTATCCAGGATCCACTCAAGATTTACTCTTTGCAGTAGGTTGTTATCCTTGTCTTTCAATACAGCATAGTTCCTCTTACCTTTTGTTTTCATGGCACTTCGGATTGAGTATCCCTTATCCAAAACGCTTGGGGCCAGAAGTGTTTCCCATTTTTTCAGATTTTGGAATATTTGCATTATACCAGTTGAGCATCTGAAATCCACAAACCCAAAATCCAAAATGCTCCAATAGGCATTTCCTTTGAGCATCATGTTGCCACTCAGAAAGTTCCAGATTATGAGGCATTTCAGATTTTGGATTTTTAGGCTGTACACTGTTTTAGTAAGGCAATTTCATGCCTAGTGTTATGATTTGAATGTTTGTGTCTCCTCCAAAATTCATGTGGACACTTAATCTCCAACACAATAGTATTAAGAGGTAGGGCCTTTTTAGGAGGTGACCTACTGGGGAGGCCCTCCCTCATGAATGGGATTAAGGCCTTTATAAGAGGGTCTTCACACTAGGCTCAGCCCCTTTTGGCATTCCACCTTCCACCATGTGAGGACAAAGTGTTCCTCCCCTCTGAAGGATGCAATCAGACACCATCTTGGAAGCAAAGGGACCAGGCCCTCACCAAACATCAAACCTGCAAGTACCTTGATCTTGGACTTCCCAGCCTCCAGAACTGTTAAGAAATAAAGTTCGTTCTTTTTAAGTTACCCAGAATCTGTGGTACTGTTATAGCAACACAAACAGACTAAGAAAGATATCTAGGGAAATCTCTTAGAACAAGGTATTATCTGAAAAACAAAGAGAAGACCACGTACCTGTTTTTTGAACTTGAAGTTGAATTCCCACATTGGTTCCTGTCTGTTCCCAACAATCTTTCTGCACCAGAAAAGTAAGCACTATAAGAAAGTAAAAATAAAATAAACCAAGAAAAAGAAAAAGAAAAAAATCAAAATACACTACAACCAAAATAATCACCAAAAACCTTTCTGTTTGACAGCTCTAAAGCCAGCCACGGTCCCAATGCTGAGATTTTACTTTGGCACAGATAGACCCCCAAGTTGACACTGGTGCAACATAAAAACGGACAATCCCAGGGCTGTTCAATAAGGACAGGAGGGACCAATATAAGTCAACCTCAGAGGCTACTGACATCAACTCCTATTGTCTTATCTTCAAAGACAGAAACATGGTATCTAGAGACTGGAGCATCCTCTCTGATTCAGCAGGCTAATCCTCTACATTAAAATGTAAGGAGAGCCAGCAGCCACCAGGCAAGATGATACAAGGCCATAAGGTAGGCAGAGAGGGCTGGCCCTATAATAGAAGCAAACTGCTCAGGACCTTCTGGGAGCAGACAGCCAGTAAGGAAACTACAGAGCTAGGCTGAATTCTGTCTAGAATAAGCCCCTCAGTGAAAGTCAGGCTACAGCTAGGGTTAAGCACAAGAAGTGAAGTACCTCCCAGGGGATAAGGGGTGGGTCGTCCGCCGTGCCAGCTGTCCTGCCCTTCAGACATGCCCTGTACGTCCTGCTGTTCCATCAAAATTAATGGGCTTGGCTTTAAGGGGAAAACACTTCTGCTGCCATCACAACGGCTCCAGTGTCCCACACAAGCTATGCTACTGAAAAGAGAGAGAGGGGGAATCAAATACGAAAAGCTAGAGTCCAGAAACATGGGACAACTTCCTTTAGGCATGCTGGCAACTCCCTGAATGCCACGCAATCATGGGTATACAAGTGGCAAGGCCATGCACGGGATATCTGCCACTGCAGGCCCCATACCCTCTTCAGAAGATCTCTAACAAGGCACAAAAGCAGCAGCCAGATGGCCTGGGCTTACTATCTGGATTAAGACCTTAGTTTTCATTCTACTTTGGCTTTTTACAGTCCACTTTAAAAAAATTAATAGACAATGATAAGAATATGAAGATAGGGGTATTTTAGAATTTAGGCAGTAGCACTTGCATTGTGCACTGGAGCCGCTAAGATGTGTCAAGCATGAGGAGTTTGCCCAATGCTGCTCTGCCCCCAGCAATTGATTCACTCCTGGCATGGCTAACTTTGGGATGATCCCCATGCTCACCACAGTTAATCTGATACTATCAAATGTTTTGGGGGAAAGGGACACTGTAAATGTGAGAAGATACACTGTCCACTCATATTACAAGCAGAAGCAGCTGCTGGGTGAAATTCTACTCTCCCGGCATTCTACTCCTTCTCTAAATCCACCAGTTAGCATGATATTAAATTGAGCTCAGCCAACAGCCCTGACCACCTCAGTTTACAAGGCTGGGGGGAACCTCGATAATCTCGAAATCAAAAGTACCCTTTTAATTAATATGTATTAGGTAGGATATGATCACCCTAGAGCTAAACTAGGGGAGAAGAATCATTATATAATGTGCAATACCATAAAAACAAACTACAAGAGAATGGGAAATGCTATGGAACATCAGATTTGGGGTAGGAACAGAGTAACCTTGTTTGCCAAAGGTGATTTAGTAATTTCATCAGGTAGGAGAAAAAGAGAGAATGGACCAAAGGCTAGTAGACATATTTACAAATCAGAAGAATGACAGAAACTTGAATATAAATATGTGAATATAAAATATCAGGGAAATCCTGAGATAAAAAGAGCCTAGAACACAGAAAGAACTTGAGAGAACTAAGGTTTATGAATCAGGGTACCTTATAGTCTATGAGATGACCTACCAGAGCCGGGCAATAGCCTGGCACAGGGCACTTCCAAATGCTACAGAAGTCAAGTCTACACCAGAATCCTTAAGGAGGTCAACAATAAAGGGGAATCCCTGATGTCAAGGTTGCATTAGAAAGAGAAAAATAGTGAGATGTTCATGTTATACCTCTGTACTGTGATTTAAAGCCCCTCTTAAAAATTACAGCATACGTCTACCATTTGAGTTATGCTCTTCCTAGCCCAAACCATCAAAACCATTATATCTAGAGTGGTCCAATGTACAATGTATGCAAATACATTAAAATAAAAAGAATAAGGAATACACTAAAAGCACCAGAAAGCTTTAAGGTAAGATAAGCCAGCCAGCACAGCAGAAAGGTCTTGGAGAAGTGAAATCTCTGAGCCCTGAAGTTTACATTAGTCCCCTAGCAGCCTGGGACCTACACCCCTCCCCATCAAGGAAGCTGGAGACAAGCCATGATAACAGGCCTACCATACAAGAGTTCATTAGTCAAACCCCAACACAAATTCTCACTTACTTTGGAATTCTTTAATGTGCTGGGGGTGCTTTCTGGAATGGCTGGATTCTTGGAGATTCGAGCAGCAAATGGCTCATACATATGGTACAGAGATCGGATCACACAAGCCCGGAGACAGCGCAGCTTCTCCATTGACTCTGGTCGCAGACGCAAAGGCAGGGAAGCATCCAGCGTGTAGTGCCTGAAACATGACACATTACTCCTACCAATATGTGACCTGTCTCTCCTGCTCTAGGTCAGTTTTCTAAGACTCCTGGTCTCTGTATGAACTTTACTGCACTATTCCACTGGCCAGTAGATAGCCTGTCCCCAGTGCTACTTGACCTCTTGGCGACTTTTACGTCTTTGCCTTGTAATCCGGCAGTTCTCCATCCATTTTTAAAGTTGAAGTCCTCACTTTTTCACTGAACAAAAGAGCAAACTCTGAATTGGTATCGGTATATTATGCTTTAGCTGCTCAAAAAGAACCTGTCCTGGAGGAACCTATACTGGCGAAGAGCCACCAGGTTCTCCAGTCAGATCTCACAGTGAGTTCTCCACTCCTTTCTACTTCAACATTCCTTCCCACCACAGCCTGACAGTTTACAATTGTCACTACACTTCCATACCTAGCATCAAAAACTAGCCCTTTTACTAATCATATAATTTGCCTACTCCTCACCACTACAACTATACATAAGGCTGCATAAATACAAAAACTGTGTAATACTTAAAGACAACTAGCAAATCTAAGCAACACCTAATCCAGCTGGAAAGATGAGCAGATAGGCATCTGTAGCTTTAAACATTCTAGCTAAAATAAGCCTCTGAAGAAAAGTCAAAGACTCTTCTATCTGGGACTTGAAGCAAGACGTTTTGCTGAAAGTGGATACTGGAGTGGGGAAGGAGGCAACCACACGGAAGACAATTACCTGGATAATTAATAATATCAAATTTAAATTAGAGAGGGGCTCAAGGAGTCCAAAGCTGGGTCATGCCCAGACATGGAGTAGAGAAAGTGAAAAGAGGTCACCATCCAGTGAGTAGCTCCAAATCACAAACAGTAATGAAATCAGCCACACAGATAAAAGAGTGAGCTCTCTGTGGTCGCACCTTCGGTACAACCTGGTCCAAAAGGCAGCAGTGCAAGTGACAGTCCAGGCATTCTTACAAATCAGGGAAAAATTCACAATGTCCTCAGGACGGATATAGGAGGCCAGCAATAGCCAAATATCCATGGGATACTCTTCTCCTCCAGCCCCGTCCAGTTCTTCTGAAACAAAAAAAAGAATAATCTCTGATCTTCTACACCATATCTAAAGATACTCGATAATTTCATTTCTCCCAAGGATTGATTGCACAGTTAAGAAAATGGTTTTAAATAGGTCCAAGGAAACCCCTCAAACTTATCATTTCCTGCTCATCCTAGCTGCTGGAAACTTTTACCTCCTGTTGCCCAAGTAAATAGGTTTTGTTCTTAAGGCCTTTATTTAACAACTATTGGCGATACCATTTTGAAGTTTAACTTTTTTTTTTTGGGACAGAGTCTCACTCTGTTGCCCAGGCTGGAATGCAGTGGTGCCCAGGCTAGAATGCAGTGGTGCAATCTCAGCTCAATACAACCTCCGCCTCCTGGTTTCAAGCAATTCTCATGCCTCAGCCACCAGAGTAGCTAGGACTACAGGCACACTCCACCGCACCCAGCAAATTTTTGTATTTTTAGTAGGGATGGGGTTTCACCATGTTGACCAGGCTGGTCTCGAACTCCTGGCCTCAAGTGATCCACCCGCCTTGGCCTCCCAAAGTGCTGGGATTACTGGCGTGAGCCACTGCACCTGACCATCATTTTGAAGTTTCAAAAGTGCCTTTGCACACGTTGTATCATTCAACTCTAATAATTCTTCAATGGAATAAGAAAAATATTATTGCGCCCATTTTACTAATAAGAAAACAAAACCTTGCCACTCAGTCAAGGGAAATAGAACCAAGAGTTTCCGACTCCGAATTCCAGCTTTATGCTATTAAGCCCTGCTCATGGTTTAAGTCTCCACCCACTAAACATTTTCAGTCAGGAAAAAAAACAAAATTGACTTTAAGATGGTATAGGCAGGCCGGGCGTAGTGGCTCACGCCTGTAATCCCAGCACTTTGGGAGGCCAAGGCAGGCAGATCACGAGGTCAAGAGATCGAGACCATCCTGGCCAACATGGTGAAACTCCATCTCTACTAAAAATACAAAAATTAGCTGGGCGTGGTGGCACGTGCCTGTAATCCAGCTACGTGGGAGGCTGAGGCAGGAGAATCGCTTGAACCAGGAGGTGGAGGTTGCAGTGAGCTGAGATGGCACTTAGGCCGGGCACGGTGGCTCACGCCTGTAATCCCAACACTTTGGGAGGCCGAGGTGGGCGAATCGCGAGGTCAGGAGATCGAGAGCAACCTGGCTAACACACTGAAACCCCTTCTCTACTAAAAAATACAAAAAAATTAGCCGGGCGTGGTGGCAGCTGCCTGTAGTTCCAGCTACTTGGGAGGCTGAGGCAGGAGAATGGCGTGAACCCAGGAGGCGGAGCTTGCAGTGAGCCGAGATAGCGCCACTGCACTCCAGCCTGGGCGACAGAGTGAAACTCTATCTCAAAAAAAAAAAAAAGTGTCCCTATCTCTTCCTTCTTCAGAACTCATTAGCATTAATTCTCCAGAACTCATTAGCATTAATTCTCTTGACCTTGATGTCCACTATACTTCTCAGGTTCAGGTAATACACATGCTTTGTAAAGATACCTGAATCTGAGCTAATCCTAACCTTAACCCTTATTTCAAACCTAGTCATAGAACTATCCTAAAATGACCAGCTTTCTTCCTTCCTGGGGAAAAAGCCCCTACACCATCTCCCCAAAGTTGCCCCCGCTTTTCTAGCTAACTGCTTCCTACAGCTCTATGATTAGATCAGGTTATTTGGTTAGGTTCTTCACAACAGAGACCCAATATGTCTAAAACATCATCATCTTTTCTAATTCTTATCCTTCTTATAATCTCCAGTAATCATGCAAGACACAGTCTACCATGTCTAGGCCCCACTTTCTCCCACATTACCTCTTCTCTCTTTGAAAGAGAAGGCAAACGACTATTAAAATTTCCTCTATTGTGGCTGAGTGCAGTGGCTCATGCCTGTAATCTCAACGCTTTGGGAGGCCAAGGTGGGAGGATGGCTTGAGCCCAGGAGTTCGAGATCGGCTTGGGCAACACAGTCTCTACAAAAAACTTAAAAATTAGCCAGCCATGGTGGTGCATGCCTGTAGTCTCTGCTACTCAGGAGGCTGAGGTGCAAGGATCAATCAAGCCCAGGATGTCGAGGCTGCGGTGAGCCATGACTGCACCACTGCAATCCAGCCTGGGCAACAGAGTGAGTCCCTGTCTCAAAACACCGAAACAAAAACCAAAAAAACAAACAAAAATTTCCTCTACTGAGACCCATAAGGACTTTTACAAAGCAGAGTGCTATTACAAATTTTCTGTCTTTAGAAACAAAATTTAGTAAATAATGAAGAATTGTCAGTGTTTTATACATAATTATTAAGAGCTTTCAAAACGAAGGAAATAGAATCAGTAAATGAAAGCTTCATGGAGATAAATCATGAAGGACATGAAGAATTTTGATAGGCATAGGTTAAGAGGAAAAGCATGTCAAGTAAGTGCTAACATGAAACCAAGGGACTCAGAAAAGCAAAACATGTGAGAACAGTAAACAGAAAAGTCTAACAAGATTTTAATAACATTGAGAAATTACTGTTAAAGTCTTTTAGATGTGATAATGGTATTTTTAAAAAGATAACTACTAAAATATTTACAAAGATGATGGTATATCTGGAAATTGTTTCAAAATAACCGTGTGTGTGTGTGTGTGTGTGTGTGTGTGTGTGTGTGTGTGTGATGGAGTGGGGAGTAATGGTTGAAGTAAAAATGGCCGTTTCAAAATAACCGTGTGTGTGTGTGTGTGTGTGTGTGTGTGTGTGTGTGATGGAGTGGGGGGTAATGGTTGAAGTAAAAATGGCCGTGAGTTGACAGCATATAAAAACAAAATGTTAATTAAAAAAAGAAAGAGAAAAAAAACTTTTTAATAGCCATGAGTTGATCATTGTTGAAGCAGGGAATAGTTATATGGAGTTATAATCAGACTATTCTCTCTTCTTCTACATGTTTCATTAAAAAAAAGGCTTTTAAAAAAAGAAGAAAAATACATTATACCTGCTGAAACAATAAAATAAAAAGAAATTTAAAAAGAAAAAAAAAAAAAAAGACCAGTCTGATGGAATGGAGAAACCTAATGGAGGTAAAGTAGAATAAGGAAGTAAAATATGAATTATGGTTAAGTGCCTGTAAGCCATAAATCATGTATCTGATAAGTGACTAGTAATCTGAATAGATAAAGAAGTCTTACAATTCAATAATAAAAAGATAGCCGGGTGCGGTGGCTCACACCTGTAAACCCAACACTTTGGGAGGCCGAGGCAGGTGGATCACCGGAGGTCTGGAGTTCGAGACCAGCCTGACCAATATGGAGAAATCCCATCTCTATTAAAAATTACAAAAAATTAGCTGTGCGTGGTGGTGCATGCCTGTAATCCCAGCTACTCGGGAGGCTGAGGTAGGAGAATCGCTTGAACCCGGGAGGCAGAGGTTGCAGTGAGCCGAAATCACGACATTGCACTCCAGCCTGGTCAACAAGAGTGAAACTCCATCTCAAAAAATAAAAAAATAATAAGAAGAAGATAACCCAATTTAAAAATGGGCAAATATCATTAGCCATCAGGGAAATGCAAATCAAAACCACAAGGAGATAGATACCAATCCACATCCATTATAATTTTAAAAGTCAGACAATAACAAGTGTTGATAAGGATGTAGAGAAACTGGAACTCTTATACACTGCTGGTGGAAATATAAAACGATGCACACACTTTGGAAAACAGTTTGGCAATTCCTCCAAAAGTTAAACATAGAGTTTCTGTATAATCCAGCAATTTCACTCCTATCTAACCAAAACTAAAAAAACCTATGTCCACAGAAAAACTTGTCCATGAATGTTCACAGCAGCATTATTCATAGCAGCCAAATAAAAAGGAATAAAAAAGAATGAGATACTGATACATGCATAGTATGGATGAACCTTGAAAACATTATGCTAAATGAAAGAAGCTACATGCAAAAGACTATATATTGTATGATTCCATTTACATGAAATGTCAGAATAGGTAAGTCTGTAGAGACAGAAAGTAGATTAGTGGTTTCCAAGGGCTGGAGGAGGGTTTGGAATGAGAAGGGATGCTAATAAGTATGGGGTTTCTTTTTAGAGTAATGGAAATGTTCTAAACTTAGACCATGTTGATGGTTGCACAACTCTGTGAATATGCTAAAACCACTGAATTGTACACTTTAAAGGAATAAATTTTATCTCAATTTTTTGTTTTAAGTCAAAGCCATTCTGTGGAACAAGTCCAAAACAACAAGAAGATAAATCCCTAATAGAATGGTGATAAGTAGCGATTTCAAGTGAAAAATTAAGGACAAAGAAGTATGAAGAATGTCAATACTGGTTGAGTATCCCTTATCAGAAATGCTCAGGACCAGTGGTGTTTCAGATTTTGGCTTTTCCCGCATTTTGGAATATCTTGACCGTACTTATTGGTCGAGCAGCCCTAATCGAAAATCAGAAATCCAAAGTGCTCCAATAAGCATTTCCTTTCAGCATCATGTCATTGCTCCAAAAATTTCAAATTTTGGAGCTTTTCAGATTTGGAATGCTCGACCTGTTTTAATTTTGGGATCCTGAAAAAGAGGGATATGACTAACAATAACTAGAATAATTCCAAAGCAATCATACCATTAATTTCATTAACTTATTACTTCAATATACTTTAACAAATAAAAATATCTATTATCTGATTCTCAGGTACAGGTGAAAGTGCTGGTAAATCTGAGACCAAAAATACATACATCATTTACTATTATTTTTTTCTTTTTTTTTTTGAGACAGAGTCTTGCTCTGTCACCAGGCTGGAGATGTGGTGGTGCAATGCAATCTCGGCTCACTGCTACCTTCGCCTCCCAGGTTCAAGCGATTCTCCTGCCTCAGCCTCCCTGGTAGCTGGGACTACAGGTGCACACCACCACGCCCAGCTAATTTTTGTATTTTTAGTAAAGACAGGGTTTCACCATAATGGCCAGGATGGTCTCGAACTCCTGACCTTGTGATCTGCCCACCTCAGCCTCCCAAAGTGTTGGGATTACAAGCGTGAGCCACCATGCCTGGCCTCACCATTATTTATCGGCTTTCACCTAAACGTAGCTGATCATCAGAACCACTTTAGCTTTAAAAATTCTGGGCTAAGCATGGTAGCTTATGCCTGTAATCTCAGCACTTTGGGAGGCCAAGGTGGGTGGACTGCTTGAGCCCAGGAGCTCAAATCTAGCCTAGGCAACATAGTGAGACCCCTGTCTCTACAAAAAATAGAAAAAATTAGCAGGCATGATGGCATAGCACCTGTAGTCCCAGCTACTCAAAAGGCTAAGATGGGGGGATCGCTTAAGCCTGGGAAGTCAAGGCTGCAGTGTGCCATGATCTTTCCACTACACTCCAGCCCAGGCAAGAGACCAAAACCCTGTCTCAAAAAAATAAATAAATAAAAATTCTGAGTTCCACCCCAAGAGATTCTGACTCATTAAGTCTGAAGGAAAACCCAGAATCTGAATGATGGTTTGGCACGTTATATTATCATCAGTTTATTATTCTTTGTTTCATTTGTGTACATTTCATTGCCATTAGGATATAAAAAAATCACCTACTTTTCTATTTCCCACAATACTTATTAGACATAAAGCAGACATTACTAATTGCAGAGCACTTAAAAGCCCACGATAATGTCTATGTTTGTGTGTAACAAAACTAGTTAACGTAAAATCCACATACTTTGGAAAACATTTTTTGGTTACATCTCTGCTTCCTTACACATTCAGAAATCCAGAAATGCAAAGGCCTTTTATTTTCACATTGCCTTATGGGTTTTTACCTGATAATAACATGTTCTCAATGAAGGGCTACTAGAGTCCAGTTCACAGCTCCAGAACTCTACTAACACGTACTAATCTCTTTCCCTCTCGAATTCAGACAAAAGAAAAAAGAAAGCCCAGGTGTATTAAATCCCGGCCCACTACCAAGGTTCTTAGGGAGAGCCAAGTTTTCTTTAAACTCTCCTGGTATCACGTCTTATATCTCCTCCTGTGCTACTGGGAAAGTAACATCTTCAATTTGTCACCACAGGCAGGTCTAATAAACCAAAAGAGAACAAGCTCCATACCTTTGTGTCTCTTGCTTTTCTTTTTTCTGGAGACAGTTCTCTCATGGATGCTTTCCTCCTGGGCATCCATCTCATCACTGCTGTCGATGATGTCACAGGGCTCACCAGCCCCAGAAAGAGCTTCCTCTGCAGGAACCTGAGAGGCTTCCAAGCCACAAAGAGATTTTACTAGAAGAAAATAAAAGGAGAATGAGATGGCACACAGCTCCACCCAGAAATACAAACAACTTAGCCAAGGTATCAGCATCCATTCAGGAAAGGGGGGAAAAAAAACATCGTTGAGAGAGAAAGGTGAGAATCTGTCACCAAAAAAAATAAAGATTTTAGTATTTTAAATACAAAAAAAAAAAAAAAAAAGGAAAGCAATGGGCAAACTGACTCCAAAGTTGCAGAAACTCCTTTTTTCAGCCCTGAAGAAAAAAGGTGTGTACAATTTTTCCACTATAAACCCTGCAGGATAAAAGCTGATTTGTATTCTCATAAGGTCTACAGAGAAATGTTTGAGACAAATTGAATCCAATTTAATCCTGGTCCTGAGCTGGAGGCAGTAGGTGTCATAAAACACAAGTCTCAGACCCATGAGTAAACAGACTGAAAGCAAGAGAAACACCAGAAAAGGAAAAGAACACTCCAAGGTTATTAAACAAGGAAGCAAACTGCAGAGTAAAACATGTGAACTACAGCAAAGAGATTAATAACCAAGAAGAATGCAGTGGAAACTAAAAAGTATGCAAACATGTTTTTAAATGCAAAGAAAGAAAGAAAATATTTCTGCTACAGAAACTGCTACTCTTGACTAATCCTCCTCCACCCCAATATGTAAGTTAACACTAACGAAAGCAAACACGGTTACAGGAAGACGACTAAAGGACTGCAAGAAAAACAGAAATAAAATACCTAGTTCTGTCTTCGCGGCATGAGTCTTTAAAGGCTCGCGCAAAGCTTACCTTCCTGCTGAACAGCGTTGGCTACGGCTTTCTTGACTCGTCCAGACCTCACGACCGCCGGATCCGAGTTGGCGTAATCCGCCACGGTCACTGCAACACAGCACCAACCCTCAAGGAAGAGGCCTTCTCTCGTCAGCGTCTTCCCCGCCAACACCTCCTCCTCGCTGCAGGCCCCCGGACCGAGCCGCCCTCCAGCCGCGGGCACGCGAGCGCTCACCTCGGCACGGTCCAGCCCCCTCCCAGCCGCCAGCCCCCAAAATGTTTCAGCGCCCCTGCCCCCCTCGCCCACCTCGGCCGGAGCAGGCGTCGTGGGCCCGGAACTTGAGTCGCTTTCCTCTCTTGGGCATGGCGACCGTATCGGGGCGAGGCCTGCCTAGCGGGCCGGGCCCCCGGGCCATGTCTCCGGCCGGAGAGCCGGCCCCGGGAGCCGCAAGCCAGCTCCGCCCGGCTCCGCGGCCATCCCACACCGGAGGCCGCTAACTCTCGCGAGAACATAGGTCCGGGTTCCGAGTCGCGTTGTCGGACGACGCCTCTCCACGCGAACCAATCATCGCCAGGTGCAAGGATACGTCATCATCCGGCACCCGCGAATCAAGCTGGGTCCGGGTTCCAGGTGGAGAGAGAGCTGTTGTACTGGGTGGTGTCGCGTATCGCCGTACCTCGTGTGAGATGAATGGTGTCTCAGAACCATAGCCCACACCTGTGTTGATTAGAATTGAGAGTTTACATCCTGGTCTCCGGGATTCTTCTTAGTAACTCCTCTGTCCACACTCCAGGTCCACTTCAGCACCAAAATGCATATACACTGTCATCTTCGTGCTCTATCTCGGACCACAGAGACTGAGCGCCTGCTAGTCTAACATAGGTCTGTAAGAGTCTTCACTCTATTTTACGAAAGCTATAAATAAATTTCTGAATTCTCAAAATAGGAGAAGGAGTTCTTAAAAGCTTCCAATCGGCCGGGCGCGGTGGCTCACGCCCCTAATCCCAGTACTTTGGAAGGCCGAGGCGGGCGGATCACGAGGTCAGGAGATCGAGACCATCCTGGCTAACACGGTGAAACCCCGTCTCTACTAAAAATACAAAATATTAGCCGGGCGTGGTGGCGGGCGCCTGTAGTCCCAGCTACTCGGGAGGCTGAGGCGGAAGAATGGCATGAACCCGGGAGGCGGAGCTTGCAGTGAGCTGAGATCGGGTCACTGCACTCCAGCCTGGGCGACAGAGCAAGACTCCGTCTCAAAAAAAAAAAAGTTTCCAATCTATCACCATATAAGGTTAGCCGAGAGAAAGGACGAAAGAGAGACCCAAGGTCAGCCGAGGAAGTTTATTAACCTGACGGCTGCTCCACCACAGACAGAGGAGGCACCCCTGAGCTTACAAAATGAGGGGTTTATATGGGGGAGAGAGACCCTGGGGTTGTTTGCTGGTTAATTTTGCCACATATTAGCTTGTGACGTTTATTACAGGAGGGTGTAGGTAAAGTTTGTTTATGCTTCCCATCACCTTCCCCTGTGCGGTCCGGATGATTTGTAATTGGGGTTTGTTTATTGCAGCAAGGTCTGATAAGTGAAGTCTGCTGGCTTCATAAGGACTTAGAAGTGTAAAGAGGCTTGGGGGAAGGAGAAGAGTTGCAGAGCATTAGGGGGAGGAGTGAGCAGCACGGAGAGGTTTGGGGGAAGTGTCGGCAGTACCAAGAAGCTTTTTGGGGCAGTTTGTTCCTAACACACCATACCTCCAAAAAACTACTAGAAGCATCCATGAAAAACTATCGCAGAGGCAGGAAGGTCACTTGAGTCCAGGAGGTCAAGGCTGCAGTGGGCCATGATTGCGCCACTGCACTCCAGCCTGGGCTACAGAGCGATACCCTGCCTCAAAAAAAAAAAAAGGAGAAAAAGAAAAAATAACGTCTTTCCTTTGTATTGAGACAGAAGCGAGTCACTGAGTGAAGATTACAGAACTGTAAGGGAGCAGGACCCTGGGCTAGTATTATCAGGCCTCTGAGCCCAAGCCACGCCACCGCATCCCTGGTGACTTGCACGTGTACGCCCAGATGGCCTGAAGTAACTGAAGAATCACAAAAGTGAAAATGCCCTGCCCCGCCTTAACTGATGACATTCCACCACAAAAGAAGTGAAAATGGCCAGTCCTTCCTTAAGTGATGACATTACCTTGTGAAAGTCCTTTTCCTGGCTCAAAAAGCTCCCCCACTGAGCACCTTGCGACCCCCACTCCTGCCCACCAGAGAACAAATCCCCTTTGACTGCAATTTTCCTTTATCTACCCAAATCCTATAAAACGGCCCCACCCTTATCTCCCTTCACTGACTCTCTTTTCCGACTCAGCCCGCCTGCACCCAGGTGATTAAGAGCTTTATTGCTCACACAAAGCCTGTTTGGTGGTCTCTTCACACAGACGCGCATGAAAAGTAAATAAATAAATAAATTAAAAAAAAAAGAAAAGTATCACCGCGACACATAAGAAGTTATTTGGTTTCCTAAGTTATTCTCCTTTATCCTTCTAACTTCCTTGCAGCTCCTAAAAGGTGATAATCCCTGGCTTGGGAAACTTAGGACCCAGGCATCCAATCCGCTGGATCTACCAGAGAGTATCTTATTTTCAGTCTAACGAGCTGGCACCAAGTTTGTTAGGAGAAAAACCTCAGGCCTTTTACTAACATTATGTAACAGACTACCACCAGGGATCTTGCTAATAGGCTTGAATCAATTAGGAATTAAAATTGAAGCTGAAGAGAATTGATTACAATTATGAAATATTCAAATTTAATTTATCTAAAGTTACAACATGAAACAAATGTCTAATAAGCTGTTAACAAAAGAAAATTCTTTCAAATAAGGTTTCTATTTATATGTAATTCATGTTTGTAGTCCAGTTCAAAATGCAGATGGTAAGTGCTGAGGCTTCTCATTTCACAACGTTATCAATAAAAAATTCATGGCCGGGTATGGTGGCTCACGCTTGTAATCCCAGCACCTAGGGAGGTGGAGGCGGGAGAATACTTGAGCTCAGGAGTTTGAGACCTGCCTGGGCAACAAGACCCCATTCTCCACAAAAAGGTAAAAAAAAAAAAAGACCAAAAAAAGTGTAATAAAAATTTCACAAGGTTCACATAGATGTAGATTTCTACTCATGTGGCACCCTGTTGAAAACACTCAGGCATTCAGATTCTGGAGGAAATCAAAGTTACAAGAAACATAAACCCTATTACAATGTCACTATAAAAAACTTGGGTTTTAACAAGAATGTTGTCTCATTTTTCAGCAGTATAATTACTATTTTAATGCATTGGATGAAAGAAATGCTAGTTCCCAAAACTGTTTATTTCTTTTTTTTTTTTTTTGAGACGGAGTCTCACTCTGTCACCCAGGCTGGAGTGCAGTGGCACGATCTCAGCTCACTGCAACCTCCGCCTCCCGGATTCAAGCAATTCTCCTGCCTCAGCCTCCCGAGTAGCTGGGATTACAGGCATGTGCCACCACACCTGGCTAATTTTTTTGTATTTTTAGTACAGACGGGGTTTCACCAAATTGGCCAGGCTGGTCTTGAACTCCTAACCTTGTGATCCACCCACCTCGACCTCCCAAAGTGCTGGGATTACAGGCGTGAGCCACCGCGCCCGGCCTCAAAACTGTTTATTTCATCTTTCAAAATTTCTAGACTGAGAAGATTTTAAGCAAATCCTCTGAGACTCTTAAGTCCTTGGGCCAATATAGTGGAACAAATGATCCTACTCTTTCATTCCACCTTTTATTAAAAAGCAACAATTTTTAATTAATAGCACTGTTAATCTCCAGACCAGAAGATACAAGTTCTTGCTAGGAAGACAAGTAAAAGTTACTAAAATTGTTATTATGTTTAAATGCAAGTGGCTTAACCTAGCTATTAGGAAGAAAGTGAAAGGAAAATGTTGTTTTCAAATATTTTCCTCAGAAAAGTGGGAAATTCAAGGACAGCAGATAAATATATACAGCATTCGAATGCTATATTTCTAGATTATGTCCACCCTACTTTTTTGGTATTAAACTGTCCTTTAGACCCGGCACGGTGGCACACACCTGTACTCCCAGCACTTTGGGAGGCCGAGGAGGGTGCATTACAAGGCCAGGAGTTCAAGATCAGCCTGGCCAACATGGTAAAACCCTGTTTCTACTAAAAAACAAACAAACAAAAACAAAAATTAGCCGGGCATGGTGGCGGGTGACTGTAGTCCCAACTACTTGGGAGGATAGCTTGAACCCAGGAGGCGAAGGTTGCAGTGAGCCGAGATCGCACCACTGCACTCCAGCCTGGGCGACAGAGCGAGACTCCATCTCAAAAAAAAAAAAAAGGTTGTTATTTATTTTGCACTAATAGTAAATGCTCACAGGAGGTGTTTGCTTTTTAAGGTTCCTTTATCTTGAAAACTTAAAGATGGCAAATCTATGTTGGTTGTCATAATTTTCTTTCAAATTTTAATAGCCTGTGAAACCCTAAAGCCTGGGAATCATTGCTTTGGAGGTATTGGAAAAGTATCCCTTCGGTTTGAATAAATAAATACATGACAGTGGGATTTCCTACTGAAGGCAGTTTAGTATAAAAAAGCAATATTTTGAAAGTAGTCAAGAGTGCAGCTTGTGAAGTCAGACTTGCTTGCATTCAAAACTTCCCTCTGCCATTTATTATCTGTGTGACCTTGGAAAAGTTACTTAACCTCTCTGAACCTCAGTTTCCTTGCCTGTAAATTTCAGATAATAAAAACACCTGCTTCACTGGGTTGTTGAAATAATTAATTGAATTAACCCATAAAAAGCATTAAAAATAGCACATAGTAAGCCTCTCAGCTATTATTATAGTGGTGAAAAAGTTGTGGTAGTTGTTATTTGAAAACACCTTAGGTGACTGATTCCTTTTTGCTTCTACTGCATTAGGACAGAATACATAGAGTCAGAAGGAAGGCAACCCATTCCAGTTTATTAAAATGCTAAGACTAGTTAGTACCTAACATACAAGTGGCAGGGTTAGAATTCAGACTATCTCCAAAGTTCATATATTAAAAAAACACTGTTCACTTTGGGAGGCCAAGGCAGGTGGATGATTGAGGTCAGTAGTTCGAGACCACCCTGGCCAACATGGTAAAACCCCATCTCTACTAAAAATACGAAAAAAAAAAAATTAGTCAGGCATGCTGGGACATGTCTGTAGTCCCAGCCACTCGGGAGGCTGAGGCAGGAAAAAACACTGTCTTGGCCAGGTGCAGTGGCTCCCAGCACTTTGGGTGGTAGAGATGGGAGGATCACTTGATGCCAGAAGTTCGATACCAGCCTGGTCACCATAGTGAGACACCATCTCTGTTAAATAAATAAATAAGAATAAGAAATAAAAATAAAAACCACTGTCTTATACTGCCTCTAAGATTAAAAGAGTCATACTGAACTTTTGCCTTTGATTAATATTAGTAGTCTAAGTGTAAGTTCCTCTGAGCTGGCCACACCATGGTCAAGGCATTGTGACATTCTCCCACCCTTGTGATAATGTACTTTGTGATATTCCCTATCCTTGTGAATGTGCTTTGTAACGCTCCTGCCCGCCCTTGTGACAATACAGTCTCCCCCTCCGCCTTGTGAACGTACTTTGTAACATTCCTCCCTGCCCTTGTGACAATGCGTCCTCTCTGCCCTTGTGAATGTACTTTGTAACATCCTCCCCGCCCTTGAGAATGTACTTTGTAACATCCATCCTTTGCCCACAAAAATTGCTCCTAACTCCACGGCCTATCCCAAACTTATAAGAACCAATGATAATCCCACCACACTTCGCTGACTCCTTTCTCGGACTCAGCCCACTTGCACCCAAGTGAATAAACAGCCTTGTTGCTCACACTAAGCCTGCTCAGGTGGTCTCTTATACAGATGCGTGTAACAGTTAGTACACGTGGAGTCAAACTAAGAGAAAACCTGTAACAGAAAACAAACTGAAAGCGTACTTAAACAATGAATTTCTATGATGTGCTAAAGCTGTGGAAAAGATCTGAGAAGAATCTGATTCATAAGAAGAATGCAGTGAGCCAAGATCGCGCCACTGCACTCCAGCCTGGTGACAGAGTGAGACTCCATCTCAAAAAAAAAAAAAAAAACAAAAAAAAAACAGCTGTGGCACTAGAAAAACTGCATTTATTGCATTTATTAAATCTAGGGAAAATTGCTTGTGATTAACTTTACCCACCTTATTTAAAATATAGTATATTGATGCCGAGCGCGGTGGCTCACGCCTGTAATCCTGGCACTCTGGGAGGCCGAGGCCGGCAGATCACCTGAGGTCAGGAGTTCAAGACCGGCCTGGCCATCATGGTGAAACCCCATCTCTACTAAAAATACAAAAATCAGCCGGGCATTGTAGCCGGCATCTGTAGTCCCAGCCACTTGGGAGGCTGAGGCATGAGAATCACTTGAGCCCAGGAGATCGCACCACTGCACCCCAGCCTGGGTGACAGACTGAGACTGTCTCAAAAGCAAAAAATAAAATACAATATAGTATATGGCCAGGTGTGGTGGCTTACACCTGTAATCCCAATACTTTGGGAGGCCGAGGCAGGAGGATTGCTTGAGGCCAGGAGTTTGAGACCAGCCTGGTCAACATAGTGAGACCTCATCTCTATTTTATAAAATAAATTTTAAAAATAAAATATAGTATATGATACAAATAGTTCAATTCACATAGTTCTCAGTGGTTTTCAGTTAAAAATAATAGTAACAAATAGAGTAGCCTAGCGTTGGGAAGCTCAGGCTCTAGAGGCAGATGTTCTCAGTTTCAATCACTGTTCTTCTCTTAATAGCTACATAACCTGGAGCAGATTACTTAATCTCACAAAAATTCAGTTTCCTTATCTATAAGATGAGCTTCATAATGATTCCCAATTCATAGAGTTGCTTTAAGGATTAAATGAGATAATACAATATATGGAAAGCTCTTAGCTCAGCACCTGGCACATAATAAGCACTCAATAAAGGTGGGCTGCACTTAAAACTAGAAGCATATTCATTTGAATCAGTAGCTCTCAGCCATGACTGCACAATGGACTCCCTCCCTGGTGGTGGCATTTTATAAAGTACTAGTGACCTGGCCCTACACCCAAAGTTTCATATTCAATCAGTCTGAGGTGTAGCCTGGGCACTCGCATTATTTTAAAACAATCCCTAGAGGGCCAGGCTGGTGGGCCACACCTGTAGTTCCAGCTACTCTGGAGGCTGAGGAGGGAGGATCCTTCAAGACCAGGAGTTATTCTCTTAAAAACAAACAAAAATAATCCCCAGATGACTTTAATGTTCCGTCCAAATATTGAGAACACAGGTTTAGATCAAGGGCCAGCAAACCAGAGGCTGCAGGCCAAATCTGACCCCTACATATTTTTTGTAAATAAAGTTTTATTGAAATACTCCTACCTATTTATGTATTATCTGTGGCTACTTTTTTTCTTTTTTAACCAACTGATAATCACTTAAAGAAAATTGATTAATCCTGTGCAGAGGTGACTTCAACAGCTGGCTCAATACTGATGAAAGTAATCAATTTAGCAATTCAGAAGTTCTGTGTCAGTCAGTGAGTCGCTTGTGGATTCTTATGGGGATTTATCTTGGATTCTTACAAGTCTTAAACAAACTTCACCACAGGAGTTTTTCTCTTAGTGATTCTTAGAATCTTGGTAGGGATCTAAAATGGTCCTTTCACTTTGAGATTATTTTCCTTTGCACTTTTGATCAAGTCAGCACACATCTTCTCCAGGGATGTCAGGTTGCAGCTAGTTAGGGTAATTTTATTTTCAGAGACAGGGTCTCGCTCTGTCGCCCAGGCTGGAGTTCAGTGGCGCGATATCAGCTCACTGCAGCCTCGACCTCCTGGGCTCAAGAGATCCTCCCACCTCAGCCCCCCAAGTAGCTGGGACCACAGGTGCGCACCACCACGCCCGAATAAATTTTGTATTTTTTGTAGAGAAAGAGTCTCTCTATATTGTCCAGGCTAGTCTTGAACATGGGCTCAAGTGATCCACCACCTGCCTTGGCCTTCCGAAATGCTGGGACTACAAACGTGAGCCACCGCGCCTGGCCGGTTAGGGTAATTCTAATTCAGTGAATTAACTTGTGGTTCCAGGGATGTCTTTCTCATGTTGTTAAAAGCTGCGTCTGTGGCATGATTTCCTCTGGAGAGTGAACAGCGGCGAGTCAGTTGCAGGAGCGGGTGGACCAGAGTTCCGGTACAGCTGGGACCAGGTCTTCCTCAAAGAGCTATCTGTGGCTCCTTTCACTCTACAAGGCGTAATAATGACAAAGACCGAATGATCCTCAAAGTCTAAAATATTTGCCGTCTGGCCCTTTACAGCAAGTTTGCAGACTTCTAATTTAGAATAAAGTTTCTGGGCACTCTGCACCACAAGAGGGCAGTATAGCCTCAGTACGTGATAATTGAGTCTACAAAAATTTGCACATCAGGAATTACAGAAATGAACATATTTTTCCCACCTATAGGCTCCTTTCTCTAATTTACAAACATGCACAAGTCTACTCTGTCCTGAAAACCTCCATGACAAACACTGTTCCCTCCTCTATCTACCATGACTAATAAGAACACCTTTTGCCCATTGTCTTTGTTTCTTCAGCACCTAGACAATTCTTGTGTCACCAGACTCGGGCTTCAAAATTCACCTGTCCATTGAAACTACTCTTAAGGTAGCCAGTGACCTCTTCATTGCATTTTCTACATTCTCTTTCTTATATTTCTATGAGATCTCATCCTTCTTGAAATCATCTTTACGATGATACTCCATTTTTTTAGCTCTCTTCATTATCTCTCTGGCTACTCTCACGGTGACAATGCTCTTTTTTCTCCTTCTATAACCTGTGTTCCCTATTCCACTCTGTTTAAGATGGGCATCAGTCCAGATAAATGCTGTTTTTGCTTTTGCAAATTATTAGCCTTACAAAGTTTTGGGCCGGGTATGGTGGCTCATGCCTGTAATCCCAGCACTTTGGGAGCCCGAGGCGGGTGGATCACGAGGTCAGGGGTTTGAGACCAGCCTGACCAACACGGTGAAACCCCGTCTCTACTAAAAATACAAAAATTAGCTGGGCATGGTGGCGGGTGCCTGTAATCCCAGCTACTCAGGAGGCTGAGGCAGGAGAATCGCTTGAACCCGGGAGGAGGAGGTTGCAGTGAGCCGAGATCGCGCCACTGCACTCCAGCCTGGGCGACAGAGCGAGACTCGTCTCAAAAAAACAAAAACAAAACAAAACAAAACAAAGTTTGGGAATCAGATTGCTAACTTATAAGGGGCATGGCCAGGACTTAGTATGCAATGGGGCCAGGTAAGAAGGAATTGCTATTAACTGAAGAGGTTTGATCAAGTACCACGTCCCAAGGGCAGACCAGAATGAGTTGGGGGGTGAACACAATCTTCCTCAGCTTCATAATCCCACACTTCATGATCCAGTCAATTTTGGGGGCCAGACCCAAGTCTAATCCTTAGTATCTTTATACTGTTTCCTCTATCAGGGAATACCTGCTCCATTCCTTTCTCCTGGGTAACATAGGAGCTCTGTAGGATTAAAAAAAAATGGAGTTCCATGCTAGCTATAAACACTCTACTTGCAGTTACTATAATTAGCTGAGAGCTCTGGGAATTTTCAAGTTTCATTCACGCTGTAGTATGAATCAGAACTTCATCTCTTTTTCTTGCTAAATAGTGTTCCATTTTATGTATGCACCACATTGTGTTTTTCCGTTCATCTGTTGAGGGACATTTGAGTTGCTAATGTGAATAATGCTGCTATAAATATGGGTCCACAAATATTATTTCAAGACCCTGCTTTCAATTCTTTTGGTATATATCCAGCAGTGGAATTACTGGATCATGTGGCAATTCTATTTCTAATTTTTTGAGGAACCACCATACAGTTTTCCACAGCAGCTGCACCATTTTACATTTCCACAAACAGTGCACAAGGATTTCAACTTTTGTTCATCCTAGCCAGCACTTGTTATTTCCTGTTTCTTTTTAATAGTAGTCATCCTAATATGTGTGGGATGGAATCTCATTGTGGTTTTGATTTGCACTCCCCTGATGATCAGTGATATTGAGCATCTTTTCATGTGCTTATTGGCCATTTATATATCTTCTTTGGAGAAATGTCTATTCAACTCCTTTTGCCCATTTTTGAATCAGGTTTTTTTGTTGTTGTTGCTGCTGTTGAGTGTTTGGAGTTCTCTATATAAACTGGATACTAATCCCTTATAAGATACATGATTTGGGCTGGATGTGGGGGCTCATGCCAGTAATCCCAGCACTTTGGGAGACTGAGGCAAGAGGATTACTTGAGCCCAGGAGTTTGAGATCAGCCTGGACAACATAGCAAGACCCTGTCTTTACAAAAAATTTAAAAATTAACCAGATGTGGTGGTGCAGACCTGTGGTCCCAGCTACTCTGGAGGCTGAGGTGAGGATTACTTGAGCCCGGTAGGTTGAGGCTGCAGTGAGCTGTGATTGTGCCACTGCACTTCAGCCTGGGTGGCACAGAAAGATCCTGTCTCAAAAAAAAAAAAAAAAGATGTAGGATTTTCAAATATTTTTTCCAACTTTGTGGGTTGCCGTTTTACTCTGTTGATAGTGTTTTTGATGCACAAAAGCTTTTAATTTTCATAAAGTCTAAATTGTCTATTCTTTCTTTTGTTGCCAGTCCCCTTGGTGTCATATCCAAAAATTCATTGCCAAATCCAATACTGTGAAGCTTTTGCCTATGTTTTCTTCTAAGAGTTTTATAGTTTTAGCTCTCAAGTTTGTCTTTCATCCATATCAATTTAATTTTTGTATGTGATGTAAGGTAAGGATCCAACTTCATTCTTATGTTGTGTGCATATCCAGCTTTCAGAGCACCATTTGTTGAAAAGACTGTCCTTTTCCCATTGAATGGTCTTGGCTCCCTTATCAAAAATCATTTGACTGTATGTTAGAGTTTATTTCTGGGCTTTCTTTTCCATTCCATTAGTCTATATGTCTTCCTTTATGCCAATACCACACGTTTTGATTACTGTAGCTTTGTAGTGAGTTTTGAAATAAGGAAGTGTGAGTCCTCCAACTTTGCTCTTCTTTTTCAAGACTGTTTTGCCTACTCAAGGCAAATTCCATATGAATTTTAGGAAGGATTTTTCTATTTCTGCAAAAGACATCATTGGGATTTTGATGGGTATTGCATTGAATCTGTAGATGACTTTGAAAGTATTAACATCTTAACAATATTAAGTGTTCCAATCAATGAACATAGGATGGCTTTCCATTTATTTATGCTTTCTTTAATTTCTTTGGCAATATTTTGTAGTTTTCATTGTACAAGTCACATCCTTGGCTAAGTGAATTCCTAAGGACTTTGTTCTCTTTGATGGTATTAGAAATAGATTTCTTTTTCATTAATTTCATTTTCAGAGTGTTTATTCTGTTTATTACTTCATAGAAATTCAACTGATGTTTTTGTGTTGATTTTGTATCCTGCTAATTTGCTGAATTAGTTTAATAGTTCTAACAGGTTTTTTTGGTAGAATCTTTAGGACTTTGTACATATAAGATCATATCATCTTCAAACAGAGAAAATTTTGCTCTTCTTCTCAAATTTGGATTTTTTTTCTGTCTTTCTTTGTGCCTAATTGCTCTGGCTAGAATTTCCAGTACTATGTTGAGTAGAAGTGGCAAAAGCGGGCATCCTTGCCTTGTACCTGATCTTACAGGAAAAGTTTTTAGTCTTTTACTATTCAGTATGACGTTCACTGTGAATTCTTTATATATGATTTTATTATGTTGTGGTAATTTTCTTCTATTCCCAGGTTGTGGAATGTTTTTATAATGAAAGTATGTTGAATTTTGTCAAATGCTTTTTCTGCATCAATTGAGATAATTATGTGGTTTTCTTCCCCTTCGTTATGTTAGTGTGGTGTATTACATTGGTTTTCATATGTTAATCCATTATTACATCCGGGAATAAATCCCCCTTGATCACGGTATATAATCCTTAAGATGCTGCTTAATTCTTTTGGCTAGTATTTTATTGAGGATTTTTATATGAATGTTCAAAAGGGATATTGATCTGTAGTGTCCTTATTGTATCTTTGCTAGCTTTGGTATCAGGGCAAAACCAGCCTCACAGGATGAACTAGGGAGTGTTTCCTCCTCTTAAATTTTTTGGAACAGCTTGAGGATTCATGTTAGCTCTTTAAATGTTTGGTAGAATTCACCACAGAAGCCATCAGATCCAGGGCTTTCTTTGTCAGGAGATTTTTTTTATTACTGATTAGATCTTACTAATTATGAGTCAACTCATAGTTTCTATTTTTTAACGATTCAGTCTTGGTAGGTTTTGTGTTTCTAGGAATTTGTCCGTTTAATCTGGGATATCCAATTTGTTGGCATACAATTGTTCATAATACTCTCTTATAATCCTTTTTATTTCTGTGAATCAATAGTAATGTCCCACTTTCTGATTTTAGTATTTTAGTCTTCTCTCCTTTTATTCTTACTCAGTCTAGCTAAAGATTTATCAATTTTGTTCGTCTCTTCAAAGAACAACTTTTGGATTAGTTTCTTTTCTTTTTCTTTGAGACAGAGTCTCGCTCTGTCACCCAGGCTGGAATGCAGTGGTGCAATCTCAGCTCACTGCAAACTCTGCCTCCCGGGTTCAAGTGATCCCCTCACCTCAGCCTCCCAAGTAGCTGGGATTACAGATGTGCACCACCACACCTAGCTAATTTTTGCATTTTTTGCGGAGACAGAGTTTCACCACATTGGCCAGGCTGGTCTTGACCTCCTGGCCTCAAGTGATCCACCCACCTCGGCCTCCCAAAGTGCTGGGATCACAGGTGTGAGTCATCGTATTTTCTTTATTATTTTTCTGTTCTCTGTTTTGTTTATCTCTGCTTTTATCTTTATTAGTTCCTTCCTTCTGCTAGCTTTGAACTTTGTTATCTTTTTCTAGTTCTTGAAACTGTAAGTTAGGTTGTTGATTTGAGATCTTTCTTCTTTCTAAATATGAGAATTTATAGCTATAAATTAACCCCTTTACATGGCTTTTGTTGCATCCTCTAAGTTTTGGTATGTTGTATTTTAATTTTCATTTATCTCTAAGTATTTTCCAATTTCCCTCTGTGATTTCTTCTTCCTCTTCTAAAGGGAGGTCCTAGAATATAGTTCCTGATAAGCTATGACAAAATTTTAGTATGTCGAGTGGGGTACCTCAGTAGTCACTCTCATAGAAGTAGACTATAATAGGCCGGGCACAGTGGCTCACGCCTGTAATCCCAGCACTTTGGGAGGCCGAGGCGAGCGGATCACGAGGTCAGGAAATCGAGACCATCCTGGCTAACACGGTGAAACCCCATCTCTACTAAAAATACAAAAAAAATTAGCCGGGCGTGGTGGCGAGTGCCTGTAGTCCCAGCTACTCGGGAGGCTGAGGCAGGAGAATGGCGTGAACCTGAGGCAGGAGAATGGCGTGAACCTGGGAGGCGGAGCTTGCAGTGAGCCGAGATCACGCCACGGCACTCCAGCCTGGGCGACAGAGCAAGACTCCATCTCAAAAAATAAAAGAAAAAATAAAAGAAGTAGACTAGAATAGTGGTTACCACAGGACGGGGAGAGTAGTTGGGGAGCAAGCATCATGACAGATTGTTCAGTGAGTACAAAGCTGTAGTTAGATAGGGGGAATAAGTTCTGGTGGTCTATTGTATACTAGGATGACTAGAGTTAACAATAATGTCTGTTTCAAAAGAGCTAGAGGAGAGGTTTGTTAATGTTATCCTCACAAATAAATAAATGTTCAAGGTGATGGGTATGCTAATTACTCTAATTTTGTCATTGCACAATTTATACAGGTATTGAAACATCACATTACACTCCATAAATATGTACAATTATTATGTGCCAGTCACAAAATTTTTTTAATGTACATAGGATAATGGTCCAATGATCAAGAATGTCAGGATAGCTAACAAATACTTTGAATAAAATATAATACAGTAGGATGATTAAAAAAAGAAACTCGGGGTAAGAAAGAATATTTTGCCGGGCACAATGGCTCACACCTGTAATCTCAGCACTTTGGGAGGCCGAGGTGGGCAAATGGTTTGGATTCAGGAGTCCAAGACCAGCCTGAGCAACATGGCAAAAACCTGTCTCCACTAAAAATACAGAAAATTAGCTGGGTGTGGTGGTGCACACCTGTAGTCTCAGCTACTTGGGAGGCTGAGGCAGGAGGATTGCCTGAACCAGGGAAGTTGTCTGCAGTGAACCATGATTGCACCACTGCACTCCAGCCTGGGCAACAGGAGTAAAAAAACACTGCCTCAAAACAAAGAAGAAAGAATATTTGTAGAATATATAAAAGTTCTCTAAAAGCATCAACAGTGGGTAATAGGAAAGAATCACTATTGTAATACTCAGAATTGTCAAGTTATAAAATGTAAAGGAAGGACAGCTGAATACGAGAAAACTATATTTTGAAAAATAACAATGTGGGCCAATTTTTAAATAAACCATATAAATACCAGGGCTATGTAGGAAAATCTCACATAGGTTTTGCTATTGTTTTTCTATATGCCTTATAACTCTGGTTCCTCGTTCCTGCATTACTGTCTTCTTTTGTGTTTAGCTGGGGTTTTTTGTAGCGTAATGTTTTACTTTTCTTCTCATTCCCTTTTGTGTATATTCTATAACCATTTTATTTAAGGTTGCCATGGGGATTACACTTCACATCCTGAAGTTATGACACTCTAATTTGAATTTATACCAACTTAACTTCAATAGATACAAAAACTCTGCTCCTATACTGCTGACTCCCCACCCCTTTCAGCTATTGATATCATAAAATATCTTTATACATTGTGTGTCCAAAAACATAGACTAATAGTTGTTTTTTAAAATGTATTAGTCTCTAAAATGATGTAGAAAACAAAATGCAGAGTCTCAAACTGAAGTTACAATAATACTAGCTCTTAGACTAATAATTGTATTTTATACCGGAAATTTTATGCTCATTTTTACTTCTACATAAATTTTTTTAAAAGAAGCATTTTGGTTGAGAGAGAATAAAGAAGATGAGGAAGATTTTTTTAAAGACTAAGAAGAAAAAGTAGAAAGGGGTAGGAGAAGGAAAAGGAAAAAGATGCTTATTTAGTCTCAAGTGAGTCATGACCTATAGCATAATGCTATAGTTTTATACATGTGCCTTTAGCAAAATAATACTATCACTAAGTAAAGCTCATCTATAATTGTAGATGTTTTTAGATTTAAAAGTTGAATTTAGGATCTTTATGGGGTAATTAGAACTGGTATTAAATTCCTATTATAAACAACTAGAAAATTGGATAAAATATAAGAAAAAAAAATGCCTTCGGACATTGAACAACAAGTAACCCAGGAGAGAAAGCACAGACACAAAGTAAGCCTTACAGTTTCCCTGGCTTTCTGCATTGAGGTAATTTCTGAACCACAGACATTACAGAGCAGAATTCCAGGAAGGAGAGAACTATGCAGGAAAAAGAGCTCCAGAAATCTGCATGGGAGTTTCCTCAAGTCAAGACTACTGGGCCATGCACACATACAGTAAAATTCCACAAGGCCAGGGGAAAAGTGGGATGATATCAATGATAAAACTGAAGCAGAGCAGAGGAAGAATATGGAAATTTCTTGGGTCAAACATTAACATCAAGGGGTCTAGGAAAGAATAGAGGTTTAATGACCAATTTGTGGTAACTAACAGATCTACTTACCCGTTGGGCCTGATCTTAGCCTGGAAAGGGGATGTGGAATGAAAGTAATGAAGAAAGACTCAACAGCTCACTGTAGCTCTTCTTTACAATTCTCCATGAGGGCTTTGTAAGTTGTTGAAGGTATTATTCAAAACCTGCCAATTTAATTCAAAGTGGTGGAATTGCATTCTGAACGATTTCTAAAATACTGGGTCAAATCAGGATAGCTAAGTTATGCTGTGGTAACAAACAACCCCAAATCTCAGTGGTTAAAGACAATAAAAGTTTATTTCTCCCCCAAATTATATGTCTCATCCAGGTGTTGACTCTGCTCCATATAGTCACTCAGGGAACTAGGCTGACAGATGCTCCACTGTCTTGCAGCTATGCCATCTGGAATGCATAGCCAACTTAGTCACCAGAGTAAGGGAAGAGAAAAAATGGAGAATTTCATGTGGGTTTTTTACTGTCTTACCCCAGAAAGGACACATACTAATTTCCACTCATTTTTCATTGGCTAGAGTTAGTATTGTGGCTTCACTTAACTGCAAGGGGGCCAGGAATAGAGGAGCAAATGGAATATTTAGAGAGACTTACTGTGTTTACCACAGCTAGAAAGCTGGTGTTAACATTTCTCACCACCCAAATCTAACCTTCACTTACAAGTGATGGGGGAGATGGTGAGCTGCCTGCTCCCCATTCAGAAAGAACAGTGGTTGCTAGGTAGTGTCTCCTGAGAGTGTTGACCAGGCTTGGCTGGTCTTATAGGAGACATTCAGTGGCTTCAACCTACTCTGTGCAGTCAGAGCCCTGCCCTTCAGACACTAAGGCTGTTTTATTTTTAGTTTCAGAAAAAACCCTGCTTTCAGAGGAACTTCAAATTATATTTGTCTGTGTGTGATCCAAGAGCCAAAGACAGATTAAATGATTCCAGTGGACATACTGCTCTGATTATGGTGAGAATTTTCACATGGTTAGAAACTTCCAGTTAGTTTCCATTTTCCTTGCTACCTCAATATTTCCCTTGGAAATGTGGCACATGCAATGAAGGGCTTATATTCAAATATCGATTTTTTACTTGACTCTGAGGTAGAAGCTCCTACAAAAATTCTACCGCCCCAACCAAACATGAGTTTGGAAGGGTAAGCCTTGAGGAATCAGTCAGCATAATGGCTGAGAGACAGGAGAGGGGAGGTTTAGTGGAGATGTGGGATTTGAAAGGATCATACTCGGGCCCTTTACCTTCTATTTTGGTTTCCTTTCCTTGGTACAACACCTCTTCTGGTTGCATCCCTTCTCCAAGAGGGTTTTTCCCTTCTATTGCATGATCCTCCTAAGACGTATCCTTGGCTTAAGCAGGTGAATAAATGTATCTTTAGTTAACTTCCTGTCATAAAAAAACTAGAAAATAAGAATACATCTGAAAACCCATGAGGAAGGTACAGAATGTAAAGAATAAATAGAATCAAGCTCCTTGGCCTTTTAAAAGGCCATTTAGATGGCAATTTTTGCAGTTTTTAGATAGCAAAAATTTGGGGTGAGAGGTGTTAGTATGCAGAGGGAGAAAGCTCAGGAAAGAATAAGCCAGTGATACCTTGAAGTACGAACAGAAAGGGAAAGGGTAAGAAAATGGCACCTGTGTGCTTCTCTAGGAGGAGGTACTTAAAATCCATGTGCTGCCCACATTTCTCTGCAGAGCTACATCCAACCCCTGGCAGCATGCATCATTGCCTTGGAAAATATGTCACAGCAATTATATCCTTATTCCTCTTGAGCTTCTTCCTCCGTGAGAAAATCCAAAATGCTGAATATAAACTTCTGTTGGTGAGTACCAGAACCTGATAGTGGAATCCATTTTCAATTATTAAGTAGGAAAATAGCTAAATAAAAGTCAACATTTAGGCCCCATCTATGTGGGAAACTCTAGAATTGCTGTAAATGTTCTCAGAAAAGAGAAGTAAAGACAGAATACTTTTTTAATCAACATAAAGGAAGTGAAATAATTTTGTTTTGTTTTTCTTAAGAAAAGATGGCTGGGCGCAGTTGCTCATGCCTGTAATTCCAGCAATTTGGGAGACCGAGGTAGTCAGATCAGGAGTTTGAGACCAGCCTGGCTAACATGGTGAAACCCCATCTCTACCAAAAATACAAAAAATTAGCCAGGCCTGGTGGTGCACACCTGTAGTCCCAGCTACTTGGGAGGCTGTGGTGGGAGGATGGCTTTAGCTCAGGAGGGAAAGGTTGCAGTGAGCCAAGATCACACCAGTGCACTCCAGCCTAGGCAACAGAGTGAAACCCTGTCTCAAAAAAAAAAAAAAAAAAAAAGGCAATTTACTTTCTGTAAATTGCTAACCCATGAAAGAAATACATGAGTAATTTGTTATAACCATCAATGGTGACAGTGGAGAAGTATAGATAAATAAAAATAAAACAGACATTTCCAGGGGAAAACAGAGTAGTACAAGACATAGGAGACAACTGACAATGAGATGCCTAATTTGTGGTTACTAGGAGACTCGCTTGCCAGAGGGGTATGGAATAGGAGTGATAGAGACTTCCTGTAGCTTTCCTTCAAAAACTCTGCAAAGGACTTGTGTATTATTGAAAAAATCATTCAAAACCAACACTACCAGCTTGATTCACAGTTACTTTCTAAATCCCTGAATTTAAAACAGCCACTTTCCACTATCCCTTCATATATCAGCGGGATTTGACTAGGAGCAGGGAGGAAGAAAGGGGACTCCAGGTGTGGAGAGGGCAGTGCACACCCACCTCTAAAGTACCAGGCTGACTGGCAGGACTAGCAGGCAATGAGGACCTGGGTGCTGGCCACTTCCCAACCAGGACCTAGCATGGAGATGTGATTTTTTCCATTTCTCACATGAAGGATTGGAAATAGCTTCCCTAAGTGGACAACATCTGCAAGTGAGAAGACCAAACCCCACACAGTTCCTGGCCAGGCTTTGAAATCCACATTTTTGCTAAAATATCTCAGACCAGCTGGAGCTAAGCACAGGGCAGGTGTGGGGAGTGGTTCAGAAATGTGTGCACGGTCAGATGTGAGCAAAAGAAAGGACTCTAGAATTGAGGCACTGGGGCCTATGTTCCTTGAGGACAGGGCCAGGCACTGGGTGCCAGCACATCTCACAGAACCTAGCCCAGGCCTAAGCCGAGGTAGACGACACTGGCCAGCCTGACAACGGTGAGGGCAGGCAAGTGCTTACTCCGCACAAGACTTAACCCTTCCCGCAGGCACTCCACACAAACCAGGGAGCCCCACTTCCCAACCCAGGACCCATGGCCTCTGCTGGAAAGCCCTGTGTGGTTTCATGATGAGGTGGGGAAAGTGGTTCCCTGAGCCCCACACTCGGCTTCCCTGGGCACAGGAAGCTGAGGCTTGCCCAGCCTGTCCTCAAAGGCTGCTCCTCAATTGTCTCCAGGGAATCTGGGGGTGAACCTCAGGAATGACATATCTTATCCTCAGAAGGAAAAGGAGGACATAGCTTGGAAATAGCTGTCAAACAAATCAACTCTGAAAGCAAGAACCATCTGTGAACCTTCAAGGAGATGCAGAGAGACTCCCATCTTCTCCAGCAGGCTAGCTACCAATCCCTGGCTGGAGCCTGTCCCCAGGAAAAGAGTGAGTACCTGGGAGGGAGTGGCCTGACTGGGGGAAGATCAGCCAGGGTATTTTGGCCAGAAAAAGGAAGGAGGGTTGAAAAGGGAACTGACTGGCCTGTGGCAAGGAAAGAGTGTGTGTGCTCTGAGGCAGGGCCATGCTGTGGAATTTGATCCATGTTATGATCCTGAGTGTGTTTTCCTCCCACCTGGTCACCCCTTGAATGACCAACAGGACAGAAGGGCCATAGTGACCCTGGGAAGGAGCTGTCCCATAGTGAAGCTCAGTCATGGTCGGCCCCCAGGGAGGGGAAAACAGGAAGGGGGAGGAGCCGGAGGGAGCGCGGGAAAAGGCATTGGGTAGAGGGTAGGCAAAGAGGGCCATGTGGACTTCAGATCTCGGTGCAGTAGACTATTGGACCCTTGGGTTTACATAGATTTCCAGAGATCCTCTAATCCAGGTCTGGTTGACCTGTGGTAGCTGAGATAACTCTGAAGGTCAAGGCCAGGCTAAGATACTTTGCCAAGCCAGCAATTTGCCTTTGGTACCCGGCAGTCTTGCCCATGAGAGAGAGCCTTGCCCTTCATAAAGCTTCCCCAAGAGCCTTCCAAATATTGACCAAAATACTTTGACCAAAGAAAATCACATCACAATTTCTGATCAGATATTAACCTCCTATCTGGACTACATGTCCCAGGAAAAGGAATGTGAATTGTCACTGGGATCAGCCTAAGGAGAAGACCTGGGAGGAGAGTCCTAGGAATGCTTCACCATCCTGAAGTGCTCATGTGCCTCATGTCTCCCCCAGGACTGCTGACCGTGGGGATTGCCTCAATGCAGCATCCTCGTGGGAGCTACCTCTTGGACAACCTGCAGTCCATGTTCCAAGCTTCCTCATAACGTGAGCTGGAGTATATCGTGGTGCTGGTCCACCTGTCAGGTCCTGACCCTGAATGGCTTGGCCAAACAGCTGCCACTATTTCAGGTCTCTTCACACCACAGATTAGGGCCGGGAAGCTGCTGGTGATCAATCATAGCTCCCCTCTCCCAGGAGATCTGAGTGACGTTAATCACTCATCACTCTGTGAAGCCCTCTATTCCAGACAGAAAGTAGATCATGCCCTCCTCATGAACTTTGCTAGCAACCTCTCTGATTACTTTCTTTTGTTGGAAGATCATATTCATTGCACCCCCAAATTCGCTGCTGCCATCTCTTCGGCCTTATCAGCCTGGAAAGAACTACCTTGGGTGATCCTGGAGTTCTCCCACCTGAGCATCTCTGGGAAAGTTTTCTGCACCAGTGACTTCTCCCGCCTGAACACTTTTTTCCTCCTCTTCCATAAGGACACTCCTACTCACTTGCTTCTCTCTGAATTTCGTCTTCTCTTGGCCCAGAATATTCCTATTCATTTCAGTCCCTCTGTCTTCCACCACACAGGCAATTATTCTGTGTTTGATGACATGTGCTTTTCTGTGGAGAAGGACAGGGTCTTTGGTGAACCAGACAACCCTGTTGCAACTGTCCTTACTGACATGGTATCAATGTTGGCTGTGATTCTACAATACACTTATACACTGAACAAGGAGGGCTACTCTACCTTAAATCCTTTAAAAGGAAACTACTTGACAGTGATTCTGGACAGGCCACAAAAAAACACCCAGATAGCAGTCGGGAGGTACCGACTGCAGCAGGGGCAAGTGGAACCGGGCTATGACCCCCAGGAGGATCCCAAAAGCTGTGCTCGCTATGCCCTGCTAGGGCCACTGGTGGGAGGAAATTTGGACCAGGTAGTATTTTCTGAAGAAGAGTCTGTGGAACAGTTGAATTGTATCCGGCTGCTGGTGTTGGCATCTCAAGAGTCTTGACTCCTGATCAAGCAGATCAAAGTCTGGACTGAGCCTGAGGAAGAGGAGAGATAGAGGGCACAATGGGGATTCTGGAAGAATTGGGTCTGAGAATGGAATCTACATGGTTGGGAAGAAATAAACTCAGGCACCGATCAAAAGCTACTCATTTTAGTAGAGTGGTCATACAATTTATTGCTCAAACTAGAACACTTTTTCTCTTTCTGTTTTTTTTTTTTTTTTTTTTTTTTTTGAGAAGAGTTTTGCTCTTGTTGCCCAGCTGGAGTGCAATGGCGCAATCTCGGCTCACCGCAACCTCCACCTCCCAGGTTCAAGCAATTCTCCTGCCTCAGTCTCCTGAGTAGCTGGGATTACAGGCATGCACCACCACGCCTGGCTAATTTTTTTTGTATTTTCAGTAGAGACGGAGTTTCTCCATGTTTGTCAGGCTGGTCTCAAACTCCCGACCTCAGATGACCCACCCGCCTCGGCCTCCCAAAGGGCTGGGATTACAGGCGTGAACCACTGCGCCCAGCCCAAACTAGGACACTTTTGAAAGTGAAAGGAAAGGAAGCACTCTTAAAAACTGCACTAGAACAAGAGATATAAACCAGGACTGTCCCGGGCAAGATAAGATGTAATGTCCCCCTAATGATGAGTTTTAAGATAGATGACACAGTCTGATGAGGGGTGAAGCCAAGACAATATCCTTCTGGCTTCCAAGCACCAGGGAGAGGGAAGGTGTCACCATGAACTGCCTTGTTCTTGTCTATATACAGGTATAACGCCCTCAGATCTCTCTTTGAGGGAATTATTGCTCTATTTAGAGTAGGCAATAGTCTTAATAGTATATTCACGAGGGTGGAACTGACTTTAGTTCACATCTGTAGACCCAAACCTCCAATGTACCAAGGTTGAGACCTTTCCAGAGCAAAGTTTGCTGAGCTGGGTTTCAGATGGATGCTTCAAGTATCCGTTAATTTCCTAGAACTATGTGCAAAATTTGTTGTAGGCTCATATGTGCATTTTTTCTAAGGAGAAGATACTTTACTTTCATTCAAGCATTGATATGTTCCATATCTTCTCCTAAAAAGTTAAGAATAGGGCCGGGCGTGGTGGCTCACGCCTGTAATCCCAGCACTTTGGGAGGCAGAGGCGGGCAGATCATGAGATCAGGAGATCGAGACCATCCTGCCTAACACGGTGAAACCCTGTGTCTACTAAAAATACAAAAACATTAGCCAGGCATGGTGGCGGGCGCCTGTAGTCTCAGCTACTTGGGAGGCTGAGGCAGGAGAATGGTGTGAACCCAGGAGGCAGAGCTTGCAGTGAGCTGAGATCACGCCACTGCACTCCAGCCTGGGTGACAGAGCCAGACTCTGTCTCAAAAAAAAAAAAAAAAAAAAAAAAAGAGTTAAGAATATCTAAACCAGCAGCTGTAACCTTCTTGAGGGAAGAAACAATATGTCACTTACAGCAGAATCTTTCTATTTCCACTGGAAAATAAGAAGTTAGGCTCACACATTCTTTCATGTATCTAATCAGCAAATATCTGGATGCATACTTAGTGTTGGATGCTTTTAAAGATGTATGAATAATAAGATGAACCAAACATTGATGACAGCAATAAGGGACTTAACAGCAAAAATCAGTAATCACACCTGTAATCCCAGCACTTTGGGAGGCCAAGGCTGGTGGATCACCTGAAGTCAGGAGTTTGAGACCAGCCTGGCCAACATAGTGAAACCCTGTCTCTACTAAAAATACAAAAATTAGCCAGGCATGGTGGCATGTGCCTGTAATCCCAACTACCCAGGAGGTTTAGGCAGGAGAATCGCTGGAACTCGGGAGGCAGAAGCTGCAGTAAGCCAAGATCACGCCACTGCACTCCAGTCTGGGCCACAGAGCAAGACTCAAAAAAAAAAAAAAAAAAGAAAAGAAAAAGAAAAAAAAAAGAAAAGAAAAGAAAAGAAAGAAAAGAAATTAGTAAATGTTAAGGCCGGGCGTGGTCGCTCACACCTGTAATCTTAGCAGTTTGGGAGGCCGAGGCGGGTGGATCACAAGGTCAGGAGTTTGAGACCAGCCTGACCAACATGGTGAAACCCCATCTCTATAAAAAAAAAATACATAACTTAGCCGTGTGTGGTGGTGCGCACCTGCAATCCCAGCTACTCGGGAGGCTGAGGCAGGACAATTGCTTGAACCCAGGAGGCGGAGGTTGCAGTGAGCAGAGATTGTGCCACTGCACTCCAGCCTGGGCGACAAAGTGAGATTCCATCTCAAAACAAAAAGAAAGAAAGAAAGAAAGAAATTAGTAAATGTTGGCTGGGCATGGTGGCTCATGTCTGTAATCCCAGCACTTCAGGAGGCCAAGGTGGGTGGATCACCTGAGGTCAGGAGTTCAAGACCAACCTGGCCAACATAGTGAAACCCCATCTCTACCAAAAATACAAAAATTAGCCAGGTGCCATGGCAGGCACCTGTAGTCCCAGCTACTCGGGAGGCTGAGGCAGGAGAATCGCTTGAACCAGGGAGACAGAGGATGGAACTGACTTGGCAGTGCCAAGATAGTGTCACTGAACTCCAGCCCGGGCAACAGAGTGAGACTCCCTCTCAAAAAACAAAAAAAAGGAAGAAAGAAAGAAAGAGAAAGAAAGAGAGAGAGAGAAAGAAAGAAAGAGAAATTAGTAAATGTACAGGGAGCTAAAATTGTTTTAACTTACACTGAAACAGTAATTTCTCGTTTGTGTATAGATTTCTAAATATATAACTATATACTGAAGTGTTCGTTTTTAAATATATTTAATATGTGTGTATACATGGTTATATATTGAGAAAGAGGGATGCTAATCAGGGTTAAAGTATTCTAAGTTTCTAGTTCAACGGAAGAGTAATCATATTAACTATAAACATTAAGTAAAAATATTTGTGTTAAATTTTTAGGATAATTCCAAATGCTAGAAATAGTGTTTAATGCCCAAACTAGAGAGAAAAAGAAATGTAATGGGGAAGAAAAGAAAAACTCAACCAATCCCAATCTTTTTAGGCAATAAAAGAGGGAATAAAAATAAAAATAAAAGGTATGTGCTGTGATATAAATCACATTGGAGATAAACAAATCCATAAATATAAATATAATCTATTAAAAACAGAAATTAACTACATTTTGGCATTAGCCAAAAACAGACTGTCTTACTCAGTTGGAAAACAAATACAGCTTTTCCTGTCAATAAGAGGCTCACCTGAATCTAATAACTTTAAAAAAGTTGGAGGTAACAGCATGGAAAATTATACAGGTATACCTTGCTTTACTGCATTTCACTTTAAAATGTGCTTTGCAGATATTGTGTGTTTTACAAATTGAAGGTCTGTGGCAACCCTGCATTGAGCAAGACTATCAGTACCATTTCCCCAATAGCCTGTGTCACTTCATGTCTCTGTGTCACATTTTGGTAATTCTCAAAATATTTCAAACTTTTTCATCATTATTATTATATCTGTCATGGTGATCTGTGGTCAGTGATCTTTGATGTTACTAATGTTATTTGGGGGTGCCATGAACTAACCCTTATAAGACAGCAAAGTTGATCAATAAATGTTGTGTGTGTTCTGACTGCTCCACCAATCAACCAGCCACTCCCCATCCCTCTCCTTCTCCTTGGGCCTCTCTATTCCCTGAGACACAATGTTGAAATTATGCCAACTGGCCAGGTGTGGTGACTCACGCCTGTAATCCTAGCACTTTGGGAGGCCAAGGCGGGCAGATCACGTGAGGTCAGGGGTTTGAGACCAGCCTGACCAACATAGTGAAACCCCATCTCTACTAAAAATATAAAAATTAGCCAGGCATGGTGGCACATGCTTGTAATCCCAGCTACTCAGAAGGCTGAGGAGGGAGAATCATTTGAACCTGGGAGGCAGAGGTTGCAGTGAGCCAAGATTGTGTCACTGACTGCACTCCAGCCTGGGCAACAGAGCAAAACTCCATCTCAAAAAAAAAAAAAAAAAAAAAAAAAAAAAAAAAAGAGGCCGAGCACAGTGGCTCACACCTATAATCCCAGCACTTTGGGAGGCTGAGGCAGGCAGATTACCTGAGGTAAGGAGTTCGAGATCAGCCTGACCAACATGGAGAAACCCCATCTCTACTAAAAATACATAATTAGCCGGGCGTGGTGGCACACGCCTGTAATGCCAGCTACTCGAGAGGCTGAGGCAGGAGAATCACTTGAACCCGGGAGGCGGACGTTGTGGTGAGCCGAGATGGTGCCATTGCACTCCAGCCTGGGCAACAAGAGTGAAACTTGTCTCAAAAAAAAAAAAAAAAAAGAGAAAGAAAGAAAAGAAATTATGCCAATTAATAACCCTACATTGGCCTCTAGGTGTTAAAGTAAAAAGAAGAATCACATGTCTCTCTCTTTAAATCAAAAACCAGAAATGATGAAGCTTAGCAAGGACGGCATGTTGAAAACCAAGACAGGCTGAAAGCTAGGCCTCTTGTGTCAAACAGTTAGCTAAGCTGTGAATGCAGATAAAAAGTTTCTGAAGGAAATTTAAAGTGCTACTCCAGTGAACATACGAATGATAAGAAAGTGAAACAGACTTATTGTTGACAGGGAGAAAGTTTGAGTGGTCTGGTTAGATCAAACCAGCCAAAACATTCCCTTAAGCCAAAGCCTAATCCAGAGCAAGGCCCTAATTCTCTTCAATTCTATGAAGGCTAAGAGAGGTGAGGAAGCTGCAGAATAAAAGTTTGAAGCTAGCAGAGATTGGTTCACAAGTTTAAGGAAAGAAGCCCTCCCCATAATATAAAAGTGCAAGGTAAAGCAGCAAGAGCTGAAGTGTAGCAAGTTATCCAGAAGATCTAGCTAAGATTATTAATGAAAGTGGCTACACTAAACAACAGATTGTCAATGTGAATGAAACAGCCTTCTAATGGAAGAAGATGCCATCTAGGACTTTCATAGCTAGAGAAGAGAAGTCAATGCCTGGCTTCAAAGCATCAAAGGACAGGCTCACTCTCCTGTTTGGGGCTAATGCAGCTGGTGGCTTTAAGTTGAAGCCAATGCTCATTTACCATTCCAAAAATCCTAGGGCCCTAAAGAAATAGCTAAATCTACTCTACCTGTGCTCTAGAAATGGAATAACAAAGCCTGGATGACAGCACATCTGTTGACAGCATGGTTTGCTGAATATTTTAAGTCCACTGTTGAGAACTATTGCTCAAAAAAAAAAAGATTACTTTAAAAATATTATTGCTTATTGGCAATGCACCTGGTCACCCAAGAACTCTGATGGAGATGTACAAGAAGATTAATATTGTTTTTATGCCTGCCAACACAACGTCCATTCTGCCATCTATGGATGGATCGAGGAGTAATTTTGACTTTCAAGTCTTATGATTTAAGAAATACTTTTAGTAAGGCTATAGTTTTTTCGGTTTTGTTTGTTTTTGAGACAGAGTCTCGTTCTGTCACCCAGGCTGGAGTGCAGTGGCACAATCTCAGCTCACTGCCACCTCCACCTTCCAGTTTCAAGTGATTCTCCTGCCTCTGCCTCCTCAGTAGCTAAAGCTACAGGCACCCGCCACCATGCATGGCTAATTTTTTTATTTTTAGTAGAGACGGGGTTTCACCATGTTGCCCAGGCAGGTCTGGAATTCCTGACCTCAAGTGATCTGTTGGCCTCAGTCTCCCAAAGTGCTGGGATTACAGGCATGAGCCACTGCACCCGGCCTAGTGAGGTGATACTTGCTTGATTCCTCTGACGGATCTGGGAAAAATAAGTTGAAAAATCTCTGAAAGCATTTACCATTTCAGATCCATTAAGAACATTTCTTATTCATGAGAGGAGTTCAAAATATCAACATTGACAAGAGTCTGGAAGAAGTCAATTCCAGCCTTCCTGAATGACTTTGAAGGGTTCAAGACTTCAGTGGAGGAAGTACCTGCAAAGGTGGTACTTCTGGTTCAAGAGAACTAGAATTAGAAATGAAGCCTGAAGATGTGACTGAATTGCTGCAATCTCATGATAAAACTTAAACCGGTAAGGAGTTACTTCTTATGGATGATCAGAGAAGGGGGTTTCTTGAAATGGAATCCACTGCTAGTGAAGATGCTATGAACATGGAAATGACAATAAATGATTTAGAATGTTATATAAACAACTGATGAAGCAGCAGCAGGATGTGAGAGGACTGACTTCAATTTTGAAAGAAGTTCTACTATGGGTAAAATGCTATCCAGCAGTGAGTGTCACCCGCCACAGAGAAATCTTTTGGGAAAGGAAACGTCAGTCAATGTAGCAAACTTGATTGCCATGAAGGAAGGAAGCCAGTAAATAAATCACTGGTAATTTATTTATAGGAGAATTGTATAGCAGTGTTCTTCATTAGAGGAAGGGAGATGAGATCCAGTGCTTGAGCAGAGGGAGTGATTTTAAATTAACTAATGGAAACAGGTGGAGAAGGCAGAGTATATGGGTGCTAAAGCTGGTGGCTCGGTAGATATGGTGGAGGGAGTCTGTAGAAGTTCTCTTCTGATTACTTTAATTTCTCAGTGAAAAGAAAAGAGGCAAAGTCATGAATTGAGAGTGAGGATGGAGAAAAGGTATGGGAGGCTTAGAGGACAGAGAAGGTGGGAAATTGTCTATGAGATTATGAGAGAGAATGGATTAGGGAAGCATTACAGACAACATTAAGGGCCTACTCAAGGCTCTTGATTATGAATTCAACATGACGCCAGTCAGCACGGTTGTGTGTTTCCTCCACCCATGGTGAGCTAAATAGGTGCAGGCTCAGAATAAATAGAGAAGATTGACCATTGGATTTAAACTGTGTTGTGGATTTTCCAATCTTATACAATGAATTGAGAAGCAAAGAAGTTAAAAATATATGCAAGGCAATGACTATAGGGATGCAACACTGAGTTAAATCTGTGTAAGCATGGGAGAAAAGATATCAGGGAGATACAGTGTGGTAAGAGATGGAAGCAGTTCAATGTCTGGGTCAGTACTCGGTGTCAGTTGTATCTTATCAAGACATGAGGAGCCCTGATGACCTCTCATGCTTGTCAGAAACCTTGTCCCAGTACCTGAGGAAATCTCCCCACTGAAAACAATCCAGCGACTACAGATATTACTAAAGGCAAAACAAAACCAAGAAAAATCTAACAAAGCATCCCCAACTTCCATAGGAACCTTGTTCAATGTCACGCATTTTCTAGAGTGACCATGTGGTAGGTAAATATCATTGGCCTTAAGAATGAGGATTTGAAGGCAAAGTGCATGAATAAAAAACATAGCTCTGCCTCTTGAGCAAGTTCTTTTGATCCCTCTGGGCATTTTTCTCATCTCTAATACAGGAATAAAAATAGCTCCTACTAATGAGGTTGTGAAAATTAAATGATTTAATTAATGAAACACACTTAAAACAGTAGCAGGCATGTACTAAGGGCTTGTTTATATTAGCTAATACCATCAGTATCATCATCATTTAAAGGGTTAACTCCTAATTCTTCACAAGAATACCATCTAGCCACTGCCTACGTCTGCCAGCTCATTGCTACTGGCCATCCTACACTCTACTCACTTCCTGGAATACCATTTTTCCCTTTATTCTTTGACAAATTACAAGGCTCAAAGAGGCATGGAGAACTTGGACTTGATTCAGACCACGTCCTTAGCAAAGACTGATCAAGGCACAGCACCACTCAAAATAAGGGGTAGTGGGCAGGAAAACGAAGATTAAAAAAACAATTAGAAAAAAGAAAGAAAGAAACAATCAATCTCAATAATTTCCAGGGCTCTTTCTGTGCCCATGGAAGGCACTAATTCTCTCCAGATATTGGCTCCTCACCCCAGCCTCTACCATGGCAAGAAAGCAGATGCTGAAAAACAGATGCTGAAACTTGGGCTGTTTTAAACAACAAAGAGTGGCAAAGAACAGAGCAAAAGCAAAAATAAAATGAGACCATAAAGAAGTGTTTGAGTTGGCTTCCCCACTTCCACTCTACCATCGCCCTACATATACCTTCTTCCAAGCCTCCCTGCATTCCATTGTTCCAGGGTCCTTTTTTCAACCGTGGTTCTCAATCAGGAGCAATTTCCCCCCCTGGGGACATTTGGCAATGTCTGGAGATATTTTTGGTTGTCACAGCTAGAAGATACTATTGACATCTAGTGCAATAGCTGGGGATGCTGCTGTGAACAGAGAATAAATCTCAGGACCCCAAAATCACTAAGCCAAAGGGAAAAGTCAAGCTGGGAACTGTGTCAGTCAGACAAACCTGCCTCCCTCCTTTTTTTTTTTTTTTTTTTTTTTTTTGACCGAGTTTTTCCTCTTGTTGCCCAGGCTGGAGTGCAGTGGCACAATCTCGGCTCACTGCAACCTCTGCCCCCCAGGTTCAAGCAATTCTCCTGTTTTAGCCTCCCAGGTAGCTGGGATTACGGGTCCCCACCACCAGGCCCAGCTAATTTTTGTATTTTCAGTAGAGACGGAGTTTCACCATGTTGGCCAGGCTGGTCTTGAACCCCTGACCCCAGGCAATCCACCCGCCTCAGCCTCCCTAAGTGCTGGGATTATAGGCAGGAGCCACCGTACCCAGCCCTGCCTCCCATTTTATTCCTAAATAAGATAGCTACAAAGATTTTTGTTTTTTGAAGCTACATACTTTCCTCACAATTTGCCTGCAAGGAAATTCCTTGTGGGCCTCAGGATCTTTACCCTAAAACAGTTCTGTTGAATTTCACCTTGGCAAAGTACATTGATAGCTTCTCTTCACAGGTGCGGGACAAAGAACTCAAACTCATCCTGCTCACCTGAGACAAATGCGCATCTGATGGCTCCCTCTGCCTTCTTGTTTATGTAAAAATGCAGATTCATTGAGCCAAATTAAGGCATAAGTGATCATTCCTCTACCCCCACCTCACATGTAAATTGCATATTCAGTGAAAAGCTGATTGAAGACTCAAAATAATGCAACCATTTGTCTCTTATCTACCTATGACTTGGAAGCCCCTGCTTCAAGTTGTCCTGCCTTTCCAGACCAAACCAAAGTACATCTTACATGTATTGATTGATGTCTCATGTCTCCCTAAAATGTATAAAACCAAGCTGTGTTCTGACCACCTTGGGACATGTAGTCGGGACCTCCTGAGGCTGTGTCACAGGTGCATCCCTAACCTTGGCAAAATAAACTTTCTAAGTTGATCGAGACCTGTCTTGGATACTTTTCGTTCATACTGCTAAGCAAACTATAATGGGCAGAACAGCCCTTGACAACAAAGAATTGACCAGCCCAAAATGTCAGTAGCACCAAGGTTGAGAAACCCTGCTCTTTGATAAATCAGCAACAGCTTTCGTGACAGGGTGAGACCACATTTAAACAATTGTACTACAAGCAGAGAGTGTTCAAATGATGCAAGGAGAGAATAGATTTTTCAAACAGCAGATAGGTCAAAAGAAATTATTTCTACCACAAAAGGCAAAACCACTAGTTTGACGAATAAGTCATGGTACATAAAACATGTCTGGAGAAATATCTATAAGGGACAGAATTCATGAATGTAAAGTCTTTACATTTAGATTTGTGTTTGGTCAATAATATAAGGTTTTACTTGGGATTTATAGTGTAAAAATAATCTGAATCCTTGAAAGGATTATACCTATATTTTATAAATCTATGAACTTCTCTCTCAGACTCCCTCCAACCAAGATTTTACCTCTACCACTCAACCAAACTTGTTCTTGTCACGATTTCTAATGACTTCCTGATTGCACAATTTGCAATTTGTCACCATATAAAGCCATGAGATTAGCAAGGACGGAGCCCTGGATCATTTCAACATTAAGAGGTAGAGCAGATGAAGGGGGACCAAGAAAAGAGAGTGGGAAAGGGTAGATACAGAGGTAGGAGGAAAACCATTGAGTGTACTGTGAAGACAGTGCTTCAAAAGCAGGTAATAATTAGCTGGATCAAAGGCTGCTGATCGGTCAGGTTCAATGAGGCATGATCATAGATCACTGGAGATTAAAAAAAAAAAATAGCAACAAAAGGATTATAATGAAAAACTGCCCCAGCTGGGCACGGTGGCTCATGCCTGTAATCCCAGCACTTTGGGAGGCCGAGGCAGGCGGATCACCTGAGGTTGGGGGTTAGAGACCAGCCTGACCAGCATGGAGAAACCCTATCTCTACTAAAAATACAAAATTAGCCAGGTGGCACATGCCTGTAATCCCAGCTACTCAGGAGGCTGAGGCAGGAGAATCGCTTGAACCTGGGAGGCGGAGGTTGCAGTGAGCCGACATCACGCCACTGCACTCCAGCCTGGGCGACAAGAGCGAAACTCTGTAGAAAGACAGAAAAGAAAGAAAGAAAGAAAGAAAAAAGGAAGGAAGGAAGGGAGAAAGGAAGAGAGAAAGAGAGAAAGGAAGGGAGGAAGGAAGGAAGGAAGGAGGGGGGGAGGGAAGGAAGGAAGGAAGGAAAGAGGAAAAGAGGGAAGGAGGGAAGGAGGGAAGGAAGGGAGGAAGGGGAGAGAAAGAGAAAAACAGCCCCACCTCCCTTGGCCCTAGTTCTGTTCCCTAAACATAACTATAAGGCTTTCTACTATTTCTTCTAGTGTTGCATCCATCTTTCTAAATAACATACTTAAACTGCCATTTTAAAATGTTTGTTTTATAGACAATTCCTTGTCATGTTAGGACATGTCCTTTTATCCAAGTCAACAAATATCCATTTATCTTTCTCCTATTCTTTCTTTTCTTTTCTTTTCTTTCTTTTTTTTTTTTTTTTTTTTTAAGACAGAGTTTTACTCTGTCACCCAGGCTGGAGGGCAGTGGCACAATCTCAGCTTACTGCAACCTCCACCTCCTGGGTTCAAGCGATTCTTGTGCCTCAGCCTCCCGAGTAGCTGGGATTACAGGCACCCACCACTATGCCTGGCTAATTTTTGTACTTTTAGTAGAGACGAGGTTTTACCATGTTGGCCAGGCTGGTCTCAAACTCCTGGCCTCAAGTGATCCACCTGCCTTGGCCTCCCAACGTGTTGGGATTACAGGTGTAAGCCACCTCACCCAGCCCCATTCTTTCAATATAGTTAAATCAATGATTACATTATGATGCTTTTGTAAAATATTCACTGCTGAACAAGTAGTTGTGGGACAATTCTCCAAAGAATTTGTACATCTCAGACTATCTTTTCCAGGATGTTTGGGCAGCAAACAGCCTTAGAAGCTAAAGGTAGTGTCTTCCTTTTGCAGAGGGCAGATTTGTTTATTAAGACAGTGACTCCCTCTGGGAGAAATTTAGAGGCATGGTCCTCCAGCCATATTAAGGAATACTAAGATCTCCCCACTTCTCCCTCCCCAGAGATTTCTTTGCTAACCAGAAAAATAAAGATAATGTCTCCCTGTGGGGCAAAGATTGGGTAGGCTTGCTAGTGGTCCCCTTATAAGACTGGGGGTTTCCTAAGCATAGCATTTCTCAGCTATGAGACAGATGCACTGTGCGCTCAGCATCCACCCAGGCCCACTCAACATTGCTACCGCTCACCAAGTTCCCTCTTGGAACTTTCAGGGAAAGGGGAACTGTTAAGCCCATGCTGCCTGCTGTGCCATGGGTGCTAAAGGACCCACTGTTTCCTTACCGACTGGATTTATGGAGATGTGGCAAGTCAGTCTAGAAGCTTCACTGTGTTTGGGAATTGTTTGACCTCTTGATTAAGCAGTAGTGATCTGTGATTATATTTTATGTGTAATATTTTTCCTAGAGCAAATAATTGCCTCTTTTATTATTTGCATTATCCTAGCCACTTGAGGTTCATCGGTAAACAGACCAAGTTTGTAACCCTCATGGAGCTTACATACTAAAGCGGGAGACAGACAATGAAGATAAACAAGTGTGAAGCAGAAGAATTGCAGGGTTTCGAGTGAAGGGTTTGGCATGATCTGGCTGAAGTTATAAAAGTAATACTCTGCCTACTATGTAGAGACTAGATTACAGAGGAACAAGGATGGAAACAGGGCCAATGAGGATGCTTCTGCAGGAATCCAGGCAAGAAAAGATGATGGTTTAGACCAGAGTGGTGGCAATGGAAGTGGTGAAAACAGCCAAATGTTGAATATATTTTGAAGACGAAACCAAAAGAATTTTCCGAAAATTGGTTGTAAGCATTGAGAAGAGGAGTAAGGATAACTGCAAAGTTTTTGTCCAAACTACTGGAAGGATGGAGTTGCCATCCACTGAAATGGGAAGGCTTCTTTGCATGTCATTTAAGGAAATTTGATAATTTTCTCATAAGAGTTCTGTACCTCCTTTGTTATTTTTATTTCCTGGGTACTTTGTATTTTCTGTTGATATTAAACTATCAATGTATATTTAATAATTATGGTGAAATGGACTTCATTCTATTTTAGCTTCATCTTATATCTAGCAATTTTCTTCAAGTTTCTTATTGTTTATAACTAAATGTTGTGCCAAAACTTAAGTATAAGTCTAACAAAACATCTACAGAATGTGTATGTTGAAAATTATTAGATACTAATGAAAGAAATTTTAAAAGACCTAAAGAAATGGAAACATTACATTCATGGATCTGAAAACTTAACATAATAAAGATCTCATTCTCTTCTATACTGATGTATAGATTTAACACAGTTCCAATTGAAATCCCAGCAGAATTCTTTTGGAATTGAGATTAGACAAGCTAATCTCAATCTATATAGAAAGGCAAAGAACCAGAATAGTTAAAACAATGTTGGAAAAGAAGAATAAAGTTGGAGTAATCACACTATCTAATTTCAAGACCTACTATAAAGCTACAGGAATCAAGACAGTATGGTATTCATGAAGGGACAGACACATAGTTCAATATAACAGAACACAGAAATCATAAATAGACCCACAAAAATATACCAACTGATTTTTGAGGAGAGTGCAAAAGCAGCTCAGTGGAGAAAGGATAGTCTTTTCTACAAAAGAAGCTGGAACAAAAGAACATCTGTATACAAAAATAAACAAACCATAACCTAAACCTTATACTTCATGCAAAATAAAATTTAAAATAGATCATGGATAGAAATGTAAACCACAAAGCTATACAACTTTTAGAAGAAAATATAGGATAAAATCTTTATAACTTGGGGTTAGGCAAAGTGTTCTCCGATGTGACACTTTAAATGTGCAGCATGCTGCATTTAAAGAATTGATAGATTGGACCAGCCTAGTCAACATAGTGAAACCCTGTCTCTACTAAAAATACAAAAATTAGCTGGGTATAGTGGCGCATGCCTGTAGTCCCAGCTACTCGGGAGGCTGAGGAAGGAGAATCACTTGAACCCGGGAGGCGGAGGTTGCAGTGAGCCAAGATCGTGCCACTGCACTCCAGCTTGGACAACAGAGAGAGACTTCATCTAAAAAAAAAAATTTGATAAATTGGACTTCAACAAAACTGAAAACCTTCTCAGTGCAAAAGACACTTTAAGACAATGGAAAGACAAGCTACAGGCTGAAATAAAATATTTGCAATATCCAACAAGGAGTTTTGTATTCAGAATATATAAAGAACTCTCAGCCGGGCGTGGTGGCTCATGTCTATAATCCTGGCACTTTGGGAGGCCGAAGCGGGCGGATCACTTCAGGTCAGGAGTTTGAGACTGGCCTGGCCAGCATGGTGAAACCCCATCTCTACTAAAAATACAAAAATTAGCTGGGCATGGTGGCGGGCACCTGTAATTCCAGCTAACTTGGGAGGCTGAGGCCGGAGAATCGCTTGAACCCTGGAGGCAGAGGTTGCAGCAAGCTGAGACTGTGCCATTGCACTCCAGCCTGGGCGACAAGAGCGAAACTCCATCTCAAGAGAAAAAAAAAAAAAGAGCCCTCACAACTCAAGTGGAAGAAAACAATCCAATTAAAACTGGGCAAAATACTTGAACAGACACTTCACCAAAGATGATATATAGATGGCAAATAAGAACATGTTTATTATCATCAACCATTACATAAATGCAAATTAAAATCATAATGAGGATAGCATGGTGGCTCATGTCTGTAATCCCAACACTCTAGGAGGCCAAGGCGGGAGGATCACTTGAGCCCAGGAGTTCAAGATCAGCCTGGGCAATAAAGTGAAAGCTCGTATTTACAAAACTTTTAAAAAAATTAGCCAGGAGTGGTGGCACTTGCTTGTGGTCTCAGCTACTCAGGGAGGTTCAGGTAGAAGAATCGCTGGAGCCTGGGAGGTTGAGGCTGCAGTGAGCCGTGATCATACCACTGCACTCCAGCTTGGTGACAGAGGAGACTCTATCTCAAAAAAACAAAAAAAAAAAAGTAAAATCACAATGAGATACCTCTTCATGCCTATTAGAATGGCCAAAATCAAAAGTGCTGACAATACCAATTGCTAATGAAAATGCCGCAGCAATTGGAATTCTCATCCATTGCTAGTGGGAAGGCAAAATGGTATAATCACCTTGAAAAACAGTTTGGCAGCTTTTTATATAAAGTTAAATATACACCTTCCATGTGATCCGGAAATCACACTTGTGGATATTTCAGAGAAATAAAAACTAGGTTCACATGGAAATCTGCACATGAATGTTTAAAGCAATTTCAATCATCACCAAAAATTGGAAATAACTCAAATGTCCTTCAGCTGATGAATGGATAAACAAATTATGATACAGCCATACAACAGAATACTACTAGCAATGAAAAGAATGGACTGTAAATACACATGATAACTTGGATGAATCTCAAACTATGCTGAGTGAAAGAAATCCACTCAAAAGCTTACATATTGTATAGACTTTATTTATGTGACATTCATAAAGAGGCAAAAGTGTATTGACAGGGAACACATCAGTGATAACCAGGAGTTAAAGGTAAGGGGAGGATGTGGCCATAAAGGGATAGCATATGGGAGATTTGCAGGGTGATCAAACTGGTCTATTTCCTGATTATAGTGGTGCCACAAATCTATACATATTCTAGAATTCACAGAACTGTATGCCCAAGAGTCTATTTTAATGTATGACAATTACAAATTTAAAATGAGACAGCTGGGGCCAGGCGCAGTGGCTCATGCCTGTAATTCCAGCACTTTGGGAGGCCGAGCCGGGTGGATCACAATGTCAGGAGTTCAAGAACAGTCTGGCCAAGATGGTGAAACCCCTTCTCTACTAAAAATACAAAAATTAGCCAGGCGCCATGGCGGGCGCTGTGGAAGTCGCCTATAATCCCAGCTACTCAGGAGGCTGAGGCAGGAGAATCTCTTGAACCCGGGAGGCAGAGGTTGCAGTGAGCCGAGATCGTGCCACTGCACTCCAGCCTGGGTGACAGAGTGAGACTCCATCTCAAAAAAAAAAAAAAAAAAAAAAGGCCGGGCACGGCGGCTCATCCCTGTAATCCCAGCACTTTGGGAGGCCGAGGAGGATGGATCACAAGGTCAGGAGATTGAGACTATCCTGGCTAACACAGTGAAACCCCGTCTCTACTAAAAATACAAAAAATTAGCCAGGCGTGGTGGCGGGCGCCTGTAGTCCCAGCTACTCGGGAGGCTGAGGCAGGAGAATGGCGTGAACCTGGGAGGTGGAGCTGGTAGTGAGCCAAGATCATGCCACTGCACTCCAGCCTAGGCGACAGAGTGAGACTCCATCTCAAAAAAAAAAAAAAAAAAAAGAGACAGGTGGAACTTTGAACACTGACTAGCTATCTGATGAAACTAAGTAATTGTTGTTAATTATTTTTACATGTGATAATGGTATTATGGTTATTTTTAAGTCCTTAGCTTTTAAAGATACACACTAAAATATTTAAGGACAAAGTTATAAAAAATATGGGATTTGCTTAAAAATAATACTGGAGGAAGGAACGGACTGGGGAAGAAATGAAAGAAAGGTGACCATGATTTAATAATTGTTGAAGAGGGTGATGGGTACGTCGGGCTTTATTATACTGTTCTGTCTACTTTTGTATATGTTTGATAGTTTCCATACTAAAAAGTTCAGCCAGGCACGGTGGCTTACGCCTGTAATCCCAGCACTTTGGGAGGCTGAGGCAGGCGGATCACGAAGTTAGGAGTTTGAGACCAGCCTGGCCAACATGGTGAAACCTCGTCTCTACTAAAAGTACAAAAATTAGCCGGGGATGGTGGCGCATGCCTGTAATCCCAGCTACTCAGGAGGCTGAGGCAGAAGAATCACTTGAACCTGGGAGGCAGAGGTTGCAGTGAGTCGAGATTGCGCCACTGCACTCCAGCCTGGGTGACAGAGCAAGACTCCGTCTCAAAAAAAAAAGAAAAGTTCAAAAAGGGTGTGAGGTTGTTAGTTTTCAACATCAAGCTGCCTGGTATGCAGTCTGAGTTTGCCATTTAGTAGGTGATCTTGGGCAAGTGACTTACTTGTCCTAAACTTCAGTTTCCCCCCACTCCATAAAATGAGACTACTAATGATAATATCTATCTCACAGTTGTTGTCAGGATTAAATGGATGTTGTCAGAATACGTGAAAAGCAATTTACCTAGTTCTTGCTATATTGCACATGCTCAATAAATGTTAATTTTTTTGTCATTATTACATCTCCTGGTCTGATTCCTCCATGCCATCTCCTCAGTATGAGCAAGTCTTCCTCCAAGCTTCTTTCTGGATATCTTATCTAAAAAGGGCCACTGAGTTTTACATCCTAATTCAGAATTATAAAACACAGGTTTGAAATTCTACTTCCCCCTCACACTACATTATATATATATATTTTTTTAAACAGGGTCTTGCTCTATTGCCCAGGCTGGAGTGCAGTGGCGCAATCATGGCTCACTGCAGCGTTGATCTCCCAGGCTCAAGCAATACCCCCACCTCAGCCTCCTTAGTATCTAGGACTACAGGCCAGCGCCATCGCACTTGGCTAATTTTTGTATTTTTGTAAAGACAGGATTTTGCCATGTTGCCCAGGCTGGTCTCAAACTCCTGGGCTCAAGTGATCCATCCAGCCTCCCAAAGTGATGGGATTACAGGCGTGAACCCAGCCTGTTCTATTCTTTATTGTATACCCAGGAGGAAATCCTAAACTTAAAAGATTGGGTTAAATAAAAATTCAGAAATGCCTATCTTTTCCTCCAAACTAGGAGTAATGTAAGATTACCATGAGTCGTGGTGGAGTGGAGTTCAATTCACCACAGAATCTGAGACAGGAAGACCTGCCAGGCCATCAGCCCCTTCCCACCACTCCTGCAGCATTCATTTTCAGGAGCAAAAGAGCCTTCCCACAATTACTGAGTCCAACACTTAGTTTCCAGGATAAGCCCACACCCAACCATTCTGTCCTGTGGTTCCCAGTGATACACTCACACTTGTTAGAATGTGCCACTTTGGGGTTCAGAAAATGCAATCACTGAGAGAAGCCCGAGTTGTAGTTATGCTCTCCTTTCGTTCCATACTTCCCCCTCTCTTGCCACATCTATCCACTAGAGGGAGGAAGGCCTAGAACCTCTTTAGCCAGAGTGGAGCAGTGGCAAGGATCAGTAGTGTGGCTTCTTAACCAAGCCAGCAGTGGGGATGTCAGAAGCACCGGAACATAATCGCCTCATTCTCTCGGAACAGAAAAGAGGAAGGGTCCCTTCCTTCCCCTTTTCAACCCTCTCTGCATGGATTGGCATGTCACCATGATCTGGTGCACTCACTTCCCTCAAGTCAGTGTGCAGGCTGCTTAAAAAATTCAGAGGAACATGTACTGGGGTCTTAGGAACATTTTCAGCCAGTGGAGAGGAAAAGGAAAACTAAGTATCTCTTGGATCATTCACAGAGTTCACCAAATACAACTGAAAACTGGGGGCTCTAATGTCCCTGCTGCCCTGATGGTATTAGTTTAAGATGTTGACACTGACATCTGCAGAGATCTCATCCATCACGGTATATCAAAGAGCAAATGTCATTCTAGTTGAGAAACTCATGTATGAGAAAGAATGGTCATCTTGGGAAATCTGTAGCTCCAGCGGCTCCTGATGTTTTTTCCTGCCTCCTCCTGTCCCATGCTTGTGCCCCAGGCAGAGCTCATTCCTAAAACCATAGCTGACCCTCTGTGCTGTCTTTTAAGTTATAATAGTAGCTGCCAACTGTTGAATATTTTGCTTTATGACAGGCACTACACTAAGCACGTTAACATATCTCACTGAAGCCTCACACCAAAGCTATGAACTAGATACAATCTATCTGTAGATAATAATATATATCCATCTGTAGATATCCATCTTATATCCATCTGTAGATGAAGAAACTCAGGTTGAGTAAGCTATCTAAGGTCACAGAGCCAATAAGTGCTAGAGGCAAGATTCTTATTCTGTACACTCTGCCTCCAAAGCCCACTTCTTTGACCCTAAGGGCACAAGAACCCAAATCAGGATGTGAAGCTTGGTCTTTGAAACCAAAGGAAGCTCCTGAATCATCCTGATAGGCTGACGGCTTGGCGCTGTAAACAAAATCAGTCTTTTGTCAAAAGGAAATGAAGTTGCCATGCCACTGTTCACTCCTGTAAGAGACTCCTCTGGGCTGTTCCATTCTCTTGCTGCAATTCAGCCGGTTGAAAAACTAAGGTGACTGCACAATGATTAACTTCAGGCCCTTCTGCTCTACTTTGAGCCTGTCTCTGGTTCATCGTTACACTCTCCGCTCAGCACCCGCAGACTCAAGAGATTTCCAATCCCCCAATTTAGCGTGGTTCTACCTTAGGCAGAACTCCCATCCAGTTCGGATATAAGCGGGTCGAAGTGGCAGGGACCACCTCGCTGGGAGGAGAGGCTGGAGCTGCGGTCTTAAAAGATCTTGGGGCCGGGCGCGATGGCTCACGCCTGTAATCCCAACACGTTGGGAGGCCGAAGCGGGTAGATTATTTGAGCCCTGGAGCTCGAGACCACCCTGACCAACACGGTGAAACCCAGTCTGTACTAAAAATACAAAAAAAAAATTAGCCGGGCGTGGTGGCGCACGCCAGTAGTCCCAGATACTCGGGAGGCGGAGCCAGGAGAACCACTTGAAACTGGGAGGCGGAGGTTGCAGTAACCGAGATCGCGCCACTGCACTCCAGCCTGGGCGACAGAGCGAGGCTCCGACTCAAAAAAAAAAAAAAAAGTATTGAATAAGCACCGGAGACCCTGAGCCACCGAGTAGCGGAGGGAAAGGGTGGCGCGCAGAGGGGCCCAGCCCCGCCTCTGCCGGACCCCGCCCCCAAAAGGCCCCGCCGCCGCCACCTCCTGCTAGGCCCCGCCCCCGACAGACACCCCCCCCCCCCCCCGCCAGGCCCCGCCTCCTGCCCCCCCAGCCGCGAGGTCCTGCCTCCTGCCCGGCCCCGCCCCCGGCCTGCCCCGCCCTCCGACCCGCCCCGCGGCGCATTGTGGGATCTGTCGGCTTGTCAGGTGGTGGAGGAAAAGGCGCTCCGTCATGGGGATCCAGACGGTAAGACCCTCATTCAGTATCCTCCACTGGGGGACCCCTCCCCATCTGGTTCTGGCCACTCAGCTCCGGACCAGGGGCTGTCGCTGCCGACCCCGCCCCGCAGGGCTCTGGGCCCACCGTGGATGCTGGGGTCCCGATCCCGCACATCCGGGCTCGGGACTCCGCCAGGTTACCCCTCTGCCCTTGGCATGCCTCCGCGCTGGAGCTCGGGATCGCCACCCCTGGGACGGTCACCACCCAAGCCCCGGGCTCTTACCCAGCCTGGCGGTCACGCTGCCTCCTCTACCCACAGAGCCCCGTCCTGCTGGCCTCCCTGGGGGTGGGGCTGGTCACTCTGCTCGGCCTGGCTGTGGGCTCCTACTTGGTTCGGAGGTCCCGCCGGCCTCAGGTCACTCTCCTGGACCCCAATGAAAAGTACCTGCTACGACTGCTAGACAAGACGGTAAGTTGGGGAAGAAAGGGCCAGGGTGAAGGAGGGGACCAGAGTGCTCCTGGCATGGAGGGTACAGCACCCACGGTGGTTGGGATGTCCAAGGGACGTGGCAGCGCCAGGCGCGCTTGGTGAAACACTTGTGTCCTCCACCCTCCAGACTGTGAGCCACAACACCAAGAGGTTCCGCTTTGCCCTGCCCACCGCCCACCACACTCTGGGGCTGCCTGTGGGTAAGGAAAGTGTGGAATGGGCTCCTTTCCCTGGTATCCTCAGAAGGTGACTCCCCTCCTGGGATCTCATGAAACACGCTGCTTCAACCGGTTTGCTCCACACACCATTCCCCTTCCCCCACTTGGCTCTGCATCCTCCAAGCTGTGAGGTGCCACTGGGCCCCTCTAGAGTGTGGCTTCCATGACCCCCATCCAGCTTTAACACTCAACAGTCTTGCCTCTTCCCTGCAGGATTTGCTAATTACTCCCTCTGAGCAAGCACTACTAACTTTTTCCCATTGCCCAGACCCTTTTGGCTCATCTGTCAAGGTCCTGGCAGTAACTGGCAGGAAACGCTGGAAATAAGTGTTTCCTCAACTGGGCGCTTATAAGAGATCCAACTGAGGGCTCAATGGGGCAAATCTTCCCTGCCTTGTAGCTCCTTGGGACCACAGCAGGAAGCAAGACATCTTGTTCTCTCAAATCTCTTTGAGTATTTTGAGGGATGCAGCACATCACAGACAACCCTTATGTAGCTCTCTGCACGGTCCCCAGGCAAACATATCTACCTCTCCACCCGAATTGATGGCAGCCTGGTCATCAGGCCATACACTCCTGTCACCAGTGATGAGGATCAAGGCTATGTGGATCTTGTCATCAAGGTAAGGGGCTAGGAAGGGACCCAGGGGCTGCTTACCCATTCTTTCTGGGATTTGTAGAAATTTCTAAGATTTGCCTGACAGCAGGAAATGGTATGTACTCTGTGGATGTGAAGAAAGTATGAGCTACTCAGGAGACTGAGGCAGGAGACTCACTTGAACCCAGGAGGCGGAGGTTGCAGTGAGCCAAGATTGCGCCACTGCACTCAAGCCTGGGCAGCAAGAGCAAAACTCTGACTCAAAAAAAAAAAAGAAAGAAAGAAAGTATGTAGACGGGGAAAAGATAGCACATATCTGATCCCTGCCCCAGCCTCAGGGAGGTTTAGTCAACATGGGGCTCAGAAACCAGTGACATTCCAAATAAGGTATTTTTCTCTCTGTCTTGTAAGGTCTACCTGAAGGGTGTGCACCCCAAATTTCCTGAGGGAGGGAAGATGTCTCAGTACCTGGATAGCCTGAAGGTTGGGGATGTGGTGGAGTTTCGGGGGCCAAGCGGGTTGCTCACTTACACTGGAAAAGGTAATGACCTGTCTTCTCCTTGAGCCTGTCTCCCACTTTATCAGTTCCCATAGTCCTCTTGGCACAGTATGGCTGTGTGTACACATGTGTATGCACGTAAGGGCCAGGGCCGCCCTTCCTTCTAAACATAGCGCTGATACAATAGAAAGGCATGTTTCTCAGCCCCATTTGCCACAGGAAGCAGTTCCTCCTCCACTTGAATTCCCTAGCCATGGCAGCTGTGGAGATTACTAAAGCAAACATGTGCCCCTCTTCCCCACCTTCAAAAATTTGCCCCCCTGGGTGAGCTGTGGAGTGAGCCAGAGATAGCTTTCAGCCCTTCCCATGGGAACAGCTGGGTGCATTAGCAAGTCCCTGGAGCTGCTGTGTGCCACTTGGGAAAATAGATTCACACCTGGCTCTGTGCCTGTCTCCTTCACCAGGGAGTGACACTTTGCCAGAAGCAGCTGATACATTGTGTGGCGCTGAACTGACTCACAGATAGCCCTGGCCCCATTGTCCCTCAACTATATTATTGTCAGGGCTGGCTCAACTCAAGCTTCCACCCAAGCTCCAGGATCAGATGTCATAGCAGCTGCTCAACTGGCCTCAGGCATATTTTCAACTCTGCATTTGTTTTCTAAGTTCGCTGTATTGACTTTATTCTTCCACTGCTCTCTTCACCTGACCTCTCAGGGCATTTTAACATTCAGCCCAACAAGAAATCTCCACCAGAACCCCGAGTGGCGAAGAAACTGGGAATGATTGCCGGCGGGACAGGTGCATTACACTGAGGGCCTTTCTCTCCCACCATTGTTGACTGTTGCCATGCAAATTCCTAGGTGACCCTCTGAAGACTGGTAACCATAGCCAAGCTGTTGTTCATCAGGGGATTTCCAGCAATGCTTAGAACTCCCTAGTATCTGAAAAACAAAATCATAAGCAGGTAGAAACCAAAAAAAATTTTAACTGATGGAATTAGAGAAACAAATTAAATGAGCTTTCCTCATTTTGAATGGATCTAATAGTTTTAGGTGAGAGAAGAGAGAAGCAGCTAGGAATGACTAGCTAGGAAGAAAGAAAATTAGCATTGGACACTACTGTGCATTAGACACTGTGTAGTCTAATACACTACTATATATTAGACACAAAAATTAGACACATATATAGGTATCTATGAAGTAGGTACTAGCCTTTTCCTTTTACAGAGAGACAATGGGGTTCCAGAGAGGCTAAATGATTTCCACAGGGTTATTTCACTGGTAATGGCCTGGAGCAAAATTAGTATTTGGCTCTGCCTAGTGCCTAAGTACATGCACTTAACCTCTGCAAATACAGTGTTCTAGAACCCTCATCATTGAATCCGGAGGTACTTGTAGTCATTTGTGACACTGGAGTCCTAGCCTCCAAAGGACTTTCAGAAGAGTCTTAGATTAGTTCCTAAGAAAGATTTCTACAATATGAACTTAGATGAATTTGAAGGGTGCCCGGAAATACAGATGTTGGAGAATATGCAGGAAGAGTTTAGAGGATGAGAATGCTAAAGGAAAATGGAGTGGAGTGGTGAATGAGCAGAATGAAGATGAAAGGGCTGGTCAGCTAAGGAGCCAGGACAGGGCAGAGAGTGTGGCCACTACATTTCACTGTGGGGTATCTTCATGCAGGAATCACCCCAATGCTACAGCTGATCCGGGCCATCCTGAAAGTCCCTGAAGATCCAACCCAGTGCTTTCTGCTTTTTGCCAACCAGGTTGGTTTGTTTTCCTCCACCCTAAGACTTCAAAGTTGCTGTGTGGGTAGGGCTGAGAGACGTGGTATGGATGGGCAGAACTGGCCCAGTGCCCTGTTTTAGCCTCTGCCCAAGGTCCCCTCTGTAAGGCACAGGGTCCTCTTTCAATAAGGAGGAAAAGGACAGAGCACTGAATCAAATTCCTTCCCTGGTCCCCAAGGAAAGAAGAAAACTTTTAAGGTATCTAGTCTGGAGCACAGAAACTTAGATCTTCTTGGTTAAATATTCATCTTTGTTCCTTCATAATGTGTAGATAAAGGCTGTTCCCCTCTTCTCCTCATCCTAACTCCCTAAAAGCACTGCAAGTCTTGCTTATTTCCTAGAACTTTTGCTTTCCCTTAACATTCTTTTTCTTAGTTGGAAAGTTGTATAGCAGAAAACTTTTTATGTGGGCCTGAGAAGACTCCTAAAGACTTTCCTTCCCCTTTGCATTTCAGACAGAAAAGGATATCATCTTGCGGGAGGACTTAGAGGAACTGCAGGCCCGCTATCCCAATCGCTTTAAGCTCTGGTTCACTCTGGATCATCCCCCAAAAGGTATCCTTCCCATTTCTGGACATCCCACTATCCCCTCATCGTCAAAATCAAAGCCTTGCCCCTTTGTGAATTCTGGCTTCATTGAAATCAACCTTGCCTCACACTGCCAACTCGGAAGTCTGAGTGCACAGACACAGTGATCTCCTGGTCCCTTTCCTTTGGGTTCCTGTTTACCAGGTGGGTGACAGGGATGGCGGTGCTGCTAAGGCTCAGCTTGAGGCAGGCTGAGTATACCCATTCCCAGCTGCTGCTACCACTTGACACTTTCTCCAGAGCCTTTCAGGGCCCTCCCCAGTCTCATGGCACCACACCCCCTTGCCAGCATGTATCTGGAGTATTAAGTACTTTCTTCTCCCCATACTTCAGATTGGGCCTACAGCAAGGGCTTTGTGACTGCCGACATGATCCGGGAACACCTGCCCGCTCCAGGGGATGATGTGCTGGTACTGCTTTGTGGGCCACCCCCAATGGTGCAGCTGGCCTGCCATCCCAACTTGGACAAACTGGGCTACTCACAAAAGATGCGATTCACCTACTGAGCATCCTCCAGCTTCCCTGGTGCTGTTCGCTGCAGTTGTTCCCCATCAGTACTCAAGCACTATAAGCCTTAGATTCCTTTCCTCAGAGTTTCAGGTTTTTTCAGTTACATCTAGAGCTGAAATCTGGATAGTACCTGCAGGAACAATATTCCTGTAGCCATGGAAGAGGGCCAAGGCTCAGTCACTCCTTGGATGGCCTCCTAAATCTCCCCGTGGCAACAGGTCCAGGAGAGGCCCATGGAGCAGTCTCTTCCATGGAGTAAGAAGGAAGGGAGCATGTACGCTTGGTCCAAGATTGGCTAGTTCCTTGATAGCATCTTACTCTCACCTTCTTTGTGTCTGTGATGAAAGGAACAGTCTGTGCAATGGGTTTTACTTAAACTTCACTGTTCAACCTATGAGCAAATCTGTATGTGTGAGTATAAGTTGAGCATAGCATACTTCCAGAGGTGGTCTTATGGAGATGGCAAGAAAGGAGGAAATGATTTCTTCAGATCTCAAAGGAGTCTGAAATATCATATTTCTGTGTGTGTCTCTCTCAGCCCCTGCCCAGGCTAGAGGGAAACAGCTACTGATAATCGAAAACTGCTGTTTGTGGCAGGAACCCCTGGCTGTGCAAATAAATGGGGCTGAGGCCCCTGTGTGATATTGAAAGGGTTGTTGTGTCTGGGGTCCTTGTTTCCAAATCCCCGAGGACCTAGGGAGGAAGGGTTTGCCACCATGCAACTCTCCCAGGTGTTCCAAAGAACCTTTGAGAAGTTGTACCATGTGCTGAAATGTGAGCTGCCAGCAGACTCAGTGATCATCTCAGCAGCTGTCTCAGCAGAGCCAGAGCTCCGCTTCTCCCTGGAGGCTCTCGAGGTGGGGGAAGGAGAACACACATTAGAGGGGACATTTTTGAGCCCAGCTGCCCCTCACAGTGTTCCCTTGATAGGCCACTCTTCCCCTTCTTCCTTCTCTTGGCCTATCCTTCACCATATTTATCCTTCAGGGAACCTGGCACACAAATCAAAGTGTTGTCTTTCTGTTTGGAAGGGAAGCCTTCTTCTTTAAAAAGTAACCTGACATCACCAGCCCTGGCCGGAATTGTTGATGCCCAGATAGAGTTGGCCTCCCCCAGGCTCATCTGTCCTGAGTACCCTTCTCCTCTGCTATGTAGCATGACCCAATCTACTCCCTTTCCCAGGGTAGGACTAGGGCAGCCTCTCCAGATTCTTCTTTGTTACTCCCATTGCAACAAAACAATGTGGTGGGCTCAGAATGAAGGTCGACATTGCTTTTCTGCTTTTCAGCAACTGTCTATTGCTGTTTCTGGGGCTTCTGAGAGAAAGATTTGTGGGACCCTCAGAATTCACTCCTCCCCAGGGCAGAACCTTCAGTAAATTCTGTTGGTGGTGTTCCATCCAACATTTCTTGATCAGCTAATATGTGTATGGCACTGGGCTCTGTAACACAGTCTCAGCCACCTCACCTCCAGGAAGGAAAATCTTGCTTAGGAACGTTGGGCTCAGATAGTGAAGCAGGCTTGTAAAGAGAATTTCCTGCGTGGAAGATCACCATTCCTTGTCTTGCATGGGTTTTTGTCTCATCCACTCAACATACAAATGTTTATTAAGGATCTGGCATGTGCCAAGCACTATGCGAGGCCCTGAGGATAAAAGTGTGACCAACACTGGTCTTAGACCCCCAAAGAACTCACAGTCTAAGACAGACAAATGACATTTTTTTTTTTTTTTTTGAGACGGAGGCTCGCTCCGTCACCCAGGCTGGAGTACAGTGGCGCAATCTCGGCTCACTGCAAGCTCCGCCTCCTGGGTTCACACCATTCTCCTGCCTCAGCCTCCCGAGTAGCTGGGACTACAGGCGCCCGCCACCACGCCCGGCTAACTTTTTGTATTTTTAGTAGAGATGGGGTTTCACCGTGTTAGCCAGGATGGTCTCGATCTCCTGACCTCGTGATCCGCCCGCCTCAGCCTCCCAAAGTGCTGGGATTACAGGCGTGAGCCACTGCGCCCGGCCAACAAGTGACAAATAATTATAACAGTGTGACTAATACCATAGCAGAGGTACATACAAAGTGCAGCTGGGAAGAGGTTGAGAAAGATTCAGAAAGGGAGGAAGGGGGGAAAGAGAGGTAACATTTTTGACAGCCTGGGCAACATAGTGAGACCCTATCTCTACAAAAATAAAAAATTAACTGGGCATGGTGGCACGAATCTGTAGCCCAGCTACTTGGGAGGCTGAGTTGAGAGGATCCCGTGAAGCCCAGGAGTTCGAGGCTGCAGTGAGCTATGATCTTATGATCACACCACTGTACTCCAGCCTAGGTGACAGATTGAGAGCCTGTCCCTAAAAATACAAACAAAAATGGTTTTGAGTTAACAGCCATGTACCAAGTACTGTGCTAAGTACTCGATCTACATCACATAATTTAATCCTTATGATAATCATGTGAGCTGAAGATTAATAATTTACCAAAGGTCATACAGCTGGTCAGTGGCTGACAGAGCCTAAATGTGAATTTAGGATTGTCTGAGGCCAAAGTCAAACCTAGAAGTGGGCATTGTAAACTGCTGGCATCTTGCAGCAGACAATGAGAAGGGCAGTCCAACAGAAGGATCAGCATGTGCAACAGCCTGGAGGAATGAAAGAGAAGTTCACTTCAGAGAACTAGTTCACCAAGGCCCAACATGCCAGAGGGAAAATGGAGAATGATGAGGCCTTAGAAGTTAGAGCCAGCTCGCAAAGAGCCTCGAAACACTATGCTGAAGAAACCTGGACTCAATCCTGTGGACAGTGAAAAGTTTCTGAGGGTTTTATACAAATGGCAACACGGTAATAGCTAACATTTATAAAGCACTTACCATTGGCTAGGCCTCATAATAAGAGCCTGCATGAATTATCTCACTCAATCCTGACAAAGACCCAATGAAATAGTATTATTTTATTCCCACTTTTCAGATGAGGTAATTATCATTTGGAGGGGTTCAGTAATGTGCTCAAGATCATAGACTGGCCTGGGACAGAAGCTTGGCTCTATGTGACTCCAGAGCCCATGCTTTTAACTAGGACCAAGAGAATTAACCCCACGTCCCTGAAGCACCTATATCAGATTACAATGAGTCACTTTCTCTGCCTCTAGAATGGCACTAGTTGCACAGTGAGCTATGATATGATTGCACCACTGCATTCCAGCCTAGGTGACAGTAAGAACCTGTCCCTAAAAAAGAAAAATTAAAAATTTTTTTGAGTTAACAGCCATATTGAGGTACTGTGCCAAGTACTCTATCTACATCAGATAGTTTAATCCTTATGATAATCCTGTGAGTTAAAGGTTTGCTCACAAGAGGAAGATTGACATTGCTTTTCTGCTTTTCAGCAACTGTGTATTGCTGTATCTGGGGCTCCAGAGCATGGGGCTCTAGAGTCACATAGAGCCAAGCTTCTGTCCCTGGCCAGTCTGTGACCTTGAGCATATTAGTGAACCCCTCCAAATGATAGTTACCTCATCTGAAAAGTGGGAATAAAATAATACTATTTCATTCTTGGGAGAAATGAGAAAATGGCCAGACCCTGAAATCCCCTTCTGTGTTGTGTGGTTCAGACAAGGGCTGCACTACCCTATGTTGTCTCGCGATCTGCACTCTAGGTGCCTGTGGGAGCAGGAACTGGGGCACGGGTTCACCAGCAAGAGTAGTTAGAAACAATTCTGCTCTCTGATAAGAAAATAACAGGAGGCAGACTGAGGTCTAGCCCAGGGCCTGGCACATGGTAGGGGCTCAATAAATAGTTTGTGGAAGGGAAGGAAGGACCATGCGGTTGAAGAAGAGATTAAGAAGTGTTTCAGAGGTGAAACGACTAGCCTTGGGGACAGAGGAGATGAGATAAGGTGTATGGTAGAAAATTCAGCATTCCCTCCCGACGTTCTGTCTCATTCTCTGAAATTTCTTCTCCATCACGCACTTCAGGCTGCGATAACGAGGTGGAGTGTAGAATCCGACGAACGTCCTCTACCCCGGGGCGGGTGGAGGTTACCTGGCTGCGGCGGGGAGGTGGGCAGGCGGCAGGGAAGGCGGGGCAGCAGGGCGGGGCCCGGGGCGGGAGGTGTGGCCGGCGGGCGCGGGCCTGTGATTGGGACTCCGCGAGAGGGCCTAGGATTGGAGGGCCCAGGCAGAGCCCGCGAGGAGGTGACGCGGCTGCGGAGGTGACGCGGGAGGTCGCGCGCCCCTTCCGGCGCGGGGAGGGCGCTGAAGATCGGGGCCGCTCGGCCGCAGGCCGCCTCCAGCGCCGCGGGATGTAGCGCGGGGGACCGCGGCCCCCAGCAGAGCCCGCCTGCCCGGCTGTAAGTCTCCCAGGGGCTGCGCGGTGGGCAGGGACTCGGCGGGAGCGCGGGGACCCCGGGGGCCCCGACCCAGGCCTGCGGAGGAGACAGCTGTTGGGGGAACCCGCTCCGACTTGCCAGGGGGCTCGGGCCCCAGCCAAGGAGCCGCCTGGCCTCCAGGCATCCAGCCGGTCAGGTTGTAAACATTTCCGGCCCCTCCCACTGCGCGCCGCCTCCGAGGCGGCCTAGGTGCGGTGGGCGCTCGTCCCCGGCTGTCCCCCGACTCCCGGCAGTCCTGTGAGTGCTGCGCCTTTAGCCCCACGGGGTGGAGATGCATGGGTTCCCCAGATCGGGACCAGAGAGCCAGAGTTAAGCCTGGCCCCGAGGCCGCCGCGCGTGGGGAGGGAGGGCTGCGGGCCTAGGTCGCGAACCGCCTCTCAGCGGGGAACAGCCGCATTGGGTTGCCAGGAAGCCCTAAGGTTCCTCCACCAACAATCTTTGGCAGGTCAAGTCCTGACAGTGCCCTCACTTTGATGGGGTGGGAAGGGAGGTTGGTGATCGCTCTGCAGGGTTAAGGTAATCCTGAAGGCTGAAATGCGGGGCAGAATCGAAGGTACTTTGGGGGAAAATGAAATTTCATTACCTTAGGTATCTAGGATTGATGTATTCTATCTTCTGTTTGAGAATTTTGGTCTTCAAGCCTTCGATTTTTAAGAAAATAGATAAGTGTTTTTTTTCCCTCAGTTTCTGGTGCTCTTTGGGAGAATGGGAAACTGACAAGGCCAATTTCAGTTTACACCGTTTCAGATGTCAAAGGAGCGCTAGGAGGCCATGGTACTTTACTAGATTAACCATAGTACTTCCCTCAAGTGATTCAGAAGACGGGCTAGAAAATACAGCGGAGAATACATAGGCTGCCATCTACAAAACAAATGATTGTAATGGCTGGTTCTTTTCTGAAATGAAGTAATAGTGGGGTCGGTTCACTGCTTTTCTCTTTTCCTAGTAGTTGGGTAGGCTACGATGGTGCAACTTCGGTTCCTGAGGTTGTATACTATCTGTATACTGCCAGGAATTTAGGGTGGTGCTAAACAGATTGCAATGTCAGGGTACCGGCTTGCAGCTACTAAATGTATTTACTCCAGGAATAACTTTTATGTACCCATATTGTGATTTGCACTTGGGAAATCAGTCATAAAAACTGATGTTACCTGTGAAGGCCCATGTTATGGTAGACCTCCGCAAAACTATACCTAATTGTAGAGTAGAAACTGAAAGCTTTCTATTCTCAATGGTCAAGACTTTGCCTGCAGGTAGGAGAGAATCTCAGAAAAATAACAGGGAGCAACATTAATCCACTGATCCCCATTGCTGATTTATAAAGTACACCACCTTAAGTAGGCTTTTAGGCTATTTTCAGTTTTTTAAGTCTGGCCTCATTTTACCTTTCCAGGACTCTATGGAAAAATGAATTGTTTACTGCCCTGGGGACTGTGTTCTTTCATGGCATGTTCACACCATATACCCTCCTGGAATGCCCTGTTTCCATCTCTATCTATCAATCTCCTGTCATAAAATCTTCCACAAAACTTTTTCTGATCACTTCAACTAAAGTTGCACTTTTCTTTTGAATTCCTCCTGCACATAATGGCACTAAGCCTTGTAGTGATATTAGGAAAGTTATTTCCCCCATTTAGAGGCCAACAACCATTTCAACCCTCTGACTCCTCTTTGCCTTGTCTCTGTGGCCACAACACCATGCGTATTGTAAGTAATCAATCGGTATTCTCAGATTAATGAAGGTTAGAAATTGCCCTTCTTTCTAGGCCAGTGTATTTGTTCTCTATTCCCATAGGAAATTTCCTTTGACTTCTAATACAAAGCCAAACTGAAACCCTTTAACACTCCTGCTACATTATCCTGTCCCATCTACTTATTATCACACAGGTAAGATAAGCAGTCGTCTTTATATCTAGACGCTTTGTGAATTATGGTGAGTTTTTTTTCTTGGACCAGTACTCATCAACGTTGTTATGTCCATTTGTCCCTAATGTCACCTCCTGGATTTTGTTCCTCTCACCATGCTAAAAGTTGATTCCCATTTTCCTGCTCAGAAATGTTGGGGGCATAGGCCGGGCACAGTGGCTCATGCCTCTAATCCCAACACTTTGGGAGGCTGAGGCGAGTGGATCACCTGAGGTCAGGAGTTCGAGACCAACCTGGTCAACATGGCAAAACCCTGTCTCTACTAAAAATACAAAAATTATCCGGATGTGGTGGCAGGTGCCTGTAATCCCAGCTACTTGGGAGGCTGAGGCAAGAGAATTGCTTGAACCTGGAAGGCGGAGGTTGCAGTGAGCAGATCATGCCACTGCACTCCACCCTGGGGGATAGAGCAAGGCCCTTGTCTCCAAAAATAAAAGTGGGGGCTGGCATTGGCTGGGCACGGTGGCTCACACCTGTAATCCCAGCACTTTGGGAGGCTGATGCAGGAGAATTGCTTGAGTCCAGGAGTATAGGCTGCAGTAAGCTATGATCGTGCCACACACTCTAGCCTGGGCCTGGAACTGGCTGAACTTGGGAGCAAGACCCTGACTCCAAAAAGAAAAAATGGGCTGGCATTAAAATCCTTCATATGCCTGTATACTGTTCACTTTTTTTTTTGTCATGACATTAGCAAAGTTTGCCTGTCTGTCAGGGCTCAAAAACACCTCTTCAGCCAGGCACAGTGGCTCATACCTGTAATCCCAGCACTTTGGGATGCCAAGGCTGGGCAACATAGTGAGACCTTGTCTCTACAAAAAAATAAAATTAGCTGGGCATGGTGGCACATGCCTGTAGTCCCGGTTACTAAGACTTGGGAAGCTAAGGTGGGAGGATCGCTTGAGTCTGGCACATTGAGGCTACAGTGAGCTGAGATCACACCACTGCACTCCAGCCTGAATGACAGAGCAAGACCCTTTTAAAAAAAAAAAAAGACTTCTGTTGGGGAAGAGCTACAAAGGAAGTCAGACTGTTTTTCCACTTCAGAGTCTGGGACGCTTGGCATCGAGTAGGAGAGCTGAGGCCCTATATACTGTAGTTCGGTGATTTCAAACATGTGCCTTTGCTTTGATTCATATTTCTCCAACAAAGCTGTGAAATTATCCTGCCTAAGAGACAGTAGATAGGGGAAAAATGGCTGTATTCTTTATCTATACTGCTAGACTGGTCTTGCTTTAGGACAAGAATCAAGCTAGGTATGGATAGAGGCTACCCATAGACTCTCTAAAGGCCCAGGAACTAAACTCTTAGAAACTTTGTGTCTTTGCCTCCAGGAAAGGTGTGCCGTAGCCTGGAAAACTTGGGAATTGGTTCACAATATAAATGTCTCCAAAAACTATAAGTGAAATAACTCTCCAGCTAACTGGCTGGTGATTAAAAATCAATCTTTTCCCCATGTTTGGCACAGGATTATCTTATTTATAGGAGTACAAACAACCTCCCTGCTCCACAGCTTTACTCTCTAATATCCTAGGTTTACCCAGTTGGAAAGCTTAGTGGTAAAGGTTTATTAGCTTGAGTTGAAGAAATCTCATCAAAAATGCACTCAGTCGAGTTTGGCTCAAATATAATTTGCAGTATTGGGTGTGGCAAGCTTGAGGGGAAAGGCATTTCCTCTAAAATACGTAAGGACATAGAAAGCTGGCAGAAGGTTGGCTCACCTAGGATCGTTCTAACACCTTAGGGGTTTGTTCTGATTTTACACCATAGACTAAAACACACTTGTAATTCTCCATTGTTTGTGAGTGATCCACCCCATAGAAGTGGTATTTTCAGATCCTAGTATTATTTGCTCTTCTTTCTTGCCAGACGTCCGATCCCTATCTCTCCCTTTCCTGTCTCTGTGTTACTACAGTTTAGAAGACCAAACTGGACAATGGACTTTGCTCACTATGATGACATGATCTCCATTGACCTCCATTGTATGTACTTTAATGCATGATGATATATTTTGTATGATGAGTTGTAGCTGATGGCTGGTTTGTGAGTTAACTGGGGTCTCAGGTTTTGGTGACTCTGGGTCTAGAAGATGTAGAGAGGTGGTATAGGAGCTAGTGATAGAGGAGCTAGAGGGAATCGGAAGAACTAATAGTAAATGATTTGGACTGAAAAAGGAAAAGACTTTGATGATAGCCAGAAGACTTGAGGGCATAAAAACTTTTCAGATCAAATGATGAAATTAGTAAGAATGCCAATCTGGATTCTGCACATGATCTTTGGACCCTAATTGCCCAACTTAAATTTTCTCTATATTATTCTCATTGCCTCTAGTAAAATAGTTACATAGCACTCAAAGTTACTAAATTTAGTGTGTGACCATTCTAGTTGAGGGGTTCTCTCCCTCCACTGCCCTCCTGGAGCAATCAAATTGTATCACTTATTTTTGTGCATATCACAAACTACCTATGTTATCTGGCTCTTTGAAAACAATACTATAACTTGTTCAACTTGTATTTTGCACAGTGTCTTGTATTTTGCACAGTGTCTTAGAATGCCTTAGGGTGCTAGTCCTAAATACACTTGCTAAATATTCAATGAATGTGTTGACTTACTCTGGGGAAAGGGATAAGAGAAGCCACCACAAGCACAAGAAAATGCACATAAGCCCTTATCTAAGTGGCTAGAAGCTAAGTCATATGCTGGCAAGCTGGAATCTGCCCCATTCATTCATTCATTTTGAAATGGGTTCTAACTAAAATAAAGTATATTTATTATTTTATGATCCATGTATTGCATCTCAGAACCAGAATTTTGTTTTGTTTTGTTTTGTTTCTGCCCTGGTAGCCTGATCTAAGTTACTTCCAACAGTAACTTAGTAAGTAACAAGCTAAGTGTGCCCCTCTTTTCAGATTTATCTAAGATGCCCAAAAATATTTATGTTTTTTGCTTGTGATATAAAGTTGTTTTTTGGTTTTTTTTTTTTTGCTTGCGATATAAAGTATTTTTTAGTAAAGCTGCTGATTCAGTAGTACTTCACTTTGAGGAAATATGTTTTGAGGTCAGCCTATTGAGAAAGATTTCCTTGTGTCCCTCTCACACGGGTTGCCCATCCTCGAGGTTTTCATAGGCTTCCAGCTTCCTGTTCTCCTTAGCTCAATTGTTCACTATGACTGTGTGCTGGCATCTCGTCAGAGTCTTGCACATTTAAAGGAAGAGGAACTGTCTATGTGTTGACACCATATAAAGGTCTGCTGTATAGCAAGTTATTGTTTTTGTCTCTCTTGGACTAGATTGCCGGTTGCTTTCAACTGTGCTTGTGGGTTGAGCATAGCATGACTCATGACTGTTTAGAAGCTTGAGGATTGCCCTTACCTGATGTGTTAGTAAGTGTTCTCCAGAAAGCACCAATAGGATACATACATATGGATAGAGATGGGATTTATTCGGGGAATTGGCTCATGAGATTATGGAGGCTAAGTCCCACACTATGCCATCTCAAGCTAGACAATGAGGAAAGTCCATAACTGGTTCAGTTTAAGGCTGAAGGCCTGAGAACCCAAGGGGCTATTGGTGCACGTCCCGGAATCCCAAGGCAGGAGAACCTGGAGTTTCTGATGTCCAAGGGCAGGAAAAGAAGGGTGTCCCAGCTCCAGGAGGGAAGGAGGGGGAGAGACAGAGAGAGTTAGGGAGTCAGAGAAAGAGATTTATAATCCCTGAGAAGGAATTGTGATTACTCTTAGATAAAAAAGAACTGACACAAGATATCAAAGATATTTGTATATAGTGAATAGCCATGGATGATATAGTGTCTCCCTCAGGAGCAAAGTTATGTTTACTGCCCAATATAAAAGATTGGGGCTCCCTAAGCTTAAGTTTCCTCTCCCGGAATGCAACCCACTCCATGTGCAGTTGTTACCTGGCCCTCCCTGCATTGCAATGTGGTTATTTGGGTTTGGGTGGGGCTTGGGTAACCAATGCAAGAAAATGCTAATATTCTGGCTACTGCTATTGCTATAACTAATAAAGTCCTTTGTATGGGGGTAGAGGTGGGGAGAGAACTAATAATTTACAGCATAGTGGAAATCTTTGGAAACTTTCTCCCTCTTTCCCTCTTTTTTTATTTGCATTTCCCTGAGGCCTGTTTAAAGACTACTGTGAAAATCCAACCCAGGAAAACCTAAAGTGTCTGAGATTTTTCCTAGAAAATGGAATTCTGGGTTTTTCTGATTTTGTGTGTGCCTGTCTCTAGTTTCTGAAATACTCATTTGAGTAGGGCTTAGATTATGGGTTGTGGTGGTTGAAACAAGTTATTGTGGAGCTGGTTATTAGGTATGTGTGTGGCAAAGGGTAAATTGGGGCTGCCTCCTTGTCTTCACCTTCCTGCTTCCAGGTAAGTTCTTGCTTGCTTGCAGGACAGATTGTGATGAAAGCTTGTTATCCCAGGGTTGAACTCAGGCTATAATCCTGTAATAGAATTAGTAGACTTCGCAGAGAAATTAACCACTAGGCATCTGTCCCACAACCAAGTTCCTTTTGTATGTATGACACATTTATCAGAGCATTTGTAGATAAGGTCTAACTGAGTTCAGTTGGCATTTAATTCATTTCTAAGCCTGGATGATCTTGTAGTAATTGCAGCCAGATGTTGGCTTTATATTTTTATTCCTCGGTCTCAGAGCTAGGCCTTTCTTGGGCAGAGTGAGCTTTGGGAGTGATAGATGAGATTCTTCTCACTAAATGGTTCCATACCTGTGGGAGGGAGTTGAGGGTGGGTAGCTGTTTTTCTATGGTGACAGTTTGGTGCAGTAACCATAGATCATATGAAAGCAAGCAACTAGGTGTTACATTTTCAGCCTTACCTATAAGATTAGTGAGGTTCTGGGTAAAGGTTGACATTAAAGAGGGAGGACAGGAATAGATTTCATTTAAGCAATTAACTGGCCTTTAGAATTGGGGACAGGATATGAGTTGATTAGCTTCTTATTCAGTATTAGAGTATAGAAATGAAACTGTAAGAGGAATAAATTGTCAATCCTTCATGTTTGTATTTTCTTTTAGTGTCTACCATCAGAGGGAGATCTCTGCCCCCTGGGGCTGAGAGACCCCAACCTTTCCCCAAGCTGAAGCTGCAGGGTATTGAGGTACCAGCCAGATGTCTTCCCACAAAGGATCTGTGGTGGCACAGGGGAATGGGGCTCCTGCCAGTAACAGGGAAGCTGACACGGTGGAACTGGCTGAACTGGGACCCCTGCTAGAAGAGAAGGGCAAACGGGTAATCGCCAACCCACCCAAAGTAAGTCATCTTCCCAGGAGTCATCCCCTTGTTCAGTTTCTCTCCTTAGAACTCTGTCATTTTCTCTTTTTTAAGAGCTCACCGTCCAAAAGGAGGAACATTGCATCCTGGAAATGTCTCTATCCAAGTCCCTATGATACTGTTATAAACATCTTGTTGTCTGCTTTCCCCATTGTAAGCTTTTGGGAATGCACTCATCTTTGTAACACCAGTGCTTAGCACAAGGCCTGCAGTCCAATAAATAATCAGTAAATATCTGAATGAATGAAGGAAGCAGTCAATTAGGATTAGGTTTGACTTCATATAACACACAAAAATCCTTACAGTTTTGACAGGACAGAAGTCTCTCAAGCAAAAGAATTTCAGAAGTAACCAATCCAGGGCTGATATGGAGGATCCACCACTGTCAGGCACCTGTGTTGCTCTCCCATCACTCTTAATATGTGCCCATCATACCCACATTCTACCCCCCATGAAAGGGAAACGAGAAGAAAGGCCCTCTCTTTCCCTTTTATTTTTATTGAGATAAGATCTCGCCATGTTGCCTAGGCTGATCTTAAACTCCTAGGCTCAAGTGATCCTCCTGCCTCAGCCTCCCAAAGTGTTGGAATTACAGGTATGAGCCACTGTGCCCGGCCAACTCTTTGCCTTTTAAAGGGACTATCAGGGCCGGGCACGGTGGCTCACACCTGTAATCCCAACACTTTGAGAGGCCGAGGCAGGTGGATCACCTGAGATCAGGAGTTCGAGACCAGCCTGGCCAACATAGTGAAGCCCCCTCTCTACTAAAAACACAAAAATTAGCTGGGTGTGGTGGCAGTCGCCTGTAATCCCAGCTACTCGGGAGGCTGAGGCAGGAGAATCGCTTGAATCTGGGAGGCAGAGGTTGCAGTGAGCCGAGATCGTGCCATTGCACTCCAGCCTGGGCAACGAGTGAAACCCCCTCTCAGAAAAAACAAAAATAAATAAAGGGACTATCAGGAAGTACCTCATAAGACTTCGGCCAGAACTTACTTACATAACTATATTCAGCTGCAGTGGAGGTTAGAAAGTGCAGCCTGAGTAAAATTGCAGTAACATTGCCACCCTGAACAAAACCGTGGGCTTTGTTACTTAGGAAGAGAGAGAATGGATGTTAGGGTAGACTGGCTGGAAGCTGTAGCACAAAATCTAAGATGGACCATGTGTTTACTAGTGACCATCAGCAACAGGAGAGAAATAGCCCAGAAAAGGAGTTGAACTGCCAGGCTTTCTATAGCCATGATTCGGAGCCTTGGGATAGAGAGAGAGAAAGTTCTCTCCCTTTCACAGGCAAGTGCTCTCCTGGGTGTGTTTTTTTTTTTTTTTTTTGGAGACAGAGTCTCGCTGTCGCCCTGGCTGGAGTGCAGTGGCACGTTCTCGGCTCACTGCAGGCTCCGCCCTCCAGGGTTCATGCCATTCTCCTGCCTCAGCCTCCCGAGTAGCTGGGACTACAGGTGCCCGCCACCTCGCCCGGCTAATTTTTTGTATTTTTAGTAGAGACAGGGTTTCACCGTGTTAGCCAGGATGGTCTCGATCTCCTGACCTCGTGATCCGCCCGCCTCGGCCTCCCAAAGTGCTGGGATTACAGGCGTGAGCCACCGCGCCCGGCCCTCTGGGTGCGCTTTTTTAGGCCCTGGAGTCAGTACCGCTGTTTTCCATGGAACCAGTTCTGAGGCCCTGGTACTCCTGGGAGCTGCTGTAGATACAAAGTTTCAATCATGACAGCATCCCTAGAGTCAGTGAACAGGGAACTCTGAACAGAATTATTGTTATGGAACTCTCTGAGACTCTGTGTCTTTTTCGTTGTTTTGAAAACGTAGGCTGGGCATGGTGGCTCAGCCTGTAATCCCAGCACTTTGGGAGGCCGAGGCAGGAGGATCACGTGAGGTCAGGAGATTGAGAACAGCCTGGCCAACATGGTGAAACCCCATCTCTACTAAAAATACAAAAATTAGTCAGGCATGGTGGTGGGCGCCTGTAATCCCAGCTACTTGGAGGCCGAGGCATGAGAATTGCTTGAACCCGGGAGGCGGAGGTTGCAGTGAACAGAGATCGCACCACTGTACTCCAGCCTGGGTGACAGAGGGATATTCCATTTCAAAAAAAAAAAAAGAAAGAAAGAAAATGTAATGGCTTAGAAAAGAGAACTCTTTGGGAAACTGAGGAAAGTTAAGAACCACTATCCTAAAGAAAAGGATGTCATTCAGTACCTAGAGCTGGTGTATTCCCCCAATGCTAGTCTCTGTGACAGTCCTTCTTTTACGCACTGCATAGAATGTTCACTCCAGCATTTACGAAGTATTAATAAATTTCTAACTAGTGTTGTAAACTCAGTGTGTATGCTTTTGGAGAAGAGACCACAAGACCCTCTGTAGGAAAGAGGCTGGGCAGAAGGCATTAGGTTTGGGTTTTTCTGGGTCTCTCTGCTCTGGAATAGTACAATTTATGAGATGACTCCCTGGATTGTTGTGGGTTTTTTCCCCCATAGGCTGAAGAAGAGCAAACATGCCCAGTGCCCCAGGAAGAAGAGGAGGAGGTGCGGGTACTGACACTTCCCCTGCAAGCCCACCACGCCATGGAGAAGATGGAAGAGTTTGTGTACAAGGTATGGCCTATGAGCTTCTGTCCTGGAAGGGGAAGGGCAGCAGGCCTGTCTGGGATGTCCCCAGCCAGCAAGCTTGCACTGGGTCGAAGAGCTTTTATTCCTGGGAAGGAGTGGATTTGTTTTTTGGTTAAGATGAGGTAAATCAATGTGAAGACTGGCTAAATTTTTACTGCCTACTCTGTGAGGCATTGTTCAAAATATATTCTTAAAACGGATTCTTTTCTATGCAAGGGGCGCCTTTGGAAGTCATCAAAATATTTCAATATGACAGTAATATGAATGCCTTTGTTAACACATTAAATATACATGAATGATGAGCACTAATGTATTTTATTAAAATTTGTAATTTCTAAGTAATGATGAATAGAAACAGTATTTTGAGATACCTGCAGAACTAATGTGTGAGAGTATCTGATTTCTATTGGTGACAAAGCCACAAGTTCTACTAATACTGTGGTTTGTTGCTTATGCTTATAATTGAGGAAAATGCTCAATTTACTTAGAGGTAAATGGAAATACAATTTTTTCCATCTATTCCCTGGATCCTGTCCATAGTGCATGGATCCTAGATTAAGAACCCCTACTCTAAAAAGATGTGGTAAGAACTTAGAATCTAATTGGGGGAGGGATGAGACATGAGATAGAATCTCCTGGAGAGGGGCAAAGGAGGGATCTGTACGTTTTTTAAAACAACGTTTATAATTTTTTTGTTTTTATTCAGTATATCAATTTTGAAATTTCAAGTAGCCTAAAGGAGGTTGTACCATATATATATATATATTTTTTTGAGACAGAGTTTTGCTCTTGTCTCCCAGCTGCAGTGGCACGATCTCAGCTCACTGCAACCTCTGCCTGCCAGGTTCAAGCACTTCTCCTGCCTCAGCCTCCCGAGTAGCTGGGATTACAGGCATGTGCCACCACGCCTGGCTTATTTTTGTATTTTTAGTAGAGACGGGGTTTCTCCATGTTGGTCAGGCTAGTCTCGAACTCCCAACCTCAGGTGATCCGCCCGCCTCAGCCTCCCAAAGTGCTGGGATTACAGGCGTGAACCACTGCGCCCAGCCTGGTTGGACCATATTTTCTTAAAAGGTTGAGAAACACTTACCTAAAACTTCTCCAGATAAACTAACATGAAACAAAGACAAAGAGATTTTTTGTTTGTTTGTTTTTGTTTTTTTGTTTTTTTTGAATACAGAGTCTTGCTCGGTCGCCCAGGCTGGAGTGCAGTGGTGCAATCTCGGCTCACTGCAACCCCCGCCCGCCAGGTTCAAACCATTCTCCTGCCTCAGCCTCCTGAGTAGCTGGGATTACAGGTGCCCGCCACCATGCCCGGCCAATTTTTTGTGTTTTTAGTAGAGACAGGGTTTCACCATGTTAGTCAGGCAGGTCTTGAACTCCTGACCTCAGGTGATCCACCTGCCTCAGCCTCCCAAAGTGCTAAGATTACAGGCATGAGCCGCTACACTCAGCCAGGATTTTTTTTTTTTTTTTAATGGTCAAAATATGAGTCAGGACTCTGCTAGCCCCATTCATGCTATGTCTTGGATATCCCCCAGTCCAGGCTGGTTCTCCACTATTACCTAGGACCATTCAGAGCCTGACTGACATCTTCTTAGACTAGTTCTCCATCACTGCTTGTCCTTGGGGAAGGTACTATCTAGTGCCCTACCCAGAGAAAGTGTATATGTTCTAGGTCTGGGAGGGACGTTGGAGGGTCATCCCATATGATGTGCTCCCTGACTGGCTAAAGGACAACGACTATCTGCTACATGGTCATAGACCTCCCATGCCCTCCTTTCGGGCTTGCTTCAAGAGCATCTTCCGCATTCATACAGAAACTGGCAACATCTGGACCCATCTGCTTGGTGAGTGATTTGGATGGGGAAAGGTGGAATTTGTTGTCTCCCTAACTGCGAAGGGATTATAGAGCCCAACAAAGTTGTTCAGATCGATTGGCAGCTGGGATTCTACCTTTAAACTACTAATGACTTTAAGCTAATAACCTTGGTTGACCCTTGATCACTGATCTTTAAGACTGAGAGTAAAAGGCCTAGAAACCAAAGAAATTGGGACTAGATATTTTTTTGTGATCCCTGGCAGAACTGTTCTAGGTGGAGACAATTCCTTGTACTTCGTAATTTCCAACTGTAAAAGTAAAATGCCAACATTTCAAAAAATGGTCTTTTTTGTCTGGGTTTCTGTGACCAGTGCCACTTTCTTTGAAACATTGGACTGCAATTACACAGCTAAACCTCATAGCTTTCTGATTTTTTTTTTATTTCAATAGCTCTTGGGTTACAAAGGGGTGGGGGGGGGTTTGGTTACATGGATGAATTATATACTGGTGAATTCTGAGATTTTAATGCACCCATCACCTTAGTAGTGTACATTGTACTCAATATGTAGTTTTTCTGTCTCACACCCCTATCTCCCCCTCCCGCTTCTAAGTCTCCATAGTCCATTATATCATTCTATATGCCTTTGCGTACTCATAGCTTAGCTCCCACTTATAAGTGAGAACATATACAGTATTTGATTTTTCATTCCTAAGTTACTTCACTTAGAATAGTGGCCTTCAGCTTCATCCAGGTTGCTGCAAAAGACATTATTGCATTCCTTTTTATGGCTGAGTAGTATTCCATGGTGTACATACACCACATTTCCTTTATTCACTCATTGGTCAATGGACACTTAGGTTGGTTCCATATCTTTAGAGTTGTGAATTGTGCTACAATAAACATACATGTGCATGTGTCTTTTTCATATGACTGCTTTTCCTTTGGGTAGACACCTGGTAGTGGGATTGGTGGATCAAATAGTAGCTCTACTTTTAGTTCTTTAAGGAATCTCTATACCCTTTTCCATAGAGGTTATACTAGTTTATAATTTACATTCCCACAAGGAGTGTATAAGCATTCCCCTTTTACCATATCCATGCCAACATCTGTTGTTTTTTGACTTTTTAATAATGGCCTTTCTTGCAGAAGTAAGGTGGTATTTCATTGTGCTTTTAATTTGTATTTCCCTGATGATTAGTGATGTTGCCTGTAGCTCTCTGATTCAAAAACATCAACCATCAAAGTGTACACATTCCCTTTTTTCTTACAGGTTTTTTTTATTTTACCCTCCTGCAGGTTTCGTGCTGTTTCTCTTTTTGGGAATCTTGACCATGCTCAGACCAAATATGTACTTCATGGCCCCTCTACAGGAGAAGGTGGTTTTTGGGATGTTCTTTTTGGGTGCAGTGCTCTGCCTCAGCTTCTCCTGGCTCTTTCACACCGTCTATTGTCATTCAGAGAAAGTCTCTCGGACTTTTTCCAAGTGAGTTAAAAGAACACCATAGGAAAATACTGTGCACTGTTGTCACATCTTGAGATCCCAGTGCTTACTGGGTGATAGGAGCTCATATCACTCCTAAAGGTTTCTTGATATGCCAGAGGAAAGGCTCTCTGTTCTGTGGCGATAGTGGGGTGATGAAGCTTTTCTCTTAAACACTTCATGAACAGACTTACTGCATCCTCTTCAACAGATGGAGAGACCAATTGTGGAATATATTTTCTACCTGAAAAGCACTATCTTTTGTGAGGCTTAGAGTGCCAGTGCACTGGCTGCTTTCCAAGACCTTGTACAAGCGTAACTTACTATTAGCCCAAGCCAAAGTAGGGTGTGGTAAATAGTCTATGCTTCATTCTGCTGGTGCTCCTACCCAGCAGTCAAGTAAAGCTTATCTTTGCTGCCCATGCATTGCTGGAAGCTCCAGATGTCCATCATCGTGTGCTTTCTCTCTTGCCCAGCCGTGAGCCTGAGGTTCTATTTGTTTGCTTGTTTTTGTTGTTATTGTTGGTTTTGGTGGCGACAGTGGTGTATTATTTTGTTTTTTCTAACAACACCAGTAAGAAGGTACATTTTCCTCATTTAAAAAGTCAACTAAGATAGAAAAAGCTAGAGTATCCCTTAATACTACTCCCAATTTAAGAATTTTGTTTTTAGAACTCATTCTATCAGAATAGGAGAATTTTCAAAGCCTTTCCTGAGTGTGATGCTGGGAACCAGCTGGATTGTGATGGAATTTCTAAATTCAAGTGTCTACTATGGGAGATACGGCTGTTCACTAGTAAGGGAAAGGGATAGAGTTCTTTGAATGGGGATTCTTAGAGATTTTTCCATCGTAAAATAGAAGTGACCTTGTGGAATTTTAATCCAGAATACAGGATAGATTGTATGGGAGTCTACAATACAGGATAGATTGAGGGAATGGTTAAATCTGGGAGCAGGTGGAGAACAGAAAGAGCTAGTTAAATGAGCCATACAAATTCATTTCCCCCACTGATTTGTTTCATTTTTGTGGTTCTTTTTAGACTGGACTATTCAGGGATTGCTCTTCTAATTATGGGGAGCTTTGTCCCCTGGCTCTATTATTCCTTCTACTGCTCCCCACAGCCACGGCTCATCTACCTCTCCATCGTCTGTGTCCTGGGCATTTCTGCCATCATTGTGGCGCAGTGGGACCGGTTTGCCACTCCTAAGCACCGGCAGACAAGAGCAGGTAGGTCGGAAGATGTACGTACACCTCAGAGGTATTTAGACCTTAGGCCTGATAGGCTCAAACCTATTTGAGCCTTAAGGTTTGCAGCTTGAGAACCCCACCCAAACCCTGATTTGTGTTTCAGAACTTTCAAAACAGCATCAATTTCAAAGCTCAGTTCTCAACCCCCAGTGTCATACTATTTCAGTAGAATGCCAATAGGACAGATCATTACCCAGCTGGTCAATTAACTGCAAGCACAGATGTAGCTACTCTTATACTTGGTTTGTGACAGTTTAAAAATGTAGCAAGCACAGTAATTTTAGTGACCCGAGTCCCAAGCTCAGACCAAGGGATTAAAATTAAAACACTCAGAGGCATTTTACTAAGGGAATGGAATACCTGGTTTGGTGAATGAAAATACCTTGAGCATAAACAGGTAACAAAGTAATAGCTACAAGCATAAACATCTTTGTGTTGTCTCATCTCATCTGGACTCTTATTTTAAGCTTTTATTACTTGCAGCAACACCACCAATTACCACTAGTCTTTAGTCCCTTTACAATTAATATCTGCTATGTTTTAACCTTCAGTTAAAATAATTAAATATTGTCCGGGAGCAGTGGCTCACGCCTGTAATCCCAGCACTTTGGGGGGCCGAGGCAGGCGGATCACTTGAAGTCAGGAGTTTGAGACCAGCCTGGCCGACATGGTAAAACCCTGTTTTTATTTAAAATATAAAAATTAGTCGGCGTTGTGGCAGGTGCCTGTAATTCCAGCTACTTGAGAGGCTGAGGCGGGAGAATCACTTGAACCTGGTCGGGGGCAGAGGTTGTAGTGAGCCAAGATCACGCCACTGCACTCCAGCCTGGGCAACAAAGCAAGACTCTATCTCAAAAAAAAAAAAGAAAGAAAGAAAGAAAAGAAAAAAATAATAATAATTAAATATTTATCAAGCACCAGCCACGTGCCATGCACTGTGCTTAAACAAAGGTATTTACAAAGATGGAGAGGTGGTCCCTGCCCTTCAGTTATGTGTAGTGTAATGATGAGACACATACCCATTCTTCCCTTGCTCTTGCCTTACTTGTGTGTCCCAGCAGCTACAGGATAACTGCTAATCTGGGTATATCTGTCTACTCAGGAGGTCAGAGTTCTGGTTATGTAAGACTTTTATGATCTTAACAGGAAGCCTATCCTATGCTTCTCTGACTTGGGAGGCAACTGAAGCCTTGACATCTAAGTTCTGTACCCAAGTTAGCCATCAGAGAGTCTTGACATACCATTTTTACCTAAATTCCTTAACAGATAATGAAGAATATGAGATCTTTGTTCTTGGTGCTTAAAAGGTAGTAAGCACTTACACAGCTTCTTCCCATTCAGGACATAGAAGAAATATCTGTTGAGTGTTATCCATCTTGTAGCTAAGTTTCCTAAACATGTACTATTCATCCAAAAATAGCTAATTATCATAAACATTGAAATTCCAGAGTAAGACAGCAGTGCCTTCCATGCGGTGGCTGTTTCCTTGTTTGACAGTCTTATGTCTGTTCTGTTCAGGCGTGTTCCTGGGACTTGGCTTGAGTGGCGTCGTGCCCACCATGCACTTTACTATCGCTGAGGGCTTTGTCAAGGCCACCACAGTGGGCCAGATGGGCTGGTTCTTCCTCATGGCTGTGATGTACATCACTGGAGCTGGCCTTTATGCTGCTCGAATTCCTGAGCGCTTCTTTCCTGGAAAATTTGACATATGGGTAAGAAATGAATCTTCCAGCAGGTCCTGTGATGGTGAGTGAACAGCCCAAAGTTAAAGGGCTGAGGAAAAGGTGGTATGAGACTGGGATCATATAGTGTTTGGAGGTACATATATGTGCATTGAAGGTAAATCATCAATATTAACATTTTGGTGTATCTCTGACAAGGACTGTGTTTTTAAAACTTTCTAAATATACCACTTTAATGTTATTAACAAATTTGTTTAATTAAGGATAAACTAGAAGAAGCAAATGCTTTCTCCTACTTGTTTCTTATTCCTCCTTGCATTATCCTAAAGGCTCTTTTCTTTTTATTCCTACAGTTCCAGTCTCATCAGATTTTCCATGTCCTGGTGGTGGCAGCAGCCTTTGTCCACTTCTATGGAGTCTCCAACCTTCAGGAATTCCGTTACGGCCTAGAAGGCGGCTGTACTGATGACACCCTTCTCTGAGCCTTCCCACCTGCGGGGTGGAGGAGGAACTTCCCAAGTGCTTTTAAAAATAACTTCTTTGCTGAAGTGAGAGGAAGAGTCTGAGTTGTCTGTTTCTAGAAGAAACCTCTTAGAGAATTCAGTACCAACCAAGCTTCAGCCCACTTTCACACCCACTGGGCAATAAACTTTCCATTTCCATTCTCCTAGCTGGGGATGGGGCATGGTCAAACTTAGCCATCCCCTCCTCAGCAAGGCATCTACCGGCCCCTCACAGAGACAGTACTTTGAAACTCATGTTGAGATTTTACCCTCTCCTCCAACCATTTTGGGAAAATTATGGACTGGGACTCTTCAGAAATTCTGTCTTTTCTTCTGGAAGAAAATGTCCCTCCCTTACCCCCATCCTTAACTTTGTATCCTGGCTTATAACAGGCCATCCATTTTTGTAGCACACTTTTCAAAAACAATTATATACCCTGGTCCCATCTTTCTAGGGCCTGGATCTGCTTATAGAGCAGGAAGAATAAAGCCACCAACTTTTACCTAGCCCGGCTAATCATGGAAGTGTGTCCAGGCTTCAAGTAACTTGAGTTTTAATTTTTTTTTTTTCTTGGCAGAGTAATGTAAAATTTAAATGGGGAAAGATATTTAATATTTAATACTAAGCTTTAAAAAGAAACCTGCTATCATTGCTATGTATCTTGATGCAAAGACTATGATGTTAATAAAAGAAAGTACAGAAGACACTTGGCATTCAAAGATTTCACATGTATGGTCTTGATTATTTGCACACAACTCCAAAACATTAAGTAAGACCTGTGATAATTTCAGATTCTCCTGAGGCACAAATTTGAATCATAGGCATTGACAGGCTGGCACATGCAGGCCAATAAATGGACCTAATTGAATTCCTAGCATCCATTCCCCAATACAGCTTTACTTTTTTATGTAATTGTTGCATGGATTATCTTTTTACATTTTTAAATTTTTTTTTTTCATAGAGCCATTTGAAAAGAACAGACCATCTTGTTAGAGAAATCAGTATGCTATAGTAGTGTTCAATAATTAGGAGATTCTCAGGGCTGGGTGCAGTGGCTCACGCCTGTAATCCCAACGCTTTGGGAGTCTGAGGCGGGTGGATTGCTTGAGGCCAGGAGTTTGAGACCAGCCTGGCCAACATGGTGAAACCCCCATCTCTACTAAAAATACAAAAATTAGCCTCGTGGTGGTGGGCGCCTATAATCCCAGCTACTCGGGAGGGTAAGGCACGAGAATCACTTGAACCCGGGAGGTGGAGGTTGCAGTGAGCTGGGATCACACCACTGCACTCTGGCCTGGGCAACAGAGCAAGACTGTCTCAAAAAATAATAGACTGGATGCAGTGGCTCACGCCTTTAATCCAAGCACTTTGGGAGGCTGAGGTGGGTGGATTATGAGGTCAGGAGTTCAAGACCAGCCTGGCCAAGATGGTGAAACCCCATCTCTACTAAAAATACAAAAATTAGCCGGGCATGGTGGCGGGCAGGTATAATCCCAGCTACTTGTTGCTTGAACCCAGTAGGTGGACGTTGCAGTGAGCCAAGATCATGCTGCTGCATTCCAGCCTGGGAGACAGAGCGATACTCCACCTCAAAAAAAAAAAAAAAAAAGTATAGTAATAATAATTAGAAGATTATCAAAAGTGTTGGAATACATCCCAAAGTTTAGGGATATATCCCATGTTGCCTAAGGTTGTCTCATCCAGGGGTCATTCCATGCTTTTCGGTGCTATTGTGAATTGTACTCAACCTGACATGAGTTCTGTTCATTATATAGCGCAAGATATCAGTAATCACTTCTCAGCTAATGCAGGCAGTTTAAGGGCAGTCTTTTTGAGTTAAAGTTGGGTTCATGTCAAGAGTCAAGTTTCTACAATGGAAGAACAAATTATCCTTTTAAAAAAATAATCCACCTACACCAACAGGAAAAGTTTCTCTGCCTCAAGTAACCAAGGAAATGTAAATTAAAACCAAAATGATAATCTGTCTTACTCCAACCAGACTGAAACCAAATTAGAAGCCTAATATTGAGTGTTGGTGCAGATGTAGAGCAGACCAGATGCTGCTGGTGGAAGTATACATTGCAGGACCACTTTACATGGACACACAAAGAGTGTATACATGTTGACAACATTCAAACATTTCGTGAAATGACACTATACAATATGAAATGCATCTGATATCTAACCTAGGTTACTTCACTTAAAAACAGTGCTGGCTGACCCACTAAATTGTTCTCATGACTCAGTAATGGGTCGCTACTCACGCTTTCAAACACACCGCTCTTGGAAAAACCTGGCTTGTACCAAAGGGTTCATTGCAGCTGTTTGTAGTAGCAAAATGTTGCAAACAAGCCAAATGTCCCAAACTGTTGAATGGAAAACTATATCTTGGTGTATTCATATAACGAAACACTGCTGGTGAAAATGAATTACAGTGACAAGCAACAACATGGTTGAGCCTCAGAAATAAGATCGGCAGGAAGGGAGGGAAGCAACAGAATACATTTGCATAATTGCATGTATGTAAAATTAAGAAAATTGCTAAATTAATGATAGGTTTAAGGATACAAACATGGTAAAAACTTTAAAGAGGGAATGTTAATTTAGAATAATGTTTACCTCTGAAGGACTAAGAATCTTTAAAGTTTGTTATTTTAAGTTAGGTGGTGAGCACCTACGTGATCCTTTTGCCTAAGATCATGTGATACTCACTGCCTTTATGCAATGAGTGTTTTATATGTTTAATCCAAAACCATTTTAAGTCTTAAAAAATGCTTAAGGAACTGTTGGCAGAAGTCACAAACTGATGACCTGTACATCAAAAACATCCGTAGACATGTTTGGCCTTGCACAGTGAGAGCAATCAACTGCTACTCAAAAGCAGCTATGTATGTCCTTTATAGAAGGCTGGTGCACTCCAGTTCATCATGGTCCCTACCTAGGGTGATGGTCTCAGTGCAGTCATCTGCTGGCCTCTGCAGGCATCTCGGTTTGCAGCCGCTAGTATAAGAAATGGAAGGAAACCTAGGGATCATATCTGATCCAACTCCATTTTCTAGATAAGGAAATGAGATCCACAGCTGTTGAGAAGGCCTAGTGTGTGGGGGAGGATTGCTTGAGTCCAGGAGTTGGAGGCTGCAGTGAGCTATGATCACACCACTGCACTCCAGTCTGGGTGACAGAGCAAGAGCCTATCTCTTAAAAAAATAAAATAAAATAAAAAACAACCTAATGTGTGTTTCTTCATTTCTCCGTACTAGACAAGATCAGGGAAAGATGATCTAAGAGATAACATTATTGGGCACCTATTTGGTACTTTTGGTATGTCATTTTATATCGTTGACTCTGTGGAATACATAGTAAATGTAGTTAGAAAATAAGTTAGTCTTTCCCCTAGTTCTTCATTCACTAATAGGAAAGGGATAGAATCAGATTCTCAGTTTTCATTCTTGGCCTCCTTTTTTTTTTTTTTTTTTTTTTTTCTTTTTTAATTGAGACAGAATCTCACTCTGTTGCCCAGGCTGGAGTGCCATGGAGCAATCTCGGCTCACTGCAACCTCCGCCTCTGGGGTTCAAGCGATTCTCCTGCCTCAGCCTCCCAAGTAGCTGGGATTACAGGCACATGCCACCATGCCCAGCTAATTTTTGTATTTTTAGTAGAGATGGGGTTTCACCATGTTGGCCAGGGCTCGTCTTGAAGTCCTGACCTCAAGTGATCTGCCCGCCTCGGCCTTTCTTTAATCACAGTTCATCAGTGTTTGTCATTTACTTATTCCATAGTGCCTAGCACCTAACAGATTTGAGGACCACACTGGATTTCAGCTGCTATGAATCTGCTTATTGCCTCATCTAGAAAATGGATGGAGTTACATCAGGTGTGATCTCTAGGTTTCCTTCCAGTTCAATACTAGTGGCTGCAAATTCAGATCCCTCCAGGAAACTAATAATTTTTCCTAAGGTGATGGACAGGTTTGGAGCCAGTATCTGAATCCAGGTCATTCTCATTTAAAGCTCGTGTTCTAAAGACTCAGATCACTTAAAAATTCCTTTTGCTCATGTTTTCAATATCTTCCCTTGCTTTTGTCAGAACTGCTAACTAGCAGCAAGTAACTATTACCTTCTTTCTCTAATTGCATACTTCTGGTTCATTCACTTACTTTCTAAATACTTGAGGACCTGTTATGTGCTAGGCATTACAGAACAAATGACAAAAACACTGATGAGCTTGGATTAAAGAAAGGCAAAGCATAAAAGCTAAGAATCTGATTTTACCCCTTTTCCTATCAGTAAATCAAAAAATAGGGGAGAGCCTAACTTATCTCTATAAGCCATCCATTTTCTTTTAAAAAAATATTTTCACAAAGGGCTAATATCCAGAATCTACAACGAACTCAAATGAATTTACAAGAAAAAAACAAACAACCCCATCAAAAAGTGGGCGAAGGATATGAACAGACACTTCTCAAAAGAAGACATTTATGCAGCCAAAAAACACATGAAAAAATGCTCACCATCACTGGCCATCAGAGAAATGCAAATCAAAACCACAATGAGATACCATCTCACACCAGTTAGAATGGCGATCATTAAAAAGTCAGGAAACAACAGGTGCTGGAGAGGATGTGGAGAAATTGGAACACTTTTACACTGTTGGTGGGACTGTAAACTAGTTCAACCATTGTGGAAGTCAGTGTGACGATTCCTCAGGGATCTAGAACTAGAAATACCATTTGACCCAGCCATCCCATTACTAGGTATATACCCAAAGGATTATAAATCATGCTGCTATAAAGACACATGCACACGTATGTTCATTGCGGCACTATTCACAATAGCAAAGACTTGGAACCAACCCAAATGTCCAACAATGATAGACTGGATTAAGAAAATGTGGCACATATACACCATGGAATACTATGCAGCCATAAAAAATGATGAGTTCATGTCCTTTGTAGGGACGTGGATGAAACTGGAAACCATCATTCTCAGCAAACTATCGCAAGGACAAAAAATCAAACACCGCATGTTCTCACTCATAGGTGGGAATTGAACAATGAGAACACATGGACACAGGAAGGGGAACATCACACTTCGGGGACTGTTGTGGGATGGGGGGAGGGGGGAGGGATAGCATTAGGAGATATGCCTAATGCTAAATGACGAGTTAATGGGTACAGCACACCAACATGGCACATGTACACATATGTAACAAACCTGCACATTGTGCACATGTACCCTAAAACTTAAAGTATAATAATAATAAAATTTAAAAATATATATTTTCCTATTTTTTTTAAATTTGGGGTGTGTGTGTGTGTCTGTGTGTGTGTTCTATAAGCCATCTGATATGGTTTGGCTGTGTCCTCACCCAAATCTCATCTTGCATTATAGTTCGCATAGTCCCAATGTGTCCTGGGATGGATCCAGCGGGAGGTAATTTAATCATGGGGGTGGTTACACTCATGCTGTTCTCATGTGAGTCAATTCTCATGAGAGCTGATAGTTTTATAAGGGGTTTCCCCCTTTTTACTTGGCATTTCTTGCCATGTGAAAAAGGACATGTTTGCTTCCCCTTCCACCATGATTGTAAGTTTCCCTAGGCCTCCCCAGGCATGCTGAAATGTGAGCCACTTAAACCTCTTTCCTGGCTGGGCATGGTGGCTTATGCCTATAATCCCAGCACTTTGGGAGGCCGAGGCAGGCAGATCACTTGAGGTCAGGAGTTCAGTACCAGCCTGGCCAACATGCTGAAACCCCACCTCTACTAAAAACACAAAAAAATTAGCCGGGTGTGGTGGCAGAGACCTGTAATCCCAGCTACTCAGGAGGGTGAGTCACAAGAATCACTTGAACCTGGGAGTCAGAGGTTGCAGTGAGCCAAGATTACACCACTGCACTCCAACCTGGGCGACAGAGTGAGACTCCGTCTCAAACAAACAAACAAAAACCAGCCAGGCATGGTGGCTCATGCCTGTAATCCCAGCTACTTGGGAGGATGAGGCAGGAGAATTGCTTGAACCTGGGAGGTGGAGGTTGCAGCAAGCAGAGATTGCACCACTGCACTCCAGCCTGGTCAACAGAGTAAGATTCCATCTCAAAAAAAAAAAAAAACCACACCTTTTTCCTTTATAAATTATCCAGTCTGGGATATATCTTTGTTAGCAGTGAGAGAACAGACTAATACAACACCCATTTTCAATTTTTAAAAAATGCAACTTTGGGAACTTTAGTAAACTTGGATTATTGCAAATGAATAGGACCCAAAGAAATTCTCAGATGTCCTGTGTGTTAGTCTAGTTCTCAGGAAAGCACTTGCTAAGATGAAATTATATGTGCAAAGATTTTATTAGGGGAAATGCTTATATGTAAAGGAAAATAGATTTTAAGACAAAAACAAGAAGAGACAAAGAAGATCATTATATAGTGATAAACGGGACAATTCAGCAAGAGGATATAACGCTTGTAAACATATATGCATCTAACACTGAAGCACCCAGGTATATAAAGCAAATATTATTAGAGCTACAGACAGAGATAGGCCCCAACACAATAATACCTGAAGACTTCAACACTCCGCTTTCAGCACTGGACAGATCTCCCAGACAGAATATCAACTATCAACAAAGAAACATTGCACTTAATCTGCACTATAGAATAAATTAACCTAATAGATATTTACAGAACATTTCATCCAGTGGCTGCAGAATACACATTCTTATCCTCAGCATATGGACCATTTTCAAGGACAGACTATATGTTAGGTCACAAAACAAGTCTTAAAAGATTCAAAAAAATTGAAATAATATGAAGCATCTTCTCGGACCGCAATGGAATAAAACTAGAAATCAATAACAAGAGGAGTTTTGGAAACTATATAAACACATGGAAATCAAACAACATGCTCCTGAATGACCAGTGGGTCAATGAAGAAATCAAGAAGGAAATTGAAAAATTTCTTAAAACAAATGATAATGGAAGGACAACATGCCAAAACCTATAGGATATGGTGAAAGCAGTACTAAGAAGGAAATTTATAGCTAAAAGTGTCTACATCAAAAAAGAAGAAAAACTTCAAATAAAAAACCTAATGATGCATCTTAAAGAATTAGAAAAGCAAGAGCAAACAGAGCCCAAAATTAGTAGAAGAAACGAAATAATAAAGATCAGAGCAGAAATAAATGAATTTGAAATGAAGGAAACAATACAAAAGATCAACAAAACAAAAAAAAATGGCTACTATGAGCAACTATATGCCAATAAATTGGAAAACCTAGAAGAAATGGATAAATTCCTAGACACATAAAACTTACCAAGATTGAACCATGAAGAAATCCAAAACCTGGACAGACCAGTAAGAAGTAACAAGATCAAATCTGTAATAGAAAATCTCTCAGTAAAGAAAAGCCTGGGACCTGACGGCTTCACTGCTGAATTCTACCAAACATTTATAATGAGAGTAATACCAAGCCTACTCAAACTGTTCCAAAAAATAGAGGAGAAGGGAATACTTCCAAACTCATTGTACAAGGCCAGTATTACCCTGATACCAAAACCAGACAAAGACACATCAAAAAAAAAAAAGAAAGAAAGAAAGAAAGAAAGAAAGAAAGAAAGAAAGAAAGAAAGAAAGAAAACTACAGGCCAACATATCTGATGAATATTGATGCAAACATTCTTAACAAAATACTTTCAAACCTAATTCAACAATACATTAAAAAGATCATTCATCATGACCAAGTGGGATTTTCCAAGGGATGCAAGGATGATTCAACATATGCAAATCAGTCAATGTGATATATCATGTCAACAGAATGAAATCATATGATCCTTCCAATTAATGCTGAAAAAGCATTTGATAAAGTTTAACATCCCTTCATGATAAAAACTGTCAAAAGACTAAGGATAGAAGGAACATACCTCAATATAATAAAAGCTGTATATGACAGACCTACAGCTTGTATCGAACTGAGAGCCTTTCCTCTTAGATCTGGAACCTGAAAAGATGCCCACTTTCACCACTGTTATTCAATATAGTACTGGAAGTCCTAGTTAGAGCAATCAGACAAGAAAAAGAAATAAAGCCATCCAAATTGGAAAGGAAAAAGTCAAATTATCTTTGCGTGCAGATGACATGATCTTACATTTGGAAAAACCTAAAGACTCCACCAAAAAACTATTAGAACTGATAAATTCAGTAAAGTCTCAAGATACAAAATCAACATACAAAAATCAGTAGCATTTCTATATGCCAACAGCAAGCAATCTGAAAAATAAATAAAAAAAAGTAATCCTATTTGCAATAACCACAAATTAAATACCAAGGAATTAACCAAAGAAATAAAAAATCTTGGCCGGGCACGGTGGCTCATGCCTGTAATCCCAGAACTTTGGGAGGCCGAGGCGGGTGGATCACAAGGTCAGGAGATCGAGACCACCCTGGCTAACACGGTGGTGGGCACCTGTAGTCCCAGCTACTTGGGAGGCTGAAGCAGGAGAATGGTGTGAACCCGGGAGGCGGAGCTTGTAGTCCGAGATCATGCCACTGCACTCCAGCCTGGGCAACAGAGTAAGACTCCATCTCAAAAAAAAAAAAAGAAAAAGAAATAAAAAATCTCTACAATGAAAACTATAAAACACTGATGAAAGAAATTGAAGAAAACATCAAAAAATAAAAAGATATTCCATGTTCATGGATTGGGAGAATCAATATTGTTAAAATGTCCATATTACCCAAAGCAATCTACAGATTCAATGCAATCTCTAAAATACCAGTAACATTCTTCACAGAAACATAAACAATCCTCAAATGTATATGAAAGCACAAAAGACCTAGAGTAGCCAAATCTATCCTGAGCAAAAAGAATAAAATGGGACAAATCACATTACCTGACTTCAAATTATACTACAGAGCTATAGTAACCAAAACAGCATGGTACTGTCATAAAAACACACAGAGAGAACAATGGAACACAACAGAGAATCCAGAAACAAATCCGCATACCTATGATGAATTCATTTTCGACAAAGCTGCCAAAGAACATACACTGGGAAAAAGAGTCTCTTCAATAAATGGTATTGGGGGAACTGGATATCCACATGCAAAAGAATGAAACTAGACCCCTATCTCTCACCATATGCAAAAATCAAATCAACATGGATTAAAGACTTAAATCTAAGACCTCAAACTATGAAACCACTATAAGAAAACTTTGGGGAAAATCTCCAGGACATTGGTCTGGGCAAAAATTTCTTTATTTTTTTTTTTAAAGATTCTTGTTTCCAGTGGGGTTGGAAAAAATTTCTTGAGTAATACTGCATGAATACAAGAAACCAAAGCAAAAATGGGCAAATGGGATCCCATCAAGTTAACAAGATTCTGCACAGCAAAGGAAACCATCAATAAAGTGAAGAGACAATCCACAGAATGGGAGAAAATATTTTCAAATTACCCATCTGATAAGGGATGAATAACTAGAATATATAAGGGGCTCAAACAACTCTATAGAAAAAAATCTAATAATCTGATTATATCTGGTTAAGGCCAGGTGCAGTGGCTCACACCTGTAATCCCAACTTTGGGAGGCTGAGGCAGGTGGATTGCTTAGTCCAGAGTTCCAGACCAGTCTGGGCAATATAGTGAGACCTCTTCTCATAAAAAATAATTTTTTTTTTAATTAACAGAGCATGGTGGCATGCATCCGCAATACTAGCTACTCAGGAGACTAAGGTGGGAGGATCGCTAGAGCCCAGCATTGAGGAGTAGCAGTTGCAGTGAGCCGAGATCGTACCACTGCACTCCAGTCTGGGTGACAGAATAACACCCTGTCTCAAAATAAATAAATAAATATTTAAAAAATAAAAGTTGGGCAAAATATTTAGACATTTCTCAAAAAAAGACATAAAAATGGTAAACAGGCATAAGAAGAGGTGCTCAACATAATTAATCAGAGAAATGCAAATCAAAATTACATGAGATATCATCTCATCCCAGTTAAAATGGCTTTTATGCAGAAGTCAGGCAATAACAAATGCTGGCAACAATGTGGAGAAAAGGGAACCCTTGTACACTATTGGTGGAAATGTAAATTAGTGCAACCACTATGGAGAACAGTTTGGAGGCGCCTCAGAAAACTAAATCTAGAACTACCATACAATCCAGCAATCCAACTACTGTGTATATACCCAAAAGAAAGTAAATCAACTGTGTGTGGTGGCTCATGCCTGTAATCCCAGCACTTTGGGAGGCTGAGGTGGGCAGATCATGAGGTCAGGAGTTTGAGACCAGCCTGGCCAATATGTGAAACCTTGTCTCTACTAAAAATACAAAAATTAGCCAGGCATGGTGGCCTGCACCTGTAGTCCCAGCTACTTGGGAGGCTGAGGCAGAAAAATTGCTTGAACCTGGGAGGCGGAGGTTACAGTGAGCCGAGATCACACCACTGCACTCCAGCATGGGCAACAGAGTGAGACTCTGTCTCAAAAAAAAGAAAAGAAAGTAAATCAGTGTATCATAGAGATATCTGCACTCCCATGTTTGTTGCAGCAGTGTTCACAATAGCTAAGATTTGGAAGCAACCCAAGTGTCCATCAACAGATGAATGGATAAAGAAAATGTGGTACTTATTCATGATGGAGTACTATTCAGTCATTAAAAATAATGAGATTCTGTCATTTGCAGCAACATGAATCAAACTGAAGGTCATTATGTTAAGTGAAATAAACCAGGCACAGAAAGACAAGCATCGCATGTTCTCACTGATTTGTGGGATCTAAAAACCAACCAATTGAACTCACAAAGATAGAGAGTAGAAGGATGATTACCAGAGGCTGGGAAGGACAGTGGGGGTTGGGGGAAGGTGGGGAGGGTAACGGGTACCGAAAAACTAGAAAGAATGAATAAGACCTAGTATTTGATAGAACAGGGTAAGTATAGTCAATAATAATTGAATTGTACATTTTAAAATAACTAAAAGTATACTTGGATTGTTTTAACACAAAGGATAAACGCTTGAGGGGATGGATACCCAACTTTCTGTGATGTGATTAGTACACATTATATGCCTGTATCAAAATCCCTCTGTACCCCCTAAATATATACACCTACTATGTACCGACAAATATTAACAAAAAAGAGGAAATAAAAGAAGAAAAAAGTCAGAAGTCTGAACTAGTTCCTTTGGTGTGATAATCTTGCTAACAACTTCTCCATCTTTTATTTTGTGAATAAAAGGAGTAGGCATACTCTAAACAAAGCCTCTTTTATTATTAAGTTCCTTCTCATATTTGGAAAAATCCTTAATTTAACAGTCAGGAATTAGGCAATATCATTAAAGTACTATTTTACATCCTGAAAACAAGGAATTATTTTTACTTTTTATTTAATTTAATTAATTTATTTATTTATTTGAGATGGAGCCTTGCTCTGTTGCCCAGGCTGGAGTGCAGTGGCGTGATCTCAGCTCACTGCAACCTCTGCTCCCTGGGTTCAAGCGATTCTCCGGCCTCAGCCTCCTGAGTAGCTGGGATTTCAGGCGCAGGCCACCATGACTGGCTAATTTTTTTATTTTTAGTAGTGACGGGGTTTTGCCACGTTGGCCAGGCCAGTCTGGAACTCCTGACCTCAGGTGATCCGCCCGCCTCGGCCTCTCGAAGTGTTAGGATTACAGGCGTGAGCCACTGTGCCCAGCCTATTTTTACTTTTTAAAAAATTGAACATATAAATATATTTTGAGGCGTGCTCTTGCTACGTTGCCCAGGCTGGTCACGAACTTCGGGGCTCAAGCAATCTTCCTGCTTCAGTCTCCAAAGCAGATAGGACAACAGGTAGGTGTACACCACCGCACCAGGCTCTGAACATTATTTTTAATTCATATGAAGCAAAATTCAAAAGGCAAAATAAATTACAAAGAGCAAAAATCTCCTTCCCACCCTGTCTCACAACCAAACAGTTCCTTTCCCCAAAGAAACCAAGGTTACCACTTTGTCTTTTCAAATACATGTTACACATACACAAGCAAATATGAATATATCTTCCACCTTTTTACACCAATAATAGAGTATATAAATTGTTCACAGCTTCATGGTATTGGATTTTATGGATGTACTATACCTTATTGAATCAGTCCCCTATTAATGGACATTTAATGTTGTTGTTGATCTAATCTACAAACAATGCTGCAGTTAACAATCTTGTACATACATCGTTTTACATGTGCACGAGTATATGTGAAGGAAAATTTTATTAAAATCGACGAATATTTCCAAAATGCCCCCAATAATATACCAATCTTGCATTCTTCTCTACAATGTGTGAGTCAGGGACAGTTTTAGATCAGGAAGGTATGACATGGAAGATGGGGACACGTTGTAAATTTAGAATGCTACCCACTTGGCTATGGTTTTAGTACCCTTAAGAATCAAAGGGCTAGGCGCTGTGGCTGACGCCTGTAATCCCAGCACTTTAGGAGGCCAAGGCGGGCGGATCACGAGGTCAGGAATTCGAGACCAGCCCGGCCAAGATGGCGAAACACCGTCTCTATTAAAAACACAAAAATTAGTCGGGCGTGGTGGTGTGCACCTGTACTCCCAGCTACTCGGAGAGGCTGAGGCAGGAGAATTGCTTGAACCCGGGAGGCGGAGGTTGCAGTGAGCTGAGATCGCGCCAGTGCACTCGAGCCTCGGCGACAGAGCAAGAGTCCGTCTCAAAAAAAAAAAAAAAAAAAAAAAAGAATCAAAGGGCTCACAGAGCATAATAGTATTACCAAACACAATTTGTCTAGACATTCAGATAAGCTGAACTAATTAAGCTTTTTGCCTTTTCAGTCACTAAGTGCACCAAAATAAATTAGAATTTCCTGAATCAATTAGAATTTCCTTAGAATCAATTCAGTGGTGATGACAGGGCCCATTATGATGCAGAGTATATACTGAGGTCTGTGGATCCTAAGGCTCAGAGGATTCTCGCCGCAGCGTTGTTCGGCCCGAAAAGGCCATTGTGGACAATGGACGTGAATAAATTTGAGGCCTCTGTGGGTTTTCTCGATGTCAAAAAGTTCCTCAGTACCTGGAAGGTAAAACATACTTGCTGCAATCAGATGCTTGGCATATTAAGCGTTGGAATTCTCTCTGCCTGCCCTGCCTAGTGAGCGGTAGGGAGGAACTCAGGCTCAGCCAATCGCCGAGCTGTAGATACATTCCCAGGCTCCCTGCCGGACCCCACAACATCCAGCCTTTTTTTTGTTTTTTCTTTTTTTTCTTTTTTCTTTTTTTTTTTTTTGAGACGGAGTCTTGCTCTGTCGCCCAGGCTGGAGTACAGTGGCGCGATCTCAGCTCACTGCAACCTCCGCCTCCCGGGTTCACGCCATTCTCCTGCCTCAGCTTCCCGAGTAGCTGGGACTACTGGCGCCCGCCACTACGCCCAGCCAATTTTTTTGTATTTTTAGTGGAGACGGGGTTTCACCGTGTTAGCCAGAATCGATCTCCTGACCTCGTGATCCACCCGTCTCGGCCTCCCAAAGTGCTGGGATTACAGGCGTGAGCCACCTCGCCTGGCCTTTTTTTTTTTTTTTTAAGAGACAGAGTCTCAGTCGGTCGCCCAGCCCGGAGTGCAATGGCGCGATCTCGGCTCAGCAACCTCCGCCTCCCAGGTTCTAGCGATTCTCCTGCATTAGCCTCCTGAGTAGTTGGGATTACAGGCGCGTGCCACAACGCCCGGCTAATTTTTTTGTATTTTCAGTAGAGATAGGGTTTCACCATGTTGGCCAGGCTGGTCTCGAACTCCTGACCTCAAGTAATACACCCGCCTCGGCCTCCCAAAGTGCCGGGATTACAGGCGTGAGCCACCACGCCTGGACATTTTTTTTTTTTTTTTTTTTTTACAGGGTCTCATTCTGTGGCCCAGGCTGGAGTGCAGTGGCGATCCTGGCTCACTGCAACCTCTGCTGCCTGGCTCAAGTGATCCTCCTGTCAGCCTCTCGAGTAGCTGGGACTACAGGCGCGGTGCGGGCTAATTTTTTTTTTTTTTTTTTTTTTGTAGAAACGGGGTTTTGCCGTGATCCCCAGGCGGGTCTGGAACTCCGGAGCTCAGGTAATTCGCTCGCCTCGGCCTGCCAAAGTGCCGGGATTATAGGCGTGAGCCACCATTCCCTGCCCACCCGACCTTTTTGTAATTCGGCTTCCTAGCAGCGTACAGAAGCCCCGCGCTAGGGTACAGACAGGTCACGTGACACCACCTCCTCACGTGACGCAGACTCTGGAGCGGGGGGAGGGCGGTGCTCCAGCTGCATTGCGTCATCACGTCGCGCGGCCGCAGGGGCCAGACCCGGACGGCTCCAGAGCCTCCAGAGCCTCCGGGTCTGGGCGGCGCTTCGGCTCCTCCCGAGCCGCCTGCTAGCCCCGCGCCGCACTCCATCCCCACAGGCTGGGGACGGGCCCGGTGCGGCTGTGTGGGTTCGGGAGCGGAGGTGAGTTGCGCGGAAGTGATGGCAGTCAGCCCTTCCCTTCCTGTCCGTCAACTCCGGGTTATGGCCCTACCCCCCATCCTTGGTCTCCCTGCAAGGCGGAATGGGAGACATGCCCAACAGAGGAGGAAGGCTGGCAGTGGGGTGGGGCATCTGGCCTCGGTCACCCTCTCAACTCTCCCCCTGAACTGCCCCTCTCCGATACCTCCACCTGGCGGTGGCGGCCATATGCCTGGTGGTATTAGGAGGAAGGACTTCGTTTCCTTCTCTAGAATTTAGTCTTTCCCGAGTTTACTACCCATTCCCTGCCCCGAATCTCCCGAAGTGGAATCCCTCCATTCAGATGTTAACGAAAGTTCTAGAAAATAGGTCACTTCAGAAGGGTGAGGATGAAGGATATGCTGAGACTTGGAGTGTTGAGGCAGGAATCCCCTAGAAGGAAGACCACTCTGCACCGGGGTACTGTCATTTTGACACGGAAACGATAAAAGACCCCCCGGGCTGTCTTCATAGTAAATGGACATTTGTTCTAGACCTTTTTACACCCCTAGAGTTGCAACTAAGTTGACTTAAGTCTTTTTGAAAAACATATGCTTTGATGAATCACCCGCTTTTCTGTAAAATGGGTCTTGCAGAGTTGTTGGAGGAATTATCTATAGTGCTTATAGAGTAAAATGCCAACTACAAACAGAAGTAGATGAGAATTTAGGATCTCATTTTTCCTGTTGAAAGATTAATTGTGACTTGTGGACTTTTGGAGACCACAGTTTGATTTCCTTCCCCCCGGATCATTTCAGAAAGTTTTGGATTCCAATATCGATTCTTTAACAGTAATGGACATTCACAGATGTAGAGTAGGAATACCCTCTTGTTGAAGAGCTTCAATATCTTAAGCAAGTGTAAGTCCATCGATAACTTGCGTGGTTTCCATTATTCAGTGTAGGTAATGGGTCCTCAATTGAAGTTTCTTTTTTTTTTTTTTTTTTTGAGACAGAGTCTCGCTCTGTTGCCCAGGCTGGAGTGCAGTGGTGTGATCTCGGCTCACTGCAACCTCCACCTCCTGGGTTCAAGTGATTCTCGGGCCTCAGCCTTCTTGGTAGCTAGGATTATAGGCGCGCATCACCACGCCTGGCTATTTTTTGTATTTTTAGTAGAGACTAGGTTTCACCATGTTGGCCAGGCTGCTCTCAAACTCCTGACCTCAACTGATCACCCACCTCAGCCTCCTAAAGTGCTGGGATTACAGGAGTGAGCTGTTGGGCCCGGCCTGAAGTTTCATTTTAAGAAGAAATCCAGATATGTTTGGAAGTCATCAGACATATCATTTGGATACTTCTTTAGAAAAAAGTTTATTTTTACTGAGTGGCCTTTCTTGCTCTAAGTTGAAGTTGAATACACACTTTTTCTTACATTAAATTCTAAACATTTATTGTGCAACTTCTAGGATAGAAAGCATACATATAAAGCAGGATCCTCTTTTTATGTATGCTCTAAATACTTATCTACTTAAGGACATTAAATAGTAATAATATAACACCTTTAAGAAATTTTATATTTTCGGTTTATCATTTGAGACAAGAACCTTGTCAAGATTTACAAGACATATATTGTTTATCTCTACTTACATTTCAGCATTGATCATATTAAATGTCAAGTGGTAGGGACACTCCGTGATAGAGGAATTCAGAGGAAGAAGAGAGAGCTTTTACATGGACTAGATAGTGGCTAGTGGTTGGTGGTGATGCCAGGCATAGGAGTGCCCTCAACTTGTGTATGTTTGGGTCTGAGGAAGCCTCTTAGGTTCTTAATTTGTAAAGCTAATTAAATATGTTCAGTTGCCCTAGTTCTTTGAATATGCTCATTGTTTTTTTTTCCCTCTTGTAGTTGCAGAATCCAAGGACCCATTTTGTTCTTTCTCCGCACTGCTTTATGGGAGGCATTATGGCCCCCAAAGACATAATGACAAATACTCATGCTAAATCCATCCTCAATTCAATGAACTCCCTCAGGAAGAGCAATACCCTCTGTGATGTGACATTGAGAGTAGAGCAGAAAGACTTCCCTGCCCATCGGATTGTGCTGGCTGCCTGTAGTGATTACTTCTGTGCCATGTTCACTAGTGAGGTAAGTGGTAAATTAGCCCCACACAAATGAAACCCGTGGAACTCTAGTTGTCTAATTTCACTGAATAAAATAGTGGAAGTTTGATATAATTTTGAATTTTTACAGTGTGATGTTTTGGCAGATTCTGGATAAGATCTACCACTTAGATGACTATGCCTTAGTTTCCTCATCTTTAAGTTAGGGATAATAGTAATATGTAACACATGGTTATTAAGGTTGTTGTGAAGATTATTTTATGAAATAACATAGGAAGTGCTTAGAATAGTGTAATATGTAGTAAAACACACATGTCAGCTATTGGATTTTACTATTTCTTAAATTTGTCTTCCAATTTTTCTCCTTTTTTTGTTTTTAATTTTATTTATTTATTTGTAGAGACAGGGTCTCACTATGTTGCCCACGCTGGTCTTGAACTCCTGGGCTCAAGCAATCCTCCTGCCTTGGCCTCCCAGAGTGGCCACACCTGGCATTACAGGTGTGAGCCACGGCATCCAGCCTTTTTTCCTTCTAAAGTTTAAAAATTTTTAAGTGAATACCAGAGGGATAAGGAGGAAGGAAGGAGAGAGGAGTAGGATTCAAACCACATCCCACTCCTCCTAACAATATGTGAAGAAAATCAGTGTAAATTTTAGGATAACTTCAAATGAAAGGAAGAAGAGTTTTTAATGAATAGCTGTACAGGCGTTGAGTGTATAACCTGAGAAAGGATGTTAACTCATAAGCACTTAACAAAGGGAATTAGGAAAAGGTTGGCTTGAGAGAATACAGGTAGTGCTCACAAAGTATTAAGAAACACTACTTAGTAATTGCCTGACAAAATACTTGAAATGTATAGTAAGGCTGCTGAATATATTGTGTTGAATATTCTTAGAAAGCTGAACAGAAAATAACATTGCAAATCTTTGTTTTTCAAGATCCCAAGTCTCATTTTAAGAGCAGATTTAAATAAATTATCTTGATTTATTTTTTCAAAGCTCAGTTGTGGGTGCATCACTGTTTATTATATAATTTACACTTACATGTATGCCTGAAATATTTCATTATGAAAACACTGTTTTAAAAGTCTTTTTAAGCACAAGTTTTTTGTTTGTTTTTTGTTTTTTTTTTAGTTAGTTCTATCATCTTAGTGTAGATATTGCTGCTGAATCAGAATGGGAGAGGCGTATTCTGTGATGGTAATAACTACCTTTTATGGGCCAGGTACTGTGCTAGTAATTGTTGTGCATATCTGACTCACCCTAGGGGTAGGTATTACCATCTCATTTTACAAATGAAGGAATAGGGTTTCAGATATTAAATCACTTGCCCAAAGTCCCATGGCTTGTAAGTGCTAGAGGTGGGATTTCATTTTATATTTTCCAACTCTAAAGCCCAAACAGTTTGTAACTCTTGTGCCGCCTTAGCCTCCGAAGTATGAATTTTATATACTACAATCTAATTTTAAAACTGGTATAGTTAAAAATACTATGAGCCAATGCTCAGTCACATGGCTAGTAGGGAAAACAGGAACCTGACAGGTCATTCCAACTAATTCAGGCTAATTTTTAAATAAACTTGTGTGATATACCAAGGCAGATCCCTGTCCTATACTGTTCTCCATGAGATATACCCAAGATCATCAGAAGCATTTGGAATTTAACTGGGTAAAGAGAGTGTCACCCAGCAGCTGCTGAGCAAGAAATGAACTAGAACGGCTGATTGCTAATTATATGTTGTGCATCCTGTTTTTTGTCAGCTTGAAAATAGTGTCTTTACTCTTTTGTTATTTGGAAATGAATTCTTTTTTTCTCATCAGTGATGATTTCTTTCTTTAAAAACTGACATCAGGCAAGGAAATGCTAGATGGTTTTGTCTTTATTTTTGAGAGTAATTGTTCAAAGGAGAGAGTCCAGAGACCTGGATTCTAGGCTTAGTTCTCTTAGCAATTCTGTATAAACCCTGGGAACCATCTAACTTCACTGGGTTGATCTGTAAAATAAAGTAGTTGAACTAGATGGTTTCCTTGTTCTCTTCAGCTATGAAATGCTCCTCAAATGTCATCTGATTGAAAGATCACAAAGACTGAGGCAGGAGGACCTGGGTTTTGTCTCTCTCTCTCTCTCTTTTTTTTTTCCTGAAATACTTTAATAAGAATGATATCTGTCTCTTACTAGCTAAGTGACTGGTTAAGTCTTGGATCTTCAGCTGGGCGTGGTGGCTCACGCCTGTAATCCCAGCACTTTGGGAGGCCGAAGCAGGTGGATCACGAGGTCAGGAGATCAAGACCATCCTGGCTAACACGGTGAAACCCCGTCTCTACTAAAAATACAAAAAATTAGCCGTGCGTGGTGGCGGGCGCCTGTAGTCCCAGCCACTCGGGAGGCTGAGGCAGGAGAATGGCGTGAACCCGGGAGGCGGAGCTGGCAGTGAGCCCAGATCACGCCACTGCACTCCAGCCTGGGTGACAGAGCGAGACTCTGTCTCAAAAAAAAAAAAAAGTCTTGGATCTTCTTTGATCTTTAGACCCTTTATCGCTCTCTCTTTTTTTTTTTTTCCTTGACGCCTGGCTAATTTTTTGTATTTTTAGTGGAGACGGGGTTTCACCATGTTAGCCAGGATGGTCTCGATATCCTGACCTTGTGATCCACCCACCTCGGCCTCCCAAAGTGCTGGGATTACAGGCTTGAGCCATGTGCCCGGCCCCCCTTTATCTCTTAGATAGTAATAATATCAGACCTAACTACCTTACCAGGTTGCTGTGAGAATCAGATGAAATAGTAGTAAATGAGAAGCATGCTGAAAAATTCTAAAGCAAAATATAACTGTAAAATGTATAATTGCTCTAAGTTCTTACATAGTGAAATTGTTTCCATATTTAAACTATTTGATGGAAATGTAGTTTATTGAATGAGAAATTTCTGGAATACATGTACTTACATATTTCAGTACCATAATTATTAAATGCATTTAATGTGTTGGGATAGTAATTGTTTATGAATATTAGTACTGTATTAAATGTTAATAAAACCTAATATGTTTTTTCAAAATAATGTGCTAGTGACTTTTTTAGTGTTAGGGATTGATTTTGTTCTTGGCTTTGGTAGAGAGTGCTTTTTGGTTATTCTCTGGCTGATGGAGAAATAAAAAACGTTAAAGCCATTTAGTTAATAATGGAGATGCACCAGAGTTTTTTAAGTAAAATGAATTTCTAAACTAAGATTAAGATCTAGTAAAATTTTCATAAGGTATTTTCAGATAGTTTCCTGTAAAATTGAAGATTTCTTCTCTTAGCTAAACAGTTTTCTATGATTATCTGGCCTCATCAATACTCATAGCTTCAAGAAGATATACTACTAACAATTTAGACTAAATATACTGCTAACAATTCAGTTAGTCTAACCCAATATTTTGAAAAAGTAACAAATAATTTATTTGTATTCAGATGATGTTACATAAGAAAGTCCCTTAGGATGACCTGCATGTTCTTTTTCGTCATTACTAAATGCAGTCTAAGGGCCGGGCATGGTGGCTCACGCCTGTAATCCCAGCATTTTGAGAGGCTGAGGTGGGCAGATCACTTGAGGTCAGGAGTTCAAGACCAGCCTGGCCAACATGGTGAAACCCCATCTCTACTAAAAACACAAAAATTAGCCAGGCATGGTGGCATGTGCCTGTAGTCCCAGCTACTCAGGCGGCTGAGGCAGGAGAATCGCTTGAACCTGGGAGGTGGAGCTTGAAGTGAGCCAAGATTACGCCACTGCACTCCAGCCTGGGCAACAGAGCAAGACTGTGTCAAAAAAAAAAAAAAAAATTAGCTGGTTGTAGTGGTGTACTCCTGTAATCCCAGCTACTTGGGAGGCTGAGGCACGAGAAACACTTGAACCTGGGAGGCAGAGGTTGCAGTGAGCTGAGATCACACCACTGCACTCCAGCCTGGGGAACAGAGCAAGACCCTATCTCAACAAAGGGGAAAAAAAAGTAGTCTAAGGACAGATGATAGGAACTAGGTAGTCCTGGAGAGACTGGAGTTATAACCCACAGGCTCCTCTACGAACATGAAATTTCTTTGAAATATTGTGTCTTATCTTAAAAGTTCACGGACCAGTGTTATGTTCATGGAACTTTTGCATTCTATTCTGTAAATACATCTGTATTTTAATATGAAATAGATTTTTAAAGTTATTCACTGGCAAAATTACTATTCCAGGAAGGTGTTACCTATTACTTATTCCTGGCGTATAGATAACTACCTACTTCATTTGGAAAGCTACAGATAATGTGCCATATTTGCTTTATTAAAATCCAACAAAATTGGCCGGGCGCGGTGGCTCACGCCTGTAATCCCAGCACTTTGGGAGGCTGAGGCAGGCGGATCACGAGGTGAGGAGATCGAGACCATCCTGGCTAACACGGTGAAACCCCGTCTCTACTAAAAGTACAAAAAATTAGCCGGGCGTGGTGGCGGGCGCCTGTAGTCCAAACTACTCGGGAGGCTGAGCCAGGAGAATGGCATGAACCCAGGAGGTGGAGCTTGCAGTGAGCCGAGATGGCACCACTGCACTCCAGCCTGGGAAACAGTGCAAGATTCCGTCTCAAAAAAAAAAAAAAAAAAAAAAAAATCCAACAAAATAGAGCATAATTTTATTTTTTTATTTTCTTTCTTTTTTATTTTTTTGAAATGGAGTCTCACTCTGGTGCCCAGGCTGGAGTGGAGTGGCACAATCTTGGCTCTCTGCAACCTTCGCCTCCTGGGTTGAAGCAATTCTCCTGCCTCAGCCTCCTGAGTAGCTGGGACTACAGGCATGTGCCACCATGCCCAACTAATTTTTGTATTTCTAGTGGAGACGGGGTTTCACTGTGTTGGCCAGGCTGGTCTTGAATTCCTGACCTCAGGTGATTTGCCTGCCTTAGCCTCTCAAAGTGCTGGGATTACAGGCATGAGCCACCACGCCTGGCCTGTAATTTTTAAAGATAAATGTTCAATTAATATTATTAACATCTCTAAGCTCTTAGATATGAGATTCTGCCTTTATCTTGTGGAATTATAACCATCATTCTTTTATACCTTTTGAATTTTCAGCTCTCAGAGAAGGGGAAACCTTATGTTGACATCCAAGGTTTGACTGCCTCTACCATGGAAATTTTATTGGACTTTGTGTACACAGAAACAGTACATGTGACAGTGGAGAATGTACAAGAACTGCTTCCTGCAGCCTGTCTGCTTCAGTTGAAAGGTACAGACATTAAAACTTGCTATTGTTTATGTCAAAATAGCCCTGGAAAGGTTGAAAATTAATAGTGTAAACTTAATCATGAACATTTTGGAGACAAACTATGGATGTTCATGTTTGCTGGCCATGGCTTTTGTCTCATTGAGCAATAAGAGATCAGATGTCAATAGCACTATAAAGGAACTTCTCCAGATATGAGTATTTGGCTCTATAAAAGAGAGCATTTGCACCTTTTCTGTTTTAAAAAAAAAATGGAGGAAGGAGAAATTATGTGTTTTCTTACATACATGTATGTAACACACCTATAAGGAAATATAATAAAAAAGTGATACTATACATAGCCTACATGGATACTCTTTATCTATCTGGCCATTAAGTGGTAGTATTTCATTAAGATACATGAAATTTAAATTGATGCACAAAATATTAAAGTATGATATTTTCACAGGATTACAGGTGGTTTGTTTTCCCTTACAATTCCCAGGTTTTTTGTTTTGTTTTTGAGACAGAGTCTCACTCTGTCACCCAGATTAGAGCACAGTGGTGCAATCACAGCTCACTGTATCCTTGAATTCTTGGGCTCAAGCAATTCTCACACCTCAGCCTCCTGAGTAGCTGGGACCACAGGTGCATGCCACCACACCCAGCTAATTAAAACAAAATTTTTTTGTGTGGAGATGAGTTCTCTCTATGTTGCTCAGGCTGGTCTCAAGCTCGTGGGCTCGAGTGATCCTCCCACCTTGCCTCCCAGAATGCTGGAATTATAGGCACGAGCCACCGTTCCTGGTCCCCAGTTTTTCTTTTTTAACATTCAGTTATGTTTTCAGTTTTTATATATACATAATTGACACACTTTTAGTTTTTAATACATGATTTAAACAGTGTGAAGCTTTTGCATTAGTGCATAGCCATAACATTAAAATACTCTGAACTTTTCAATTAGATAAATATGAGATTTGTTATTACTATCTTCTCCTTTTCTTTCACTCTAGTCTTTTAGTAAGTTTTCATGTAGAGTAGAAAATGGATACATTATGCTGAATTCGCAATTGGTTTTATAGTTTGATTCCCAAGAGTTTTATAGGCATTTTTGTTGAATTGTGCCAGGTCTCTGGATGTGATTCATCTTGCAATACTCATTTTAAAGATTAAGCAGAGACAGGTGTAAAGGTCTTGCTGAAAGTGGCACAGTACATAAGCCAGAAATAGAGTTTAAGTTCCTTAAGCATAGAATTTCTAATCTGTTTCTTAGGTGTTGAAACAAGGGTTCATCTGATAACATGTAGAGAAGATGCTGAGATACAAGAATATATCCTAGATCACACCTGTCCAACTATTCTAAAGTGTTTGCTGCCTGTGTCTGTCCTAGGTGTGAAACAAGCCTGCTGTGAGTTCTTAGAAAGTCAGTTGGACCCTTCTAATTGCCTGGGTATTAGGGATTTTGCTGAAACCCACAATTGTGTTGACCTGATGCAAGCAGCTGAGGTTTTTAGCCAGAAGCATTTTCCTGAAGTGGTACAGCATGAAGAGTTCATTCTTCTGAGTCAAGGAGAGGTGGAAAAGCTAATCAAGTGCGACGAAATTCAGGTACGGATTTGTCTTGATGTTATGGTTTCTTCAAGATTGGGCAATTACAAAACTTGCAAATAGGATGCAGTTACTTACCATCAGGGCTTCATAATTAAGTGTGCATTTTGGCTCAAAGATTTCATTAACCCCTCCTGTACCAAATTTATTTGCATTTTTATGGAGAGGGAGTTTGCCACTTTCTTCAATTAGATATATGATCCCAGTGGGTAAGAATCACTATTCAACAGAGTATAGAATAAGCAGAAATTGGAAGTAAAGTAGGTATCTGTAGACCACTTCTCTATTACCCGTTCACTCATTTCACAAACATTTATTGAGAATATCTACTATGTAGCACTTAACTATGCCAGGTGCTACAGATCCCCAAGTGGGTAAATATAGTTCTTGCTTTCAGAAAATTCACAACCTGCTAGTAGAGACAGAGATATAGACAAAAAAAATGTTATAAAGAGGATCATGAGAATAGTGAGCCTATACAAAGTAAGGACATTACATAGAAGAAAGAAGAATAAACCTTTGCTCAGGAGTGGATCAGAAATGAAGAGACAAAAGTTTGGAAGTGAGGATCTACAGAAGCAGGAGCCAAATCATAACTGTCTTGTGAGGATGCAGCGGTTGGAAGGGAGGGACACATGAACTGGATGTTAAAGGAATAGTAGGCCAGGTGCAGTGGCCTATGCCTGTAATCCCAGCACTTTGGGAGGCTGAGGCAGAACTGCTTGTGTCCAGGAGTTTGATACTAGCCTGGGCAACATGGCAAAACCCTGTCTCTACAAAAAAATAAAATTAGCCTGGCATGGTGGTGAGCACCTGTGGTCCCAGCTACTTGAGAGGCTGAGGTGGGAGGATCTCTGGAGCCTGGGAGTTTGAGGCTGCAGTGAGCCATGATCGCACCACTGCACTCTAGCCTAGGCAACAGAGGGAGACCCTGTCTCTTGCGGGGGAAGAAGGAATAATACTTCACCTACCAGGGGGATACTACCTGTGCCAGGCAGGCATTCAGTGACTTAACCTACACAGAAGAAAAGTCAATCCTAATTCTAAATCAGAGTACCAGTAGCAGAGTTTTATTGCATATAGGTTTGTAGTTAGGCTGAGAATTGGAGTGAGAAGTCCAATATAGTTATTAGATGTCTTTGAAGCCCATAGTATTGATCTCCAGTGGTCCAATTCTTTAATTTTTTTTTTTTTTCTTCTGAGATGGTCTCACTCTGTCACCCAGGCTGGAGTGCAGTGATGCAATTATGGCTCACTGCAGCCTGGATGTCTGAGCTCAAGCAGCTCTCCCACCTCATCCTCCTGTGTAGCTGGAACTGCACATCACCACACCGGGCTAATTTTTTAAAATTTTTGTTGAGATGGGGTCTCGCTGTGTTGCCCAGGCTGGTCTTGAACTGCTAGGCTCAAGCAATGCTAGGCTCAGGCAATACCATTTAAAGAAAGCCTCTAATATACTTCCATAAACTAAATGATTACTCTCTCCTGATTTATTTTGTTAAAACTAGGATATTTGTGTAATATAATAACAGGTCTTAAGTATACTTCTTCCAGGCTGGAGTGCAGTGGTGTGATCTCAGCTCACTGTAACCTTCACCTTCTGGGTTCAAGTGATTCTCCTGCCTCGGCCTCCCAGGTAGCTGGGACTACAGGCGCCCACCACTACACCAGCTAATTTTTGTATTTTTAGCAGAGACGGAGTTTCACTATTGTGGCCAGGCTGCTCTGGAACTCCTGACATCAGCCACTTCAGCCTCCTAAAATGCTGAGATTATAAGTGTGAGCCACGGCTCCTGGCCTTAAGTATATTTCTTATCAAATTTTAGCCAAGTGTTTCTTTACACCTTTCTCTAGTGACTGTTCTGAGGGAAAATGGATTAGAGCACATTGGTCACATTGGTTCCAACTGTAGAGGAATTATTTTCCAGCCTGACATACTGGGCTCTGTATCAGCCCAGAGAAGCTGCTGTTGCAAATGCTATTGAGTCAAGAATTTGCTAAAATCTTAGTTCTCAGCCTCTTAGTGTAGGACATTGTATCCTTGTGCTGAAGTGGCAGGCATAGCCAAAAAACATATTCATCAGACTTGGAAACTGGCAATTCACTAGAATATCTTGATTTTTCTTGATTTGTACACATATTGGAAAATACAATGAATAGAATGAGCACTACAGATTTGACGTTCACTACATATAATAGCTAATACTTATTCAGCATTTACTGTTGGTTCACTTACTAAATACTTGTTGAACACTTACTGTGTGCCCAGAACATTTCCATGTGCTGCAGATCAAATTATGAACAAAACAAAAATCCCTGTCCACTGGAGCTTCCATTCTAGTGGCACCATTCTTGGTATTTTTATCTCATTTAATTCTCACATCTTCATTTTTCACAGGAGGAAAGTGAAGATTGGAGTTTAACCATCATACCACCACTAGTAAGTGGTAGAGCCAGGTTTCAAATTCGAGTAGTCTGGCTCCAGAGTCTCTTCTCTTAATCACTCAACTATGAGCTCGTCATGTTTTCAGTTTGTTTCTAATTGTCCAAATCAGGAAATAATCATAGAAGTCATTTCTTTTGGAACTATACAGGCTTTGGAATAAAACTGGATGGGGCAGAGAGAACAAATAACTAACCTTATTTAGAAGCTTAAATGAAAAACAGCTTGAGAACTCTTATGTGTAGTTTTTTTTTAAGTGTGTGTCAAGACTGCCCTTTGCTTTTTTTCTGGAAAGAAAGCAAGTGACATATATTTTTCTGTTCCCTATACCAGCCAGAAATAGGAACCAGATGTCTGACTCCCAGTTGCTATTGCTCCCTCTTATTAAATAAAATAATAGTACTTAAAACAATGGGAAGCAGGATGTCATATTGGTTAAAACAGCATGGGTTTTAGAGTCCAACTGGGATTTAGTCTTGGCTGGGTGGCATGTGTTACCTAACCACTAATTTTCAGTTTCCTCTTCTATAAAATGTAGATATTAGTGCTGAGTACACAGGACTGTTCTGAGCATAAAATAAGAACGCCAGTACCTAATACTCAAGAGAATTCTTTGTGAAAATGTATTGTGGAGAAAATCTATTTTTCTCTGTAGTGAGGCATTAATGTTTGGGTTTTTTCTTCCCTGTTAGCTGTTTTTCTGCAATTCTAATTTATTCTATCTTCTGCTCATGATTGTCTGCTCATGGCTAGTCTGAGGGCAGTGGTGTTTACAACTGTTGACCACAATCAGTTACAGATTTCTTTCTTCTTGCTCCACACCTGCTGCTTCATGTGATTAGTCTTTTTTTTTTTTTTTTTTTAGACGGAGTTTCGCTCTTGTCGCCCAGGCTGGAGTGTAATGGCACGATCTCGGCTCACCGCAATCTCTGCCTCCTGGGTTCAAACGATTCTCCTGCCTCAGCCTCCCAAGTAGCTGGGACCACAGGCGTGCGCACCACACCTGGCTAATTTTTGTATTTTTAGTAGAGACTGGGTTTCACCATCTTGGCCAGGCTCGTCTCAAACTCCTGACCTCGTGATCCACCCGCCTCGGCCTCCCAAAGTGCTGAGATTACAGGCGTGAGCCACCACGCCCAGCCCATTTGATTAGTCTTAAAAACGCAAACTAAAAAACCTCTGCTCATGATTGAAAAACTCTATCTTTAAATTGATATATCTAATTTAACCTAGAATGTGTCAGAGTCTATCATGTATCTGCTTAAAACTATTTTCCAATCATATAAAAGTTTTAAGTTAAGATCAAGGACATCTTCTATACCCTCCCCTGCATCTTATCCAACAATTGCCTGGGTTAGTTTAACTTCCCAAGTATTTCTCCAGTGGCTCACCACTGCCACAACTATAGTCCAGTAAGCACCGTCACCTTTTGCCTAATGTACCAGAGCAGCATCTAACCTCTTCTAGCTCTTGGCCCTTTAAACTGTTCTACCCACAGTAGCCAGGATAATCTTTACAAAACATCAATATGATCATATCACTAGCCTGCTTGAAACCTTCGGATGATTTCAAGTTGCTCTGAGAGTCAAATCCAGTATTCTAATGCTCTCTGTACCTGGCCCTTGCTTAACTCTCCAGCTTCATATTTTACTCCTCTATCACCCTCATTCACTCTGCTACACTAGCCTTCTAGTCATTTCCTCAAGCTGCCAGTTCTTTTTTGCTGTAGAACAGAGCTGTTCAATAGTACATTCTATGAAGATGGAAGTACTCTATATCTATAGTGTCTGGTTTGCTCCCGCTAGCCCCGTGTTGCTGTTGGGCACTTGAAATGTGGCTAATGCAACTGAGAAGCTGATTTTTAATTTAGTTTTAATTACGGTGAATGTAAATAGCCACGCATGGGTAGTGTATTGGACAATGCATTTCTAGTGCTTTTTAGTGTGCTCTTCTGTCTGCCTCGGAGTACTCTCTTACTCCCCCTGGCTAACTGCTACTCATCCATCAGATTTCAATTTGTTGCTTCTTCCGGGAGGCCTTCCTTGCCTCACCAGTCTAAACTAGGAAATCTCATGTTGTTCTGTCTCATAGCCCCAGTACCTTTCCTATGTAGTATGCAATAATAGTGAGATTGTTCATTTTTCTGATTTAGCAGTTTGACTCCCCATTTAAGAGCAAGGATCATATCTGATTTGTTCACCATATCTGATTTGTTCACCATTGTGTAATCAGTTTCCAGGACAGTGCCTGGCAGTTAAGAGTGGGGTTCAGTAAAGCCCTCAAATGAATGAACTTTGTGAAACATCTGCGTTTTTAGAGTATCACAGTTCTTAGGAAAAGTTTTTTTTATCTATTCACAGTGACACTCTGAAAGGTATCTCCCAGAATATGTACTCTGTAGGGGCTGGTAGAAGGGGCACAGGACCTCTATTCAGGTGTCTGTCTTTGGGAAGTCCTAGGTGTTATTATATACCTAAGTCCTTCCAGTGATGTAGTGTAGGTTTTTTTAGAGTGTATCTCACATTATCTAATTGGTCATATGTATGCTTAGATCTAAGTTCCCCAGATGATTAATTAAATATATCTTCTCAAATAGCATAGTGCGTAATACACAGTAGTTCCTTGAAGGCTAATTGATAATGCTTTTCTTTCTTGTTTTTTTTTTAAGACATTTATTCAGCATCACCATCAGACTATTACATTTAGCAATCAACAGCATGGGTGCCAAAAAAAAAAAAATCTGCATTAAAACCCTTTGTTGGAATGCTTTACGCTTTCCACAGAACAGAAACTAAAATAACCTGTTACACAATTAGTCACAAATACAGTCCTCGAGTTTTTTGCCCATACACATGAGTATTTGTCTAAAACATGTCTCCTTTGTAGCAGTTAGGCCCTGCCACCACTGTGCTTGGCTGAGTTCACAAATCTGTTGTAACCTGTAGCTTCCCTGTCACTTCTCCGGCTCTCCTCTCCAGCTAAGCTTTGTTTCCTAATTAAAATCTTCTGCCACTGCCATAGCTACTGCTGCTACTGAAACCACCATAGCCACCTTGGTTTCGTGGTTTGGCAGAGTATTGGCCTCCACCGCCATAGGGGCCCAGAGCTTCTGCCTCCAAAGTTTCCTCCCTTCATGGGTCCAAAATTTGAAGACTGATTATTGTAGTTGCCAAAATCACTGTAGCTTCCACCACCTCCAAAATTGCTTCCATCATTACCAAATCCATTATCGCCATCCTCACTGCCACCATATCCACCACCACCACCACGGCTGTCATGCCAACCGAAACCACCTCCACGACCAAACCAAAGTTTCCAGAACCACTTCGACTTCTTTGGCTGGATGAAGCACTAGCCATCTCTTACTTTGACAGGGCTTTCCTAACTTCACAGTTATGGCCATTCGTAGGATGGTATTTCTGAATGGCAGTCTTATTCACAGAGTCATGGTCATCAAAGGTTACAAAGGCAAAGCCCCTTTTCTTGCCACTGCCTCAGTCAGTCATGATTTCAATCACTTCCGTTTTTCCAAACTGTTCAAATTATCTCTTAGGTGATGTTCTTCAGTGTCTTCTTTAATGCTGCCAACAAATATCTTTTTCACAGTTAAGTGAGCACCTGGTCTTTGAGAATCTTCCCTTGAAACAGCTCTCTTTGGTTCTCCAACTCTTCCATCCACCTTGTGTGGCCTTGCATTCATGGCTGCATCCACCTCCTCCACAATGGCATATGTGACAAACCCAAAGCCCCTGGAGCACTTGGTGTTTGGGTCTCTCATTACCACACAGTCCGTGAGCATTCCCCATTGCTCAAAATAGCTCCTCAGGCTTTCTTCATTGGTTATTTCAAAGCTCAACCCTCCAATGAAGAGCTTCCTCAGCTGTTTGGGCTCTTTAGGAGACTCTGACTTAGACATGACGGCAGGGAGGAGAGAGACTTTAAAGATGCTTCTTCGGCGGCGTCCACAGGCAGAAAGGCGATAATGCTTTTGAAAACTGCAACATAGTGATGTTAGAGAAGCTCCTGCTTCAGAGGCTTGGGTGAACAGTTTGAGGGGTGAGCCTGGAGATCATTAGATAACAATTATGACTTAAAATTATTTCAAGAGCTGACTTCGAATAAGGCAACAGATTCCCCCACCTGCCTTCCTTAAAGTTATAGAGAAGACCAGAAGCAATTCAGGAATGGGAAAAATTCTGAAACGAAGGCCAATACGTGACTGGTGATTTATTAGGTACTATCTATCTTAGAGAGAGAGAGAGAGAGAGAGATACATATATATATATGTGTGTGTGTATATATATATATTTTTTTTTTAACCCAAATTGACTATAATTCTTTTCCTGGTCTGTTAGCTGTGTCTGAAAAAAATTGTTTTCCCAAGAGCCTAGCTATTTCTGGAAGATGGGAAATAATGGTGGTGGGCAATGGGAAGCAGGAAGGAAAAAGTGAACGTGGTTACGTTTTGAGATGGTGAGCTAATTGGAAAAGTAGGATCCACGGTGTGTAATTATACATTTACAGGTGGATTCTGAAGAGCCAGTCTTTGAGGCTGTCATCAACTGGGTGAAGCATGCCAAGAAAGAGCGGGAAGAATCCTTGCCTAACCTGCTACAGTATGTGCGGATGCCCCTACTAACCCCCAGGTATATCACAGATGTAATAGATGCTGAGGTAAGTAGTGCAACACTCTCAGGATCCAAAACCTTGACGGACTCTTACCTTAGTGTTATGTATTCAAAATTGAGTATTTTAATGTAGGCACAGAGTCTCCTGTTTTGCCTCTCTAGGAATGCCAGTGAGAGTGGTGCTGGGTAGTCCCCAAGCATATTTCTAAGAAAAGCGAATTTCTTGGCAAGTCAGGCTCTTGACACAAATGAAAATCTGTGGTTCAATTTTGTGTTTTGCTGTCTGTTTTACATGCCTCTGAGTGTTTTATATAAACACTTGATAATAAACTTTGTCCCCTTCTCCATTAAACATAAATTGTTCCAAATTGCCCTTATGCCACACTTAGCAAGCCTCTTCATTTTTGACTTCTGGTAAAGCCAGCATGAAAGGAGTTTGATGCATTTTAGTGTCAACTTTAATCATATCATGTTGAGTTTATTTATAAAAGTGTTTCTCCAACTTAAGTTCTCTGTGATACTTTTTCATAATTTTTACCATATATACCACCTGTGTTGCCTGGACCATACTTCGAGGGAGCATTGATTTATAATATGTAGGTAACCCAGCAAGAAGAGTTCCTCTTGCTGGCCCAGCCCTAGATCTCTTAGTTAACTACAAACAGTTTTTCAGTTGTTCACATTAGAAAAGTTGCAGCATGGTCAGTGTCACATCTCAAACTCTTTTTCTCCTGTTTGTGATTTCTGTCTTTCTTACAACCAATTCACATATCCCTTGTGTCTAGTTCTTTACATTGTGTTTAGGAGCACAGACTCTGGAACCAGACTCGGGCCTGAAATCCCAAATTCACCACTTACTCTGTGAACTTAATATGTCTTAATATATTTGTGCCTTAGCTTTCTTATGTGTAAAACAGGGATGATAATAGTACGTTCCTCATAGGTTCTTGTTAGCATTGAGTAAGTTACTATGTGAAAACTTTTAAAACCAAGTCTTTGTACATAAGTGTTTACTACTATTTATTGTTTGTTTTCCTTTCCAGTTCGACTAAGAACTTCTTGGGTCAGGTTAATAGAGGTGCCATTTAATTAGAGCTGTGTCCTTTAGGGTCCCAACAGGAAACAGATGCTATACTCAAAACAGGACAATTTTAGAAGAGTTTTTTTTAATAAAGAAGCTGTTTACAAAGGCGCAAGTTCAGAGAAACAACAAAAGACAGTGAAATAACCTGGATCTAGGACATAAGCTATTAACAACCCCTAAGCCTGAAGGGACAAGGTTGAGGAGTGGTTACTAGAACCTTAAAGGAAAGAGAATCGTGTAGAGTCACTGCCTTGAGAGAAACCTTGACCTTTGGTTGGGCTGATCCCAACCAGAAGCTAGAAGGCATAGGAAGCCCTATTGACACAGTTCATATAGGCCAGTCTTCTGAGCCAGAGAGCAGAGTGGAAAAAGGTACAGAGTGAGTTGGGAGGCAAATGAAAGATGTCCAGTACAGAGCTGTCAGAAATAGACAATGGTAATTACAACAGGACTGTGAACCTTGGGGGAGATATTTCAGACAAAATATGATTCTTCCTGTCACCCAGAAAATAACAGAATCTTTTTGGTTTTCCCCTTAAAATTCTTATTAGTTATTATGTACTTGTGTTTGCATAATCCCTGGAAGGGCATCCAAACTATGTAAAAATAGTTAAATGTAAGCGCTGCGATAGATGGGAAATACTGCTCAACATATCTGTTTATATCATTTGATTTTTGATCCATCTAGTATGTTATCTATTTTTCAAGTAAATTTTAAAAATCATTTCTGGAAACCGAGAGCATGGTTACTACCAGCAATACTCCTGGAATCACAGGGCTTTGCAAACTGGTTTTCTGTAGTCAGAAGTTAATTATTTGCATGTGCTCTTTGTACTCTTATAGTATTACAGGTATCCCCAGTGCCTAACTCTGCTGTCTGCTATATTTCAGCCTTTCATCCGCTGTAGTTTACAATGCAGGGATCTGGTTGATGAAGCAAAGAAGTTTCATCTGAGGCCTGAACTTCGGAGTCAGATGCAGGGACCCAGGACAAGGGCTCGCCTAGGTAAGCTGGTATCTCGGCAGAATGAGGGGATGCTTTTCAACTACTTCTTGCAGGTGACAACATAGTTGAAAATAATACTCTATAAGAAGTACAGACACCTCGTTTCAGACCTTTTCTTCTATCATCTCAGACAAGTCACTTTACCACTCTAAGCTTTCTTTCCTATAAATCAAGGATGTCTTCTCTATCTACTTCACATAATTATTTGGAAATTAAATGAGATAAAATATAAAAGCACTTTATACATTGTCAGGCATTACATAATATGTTACAATTTTTTGTCAATATTATTTAGATTCTGTGAATTAGAGATAATTTTAGTGCCACATAATGGCAGGTAAGTAGTATATGCTTCCACCCACCTCTTCACTTCCCCTTATGTGGTTTTTCCATTCCGGAATGAAGAGAGGAAGAAAAGGAGCCCAGTGTGGTAGAAAGTACATGGGTTTTGGCAGTTACTGTTGGTGCAGGTACCAGTTTACCTCGTACTAGATTTATTAACTTGGGCAGGAACCTTAACCTCTGTGTGCTTCAGTTGCCTCATCTGTAAATGGAATCATCGTAGCACCTGCCTGTAACATTGTTATGAAGAGTAAATAAAGTTATTTATGTAAAGCCTTAAAACACTTCTTGGCACATAATAACTATGTGTATTAGCTATTATCTTAGCAAATAGACCTAGGTTCAAATCCAAGCCCCAGCAATGACTGGTTGGGCAAGGTATCAATTTATCTGAGCCTGTATGTCTACCACTAAGATGAGAGTTAGTGTCTTATCTCAGTGTTGGGAGGATTGAATGAGATAATGTATATAAGATACCTAACACTATAGCTGGCACACACTAAATACTCAGATATCACCATACTTTCCACTTCCTATTCTCTTTGCTTCACTGTCCAAAAGCCTAGGTGTATAGTGTATAAAAACATTTTATAAGTTATGAATTACTCTATATGTATGGGGTGGTATTTTGTTTTATTGTTTCCTTTTATCTGACTGAGGACTCATGATGCGTGCTAAGGTGTTAGTTGATAATTAAGCTGCTCACTGATGGGTTTAGGTAGAATGGTGATTTATCCGCTATATTTTATTTTTTTTAATAGAAATGAGGTCTCACTATGTTGCCCAGGGTGGAGTGCAGTGGCGTGATCTCGGTTCACTGCAGCCTTAGCCTCCTGGACTCAAGCAGTCTTCCCACCTCAGCCTCCCAAGTAGCTGGGACCGCAGGCACGTGCCACCATGCCTGGCTAATTTTTATATTTTTTTGTAGAGACAGAGCCTTCCTTTGTTGCCCAGGCTGGGTCTTGAACTCCTGGACTCAAGCAGTTCACCTGCCTTGGCCTCCCAAAGTGCTGGGATTACAGGCCTCCCATATATATATATATAATTTTTTTCCTTTTTTTTTTTTTTTTAAGACAGAGTCTTGCTCTGTCACCCAGACTGGAGTGCAGTGGTGCAATCTTGGCTCACTACAACCTCTCCCAGGTTCAAGCAATTCTTGTGCCTCAGACTCCCGAGTAGCTGGGACAACAGGCGACTGCCACCATCCCTGGCTAATTTTTGTATTTTTGGTAGAGACAGGGTTTCTCCATGTTGACCAGGCTGGTCTCTAACTCCTGGCTGCAATTGATCCACCCACCTTGGCCTCCCAAAGTGCTGGGATTACAGGCATGAGCCACCATGCCTGGCTCCCTCTCCTATATTTTTTAATGGCATAAGTACTGCATGTTCAATGTAGAACTTGTAGAAATACAGAGAAGCAAAAAATAAATAAAAATCATCCATAATCTTACCACTCAAAGATACTGCATTTTTTTAAAAAGAGAACTTTTAGATAGGGCATTGTAGATGGTATTTTCTACTACTGCAAGATGACAAAATGTGATCTGTGTTTCATATGCTTTATACACAGATACATATCAACACAAGATAGATTGAAGGACTGAATGGTGAAAAACTATGAGAATATTAGAAGAAATTATAGGAAAATATTTGTATACCTTCTGGATGGAAGTCTTTTTTTTCTTTTTTGTAAAATATATGTAACAGGCCGGGCACGGTGTCTCACACCTGTAATCCCAGCACTTTGGGAGGCCAAGGTGGGCAGATCACTTGAGGTCAGTAGTTCGAGACCAGCCTGGCCAACATGGTGAAACCCCATGTCTACTAAAAATACAAAAATTAGCTGAGTGTGGTGGTGCACACCTGTAATCCCAGCTACTCTGGAGGCTGAGGCAGGAGAATCGCTTGAACCCGGGAGGCGGAGGTTGCAGTGAGCCAAGATTGCACCATTGTACTCCAGCCTGGGCGACAGAGTGAGACTCCATCTCAAAAATAAATAAATTAATTAAATAAAATATATTTAGCATAAAATTTACCATCTTAACCATTTTTACATGTACAGTTGACTCATGTTAAATACATTGTTATACAATCAATCTCTGTAACTCTTTTTGTCTTAACAAGACTGAAACTCTGTACCCATTAAACAATAAACTCCCAATTTTGCCTTTCCTCCCAGGGTAGGAACTTTTTTTTTTTTTTTTTTTTTTTTGAGACGAAGCGTTGCTCTTGTTGCCCAGGCTGGAGTGCAGTGGCATAATCTTTGCTCACTGCAACCTCTGTCTCCTGGGTTCAAGCGATTCTCCTGCCTCAGCCTCCCAAGTAGCTGGGATTACAGGTGTGTGCCACCACGCCTGGCTAATTTTTTGTATTTTTTAGTAGAGACGGGGTTTCACCACGTTGGCCAGGCTGGTCTCGGACTCCTGACGTCAGGTGATCCGCCCACCTCAGCCTCCTAAAGTGCTGGGATTACGGGCATGAGCCACCGCGCCTGGCCATTACTTTTGTTTTTTAAAAAATAATTATTATTTTTAAAAATTGGGTTGGGTGGCCGGGCGCGGTGGCTCATGCCCGTAATCCCAGCACTTTGGGAGGCCGAGGCGGGTGGATCACGAGGTCAGGAGATCGAGACCATCCAGGCTAACACGGTGAAACCCCGTATCTACTAAAAATACAAAAAAAAAAAAAAAAAAAAAAAAGCCAGGTGTGGTGGCGGGCACCTGTAGTTCAAGCTACTCAGGAGGCTGAGGCAGGAGAATGGCGTGAACCCAGGAGATGGAGCCTGCAGTAAGCTGAGATCACGCCACTGCACTCCAGCCTGGGCGACAGAGTGAGACTCTGTCTAAAAAAAAATCGGGTTGGGTATCCCTAATCTGAAAATCTTGAAATTCAAAATGCTCCAAGATCTAAAACTTTGAGTGCCAACATAATGCTCAAAGGAAATGCTCATTGAAGCATTTTGGATTTGGGGTTTCTGAATTAGGGATGCGCAAATAGTTGTGCAAAGAAATAATGCAGATATTACAAAAATCCAAAAGTGTCTGAAATCTGTAGCGCTTCTTGTCGTAAGCATTTCAGATAAGGGTTACTCAACCTATACCATGAAAGCCAGTGATGTAGTGGAAAGAACCTGGCACTAGGAGATAAGACATTTTGCTTACTTTGATTTTTACTCCAATTTCCGACACTCACTCTAGTAACTTGCTGTTTGGACAAGTCCTTTAACTTCTCTGGGTTACCAGTTCTTTATATCAACAGAGTTAATGTTCAGTCACTAAGGTACTTTCCAACACAGAAAAATGTTTCCTTTTTGCATGATAGCACTCATTATTTGCTTATTAAATTGAACTAAAAGCTAATGAAAATTTTTGTGAATCAGTAAACCCAGAAGATTCTTTGGAGGTACATTTCTTGCATATCTCTGAACAGGCAGCAGAAGGGGCTCCTGCTTGGTTAGAGAACTTGCTTATTGCCCTGACCTTAAGGGATTAAACTATAAATCTATATATCTTCATAGTCTTGAGGTTATTTTTCAGAAGTTCTAGAAGGGAAATGCTGAAGCAGTTTCCAATTAGATTCTTAGTATCGCTTTGTCAGTGCCTTAGCAGGTAGATTGTTCTTACCATCATGTCCTCTACCCATCTCTATGCATATTGGCTGCTAAACCAGCTACCAGGATAATGACTCTTCTGCATACAGCAGAAGGAAATTAAATTGACAGCCAAGTTAAAATAGCCTGCCAAATAAGGGATTTTTAGTTATTAACCTTACCCATTACTGTCTCAAAGAAGATATAATGGAAATTACTTTTCTAATTTGTGGCTGTCTCCTTTTTTGAACTAAAGATCAGTGCAAATGGAAATGTGAGTCTCTGAACCCTGTTATTTTAGCAGTCCTGCATCTGCCTTATTTCTCTAACAACGTGTCACAGCACACACACACTCCCCTTCCCCTCTTTCTAAAAATAATGACCATGCCACTGCCAGGTTCTTCAGTTTTAGAAATGTGCTTTTTCACACTGTTCTTGTAAGATGTCCTAGACAAGCTTTTCTCATTAAAAAGATAAAAATCTCACTTAACAAGTACTCCATCATTGGCAGAGAACAAACAGGCTTCTTTCAGGTTGACTCTTTCACTAGCTTTTTTTTACACGAGTCAGATTGTTTGAGTATTGGTCTCCAACTTAGGGTTAAAACATTAAAACCTTAGGAGTTCTTCTGGGGAAGAAGGACTTTCTAGGCACAAAATAGTGGAAGAAATGACAAAGAATAAAAACATATTTGAATAAATAAAAAAATCATATACAAAATTATGATAAATTAGGAACATAGGTTTGGAACAACCCTTTAAAGGGTTAAAGGGTTGGCCTGGCAGGGTGCCTTACGCCTGTAATCCCAGCGCTTTGGGAGGCTGAGGCAGGTGGATCACCTGAGATCGGGAGTTTGAGACCAGCCTGACCAACATGGAGAAATCCTGTCTCTACTAAAAATACAAAATTAGCCGGGCTTGGTGGCACATGCCTGTAATCCCAGCTACTCGGGAAATTGCTTGAACCTGGGAGGTGGAGATTGTGGTGAACCAAGATCGTGCCATTGCACTCCAGCCTGGGCAACAAGAGCAAAACTCCATCTCATAGATAGATAGATAGATAAATAGATAGATAGATAGATAGATACATAGATAGATAGATAAAGGGTTAAAGGGTTAAAACCATTTGTGTGTAAAGAGCTCATAAGAATGCATGAGACAGGGCCAAGAGCAGTGGCTCACACCTGTAATCCCAGCACTTTGAGAGGCTGAGGCAGGCGATGGAGCCCAGGAATTCGAGACCAGCCTGGCCAACAGGATGAAACCCTGTCTCTACTAAAAGTATAAAAATTAGCCAGGCATGGTGACGCATGCCTGTAATCCCAGCTATTGGGGAGGTTGAGGCAGGAGAATCATTTTAGCCCAGGAGGCAGAGGTTGCAGTGAGCCAAGATCACACCACTGCACTCCAGCCTGGGCCACAGAGCAAGACGCCGTTTCAAAAAAAAAAAGAAAAGAAAAAAATTAGTGGTCCCAGCTACTAGGGAAGCTGAAGTGGGAGGCTAGGAGGATGCTTGAGCCCAGGAGGTCGAGGCTGAGGCTGCAGTGAACCATAATTGCACCAGTGCACTCTAGCCTGGGCAGCAGAGCAAGACCTTGTCTCAAAAAAGAAAAAAAAAACAAGAATGCATGAGAGAAACAATAAAGATTTGAGTGTACAGTTCGCAGAAGGGCAAGTAAAGCTGGCTACTAGATACAAGGGAGGGAGTTCAACCTAATTAATAATAGGGTCTTATTAGTTATAAAGAATTAAACATAATTTTTTGCCTACCAGAGTGTCAGAGATTTAAAAACTATCCAGTGCCTCAGAAAGTAGAATGAGTTGGCACCTTTATAGTGTTGGTGGGAGTGTAATTGGTAACAGCTTCAAAAAGTCACCTTATGTCTCAAAGTAATTTTTTTTTTTTTTTTTTTTTTTTTTGAGACAAGGTCTCACTCTGGCTCCTAGGCTAGAGTGCAGTGGCATGATCTTGGTTCACTGAAACTTCACTTTCTGGGCTCAAGCAATCCTCCCACCTCAGCCTCCTCAGTAGCTGGGACTACAGGCGTATGCCACCATGGTGATCTATTTCATTTGTTTGTTTGTTTTGATACAAGGTCTCACTGTGTCACTATAGTGCAATGGCATGATTTTGGCTCACTGCAGCGTCCACTTCCTGGACTCAAGTGATCCTCCCACCTCAGCCTCCCAGGTAGCTGGGACTTGGGACTACAGGTGTGCACCACCAGACCTGGCTAATTTTTTGTATTTTTAGTAGAGACAGGGTTTTGCCATGCTGCTCAGGCTGGTCTTGATCTCCTGGGTTCATGTGATCTGCCTGCTTTGGCCTCCCAAAGTGCTAGGGTTACAGGTGTGAGCCACCATGCCTGGCTCAAAAAATTTTTTTCTAATTCAGGTTCATTACTCAGCATTCTTCCCATTTCTTTAAGAAAACAACCAGGAAAAGTTTCATATTCAGGATATTTATCACAGGGTTATTTATGTGATTGTTTATAACCCAAAATTATAAACCCTGAAATGCCTAAGAATATTATAACCATGTACTAAAAGAGTTATTCATATATTTGGAAAATGAAAAACATCAGGATACAATATAATATGGTCACATTTGTAGGTTTTTTTGTTTGTTTGTTTTTGGTGTTTTTTTTTTTGGACGGAGTCTCGCTCTGTTACCCAGGCTGGAGGGCAATGGTGTGATCTCGGCTCACTGCAGTCTCCACTTCCCAAGTTCAAGCGATTCTCCTGCCTCAGCCTCCCGAGTAGCTGAGATTACAGGCATGTGCTACCATGTCTGGCTGATTTTTGTATTTTCACTAGAGATGGGGTTTCACCATGTTGGCCAGGCTGGTCTCGAACTCCTGACCTCGTGATCCACTCATCTCAGCCTCCCAAAGTGCTGGGATTACAGGCGCTAGCCACTGTGCCCGGCCCCCATTTGTGTTTTATAAATGTGCAGAAACAAGGCTGGAAGGAAATTATGTTACATTTTGGTGTGTCTTTGTATTGTGGAACTATGGGTAATTTTTTTTTCATAATACCTGTCTGTATTTTCCAAGTTTTTTAGCAGTAAAAATGTATATTATATGTTTTATAATCACAAGGAAAATACTTTTCAATTCTTTTCAACAGGGAGGGGTAATACGTGAGTGGGGATGGTGATTATACTAGTCCTTGAGTTATTTTTAAATTTTCTAAAAGAAAATCATTTTTGTGCTAGAAAAAGCTGAACAGGCTAAATAAAGACTTCAGATTTAACTAAAATTATATCCATTCAGTGTGAAACACTGTTGCTCTCATAGTTATCAAAAGCTCTGTTGGCAGTTGCGGGGAAGTTAATTACTTAAACTCACTTTGGTAGACAGTCTGTCAAAACACAGGATCTGTCGGGAAAAATAATGAAGAGAGTCCTTCACAGCAAAGAAGTTTGGGAATCAGTGATCGAAGGATCCCAGCCATTTAGAGCCATAAAACCCCTGAGTGGCTGGTACAGTGGCTCATGTCTGTAATCCCAGCACTTTGGGAGGCCGAAGCAGAAGCATCGCTTGAGTTCAGGAGTTAGAGACCAGCCTGAGCAACATAGTGAGACCTCCTCTCTTTAAAAAATTAAAAAAAAAAAAAAAAGGTAGCTGGGTTTGGTGGCACACACTGTGCTCCCAGCTGCTCAGGAGGCTGAGGTAGGAGGATTGCTTGAGCCTGGGAGGTAGGAGGATTGCTTGAGCCTGGGAGGTCGATGCTGTGGTGAGCTGAGATTGTGCCACTGCACTCCAGCCTAGGTGACAGAGGAAGGCCTTGTCTTTTAAACAGAACAAAACAAACTCCTTTATACATCACACCAACACCTCTTACGAAGTTCCACTGTAGACATATAGTTACCAGAGTGTTTATTGGGAAAATTTCAGCCAACAGGAAGTACTGTCAGTTATCTGTGTTTTTAATATAATCTATTTCCTTTCTACTTCTTTTCTCCCACCCTTCAAAAGGTGCCTGAATGAAATCATATCAAGAAAGAGAGGGGTTTTTTCTTTATTTTATTTTTGAGACAGTCTTGCTTTGTCACCCAGGCTGGAGTGTAGCGGCATGATCTCGGCTCACTGCAACCTCCGCCTCCCAGGTTCAAGTGATTCTCCTGCCTCAGCCTCCGGAGTAGCTGGGACTACAAAATGCACACCACCACACCTGGCTAATTTTTGTGTTTGTATTTGTGTTTAATTTTTTTGAGACAGAGTCTTGCTCTGTCACCTAGGCTGGAGTGCAGTGGTGCGATCTCTGCTCACTGCAACCTGCATCTCCCAGGTTCAAGCGATTCTCGTGCCTCACCCTCCCAAGTAGCTGGGACTACAGGTGTGTACCACCACACCTGGCTAATTTTTGTATTATTAGTAGAGATGGGGTTTCACCATGTTGGCCAGGCTGGCCTTGAACTCCTGACCTCAAGTGATCCACCCGCCTCGGCCTCCCAAAGTGCTGTGATTACAGGCGTGAGCCACCACGCCCAGCCTTCTTTATTTTATGTTACTTTATTTTATTTTTTGAGACAAGTTCTCACTCTGTTCCCCAGGCTGGAGTGCAGGAACACGACCTTGTTCACTGCAGCCTTAACCTCCTGGACTTAAGTGATCCTCCCATGTCAGCCTCAGGAGTAGCTGGGACTACAGGCATTTGCCATCACACCTGGCTATTTTTTTTTATTATTTTTTTCTAGATATGGGAGTCTCACCATGTTACCCAAAGTGGCCTCGAACCCCTGGGCGCAAGGAATCTGCCCACTTTGGCCTCCCAAAGTGCTAGGATTATAGTCATGAGCCACTGTGCCTGACTTCTTTAGATATATATATTTATTTTTGGGGGGTTGGGGGGTGGGGCAGGGAGTTATATAAAGCAACAGAAATAAGAGCTGAAAAATCAATAGAAAACTTTAAAATTTGCATAGCACAGGAAGTACCTCTTGGTTGGTGTGGGAATTTTTATTCATACATACATCATCTGCTGGCATATTCATCTACATGGGAAATGTGTTTGGATAGAAGGATCACACTTACCTTGTCTATTCAAGTCAGGAAGAAAAGAGGTGGAGTAAGAAAAAGGAATAGGTAGGGAAATAGTGTTCCCAAAGAAGAAACAAATAACTTGTGGTCCTAGCTTCTCCCAACTTGAAGTAATTTTAGGCAGACATAAAATTACTTCAATCACTAAAGAACCCTTCATTCTTATGCTTTGATTTTTTTATTTATTATTATTATTTTTTTTTTTTTTTTTTGAGATGGAGTCTTACTCTGTTGCCTAGTCTGGAGTGCAGTGGTGCAATCTCGGCTCACTGCAACCTCTTCCTCAGTTCAAGTGATTCTCCCGCCTCAGCCTCCCAAGTAGCTGAGACTACAGGTGCGCATCACTGCACCCGGCTAATTTTTGTATTTTTAGTAGAGACGGGGTTTTGCCATGTTAGACAGGCTGGTCTTGAATTCCTGACCTCAGACAATTTACCTGCTTTGGCCTCCCAAAGTGCTAGGATTACAGGCATGAGCCACACCTGGCCATGCTTTGATTTTCGAAGGAGCTGACTCCTGAGACCTACTTGCTGGCTCACTTTGGAGAGGGTCCACTTTATTTGGCAAGTACATAAGACAAGTGCCCTCTTAGAAAAACTCCGTGGTTTATGTGTGAGTGTATATGTTTTATTAAGAAAAATCTCAAACATAAAAATAGTAATATAATGATCCCCCATACCCATCACTCAATTTTAACAATTATCAACACATAGCTTTTTCTTTGAGATGGAGTTTTGCCTTATTGCCCAGGCTGGAGTGTAGTGGCGCTATCTCAGCTCACTACAACCTCCACTTCCTGGGTTTAAGCATTCTCATGCCTGAGCCACCCGAGTAGTTGGGATTTCAGGTGTGCGCCACCACACTCAGCTAATTTTTGTATTTTTAGTAGAGACGGGGTTTTGCCTTGTTGGCTAGGCTGGTCTCAAACTCCTTACCTCAAGTGATCTGCCAGCCTTGGCCTCCCAAAGTGTTGGGATTACAGGCATGAGCCACTGCACCCAGGCTATTTTGAAGCAAATTCCAGACTGGATATTATTCCATGCCTATGTGTCATACTTCCACGTGTGTCTCTAAAAGATAAGGAAAAAAAATTCTGCCACATCTAGAATGCCATTATCACTGTTTAAAATCACACAATTCCTTATTCTCACGTGTTTGTGTAATTTTTTTTCCATAATTTTTTGTTGTTTGTTTTTGAGTACTTATGTTGTTCAAATCAGAATCCAGACAAAGTCCACACGTTGCTCGTGATTTCATGTCTCTTTTCAGTCTCGTTTTAATCCAAAAGTTTCCATCCTGTTTTGGTTTTTCCCAGCCAGTTTATTTCTTGAAGAAGCCAAGCTGTTCGACCTGTAGAATTTCCCACATTCTAGACTCTGCTGTTGCATCTTTGTAGTGTCATTTAACATGTTCTTCTCCCATGTATTGCCTGTAAACTAGTGGTTGGATTAGAGGCTTGTTAAGAGTCAGGCTCAGTTTTTTGGAAAAAAGACGAGGTGGTAGTGTGGTCCTTCCTATTCATCACCATTAGGAAGCACTCAATGTCTCATAGTAATATATTGGCTTTTGAAATAATGATTCTAGCCCAGCAATTGATGATAATTGTCAAATCCATTACTTCATTAGGGGTTTATCTGTGTTTCCTGTCAGCTTCAAGGTACTACATTTGCTCTTTCAAGTCCAGGTTACTCATAAGATCACTTTGGTCTCCTAGATGCTTCCTAGTGATTGAATTTTCCAAAGCTCCAGCTAACTATTCTCTCCATGAGTTCTAATGGAGCACATGCACAGGGGATTTTCTCAAAGAGACTTTGCTCTTTGAAAAAAGCCAAGGCAGGTGCTGTGGCTCATTCCTGTAATCCCAGCTACTTGGGAGGCTAAGGCAGGAGTATCGCTTGAGGCCGGGAGTTTGAGACCAGCCTGGGCAATATAGCAAGACCCTGTCTCCAAAAGCCAAGGTAGGAAATATTTTATCAGAGTAAGGCGTTAGGGGAAGGGGAAGATATAAAGGCTGTCAGAATAGCTTCTTTGGGAAAATAGAGAAAAAGACTTTTCCTTTAAAACTCTAGTCTTTTGTTGCCTGGTGGTTTTGATGAATTGGCAGGGAATGTGATCATATAGTTGACTAAATTGGAGAAGGAAGTGTTCATGGAAAAGAGATTTTAGGCCAGGCACAGTGACTCATTCCTGTAATCCCAGCACTTTGGGAGGCTGAGGCAGGAGAATCACTTTAGGCTAGGAGTTTGAGATCAGCCTGGGCAATATAGCGAGACCCTTTCTCAATTCAGAAAAAGAAAAAGAGATTTTAAATCCATCACTTGGATCCTAAGTTTCAACATGTAGCTTTTTTTGTGACAAGGTTAGGAGAGTTCTTTCCCCATTACAACAAAAAACCTCCCAATTTGAGTTTTTCAGGCTAAGTGCAGAGAGTGCCTTTAGGCTCTCACCTGCACTTAAGACCTCAAGGATTATGTCAGCCAGTCATCTCAATAGGTTGAAATGGTGCAGTGTTGCCGGGCACAGTGACTCACACCTGTAATCCCAGCACTTTGGGAGGTCGAGGCTGGCGGATCACTTGAGGTTGGGAGTTCGGGACCAGCCTGACCAACCCCATCTCTACTAAAAATACAAAATTAGCTGGGCGTGGTGGCACAGCCTGTAATCCCAGCTACTCGGGAGGCTGAGGCAGGAGAATCACTTGAGCCCAGGAGGCAGAGGTTGTGGTGAGCCGAGATCATGGAATTGCATTCTAGCCTGGTCAACAAGAGCGAAACTCTGTCTCCAAAAAAAAAAAAAAAAAAAAAAAGAAAAAGAAATGGTGCAGTGTCATGTTGAAGTTTGCTTTCTAGAGTTTTAATGTCCAGAAATTTAAGTTTCAGAGACTCGAGAGCTACAGCCTCAAGGAAAAATAACTCCCCATTCGACAGCCTTATGATTATCTCCCATTTCGGATTGCATCCCTCAGCCACATAAAACAAGACATCCTAGAACTGTTTCTGTTGACACTTCCCTGTGACTAGTTACCCATCCAGGGATGCTGAACTAACCCATCTTTTTTCTGCCTTTGTCTTCAGGAGCCAATGAAGTGCTTTTGGTGGTTGGGGGCTTTGGAAGCCAGCAGTCTCCCATTGATGTGGTAGAGAAATATGACCCCAAGACTCAGGAGTGGAGCTTTTTGCCAGTAAATAATGGTGAAACCATTCGTTGGGAGGGATGTTAAATGTCCTCAGTCTCTGCCTCCAGATCATAGCTAATCCAGCCTTAAGAGTAGAAAAGCCTAATAACAGGATGTTTCTTACAACAGTCTTGTGCATATAGTAGGTACTTACTTAACAGTTTTTGACTGTTTAGATTAGAAGATTATGCCTTAGAAATGTCAGTGGCCCTGTGTCAAGGTAAACTCAGATGGCCACCACTAGTTAGGTGCCTTTCTAAGCTGTCTGTATAATTCCTAGCACATTTCATTGGTCGTGCTGTGTTAAACTGAACTGAATGTTAAATTGTGTTGAATTGAACCCAGTGTTCAGTTGAGCTCAGAAGTTTGGGCTGGGCGTGGTAGCTCACACCTATAATCCCAGCCCTTTGGGAGGCTGAGATGGGAGGATCTCTTGAGGCCAGGAGTTCAAGACCAGCCTGGGCAATATGGTGAGACTCTGTCTCTACAAAAAAGTAAACAAAAAAATTAGCCAGGCATGGTGGTGCATGCCTGTAGTCCTAGCTACTTGGGAGGCTGTGGCAGAAGATTGCTTGAGCCCAGGAGTTCGAGGTTGCAGTGAACTGTGATTGTGCCACTGCACTCCAGCCTGGGTGATAGTGAGATCCCAACTCAGAAAAAAAAAGTTTGTATCTGTCTCCCTCAGCATGTCTCTCAGTGCTGAATGAACAATAGTAATTTCTGAGAAAACATGGAAATCCAACCCTCCTACCTTTTAAGGTTCTTATAATAAATCCTCATCCTTTGATTAGCAATGTGGGAATACTTTTCTACTTTATGGAAGGATATCAGTCTCTTAGCCCAGTGCCTTATGGAAGAGAAAGGAGTCAGATATTGGATAACAGAAAGCTGTTAAATCTTTTGGAAGCCTTGGAAAGAGGCAGAGATGCAGAAAGCTTGTATCTTTAAGAGCACCACAACAGGCATTTCGTTCAGTAGGTAGCTATTTGGGAGCCACTTGAGGATGAACCACTTAAGGAGGGTTCATGATGACAGGTGAAGAAGCAGAGAGGTGTGCAGATACAACAGGGAAGATAGCAAAAGGTAAGGCCCAAAACTTGCCTAACTGAAATGCTCTGTACCTCTTCTCTCCAAATCCATAGAGCATCACTCGTAAGAGACGTTATGTGGCCTCAGTGTCCCTTCATGACCGGATCTACGTCATTGGTGGCTATGATGGCCGTTCCCGCCTTAGTTCAGTGGAATGTCTAGACTACACAGCAGATGAGGATGGGGTCTGGTATTCTGTGGCCCCTATGAATGTCCGACGAGGTCTTGCTGGAGCCACCACCCTGGGAGGTAGGCTGGATGTGCAGGGCAATTATTTCCATCTTACTGTGGCTGGACCAGGGTTTTTAACCTCTCCTGTTGTCTGGCAGGAGCATGAAATACGGAGAAAAAATTAAGGTCAAATGTTATTATTATTTGAGACAGGGTCTCTCTCTGTTGCCCAGGCTGGAGTGCAGTGGTGTGATCACGGCTCACTGCAGCCTCAACCTCCCCAAGCTCAAGCGATCCTCCCACCTCAGCTTCCTGAGTAGCTGGGACTACAGGCATGCACCACCATGCCCAGCTATATTTTTGTATTTTTAGTAGAGATGGGGTTTCGCCATGTTGCCCAGGCTGATCTCTAACTCCTGAGCTCAAGTGATTGACCCACCTCGGCCTCCCAAGGTGCTGGGATTACAGGTGTGAGCCACTGTGCCCAGCCGACAAATACTCCTTTTTGCTTTCAGAAATATCAGTGTAATAGAAGCTGTTCAATATTCATGGATGTTTCATTATTGACTACAAAGTTGGCAAATCAAGTTCCAATGTGCTGGGTGGGGAACTGGCACTAGTTGTGTTTTTGCAAACTCCTAGGTGGTCTTTGAATGCTTTTAAGGATTTTGTTTTACCCCATTCTTTTTAGATGTCTTCCTTGTCTATAAAACTTAATTGACTTATCTCATTTAAAAATACTTTGTTTTTGCTCTCAGACTTTTAAAGGACCCTTGGAAAATTTGTAGAGGAAAGAGTTCTTAGAAATCTCTCATTCTCTAATAGTCTGTAATTTGTTTATTCTGAGCAGATATGATCTATGTCTCTGGAGGCTTTGATGGAAGCAGGCGTCACACCAGTATGGAGCGCTATGATCCAAACATTGACCAGTGGAGCATGCTGGGAGATATGCAGACAGCCCGGGAAGGTGCCGGACTCGTAGTGGCCAGTGGAGTGATCTACTGTCTAGGTATTGAGTCTGGGATGCAGGAATGGGAGGGAACTCAATGGGTAATGGGCTGTGGGTAAGGATTCCTTTTTACCAAAATGACGTTCATAGACTTCCCTTCAACTAAAACCCTGGTGTGTCTTAATATATTTTCCATTAATTGGGATTATCTTTTTCTTATAAGCATAATGTCAGATTTCTCTTAGAGTTATTGGAACTCTTGTGGGAAAATTGAAACTAAAATAATTAGTTGAAGCACTCAGAAAAAAACCGACCAGGAATGGGCATGAGGATTTACCACTCTTTCTGGAATGGTCTCTGTCTTCCAGGAGGATATGACGGCTTGAATATCTTAAATTCAGTTGAGAAATACGACCCTCATACAGGACATTGGACTAATGTTACACCAATGGCCACCAAGCGTTCTGGTAAGACCAGATCTGAGGGAGGGGACAATAGGCGATGCTGTCAGACCTTTACATATATAATGGTGGTGCATGGGACAAACCGTAGATTAATGTAAAAATGAGATTCTGCTCTCCTCCTTGTCTCTGTTTTCTCTAAATACTAGGATAAAGACAGTTGATACTTACAACTAGATTATAAATTTGAAAGCAAAAGCCTTCATGTCTTTGTTCTCTCCCTACGTTTTAGAATATCTAGTACAATTTTGCCTGTGTAGTACATGCTTAATAAATATCTGTTAAATAAAGTCTCTAATGCATAAGGACAAAAGAGTAGCTACTTACCTTCACCAAGAGCTTTTTGAAGTGGAGCAGGCTGGGATATAGAAAAGGAGAGAGCACTGTGCTGTTCTAGTTTACTTACTCTGGGTAAAAATTGCTTCAGAACCATAATCACAACTCCTTTCCCTCCATCTACCTTTATTGCCACCTTTTTTTCACTTCCTCCCTTTCTCCTAATTAGAAGGGTTGGGCTCTGAGTTAATGAAAGTAAAGAAGAGAACCATTTTTATTATTTATCTTTTATCATTTCAAGTCCAAGCCAAAGGGTTTATAGATGGAATAACTTGTGCTGGACTAGATTATTCTAGGCCCGTGTGGGCCCATTCCATATCCCTCATCTACTGTAGAACTCAGCTAGTCATTAGTGACCGTAGTTTATTTCTATAATTCAGATTCTAGGCTTAGTACCATACATTTGCTAATGCATTCATTTTCCCCAGGTGCAGGAGTAGCCCTGCTGAATGACCATATTTATGTGGTGGGGGGATTTGATGGTACAGCCCACCTTTCTTCCGTTGAAGCATACAACATTCGCACTGATTCCTGGACAACTGTCACCAGTATGACCACTCCACGATGCTATGTAGGGGCCACAGTGCTTCGGGGGAGACTCTATGCAATTGCAGGGTGAGGATTTAGAAACGAATCCAGACTCAATATGTAGCCAGAGCAAGAGTCTATGTGATCTGATCCTCATTTTTGGACAGAGACAAGACTTGGGTAGGGGTAGACATCTCCAGTGGCAACTTGATTTTTTTTATTAGATTTTTTTTATTTTTTAGAGACAGAGTATTGCTCTGTCACCCAGGCTGGAGTCTGAGTAGAGTAGCTGGGACCACAGGTGCACGCCACTGTGCCAGACTAGTTTTTTATGTTGCCTAGGCTGGTCTCCAACTCCTGGGCTCAAGCAATCCTTCCACCTCAGTCTCCCAAAGTGCTAGGATTACAGGTGAGAGTCACCATGCCTGGCCTCCAGTGGCAGCCTTAATGAAGGACTTGTGTGGAAAGGAATAGAAGGCTAATTTCTTTCTTTCTTTCTTTAAATTTTATTGAGACAGGGTCTCACCATGTTGCCCAGGCTGGTCTCAAATTCCCTCCTGGGCTTAAGCAATCCTCTTACCTCAGCCTCCTGCATAGTTGGGATTACAGGCACGTGCCACTGCACGCAGCTGACTCATTTCTTTCTTTTGCTTCTTTCCCACTCAGATATGATGGTAATTCCCTGCTAAGTAGCATTGAATGTTATGACCCTATCATCGACAGCTGGGAAGTCGTGACATCCATGGGAACCCAGCGCTGTGATGCTGGTGTTTGTGTTCTCCGCGAGAAGTGACCATTGTTGGAGCACCATCCAGAGCTAGTGACCAGTCCAGTGGACAGTTAGTGGGAGAATCAAAAATCCTTTCCAGAATGTCTGTTTCTCACTATGTGCACCGGGTGATTACAGGCACCAGTGCAGTGATGATTGTACTTATTTGACACATACTCCCCGTCGTCCTGGTTCTTGTTCCTGAGAAGGGTGGGTAACAGATATTCCAGGAAAAAGAATGCACATTGAATGGATGTGAGAGACCACATTGCCTCTCCCACTGCTTTGGGGAGCACTTTCCTGTCATTTCTAACTTACCACATGCTTGGTGTACTATATGTATGTTGTGCCTCATATGTTGCAAAGAACTAAGGTGAGTATAGCCTACTAGATATGGGCAATATCCAGCCTAGATGATTGGAAAGATACCAGTTTAAGTAAACTTGGTAAAATCCAAGTCTTTTTTTTTTTTTCCAGGAACAACTACATTTTCTCATATACAGGTAGCTAGGGGCAACACAGTTCCATTCTAGAGGGAAACAAAAGGGAGAGCCCCACAAAACTTTGGGGACAAGGGAGAGAGAGACTCATCTGACACTTCTTTTGGAGGTCAGGATTTGTATATCAGAATTGAAGTTAGAATTAAGTGAATTAAACTGAATTTGATTGTGAGTGAACCTAGAACAGCACTGAAGTATTACATAACCTGGAAGACTGAGAAGGGTATATTATTTGAAGGATCTTTTTATTTCCCCGAGGTCTTTCGCACTGGAGACAGCATAAAAGAGTGAACAAATGTTGGGATGAGAGAAGATGACATCAATGTGGGAGTTCAGTATAACTGGGGATAAACTAGAAGAACCTGTGATTTTACAGTCATCTTATTACCTGCCAGGGCTCATCTAGCCATGGCAATGTTTGCCTTGAATGGGGGTGAAAGCCTTTCTTTGTTGGATCAAATACTACTACACTATTACACTTCCACACTATTTATTTGGGGATGGGCTGGGAGTGACAGTAGCCTAGTAGTTCAGCTACCTGATTACTGCCCCATTCTTTTAGAAGCACATGTCTGCCAAGGAGTGGTTTGTACTGCTGTGTTTGGTACATCTAGTCTTTTTTCTGCTATAAGTTTTCCTTACCTGTCCTTTAGTGTAGATTTTATTCATCACAGGACAGAATAATCAAGGACAACCAAAATCCTTTTGTTAGTTTCAGTACCTCAGCTATCAACATTTCTGAGCTACCATTCAATGTTCCTCTGTGTCATGGAGTGAAATTCTTGTTTTGTGGGTATTAGGAGTGTGGGAATGTGATAACCTAAACAACCTTTGCTCTGAAATTCCATTTTTCCCTCTTTCCCTGAGTTGTATTGACCTACAGAGTTAATTTCCTTTGTATTTTTTTAAGAAAATATTAAAAATCAACGGTCTCAAATGCCGAGAGTTTGTGGCTAACCAACATTGCCTTTAGTAGATATTTGGGAGGGAAAGATGTAGGGATCAGCCGTAGCTCCTGTCTCTTCAAGCTGTTCATCTTGTGTGTTTGCCAACTAGTTCCGCTATTTCTATGTTAGACACAGGTAAGAGGTAGCCACTTTACACTTTGGAGATTCTCATCAGTAAAATATTTACCTGATTTGCCATATTCATTAGCCCCTCTGACGCTTGGAGTTACTTGAAAAAGGAATACAGAAAAGATCTTGAATTCACTTAGCACGCGCTTGAATTTCAGGGTTTCAGTCACACCAGTCCTTTTTTCCATTTGCTTTGAATTGTGGCATGTGATATAAACAGCTATGCGGAAGGCCTGCAAAACTGAAACAGTCCTGATGCTTCCAGAGCAAAAGGAAGGAGGAGCCACATGAGGAAGTTATTTTCCTTAAAAGATGCCTACCAACTTTGGCAGATGGATTGTGCATGCTAATTAAACCAAAGCCTATAAAACGTGACTTTTCCTATCTCAGGAAGAGATCCAGGGGAGGGTGAAGGACTGATGGCTCCTATGCTGTCTTCAGTGCTGACTAATGAGTTTCAGACCAACTTCACAAATAGTTCATACACTGAAGCCACAATGGTATGTTCTACAGAAAAATCAACACGTAAAACAGCTCCTTTTTCACTCTTCACAATCGTACACACTTTCATGTGCTCACATACATACACAGAGATACCCCTAATTTGGTGGTTCATCTTATTTTTTTAAGCTCCCATAACTGGCAACCAGCTACTTAGTTATCTAACCTGGGAAAACCAGCAGTTGCTTTGTGTCACCCCCATCACAATACAGACATCCAGCTAGTTTCTAAGTTCTGTACAATTTTAATTGTTTCAAGTCCATTCCCATATCTTTGTTCCCTCTGCTAGCTTCAGGGCCTTTCTGAGCTAGACTGATGAGGTAATAGCTACCTGATACCTTACCTCTACTCTTTTTCCTCTCTTCAATCTAGCCCCTCTATTTATTCATAGGTTATCTTTCTGAAGCACAGATAGGATCATTACAGTGCTTAACATACAGCAGACAGTAAATATCGAACAGTTATTTCTGGCCTAAAATTCCACAGATTCCCATTGTTCATGTTATTAATGTTAAATTCCTTAGCATGACATTAAAGCCATGGAGCTCTGGGCCCACTCTGCCTTACCTACCTCTACTACCACTTCTCCCCACGTGTAATGTGGGTCAGCCACAGTGGTCTACTAACCATTCCTAAATTTGTTCTCACCCTTGTTCATATATAATACTGTTCTGTCTGAAATAATCTTGCTTTCCTGACAATCCTAGTTAATTAAGAGCAGTGGCTTTAGAGTTGTGCTGCAACCTTTCTGATCTTTACCTTTCTCATTTTGTGCACAAGCGTGCCGACCCCGTAAGGAAACTGATGATTTAGTAAGTTTCTAAAGGCGCTTTGACACATTTTGCCGCATAGTAAATGGTCACAATGAGTAGAAGAGACCAGCAATTAAAGTTTCCACGCATCTTTTTCCAATACCGAAAAGATACATGCCCCTCTAAGTAGTTTCCTATAGAAGAAGCTAATGTGGCTAAAACTTGATGGGAAGTCCGACCCAGATTCCCTTCATATTGCCCCCAATAATGTCCCCATTTATTCAGGAGACTAAATTCAGATCCCAGAAAACTAAACAGTAAGGTCAACCTAATGATTTGTCTAGGTTTTAAGTGAAGCCCAGTGGCCAGGTGGGTATGGAGATGTGTCACTGGTGCCAAGAAGTGTCCCTGTCACAAAGCCTGCCGACACCTAGCCACTTAGGTTAGGCAATGAATGAAGGCGCTTGCGCAGTAGAGTCCAGAGCGGGGAAGCGGGCGCCTGCGCAGAGACATAGTGACCGTCCGCTCGCCGCCCCGCCTCTGCCAAGCCGCGCCAGCGCAGTGAATAACGAGCCAGCAGAGACAGCGTCTGCGCAGCCGTGGCTGAGGAGCCTGTGGCGGCAGCGGCGATGGAACCAGCGGAGCAGCCGAGCGAGTTAGTGTCAGCCGAGGGCCGAAACCGGAAGGCGGTGCTGTGCCAGCGTTGCGGCTCCCGGGTGCTGCAGCCAGGGACCGCTCTCTTCTCTCGCCGACAGGTAGGGAGGCAGGTTGGAGGCCGTTTACACCCACAGTCTCCCCCGACGAGCCGCCGCAGTCAGAATCTGAACCCCGGCTCTTCAATTTCCGGCAACCGCGCCCTCCTCGCGCGGCCTTAAGCCCCGCCCCTCGGGCCTCAGCTCGGCGAGGCTCCGCCCCTGGGGCCGCTGAAGGCTAGGGAGGGAACCGGGTCCCGCCCCGGCATCTTTTGCCGCGGGAACCCTTCCCTGGGCCACCCGGCCCAGCCAGCCCGGCCCTCTGCCCCCGGGGGGGCTTCGAGCGCGGGCCGTGCGCCCCGCCGCCGTCCAAGGCCGGTGCTCCGCGGGCGCGTGGAAGGGAGGCGCCCCATTCCGGCTCTCGGAGCTCCCGCCAGCTTGCAGGACCCGGCAGGTGCCTCTCGGCCGCCGCTCACCGCGGGTGTTGCTGGGTTCCTTTCCCACTTTAGACCTCACCCGCCAGTCCTGAATTCACCGTCTCATTTATGACGGGCACCTATCTGCTCCACAGAGGATCCCCAGGAACAACTGGTGTTGGGGACGCGGCAAAATAACCCTGGTAACCTACCCACTTTACCGAGGCACTGGAAGCCTGTGGTTTTCCAGATGAATCATATTTCAAGTGCAGTAGATCCCTGACGTCCTGGAAGTAAATTTCGAAGAAAAACTTTTTTTTTCCCTTCAGTTTAGGGATTTTAATACCCTTCCTACCACCATCATCGCAAGTGAGAAAGTTGAAAAAAAAATTTATTTCGGTAAACTGTGTTGAAGTGCAAATATAATGTCATTTCAACCATAGACACATCCTATCATTCAAAATTATTTCTAAAAATATGCAGATCATTTTATTATTTCACGTGCTTGAACAGATGGTGAAGTGTAATGTCTAGTAGAAGAGCAAGAGGTACCCATTCGTCCAAAACAGCCTTTCATCAAAGGAGGAAAAAAGGGAATCTGTGTCTGTTGTTTTGTAGGTATTTTGATGACTTTTGATCTAGAGATTGGTGGAGGTCCCGGGGTTCTTTTAAGACTTCAAGGTTTAGGAGTAGAGTTCTCAATTAATTTTACGAAGTTAGTGGCATTATGGAGTCAGTGGAAAGAACATGGATCTTGGAATTGAAACATACATGGAATTGAGTCCTGACTATCATTCATTAACATTAAAACAGTTAGGCTGGGCGCGGTGGCTCATGCCTGTAATCCCAGCACTTTGGGAGGCCGAGGCGGGCGGAACACCTGAGGTCAGGAGTGTGAGACCAGCCTGGCCAACATGGCAAAACCCCATCTCTACTAAAAAAAAAAATACAAAAATTAGTTGGGGGTGGTGGCACAAGCCTGTAATCCCAGCTACTCGGGAGGCTGAGGCAGGAGAATCGCTTGAACCTGGGAAGCCGAGGTTGTAGTGAGCGGAGATTGAGTCACTGCACTCCAGTGTGGGCAACAGAACGAGACACCATCTCAAAAAAAAAAAAAAAAAGTTATTTAACCTCCATGAGATGCAGGTTGCTATTGTGTAAAACAGGGGTGTCCAGTCTTTTGGCTTCCCTGGGCCATATTGGAAGACTTGTCTTGGGCCACACAAAATACACTAATGATAGCTGATGAGCTTAAAAAAAAATTGCAAAAAAAAAAATTTTTCATAATGTTTTAAGAAAGTTTCCGAATTTGTGTTGGGCCGCATTCAAAGCCGTTCTGAGCCATATGCCGGCCGCGGGTTGGACAAGCTTGTAAAATGAAGATGATGATAGAGGGAAGAATTTGTATAAAAGCACTTAGCACTGTGCCGAGTATATAGCCCATAATATAGGTTAGTTCCCATACTCCTTTTCCATGGCAAGGTTTTGTCTAATTTTATAAACTGACATAAATTAAGAGACTTCTAAATGGAGTTTATAGTTTGTTTTAAAATTCTTAATTGTTTTTTCTTTAAAAAAAAAAAAAAAAAACAAAACATAGCCCACACCTGTAATCCCAGCTCTTTTGGGAAGCTGAGTTGGGCGGATCACTTGAGGTCAGGAGTTCAACAACTGCCTGGCCGACATGGTGAAATCCCATCTCTACTAAAAATACAAAAATTATCTGGGCGTGTTGGTGGGCACCTGTAATCCCAGCTACTTGGGAGGCTGAGGGGCAAGAATCGCTTGAACCCGGGAGGCAGAAGTTCAAGATTGCACCACTGCACTCCAGCCTGAGTGACAGAGCGAGACTCCGTCTCAAAAAAAAAAAAAAAGAAAAAAGAAAAAAACATAGACGCGCTCACTGTATTGCTCAGGCTGGTCTCCAACTCCTGGGCTCAAGTGATTCATCCACCTTGGCCTCCCAAAGTGGTGGGATTACAGGTATGAGCCACCGTGCCTGGCCAGGATCTTTCTTTTGTTTTGTTTTGTTTTTGAGATGGAGTCTCCCTCTGTCGCCGAGGCTGGAGTGTGTGGCATGATCTCGGCTCACTGCAACCTCCTCCTCCCGGGTTCAAGTGATTTTCCTACCTCAGCTTCCCAAGTAGCTGGGATTACAGGTGCACGCCACCATGCCCAGCTAATTTTTGTATTTTTAGTAGAGATGGGGTTTCAGCATGTTGGCCAGGTGAGCCGCTCCGCCCGGCAGGACCTACCTTCTGCCCTGCCCTGCCTTCCCCTCCCTCCCTTCCCTTCCCACTCCCCTCCCATCCCCTCCCCCTCCCCTCCCTTCCCCCGCTTTCCTTTCCCCCCTTCCCTTCCCACCTCCCCTCCCCTCCCCGTTCCCGTTCCCCGTTGTGCTCTGTCAAAAGCATGACTCACTGCAGCTTCCAACCAGTCAAAATTCTTAATTCTTGTTTGATACTATTTTAAACTGATTTTGCCAAAAATTGTGTGAGCAAATTAAATTATATATGTTACATTTCTTTTTGTTTCTCAACGAACACAGTGGTCCCTATTCTAGAAAGGGGCCTAAGAATTTTTTTAATGCATTTTATGTGTTTTAAAATGTTTTCCCTCTTTTAAAAAGGCAAAAAGGTGGGTTTTTTTTTTTTTGGGTTGTGTTTTTTAACAATGGCTTCAGTATTTCTGGAAATTTCCTATTTCTTGAGAAAGAACTGTTGGAAGAATCCTATCCCTTTTTCTGGACTCAAGCAACTCAGCTGTAATCCAACCCAGTGTTCTCCTTACTGTCAGTCCTAATTGTTTTCTCCTTTCTTTTCTCAAATACTAATTTGAGCAAAAATATAACTTCTAGGACATGATGTAAATAGAAGGTAGAAAATTTCATGGAAGATTCTAACCAGTTATTTATTAGTCCTTTCCCTGCTCTGTGTCACACATTTTAAGGTGGGGAAAAACAGTTCCATCCTTAGAGAGAACAAGCAGCTTCTGAGATGCTGAGCTCCTTAACTAAAGCTTTGGGGTAAACCCCGTAAAGGTTCGGGGTAGCTCTTTTTTCTCATAACTGTGACATATTGCAGATAAACCACCATTAGGGCAATTACAGCAGGGCTGTTACTCATCTCTGCAGGTGTTAAAGGAGCGCTCCCAGCCGTTAAGCCTGCAGAAAGGTGTAAGGAGTCTGGCTAGAGGTGGCCTACAGCTTTCTCTCTCGCTCCACCCAGTGCAATAGCCTAGTAGTCTGCAGATGGGAACAGTTGGAGAACTAGATTGCCAGTCCTACCTTTGAGGTGATCCAGGGCCTAGGAGTTACTGTATCTTATATTCCAGAGTTCTTTAGTCTAAAGTAGTGTGTTTCTCGATTCCTCCCGCATCCCCAGACCTCCAGAGGACATGTAGCAATATCTGGAGACATTTTTAGTTGTCAGAATGAGGGAGGTGTGCTACTGGCATCTAGTGGGTAGAAGCCAGGGTTGCTGTTAAGCATCTTTTTCTTTCTTTTCTTTTTTTTTTTTTTTTTTTTTTTTTTTGAGATAGAGTCTCACTCTGTTGCCCAGGCTGGAGTGCAGTGGCACGATCTCTGCTCACCTAACCTCCGCCTCCTGGGTTCAAGAGATTCTCCAGTCTCAGCCTCCCGAGTAGCTGGGATTACAGGTGCCCCCACCATGCCCAGCTAATTTTTTGCATTTTTTTAGTAGAGATGGGGGTTTCGCCATGTTGGCCAGGCTGGTCTTGAACTCCTGACCTCAGGTGATCCGGCCACCTCAGCCTCCCAAAGTGCTGGGATTACAGGCATGAGCCACTGTGCCCGGCCCGAACAATGATGTATTTTGCTCAGGAATTTAGGGGTCGACTGGGTTTAGCGAGGCAGTTCTCACTGGGGGTCTCTGATGTGATGGCAATCAGAAAGGTCATTCCGTCACGCGTCTGCCTGTGGGCTGGGAGGGCTCACACACCTGAGCACTGGAACAGGATTTGGGGCCACCTCCGTCCGTACATGGACCCCCCCAGCCTGGTCTCCACATGGCACCCTCAGGATAGCCGGACTTCTAACACAGTGGCTGAAGGCTCCCCGCACAAGTGTCCCATGAGAAGTGGCAAAAGTTGCATGCCATTTTCTAACCAGCCTGTCACTTCCACTGCATATATTCGTCAAGCAATCACCATGGCCTGCCCAGACCAAAGGAGAGGGCTATGGACTCCACTCTTGGTGGAAGGATTATCAGAGAATTTTTTGAAAACAACACAAGTAACTCCCAGAAGGGAAAAAGATTACGAAAAAGTTAACAGAAGTGTACTCTGTATTGTAGCAGTTTTTATTCTCATCTGTATTATAGCATGCTTGCCAAGTTTTCTATAATGAAAATGTATTTTTACAATGAGAAAGGTAGTATTTTATTTTTAAAAGGGTGCTGTTAGTAGTATATCAGCAGAGTCTCACTGAGTTGTGGCGTTCTGTCTATTTCTGAAGAGGTTGTCCAGGATTCGCTGGGGTCCTGACAGAACAAAGGTAACCAACCCATCTGGTCAGAGATCTCACTGGCAACTTCGCACCAAGTTGAGTTTGCCTCAAATTACATACTAATTTTTTTGTTGCCATCCCCAGTAGTCTATCCAGAAAGCCTCATTACATTCCGGATGTTGTAGCTAATCTCCTGGCCCTAGCAATGGTCCTTGGCATTGCAGTGAATAGGTTGAGATCCAGGCAGAGATGCACATACATATGCATATATATAAGTATAGTCTTGTGGGCCTGACTTAGATGATCTAAGTTAAAATGGGAATGTTGAGGAATAGAGCAAACAGGACCCAATATGATGCCTTGAATGGACCGTTAATTATGGTAGTACCTTTAAATCACAAATCAAAGGAGAGACAACTGGACAGGTGATGCTTTGTGCTACAAATGGGAACCGAGAGAGGGAAGGTGGTGATCTTTTGTTGGGCACCTCCTGAACACTAATGCTTTAGTCAGTTTTCTGTTTTGTTGGACACACTGAATTCTTGGTTGATTGGTTAGATGTCTTAACTAGTCCACTGAAGTTTACTCCATCTATGTGAAGATATGTGAGATTTCACACCTACAGTATAGGGGATAAGCCAGAAATACATTTAGGAAAATTGAGGCCCACAGAAAGTTACAGATGCGACTAGAATCCAGGTTTCCTGGTTCCTTAATTTTGATTCCTAACTCTCTTTGCCTCTACTTGTTGCTGTTTTTGTTTAAGGTAGAACAAAGTGTTAAGGACACCTTTAACATGAGGCAAAAAGAATGACTGGAGTAACAGTATTACACAATGGCTTGTACTGTAACCCCAGTTACTTGGGAGACTGAGGCTGGAGGATTGCTTGAGCCCAGGAGTTCAAACCCAGCCTGGGCAATGTAGAGAGACCCCATCTCTAATTACAAAAAAACAAAAAAGTATATCGTGGGGTGGGAAATGGGAAATAAGTGATATGACAGCAGCCATATGAGGAGCAGAGGGGTAACAAACTTGGCTGGCATGATATTTTGCGGTAGTCTGGGACAGCTAAGAGTGTATACACTATCCATATTGAAGAAATTAAAGCAACTGTGTGTGTGCGTGCCAGAGGCCTTCTCCTAATGATTGAGAAGTCATATAGGTTGGAGGGTACAAGCATCCTAGAGCTAATAATTCCAAATTGTAGAACTAGATTTTTCTTTTTATAAGATAAATCCAGTATATCCCTAATAGTGATGGAATAGATCAAAGCCAGATATTCTATGTTCATTCTCTTAACAAATAGTTGAGATCCTGCTCTATACCAGTTGCTATTCTAAGCACTAGAGATCTAGTAATGAACAAAGTAAGCTCCTTGCTTTCCAGGAGCTGATATTCTAGTTGAGGTAGACACGTGGTAAATAAGTAAGCCAATAAATTAATACGATAATTTCAGAAAATAAGCAATAAACAAGTAGGAGTGGCATGAAGAGACTTCCAGGGGAAATGAATGTGTTCATTATCTTGATTATGATAATGGTTTCACCAGTATACATGTGCTAAAGTGAAATAAACTGTGCATTTTATTTTATTACTTTTTGAGACGATCTCACTCTGTCATCCAGGTTGGAGTACAGTGGCATGATCTTGGCTCACTGTAGTCTCAATCTCCCCGGCTCAAGTGATCCTCTCACCTCAGCCTCCTGAGTAGCTGGGACTACGGACACTTGCCACCATACCCAGCTAATTTTTTTTGTTGTTGTTGTTTTTGAGACAGAGTCTCGCTCTGTCGCCCAGGCTGGAGAGCAGTGGTGTGATCTCAGCTCACTGCAGCCTCAACCACCTCCTGGGCTCAAGCAATCCTCTTACCTCAGCCCCATGAGTGGCTGGGACTACAGGTGTGCACTACCACAGCCTGCTAATTTTTGTGTTTTTTGTAGAGATGGGGGTCTCACTATGTTGCCTAGGCTGGTCTTGAACTCCTGAGCTCAGGCAACCCTCCTGCTTCAGCCTCCCAAAGGGCTGGGATTACAGGTGTGTACCACCACGCCTAGCCCTGGCTAATTTTTTCAAACTACTTTTTGTAGAGACTAGGTCTCATTATGTTGCCCAAGCTAATGTGCATTTAAAATATGTGCAGTTCATATGTCAATTATACCTCAATAAAACTATTTAAACAAAATACAGTGGGCAGTAAGTAAAGCTAATTCAGGTTGTTTGGTTAGAGAAGACCTCCTGAGAAGGCTATGTTTGAGCTGACTACTGAGGAGGAGCTAGCCATACCAAGATCTGAGGGCAGAACAGACCAATGCTGTTTGAGGAAGGCAAGAAAGCCAGTGTGCCTGAAGCATAATGAGCCGGGGAAACTAGGACCATGTGGGGCCCATGTTGAGGACAGCAGTGAAACCGAGTTCCCAGACCACCCAGCTGGTGCCCCTCTTTCATTTCTCTTAAGAATCAGGCTCACGCCTATAATCCCAGCACTTCGGGAGGCCGAGGCAGGCAGATCACGAGGTCAAGAGATCGAGACCATCCTGGCTAACACGGTGAAACCCCATCTTTACTTAAAAAAAAAATACAAAAAATTAGCCAGGCGTGGTGGCGGGCACCTGTAGTCCCAGCTACTCGGGAGGCTGAGGCAGGAGAATGGCGTGAACCCAGGAGGCGGAGGTTGCAGTGAGCTGAGATCGCGCCACTGCACTCCAGCCTAGGCGACAGTGGGAGAATCTGTCTCACAAAAAAAAAAGAATCAGGGCAGAGACCAGAGGCAAAGAAGAGCCACCCAGCATCATCGTCTACAGCTTAATGAGAGGGCTTCTCTTTTTTTGTCATTCCTGCTAGGGAGCAATGTGAAGTGTACCTAGAACGGGGGTGTTGATGGAACTGGGCCAGTTCAACTTCTGCGTTCTTTATGTTCTTTCCCACTGCAGCTTTTCCTTCCCTCCATGAGAAAGAAGCCAGCTCTGTCTGACGGCAGCAATCCTGACGGCGATCTCCTCCAGGAACACTGGCTGGTTGAGGACATGTTCATTTTTGAGAATGTGGGCTTCACCAAGGACGTGGGCAACATCAAGTTTCTGGTCTGCGCAGACTGTGAAATTGGACCAATTGGCTGGCATTGCCTAGATGACAAGAACAGTTTCTATGTGGCCTTGGAACGAGTTTCCCATGAGTAACTGAGGGGAGGGGTACTCAGCTCCATCTCCAAAGATAAACCTACTCCCCACAAGAACTGGCCTTTAATGTGGTATAACTGTTCCGCTGCCTTCTTGTCTGTGCTAATATAAATACTGAGTACCAGCATGTCCATTTGAACATGCAGAGGGTTAATCCTGCTTCCTAAAGCCTCAAGTACATGCCTCCTGCTTAGTTCACTTTGTATCACATTTCCTAAGCTCCCTTTTCCCCCAGTTTTGGGACACTGTGCTTACCTCCAAAAATCTCATCTCTTCCCTGGCATTCTCCCTAGGCTCTGTTTTGCCCAGGGGCTCCCGCTTTTTCTTGCTCTAGAAGAGCAGTATTCAACCTTTTAGCTATGATGACACATAACAAAAGATGCTTATGTACTAATAGTTGAAATCTGCCTTTTTCTCATTCAAGAAGGCATACAAATATCTGAGAGTGACTTTGTTGTATGGCTACCCTTGTGATCTACAGTAATTTATTCTTTCTAAAGGTAAAGCATTTTCAAAACTCAGTATTTAAACCACTAACCAGAAACATTACTTTGGATGCATCTCTAATACCATGTTTGAGCACCTCTGCTCTAGGTTGAGAATGACATTTTATTGTGAAGATGGGTGTGGTCCCTCTTCCCTTGAAATCTTGTAGTTTCTTTTTATATTAGCTCCTCACTGCTACAGCCTAGAAGGTGAGAAGCAGATTTTAACCCCATCTGGCAGCCATTCAAGGAAAACCCAGCCCTGGCTGTTTACTCAGGCTCTCTTAGAATGAGAGTGGAGGGTGTAGGATATGAGGGTTAGGCCTTTGCCACATTATACAAAAGTTTATAATTTGCCACATCTGGACAAGTAACTTTCTTCTTTTGTTCATAGGCAAGACTTCTTTAATGGATAGTATCATTTACTGAACCTACTGGGCATGGTCCTCATGGAGTTTTGGTTCAACTGGAATCTCTGTGCCAACCCAGGATACAAACTTCCATCCAGATGCATGGATACAAATTTCCATAGCTCCGGGGCTGCTCTAACAGTTTGATATCAGCAGACGTGTTTAAGCCTTCAACTTGATTTCCAATTATTCCATCATTTCTATTCTGAAATGACTCACTGTCGTAGAAGGAAGTTTATTATATAACCAAGGTTTCAGGTATCCTCCTGTCACCACCTCTACTATTCAGGAGGCCTAAAATTGAAATAAGTACTAAACAGAAACCTTACCATCTGAAGTCCCTTCCATTGTTTTCTAGTTGCTTCCTCATTCCTTTACCCCCAAACTTTCTAAGGGCTCCCCGACTGCAGTGCAAGGTGGCCTTGGGCACAGTTTTGCAACCAACCTACTCCCCTGGAAAGATGGCTTCCTTCTCCAATTAGCCTGAATGAGCTTTAGTAAGCAATTGAGAGAACTGTGTTTTTCCGACAAACGGTCACATGTCCATCGTTATGGCATGTGCAGAAAAACAGAGTTATCCACACAAGTCAGGAGCAAAACCCAAGTAGATGCCTCTAGGGGCACATGGCCCCTCACATCACAAGCCAGAACCTAAGCTAAGCATTTTTTAAATTGAGTTTGAGACTAGCCTGGGCAACATAGTGAGACCCCATCTCTATTTAAAAAATGAACAAAATTACCTGGGCATAGTGGTGTATACCTGTAGTCCCTGCTACTTGGGAGGCTCAGGTGGGAGGATCACTTGAGCCCCAAAGATGGTGGCTGCAGTAAGCCAAGATCACACCACTGGCACTCCAGCCTGGGCAACAGAGTGAGACCCTGTCTCAAACAAACAACAACAGTAACAACAAAAAAATATATAGCGACTTGAATAGGAAACCATAGTATTTCATTGTTTTAATTTGCATTTATTTTATTTCTAGTGAAACTTTTATATACGTATCGGTCATTTCTATTTCCTTTTTTGAGAACTGCCAAATGTTGCCCTAGTAGCCAAAAATATCAGGTTGCTATTCTGCCTTTTCAGTTTGATCTGAAAGAAATAAAGGCATTTAAGCAATGGAAATTAGATTTCTGCATGTCCTTGGGAAGAATATATAAATTGAAAAAACAAAGGAGAGCTGAAACCTGAACCTTGGGGTTTAGCTTAAGGTCAACCAACTGATTATCTAGTCAGCTATAAAATGCAAACGTCATTTCTTCATTTCCCTCACACCTAATAGGCTCTCAGTACATACTTGTGAATCAGCTGCTATTTGCTGTGGGTAGATAGAGGCAACCTGTGCTTTCTGCTCCGAGTATAGAAACTTCCGTTTTCTATTGGGGAGAGCAGTTGATTTTGTGAAAGCCTGATTGTTTCCACATAATTGTCTGTTGTTTTACAAAAACATGGAATCAAAGATGGGCAGTGGTGTACTGACATTTCACAAATTGTCACCATGTTGTATATGAGGCTACACATGTAACTGAGTAACTATGAGGACTTCTGCTTCTGATAATGGTGGATAGGTCCTTTGGACTACCCAGCTCACTGGTTAACTAGAAAGGCTGGACAAAATACTTTAGAAATCTGTGTGAACACACCAAGAGAGCCGACTTGACTTTGAAGAATTGCTAAACCAGGACAGCAGAGGAGATGGGAACCCTGGGAGGTGGGCTTGGTGTGAGGGCCACCGTTCTCCTGGGAGCATTTGCCAAACTTGGAGGTGATTCAGAGGCTTAGCAGTGATTTTAGCAGCCTTTCAGAAGTAGGGGATGGGGCCTGTGAAAGGGCGATGGACTTGGTGGTGTTACTCACTTTTGGTTGAAGCCCTCAGTCTTTTGCACCCCAGGAATAAGGGTGAGGCGGTGTAGGAAACAGGCTCTCGGGACTGCAGCCCAGCCTCCGATTACGGATCTTAATCCTTGAAATTAGATTAAGGTGATCCCAGAGTGGTAGTTTGCCCAAACTCTTTGGATAAGCAAACAAAACCCCTCTCTAGAGGATGTTATTATTATCCTAAACCCAGATTCTTTCTACAATTTTGCTAATACAATATCCTGAGTACAACAAGATGTAACCAGGCACGTGAGACAAGATAGCAGGCCCACAGTGGCTGGAGACATCGGTGCTATCAGACTAAAATAACTGCTTACCATGTTCAAGGAGAGACACTAGTTTGGGAATTCAGCAGCTACATGAACATGTTTTTTTAAAAAGTAAATTCTAGAATTTGTAAGAATCCAATAATCAAAATTAAGAATACAGTGGAAACTTGATTGGGCATGGTGGCTCATGCCCATAATCCCAGCACTTTGGGAGGCCAAGGCCGGCGGATCATGAGGTCAGGAGTTCAAGACCAGCCTGGCCAATGTGAAACCCTGTCTCTACTAAAAATGCAAAAATTAGCCAGGCATGGTGGTGCACGCCTGCAATCCCAGCTACTCCGAAGGCTGAGGCAGGAAAATCGCTTGAACCCAGGAGGCGGAGGTTGCAGTGAGCCGAGATTGTGCCACTGCACTCCAGCCTGGGACAGGGAGAGATTCCGTCTCAACAAAAGAAAAAATACAGTGGAACCAGCATGGGCAACATAGTGAGACCCTGTCTCCACAAAAAACAAAATAGCTGGGTGTGGTGGCACCTGCTTGTAGTCCCAGCTACTTTTGAGGCTGAGGTGAGAGGATCACTTGAGCCCAGGAGTTAGAAGCTTCAGTGAGCTATGATGATGCCACTATACTCAAGCCTGGGCAACAGTGAGCCCCTGTCTCTAAAGTTCACTGGAATGCTTTAACAGCAGCTTAGGCACAACTGAGGAGAGAACTAGAAAACTAGGGGTTAGACATAACTAACAGTAGATATGTAAGACCACAACACAAAACCTTATATGACATTACTGAGAGAAAGTAAAAGAAAACAAATTCATGGGGCCAGGAAACTATAGCCCACAGGCCAAATTCATTCAGCCAGTACCTATTGAGGCTCAGAAACTTTCAAGCTAAAAATAGTTTTTACTTTTTTTTTTATGAGACAGGATCTTAACTCTGTTACCTAGCCTAGAGTGCAGTGGCACAATCACAGCTCACTGCAGCCTCAACCTCCCAGGCTCAGGCGAGCCTCCCAGCTCGGCCTCCTGAGTAGCTGGGAACACAGGCATGTGCCAGTGCGCCCGGCTAATTTGTATTTTTAGTAGAGACAGGGTTTTGCCATGTTGTCCAGGCTGGTCTCAAACTCTTAGGCTCAAGTGATCCTCCCACCATGGACTCCCACAAGTGCTGGAATTACAGGTGTGAGCCACCGCACCTGGCCGATTTTTATGTTTTGTAAATGGTTATGTAAGTATATAATATCTCCAATTCTGCCTCAGCCCACAGAGCTTAGAATACTTATCTAACCCTTTAAGAAAAAAGTTTGTTAACTCCTAATACTGTTAACAATCTCAACTTCAAACTGATGTATAAATTCAGTAAATCCCAGTCAAAAACTCAAGTTTGTGTGTGTGAAATTCAACAAACTGATTGTAAAAGTTAAATGAAAATGCAGAGGACGAGGAGTAGCCGAGACAGTCATGGAGAAAAACAAGGTGGGAGAATTTTTCTATTGGACAGACAGTGTAGCTTGTCACAAGGATAGACAGACTAATGGAACAAAAGAGCTCAGAAACAGACCCACGCATATAGGACACTTGATTTATGATAAAGGTAGGAGTAATGATTTGGAGGGGGCATGAGGAGAGCTTCTGCAATGCTAGTAATGTTCTACATTTTAAAATCTTGATAGTTGCTATGTAATAAAGTGAGCTGTACATCTTCTGTGTACTTTTCTGAACATGTATTTTCACAATAAGGTTTTTATTTTTCTTGGGACAGGGCCTCACTCTGTCACCGAGGCTGGAGCGCAATGGCACGATGGCGGCTCACTGCAACCTCGAACTCCCAGGCTCAAATGATCCTCCTGCCTCTTAGCCTCGTGAGTAGCTGGGACTACAGGTGCATGCTGACATGCCTGGCTATTTTTTTTTTTTTTTTTTGGAGAGATGGGGTCTCACTGTGTTCCCCAGGCTGGTCTGGAACTCCTGGCCTCAAGTGATCCTCCTGCTTCAACCTCCCAAAATGCTGGGATTACAGGATTACAGGTGTGAGCCACCATGCCTGGTGACAGTAAGATTTTTAAAAGAATGTAAGTAGTGGTTCTATATAAAGCCCACTTTTCTAAACATCAGTTCTTCCCTTCAAAATCAGATAGCATTTCATTTCCATTATCTCCTAAATTTATACATATTTAAAAGTTAATAGCAGGGTGTGGTGGCTCATGCCTGTAATCCCAGCACTTTGGGAGGCCGAGGCAGGCGGATCATGAGGTCAGGAGATAGAGAACACGGTGAAACCCCTTCTCTACTAAAAATACAAAAAATTAGCCGGGCACAGTGGCGGGTGCCTGTAGTCCCAGCTACTCAGGAGGCTGAGGCAGGAGAATGGCGTGAACCCGGGAAGTGGAGCTTGCAGTGAGCTGAGATCCCGCCACTGCACTCCAGCCTGGGTGACAGAGTGAGACTCCGTCTCAAAAAAAAAAAAAAAAGTTAAATGCCTGACTCTACTTCCTCACTTCTAAGGATGATAAATTTCATAAGAATAAGGACTCAGAATATCCTATTTGCTCTTGGTGCATGGCCTAGTGTCTGACAAATTTATAATAGTTCAGTAAATAGTTTTGAAGAGAATTTAAAATAAACTCTGCTGAGTAGTGTTATCATTTTAATGGGACTAATTTAAAGAAGTTCATGCAGACTTTTGAAAATGGAGCTAGAGGTTAGAGCGAATTATATTTATTTTTTGGTTTACTGCAGCACTTTATTTTTCCTTATGTAAATAACAGTGGAAAACCAAAATTTGTGGTCATCTCTTTAAAAATTGAGAATTATGTACAAAAAACTTACATAAATTAAAAGAATGAATAAATTTACAGGTGTAAATGTAAACCGCTTCTAGCTCAAGACTTAACACTAATAGACCAGCAAGACAGAAATGAAACTGGTTCAGGAGCTCTTGCCAGGCTCTAGAAAAATCCTGGAATGGCTGGGCACAGTGCATCACCTAAGGTCGGGAGTTTGAGACTAGCCTGACCAACATGGAGAAACCCTGTCTCTACTAAAAATACAAAATTAGCCGGGTGTGGTGGCGCATGCCCGTAATCCCAGCTACTTGGGAGGCTGAAGCAGGAGAATCACTTGGACCCAGGAGGCGGAGGTTGTAGTGAACCGAGGTTGCGCCATTGCACTCTAGTGTGGGCAACTAGAGCGAAACTCTGTCTCAAAAAAAAAAAAAAAAAAGGAAAATCCTGGAACACTGAGCTCTCTGACACCTTAGTACCTGCACAGATAAGGAGACTGCAGGTCACACAGACCCACCAAGCCACAGACTTCCCTCCCACAAGCATGTCCTCACCTCAGCCATGAAGTTACTGAGCCACATGTACTAAGGGTATAAATCAAAGATATGTACAGGGTATTAAACAAATACCAAGGGAACGGTTAACAAAGTCAAAATCAGCACCAAGTTCTACAATCCGGTGCTGATATACAAGCTTCAAGGACCAGTTCTTTTGAAAGGCTTATTCTGGTTTATTGAGGCTAGCATGAGGTGTATGCATTTGCCAGGGGCAAATTTATACTTCTGCATTAATCCATGAAGCACATGACACGCGTCTGCTTGCAGTCCATTTAGAAGCATTTGCAGTGGGTGATGCAGGGGCTTGATTCATCCTACTCCTGCTTGATGATCCACATCTGCTGGAAGGCGGCCAGGATGGTGCTGCCAATCCACACAAGGACTTGCGCTCAGGGAAGGTGATGATCTTCTTGGAGCTGGGCACCAGGGTCGTGATCTTCTGCATCATGTAGGTGATGCCCAGGTACACGGGGGTGTCACCAGACAGCACCATGTTGGCAAACAGGTCCTTGCGGATGTGCACATCACACTTTATGGAGTTGAAGGTGGCCTGGTGGATGCCACAAGATTCCATACCCAGGAAGGAGGCCTGGAACAGCGCCTCCAGACACTGGAACCACTTGGACAGCTCCTAGATCTTCTCCAGGGAGGAGGAGGACGCTGTGGTGGCCATTTCCGCAGCTTCTCCTTGATGTTGCACAAGATCTCCCGTTTGGCTGTGGTGGTGAAGCAGTAGCTGGGCTCCCTGAAGATCTCCATGGGGTGGTTGGTCAGGTGCCAGTCATCCAGACGCAGGATGGCATGGGGGAAGGCATAGCCCTTGTAGACGGGCACCGTGTGGGTCTCAGCTGTGTATGATAATACCAGTGGTGTAACCAGAGGTGTACAGGGACAGCACAGCCTGGATGGCTGTGTACCTTGCTGGGGTGTTGAAGGTCTCAATCCGAGTCATCTTCTTTCTGTTGGCCCTGGGGTTCAGCGGGGCCTCAGGCAGCAGCACTGGGTGCTCCTTGGGAGCCACGTGCAGCTAATCGTAGAAGGTGTGGTGCCAGATCTTCTCCATGTCATCCCAGTTGGTGATGATGCGGTGGTCCACGGGGCACTTTCAGGGTCAGGATGCTGCACTTGCTCTGGGCCTCATCACCCAGGTAGGAGTCCTTCTGGCCTATGCCCACCATCATGCCCTGGTGCCAGGGATACCCAGTGATGGAGGGGAACATGGCTCGGGGAACTATACCCAGCAAAGCCAGCTTTGCATGTGCTGGAGCCATTGTCAATGACAAGTGCCATGATCTCTTCTTCCATTGTGATCAGCCGAGGAGCAGGCAGTGGAGTGATAGGAGAACCCAGAGTGTGGGCTGGTGGTGAGTGGGTGAGTTACATTTCTGATACAGGAATAGTCGGGGAGCCAGGTGTGGCAGTTCACACCTGCAATCCCAGCACTTTGGGAGGCCAAGGCAGGAGAATTGCTTGAGTTCAGGAGCTTGAGTTTACAGTGAGCCAAGATCACACCACCGCACTCCAGCCTGAGTACCAGAGACTCTGTTTCAAAAAAAAAAAAAAAAAAATAGAACAGGTACTGTACTTTTTTTCAATGCTGTTTGAAAAAGACAGTGAAAACAGTTATACAGGTTAGTGAGAGAGTATTTCAATGTGGTCGTGACCATGGCTAAGTCTTCAGAGGGTGAGGGAATAAAGATATTAACCTCAGCAGGTGCTAACCTTTTTTTTTTTTTCTTTTCTTTTTTTTTTTTTTTAGAAAGAGTCTCCCTCTGATGCCTAGGCTGAGTGCAGTGGCGTGATCTCCACTCACTGCAACCTCCACCTCCCAGATTCAAGAGATTCTCGTGCCTCAGCCTCCTGAGTAGCTAAGACTACAGGCATGTGCCGCCACGCCCAGCTAATGTGCTAACCAACCATTCAATTAAGACCAAGATTTTCTTGTGTTTGGAAAATTAAATTCCTGGAATCTGTAGGTGTCAGAATTTAGAGTTAAGTGGCAGGAGTGACCATCAAATTCACCTGAAGTCAGTTGAAACTTAGAAGGCATTTTGCCTTGGAGAGAAACAATGGATGTTGAGTAGTTTTTAACCTATGACACAAGCCCATATGTGTACCGGAAGCACAGCACCATAACAAACAATGCTAATGCTGAATGCCAGGAGCAAGGCCTCTGCTGCTGTGAGGGCAGGGTCCCTTCACAATCCAAACCTGGTGACCCCAGACAGTCTATTTCAAGTTGGGGATCAGGATAAACTCTGACTTACATAATGATAGGGAAACTACTGAGGAGATAGAATGTGGGCTGGGAACACTTACTGCCTCAAGGAGGTAAGAGGAGAGTGAGCAACTCCATGGGTTTATACATCATCCCTTCTCCCCTGTGTCCTGAATGGGCCCTGAAATGAGATGTAAAATAGGGATTGGCTGGAAACTGGGGGTTCTGTCCTAGGGAGCAGTTGCCTGAGTCAAAGGGGAAATAAATTTCAAGCTAAGACAGTAAGAAAAGAAAGCTCATATCGACACTCAGCTTGGGCAACTGTTCTAAGGTATTTGTAAGAAATTCCAGGGCAAGCGAGGTAGCTCACACCTGTAATCCCAGCACTTTGGGAGGCTGAGGTGGATGGATCACCTGAGGTCAGGAGTTCAAGACCAGCCTGGCCAACATGGTGAAACCCCGTCTCTACTAAAAATACAAAAAAATTAGCTGGGCATGGTGGTGGGTGCCTATAATCCCAGCTACTTGGGAGGATGAGACAGGAGACTCGCTTGAACCTGGGAGGCGGAGGTTGCAGTGAGCCGAGATCGCACCATTGCACTCCAGCCTGGGTGGCAGAGCGAGACTCAGTCTCAAAAAAATGAAACAAAATAAAATTTAAAAAGAAAGAAAGAAATTCCGCCGTTTGAAAGCCAGGTACTGCCTGTACAGTCTTGGCACTGGCTCAAGAATAAATCCTGAAACATAGTCCTGGTCTATCACTGTTTACCTTGATTCTTCACCACTAGGTTAACAGGATATTCTTGTTCCCATAAAAGCCTCTCCATCGAACTTCTTTTATCCTTCCCTTGCCCAGACTGATGGGTGTTACTTCAATTCACAGTGTCACTTCATTGCTATGTGGTGGAGGAGGATGGGGAGGATATATAGAGAGAAAGGATGCAGGTTTATCAGGATACTTTGGATTGCTTTAAAACTAGAGTTGACCATGGGGTTAAGGAAACAGGAGCATGGAAAGCCAGGGTGACACCATTTTAAAATCAACTCCAGCTTAAAACCAGCAAGGCACATTCCTTGCCAGTCACGACCCATGGCCATAAGATGTTTTGAAGCTGTTTTAGTAATGCCTGCAAGAACAAACTCCTATGACAGCAGAACGTCCAGCTGTCCCAATATTGCATAACAATATATGTTTTAAAAATAGTTATAGTTATGCTTTGATGTACTTACTCAAATGCCAAGGATAACTTTCTTTTCTTTTCTTTTTTGAGACGGAGTTTGGCTCTTGTCACCCAGGCTGGAGTTCAGTGGCGTGATCTTAGCTCACTGCAACCTCTGCCTCCCGGGTACAAGCGATTCTCCTGCCTCAGCCTCCCAAATAGCTTGGAATACAGGCGCACAAACTGCTGGCATTACAGGCATGAGCCACTGCACCTGGCTGAGATTTTGTTTTTCTTATACAATTCAGTCAGTTCTAGATAAAATGGAAACATTAGAGAATAATTTGACACTGAGAAAAAAAATGTGAAAAAGGCTTCTTAAAAACCAAACTTCCAGCCGGGTGTGGTGGCTACCGCCTGTAATCCCGGCACTTTGGGAGGTCAAAGTGGGTGGATCACTTGAAGCCAGGAGTTTGAGACCAGCCTGGCCAACATGGTGAAACCACATCACTACTGAAAATACAAAAATTAGCCTGACATGGTGGTGCATGTCTGTAATCCCAGCTACTCGGGAGGCTGAGGCAGGAGAATTGCTTAAGCCTGGGAGATGGAGGTTGCAGTGAGCCATGATCACACCACTGCACTCCAGCCTGGGCCACAGAGTGAGACTCCATCTCAGAAACACCACCACCAACAACAAACAAACAAACACAAACCCTAAAAAATCCAAACTTCCATAAAAACTTTAACAAAAATTTTGGTCCATAGCTTTCCTTGGATTACTTGATGGATGTCTGAGTTATATCCAATTAAGAAAAGTTTATGATACGGAAAAACATGTTTCTAGGATTGTGGAATGGTTTTCTCTATAAAATGCTTCTTAAGTTTTCAGATTCACAGACAAGTGAGTGCCCTTTGCGTTCCTTCCCTTCCCTGTGTTGTTCCTTTTCCTGCTGAGCCTTCTGAGCCCCAGGAGTCATGGGATGCTCATGTTTCTTTATATTCACTGGGAACTGGGGGTTAGAGGCCCCTACCCAGGGCTGTTGGATAAATTGAGGTTCAGAGGCATATTTGCCAGCACCTATTGGTTCTCAGTCCCCCTTGTCCCCTTTCTCAGCTGCATATTTGCTGTCTATGCCTCGCTAGTGACACACGCGATCCTCGGCTTGTATGCCCTAAGCTTACGCCTGTCATTTTCCTTCTGGTCATGATGGTTTTCATTCTTTGGGTTGTTTAATTCAGCATCTCTCTGGGTGGCATTGGAGGGCAAAAGCCTCCTGAGAACTAGTCTTATTGAGAAAAAGAATAATGTTGTCTAATTCAGAAGCCATCTAAGGGTCAATTCAAATTATGGACTTGAAAATGGTTACTTGGGCTGGGCGCGGTGGCTCACGCCTGTAACCCAGCATTTTGGGAGGCTGAGGTGAGCGGATCACCTGAGGTCAGAAGTTCAAGACCAGCCTGACCAACATGGTGAAACCCTGTCTCTACTAAAAATACAAAATTAGCTGGGCGTGGAGGCGCATGCCTGCAATCCCAGCTACTCGGGAGGCTGAGGCAGGAGAATTGCTTGAACCCGGGAGGCGGAGTTTGCAGTAAGCTGAGATGGCACCATTGCACTCCAGCCTGGGCAACAAGAACAAAACTCCATCTCAAAAAAAAAAAAAAAGAAAGAAAAAGAAAAAAAGAAGAAAATGGTTACTTGGCTGGGTGTGGTGGCTCACACCTGTAATCCCAGCACTTTGGGAGGCCAAGGCAGGCAGATCACCTGAGGTCAGGGTTCAAGACCAGCCTGACCAACATGGAGAAACCCCCTCTCTACTAAAAATACAAAATTAGCTGGGCATGGTGGCGCATGTCTGTAATCCCAGCTACTCAGGAGGCTGAGGCAGGACAGACACTTGAACCCAGGAGGCGGAGGTTGTGGTGAGCCGAGATCGCACCATTGCACTCCAGCTTGGGCAACAAGAGCGAAACTCCGACTCAAAAAAAAAAAGGTTACTTATGGCTGGGCACGGTGGCTCATGCCTGTAATCCCAATACTTTGGGAGTCCGAGGCAGGAGGATCACCTGAGGTCACAGGTTGGAGACCAGCCTGGCCAACATAGTGAAACGCCGTCTCTACTAAAAACACAAAACTTAGCCGAGCATGGTGGCAGGCGCCTGTAATCCCAGCTACTCAGGAGGCTGAGGCAGGAGAATCGCTTGAACCCGGGAGGCAGAGGTTGCAGTGAGCCGAGATCATGCCACTGCACTACAGCCTAGGCGACAGAGCAAGACTCCATCTCAGGGAAAACAAAAAAAAGCTGGGCGTGATGGCTCATGCCTGTAATCCCAGCACTTTGGGAGGCCAAGGTGGATGGATCACCTGAGGTTGGGAGTTCAAGACCAGCCTGATCAACATGGAGAAACCCCATCTCTACTAAAAATATAAAATTAGCTGGATGTGGTGGTGCATGCCTATAATCCCAGCTACTTGGGAGGCCGAGGCAGGAGAATCGCTTGAACCCGGGAGGTGGAGGTTGTGGTGAGCCAAGATTGTGCCATTGCACTCCAGCCTAGGCAACAAGAGTGAAACACCATCTCAAGAAAAGAAAATGGTTACTTATGAAAAAAGGTAGAAAGGAACCAGTAAATAGGGGAGAGAGATGAGGAAAGTTTTGGAAATGAAGATGTATTTTTGGTAAGGCAAGTTATAAAGAGGATAATTTTATATAAAAAAAGGTAGCCGGGCATGGTGGCTCACACCTGTAATCCCAGCACTTTGGGAAGCCGAGGCAGGCAGATCACCTGAGGTCAGGAGTTCAAGACCAGCCTGGCCAACATGGTGAAACCCCATCTGCACTAAAAATACAAAAATTAGCCGGGAGTGGTGGCACGTGCCTGTAGTCCCAGCTACTCGGGAGGCTGAGGCAGGAGAATAGCTTGAATCCAGGAGGCAGAGGTTGCAGTGAGCCGAGATCGTGCCATTGCACCCCAGCCTGGGGGACAGAGTGAGAGACTCTGTCAAAAAAAAAAAAAAAAAAAAAAAGCTTTAACCCTTTAAATCTCAGTTTTTTTAGTAACCAAAATCCTAATAAACATAGCATAGGAATTATCTTGATAAAACGTAAACTCTTGGAGTTTTATTTTCTTGTTTTTTTGTTTTGTTTTGTTTTTTGTTTTTTTTGAGATGGAGTTTTGTTCTTGTTACCCAGGCTAGAGTGCAATGGTGTGATCTTGGCTCACTGCAACCTCCGTCTCCTGGGTTCAAGTGATTCTCCTGCTTCAGCCTCCCTAGTAGCTGGGCTTACAGGCATGCGCCACCACACCCAGCTAATTTTGTATTTTTAGTAGAGACGGGGTTTCACCATGTTGGTCAGGCTGGTTTCAAACTCCTGACCTCAGGTAATCCACCTGCCTCAGCCTCCCAAAATGCTGGGATTAGAGGCATGAGCCACTGTGCCCAGCCTGGTTCATTTTTTAATACTGCCTCTGGCATACCTTGACAAAAAAGGAGGAATATAAACTAAAAAATAAAACCCTAAGCCCCCCAACAGAGCAGACCCCCCTCTTGGCCAAAGAGAATTTTAAAAATACCCTGAAAAAGGCCAGGTGTGGTGGCTCACACGTGTAATCCCAGCACTTTGGGAGGCCGAGGCGGGTGGATCACGAGGTCAGGAGATCGAGACCACCCTGGTTAACATGGCGAAACCCGGTCTCTACTAAAAATACAAAAAATTAGCCGGGCGTGGTGGCGGGCGCCTGTAGTCCCAGCTATTCAGGAGGCTGAGGCAGGAGAATGGCGTGAACCCAGGAGGTGGAGCTTGCAGTGAGCTGAGATCACACCACCGCACTCCAGCCTGGGTAACAGAGCAAGACTCCATCTCAAAGAAAAAAAAAATACCCTGAAAAACTAGTTCAGGTTATGATGGGAAGCTGGGGGTCAGACATACCTCACTACACATTTCCCCTCTTGGGATTCAGATACAACTGGCCAGCATTAACATTAAAATAGAAATCATAAAACTTACAGAACAGATTATTTATGGCAATAAGATATCAAACTATAAACAGGATCTATGACCAGGTGTGGGGTTAAGTCTTCACCGCAACGTAAACAGAGTCATATGTTACATGCATGTTTGTTCAATATACCTGTGTCAGGCAGGCCACTGCCATAAATATTCGTAGCTCCCCTATTCAACCAGGAGACTTAGTCTTATTAAAAACTTGGAAAGAAGGCTGGGCACAGTGGCTCACGCCTGTAATCCTAGCACTTTGGGAGGCTGAGGTGGGTGCATCACCTGAGGTCAGGAGTTCAAGACCAGCCTGGCCAACATGGCAAAACCCCGTCTCTACTCAAAATACAAAAATTAGCCAGGTGTGGTGGTGGGTACCTGTCATCCCAGCTACTCAGGAGGCTGAGGCAGGAGAATCATTTGCACTGGGAGATGGAGGTGGCAGTGAACCAAGATCATGCCACTGTACTCCAGCCTGGGTGACAGAGGAAGACTCTGTTAAAAAAAAAAAAAAGAAAAAAAAAAAAACCTTGGAAAGGAGGATCTCCCCAAAATCAATTACAACTAAAATGAAAGGGCCCTTATTGGGGAGTATTGTTAAGCACGGCACCCCCACTGCTGTTAAGCCTCGGGGACTCACTAGCTGAGTACACCTGTCCAAGATTAAACCTGTTTTTTACAAGTCCCCACAGGCACCTGAGAAAGACACCACAACCTACACTTGTGAACCCCTAGAAGATCTAAAGCTGTTGTTTTGCAAAGAAAGAGATAAGTAACATCCTCAGTCCCTCCTACAGGTACTCAACCTTCTTAACAACTCCCATCCCATACAGGTTTGCACCCCCAACGGATTATACCTGTGGCTATGTGGTCATCCATTCAATCAGCCTATAAATAACTTGTCTCTCATTTGGGATCATGGAAACCCATGGATACACAGTGTATTGATAATGTTTGGTTCGGGGGTCAATGTATAATAGAACAAGCAAAGCTCTTTAATATATAATTACATAACATCACTCACCTGAGAGCTAAGCAGGCAGCTGGCCTTATATTGGCTGGAGTTGGGGCTGCCAGTGGTTTATTGGCCCCGTAGGGAAAATTTGCCTATCCCAAGACAACTCTTCAAAACTTTACTTCATTCTACAGACTGTCTTATAAAATGGGGGAGGCTTTAGATAAATCAAAACTCTTCCTTGATTCCTTAGCAAATATAGCAATGGATAATAGATTAGCACTACATTACTTATTGGTTGAACAAGGGGGAGTATTTGCACTATAATCAATAAACCCTGCTGCACTCGTGTAAACACCTCCAGTCAAATAGAAGAAGATCTACAGAAAATATATGAACAAACTGCCTGGTTGCATAAATATAACCAAGACATCAATCCCTAGTTCATTACTAGGTAGCTTTATTTTAATCATTGATATGCCCGCCTTCAGTTGGATGCAACATTTGAGTTGTTTTGCTAGGGGTAGTGACAGGCAATGAATAGTGACAGGCCATGTCTTAACTGATCAACCATTAAAAGTGCCCTTGTGGCGAGGCATGGTGGCCCACGCCTGTAATCCCAACACTTTGGGAGGCCAATGCAGGTGGATCACCTGAGATCAGGAGTTCAAGACCAGCCTGGCCAACATGGTGAAACCCTGTCTCTACTAAAAATACAAAAAATCGGCCACCTCGTATCTCCTCATTCCCGACATGTCCTGGGCTCCGAACGTCTCCTGGGGAGTGGCATGATTGAATCAGGGATTCCCTAGCCCCAGGTCCCCTTCTCCGTCATGCTCAGGACGAGGCTGCCCAGTTCTCAGGTGCAGGACAACGGACAGAACTCAAAGTCATCCCTCTGCTCACCTGAGACAAATGAACGTCTGATTGCTTCTTCTGCCCTATTGTTTATGCAAAAATGCAGATCCACTGAGCCAGACTAAGGCATCAGCGTGACTATTCCTTTACTCCCCACTCCATATAAATTGTGTATTCAGTGAAAGGCTGATCAAAGACCCAAAAGAATGCAGCCTTTTGTCTCTTATCTACCTATGACCTGGAAGCCCCCACTTCGAGTTGTCCCGCCTTTCCAGACTGAACCAGTGTACACCTTACACATATTGATTGATGTCTCATGTCTCCCCAAAATGTATAAAACCAAGCTGTGCCCCGACTACCTTTAGCACGTGTTGTCAGAACCTCCTGAGGCTGTGTCATGTCATGAGTGTGTGCTCAACCTTGGCAAAATAAACTTTCTAAATTGATTGAAAAAAAAAATCAGCCAGGTGTGGTGCAGGCACCTGTGATCCCAGCTACTTGGGAGGCTGAGGCAGAGAATTGCTTGAACCCAGGAGGTGGAGGTTGCAGTGAGCTGAGATCATGCCATTGCACTCCAGCCTGGGCAACAGAGCAAGACTCCATCTCAAAAAGATGCTCCCTCCTGAGTCTCACTGTTTTTTTTGCCCTTCTTAGGACCTTTGATAGCTGTCTGGTTATTACCAATCTTAGCACCTTACTTGTTTAACTCCTAGTGAAGTTTGTGTCTTCTAGATTACAATTCTACATAATGCTGGCACAAGGCTTCCAGCCCATCCCATTTTCTGACCCAGGAAATAAAGACACCTTTGGGCCCATAGATGGGGCAAACAGATAATTTTTACTTCTCCAATCTTATGCCCATAAAATCAGCAAGAAGAAGTTACAGAAGAATGACCTTCACACCTCATCTCTCCTTAAGATTAAGAGATCTCTTATAAATCGAGGATTATGTTAGGGAAATAGGAGCATAGGAGAGCCAGGTTGATACCATTTTAAAAAACAATTCCATCTAGGGGCCGGGCACGGTGGCTCACGCCTATAATCCCAGCACTTTGGGAGGCTGAGGCGGGCGGATCACGAGGTCAGGAGATCAAGACCATCCTGGCTAACACAGTGAAACCCCGTCCCCACTAAAAATACAAAAAATTCTCTGGGTGTGGTGGCGGGCGCCTGTAGTCTCAGCTGCTCAGGAGGCTGAGGCAGGAGAATGGCGTGAACCCGGGAGGCGGAGCTTGCAGTGAGCCGAGATCACGCCACTGCACTCCAGCCTGGGTGACAGAGCGAGACTCTGTCTCAAAAAAAAAAAAAAAAACAACTCCATCTAAAACCAGCAAGGCATATTCCTTGCCAGTCACCACCCGTGGCCATAAGATGTTTTGGCTAAGGGAGCAGTTTAGTAATGCCTGCGAGGACAAACTCCTATGACAGCAGAATGTCCAGATGTCCTGACATTGAGTAATAATATATGGTTTTAAGATAGTTATAATCATGCTTTGAGGTACTTACACACTCAAATGCCAAGGATAACTTTCTTTCAATCAACAAACTCCTAAATTGTCATGCTGTCAGCCCACCAGCATGTAGACATAACTTAGCTTTAACATGGTTAAGACCCCTACATAAGAAGAGTTTAAAACAGGGATGGCACGTTCCTCCTCTTGCTTTCTAAGGACACCTTACTCTGTAACTGAGTAGCTTTCAATAAACTACCTCTTACTGTGCACTCTGTGACTCGCCTTGAATTCCTTCCTGCGTGAGATCCAAGAACCCTCTCTTGGGGTCTGGATTGGACCCCTTTTTCCAGCAACAATGAGACTCTTTGAATTTTGGAATATTTTAAATTCCTGAAGAGGTATGTGAAAATGGTGTGCCTGTAATGGCAAAGGAGTTAAGTAGGGTGATATAGAGTAGAGGAGGAGGAAAAGTTAGAAATAAAACTCTAAGATAGAAGGCAGTCTGGATAATAGAAATAACTCCAAACAGCTTATAAGAGGATTAGTTTTCATCAGTTTGATGTAAAGAAGTGCACTGCCAATGGCGGGGATGGGGGATTGTGCAGCTTCCATAAATAACACTGAATGTCACTGTTTCAAATGTATTTATAATCCCTGGGTTAGAGTCAACTCAGGAATGGAAAGACATTTTTAACTGGCTGACTCTACCAGCAGGTGGAATGAGTGCTTCATGAGGTGAGGCAAGCAAGAGATGATAGTGTTGAGTTTATGATGTTTTGAGTTTATTACTAGGTAGCTTTATTTTAATCATTGATAGGCCTGCCTTCAGTCGAAGGCAACAACTCAAATGCAACATTTGAGTTGTTTTGCTAGGGGTAGTGACAGCCAATGAATAGCCGTGTCTTAACTCTATATACATGAGGTTTCAAAGCACTTATTTGGATGTTTGCCCACATTCTCTCACCTTATCCCCTAACCAGAGGCGTCTACTTTAGAGCTGGCAGCCTCATGAAGCCCATTAACAAGGATTGAGACCAAAGAATACTTTACAGACTTTGAAGTTAACCTCTGCACTCTGGACTTAAACCTTCTTGAGTCACCTGACCAAGCATTTCGTTTCAAAACATTTCAGGAAAGTTTTGAATGACATGGCTAGAGTCTTGTGTAAAAATGGGTGCAGGCATCCAGGGGACAGCTGGTCTGATGTCACAATGGCCAGTGACAGGGTCTTCCTGAGTTCTATCAGCAGAAAGTCATATCAGCTGCAGATTTTCCTCAGGTAATTCAAGTCTCCAAGCCTGATTCTATACAAACTGGATGCAATCACCTGTCCACTGGGAAGTGGGGATGAAGAGGAGATGGCGATGCTTTGGGTTCCTCCGGAATGTGCCTCACAAATACTAAGGGTAATCACTGGGCGGGGTGGCCAATCATTTGATAAACCAAACACCAATTAACCCTCCCAAAAAGAAAGGAGCTAATTTGTTACACTTAGATATTTCGAAGTAAAACGTCTCAGCTAAGGAAAAGTTTGGAAAAAGGGAAAAGTATGTGAATGCTCTTTAGCATGGAACAATATGAAACCACCACTGGAAAAAAATAATGCACAAGTAACATCTAAGTACTGCTCAGAATGCTGCAGTGATCACATCACTCCTCTGCTCAAAACCCCTCGATGGTTTGAAATTATATGCCAGGGAAATTATATGCAAGCTCTCCAGCCTAGCATTGAAGGCCCCACGCCTCCTTTTCACCTCCACCCTACAGGCCCTCCTCAGTCTGCTTTGGCCAGCCCGGACCCCTTGCTCTTGCAGGAACCCGAGTCACCTGAACCTGAGCAGTTGCTCCGGTCAAAAGGGAAGTAAACGTCAACTACCGGCGCCTGCAATGTCCTTTCCCATGCCTGTTTGCCTATCCTACCCACCCCAGCCGCATTTTGTCCCGCTCTGGAAACTCCCAGCAGTCGGTTCTCATCACAGCATCTTTCCTTCTGCAGTGGTTGCTGAACTTAAGTATGCACCCTTCTCCAAGGCCGACACACTTTTCGAATCAGGTCAGCGGTGTCACTGGTGCAAAGTCCTAAAACTAAAACAGAATGAGGGTGTTTCCCCCAAAGATTCCACCTCGTAGACCCAGCACTCACCCCAATAGAGAAGACGGTCGAGCTGGCCGGGAGGACGCGGACGCCCGACTCTGCCTCCCTTTGGCTTTACCAACTGCCCAATGACCGCTGCGGCGGGGCTGTTTCGTAAGCGGCTGGCCAATAGCGGAGAGAGGGGCGGGCCTCGGTGGGGGCCTGGCCCAGTGAGAGTCGCGCGGGGGACGATCCGATCTCTGTCCAGCTGCGACCCAATGGGAGTCCCCGCCAGGAGACACAACCGGCGGCTCTCCGGGGATTTATAAGGTCCCGCCAGCAACCGCGCGTTGGGATTCGTGGTGTTGCTGGAGACCCGTATGGTGTCTGCAGTCAGCGACCCTCCAACTTCAACTACTGGATCAACCATGGTGAAGGATGCTGTGCGGGGGAGGGTGTCGCACGATGGGGAGGATGCCGGGGGCGCACGGGGGGTCGGTGGGAAGGGCCCGCAGCGCAAAACGGAAGGGCGCCCCGGCAGTCCAGGGTGTGGGGTGGGCTGCGCGGGGATGCCAGGGGTGTTTGGGCGTTCAGGGCGAAGGTGGGCTCTGCAGAAAGCCCGGGGACGCCCGAGGAGTCCCGGCACCACTTTTCTACCCTGCTTCCCCTACGGGAGGCGGTGCGAGCTAGAAACGTTCTGAGCGCCCCAGAAGCGCTGAGGGACTAGGGAGGCTGGCGAGCGGTAAAGCGTGGGCGAGAACATGGTGGGGTCGTTTGTGCGCTGCGCTCAAGGTCGGGCAGCGGAGTCGGCTCTGCGGCAGAGCGCGCTCTGGAGCCTGGAGGGGATCTAGGGCCCGCCCCGTATTTCTCCCGCTGCGGTCCTGGACAAAGAGGTGCCCGCTTGTAGCTGCGGTCCCCGCCTCCCTCTGAGATCACATTGCCGCGCAGGAGGCAAGGTCCAGGATGATTGGGAAGCTCTAACAGGTTTCTCCAGTTCAAAACCTGTTCCCCTGAATGTCTTTGTCTTGGGCGCCCGACTCTGGCCAGAGGTAGAGGTCCTCGCCCTTTGGCCCCATACTTGACTAGGGATTCCTGTAAGCTCTTGGGGCCTTGAAAAGAATGTTCTTGACTCCACTTTTCTCCTGTTTGGTGCCCAAGGACTTGAGGTCCCTCTGTTAAAACTGAGAACTTGACTGGCCAGGCGCGGTGGCTCACGCCTATAATCCCAGCACTTTGGGAGGCCGAAGCGGGCGGACCACCTGAGGTCGGGAGTTCGAGACCAGCCTGACCAACATGGAGAAACCCGTCTCTACTAAAAATACAAAATTGGCCAGCCGTGGTGGCGCATGCCTGTAGTCCCAGCTACTCGGGAGGCTGAGGCAGGAGAATCGCTTGAACCTGGGAGGCTGGGGTTGCGTTGAGCGGAAATCCCGCCATTGCACTCTAGCCTGGGCAACAAGAGCGAAACTCGGTCTCAAAGAAATCAAAGCAAAAAAAAAAAAAAAAAAAAGCCTGAGAACTTGGGGTGGGTACACAGAGGTCCCTGTACCCCCCGGAAACCTCTTGATCCCTGCCTGTGCTCTGAGCCCCCTTAAAGGCTCTGAGGCTGTCTTAGAGGGTAGTTCCTAAGACTGTTAAACTGTTGCCTACTGTCACCCTAGAAGATCCCTTCTACATCTGGGAGGTGCTCGGCCCTTTTAAATTGACCCCCTAGACCGTGGGTTGGGTGAAGGACCAGAAGAAGGGAGGAAGGGTTTATCCATCATAGGAGTTACCTGAGTGAAAAGAGTCGAAAGGTAGGGTGGGTCTTCTGGTCTCCGCTGCGACGCTTAATTTAGGAGTACTGACTTGGATTAGCTTGCCTGTACTGCAGTTGGCAGGGACAGGTGTCTAGAGTAGGTGCCTGTCCCCCCAAAAGGGGAGTTTGTGGGTGAGCTTTCAGAAGGCTAGCTCTAACTCCAAGGCTGCTTCCTCAGTTGATCCACAGGTCTGAACTTAGTCTTCTGCCCTTTTGGGATGTGGGGGAGACAGTTGCTGCCCATGGGAGACCTCCTCTTCTAGGCCCCAGTGCTTGAATCTAGAAGCTCTTGGTGGGCCTGTCTTGGAATACAGGACTCTGAGCTTTCCCAAGGCACCCCAAACAGCAGGGAGGACACTGTGCAGTGGGATTTGGCTATTTGGTTTTGGCTTTCTCTAGTTCCTGCCCCAGAGACCTAGGCATAACCACCTTCTTAAGCTCTGAGTGAATGAAGGAAAATGAGGGCCTGAAGGTGGTTTGGCTTAAAGTATGGGAAGGCTTGGAAAGAGAACCGAGTCTTCTGGACTTTGGTTTTTTGGTTTGTTTTTTGAGATGGAGTCTTGCTCTCTCGCCTAGGCTGTAGTGCAGTGTTGTGATCTCGGCTCACTGCAACCTCTGCCTCCCGGGTTCAAGTGATTCTCCTGCCTCAGCCTCCTGAGTAGCTGGGACTACAGGCGCCCACCACCACATCCGGCTAATTTTGTATTTTTAGTAGAGGTGGGGTTTCACTGTGTTGGCCAGGATGATCTCGAACTCCTGACCTCAGGTGATCTGCCTGCCGTGGCCTCCCAGAGTGCTGGGATTATAGGTATGAGCCACTGCACCCGGCCAGTCGTCTGAACTTTGGACTAGGTAACACTAAGCTTCAGCCTTTAGGGAGGAAAGACAAGGGGTGCTCCCAGGGAAGGCTTTTCAAGTCCCCACCTTTTCACTCCACACCACTCATGCCCTGGCATATTCCTCTGCTCACCCTCACAGTGTGAGTGCATCTCCATCCATGTGGGCCAGGCCGGAGTGCAGATGGGCAATGCCTGCTGGGAGCTGTACTGCCTGGAGCACGACATCCAGCCCAGTGGCACCATGCCCAGCCACAAGGCCCTGGGGAGCAGTGATAACTCCTTCAACACCTTCTTCAGGGAGACCCAGCCTGGCAGGCATGTGTCCTGGGCTGTCTGTGGACCTGGAGCCTGCTGTCATAGGTGAGTGGACGGAGGAGTGGGGGCTCCTTCCCCCAGGCCATAGTTTTTGCTAGCGCCAATGTCAGATGGGAGCTCTGCTTAAGGGGAAAATACTTGAGATGGAAGCAGTCCCCTGCCATGAACAGCATTGAAGTCTGAAGTCTATTGCTTTTGTCTAGACTCTGTCCTCAGAAGAGGTCCTGGGGGCTTCCTATATTGAGAGGAAGATCATTCGCACAACTCTGCCAGGAAACTGCCAGATAGGAGTCAGGGATCAGGCCTAGAACGCAGACTGCAGAAAGGAGCAGATGTAAAAGCAGAAATTTAAAACTTGCTTTTCCCTGTCCTCAGACTCTTGAGGGTGGCCCATTGCGTAAGAAGCAGGGAGCCAAGAACATTCATACTGGCCTCCTGCTTAGCCTTAACTGAAATAGGCCCCCCCCACGTAGGATGTGGGCCTATGTGAACTTGGCTGTTGCTGGCTTCCGGAGGCTTTCCTGCTTCCTCCCTTCTGCATCTGGATCTCCTCTGTTTTCTAATCGTGACAATTCTACCCCTCCTCCATTTTTTAAAGCTGTTATTTTAGATGTTAAATGGTGCACTGGGTTTCTTCATTAGTCTGTATTCTTTTTTTTTTCTTTTCTTTTTCCATGGTGAAAATTTACATTAGTCTGTATTCTTACCCTATTCGAAAGTGAAGTGAGATTCTCCTTAACACCACTCTGATTCCTCACCTAGCACAATGAAGTCGCTGTAGAGGGAAGGGACCACTGAAGGTGCCACCTGCTCTCCCCGTCTCAAGCCCAGGCAGGACCTGGCCTTAGAAGTGGGTCTCTGGTCGGGAGGCTGAGGCAGGAGAATCGCTTGAACCCGGGAGACAGAGGCTGTGGTGAGCCAAGATCGCGTGATTGCACTCCAGCCTGGGCAACAAGAGTGAAACTCTGTCTCAAAAAAAAAAAAAGAAAGAAAAGAAAAAGAAGATGCCGTGCATCATCACTCTGTTGAGCAGTTGTACCTGGGGAGGCTTAGCAGCAAAGGTTCTGGTGTCTGGCGTTCCCTTGGGGAATGAACCAGCTTGTCTTACCTTTGTCCTTTCTTCCCCTCAAGATGGGGTAAGAACTGACATTTATAGGCAGCTGTTCCACCCTGAACAGCTGATATCTGGCGTGGAAGATGCTGCCAACAACTGTGCCCGTGGCCACTACACTGCGGGGAAGGAGATCATCGATTTGGTGCTGGAGTGAATCTGAAAACTGGTGAGCAGGCCTCTGGCACCTACAGGAGGTCGTTGCATCCTTAACCCTCTTCCTGGCTGGGAGGCAACCACAGCCTGTGCTGGTACCTGACATCATTCCTCCAGCCTGTCAGTCCACTCAGCTTCTCTTAAGGGGATATGTGTTTTCTGTCCTGGGTACGGATCTAGGGTTGGAAGCCTGAATAAACTGCTCTGCCTTGAGTTTGTGGACTCAAGCTTCTGCCCTGATGGTTCCTCGCTTTGCCAGGTCTGTCTGATCCAAGCCTTCTTTGACCTTTGATCCATCTCTACAGCAGCTCAGCTTGTTGTTCTTAGACTCCTATGCAGATCTGTCCAGGTGGGAGGGGCTCCTGTTTAGCACTCAACCATTTCACCAGTTCACCCTTCCCCTATCCGAGGCATTGAGAACCACCAGTGAGGCTGCCTGTGAGCCAGGACTTTGGCCCTGTTGCTGTAGGGGGATTGCCTAGACATACTCTCTGCTGCTCGGTAGAGACTGAGGACTTGGAAGTGACCTGAGGAGTAGGATTCTGTGCTCCCTTCCTCAAGAATGAAAATAAAATACCTCCTAGGGGTAGACTTCTTTTATACTGTCACTACCATGTGTCTGGTATAGACTGATGATTTTCTTACCCAAGAAACAGCTGTATCAGCATCACATGGGGTACTTTTTAAAGCTGCAGGTTCCTGGGTTCCAGTCTGAGGTGAGGCCTGGTAATCTGTATGTTCAACAGGATGCCACCACCACTCCCACTCTGCTGTAACTAGGGGGCAGGGCAACAAAACAGAGAGGGCCTGGCTCTCTGAGTGCAAATCATCCGTCCTTCCTCATCCCTACCATTGCGTATGCACAACACTGCCTTTCCAAGTCATCTTTTCCCTAGGAACTCCAAACCTCCTGTAGGTGATCTTTTTTTTTTTTTTCTTTTTTGAGAGAGTTGCTCTGTCGCCTAGGCTGGAATGCCACTAGTGGTGCAGTCACAGCTCACTGCAACCTCTACCTCCTGGGTTCAAGTGGTCCTCCCGCCTCAGCCTCCTGAGTAGCTGGGACTACAGGTGCACACCACAACACCCAGATACTTTTTGTATTTTTTTGTAGAGATGGGGTGTTGCCATCCCAGCACTTTGGTACGCCAAAGTGCTGGGATTACAGGTGTGAACCACCACACCTGGACAGGTGATCTTTTTTCACCTCTATGGAGGCGAAGCAAAAGGACACAAAGGAACTTTCTCGGGGTGATGGGAATTTCTGTATCTCTGTTGGTTTGGTTATATAGGTGTCTACGCATGTCAAATCATTCATTGTATGTCCAAAAGATGCACACACTTAAGTATAAACTATACTTCAAAGTCTTTCTAAAATACAGAAGTGAATGCAAGTATAGTTAGGTAATAGTAGCTTTCAACACAGAAGCTTCCTCAGGAGAAGAGGGTTGGGACGGGTGACATGCCATCTACATCCTTAATGATGTTATTGCCTGCTCCAGACAGACCAGTGCACCATGCTTCAGGGCTTCCTGATCTTCCATAGTTTTGGGGATGGCACTGGCTCAAGTTGGAATTTGCTATCTACCCAGTCCCCCAAGTGTCCATGACAGTTGTAGAACCCTATAACTCTATCTTGACCACCCACACCACCCTGGAGCACTCAGACTGCCTTCATGGTAGACGAGGCCATCTATGATCTCTGCTGCCACAACCTGCGCCCTACCTATACCAACCTGAACTGGCTCATCAGCCAGATTGTGTCCTCCATCACTGCTTCCTTGTGTTTTGATGGTGCCCTCAACGTGGACCTCACAGAGTTCCAGACCAATCTGGTGCCCTACCCTCGCATCCACTTTCCCCTGGTGACCTACTCACCCATTATCTCAGCTAAGAAGGCCTACCATGAGCAGCTCTCAGTGGCAGAGATCTCCAGTGTCTACTTTGAGCCCTCCAATCAGATGGCCAAGTGTGACCCTCGCCACGGCAAGTACATGGCCTGCTGCCTGCTCTACTGTGGAGAAGTGGTGCCCAAGGACGAGAATGCCACCATTGCCACCATTAAAACCAAGCAAATATTTGTTTTGCGGACGTGTCCCACAGGTTTCAAGGCAAGTGGGGGTAAAGGGCAGTTAGCACATGGCCTGTGTACCTGCTAAGACGGGAGCTTCCTGCAGAGGAGGTGTGAGGAACAAATGCACAGGATCTCACTGTCACCCAGGCTGGAGTACACTGGCGTCATCTTGGCTCACTGCAGCCTCGACCTCCTGCACTCAAGCAGTCCTCCTGTCTCAGCCTCCTCAGTAGCTGGGACCACAGGTTTGTGCCACCACACCCTGCTAACTTTGTATTTTTTTGGAGAGGTGGGGCTTCACCATATTGCCCAGGCTGGTCTCAGACTCCTGCGCATGGGTGATCCACCTACAATGGCCTCCCAAAGTGTTACAGGTGTGAGCCACTGTGCCCCGCTAGAGGATTCCTTTAACTGGATAGGTCTCAGCTGGTCTAGAAGCCAGGCCTTTGGACTGTAAGCCAGCGTGGGTTCTACTTGAAAGATTGCCTTGATGAAAGGAAAAGTATCAATTTCATCTTACTTAGCCTGGTAAAAAGGCGTTCCCTAGGGCTGCCAGTCACATGGGGAGAATGGCCTCCTTGTCACTTGTGCTAGGGACATAACCACGTGCTATAGGCTCCTGCTCAGAAGGGAAGGCTTTCAGAAGCCAGAGAGGCCCATTATCAGATGATGGGGAAAGTGCGGATCAGAAGGTCAGAGGCTTCTTGTGTTCTGCGTCTGGATGCGTTCTCTTCCTTTTGCGGTAATAAGGAAGAAGCACGCATTTATGCCCCACCCTGTTATCAGTTGACCTTCCCAGGGTGCTGGGCATATGACCTAGTTTGTTTTTTGGGTTTTGTTGTGGGATAAGACTCCAGAAAGATTAAAGATGGCAGCTGTGGCATTAGAAAACATATATAGCGGCTGGGCGCAGTGGCTCACTTTGGGAGGCCGAGGTGTCCGGATCACAAGGTCAGGAGATGATCGAGACCATCCTGGCTGACACGGTGAAACCCCGTCTCTACTAAAAATACAAAAAAAATTAGCTGGGCATGGCGGCATGCCCCTGTAGTCCCAGCTGTTGGGGAGGCTGAGGCAGGAGAATGGCGTGAACCCGGGAGGCGGAGCTTGCAGTGAGCCAACATCGCGCCACTGCACTCCAGCCTGGGCAACAGAGCAAGACTCCGTCTCAAAAAAATAAAAATAAAAAAAGAAAACATATATAGCTTTCCTGCCCCATGACACTGCTGTGGACATGACCACAACAGGAGGACAGGCAGGAATAATAGCTGCTTGCTAGTGTGGAAGAGTTGTCCTGTAGCTCAGAAATGGAAATGAGGGGTAGGCTATCTGGGAAACAGACTGTTTCTGCCTCCATATTAGGAAGATCTTTAGCTGCTTAAGGGAAGAATAGGCTGCCTTTAGGACATGGTCAGCTTGTTGTCCCTAGAGACACTAATGGGAAGTTGACTTTTTTTTTTTTTTTTTTTTTTTGAGGATGAGAAACACTAAAATGTATTATATATTCTGGGCTGGGTGCAGTGATTCAGGCCTGTAATCCAGCACTTTGGGAGGCAGAGGTGGGAGGATGGCTTGAGCCCAGGAGTTTGAGACCAGCCTGGGCAATGTGAGACTCCATCTGTACAAAATATTTTAAAAAATTAGCCAGTCTTGCTAGTGTGTACTTATAGTTCTAGCTACTCAGAAGGCTGAGGTGGGAGGATCACCTGGGTCCAGGAGGTTTAGGCTGCAGTGAGCTATGATTGCACCCCCCTCTCCAGCCTCAGCAACAGAGCGAGACCCTGTTTTTTGTTTTGTTTTGTTGTTGTTGTTGTTTTGAGACGGAGCTTCACTCTGTCACCCAGGCTGGAGTGCAGTGGCGTGATCTCAGCTCACTGCAACCTCCGCCTCCTGGGTTTAAGCAATTCTCCTGCCCCAGCCTCCCGAGTAGCTGGGACTATAGGCGCCCGCCACCACACCCGGCTATTTTTTGTATTTTTAGTAGAGACAGGGTTTCACCATGTTGGCTAGGCTGGTCTCAAACTCATGACCTCAGGTGATCCACCCGCCTCGGCCTCCCAAAGTGCTGGGATTACAGGCGTGAGCCACCGCATCCGGCCCCCTTTTTCTTGACTGACTTTGAAGGCACTAGTCTTGTCTTGCAGAAGCTCCCTCATTCTAGACTTGTTTGTTTCCTTGTGGTGGTGATCATCTTCCTCTTTGTTTCTTACAAGTTGACAAATGCCCCTTCCCTAGTTCCAGGGATCCCTGTACAGACCCTTCCAGGAAACACAGAACCAGGCGCTTATACTTCTTTGTTTTTTCTTAGGTTGGCATCAACTACCAGTCCCCCACAGTGGTGCCCGGGGGTGCTGTAGCCAAGGTGCAGCGGGCAGTCTGCGTGCTAAACAATACCACAGCCATCACTGAGGCCTGGGCCCGCCTCAACCAAAAGTTTGACCTGATGTATGCCAAGCGGGCATTTATGCACTGTTATGTGGACAGGGGCATGGAGGAAGGTGAGCTCTCTGGGCCTGAGAGGACCTGGCTGCCCTGGAGAAGGATTATGAAGTAGGCACAGAATCTTTGGACAGCGAGGATGAGCATGAGGAGTTCTAGGGGTCCTGGCACCTGTAACACCTGGTCTCTCGCACCACAGTTGTGTGTGTATCTCATTCCACTGTTCCCTGACCCCCTACAAATACAATGGATATTGCAAGCGATGTGGAACTCTGTGGAATTCTGCCCAGGCAGTGGGCCATCTTTAAGCTTCTCAGCTTCCTTTAATGTCTTTCTAAGTTGAAGGGCAGGGTGGCCTCTGCTGCTAGGGCCTCCAGCCAGGGCATGTCTAGTGGAGGATTGGCACTGCTTCCCTCCTGTGTGAGCGGACCACCCTGACACGCCTTCGCCGGTTCAGCACCCAGGCTGTGGTACTTCAACTTCACAGGGGTCCCTATGTGTACCCCCTTGTCTCCAGCCCAGTTCGAGGAAGAGTAAGCTTTCTAGAGATTCTAATGAAAGCTGCCGAAAGTTTATCTGCCCCCAGCATTCCGGGGCAGAAACTGCAGGACTTCAGTGCCACAAGGAATCAAGCACGTCTAACCACTCCTCCCGCCTGATGGCCAAGAGAGGGCAGTAGAGGTTGCCTTCACAGGCCTCTCCGCAGCAGCCATCTTAGACTTGAGGGCTCTGTCCTGATGCCTTACAAACGCAGGGTCCAAGAAATAGGATTCCAAAAAAAACAGTGGTCTCCAGCCTGGGACTATGAAGATACGAAACAACTTACTTTAAGGGACAGGGTCTCGCTGTGTTGCATGCGCTGGAATGTAGTGGTTATTCTCACAGATGTGGTCACAGCATGCTACAGCCTTGGACTCCTGGGCTCAAGCCATCCTCCTGCCTCAGCCTCCCCATGTGGTGGCCTACAGGCACTACCTCATGCCTGGCTATGAAGTAAATCTTAAAAGTGCCTATGAGACTTTTAGGCAAGAAGATCCGTATCTCTTATTCTCAACGGAGTTCCTAATGAGGAAATTAGGAACTGTTGTTTTAGAGGCTTAGGCATATCTGCTCACATGTGGTGTCAGAGATCAATTTATTAGTAAAAGGTTCTGGCAGAAGCTAATGACTAAACAAATGGCCCCTTCTGGAACAGTCCAGGTTCAAGGAGGCTGCTTTTATTATTATTTTATTATTATTTATTTTTTTGGAGACGGAGTCTCACTCTGTCGCCCAGGCTGGAGTGCAGTGGCACGATCTCAGCTCACTGCAACCTCCGCCTTCTGGGTTCAAGCGATTCTCCTACCTCAGCCTCCTGAGTAGCTGGGACTATGGGTGCACACTGCCACTCCTGGCTAATTTTTTGTATTTTAGTGGAGACAGGGTTTCACCATGTTGCCCAGGCTGGTCTCGAACTCCTGAGGTCAGGCAATCTGCCCTCCTCACCCTCCCAAAGTGCTAGGATTACAGGCGTGAGCCACTGTGCCCAGCTATTTTTTTTTTTTTTTTTTTTTGTGAGACAGAGTCTCACTCTCTCTCCCGGGCTGGCATGCAGTGGCGTGATCTCAGCTCACTGCAACCTCTGCCTTCCAGGTTCAAGCAATTCTTCTGCCTCAGCCTCCTGAATAGCTGGGATTACAGGCATGCGCCACCATCCCTGGCTAATTTTTGTATTTGTAGTAGAGATGAGGTTTCACTATGTTGGCCAGGCTGGTCTCACACCCCTGATCTCAGGTGATCCGCCCACCTCAGCCTCCCAAAGTGCAAGGATCACAGGCATGAACCACCTCGCCTGGCCAGGCTGCTTTTAAATAATGTGCTTAAAGTCCCCTCAGCCAGGAGAGGTTGCAAGCTTATGTATTCTTAAACCACAGAGAATCTCCATGGAGCCAGGCTTTGTTCCTGGCAAGGCCACTGAGCAGAACCTAACCCAGCCCCTGCCAGAAAGGCGAGGGCCACCCATACTCTTGGCCTGGAACTACCTACTCTGGTTTTTGGACACTTAATTCTAGCACGTGTTTGCTCTCTTAAGCACCAGTGAGCCTTGGGGCTGCCTAAATGTCATCTGTGGCCTTGCTTTGGCTTCAGGAAACTGGTTACTAGCGTTAATCTAGAGACTTATTCCCAGCATCTGTGAGCCTTGCTCCTTGATCCCTGGGAGGGTATTTGCCAAAAGGAGGGAATCCCAGAGCCTACAGCATAGTGCCCAGGGTCACAGACTGCCCCTACCATGGAACTGCATGCTTAGGTCCAGAGGGGCTGTGGCCTTGTGTGCTGGTTGGTCCCCACATGTTGGGCCTCTTCCTTTTTTTAGCATCTTCCTCTGTATTTGCATTTCTGAGCAGAGAGGTCTGACAGTCTTCTGCTTGGCTGTATTCCCCCTTTCCCTCAGTCCCCATAGTCCCCAAAAGACAAGGGCCTCAACCTACTGTGTCATTTGTCTTAATTCGCTAATAGCGTGGCTCTGACATGGGTGTGTATCCTTACTTGTGCCCCCTTTCTTTCGTGTAAGCAAGACAAGTCTCCCTTGCTATAGCGGTTGATTTTTTCTATTTTACTCCAGAGTCTTTCTCCAAAGCTGTTCCTAGGAGACTGCTAACCTACTGGTTCCTCTAGTACTGGGTAGAGGTGGAATAAGGGCACAGAAGGAAGGGAAAGAGGTTGGAGAAACCTGCTCTATTAAAGTGTCTGTTGCCGGGCCTGGTGGCTCACACCTGTAATCCCAGCACTTTGGGAGGCCGAGGCGGGTGGATCACCTGAGGTCAGGAGTTCGAGACCAGCCTGGCCAACATGGTGAAACCTTGTCTCTACTAAAAATACGAAACATTAGCCGGGCGTGGTGGCGCATGCCTGTAATCTCAGCTACTCAGGAGGCTGAGGCAGGAGAATCGCTTGAACCCAGGAGGCGGAGGTTGCAGTGAGCCGAGATTGCACCATTGCACTCCAGCTTGGGCAACAAGAGCAAAACTCTGTCTCCAAAAAATAAATAAATTAATTAATTAATTAATTAATTAAAGTGCCTATTAACGGATCTGGATCTGTTGATGTTTGGCAGGTGCCCCTGGTCTGCTCTGCCGGTATCTTCACCCGGAAACCAGTGAGCTGATGTTTTCTTTCCTTCTCTTCCTCTCACTGGGCCCATGGATTCATACATATTAGCAGTTCAATCCATCATGCAGAGAGACCACCCCTCCCTGAGCACATACCCCAGGCCACAGGAAGGTGAACATCCAGTGAGGGTTGGACTCCTAGCCCTGAGCACTCTCCTGTGATGAGATACCAGATAGAATGAGTCAGTTAAAGCTGGGGGTAGCAAGCTCGATGATTTATTTGGATAACCTAGCAGCTGCCATACCTCTTCTCCTGGCACCCAGGTAGAATGGAAGGTAAGTCATGTTCTCATCTATGACCCATCCCTCTTTTTGTACTTTTGAAATAAACAGGAAGGGTTTTTGTTCAGTCTTTGCCTGACCTTAACTCCCACCTCCCCACCTCCAAGCCCCAGATAGGGCCCAGTCCCTTGGGAGAGCCTTTCCTGGGTTCCTTTCAAACTATGGAACCTCTGATAGGGTGAGGATGGAGAAGAGAAATTCTTGCCTTGGGGTTGTGACCTGAAACTGAGAGACTCTTGGAGTCTTAACAAGCACAGTTGACCCTTGAACAACACAGGGGTTGGGGTGCTGACCCTGTGCAGTCAGAAATCCACGTATAACTTTTGTCTGCCCCAAAACTTAACTAATAACCTACCATTCACTGGAAGCCTTACCAATAATATAAACAACCAATTAACACATTAGTAATGTATTATATATCACATTCTTATAAGAAAGTAAGCTAGAGAAAAATCATAAGGAAGAGAAAGTGTATTTACTGTTCGTTAAGTGGAAATGGATCATTATAAAGGTCTTCATCCTCATCTTTACCTTGAGGAGGAAGAGGAGGAGTTGTTGCTATCTCAGGGGTGGCAGAGGCAAAAGAGGGTTGAAGAGGTGAAAGGGAAGGCAGGCACACTCAATGCAATTTTTATTGAAAAAGCCACTTCTAAGTGGACCTATGCCTCTCAAACCCATATTGTGCAATGGTCAGCTCTATTCTACTTGAAGCATGAGCATGGGTAAGCATTGCCTTTCCTGGGCCGGCTTTCTCACGGATGTTGTTACTGGAGGATGCGTCAGATAGACTCTAGTCCCAGTCTTGGTCATAACAAGATCTAAACCTAGATGACTTCCTGCAGGTCCCATTGGCTTCCATTTATAACTGCCCGAAGACCCAGGTCCCCATGCTCAGCTGGCTCCATGGAGTCCTTGGAGGAGAGGGTGGTTACTTTGGTGATGCAGAACTGAAAACTAAGGGGAAGTGGCCTAAGAGAAGACAGGGCACCTCCAAAGTACCCGGTCCCTATTAGAAATCCAACAGTTTCTGACCCCCAAGAACGCATAGATGGGACAGGAGACCTTGACTGTTTCTTTTTCTCTGTAGTGCAGACTCTCAGTAAGTTCTGCCCGGCTTTCAGTCTGGTTCCTCGCCTACAGTCTGCGCTGTACCTGAGGCCAGAGTTTTAGATTTGACTGTCCCAGGGTGTAAACTTGTTTTCTGTTGGATGTATTCTGCTTGTGTAAAGTGAAAGACAGAGTCTTGGGCCCTAACTTTTCCCTCATGAAGACTTGTGCTATTCTCAGCTCTACCCTGTATCCCCACCTTCAGAACTGAGATTCTGTGATGTGACTCATCTTGCTGCTTCTAGGCGTTCAGTGTCCTGCACTAGTACACCCACCTGCAGTGAGGAAGCTGCTCTTTTTCTGTCTTCCCTCTGCTTAAAGCTCAGTAGAGTGGGTGAGACATATGCACAGTGTCTGGAGGCCACAGGAAGCCTCAGGCAAGACGAGGGGAGCTTTCCAGGAGGACTGGCACTTGCACCAGATGCTGACAATGAGTTGGGGTACAGGGCAGGGTTCAAGACAGAGACTGTTACAGGAAAAAATATGGAAAACGCAAGCACGTTATGTTTGGGTGATCTCGACTAGCTTGTAGCTGGACTTTGGAACAGGGGAAGGAACTAGAGAAAAAGGTACAGGGGTGAATGACCTTGGTTTGGGTTTCTTTTTCAAATATTTATTGAGCACCTACTATGAGCCATGGATTATTCTAGATGTTAGGGGGCCGTTGTGGGGAGCAAAGAAATTTGAACTTTCTCCTGTATAAAATGTTTAGTGGTATTCAGGTGCCTGCATTCAGAGATAACCCATCCTTAAAGCAGTGGTTCTCAACCTGGGACACTTTTGCCCTCCAGCGGACATTTGGCAATGTTTAGAGACGTTTTTGACTGTTGCAACTGCGGGTAGGGGTGATCTGGCATGTCGCATATAGAGACCAGGGATGTGGCTCAGTCCTACAAAGCACAGAACAGACATGCCCACACCACAAAGAATTATCCTGCCAGAAATGTCAATACTGCTGAGATTAAGAAATCTTAGGCCGGGCGCGGTGACTCATGCCTGTAATCCCAGCACTTTGGGAGGCCGAGGTGGGCAGATCACCTGAGGTCGGGAGTTCGAGACTGGCCTGACCAACATGGAGAAACCTCGTCTCTACTAAAAATATAAAAAAATTAGCTGGCCATGGCTGGGCACAGTGGCTCATGCCTATAATTCCAGCACTTTGGGAGGCCAAGGCAGGTGGATCACGAGGTCAGGAGATCGAGACCATCCTGGCTAACATGGTGAAACCCCGTCTCTACTAAAAATACAAAAAATTAGCCGGGCGTGGTGGCGGGTGCCTGTAGTTCCAGCTACTGGGGAGGCTGAGGCAGGAGAATGGCATGAACCCGGGAGGCGGAGCTTGCAGTCAGCCGAGATGGCGCCACTGCACTCCAGCCTGGGCGAGACAGCGAGACTCTGTCTCAAAAAAAAAAAAAAAAAAAAAAATTAGCTGGCCCTGTTGGGACATGCCTGTAATCCCAGCTACTCAGGAGGCTGAGGCAGGAGAATCACTTGAACCCAGGAGGTGGAGGTTACAGTGAGCTGAGATCGCGCCATTGCACTCCAGCCTGGGGAACAAGAGCGAAACTCCGTGTCAAAAAAAAAAAAAAGGAAATCTTGCCTTAAAGGATTGCTTGACAGTTGCAAGAAGGATAGATTTCTGGGCACAGTACCGTAGAGGGATAGTGGCTGTTGTAGTTATCAAGGTGAAAAACCAATGCTTGGACCAGAGCAGTGAGATGGGGGAGGGAAGAGTAAAAGGGTTGGGTCACAGCGCTTAGTGACCAGTTGACATGGCACACAGGGAGAAGGGTCATGGGTGACTTGCTGCTTGGACAGCATGAGATGTTCTCCCTCCCATGTTTCCCATTTAGGCTTGGAGAAGAATTCAGTTTTAGATGTTGTATTAGTCTGCTGGGGTTGCCATAACAAAGCACCACAGATGAGGTGTCTTAAACAACAGAAATGTGCCTCACATTTGGGAGGCTAGAAGTCCAAGGTCAAGATGTGTTGGCAGGTTAGTTTCTTCTGAGGCCTCTCTCCTTGGCTTGCAGATGGCCATCTCTGGCCTCTGTCCTTATTGCCTCCTCTTATAAGGCCATCTGTCCTATTGGATTAGAATCTACCCTTATGACCTCATTTTACTTTTTTTTTTTTTTTTTTCTTTTTTGAGACTGAGGCTTGCTCTGTTGCCCAGGCTGGAGTGCAATGGCACGATCTCAGCTTACTGCTGCCTCAGGCTCCCAGGTTCAAGCTATTCTCCTGCCTCAGCCTCCCGAGTAGCTGGGATTTTAGGCGCCTGCCACCATGCCCAGCTAATTTTTGTATTTTTAGTAAAGACAGGGTTTCGCCATGTTGGCCAGGCTGGTCTTGAACTCCTGACCTCAGGTGATCCACCTGCCTCGGCCTCCCAAAGTGCTGGGATTACGAGCCTGAGCCACTGCACCCAGCCAAAATAAGGTCTTCTAAAACAAGATCTTCCAAACACACTGAAGGCCTTTTCATTTCCCTGAAAAGACAATGTACCAATAAGTAGTAAGATAAAGCAGGTGAAGGCTAGCCCCCAGTTCCATCAGGAGCATGCACTTTCCCACCTGCTTCCGAGCCCTGTTGGGGCCGAGAGTCCCCAGCACACGCAGCATGAAACCTACTTGCCCTCTGAGTCTAAGCTTGGAAGAGGGCAAAGTTAGGAAGGGGAAGCTCTAAATAAATCACAATATAACATGACAAATATGTGTAGAAATGTGACTAAAGTCCAGAAGCAGGGCAAACCTGCGGTAAATGGCAGTGGATTTTGGAGGCTGAGTCAGTTGGCCAGACAGACCAGGAAGGAACAAGGCGGGGGGAACAGCATACTATCTCAGAACTGTAACAGGCTCCCTAATGCTGGGGCTTAAGGTGAAAGGCAGAGTGGTGGAAAAGAGATGAAAACTCAACACGGGTAGGCTGTGTGTCCATGGAACAGGAATCTTCTGACCAAAGTGAAAGGTTTGTGCCAAAGAGTGAGAGGGACTCCCCCAGCGCGTAAACCTTTGAGGGCAGGGTGTGTGTTCATCACATGCCGCGCAGTCCTGGTCCCCCATCCCATGCATACTTGGGTACTGAGCTAGGTTGAACCCAGTGGGAGGCAGGAAGATAGGAATTGGAGCCCCAGCTTATGGTGGGAGAAAGACGGTGACCACTTAAAGCCTTAGATGTCTGGGATTAGAATCCAAGGGATGGTAATAAATGTAGATGATTCTCATATCCCTGGCACCTTCACAGTGAAGCTGGCTCATTAGCCAGGGAGAGAGGGAACAAAGTTAGAAACCAAATCCTAGTGAAAGTTCAGGGTGTCGAGCTGGGACTGTCTCTGCGTACTTCCTGGGGCACTCTGGGCAGCCTGAGGAGCAGGCTGGGGGGCTGTTGATGCTGGCTTCACCGGGGACTTGAACACCTGCTCAAAAGAAATGTGGCAGGACTCAGCTAAGGAGGCTGTATGGAATTCCCTTGCGGACAGGAGGAATGCGGAAGCTGACAGCACGTGCTTCCTTTCCCCACCCCTCCCCAGTCCTCAGTCTTCAGGAAGAAAGACAGTGTGGTATATCAGCCCTGGGAAAAGAGATGACCCTCTCTCTCACTTGAGGGAGGGGTAGAGACCTTGTCAAGTAATTCTTCTGGATGCTGTCTTTGTCTATAAATTCAGGGACTTGGACTAAACCTCCAGTTAAGAACACCCTCGGCCAGGCATGGTGGCTCATGCCTGTAATCCCAGCACTTTGGGAGGCCGAGGTGGGCAGATCACCTGAGGTCGGGAGTTCGAGACCAGCCTGACCAACATGGAGGAACCCCATCTCTACTGAAAATACAAAATTAGGCGTGGTGGTGGCGCATGCCTGAAATCCCAGCTACTCAGGAGCCTGAGGCAGGAGAATTGCTTGAACCTGGGAGGCAGAGGTTGTGGGGAGCCGAGATCACGCCATTGCACTCAAGCCTGGGCAACAAGAATGAAACTCTGTCTCAAAAAAAAGAACAACCTCCACCCCCACCCCGACCACCACATGTCTCTATGTGGAACCCAGCAACTGGGAAGAAATGGAAAAAAGATAAGGGTGTCTTAGGTGTAGGCATCCCTCCCACACCCTATCCTGTCTTGCTGATCTGGAGTCTGATTTTTTTTATCCCTCATCAAGTCTGGGCAGGTTCTTAAAGGGTTGTGAGTGCCTATTCTGGGAGGAGCTGCATCCAGGCTGTCAGAAAAGTAGTGGACAGGCCCATGGAGGATTTTCTGTGGCAGTGCCTCGCGCGTGTGGTCATCTTGTTCCAGAGCATCACACTACAAAATAGTCGCCACCCCTGAGGGCTGGGCCCCTTGGAGTGGATTTTACTAGCCCCAGCACAAGCCATGTCTAATTGCTGAGATTAAGGCTCTGTAGAGGTGTGATGAGACAGTGCTCTGGCGTTAGAAAGGACAGAGCAGGCCGGGCACGGTGGCTCACACCTGTAATCCCAGCACTTTGGGAGGCCGAGGCGGACAGATCACCTGAGGAGTTCGATACCAGCCTGGTCCAACATGGTGAAACCCCATCTCTACTAAAAATACAAAAATTAGCTGACATGGTGGCAGGCACCTGTAATCCCAGCTACCTGGGAGGCTGAGGCAGGAGAATCGCTTGAACCCAGGAGATGGAGGTTGCAGTGAGCCGAGATCGTGCCACTGCACTCCAGCCTGGGTGACAGAGCAAGACTGTGTCTCAAAAAAAAAGAAAGAAAGAAAAAGAGCAGCACAGGTGATGAAGAACACAGACTGTGAAGCCAGAATACCTGGATTTGAATCCCAGCTTTGCCACCTCATAACTCTGTGGCCTTGGTCGTGTTACTGGCCTGTTTCCTGATCTATAAAATGAGACTAGAACAGTAGTACCTCCCTCAGGGTCATCTTGAGGATTAAATAGACAGTGCTTAGAATAGTACCTGGGACACAGTAAGTGGTCATCAGTGTTCGCTGTTATCAATATGATTGGGACCATAACCCGTCATGGGGGAGGAAAAGGGGCTTTATGTATTTAAGCACTTTCTCTTCCATCTCTATTCTCCATATAATAATCCTCTGTTCCTATTCTAAGTAATCACTTCTTTGTGCTTCTCTGTAGCTCTTCATTTCCCCAAAATTAAGCTCTTTTGAAGACGCTCATTCTCAATGGTTAATTATTCCAATTTTCCCCTAGCCAAGGCCTCTCGCTACTTGTATTCCTCCTCTTACCCCCCGAGGTTCCAGTGTCCTGGAGCCCACACAATTGGCTCTGTGCGCCCGAGCTCTGGCTGTAAGCCCACCCGCACAAAGCGCCCCTCAGTACCTCTCTGCTCCCTCCCCTGCTCACGCCAGGGGCCCAGCTTCTCACCCGCGCTCTCAGAAGCTTTTAGGTAGGTCAGAGGGTGCCATTCATTAAATACAAGCACAACTTTGTCCTCATTCCCAGCCACTCTGCTAGCAGTGAGACCCAAATATTTTATCTGAGTGATAGGCAGGCATTGGCCTCTGACAGAAGGGCTTCCAACAGAAGGAATCGAGCATAAATTACGAAGGCCCTGTGCTGTGTGAGGCGTGTCGCAGTTATGTCTTGCTATGTAACAGACTACCCCAAAACTTAGTGGCTTCAAACAACCGCCATTGATTCACTCACATTTCTGTAGTTTGTGGGAGGGCTTGGTGGCAGTGCACCCTCTCTGTGGAGTTGACTGGGGCCACTCAAGAACTCAATATGGCCACACTCGCACATCTTACGTCTCAGCCGGCACGGCCGGGGGCCTTCCTTGCTTTCTCCTTAGCCCTTATCCTGCAGGGCTTTTTTCTCCAGCAGTGTAGCTGGACTTCTTTACATGGCAGTTGGCTTCCAGAGAGAAAAAACAAGCTGTGAGGCCTCTTAAGACCTCGGCCTTGGCCAGAAGCAGTGGCTCACGACTGTAATCTTAGCACTTTTGGAGGCTGAGGCACGTGGATTGCTTGAGCTCAGGAGTTTGAGACCAGCCTGGCCAACATGGCGAAACACTGTCTCTACAAAACATTAGCCAGGTGTAGTGGTGCATGCCTGTAATCCCAGCTACTTGGGAGGCTGAGGTGGGAGGATCGCTTGAGCCCAGGAGGCAGAGGTTGCAGTGAGCTGAGATCATGCCACTGCAGTCCAGCCCGGGTGACAAAATGAGACCCTGTCTCAAGAAAAAGACTTAGGCCTTAAGGCCCACATTCAATGGGAGACACAATGTTGTGTCTTCCCAACACTGAATTTTGAACTCCTAACCCCCAGTATCTCAGAATGTGACCTTAATTGGAAATAAAGTAATTGTAGATTTGATTAATGAAGATGAGGTCTTACTGGAGTAGGGTGGGCCCCTCATCCAATATGACTGGGGTCCTTTATAATGGAGAAATTTCAACATATACACACACAGGCAGGCAGGAGGCTGTGTGAAGATTGGCATTATGCTGCCACAGCTAGCAGGTGCTAGGAAAGAAGCCCGGAACAGATCCTTCCCTAGTGCCTTTAGAGGAAACACAGCCCTGCCCACACCTTGATCTCAGACTTCTGGCCTCCAGAACCATGAGACAATACATTTTGGTTGTTTTTTTTTGTTTTGTTTTGTTTTTGAGACAGAGTCTCACTCTGTGGCCCAGGCTGGAGTGCAGTGGCGCAATCTCGACTCACTGCAAGCTCCGCCTCCCGGGTTCACACTATTCTCCTGCCTCAGCCTCCCGAGTAGCTGGAACTACAGGCACCCGCCACCATGCCCGGCTAATTTTTGTATTTTTAGTAGAGACGGGGTTTCACTTTGTTAACCAGGATGGTCTCGATCTCCTGACCTCGTGATCCGCCTGCCTCGGCCTCAAAGTGCTGGGATTACAGGCCGTGAGCCACCGCTCCCGGCCCATTTTGGTTGTTTTAAGCTGCCCAGTCTGTGGCACTTTGCTGCAGCCACCTTAGTGAACTAACAGGGAGAAATCAAGTCTGCCTCTTGATGGGAAAGGTAACAGGCATGTACAGGGTGGTAGGAATTGTATCCTTTGTGGACTGTCTGACACAAGGCTGTGCAAGAGTGGACAGGACAACGGAGGAGGGGACTGCATGTGGGGAGCAAAACCCAGCCTCTAGGTCTGACTCTGCCAAGAACATGTTGGGAAGCTGTTTAACTCTCCCTCCTTTTCCCAGAGAACAAAAGGACAGACTTAGGTAAGACACCCTTTTTGATTATTTTCTGCTTTAAAATTGAGTGACTCCATAAGAGTTCTTTAGCCTGTACTAGAACCCCCTAGAGGAGTTGTAAACTCAGATTACCGGTCCTACCCCTTGAGTTTCAGGAGATCTGGGGTGAGGCCTGATTATTTTCCTTTCTAACAAGTTCCCAGGCAATGCTAATGCTGGCTGAGACCACACTGAGAATACCGGTTCTAGGTCAGCGCTTCTCCGTTCTGCCTGCACATTAGAATAACGTGGGAAGCTCTTAACAAATACAGTTGCTCCTCGACTTATGATGGGTTTGCATCCTAATAAACTGATCATAAGTCAATTTAATATACCCAGTGAACATTAGAGTTTAGCCTTCTTTAAACATGTTCAGAACATTTCCATCAGCCTAGGCTGGTGCAGTTGCTCACACCTGTAATCCCAACACTGAGAGGCCAAGGCGGGAGAGAATCACTTGGGCCCAGGAGTTTGAGACCAGCCTGGGCCACATAGTGAGATACCATCTCTACACAAAATATAAGAAATTAGCTGGGCATAGTGATGCTTACCTGTAGTCCTAGGTACTCAAGAGGCTGAGGCGGGAGGATCGCTTGAGCCTGGGAAGTTGAGGCTGCAGTGATCAGTGATCAGACCATTGCCCTCCAGCCTGGGTGACAGAGCGAGACTCTGTCTCAAAAAAAAAAATTAATTAATAAATAAGTAAGTAAAAATCTTCCTACGTGAGGCGAATGTGCGGCCAGAGTTGAGAACCACTGCCCTAGGAGCCTCAGACATTTAAGGAAACAAGAATGCAGTAAAACTGTGTTGGTGCATGTTTTAAGAAAGGTTCCTCGATCTGACATTCATGGCCCAAACAAAATATAGCTTTAAAAAAGTTTGCTCGGCCGGGCACAGTGGCTCATGCCTATAATCCCAGCACTTTGGGAAGCCGAGGCGGGTGGATTACCTGAGGTCAGGAGTTCGAGGCCAGCCTGACCAACACGGAGAAACCCCATCTCTACTGAAAATACCAAAATAGCCGGACGTGGTGGCACATGCCTGTAATCCCGGCTACTCGGGAGGCTGAGGCAAGAGAATCGCTTGAACCCGGGAGGCCGAGGTTGCAGTGAGCCGAGATCATGCCGTTGCACTCCAGCCTGGGCAACAAGAACGAAACTCCGTCTCAAAAAAAAAAAAAAAAAAGGTTCCTCATTCTGACATTCATAGCCCAAACAAAATATAGCTTTAAAAAATGAAGAAATGACCAGGCACAGTGGCTCACACCTGTAATCCCAGCACTCTGGGAGGCCAAGGCAGGCAGATTATCAGAGGTCAGGAATTCGAAACCAGCCTGGCCAATGTGGCAAAACCCCGTCTCTACTAAAAATAGAAAATTAGCTGGGCGTGGTGGCACATGCCTGTAATCCTAGCTACTTGGGAGGCTGAGGCAGGAGAGTAGCTTGAACCCGGGAGGTGGAGGTTGCAATGAGCCAAGATTGGGCCACTGCACTCCAGCCTGGGCGACAAGAGTGAAACTATGTCTCAAAAGAAAAAAAAAGAAAAAAATTGCTAACTTGCCGAGGTTAAGAAATTTGAAATCAGGCTGGGTGCGGTGGCTCACACCTGTAATCCCTGCACTTTGGGAGGCCGAGGCAGGTGGATCATGAGGTCAGGAGATTGAGACCATCCTGGCTAACACAGTGAAACCCCGTCTCTACTAAAAATACAAAAAATAGCTGGGCGTGGTGGCAGGCACCTGTAGTCCCAGCTACTCGGAGGCTGAGGCAGGAGAATGGCGTGAACCCGGGAGGCGGAGCTTGCAGTGAGCCTAGATAGCGCCACTGCACTCCAGCCTGGGCGACAGAGCGAGACTCCGTCTCAGAAAAAAAAAAAAAATTTGTAATAGTGAAATAGTGTTAGGGACTCAAGTTCCTTCACCTCTTTTGAACATAGTAATTTCTTCTTGTCTCATCATTACACTGTAATTTCTTGTCCTCCCTTGCAAGAACAAGGTGGGAGTTCATTTGTTTTATTTTATTTTATTATTATTATTTTTTAGGAGTCTCACTCTGTTACCCAGGCTGGAGTGCAGTGGTACGATCTCAGCTCACTGCAACCTCTACCTCCCGGGTTCAAGTGATTCTCCTGCCTCAGCCTCCCAAGTAGCTGAGATTACAGGTGCCCGCCGCCACGCCCAGCTGATTTTTATATTTTTAGTAGAGATGGGGTTTCACCATATTGGCCAGGGTGGTCTTGAACTCCTGACCTTGTGACCCGCCTGCCTCGGCCTCCCAAAGTGCTGGGATTACAGGCATGAGCCACCACGCCCAGCTAGTTCACTTGTTAATACAGGAGGGAGAAGGGGAATCTCTAAAGTTTCTACATCCCTGTTTGTGACATCAGCACGTACTTCTACAAGCTCCAAGTGAGCTCCAGGAAACAAACCTCCCTAGCTGCCTTGGTGAATTTGTTTTTTTGTTTGTTTGTTTGTTTGTTTGTTTTTGAGACGGAGTCTCGCTCTGTCGCCCAGGCTGGAGTGCAGTGGCGCGATCTTGGCTCACTGCAAGCTCCGCCTCCCGGGTTCACGCCATTCTCCTGCCTCAGCCTCCTGAGTAGCCGGGACTACAGGCGCCCGCCACCACGCCTGGCTAATTTTTTGTATTTTTAGCAGAGGCGGGGTTTCACCTTGTTAGCCAGGATGGTCTCAATCTCCTGACCTTGTGATCCACCCACCTCTGCCTCCCAAAGTGCTGGGATTACAGGCGTGAGCCACCACACCCAGCCAAATTTGAATCAAAATAACCTGAAACTGCTGAGCACCTTTTCTGCCCCTGACTTTAAGGGAACAGAGCAAGTCTGGCAGTTAGGAAAGGGCTTGGGTCTCCTGGGGGAGCTTGCCTGAGTTCAGACTACTTTAATGGTGGTGTGAGCGAGCCGCCTGTGTAACCCCTCCATGCCTCAGTTACCCTACATGGAAAATGAAGTAGAGTCTATCACATTGCGCTGCACAGATAGAGTGCTTAGCAGTGTCGAACACCGTAATTTGTGTACCTCCTGATTTCCACCCTTCTGTGAAATGGTATTCTATTTTACTGATGAGGAAACTGGTTCAGTAATTGATCTGTCCAAAGCCTTAACAACTGGGACAGTGCTGGACTTGGACCTGTGCTCAAGCCTTTGGATTCGAGAGGCTCTGCTCTTTGCCTAACAGGGAGGGATGGGAGCCATCCTCAGGAGGTTTACTAATAGGCAAGTGATCCATCTACACAACAGCCCCAAACTAGAAACTGAGGTGACATGGTAAACAGGCCATGCGTTCTCTGGTCTCATGAAAGGGAGTCAAGAAGGAAGTTGCAAGTGACCAGAATTTTGAGTTTTGATAGGGAGGAGCAAGGAGGAAAGTCAGCTCCTGATTCCTCTGCTGGACTAAGAGCAGTTGCTGAGTCTAGTGGAGTTGGGGAGGACTGTGAATGCCACAAATTTCAGGCTAAGGAGAGTGGATGAAGAGCCTGGGGGCCTGGGGGCGGAGCTGCCTCTGAATCAGTAGCCTTTTTCTTTTCTTTTTTTTCCTTTTTTTTGAGACAGAGTCTCGCTCTGTCCCCCAGTCTGGAGTGCAGTGGCATGATCTCTGCTCACTGTAACCTCTGTCTTCCGGGTTCAAGCTATTCCCCTGCCTCAGGCTCCTGAGTAGCTGGGATTACAGGCGTGCCCCACCATGCCCGCCAATTTTTGTATTTTTAGTAGAGATGGGGTTTCACCATGTTGGTCAGGCTGGTCTCAAACTCCTGACCTCATGATCCACCCACCTCAACCTCCCAAAGTTCTGGGATTACAGGCATGAGCCACCGCGCCCGGCTGCTTTTTTCTTTCAACAAATAAAATGTCTACCGTGTGCTAAATGCCCTGCAAAGCCTGGAGATACTGTCGGCATGCTGCTCAGTACCTATCCTCAGGAAGCCCACATTCAGGGAACAGAGGTGGGCGGATGCAGACCTTGGACAGTCACACAACTCGTTGTAAGTGTGCAAAAATGAAGGTCCGAAGAGGGCAAGTAACAAGCAGCCCTGGCCTTGTGTGAAGAGTCGGGGAAGGCTTCTCTGAGAAAGATTAAAAAGCTGATGATGAGTAGTTGGTTAGATGGAGGAAGTCCGGACCAGGAAGTAGCGCATGCAGGAGACCCAGAGCAGGCATGAGCTCAGCTTCAAGAACCATGTGGGTCAGATGGTGGGAGATGAGGTTAGTGAGCTGGGTGGAGGCTGTGGTAAACATGTTTGTACCCCAAAAGCTATGGGGAAGCCATGGAAGGACTTTAAATTGGGCAATGTCCTGTGATGGATTTCTTGCCTTACAGTTCTGAACCCTCCCACACATTAGTCTCATTTGATTGCCACAGTAACCTTGTGAAGATATTACCTCCGTTTTACAGATAAAGACAGTTGGAATCCTTATTCCAATTGAAGGTCAGATGTCTGAAATTACATATCCAGACCACACCTCTGCCCCACCTCTTGCTCTTTCTCCTACCAGAGAGACACCACCACACCCAAGGGAAGTGATGATGCCTGTAGGGGACCCAGAGAGCCTGGATGGTCTCTCTGCCCCATTTCTTAGCCCTCATGGATAACAATATTGCTCCTTGCATGCACAGGGCTCCTAAAGTAGCCTAACCAGAAAAGGGAGAACTATGCCCTGAGGCCACTGGGTGGGAGAAATCTGCTCCTCCCCACCTACCTGGGGCAGGGCTGGCAACAGTGGAAATGTCCTGCCTGCCTGAGCCTGTCTGAAGCTTCCTAACAAAGAAGGAGCCCAGACCTGGTGAGGGGGCAGCCCAAAGACCAGGGCTGAGTGTGCAATTGCCCTGGAGCCCCTAGGGATACGTCAGCAGGAGCAACAGAGGCCCTTGGAATGGGCTGAAGCCTGTGGTCCCCCATGGAAGGATGTGATGGGGTGAAAGAGGGTGCCAGGCTTGACAAATGCTGAAGGCTAGGCACCTCCATCTCCTGGAGAGGGAGAGTTGAGCTGATGCCCTCCAAGTGTCTCTCATTTGCCTTACATGGAGAACTCCCTTTAGCCCCAGTGCCAACCCTGTGTGCTAGCTGGAATCCCTGTTTCATAGGTGGAGAGACTGGCTCAGAGAGGTTAAATAACATAAAATCTCTCAGCTAGTAAATAGCGCTGGAATTAAAACCCAAGTTTGAGTGGCACCACCGTCTGTGCACCTTCCTTTGAACTATAATAACCAGAGAAGAGCTTACTTATTCCCAGGGAGAGCTCCAAAGCTTCGTGGAGGAGGTGACACTGACACTGAGACCCTCCTCTCAGGTGCTTAGCACTCAGGAGCTCAGTAAATGTTTGGATGAATGAGAAACCTGGAGTAAAAAGGGTTGCTGCTGGGTCCTGGAGATGGAGAGAGGGGAAGGGAGTGGAGTGGAGTGGAGGGGAGGGGAGGGGAGGGGACGGGGTCTCAATTGCCCCAGTGGTGTGGGCTCCTCCCCAGCTCTCCAGGAGTGAAGGATTGCCTTGGCCTCTCCAGTCTCACCTGGGAAGCCAGAGCCTGTCCCGCCTTACTCAGCAGGAACCAGCTACCAAGAAACACAAATGCCTTTCACCTAAAAGGCAATTCAGGAGAACCCAAAGCAGCTGCTTTTGATAAAGGAAGGATGTGGCCAGCACAGAGGGAGGAAAAGAGGTCAGTGGGGAAGACAGCTGCCAGACAGACCTGAGGGGAACCCCAGAGGCTGCAAAGAGGATGGGGGCGGGCTGTGCTCCCACTTCATTTCCTCCTCCCACACCCCCATCAGAGCCCCACTCTTCACACTGGCCAAAGTCAAATTGCTGGTCACCAAGAAAGGAGGACACCCATGTCCCCCACAGCAGCCTGAGGCCCCCTCAGCCTTTTCCCTGGGTGAGGGAAAGCCATATCCCTGGAAGGGCAGGTCTGATGGGGTAAGAGGGGCAGGATGTTTGGGTTTCCCAGATTCATTGCATTGAGAGAGCTGGGACAGTCAGGGAAAGGCCTGGGCCCTGCTGGCAATTTGGTGGAGACTTTAGTGAGGTTGCTCAGAAGCCACCTCCCTGCGCTGGTGGGAACCTCCCCGAGACGCCCACCTTTGGTTGCATGAGGTGACCCAGGAGCTGTACCTCAGGCAGGGTCTAGGTTGTCGCAATCTGCATGAACCATGCAGACTCCAGGTAACCGGTCTCTCATATATGTATATTTTTAATCCATAAAACAGGATCTTCCCTGCAGTGTGCTTCTGAAGATTAAATCAGATAATGTATTCCTATGAGCTTTATGAACTGAAGTGACATACAAAAGCAAGGGATTATTCACTAATTCAACAAACATCCACTGAGCTCTAGCAGTGGATTTGGAGGTAAAACAGGAACCCAATGTCCAGACAAATCCAACTCAAGGTGCCCTGGGAGCTCAGAGGAGGGGCCGCTGAGCTGGCTCCTGCAGAGGAGGCAGGGATTACTAATGCAGACAAGGAGGGAGGAGGTTCCGGGCAGGGTGCGGAGAATGTGGGTGTCAGGGAGCCACCGAACACCTGCCAGGAACCACATCATCTTTTCTCCTTTTTTCTTTGGTAAAACTAGCGATGGCTAGCATTTTTCAGTGCTAAGTACCAAGCAATGTTCTAAGTATTCATTGTACTTCTCACCTCTTAATCCTCAGAGCCTGTATTCGTAACCCCATTTTACCAGATGAGAAAATGGGGTCCAGAAGTTAAAGTAACTTCCCAAAGTCACTCAGCTAGTAAATGACAGGTAAACTTTGAACCCTTTCAGACTCCAAAAGCCATGGTTTTAACCTCCTTGTTAGAAAGCCCCTTCACTTTTATTCAACTCTCCAAAAATCCTCTTAAGCAACATTTCCTTAACTTGAGGATGTCACCTTTCCTCTTTCCCAAAAACAGAATCTTAATTCCTTGAGCTTTTTGTAAGACGGTGTCCAGCTTGTGAGAGGCCAGAATGAGGTTGGCAGGGCATGGAATGAAGATTTGGAGGAAAGTGTTTATGAAGAGACCAGGGCCTAGAGTGAACCAGAAATCAGACCCAAGCCCAAGGCCCCTTAACCTCCGCATCTCACCTGTCCCAAAAAATCCAAGCAAGGAGTTGGAGGAGGACAACAGCAGCATTTATGCTCAGAGAAGCATCTTGCTTTCTGGTAACCAAGGCTGATCTCCTTGTAGAGTTCACTTCCCCCAAGGAAAATTAAGGCATGTTGTGTTTTATTTTTGTTTTTTTTTTGTTTTTGTTTTTGCTTTTTTTGAGAGAGAGTTTTGCTCCTGTCACCCATGCTGGTGTGTAATGGCGTGATCTCAGCTCACTGCAACCTCCGCCTCCTGGGTTCAAGTGATTCTCCTGCCTCAGCCTCCCGAGTAGCTGGGATTACAGTTGCCCACCACCATGCCCAGCTAATTTATTTGGTATTTTTAGTAGAGATGGGGTTTCGCCATGTTGGCCAGGCTGGTCTCAAACTCCTGACCTCAGATGATCCACCCACCTCGGCCTCCCAAAGTGCTGGGATTACAGGCATGAGCCACCATGCCTGGCCAGCAAGTTTTATCAAGCTGACTTTCTTGTCTTCCCCTGCCCTAACCCTCACTTCAACAGAAGGCAAGGCCTCCACTTTAGGGAAAAAAGAATGTCCCAGAGAAGAAGGTTTGGGGGATGGGAGGCCAGTAAGGCTCAGTCAGGCAATAAACCCCCTCCCTTCCTGGCGTTACCTTTAAGGAGAAGAGGGCCCAGGAAGGGTGGCATTCTCAGAACTTATCACCAGAGCCCCTGGGACTATGTGGTGACCTATGTTCCTTTCTTTCCTAACTGCATTTCCCCTGCCAACCCCATAATAACTTCCCTCATTGTCTATGCTCACCATTCACCTTCTTCAAGGTGAAACCCACGACCCAGCACACAAAAAGGAGGCCTATCTGGGGGACATGGCATGCCCACTTGGTTGTGTATGACTTGAACTCACATTGCCCGCATGTGAGGGCTTGGCCAGGACCTGGCCCGAACTCCACCCTAAACTCCAGGCCCCTCCAACCTTTGATACCACACCCAGTCTGTAGCAAATATAGGACTTTCTTTTGAATAATAACACTCATTGTAAATCATCTGCTGGCTCGTCCTAAACAATGTTAAGCCTCAAATAGGGTGGGTGGGTCAGTACGAGGAAAATGCCAACCTCTGAAAGTGGAGTTAATAGAATCAACAACAGATCGATTCGGCCATCTGCAGAGTAATACACGCTCAAAGGGGCTTAGTGTTACTGACAGAGATAGGGGTATGTCCCAGGAATCCGTTTAGGGGACCAGTGCTTCTGAAGCTAAAAATGATTTCCAGGAAGTTGTAACCCAATCAAGTACTTGGTAACCTGAGGCAAAACTGTTAACTCGAGAAAGCCTCCCCGGAACAGAGCAAAACAGTGGCTCGTAGTGTTTTTTTGTTGTTTTGTTGTTGATGATGATTCTGTTTTGTTTTTGTTTTTGTTTTGTAGAGGTGGGGGGTCTCACTCTGTTACCCAGGCTAGTCTTGAACTCCGGGCTCAAGCAATCCTCCCACCTCAGCCTCCCAAAGCACTGGGATTTAAAGGTGTGAGCCACTGCACCTGGCCATTGTGTTAAAACCATCTGTTGATAACATTCTGAATTAGTTGCCAGCATTCAGAAAATTGAGAGGTCTAACATAAAAATTGAAATTTCCAACTTCTCTTGACAAATGACCAGATCTGCAATGCTGGACCCACCTTCCCCCAGGGCACCTGTCCAGTAACGCTGAGCTTCAGAGACGGCATGCAGACCTGAGTTTGCCATGAGCCTACCACTCTCCACCATCCCCCAGACATGGAGGCTGAGCCTCAGCTGTCAGTTATAATGACACTTTTGCTACTGGATTCCTTTTTTTTTTTTTGAGACAGAATTTCACTCTCGTTGCCCAGGGTGGAGTGCAAAGGTGTGATCTCGGCTCACTGCAACCTCCGCCTCCCGGGTTCAAGAGATTTTCCTGCCTCAGCCTCCCAAGTAGCTGGGATTACAGGCATGCACCACCATGCCTGACTAATTTTGTACTTTTAGTAGAGACGGGGTTTCTCTGTGTTGGTCAGGTTGGTCTCAAATTCCTGACCTCAGGTGATCCGCCTGCCTTGGCCTCCCAAAGTGCTGGGATTAGAGGCATGAGCCACCATGCCTGGCTGCTACTGGATTCTTACACCAGGCCTACTTTACCCAGCTATGTTGTCTTGCAGCCCCTGTAGACATGAGAATGAGGCCTCAGTCACTGTCTAAGGCAGAGTGCCCTGATATGATCTCAGTCCATGGAGAAAGAAAAGGGAAGTGCCATTTATCAAATATCTATTATATGCCAGGCACTGAAATCGACACCTTATACATATTTTCTTCTTCCTTTTTTTTTTTTTTAGGTATGGTCTGGCTCTATCGCCCAGGCTGGAGTGCAGTGGTGGGATCTCAGCTCACTGCAACCTCTGCCTCCTGGAGTGAAGCCATCCTCCCACCTCAACCTCCCAAGTAGCTGGGACTACAGGCATGTACCACCTCACCCAGCCAATTTTTGTATTTTTTTTGTAGAGACAGGGTTTCACTATGTTGGTCAAGCTGGTCTTGAACTCATGAGCTCAAGCTATCTGCCCGCCTTGGCCTCCCAAAGTGTTGGAATTACAGGCGTGAGCCACCGTGCCTGGCCCATATTTTCTTCTTTAATTGTTTTCCTCATCATGACCTCTTTTCATCTAGTCCTCACATGATGCCCATAGTGATCTTTCCAAAGCACAACTCGGATCATTTTGTTGTCCTTCCGAAAACTGTTTGATGATTCCCTATTACCATCAAGATAGCCTAAACCCTTTCATTTGCTTCTACAGCCTTTTGTTTTTGTTTTTGAGACAGAGTCTCACTCTGTTGCCCAGGCTGGAGTATAGTGGCGTGATTTTAGCTCACTGCAGCCTGGAACTCCTGGGCTCGAGTGATCCTCCCACTTCAGCCTCCTGAGTTGCTGAGACTACAAGTGTGAGGCACTGTTCCTGGCTGGTTTGTTTTTTAAATAACTTTTTTTGAGATATAATTCACATACCACAAAATTCATTCTTTTCCAAGTTCAAATTTAATGGTTTTTAGCATATTAACAGAGTAGTGCAACAATCACCACAGTCAATTTCAGAACATTATCATCATTCCAAAAAGAAACCCCACACCTGTTAGCAGTCATTTCCCATTCCCCTTTCCCCAGCCCCTGGCCACCAATCTACTTCCTGTTTCTATGGATTTGTGTATTCTGGATACTTCATATCAATGAATCATACAATATGTAGCCTTTTGTGACTCGCTTATTTCATGTAGCAGAATGTTTTTAAGGTTCATATGTGTATGTATCTGTGCTTCATTCTTTTTTATTGCTGAATAATATTTCACTGTATGAAGGTACTACATTTTCCTTACCCATCCATCAGTTGGTGGACATGTTCATTGTTACCATGCTTTGTTTATAATAATGATGGTATGAACATTCATGTATAAGCCTTTGTGTGAATATATGTTTTCATTCTCTTGAGTATGTACCTGGGAGTGGAATTGCTTGATAATATGGCAATTCTAATATTTTGAAGAACTGCTAAATGCTTTTCCAAAGTGGTTGCACCATTTTACAACCCCAGCAGCATGTATGAGGGTTCTAATTTCTCCACATCCTAGACAACATTTATTTTCCTTTAAAAAAAAATTATAGCCACCCAGGCATGGTGGCTCACACCTGTAATCCCAGCACTTTGGGATGCCAAGGTGGAAGGATTGCCTGAGCCCAGGAATTCGAGACCAGCCTGGGCAACATGACAAGACCTAGTCTCCAAAAAAAAAAAAAAAAGGAGGCCAGGCGCGGTGGTTCACGCCTGTAATCCCAGCACTTTGGGAGGCCGAGGTGGGCGGATCACCCGAGGTCAGGAGTTCTAGACCAGCCTCAACATGGAGAAACCCCATCTCTACTGAAAATACAAAATTAGCCAGGCATGGTGGTGCATACTTGGGAGGCTGAGGCAGGAGAATAGCTTGAACCTAGGAGGCAGAGGTTGTGGTGAGCCGAGATCGCGCCATTGCACTCCAGCCTGGGCAACAAGAGCGAAACTCCGTCTCAAAAAAAAAAAAAAAAAAAGGGAAAGAAAAATTAAATTAAAAAAAAAAAGAATGAATTTGGACCCCCAGCACTTTGGGAGACCAAGGCAGGTGGATCATGAGGTCAGGAGTTTGAGATCAGCCTGGCCAACATAGTGAAACCCCATCTCTACTAAAAATACAAAAAATTAGCTGGGCGTGGTGGCGAGTGCCTATATTCCCAGCTACTCAGGCAGCTGAGGCAGGAGAATTGCTTGAACCCAGAAGGCAGAGGTTGTAGTGAGCCAAGATCATGCCATTGCACTCCAGCCTGGGTGACAGAGCAAGACTCTGTCTCAAAAAAAAAAAAAAAAAAAAATAGCCATCCTGGTGGGTGTGAAGTGGTATTTCATTTGTGGTTTTGATTTGCATTTCCCTAATGACTGATGATGAAATCTTTTCATGTGCTTATTGGCCACTGGTATGTTGTCTTTGGAGAAATCCGTTAGCCCATTTTTACAGTGGGTTATTTGTCTTTTTATCATTGAGTTGTAAGAATTCTTTCTGTGGCTGGACGCGGTGGCTCACACCTGTAATCCCAGCACTTTGGGAGGCCGAGGTGGGCGGATCACGAGGTCAAGAGATTGAGACCATCCTGGCCAACATGGTGAAACCCTGTTTCTACTAAAAATACAAAAATTAGCCGAGCGTGGTGTTGCGCGCCTGTAGTCCCAGCTACTCGGGAAGCTGAGGTAGGAGAATCGCTTGAAACTGGGAGGCAGAGGTTGCAGTGAGCAGAGATCGCGCTACTGCACTCCAGCCTGGCAACAGAGCGAGACTCCATCTCAAAAACAAATAAATAAATAAATAAATAAATAAATAAATAAATAAATAAATAATTCTTTCTATATTCTGGATACCAGTCTCTTATCAGATACATGATTTGCAAATTTTTTTTCCATGCTGTTTGTTGTCTTTTCACTTTAATAGTTGCTTTGAAGCACACAAAAAATTTTAATTTGTTGAAGTCTGATTTATCTATTCTTTGAGTGCTTGTGTTCTGGTGTCATATCTAAGAAACTTGCCTAATCCAAGATCACGATTGATATTTTTGTTTTCATCTAAGAATTTTATAGTTTTAGTTCTTACATTTAGGTCTATAATGCTTTTTTATGTTAATTATTTTGAGGGGGATGGAGTCTTGCTCTGTCTCCCAGGCTGGAGTGCAGTGGCCTGATCTCGGTGCACTTCAACCTCCACCTTCTGGGTTCAAGGGATCCTCCTACCCCAGCCTCCTGAGTAGCTAGGATTACAGGCACATGCCACCATACCTGGCTATTTTTTGTATTTTTGGTAGAGACAGAGTTTTACCATGTTGGCCAGGCTGGTCTTGAACTCCTGACCTCAGGTGATCCACCTGCCTCAGCCTCCCAGAGTGTTGGGATTACAGGCGTGAGCCACCATGTCCAGCCTTATTTTTTATATGATGTGAGTTAGGGGTCCAAATTCATTCTTTTTTTTTTAATTTAATTTTTCTTTTTCTTTTTTTTTTTTTTTTTTGAGACGGAGTTTCGCTCTTTTTGCCCAGGCTGGAGTGCAATGGCGTGATCTTGGCTCACCACAACCTCTGCCTCCCAGGTTCAAGCTATTCTCCTGCCTCAGCCTCCCAAGTATGCACCACCACGCCTGGCTAATTTTGTATTTTTAGTAGAGACGGGGTTTCTCCATGTTGAGGCTGGTCTAGAACTCCTGACCTCAGGTGATCCGCCTGCCTCAGCCTCCCAAGGTGCTGGGATTACAGGCGGGAGCCACCACGCCCGGCCTCTTTTTTTTTTTTTCGGAGACTAGGTCTTGTCATGTTGCCCAGGCTGGTCTCGAACTCCTGGGCTCAGGCAATCCTTCCACCTTGGCATCCCAAAGTGCTGGGATTACAGGTGTGAGCCACCAGGCCTAGCCCAACTTCATTCTTTTGCAGGTAGATATTCAGTTGTTCCAACACCATTTGTTGAAAAGACAATTCTTTCTGCCACTTGATTATCTATGGCCCTTCTTTTTACTTATTTATTTTTTTAGACAGGGTCTCACTCTATCACCCAGGCTAGAGTACAGTGGCGCAATCTTGGCTCACAGCAAGATGTGGCCTTCTGCTTGTGATCAAAGGTGGTGTAGGAGACCCTGCGGTAGAAGAGGAAATGTCTGCAGAGGATTGGGCTCTGCAGACCTCCACCTCCCATGCTTAAGCGATTCTCCCGCCTCAGCCTCCTGAGTAGTGGGGATTACAGGTACATGACATCAAGCCTGGCTATTTTTTTTTTTTTTTTTTGTAGAGACAGGTTTTCACTATGTTGTCCAGGCTGGTCTTGAACTCCTGGACTCAAGCAATCCACCCACCTCGGCCTCCCAAGTGCTGGGATTACAGGCATGAGCTACTGCGCCTGACCTCCTTTGACCTTCTTAAGCTGGCCCTTTCTTAGTCCTGTGGCTTCATCTTCTGCGTTACCCTCACCCAGGCTTGCCCTCCATCTCCAGATTCACTAAATGATTTACTCTGTCTCACCTTTGGCCCACTTCACCGCATGCTGCTTCTTCTACTGGAAAGTCTCCCTGCCTCTCTTCCCATATCACTTGGCTATTTTCTCTAATGATCTGGCAGGTCTAGGCTTAGATGTTACATCTTCCAGAAAGCCTTTCCTAAATCCTCAAGAATGTTTTGGGAACAGCAATTCTGTGCTCCCAAGGACCCTGTACTTAACCTCAATGTGATGCTTAACACACCTGTGTATATCTTACTCCCATAAAAACCCTCTTCACAGATAGGAGCTTTTTTTGTGCCTGGCATGTAGTAGGCACTCAATAAATATCTGATGAGTCCCAGAAGTAAAGGAAGAGGACAATTTTGAGAAGGAAGACATAATTAGAACTGTGTATTGCTGCAGAAAGTTAGGGAGAATGAGATCTGAAAAAGTCACTGGGTTTTGACTATTCTCGTCATGACAAATAGGGAAGAGTTTCAGTAGCATTGTGGATGCAGAGGCCAGTGTGGACACAGAAACCAGAGTTAAGGAATGAATTGCTGATGAGTGAAGCTTTAGTTACAAACTTTTTTTTTTTTTTTTTGGAGACAGGGTCTTACGCTGTTGCCCAGGCTGGAGTGTAATGGCATAATCATGGCTCACTGCAGCCTCAACCTCCTGGGCTCAAGTGATCCTCCTGCCTCAGCCTCCTGAGTAGCTAGGACCACAGGCACATGCCACCACAACCTGGCTAACTTTTTAATTTTTTGTGGAGACAGGGTCTTGCCGTGTTGCCTAGGTTGGTCTTGAACTGCTGGCCTCAAGAGATCCTCCCACCTCAGCCTCCTAAGGGAGGCTGCAATTACTGGCATGAGCCACCATACCCAGCCTAGTTAAAACCTATTTGTGCCCAAGTTTGTTGGGGAGGAAAGGAGGGAACTAGATTGGCACTGTGAAACAGCTTCAATAATAGAGCTAAGGGATTCGTTTTATTGCTATTTGTCCATCTGCTACTTTCCTGCACTTCGGAGATTTTAACTTCTAATGAGAGTCCCTTTCATGGCTTTTTATGATGTCAATTCTAGGGATTCAGCCGTGATTTTCCTGCCTGCCCTCCTGTGACCACATACCTCATCCCCACCTCTGCCTCCGTGTGAACATAGAAGTGCATACATGCACACGCATGTATACACAGGGACACCTTGATTTGGGCTGATCTCAGCATCCCAGGTATCTAAATATTTTGGGAGTGACCAAAACTCTCCCCAAATTCGGATAAGCTATATATGCCACAGCAAAAGATATCCTATGAGAGTTGTTTGGATAGAAAGGAAGCAACAAGTCTCCTGACATCTTGGCGGCACCAACAGACTGATAGTCTTCTCTGTCTGCCCTTCATTCCATTGTGTCTCCCCTATGTCACTCATATAGACTAGAATGAAGTGGCTTTAAGATTTTAATTTTTCATCCCCCTACTGATTTATCTTCAGCATTGATCCACTTGCTATTTGTCATTTTTCTCCCAGAGGTAGATATGCCTGATCATGAGCCCCCCAGCCTGACCAGCTTTCACCACCAGCCTCACACAGCTCACGTGGTACCCCATACCTTTCAGAAGTATCTTCTGATCCATCTGCCCCTCCGAAAGATGTCCCAGCAAGGCGAAGCTGGTGCAGTGCTGCGGCACCCCCTCAGGTTGGTAGCCCAGCTCCACCTGCCCCTTCTCCAGGGCGTACCTCCCATTCCACAATGGAGCCCGTCATCACTTGCACCCTGCTCAGGTTTGCTGGATGGTTCAGAATCACTGTCAGGTGGTTTCCTATACTAATGTTGTGTGTCCAAAAGAATGACTCATCCAGAGTGTAGGCCTCCCAGGGGAAATGCACATCGGAAACCTGCATATCAGTGAAGACAGCTCCAGGCGGGTTGTTGGGACCATCGGCATTCTTTTTCTGAAGTGCTGTGGCCTTCTGCTTGTGATCAAAGGCAGTGTAGGAGACCCTGCAGTAGAATAGGAAAGGTCTGCAGAGGATTGGGCTTTCCTGGACCAGGAGCGTATGGAAATGAGAAATCAGGCTGTCAAGGGGTTTCTCCTTGTAGAAGAGAAGGAGGAAATGGGCCAGGAGTGGGAGGTCCCTGCTGTGGAAGAGTTTGCCAAGGAAGCCCATATTGGAGAACTCCATTAGCACCCACGAGTTGGACTTCATGGTGGTCACCCTTGAATGAATGTGGGTGACAAAGTTGGGGGCAAAAAAGACATTGTCCTCTATTAACAGGAAGTAATCAGAGAACTTTGTGGCAAAGCTCATGAGGAAGGCATGATCTACGTTCTGCTTGGAGTAGAATTCGCCATGAAAGGCCTCATCCCTGATGCTCTCCACAGTGGGGTAGGCATCGGATGAAGCATGGATCAGTAGCAACTGCCCTTTCAAGATCTGTGGGCTGAAGAGGCTTGAAATATGGGCAAGAGTTTCTCTGAGCCAGGTGAGGTCAGAATCTGCCAGGTGGACCAGCACCGTGAGACGTTTCTGCTCAGCCTTAGAAGAAACACGGAACAGGGAGACCAATGTGTACAAGAGGCTGCTTCCATCCCCTTGCTGCACTGATGAGATTCCCCACTGTCAGCCATGCTGAGGAGAGGTAAAAATAGGGACAACTGTCAGTGCACAGTAATAGTGACGGTTGTCAGAAGGGTTAGGGGTTGGGATCCTATGTGGGACCTTCACTCTTCCTTCCTCCCTCTTATTTCCCACCTGTTTTTCCCTTGGTGGAGGGGATGTTTACATCCTTGCTGCTCGAAGTGTGGTCCTTAGTCCAGCAACATCAGGCTGCTCTGTAAGCTCATTTCAAATACAGGATCTCGATCCCTATCTCAGATTTAATCAGAAGCTGCATTTTCACAGTATCACCAGGTAACTTGTATGCACAGTAAAGTTTGAGAAGTACTAAGCTAGGTGATGCTGAGTGTCTGTGGGTTCTGCTCAGTCTTCTTTGAGCCTAGAACTTTGTGGCGTATGGTTTAGGGGCTCAATAAATGTTAGCTATTATAATAGTTATAATTGTTGTCAATTATATTATTATATTGTTGTCAATTGTTGTCGTCTTCCCAAAGCTGCCCTTTGAAGGAGGTATATTAGGAAAAGGACTTCCCCTGGAAGTCAGGAGCCTGGAGTTTTTGTCCCAGTTCTGCCACTGATTGTGTGATCTTGAGCAAGTCCCTTCAGCCCTGAGTTTAGTTCCTGATCCATAAACTGGGGGAGTTGGACTATGCGACTCTAAGACCCCTTCTGATCCAAATGTTCTCTAATCTAGTGATTCCACCTTCTTATAGCAATTAACTTTAGTAACTGGCCAAGAAGGGAAAAAAAGAAAAGTAGTAGCCAACTTTATCTTTTTCCTCCTTCCTCCTCATACTGCTGATATATAAATATTTGCCTTGGGGAAGGAGGAGAGAATTAACTGCCAGATTCTTTTTTTTTTTTTTTTTTGAGAAGGAGTCTCACTCTGTTGCCCAGGCTGGAGTGCAATGGTGCGATCTTGGCTTACTGCTACCACCGCCTCCCAGGTTCAAGCGATTCTCCTGCCTCAGCTTCCTGAGTAGCTGGGATTACAGATGTCCCCCACTGTGCCCAGCTAATTTTTGTATTTTTAGTAGAGATGGGATTTCACCATCTTGGCCAGGCTGGTCTCGAACTCCTGACTTCGTGATCCACCCACCTAGGCCTCCCAAAGTGCTGGGATTACAGGCATGAGCCACCACACTTGGCCATTGTCTGCCGGATTCTAATATTCCTGGGCACAGTCTGTTTTTCTCCTTCCCTCTTCTGCTTTCCTTCCTATCTGCCTGATCTCTCTGGCTGTCCCTACTTCCCCTGGGATGCTGAATTCCTCCTTCTTGTTGGTACTCACTCTTTCTTCTCTTCTGGATTTTTTCCATATATTTGAAGGTGAGGTTCTGCCAGTCTTCTAGTGATCTTGGGTCCTTCCGGCTGTTATAACTGGCCTCCGGGGGCATTGACAAGGGCAAACATATATATCCTTTCATAAAAAGAACAAATTTTACACCCCAGTGGCTTCCCATAAGCTTTTCTAGGGAAAGAGGTGGAGTGAACCATTCTCCCTAGAGTGAGCCTGGCACATTCTCAGGATGCCTGGCCATTGGCTAAAATATCCAGGGCTCAAGCAGTATTTGCTGTCTTCTTTACCTTAACGAATAAGGAAAATAAATACAGCTTCTTCATGGACTAATAGGCCCAGGTCCATACCCCCATTCCCTTTGGAGCTTCCTGCTCTCAGGTGAAAAGGTCAGGAAGGAAGAAAGCCCAGGGGCTTTCCAGAATCTGCCTGTCCACACCATTTCCACCCTATATTCCCAGTTCCCAAACTGAGCAAGGCTCAAGGCTTGCTACTTGGCCTTTGACAGTCATCACATTTTGATCATCTTCAGTTTCCTTGGGGATTTTCAAAGTGATGAAGGGCCACAGGAATACGATGCCCACTGAGAGTATGAAGCATTTCCTGATGGAACACCGCATCGCGTCTGCGTCAGGATACGGTTCCTATAGCAAGAAGTCAACGTGTACAGCTGGAGGACTCTCTCCCTCCAGTCCATGCCTAGAACTTCCCTTCTGCCCTCTGGAAGGCTTCTCCACTTGTATTAACCACCCCATGTCTGCCCCCATATTCTATCTTTCCTCATTGTTAACTTATTTCCAAGATCTCAGTTCCCTATGACCTCCGCCTCCTGGGTTCAAGCGATTCTCCCGCCTCAGCCTCCCGAGTAGCTGGGATTACAGGCACGCACCACTGCGCCTGGCTAATTTTTGTATTTTTAGTAGAGACGGGGTTTTACCATGTTGGCCAGGCTGGTCTCGAACTCCTGACCTCAAGTGATCTGCCCGCCTCAGCCTCCCAAAGTGCTGGGATTACAGGCATGAACCACTGTGCCTGCCATCCAAGCACACCCTTTTATCTAATCTAGGAACCTGATACAATAGAGCCTTATTCCCTGCTAAAGAAGGAAGATCACATGTCCCGTGATGATATTTGTTGCATTCACTTCATATGCTTGGAGATTCAACTTCCCCAAAGTCTCCCCTACTCAAAATGATGAAGGTTGGCTGAAGCTTTAGTGATACAGTCAATTTTTTTTTTTTGAGACGGAATCTCACTCTGTTGCCCAGGCTGGAGTGCTGTGGCACAGCATCAGCTCACTGCAAGCTCCACCTCCCGGGTTCACGCCATTCTCCTGCCTCAGCCTCCCGAGTAGCTGGGACTACAGGTGCCCACCACCATGCCTGGCTAATTTTTGTATTTTCAGTAGAGACGGAGTTTCACCTTGTTAGCCAGGATGGTCTCGATCTCCTGACCTCATGATCCGCCCGCCTCGGCCTCCCAAAGTGCTGGGTTTACAGACGTGAGCCACCGTGCCTGGCTGATACAGTCAATTTATCTGAGTAAACAGATGGCCATTGTACTTTCCTTACCCCTGCTTTTTTACTTTATTTTTTGAGACAAGGCCTCGCTCTGTTGCTGAGACTGGAGTGCAGTGGCGTGATCATGGCTCACAGCAGCCTTGACCTTTCGGGCTCAAACGATCCTCCCACCTCAGCCTCCCAAGTAGCGGGGATGACAGACGCACACCACCACACCCAGCTAATTAAAAAAAAAAATTTTTTTTTGTAGAGATAGGCTCTCCCTGTGTTGCCCAGGGTCATCTTGAATGCCTGGGGTCACGTGATCTTCCTGTATCAGCCTCTGAAAGTGCTGGGATTACCGGCGTGAGCCACCACACCCTGCCTCCCACATTTTTAAAAACCAAATCAAACTATTAAAACAACTAAACCTGAAGTGTTGCCAAATGCCATGCCAAATTGGTGTCTTTCACTTTTTTTCATAAAGAGTATCCTTAATTTATTCACAGACCTTGATTAGAACATGATTCTGTTAACTTAGAGTAAAAAAAAAAAAATCCTTTCCTGCATGTTGGGTTATTGGAATTCAGGCTGGCTCAGCCTCAGAAGTGCTTGTATGCTGCTCTCTTCCTCTGTGAGTGTTTTTTCTCTAGTGAGATGTGTTTCTCTGATTGCTTCAAGATTATCAGAGGAAAGGCTTTAACATGCCTTCTCACCCCTTCTTGATTCTTTCCCTGTGTGATCAGTACACAAAAGAAAAGCTGTAGTCAGTGATTTCTGTGCTCCTGAGGCCATACTGTTCTCTAATCTTCCCCATTCCAGGGATGCCTTCCAGTTTAGTATTTTGGTAGAGGTTAACATGCTTTTCTCCCTTAGCCACTTCGCTTTTTGATGAGTTATAAAAGTAGGCTGGGCACAGTGGCTCACGTCTGGAATCCCAGCTCTTTGGGAGGCTGAGGCAGGAGGATTGCTTGAGCCCAGTAGTACTGAGACCAGCCTGGGCAACACAGGGAGAGCTCCACCTCTGTTTAAGAAAAACAAATAATAACAATAATACTTATATCTCCAGGTAATCACAGTGATGAGGAAAAAAAAATCTTATAGTAGTAAGGCTTTACAGATTAAACTTTTCTTACTTGGCTTCCTTTAGGAAAGACTTTTAGTCCCATAGGTGATTCACATACAAACCTCTTCATGTAAAAGAAATAGGCCTCTCTTCTCTAGACCATAAATGTGTGCGTGTGTGTGTGTGTGTGTGTGTGTGTGTGTGTGTATACACCGCTGGGCATGGTAGCTTACGCCTGTAATCCCAGCACTTTGGGAAGGCGAGGCAGGTGGATCACCTGAGGTCAGGAGTTCGAGACCAGCCTGGCCAACATCACGAAACCCCTTCTCTACTAAAAATACAAGAATTAGCCAGGCATGGTGGCATGTGCCTGTAATCCCAGCTATTCAGGAGGCTGAGGCAGGAGAATCACTTGAACCTGGGAGGCGGAGGTTGCAGTGAGCCGAGATTGTGTTACTGTACTCCAGCCTGGGCAACAGAGCAAGACTCCACCTCAGGGGAAAAAAAAAAGGGGTGGGGGCTTTTGGGCCAGGCGAGGTGGGACTTGGATAAAGATCACCCAGTGAAAGTGTGTGGGCACTCAGGCCTTCAATCCCAGCATTTCAGGAGGCCAAAGCAGGAGGATCACTTGAGGCCAGGAGTTGGAGACCAGCCTGGGCAACATAGTGAGACCCCGTCTCTACAAAAAGTAAAATTAGCCAGGTGTAGTGGCACATGCCTGAAGTCCCAGCTACTCGGGAGGCTGAGGTGGGAGGATCGCCTTAGCCTAGTAGGTCGAGGCTGCAGTGAGCTGAGATTGTGCCACTGCACTCCATCCAACCTAGGGGAGAGTGAGACCCTCTCTGTCTCTCTCTCTCAAAAAAAAAAAAAGGCTTTAGGCAGGGAATAAGGCTCTAATTGCAGTTAAAGGGTTTCACCACCACAGGCATAGCTCTGTTCCCCTTTGGTACCTCCCGTGTAGTTTCCCAGTCACGGAGGGAAGACTGCTGTCATTCAGCCCTTTGAGTTCAACAGACTTCTGGAAAAGGCAGGAGACAGAAAAACAAAAAGGAGCTGGGGTGATAAGGACCAGTCACTCTAGGAGTAATGAACAGAGGGTGAGGCCAGGCACAGCAAACAAAGGTCTCCCCAGTTTTCTATCCTTGAGCTAAGCTCCCTCTGTGATGTTACTGTTGTGTCCTAGCCACCTACTCCCCATTGTCAGAGGAATGCACATGCAGGACTTACATGTGACCTGTTTGTGCTTCATCATTGGGAGCTATGACTTCGCATTCACCCTAAAGACCAGCATCAGTATCTTTTTAGATACTGAGCACTCACCTCCCCACCCGCACCGTGTCCCCTACTTCCTTATGTATCTCCTACATTCTCTCCTTCCCTCCTGTTGGTTCCACTGACGCTTAGGCTCGGACTCCTACTCCCTCTCGCCTTCCCAAGTTCTTCACCCCTGCAGTTATCCTCTTTCTCTTCTGCATGATCCACTTCCTTTCTCTTCTGCGTGATCCACTTCTCCCTTTCTACTGGACGATTCTCATCACTAGGAAAAGGAGGTTTATTATCTTCCAGCAGGAAGAAGGCAAAAAGCAAAATGCCTCCCTGAATTCGTGTTCTTTTCCAGTTCTGTGCCATTTTTCTACAACTGCACACAGCAAAGCCCCTTGAAAGTGTTGTCTTTGTTAATTAGCCTCGCTTCATTTCACATTCTCCCTTCTTATCTTACTCAACCTTTCTGCAACTTTGACTCAGTTGACCGCTACTGCCTCCTTGAAAGACTTTCTGGGGGTGCAGCCTGGTGCGGCGGCTCACACCTGTAATCCCAGCACTTTGGGAGGCCGAGGCAGGCAGATCACGAGGTCAGGAGTTTCAGAGCAGCCTGGCCAACATGGTGAAACCTCGTCTCAAAAAAAAAAACAAAAATTAGCTGGGCGCAGTGGTGCGCGCCTGTAGTCCCAGCTACTGTAGCATCGCTTAAACCTGGGAAGTGGAAGTTGCAGTGAGCCGAGATTGCACCACTGCACTCCAGCCTGGGTGACAGATCGAGACTCCGTCTCAAAAAAAAAAAAAGACTTTCTGCTCTGGCATCTCTCTTGCCACGCTGATTGGTCCCTCTCAGTTTCCTTTCTTGGCTCACTCTCTTCCCACCTTGTATATGTAGCAGTCACATAGGGCTCTCTTCTCTTCCTACACAGTTTCCCTGGGTGATTTTATCCGAGTCCCATGGCTGTAATATAGATACACACACACACACACACACACACACATATACATGAATGTGTGTATGTATGTTATCAGGTAACTCCCAAATCTTATCTCTAGCCCTGACTCTTATCTTGATCCCTATCCTGAGCTCCAGATTACCTGACTATTCAACATCTTCCATTGGATGATAAGATATCTCAACTTTAACAGAACCAAAATAAGACTACAGATTCCTCCTACCTCCCAAATCATTTCCTCCCCAAGCTTTTTCTACCCCAGTATACAGCACCACCACTCACCCAGTTAGAGAAAAAAAAAAAATCAGGGAGTTATACTTGGTGCCTCTCTCCTTGTTTTTTCTTTTACTCTTGATTTTTATATAGAGACAGGGTCTCGCTATGTTGGACAGGCTTGTCTTGAACTCCTGGCCTCAAGTGATCCTCCTGCCTTGGCCCCCAAAGTGCTGGAATTATAGGTGTGAGCCACCACACCCAGCCTTCTTTCTCCTTAATACTCCACAGTCTATTTAATCCTGCTACCTTTTCCTCCAAAATTTACCCAGAATATGACCACTTTTCAAAATCATCTTCTGAACTACTGCAACCACCTCCTAATTGATCTCTCACCTCTACCTTGATTCTTCTGCAATCTGTTGTCCACATGGCAGTCAGACAGACCTTTTCAAATTGTAAATCAAGTGATACCCACTCCCTGCCTACAATTCCCCAGTGCCTTCCCACTGCAAATAAGATGAAACCCAAATTCCTACCCATGGTGTGCAGGCTTTCACCTGATCTAGTGTTTGGTTTTTTTGTTGCTGTTTTTTGTTGTTGCTTTTTTTTTTTTTTTTTTTTGAGACAGAGTCTCGCTCTGTCGCCCAGGCTGGAGTGCAGTGGCATGATCTCCGCTCACTGCAAGCTCTGCCTCCCGGGTTCATGCCATTCTCCTGCCTCAGCCTCCTGAGTAGCTGGGACTACAGGTGCCCGCCACCACTCCCGGCTAATTTTTTTGTATTTTTAGTAGAGACGGGGTTTCACTGTGTTAGTCAGGGTGGTCTCGATTTCCTGACCTTGTGATCTGCCCACCTCGGCCTCCCAAAGTGCTGGAATTACAGGCGTGAGCCATCGCTCCCGGCCGCTGTTTGTTTGTTTTTTGAGACAGAGTCTCACTCTGTCGCCCAGCCTGGAGCGCAGTGGTGCGATCTCAGCTCACTGCAACCTCCAGCCTCCTGGATTCAAGTGATTCTTCTGTCTCAGTCTCCTGGGTAGCTGGGATTACAGGCCCCTGCCACCGCACCCGGCTAATTTTTGTATTTTTAGTAGAAACGGGGTTTAGCCATGTTAGCCAGGCTGGTCTCGAACTCTTGACCTCAAGTGACCCATCCGCCTCAGCCTCCCAAAGTGCTGGGATTACAGGCGTAAGCCACCACGCCCCCCTGATCTAGCATTTTGCCTGCTGCTTTGACCTCATCTCCCTCCCCACTCTCCAGCCTCAGGGACTTTCTTTTTCTTTTGTTTTTCTTGGTATGTCCATCGGACATACCAAGCTGTTTCGTGACTCAGGGTCTTTGCACATGCTGTTCCTCTTTAAAATTTTTTTCTATTTTTTTTTTAATTTTACAATATCTTCATGACATTCAATGTTCTTCTTAGAACTCTCTACTATAGATTTTCCAATAGCTGCTTTCTTCCTAACATTCAGATCTGAGCTCTGATGTTCTCTTTGCTGCCTTGGATCACTGTGGCTAACAGCGCTTGCCACCCCTCCCATTCCAGCCTCCCAGTAGTTTTATCATGTATTCTGTTTTTCTCATCATTTATTTCATTGTTTTGTTTTGTTTTTGAGACAGAGCCTCACTCTGTTGCCCAGGCTGGAGTGCAATGGCACGATCTTGGCTCACTGCAACCTCTGCCTCCAGGGTTCAAGAGATTCTCCTGCCCCAGCCTTCTGAGTAGCTGGGATTACAGGCATGCGCCACCACACCTGGCTAATTTGTGTATTTTTAGTAGAGACAGGGTTTTGCCATGTTGGCTGGGCTGGTCTCGAACTCCTGACCTCAAGTGATCCGCCCGCCTTGGCCTCCCAAAGTGCTGGAATTACAGGCGCGAACCACTGCGCTTGGCCTCTCAGCATTTATTTCTACCAGAAGCTAACTTACTTCTTTGTGTGTGTGTTTATTGTCTGTCTCCATCCACTAGATTAGAATATAAGCCCTTAAAGGGCAGGGACTTTGTTTGATTCAGTGCTGTATCCATAGCACTCTGCATAAAACCTGATCCAGAGAACATGCTAAACAAGTATTTATTAACTTGCCAATTATAGGGACTACATGATAATGGTGAATGGTCATCTTTCTTCAACAAACACTATGCTAGGTGCTAGGGGCACAGCGGTGTCAGTCAGGGGGACTGGGCAGTACTCCAGAGAAGGGCAGTATATGGGTGATGGTTAAGCGCTCAGATTCGGGACTCAGACAGCCAGAGCTGGAATCTGGTTCTGCAAGACTTATTGTCCATGTGACCTTGGCCAAATGACAGCCTCTCTGAACCCCAGTTCCTCATCTATAAAATGGAGATAAAAACGATGGCTACCCAGGACAGGGCTGGGCTAACAAAAAATAAATAAAAATAAAAATAAATGATGGCTACTTTCAAGAGTTCTTACGAGGATCAAAAGAGATCATCCTATATAAATAGTTATTATTTTTAAAAACAGAAAAAAGAGAGTATCCACATAAACATTCTTGGCTTATAGCAAGCACTCAATAAATGTTAGCTGTTTCTGTAAGGAATGATTACCATCTTCAACCATGGAGACCAGCACTGCTTGCTTTCCCATTATACCTGAGAGGTCCATCTTCCCTTATTCCTAAATCCTCATCCCAGTTTTTTTTCTTTTAGATTTTCACACAGATGCACAACACTCTGAGAACCTTTCTGTATCTTGCCATCTGATTCCCACTTTTCTAAGGGATTTAGAGGAGGCAAAAAATAGAGAAGGAGAAATAAATATTAAAAAGCCCTGACACCCCACCCAGGTTCCTCATCCACATTGCAGTTAGGGGTGGCCATCCATGACAGTGTGCCTGTTGCCAGTGTGTGTTCCAGGAGTGGGCTCTGCACTTTGCTGGAAGCCAGAGTTCTCCTTTAAGCCTAAGAGCATGAGCTAGACCCATAGGGTAGGGATGGGCCAGGAGCTCACCTCCATTCCAGCATTTATCTCTGGGTACCGTAGCTAATGCTCCCTTGGCAACCATTGTTTTTTCTGAAGGGCAAGAATCTCATCATCCCACTAGTCTCTTCTGGCAGGTGGAGAAGGGGCGTGGCCACAGGCATGTGTAATTGGCCCACACACTGTTTCTTAAAAATCTGATGAAAGATTGAACATTTAAGAATTGGAGGCTGGGTGCAGTGGCTCACGCCTGTAATCCCAGCACTTTGGGAGGCCGAGGTGGGTGGATCATGAGGTCAGGAGTTTGAGACCAGCCTGACCAATATGGTGAAACACTGTCTCTAATAAAAATATAAAAAATTAGCTGGGTGCGGTGGCACGTGCCTGTAGTCCCAGTTACTTGGGAGGCTGAGGCAGGAGAATAGCTTGAATCTGGGAGGCAGAGGTCGCAGTGAGCTGAGATCGTGTCACTGCACTCCAGCCAGGGGGGAAAAAAAAAAAGAATTAGGAGAGCTGAACAGGCGTGGCTCACGCCTGTAATCCCAGCACTTCGGGAGGCCGAGGTGGTCGGATCACTTGAGGCCAAGAGTTTGAGACCAGCCTGGTCGACATGGCAAAACCCTGTCTCTACTAAAAATGAAAAATTAGTCAGGCGTGGTAGCACATGCCTGTAATCCCATCTGCTTGGAAAGACAAGGCAGGAGAATTGTTTGAGCCCGGAAGGTGGAGTTTATAGTGAGATGAGATCATGCCACTGCAATCCAGTCTGGGTGACAGAAGGAGACTCTGTCTCAAACAAAAATCAAACAAACAAACAAAAACTGGGAGAGCTTTTATATAAAAGCCTAAATAACTGGCTTCTCTTGAAAAATGGAAACGTGGTGCAACCCTGGTCTGAGCAGTGATGGCCCCCAGTAGCTGGACTTGCATTCTCACCTCTCCACAGACTTCACTTTGTTCACCTCCCCCATGTACCTGTCTGGCTTCTACACAGGCATTTGAGTTTTTAACTCTTGCTTTCACTCAGGTCTTGAGAGGTTCGAAGACTCTATGCTATTTCTTGGTCTTAGATGTGGCACCTGTTTAGCATAGGGTGCTATAAAGATAAGGCACAAAGTGATCCCTGGGGTTGAAGGGCTGTGGGTAGAGATAGAAGGAAAATGTGGCTAGGCAGGGTGGCAGATTATACACCTGTAATCCCAGTACTTTGGGTGGCTGAGTCAGGCAGATCACCTGAGTCAGGCAGATCACCTGAGGTCAGGAGTTCAAGACCAGACTGGCCAACATGGTGAAACCCCATCTCTACTAAAAATACAAAAATTAGCCGGGCGTTTTGGCCTGTGCCTGTAGTCCCAGCTACTCGGGAGGCTGATGCAGGAGGATCTCTTGAACCCAAGAAGTAGAGGTTGCAGTGAGATCGCGCCACTGCACTCCAGCCTGGGTGACAGAGGGAGACTCTGTCTCAAAAATAAATAAATAAATAAATACAGACCAGTGAATAAAATAAATGGTGAAAAATAAATGGAAGAGAAAAGATATAATTATTGATTTTGTATATGATGTAGACGATATTCTGGGAAAATTCCATTGTTCATGGGGAATATAGAGGGAGTGACTGAAATTAAGATTATTGTTTTTTTTTAAATTATTTTATTTTATTTTTGAGACAGAGTCTCTCTCTGTCACCCAGGCTGGAGTGCAGTGGCGCAATCTCGGCTCACTGCGAGATTCGCCTCCCGGGTTCATGCCATTCTCCTGCCTCAGCCTCCGCAGCAGGTGGGACTACAGGCACTGGCCACCATGGCTGGCTAATTTTTTGTATTTTTAGTAGAGACGGGGTTTCACTGTGTGAGCCAGGATGGTCTCAATCTCCTGATCTTGTGATCTGCCTGCCTCGGCCTCCCAAAGTGCTGGGATTACAGGCATGAGCCACCGTGCCGGCCGATTATTGTTACTTTTTAGAGACAGGGTCTTGCTTTGTCACCCAGGCTGGAGTGCAGTGGCACAATCATAGCTCACTGCAGCCTCAAACTCCTGGGCTCAAGGGATCCTCCCACCTCAGCCTCCCAAGTAGCTAGAACCACAGGTGTGTGCCACCACACGTGGCTATTTTTTTTCTTTTGGAGACGGAGTCTTGCTCTGTCGCCCAGGTTGGAATGCAGTGGTGCGATCTCAGCTCACTGCAGCTCTGCCTCCTGGGTTCAAGCAATTCTCCTGCCTCAGCCTCCTGGGTAACTGGGACTACAGGCACACGCCACCACACCAGGCTAATTTTTGTATTTTTAGTAGAGACGGGGTTTCACCATGTTGGCCAGGATGGTCTTGATCTCCTGACCTCATGATCTGCCCGCCTTGGCCTCCCAAAATGTTGGGATTACAGGCATGAGCCACCGTGCCTGGCCATACAAAGGTAATATTGTTTTGTGAAACTTTTGTTGCTATTGCTATGTACAAAAAAATACTGGAGATAAGTCAAAGTTTGAAGCCACTGTAGTCTAGAGGGGAGAGAATGGTTCGATGTTGGCAGATTAAGGGGCAGCTGGTGGTGAGATCTGAGATGAAGCTTCTGTGTCCTCTTTCTTCAGCTTTAGAAGTCAGTTTGGTGTTTTGGGAAGATCAAAGTTAGGTACTAGGATGAACATTCTTTTCCTAGCTCTGCTATTACTGTCTGTGTGATTTTTGGCTAATTAACCTTTCTGAGTCTCAATTTCTCCATCTGAAAAATGGTAACACTAATACCACTCATTTCACAGGGCTGATGTTCTATGATTTGCTCCCGGCTAATGGCCTTGTCTTATTCATGTTATTACAGTATTTCTAGTGGTTCCCCTATCCCCGCTTCCTGCCAGGAAAGAGGAAAAAGGGAATTCACCTGTAGCATTTAGTGTGTCAGACGCTGTGCTGGGCACTCAGCATGATTTGGTTGAACATGGAATTCCAAATTCCCAGTTTCAACTGGGAATTTACAGTGGTGGTCTGTAAAGTGCTGACACAGTGTTGCAGCAGTTTTCATTCTATTGTTAAGACTTTCATCCAAGATGCAGGCAATTCCAAACATTCCAGCTATCCAAGGCCATTGAGCATGCTGCCAGGGGCCCCTCAGCCCAGAGACCCAAATTAGGGGTGCTGGTGGTGCCACTGCGGGATGAACAGGGAACATGAGTTTCCCTCTAATCCTCACAGCTTCTCTAAGCAGCTCACAGGATTGCTCCTTGGGAGTCCAGGGCTTCTCAAGTTGCCCAACTGGAATGGGAAGAAACACGCCCTGAAGCCCTGGTGTGGCTAACTTTGCCCCTCCCAATCCCCGTGGGCAGGGCTGGCAGCACCGTGGGAATGTTCCACTTGTCAGCGCCTGACCCCCACAAGGGTCTAGCCCTTTGAGCCCCACACCCAGGTAAACCAAAGCCCAGGACTGAGGGTGCAGTTACCCTGGATCTCAGTTGGGCTGAGTCATCAGAGAGGGATTCCAGGACAGGAGAGGAAGAGCAGATGGGAGGAGGAAGAGGTATTTATTAGTTACCAGGTGGCTCCCAGGACCCAGACCCAGCTTCCCAAGAACAGAAACCCAGAAATGAGCGCCTGGTCAAGGTGTAAGCTGTTCCCCAAGGGCAGCCCCGACAGCTGGGGCTAAAGCAGAACAGTGAGCACAGAAGTCCACCATAAGGGACCAGCTCAGCAGTAGACGATAGCATAGGAGGGGTTGCTGGTTCCCGGGAATTAAGCAGGGCAGGGAATGGGGGAGGATGGGTTTATCTCACCTGTGGTGCCCACCCATTGTGGAGGCTCCCTCAACACCGTTCTGAGCCTCCTTCCTGCTTCATGTGGTCAACCAGATTCTTCTTTGTCCAGCCCAAAGCTCCATCCTCAGCCAATGGTAGCCACAGAAACTCAAGGCCATTTACCCTCCCTTTCAACAAATATTTGTGGAGCGTGTGCCACGTGCCTGGTGCCAAGGAGAGAGACATTACTTCTTCCCTCTAGAGGCTTACAATCTGGCAGGAGAGGAATATGTATGGGGAGAGTGCAGGGACACCGCGGAAAAAAGACAAATACTGAGTTATAAGTGTTGTAATAGGGGGTAGTAACAAGACGTTGTAGGACTACACAAAATAAAACAAGGAGGCCAAATCGCAAGCGTTTGTGGGTTTCACAGGGGACATCTGACAGCAAACATTCCAGGGCACCGAGAGATGGTGAGGAGAGATGATGGCATTGAATTGGAGAGATGAGCTGAGATGGACTGCGCAGAGGACGAGGGAAAGCCGGTGCACTGGAGACTGGGGGAGACGAGAGGATCCACCGGGTTGGGAGGGGAAGGGTGGTGGTAGAAGCACGAGCAAGGCAGAGACCGGAGGCCAGGGCGGAAGGGAGGCTCACGGACACCTGGAGCCCTGAAAAGTTGTCAGAGGCGGCGAGGGGGTGGGGAGCGGACCCTACACGTGCGCTACGTGCTGCGCCGGCCGCTGGGGAGCCCGGTCTGCCCCCCTCATCCCAGAACCCGGTCCCAGGGCAGTTGCACGGCGCCCAGGGGGAGGGGAGGGAGGAAGTCCCCCCAAGTTTGCAACCCGGCAGCGTGGTCTTCGCAACGCGGTTACCGGAAGGAACGCGAGGAGCGCCTCATCACCAGGCGGGTGTATCTAGGGGCGAAGGCTGCAGATCTGGGGCGCAGGCTGGAAAGTGGGGTGCAGCCGGTTGACGTGAGGTCTGGGAGTTGGATGGACCGAATGAGGATGGAGACACCTAGGGATGTGTCCGAAGGATCTGGCGCTGCACAAATGAGGGCGGTTTGGGGGACGGAGGCCCGGGCGGGGGCGGAGTGTTGTCCAAGAGTAAGGAGGGGGTTCCTGGAGACGTGGCACTCGGAGCGGGGCTGGGTTCCGCTCCGGCCGCCTGGGCTGCAGCTCCGCTATGGCCTAGGAACCCGAACCTGACCCCGCCTAGGCCTCGCACCCAGCCCTCTGGGAGCTCCGGCCCCGGCACCTCCAGGCTGGGGTTGCCCAGGTCCGGCCTCTGGGGCGTCCAGCCGGCCCTAGACGAGACAATGCGGCCCGGGCCCCGCCCCCGGAGGATGACGCGCCCGGCTGCCGGCCAGTCAGCGCCCGTGGCTAGGCTCTTTAAAAAAAGAAGGGCCGGCGCGGTGTGGCTGTCAGCTGGGAGGGATCCCTCCGCCCATGTAAACATCATAAAGGGCAAGGGGAGCGTCTGTTGTGGGCGGGGGAGCGGCTGCCTTCCCGGAGAGTCCTCTCGGTCCCTAGGTTCCCCTCAAGACGCCGGCAACCGCCCCGTCCCTTAACGTCACACCGGGTCTGCTGGGAGCCAAACAGCTGCGGCCTGATCTGGGAGCGATAGAATCTCATCACTTAGGGTCACTACCGGAAATGGAGGAAGCCGGACTGGGAGACCTTGAGAGTTGGGAGCGAGAGGGAATCGTAGGACGCAGCTGAGAATTGGGAAAGATTTTCTTAGGCTTGTTCTTCCTGTCCATCTCAGTTAAATAATAATCATAACTCATGTAAGTCTAGAATTTGTCTCAAAGTTATGCCTACCTGGCTCGTAGGATGCCAACGTTAGGAGTGAAAATAGTCAACGCTCTCCCGAGAGAGCACATGACACTACATGAGCTTCATCAAGACCCTCGGAGGCCCAGAATGCGCACCAAAGAGCCATCGACGATAATTCTTCTACCCAACTTTTATTTAGTATTATTAAATATTCAGTAAAGTTAAAAGAAATTTGCATCAAATTCCTCTATACCCACTACCTAGATTCTATTATAACTTGCCACATCGCATATCTATCTTGCACTGATAATTCTTTTAATAGTGTATTAGCTGTCCCCTGGGCTTGACTCTCCATTGCAGTAGGGAGCAGGAAAAGACTCCAGGTCCCAAAGCCCTGGAGAGCTAAGAAAAGGAATACGTTCTCCCAGGACCACTGTGAACTCTTTCCTGGGCCCGGTACCTCTGGGAAAAATTTGTTGAAGGGAAGGCGGTTTTCTTCTCCCCCCACGCCCATCCCCCCTTTTAATTGAAGACTTCTTAAGCATAAGAGATTTCCTTCCACTAGGTGAATCTGAAAGCGAACTAAGATCTTGACAAACATTCCTTGCATACGTTTGGCAGCTTTCTGGATGAAAGAGGTCATTTCAATGTTGACGTTCTACTTTTTGAGCTTCCTCCTTTTTTCTGAGGCTGCTGGACACTACCCCCCCACCCCCGTCCCCCGTCTCCCGCCAAAAGAAAAAAGGCGCCTCAAAAGTGTTCGTATCTCTTAAAGTTCGTTAACCTCTTTGCCTCCGTTGCCTGCTCTGCAAAATGAGGATAATATCGTACCTACTCAATATGGTGGTTGTGAAGACTCAGTGAGCTAATACATGCAGAGCGTTTAGAGCAGTGCTTTACACACAGTAGCATTAAATAGCGGCTATCACCCATAAGCACATAACTCCCAGATTTATATCTCCAATTCTGATCTCGCCCCTTCAGATTTATACCCTTCAGTCTGTTGAAGGATACCCCGTTGTGTATTTCTACCTGTATGTACCAGAGACACCTCAAATTCAAAATGTCCAGAAATGAACACAGTATCTTCTTCCCTTGAGTAACTCGCCTTCTGTATATAATTGGGGTGAATGTTCCAGCAATGCCAACGGGCTAGCATCTACTCAGGCAGGTACGCCAGACATCTGAATCTTAATACCTCGTCGTCCCCCCTCAATCTGTCACTATGTCCTAATTTTATTTCCTACCTTTGCATCCCTTCCTCATAATTATCAGCACCACTGCCTTAATTTAGATCCTATCATTCCTTGTCTGGATTATTTCAAGTCTTTCGCCCCTCTCAAGTCTGACCTCGTCATAGACTGTTTGTGGATGATTATTTTCCCTGCAACATCTCCACCTCCCAATAGTCTCCATCACTTATTAGCCATGTGAATTATGGCAAATTGCTTAACCTACCTATGCCTCACTTTCCTTATTGTAAAGTGGAAATAAGAGTACCTATCTCATAGGGTTGTGTGATTAATCATGCGATGCAATTAGAACAGTGCCTAGGATATGAAAGTGCCCCAAAATGTTACGTTATTATTATTATTACTACTATTGCCTTCTCATGAACATGCTATGTGTATGTTCAAGCTGTTATCTCTACTGGAAAATCCTTCTCCGTTTCCAATACTCTTTCCAAAACCCCCTCCTGGGTTTTACTGCACCTACCATTGTGTACTGACGTGATTGAATGATTGGCTTATGGGACTGATCCTTTCTACCAGACTTAACTTCTTCAGGGCAGGAACTCTGATACATAGTAAATGGTCAATAAAAGTTGGCTCAACTGAAACCCTAAGGATAAACTCCATCCACAGCGGAAGGCGCGGCCCCGCCCGATTCGGGGGCGGGGCGGGGAGCCGCGCGCGGAGGGTGGGTCGATGGGGGTGGGGTGGGACTCTTTTTCCTCGCCGTGGCGGCGGAGGCGCACGGCGTGGGCTTGCGGCGAGACGTCGTCGTCGGAGGCTGAAAAAGCCCAAGGTGCTGCCGTTGCCCGTACAACTCGGACTTGCTGTTGCTCGAGCCGCGTCTGCACGGGTCTCGGACCGAGCGGAGCTCGCAGCCTCGGTCCCGGAGCCCACCTTCGCCTCGCCCTTGCCCAGCCTGCGGTGATGGAGGCGGCCACCACACTGCACCCAGGCCCGCGCCCGGCGCTGCCCCTCGGGGGCCCGGGCCCGCTGGGCGAGTTCCTGCCTCCACCCGAGTGCCCGGTCTTCGAACCCAGCTGGGAAGAGTTCGCGGACCCCTTCGCTTTCATCCACAAGATCCGGCCCATAGCCGAGCAGACTGGCATCTGTAAGGTGCGGCCGCCGCCGGTGAGTCACGCCAGCACCCCGGATCCAGCTCGTGGCTGGGGGAGGGAGCGGGGACGCGCGGGTCCGGGGAGGCCCGAGGCGCGGGGGGCGGGGAGCCGGTCGCCCCGCCGGCCTCGTCAAGTTTGGGGCTGCCTAGAAGGTCGGAGTTGAGGCCGGGGGAGGAAGACGGGGGCTTCTCCAGGGTGGGAGATGAGGAGCGTGGGAGAACCGGGGGCTTCGGCGGTGCCATGGGAGGGCCGGGTCGCCGCGGGGCTCGGGCGGCCGGGTGCGGAGGTTCGGGTTCGGTTCCGGATGGAGTGATGGCAGGAGCCGGGGGTGGTCGCGGGGGAGTTTCCTCACGGAGCCTGGCGGAGGCGCGGGCTGGAGGGAGGACTGTGGGCCCGGCGAGGCTCGGCAGGCTGGTCCTCGCCTCCGCTCCCGGGGTGCGGGGGTGTGTGATGGGGTGGGGTGGGGGTGGGGGACTTGCGAGTTGTCGTGCGAGGAGGAAAGTTTTCAATATGGCGGCGGGAGCCCCTGGTCCTTTGTGTGGTGGCGGCGTCGGCCCGGAGCGGCCCTCACCTGGGCGCCCCACCCTCCAGACCAGGGCACCCCTCCACCGCCTGGTCCCCGGGCCTCCAGGTGTCCCCCGGGCCGGGGTCAAGAAGGGGGCGGCCAGCGCTGGCTGGGGGCGGGGAGGAGCCGCGGGTCCAGCCCCGGAGCGGATGTTTGTGGGGGGCGTTAGTGTCTGGGGGACACTTTTGGGGCGGCGGGGGCAGGACGGGCGGCGGTGGGCCCCGATGCCCGCCCGCGCTCCCGAACGCGCACACTCCCGGCTTCTTCTGGCTCAGCCGCTCGGCTCCCCGGGGAGGCCTGGGCTGTGCTGGTGGGGATGGGGTCCGGGCGAGGCCGTGTTTGTAGGGGAACGTCAGACGGAGAGACCTCCGAAGATTTCGTGCTCGTTTCCCCCGGCCCTCAGGCTCCGGGCACTGAAAGGCAGTCACCCACCGCAGCCCTTCCAGCCCTGTCTACAGCGCCTCGGGCCTGGGGGCAGTGAGTGAGGGGTGGGTGTTGCTGAAACCATCCGTAACGGCTCCAACGTTCGCTGAGGAGAGCCCGGCCAACTCCTTCCTCCGTGGCCGGAACTGGGTGCGCTCCTACACCCCTGTTTTTTTTGCCCACCTTTCGGGAGGGTCTGAGTCCGAGTTGGCCTAAGCGGCGGTTGGACGGGCTGGGACCGTTGGGAAGCGGGTTTAACTGCCTTTCCTGCTGTTTAAGAATCTTCTCCCCACTCTCTTCCCCCACCCCCACTTCTAAGTAGAGGAAGACCCCTTCCCACCCCTTTCTCCCTTAAGCTTGCTTTTTGTAATGACATTTTGAGTTGTAGGGATTCTGTTTGTAATCGTTATGTTTTGGAAAGCTGTTTTCAGGGAGATCCCTGAAAATAAGGCTTCTTAACCCTTCCCTGCCCCAAATTAAAACACGGACACCTACTTTAGTTTTTCTTAAGCAAGTTTGAAAATGGAGATGAAATACATGCTTCAGAAAATAACTGGCCAGCGAATATGAGGGAAATGTTTGAAAATAGATCCATTTCTTACAGCGAAGTGGGCAAGGTTGATTCTTGCTGCTTAAGGGAAGTACGTTTCTCTTAGTGCAAAGAGGCCTGCAGAAGTTATAACAGGGCTGGTTAGAGCCAAGGTTTTAATTCTTGAATAATAGGTCATGTTTCACACTGTAGTAATGTAGCTTCATGTCACATGCTAGGAAGGGTGAATATGAATATTGCACATTTGCATAATGGGATTTTATTCAGAAATTGGGTAACTTGACTAAGTTCTTAGTAACCAAAACGTGGGGAGTCAGGTTCCTGGGAGGTGTCCTCCATGTTGGTATTGTGGTATACCAGGGCTGGGGTAAATCCTTTATCTTGTTTTCTTGTTCTTTGCCTTTTAGAGGGCCCTTTTTCTGAAAAGATAGTGTTGCTCTGGTTAGGCTTGGCTACCCATTTCCTCATCTTGGCTAGAATATTAATGGTAATCTTTGCAAAATGTGTGATCGAATTGCCTTTTTCTCACTCTGAATGTCAGACAGACATGATGGCCACCATTTTGTATTGAGAGTGCTACATAGTACAGCCTGAGGAAAGGGGTTAAAGAGGCACCAATAATCTACAAATACAACCAGTACTCTGTTTGGAGACCTCCTTTGTGTGGAGGGGACTTGCTTCCTCCTTTGTTTAACAAACTCCTTTGCCAAATGGAAAGAGTTTGAGAGTATTTGTTGTTGATATAACCACAAAAAGGGAAATCTTTCCAGAAGTTGTAGCTCTTGAAGAGGGGTCTTGTTGGAACAAAGGCTTCTTAAGAGATGTAAACAGTCTTTGTTTTAGAAACTGTTTTGTTTTTGGGAAAGCTAACTGTGAACAAGTGGTTTCATATAGTTGATATATAGCAACAAAAAAACCCTTCAAGAAGTGTGAAATATTTTCCATGGTGATATATATAATGTCTGTATTTCTGGATGATTTTTGTTCACCGAGTTTTTGGAACACAAATGGTTATATTAGAAGGGGAATTGGAACTATTGGTATTTTACTTGTTAGAAGGTAAGGAGAAGTATAAAACATTTCTGTCTCCTTTTGTTCTTACCTTTGTATCTTTACCAATGGTACTTAATATAGTTTCAGTTTATAGCTGCTTTCTCAGTGAGACTCCCAAACTGCTTGGCTTCTGAAAACTTAGAGTACTTACATTATTTTGTATATGGCAGCTTAGGGGTTCTCAGAAATTTGAAAATATAGTAAGATAAATGTGAGAAAACGTGATTAAGTCAAGAAGACTATACTTCAAATCTGAGTTTGAAGTTTAATACAAACCTTTGTTTCAAATTATATCAACTATGTAGGATAACCAGGCTTGTTTTCTGGACCAAAACCTTCTTAAATTTACAATTCATCTGGCTTCTGGTTTTGTCACCTTTAAAATGCAAATTTTTAATTTCCTCCATGATACTGTACTTAGATGTCTGTTTAAGGACAAATGATATTTTTCCATATCACTTTGTGGTATTTGGAGATGAGTAATTTTAAGGGTGTAACTATTAGGCAGAAAAATAGTTGGCTGCTCAGTAAATACTTTTTTGTCTCCCAAATTTTGATAGGAATATATTTATGGCTTTAGTAACTTATTTTCTTGCTTTCAAATGTCTCACATTTGGCCATAGATAGATTCCACAAATTTCTTTTTTTTTTTTTTTTTGAGACGGAATTTTGCTCTTGTTGCCCAGGCCTGGAGTGCAGTGGCTCATCACAACCTCTGCCTCCCGACCTCAGGTGATCCATGCGCCTCGGCCTCCCAAAGTGCTGGGATTACAGGCGTGAGCCACCGTGCCGGGCCTAGATTCCACAGATTTCTTCTTTGTGTCCGGAGAAGGTTTAAATCAAACCCCAGAGGCCACAAGAGACAAAAATTTTTCAGCTTTAACTTCTTGTGGTTACTAGTTTGATTCCTTCATCTTTATAGCCAAGTGTAAAACTGCCCTTAAATGTTTTAATACAGTCACCATTTTTGAGTGAGCCTGTTGGTTCCACTCCTAGAGAAGAGGGAGGAACTTATACACTTCTTTGTATGGTAGAAGTGTTAATGATATGGAGCTCATTTACTCCCTTTCCAGCGTATCATTCTCCCTAATTTGGGGTTTGATCGACTTAGGCCTAACCCTCTCTCTGTTTTCCCTATTTCTTTGGTGTCATGAAATCTTTCCCTACTTGTATCTTTGGCCACTTTAAGCCTTTAACGTTTAGAGAAGAGGCTTATCAGTAGAAACATCCTTGAGCAAAGGAAGAACTTATAACTACTTAAAAAAAAAACCCTTTTATTGAAATATACCATACAATTCACGAATTTATGATGTGTAATTCAGTGGTTTTTGATATTTTCAGAGTTGTACAACCATCACCACAATCAATTGTAGAACATTTTCATCTCCCTCAAAAGAAACCCTGAACTCACTTGTAACTACTTTTTTTTTCCTTTTTTTAAATTATACTTTAAGTTCTAGGGTACATGTGTACAACGTGCAGGTTTGTTACATATGTACACATGTGCCATGTTGGTGTGCTGCACCCATTAACTCATCATTTACATTAGGTATATCTCCTAATGCTTTCCCTCCCCCCTCCCCCGACCCCTAACTACCTTTTAAGACAAATTTAGGACTATAATGCCCAGGAGAAAAACCTGGTAGGAGGTTGGATTAAGTCCTACAGTTCTAGGCCACAAATGTCTACCTTTTTTTTTTGAGATGGAGTTTTGCTGTTGTTGCCCAGGCTGGAGTGCCATGGCGCAACGTCATGTTGCTCACTGCAACATCCGCCTCCCGGGTTCAAGCGATTCTCCTGCCTCAGCCTCCTGAGTAGCTGGGTGGGCATGCACCGCCACGCCCGGCTAACTTTGTATTTTTAGTAGAGACGAGGTTTCACCATGTTGGTTAGGCTGGTCTTGAACTCCTGACCTCAGGTGATCCACCCACCTCGGCCTCCCAAAGTGCTGGGATTACAGACGTGAGCCACCGCACCTAGGCCACAAATGTCTACCTTAAAGCTAAAACAAACTTCATTTGTTGTAGTTATTGAATGGGTGTTTAGCTAAATTTGACTTTGCCAGTGGTAAATTGGGCACATTAGTAGCCACAAACATATCTACCCAGTTGTAATTCTTAGTGAACTAATAAACAAAACGTGTAGACTTTAAGAATGTAATGTGAATGATATTGCAAATATGAGTCAGCTAAAGATTTGAGTCCCCACCCCCACTGGAAAAATTTCCTTCCCTTCCTATGGTTATAGGGTATGGTTTTAAACATGCAATCTAAACTTTTAAAAGAGCGAAATGAGTAGAGAATTACCTTTGAAAAACATTAATAAACATTCTCTATTAAAAGCCAGGGCCTGAAATTTCCTTTTTTTTTTAATCTCACTCTGTCATCCAGGCTGGCATGCAGTGTTGCAATCAAGGCTCCCTGCAGCTTCCACTTCTTGGGCTCAAGTGCTCCTCCCTCCTCAGCCTCTAATAAATTGTAGGGATGCGGTTTCTCAGTATGTTGCCCAGGCTGGTCTTGAACTCCTGGCTTCAAGCAGTTCTCCCGCTTTGGCCTCCCAAAGTGCTGGGATTACAGGCATGGGCCAGTGCACCTGGCCTGAATTATTTTGTTGAGACACTGATAAGAAAAATTAAGAGAAAATTATTAAACCTTAATTTTATTCTTTCTCTGTTTCTAGGGTAATTTTCTTTATGACCTGTTGGCCTAGACTTAGAGTATTAGAGTATTTCAGGTTGATAGATTAGTGAAAAATGTGTTTACTGGTTTACATTTATAAGTGGGTAGAAATCTGCCAGTGGGGGAATTTTCTCTTGGGTAAAAAAATACAGGGCTGGGCATAGTGGCTCGTGCCTGTAATCCCAGCACTTTTGGGAGGCCTAAGTGGGCGGATCGCTTGAGGTCAGGAGTTCAAGACCAGCCTGGCCAACATAGCGAAACCCTGTCTCTACTAAAAATATAAAAATTAGCTGGGCATGGTGGCAGGCGCCTGCAATCCCAGCTACTCGGGAGGCTGAGGCAGGAGAATTGCTTGAACCCAGGAGGCAGAGGTTGCAGTGAGCCGAGATCACTCCATTGCACTCTAGCCTGGGCAACAGGCTCAAAAAAGAAAACAAACACAACAACAACAACAACAAACAACAACAACAAAAAAACAGTGTAAACTATTTGATTAAAAAAAATGAACCCTGTTTAAATGCTGTAATGGGACCTTTTTGTAGACTTTTGTAACCTTTCATTGTTGCCTTAATTGGACCCCATTAAGGTTGGCTGTAGAAAAGGATAAGGGAAAGCCCGTGCCCCTAAAATGAAAGTGCTAATTAGGTTTCTGGTGTTCAGGGTTTTTTGAAGCCTATGCGTGTACTTCTTTCCAAATGCCATCTATAGGTTTGAAAAACTACTAACCTAGGAGTACCTTGCTTTCATCCTTGGACAGTCCTCTCAGTGTTGAGATTGTTGTGCAATTTTTTTTTCTCTAAGAGAATTTGGTATTTTCTAATATACCTGTTATAGTACAGATCATTGGCAGCCTCAAAAAAAAAAAAAGATGGAATGAAGGTTGGGAACTGGAGGGCTACACATTCTCAAATTTAAGTTTGGGTCTCTTGAAGGGGACTCACCAGAGGGCGTACCGACAAGTCTCTTTGGGGTGAGTGGGTGGGTGAGTTGATACCTTGGGAAAGCCATATTCTTAGGCTGCTGCCATTGACTTTTGATTATTTAAAGTTTGAGATACTAATAACTGGATTTATAAAATCCAGATTGTGAGAAACTTGTTTTAGACATAAGAATGGTATGCAATTGAGAAGTATTTCTTAAGTATTTATTAACTGCTGTGTCCTTGCATGGGATTAAAGAGGAAAAATTAATATGAAAATTAAATGAAAATTGTAAATAAAAATTAAATGAAAAATTAAATTGTACACTTCCACAAATTCATTCAGAAATGTTTCTTTTTCTGTCATTATTAGATGAATTCTTTGAATTTGCTTTTTACAACCAAGTTTATGAACCAGATTAATGAAGAAAAGATGTCTCTAGGACAGTGAGGCATTTCAGTTCCATAATTGTAGGATGTTTGGAACAAAGATGCAGAATTTGACTGGAATGCATTCTTTTAAGTCCTCTACCCCCCACCATGATTTAAGACACTCAGTCCTTTAACTGTAGACCATCCTTCTTAAAGCACCATCAGCATATATCTTTACACATGGCCTTAGAGTCATCCCATATGTGCTGCTGCTGCTTTTTTTTTTTAAGCATTTAAGCTTTCTTTCGGATATAAAAACTAATCATTTTGTTCTGCCAGACCCGTCACTTCAGGGAGTAAATTAAAAAATTTTATTACAAAAAATGTGAAGCATACACAAAAGTGTAAAGAATAGTTACTTTAGCTATTTTCCTGGATAGAAGAGCAGAAAGTGGAGTAGCAGCATTGGAGTTGAGACAAAACTAGGGATCTTCATTTGTAAAGAACAGCTTAGCTTAGCTTTTGTCCTATTCAGGTTATAAGTGACATTTGGGCAATTATGAGGTGAGCTTTCTAGCCTTCAGTCAGTGATGGTCATTTTGCCCAATTAGGTTGGGGATAGTATTTCTCAGTTTTAGTCAATGGCTTTGTTGCTTTGTTACACATTTGTTGGGACATGTCAAGTAACTTGACCAGCTGCAGGTCTGTTGGCACATGGAGGTGTTGGAGTCGGTTGGTGGGTGGAGGTTAGTCTCTGCTAACATCACTTCATTTCTTTATCTGTTCATTTTTGTATTGGCCAGACTTTATCTGAACTTTCTTTTCTTAGGAAGGGGCCTTCTGGTCAGAGTGGGTATTTAGCCTGACAAAACAGAGCTGACATCAGTAGTAACCAAGAAACAGAATGATGTTCTAGCCAGGCATGGTGGCTCTCACCTGTAATTCCAGCACTTTGGGAGGCTCCAGGCAGGAGGATCGCTTGAGGTCAGGCGTTTGAGATCAGCCTGGGAAACATAGTGAGACCCTATCTCTACAAAAGACAAAAAATTAGCTGGGAATGGTGACGTGCACCTGTAGTCCCAGCTGCTCGGGAGGCCAAGGTGGGAGGATGGCTTGAGCTCAGAAGTTCCAGGTTGCGGTGAGCCCTGATCACGCCACTGCACTCCAGCCTGGGCAACAGAGCAAGACGTTTCAAAAACAAACAAAACAAAATGGCTGGGTGCGGTGGCTCACACCTGTAATCTCAGCACTTTGGGAGGCCGAGGCAGGTGGATCATGAGGTCAAGAGATTGAGACCATCCTGGCCAACATGGTGAAACCCTGTCTCTACCAAAAGTACAAAATTAGCTGGGCGTGGTGGTACGCACCTGTAGTCCCAAGCTACTCGGGAGGCTGAGGCATGAGAATCACTTGAACCTGGGAGGTGGAGATTGCAGTGAGCCGATATCGCACCACTGCACTCCAGCCTGGTGACAGAGCAAGACTCCGTCTCAAAAAACAAAAACAAAACAAAAGTCCCTTTCTGGAAAAGAAGTTTTAGGGAAATGAGAATTTGAAGAGTCTGATGAATTACTTGTTAGATTGTTAGGTTCAATTTAAAAATTAGGTCATTGGAAAATATTTTCTATTAATGTCCCTTAAAATCTAAAGACTTCTCCCTGCTTCCTTGAAATAATAACTTCATTTCTGAGATAGGAGATGCCACCAGGCAGGTGGTCACATAATGACCTTTTAGAACTTGTTGATTTCATTTCACATGGTAATCTCTTGTAAAATGCTGTGAAATTTAACTATTATTTTGCAGGGATAAAAAAGAGGTTTATCAAGGGGACTGTGTGTATGTATATTTTTATTTATCACGTTTTTTTCTTTTTTAAAAATTACTTTTTTTTTTTTTGAGATGGAGTTTCACGCTTGTCACCCAGGCTGGAGTGCATGCAGTGGCGTGATCTCGGCTCACCGCAACTTCCGCCTCCCAGGTTCAAGTAATTCTCCTGCCTCAGCCTTCCTAGTAGCTGGGATTACAGGCACCTGCCACCACACCCGGCTAATTTTGTATTTTTAGTAGAGATGGGGTTTCTCCATCTTGGTCAGGCTGGTCTCGAACTCCCGACCTCAGGTGACCCGCCCACCTCGGCCTCCCAAAGTGCTGGGATTACAGGCGCGAGCCACCGCGCCCGGGTTAAAATTACTTTTCAAAAGCCAGTTCCTCTATTATGTAAAAGAGGACAGGAGGGGTATTTTCTAGATTTTAAAAAATAGGTGGGTAGAGTCTTCAATCTAGTTACATCATGACCTTGGACAAAGTCATTTTTCTGCAACGTATGCTTGTCATCTGCTCTAAGGGGATCTGACACTGACCTAGGGCTGCTGTCCAGACTAATTAATTGATGGATTGCAAGGAGCTTAAATCCCAAAGCTTTATTTGCTCATTGCTAAGAAGAGTCTGGGGACAGATTTAGTGAGACAAGGGTTAGTGCCAAGTACACATCCCTCATTTTCCCATATAGTGAAGGGATTTCCCCTTGTCCCCCGGGGACAGAGTCTTGCTCTGTTGCCCAGGCTGGAGTGCAGTGGTGCAATCATAGTTCATTGCAGCCTTGACCTCATGAGCTCAAGCCGTCCTCTCACCTCGGCCTCCTGAATAGCTGGGACCACAGGTATACATGCCACCACACCCAGAATTATTATTTTTTTTTAGGGACAGGGTCTTGCTGTGTTGCCGAGGCTGGTTCGAACTCCTGGCCTTAAGCCATCCTCCCACCTCAGCTTCCCAAAGTGCTGGGACTACAGGCATGAGCCACTGCACCTGGCTGTGAAGGGATTGTTTTCTTTTTTTCTTGTTTTGTTGCCCAAACTGTAATGCAGTGGCACAATCACAGCTCCTTGGAGCCTCGAACTCCTGGGCTCAAATGATCCCACCTCAGCCCCCCATTTAGTTGAGATTACAGGCACACACCACCATGCCTGGCTAATTTTTCAAATTTTTTTGTAGAGATGGTGTCTCACTATGTTAGCCAGGCTGGCCATGAAGGGATGTTTTAAAAGTGAAACTTGAAAAGGCAAACCGCACCCCGCAACCCCAAAAAAAGGCAAAAACCCATCATCAAAACCAGAGTATAGCCAGCATAGTGGCTCACACCTGTAATCCCAGCACTTGGGGAGGTGCAGGTGGGAGGATTGCTTGAGCACAGGAATTTGAAACCAGCCTGGGCAACATAGCAGACCCTATCTGTACAAAAAAAAAAAAAAAAGACAAAAACCAATCGAACAAAAAAAACCCTAGAATATATAGACTATAATCCTTCAATTGGTTTAGACAAAGCTTTTCTGTCCCTGAATCTTTATTTTTTTTGAGACAGGGTCTCACTATGTTGCCAGGCTGGAGTGCAGCATGATGTGATCTTGGCTCACTGCAAACTCCGCCTTCTGGGCTCAAGTCATCCTTCCACCTCAGCCTCCCTAGTAGCTGGGACTGGGACTACAGGTGCATACCATCATGCCCAGCTAGTTTTTGTATTTATTTTAATAGAGACGGGGTTCACCATGCTGCCTAGGCTGGTCTTGAACTCCTGAGCTCAAGCAGTCCACCTGCCTAGGCCTCCCAGAGTGCTGGGATTACAGGCACAAGCCACTATGCCCGGCCTGTCCCTAAACAGATTAGTGAGATTAACATGTTTTAAAAGGTAGAGCTGTTAAAAATTATTTCAGAAAATTTGCAGGTGCATTTGTGTGTCTTATGTAGTGCATGTATATAGGCAGGAGTTTAGTTTGGTGAGATTTGTATTAAGAAGGGTTTACAGTGATTTAAATTTCCCCTAATATGGGATGACTGTGACATTGTGGAAGCCACGCAAATAGAAGGATATTGTACTTACTAACATAATTTAAATAATCTCAATTCATGTCTGACAGGAGGGGTCAATAGTTGAAGTCTAGTAATTTTGCAATTATCCTACTTGTAAAGTGGGGAGAAAAGTAGAAGTGGCAGGAAAAATGTTTACCTAGATCTTTTAAGAAAATATTTTAGGACAAGAGCCACCATCATATTTTATTCTTTTATTTATTTATTTATTGAAGTTAATTATATTTAGACTTAAGGAATTAACAAAGGAGCAGGGAGACTAGACCAGGTCCCAGGATATCTTGACTCCTTGGGGCAGGCCCAGCTACAGCAAGCACAGAGGGAAACATAGGGGAGGGGCAGATAGCAGATTTGGTCTTGAACTTGGAGGGTAGGAAATGGATGATCCCCAGGATGGAAGCAGCAGGAGGAAGCTGTGTCTGAGGATGGCCTGGGCTGCCCAGAGGGGCAGCCTACCCCTGGACCCCTGGGGCTGTTGCACAGCGGGAATGGAAACAAGGATCCTCCCCTCAGGGCTGAGGGGTTCAGTCCCTCCTCCCCTCTTTCCCCATCTGTTGGAGAGATGGGGGTCCTTGCCTCCTTGCCCCTTTGAATGGCCCAGATGCTGGTCCTGATTGAGTCTCTTTAAGAGACTTTTGCTGAACTCATAAGTGGTGATCGTGATAGCATAGGAGGGGATAGACTTGATGATCCAAGGGAGGAAGCCTGCAAAGAGCCCTCTGATGCCCGACTTGGCACAGATCCACCTCTGAGCAACCAGGTAGAGTCCGCATCCAGGGATGTCACTTCCACGGCTTCCATCACTCCGAGTGTGGCCTGGTGTTGAGTCTTCATCACGACAAAGGTTAGGGTCAGCACTGTAGCCAGCATCATGGTGATGCTGCCAGCTGCAAAGCTGACTCCTATGGTTGTCATGGGACCATGGAGTTCCTTTGGCCTGAGCCCATTCAGCCAGCTCTTCACTAGCTCGTAGTTGAACCAGTACAGGGCTGAGAAGGGCACATTTCTAAGGAGAGTGGGGCCCCGGCACAGCCACAGTGAGCACCAACCACTCTAAGCCACCGGAGCTCAAACACAGGTACCAGCACATAGTATAACATATGCTAAACCTGCAGCTTTGTCTGCATAAGCTCCAGGGCACTGATGATTGCAGTGATAGTGCCAGGGTGGACCAGCACACCAGCTACCAAGGTTATGTAGAGGTAAGGGCTCAGCCACACAGGCAGGCCTTGAGTTGGTTGTAGGCAGTGAAGTAGTTGGTGGTAGCTGGCACAGTCATCACCAGGGTGGCTGGGAGGCCACTCCACAGGGTCCTGGTGCCCTTGTGCCTCAGAATCTTCACAGAGGCATCCAAGGTGCCAGTGAAGCTGGTAGGGTCTTAAAACCAGGTGGCACAGCGGGGACCATTTGGTCATAGGTACAGAGGCTCCAGGACACCATTGTAGTACAGGATTGGAGAGAGGAGGGCAGCTTGGCATAAGAGAGGCTCTGAAGTCTGGAGGAAGGTGTCAGCTCACTGGCCACCAGCGGGCACTGAGGCTGCAAATGGACCTTCCACCATGTCCAGGGGTGTCACGAGGAAGGAGGTGACCACAGCCCTTGAAACGTGAGACCACCATTTGTTGGAGGGAGCTAATGCCCCCAGAGTCCTGTCAGTCATCTTGCAGCTTCAGTCCTAGCTCTAGATTGGTGCTTGTACAGTGCGAGGCTGGTCAGGCCCATTACAGCTCTGTGGCCTCACCTTGCACCAAGACTGACTCCCTGTATTTTACTCCCTATATTTTATTATTTACCAACAATTAGACAATCTTCACCTTGCACCAAGACTGACTCCCTGTATTTTACTCCCTATATTTTATTATTTACCAACAATTAGACAATCTTATGTTAAAAAAAAAAAGTTAATTAGGACCCCTATGTAATCATATAAACTTAAATTTCCTAGTTTTTTATTCAAATATATCTTCTGTTATTGGACCTCATAACATTGCCTCTTAGGTAAACCCATGTAGAGAGTAGTCCCCTCTTTTTTTTTTTTTGAGATGGAGTCTTGCTCTGTTGCCTAGGTTTGAGTGCAATGGTGCGATCTCAGCTCACTGCAACCTCTGCCTCTGGGTTCAAGTGATTCTCCTGCCTCAGCCTCCTGAGTAGGTGGGATTACAGCGACGTGCCACCACGCCCAACTAATTTTTGTATTTTTAATAGAGATGGGGTTTCACTATGTTAGCCAGGCTGGTCTCAAACTCCTGACCTCGGATGATCTGTCTGCCTCAGCCTCCCAAAGTGCTGAGATTGCAGGTGTGAGCCACTGCGCCCAGCTTCTAGTAGTCTCCTCTTATCTGCAGAAAGGAAAACCACGGATAGAATTTGTCAACTGCTGTCCAAAAATAGGTGAGGACAGTACAATAAGATATTTTGAGAGAAAGACTACATTCATGTAACTTTTATTATTATTATTTTTTATTATTTATTTTTTGGAGACAGAGACTTACTCTGTCCCCCAGGCTGGAGTGCAGTAGTGTGTCTCGGCTCACTGCAATCTCTGCCTCCTGGGCTCAAGCGATTCTCATGCCTCAGCCTCTTGAGTAGCTGAGACTACAGGCACCTGCTACCACGCCCGGCTAATTTTTGTATTTTTAGTAGAGTTGGGGGTTTTACCATGTTGGCCAGGCTGGTCTTGAACTCCTGACCTCAAGTGATCTGCCCGCCTCAGCCTTCCAAAGTTCTGGGATTACAGGTGTGAGCCACCACACCCGGCCCCATGTAACTTTTATTACAGTGTATTGTTTAATTGTTATTGTTAATCTCTAACTGTGCCTAATTTATAAGTTAAATTTTATCATAGGTATGTATGTATAGGAAAAAAACATAGTATATATAGGGTTTAGTATTTGCTATCCATGGTTTCAGGCATCCACTGGGGGTCTTGGAATGTATCCCTCCAGATAAGGGTGGGGACTACCATATGCTACATTTCTATTGTGACTTTAATGTGGATTTTTTGGTCTTGAATCAGTCACTTAATACTGCTTTCTAAATGTATTAAGACACTCCCCAATGGTATATGTACCATTTAAAATTGTCAAATGCTTAGGTATTTTTGTTAGGAGTAGATAGCTAGGCTAAGATTTCTTTTCCCAGCTATGTACTTTATGTGCCCTTAGGCAGATTGTTGTGCATTCTTGAGTTAATTTTTGCCATCTCACTGGCTTGACCAAATTGTAATGTTCAGAGAACTAAAGCCTAAACTTAGTGTGTTTCAAGCACTTGATTGGAACTTTTCATTAAGCACATATTCTTATGGGGCATACATACTACAGGCTACAGATACTGAAACATTTTAATACTACTCTAATCACATAACCCCAGAAACAAAGAACAAATCCCTATCAAGCCCACATAATTACAAGGTCTTTAAGGCAGGATCCTCCCAATTTTCTGTGGTTATACCAACTCATCATTTGGTGACATTTAAACCAGATGGTAATATCTCATCCTTGCCAGGCTTTAACTTGGAAGAGATGGGAGGTAGGAGCCCTTAGGATTTGTATTCTGTTATCTTTATAGGACAGTGGGGAAAGGGGTGGATATAAGAGAAGTTTATACAGTGAAATTTGAGTATTACCTCCACTTTGTAAAATTCCAGGTCTTTAGACTTTTGCCTGTCTCAGAGAGGCTTTCATCCAATATGATGTATTTTGGACAAATTGAGAACAGCCACCAAATTTTCCAGTGGGAGGCTGGCTTCAGGGATTTGTGGTAGAGTATGGGTTTGGGGTTTTTAAAAATTGTGCTTGGTAGCAGCCCACTCTTCTGGGTTCCTCTATAACTACTGTTTTTCTCTGGTAACCTTGTGGCTTTTCCCATCTTCCATTTCTAAAATATATTTTTGATTTATAGAATATATAGTTGCTCATCAAGATTTTTTTGACAAGAACAAAGTTTAGAATTTGATTTAGGATTCTAAGATAATTTGGTTTTGAGGGGTAACATTAGCCAGCTAGGAAATGAAAACTTCAAGAGAATAGAGATTTTGTGGAAAGAATAGAGTAGGAATCAAAATGTTGGGTTTCTGGCATGTGTTCCATTATTTCCATGTTATCCTTGAGCTCCTAACCTTAAGGAGGGTCATGACTATTTTCAGAGCTTTATTCTATTAACCTATCTGTAAAATGGGCAGCTTAAAATATCAGCCCTTCTTTACATAGTGAGGCCCAAAGAGGGAAGGAATCTAGCCCAAATCCTGGTGGAGCCAGATTTGAACTTAGGCTGTGCAGGTCCTCAGTTACTGCTCTGAACTACTGCATTGCCTTTTATATAACCATAGTAATGATACAATTGTGATTTCATGAGATGATTAATGGGAAATTATGAATCTATTATTTTTGCATATATACTTTGTATCCTGGTAGGTTCAGCAAAACAAAAACAAAAGCAACATATTTGTTGGTTTTTGCTGCTAAGGCAGATCCATTTTATAGAAAAGGAAACAAACTGAGCTTGAGAGACTTGACTTGCCTAAGGTGACACAGCCTTGAAAGGACAAATTGGATGTTGCAAACCATGGCTCTTTATTCCCAAGTTCAGTGTTCTTCTAATTTAATATATAATGGCTCCCTTCATAGATCCTAGAAATTAGCCTGCTTCTCTCTTTCATCTCCCCTTACAGTCTTTTTTTTTTTTTTTTGAGAGGGAGTCTCGCTGTGTGGCCCAGGCTGGAGTTGGAGTGCAATGGCACGGTCTTGGCTCACTGCAACCTCTGCCTCCTGGGTTCAAGCGATTCTCCTGCCTCAGCCTCCGGAGCAGCTGGGATTACAGGCACCCACCACCATGCCCGGCTAATTTTTTTTGTATTTTTAGTAGAGACGGGGTTTCACCATGTTGGCCAGGCTGGTCTCAAACTCCTGACCTCGTGATCCACCCACCTCAGCCTCCCAAAGTGCTGGGATTACAGGCGTGGGCCACTGTGCCCGGCCTACAGTCTTTTTTTGACTGTGGTCTTCTCTCTCTTCCTTCTGGCCACCCAGACTTGAATTCATTAATAACAATAGTAAGCTGCATGTATACAGTTATCAAAGTACCATTTAGATTTGTGTGTTTTATCTACTTATCAGTATTTTTGAACTTAGCCCATTCATATACTGTTAGTTTGTTGGCTCATTTATATGTAAACTCCTGGCTCATCAACTCCAGTGACCACTCAGCTTCACATTGGAAGAGTATTTAGGACTCGGGGCTCCCTATATAAATGTACCACTGCCTCCCATTAAAGTCATTCTGGGGTTCATCCCAGAATAACTGAATTAGAATCTCATGTGGGCCTAAGTGTTTGAATTTTAAAAAGCTCCTCCGGAAGCTCTGCTAGGTTTGAGACCCACTGGTTTAGGTAATTTCATGACAGGTTTAGGCAGCTAATATAAGGAATTCTCAAAAAAAAAAAAAAAATCTAAACACCAAAATCCCTCAAAATATAGAAAACAAAATAAAAATAAGAAAGAAAGAAAAAATAAGGAATTATCTTACCTGTTGACTTCAAATTAATCAGAAATTTCTCAGTTCTACTACAGAAAACTGGGCAATTCTTTTTATCAGCTCTGTTGAATGAAGAAATGAATTGAGTCCTTGGAGTTGGTTGTGGTCTCAATTCAGTACTTATTATTGATATGTCAGTAAGTGCATTGTGTTAAAGTCCTAGGTGGCTCATGCCTGTAATCCCAGCACTTTGGGAGGCTGAGACGAGGTCAGTAGTTCAAGACCAGCATGGCCAATATGGTGAAGCTCTGTCTCTACTAAAAATATAAAAATTAGCTGGGCATGGTGGCATGTACCTGTAGTCCCAGCTACTCCAGAGGCTGAGGCAGAAGAATCGCTTGAACCTGGGAGGCAGAGGTTGCAGTGAGCCGAGATCGCGCCACTGCACTCCAGCCTGGGTGACAGAGCAAGACTCCATCTCAAATAAATAAATTTAAAAAATAAATAAAGGAACTCATAATTGACTGGTGAGAAAGATTAGCAAGTATGACGTATGCAAGGAATAGAAGTTATGTACCGAGTGGTTAAAGGTTGGGGGGATATGGAGATGGATGAGAGGGAGCTGTCTGGGAAGGCTTTGCTTCACTTGGATTAGAGTAGGGTTGCGTGAGGAAATAGGTGTGTAGAATGAGAATGAGGGTCATGACATCCTCCTACAAAACAACAATATTCAAGGAAGGAAGAGAATTTGGTTGGAGGTACCAGGAAATGTGTTGTTAGGAAGCTAAGAAGAAAATAGTAAGTTCATTGTTAGTATTTCAGACTTAGGTGGCTTAATGGTGATATTTCTGAAGTCTCAACTCTAGACACAGCTGTAAAACCCTGGAAAAGTAGATAATTACAGTTTTTATAGAGTATATCCCATTGATACCAGGCAGCCATTCAAAAGAAAACCAGTTTTATCAGACTGCAACTTCCTCATATTTTAGGCTAAAGTGGGTTATCTTTCAAATCAAATTTACTTTGGACTATGGCAATAAATTTGAAAGAAATAAAGCATTTGATAATACCAGCGCTACTACAGTCACACAGCATAGTCTGAAATATATCATAGGGTAAGTTTCTTTTAAGATCTTTTGACATACTTTTATCTACCATCCTAAATTGAGCATGCCTATGTATTATTAGTACATCCTTATCTCTTTAAAGTAGGAGATCTAGCCTTGAAGCTTGGTCAGTATGTTAGTTCATTTGTGTTGATATAACTATATCTGAGACTGGGTAATTTATAAATAATAGAAATTTATTTCTTGCAGTACTGGAGACTGGGAACTCTAAGATCAAGGCACTGTCAGGTTTGATGTCTTGTGCTGGCCTGGTCTCCACTTTCAAGATGGTGCCTTGAATGCTATGTGGAAGGGCAAAAGGGGCCTAGGGTGTAGGTTCTTGCAACTCTTTTATTTATTTTTATTTTTATATTTATTATTATTTTTTCTTTGAGACAGAGTCTCACTCTGTCACCCAGGCTGGAGTTCAGTGGTGCAGTCTCGGCTCACTGCAATCTCTGCCTCCCAGGTTCAAGCAATTCTCCTGCCTCAGCCTCCTGAGTAGCTGGAATCACAGGCGTGTGCCACCACGCCCAGCTAATTTTTGTATTTTTAGTAGAGATGGGGTTTTGCCATGTTGACCACGCTGGTCTCGAACTCCAGACCTCAAGTGATCTGCCCACCTCAGCCTCCCAAAGTGCTGGGATTACAGGCATGAGCCATGGTGCCTGGCCTAATTTTTGTGTTAAATATGTTTTGTAGAGATGAGATTTTGCCACCTTGCCCAGGCTGGTCTCAAACTTCCAGGCTCAAGCAATCCACTTGGTTGGCCTCCAAAAGTGCTGAGGTTACAAGCGTGAGCCACTGCCCTTGGCCTGCCATCCATCCATTCATTCATTCATTCATTTATGAGACAGTTTCACTGTTGTTGCCAAGGCTTGGGTGCAGTGGCGTGATCTCGGCTTACCGCAACCTTTACCTCCCGAGTTTGAGATTCTCCTGCCTCAGCCTCCTGAGTAGCTGGGAATACAGGTGTGTGCCACCATGCCCAGCTAATTTTTTGTATTTTTAGTAGAAACAGGGTTTCTCCATGTTGGTCAGGCTGGTCTCGAACCCTCAACCTCAGGTGATCCGCCCGCCTCGCTGGTCTCGAACTCCAGACCTCAAGTGATCTGCCCACCTCGGCCTCCCAAAGTGCTGGGATTACAGGCGTGAGCCACTGCACTCAGCCTTATTATTATTTTTTAGAGATGAGGTCTTGTGTTTCCCAGGCTGGAATGCAGCAGCGCCACCATAGCTCACTGCAGTAGATGGGACTACAGGCACGTGCCAATATGTCTGGATAATGTTTTAACATTTTGTAGAGATGGTATCTCACTGTGTTGCTCAGGCTTGCTTCTCTTGCTCTCTCTCTCTGTCTGTCTTAAGCCTCCCAGGTAGGTGGAACTACAGGTGCATGCTACCATGCCTAGCTAATTAAAAAAAAAATTTTTTTTATAGGGTCCCGCCATGGTGCTCTGGCTGGTCTTGAATTTGTCTTAATTCCTTTCCTTTCCATTCCCCTTTCCCCTTCCCTTTCCTCCTTTCCTTTCCCCTTTTCCTTTCTCCTTTCCTTTTCCCTTTGCCTTTCCCTTTCCTGTGGAGTCTCGCTCTGTCACCCAGGCTGGAGTTCAGTGGCGCCATCTCAGTTCACTTGTCTCGGCTCACTTTGCAACCTCTGCCTCCTGGGCTCAAGTGATTATCGTGTCTCAGCCTCCCCAGTAGCTGGGATTATAGGCGCCCACCACCGCGTCCCGCTAGTTTTTGTATTTTCAGTAGAGATGGGGTTTCACCATGTTGGTCAGGCTGGTCTCGAACTCCTGACCTCAAGTGATCCACCCGCCTTGGCCTCCCAAAGTGCTGGGCTTACAGACATGATGAGCCACTGTGCCCGGCCCTTCTTTCTTTAATACTATTGCAAATGTGTCATCTTTAGATGGGATATTGACACAACAAAGATTTTGCCATCTCGTAGTATTTTTTGAGGCTCAAACTGATTTTTAGTCTCACTTCTGTTCGTTTCTTGACCCTGATGTTGAATCTCCAGGCGTGTGTTTGCAGATCTAATGAGGCCTTAAAGTTAGGGTGTGGGATGTTTAAGCTTCCCCTGCCCTTAGTGCCCAGGTAGGTTTGGGTGTTGCTTAGGCAAGGTTGGGGTCAGAGTCCAACCTCTTTCCTAAATCCCTTCCCCCTGACAGACAGATCATTTTTGGAATCTTTTTAAAGTATATAATCCTTTCTTAACCTTGGCAGCCTCAGTTTTCTGCCAGAAATTTTTTCTTCCCTGGATTCTAGGTATGGAAAAAACACAATGAAAACTAGTTACTAGAGAACCTCCTTGGAAAAGCTGTGAAATTATATATACTTGATTACAGCATGGCTTGATATAGGCATGCTGAAGTAATATGTGCACCAATTATAATTGATGTAGGGGGAAGGATCTGAAATTTCTTCTCATCCCATTCAGTGATTGAAGTATCATAAAATGTCTGTGAATGACATGAAAGAAATAATGCTTTCCTGTTTAGAGGACCTACCAATACCAATACCAATACCAATACCAATACCAATACAATACAGATCATTATTATTGCCAAGTTTTATTAAAAGTGGTAAAAGAGGAATTTAATGTGACGAATGCTTAAAAAGTAAATACCATGGCATATCCCTTTATTACTACTATATTTTTATTTACTAATATTCCGTAGAAACAGTGCTTTGCATTCCCAAGTATTTCATATTCAGAAGCTAAAATAATCTTTGAAACAAGTTCTTTAAAACTGATAGCTTTCACCATGGCCTATCTGTAAAAGTTATAATACAAGTTCTCATTCCTTGGTACTTATTTTTAATAATGACTATTAAAAGTCTACATGATTGTGTTGGTATTTTCAGGGTCTTTTTGGTGATAGGACTTTAGGGAAGACTGGGTTGACCCAGGTATAACTTTTCTAAAAATGTTGACATTGTAAAAATAGGCGGTCAATAAATCACTATTAGTGAATGGAGAATACACTTGAAAGGGCTGTGTTTTAAATCTGGATGAAAAGAGTTCTTTGGAAGGACAGATTGTATGGGGTGTTCTGCAGGGCGTTCAATAGGGCAGTTACTTCCAGGGTGTGGGCCGAGGACCCTTGGAGGGTTCCCAAGACCCTTTCAGTGGATCCAAGAAAACTCCCCCCTTTCAGCTAAATATCTGTGAGAGGCCAGATTTACTTCACATAATTTTTTTTTTTTTTTGAGACAGAGTCTCACACTGTTGCCCAGGCTGGAGTGCAATGGTGGTGTGATCTTGGCTCACTGCAACCTCCACCTCCCGGGTTCAAGCGATTCTGCCTCAGCCTCCCAAGTAGCTGGGATTACAGGCGCCCGCCACCATGCCCAGCTAATTTTTTGTATTTTTTTTTTTTAAAGTAGAGACAGGGTTTCACTACGTTGGCCAGGATGGTCTCGAACTGACCTCGTGATCCGCCTGCCTTGGCCTCCCAAAGTGCTGGGATTACAGGTGTGAGCCACCGCACCCGGCCTACTTCACATACTTTTAACCGAAACAATATACCACACCTGATTGGAGAAGAAATTAAAACCCAGTTTATTTATATTAAACCAGACATTAAAGAGATTTGCAAAATAATACAATGCATTACAGATTAAAGAGATTAACTCATTTTTAAAATGTTTCAGTTTTAATTTCTAATGTGATAAAAAATCTATAGATACAATCCATGTAAATTAACATTCTTTGAGGTCCTCAATTTTTAAGATTTTAAAGGACTCCTAAGGACAAAACATTGAGTTATTGCAGTATTAAAAAGGGAAACTTGGTCGGATGGGTGGCTCACACCTGTAATCTCAGCACTTTGGGAGGCCAAAGGTTGGAGTATCCCTTGAGCCCAAAAGTTTGAGACCAACTTAGTCAACATAGCAAGACTGACTCTACAAAAAATTTCTTTAAAAAATTAGCCTGATGTGGTGGCATGCATGTATACTTGGGAGACTGAGGTGGGAGAATTGCATGAGCCCGGGAGTTTGAGGCTGCAGTGAGCTATGATTGTGCCACTGCATTCCAGCCTAGGGACAGAGCAAAATCCTGTCTCAAAAAGAAAAAGAAAAAAAAGGGAAACTTGATTCTGCAAAGACATGACTCAGTAGGAATAAAGCTAAGATCTTAGCTTTTTGTATATTTAGTAGAGACGGGGTTTCTCCATGTTGGTCAGGCTGGTCTAAGATCTTAGCTTTTTGTATATTTATAAAGACGGGGTTTCTGCATGTTGGTCAGGCTGGTCTCGAACTCCTGACCTCAGGTGATCCACCCACTTCAACCTCCCAAAGTGCTGGGATTACAGGTGTGAGCCACCACGCCCGGCCAATATGTGTATTTTCTAAAACTTCAGTAATAAGCCTTACATTTGTATTAAAATTATTTTAAATCTATTCTGTTGCCTAGCTTTTGCCCCAATAAAAGAACATGCAGTCAAGAAGTTTTGTATAGTGGGCACACAGGAAATGGCATGGTATTAGGTTGGTGCAAAAGAAATCGTGGTTTTTGCCATTTTTGCATTTTTGCTTTAATGGCAGAACTGTGATTACTTTTGCACCAACCTAATAAATGTGAAATACTGCTATCATGGAACCATACCTAGGTTTGCTGGCTACAGTGTTAACTTTTACAGTATACAAGTTCAATTCCATTGCCATCCCAGCAGATCTACTCTCAGTGTGTTGTCTGCCTTTACCCTTGAACTATATATCTAAAAAATCTTAGCAGCTCTTTAAGCATGGAAATCTAACAATATGTGCTCTTATTTTAAAAAGCAAGGTTGGATTGGGTGTGGTGGCTCACACCTGTAATCCCAGCACTTTGGGAGGCCAAAGTGGAAGGATTGCTTGAGGCCAGGAGTTTGAGACCAACCTGTGCAACATAGTGAGACCCCCCCCCCCACCCCCCGTCTCTTAAAAAAAAAAATTAGCTGGTCATGGTGGTGTGCACCTGTATTCCCAGGTACTCTGGAGGCTGAGGTGGGAGGATCACTTGAGCCCAGGAGATCGAGGCTATAACGAGCCAAGTTTATGCCATTGCACTCCAGCCTGGATGACCTTGTCTCTTAAAAAACAGAAACAAAAACAAACAAAAAACAAGCCTGCATTAGGCCACTTGGAAACGAAAGCTTTGCAACATGAATATTTTCCTGAGAAAAACCGGCACTTTTTTTTTTTTTTTTTAATTGGGAGTCTTGCTCTGTTTGCCCAGGCTGGAATGAAGTGGTGCAATCTCTGCTCACCGCATCATCTGCCTCCTGGGTTCAAGCAATTCTCGTGCTCTGCCTTCTGAGTAGCTGAGACTACAGGTGTGCACCACCACACCGAGCTAACTTTTGTATTTTTAATAGAGACTGGGTTTTGCCATGTTGGCCAGGCTGCTCTTGAACTCCTGACCTCATGATCTGCCCGCCTTGGCTTCCCAAAGTGCTGAGATTACAGGCGTGAGCCACCACACCTTCCCAAAACTAATATTTTTTGACCATTTACTTAAATAAAGTAAATGTTGTCTGAGGGTTCTACCTGTATTATTTTACTTAACCCTCACAATTATCCCTTTATTCACATACGTAAGGTACAAGGAACTTAACCTAGTACAAAGCCGCACAGTAGTACCAGGATTTGAACCCAGGCAGTGTGACTTGAGAATCTGTCCTCTTTGACATCTATTTTGATGTACAAGGTAAAGGTAAATGGCCTCACTGTGTTTTAAAAAAAATGACCATCAGAGAAATAACAATGGGAAAATATAGAGGAGGTTAAAATGGAGAAATACAGAGGAGGCCTTTAACCTGTGTTAAAGTGGCTATGATAAAATGTGCTAGTTGACAGTTACATGCCAGCTAGGGTTAGGCTGGAAGGATAAGGTCCTTAAAGGTAAGTAAGGTTTAGAGGTCAGATGCTCCTTGAAAGTTGAGGTTGCAGCGCTTTTTGTATAGGAAGATTCATATTTCAGTGGTCAGAACTTAACATAATTATAATTGTTACTTTTACTTTACAATTTAATGAAAAAACCTTTATATTTGTAAAATCAGTTCTCACCACAGTCCTAAAAGGTAGTCTGTACTTTTTTTTTTTTTTTTTGAGACAGGCTCTCACTTTGTCATCTAGGCTGGAGTGCAGTCTTTGCCTCCCAGGTTCAAGCAATTATCATGCCTCAACCTCCTGAGTAGCTAGGATGACAGGTGTGCGCCACAATGCCCGGCCAATTTTTGTATTTTTTGTAGAGACTTGGTTTTGCCACATTGGCCTGGCTGGTCTTGAACTCCTGGCCTCAAGGCCTGTCTGGGCCTCCCAAAGTGCTGGGATTACTGGCATGAGCCACCGTTCCTGGCCCTGTTTGGAAGACTTTGAATGCAATTCTTTGTCGTACAAAACTTTTCTGATAGACACCTATCAGTGAGTGGCAATTAGACTCCATCAGGGGCTCATAAATAGTTAACTCTGCTTGTCTTTTATAGGAGTTTATAATGGTTGTGATAGACCTAGTTCTACCTTTTGCATTTGTGCAGGTGTTTTAAGGGCATATTACTGACCTGAAACCATTCATTTGATGAGAAAGTGGTCTTTTATGTTTCATATATCTGTTATTCTGATCTTTATATTAAAGTTAAATTTTGTCATCCTCACCTGAAAGATTTGCTAACTTGCAAGTGCATTTATTCTATGATGACTGGGTTTCATAGAACATATACAATTAAAACAATGCTTTGGTCCTTAGTTGATGTTATTCTTGGTAAACTAACAAGAATGTGCTTTTGTGACACTGATTTCTAATTGGTTTTGTCTGCAGGGAGTTAGAGCCAACTTTCGTAGCCTCTGTAGAGCATATACTTTTTCATTTTGCTAATTATCAGATCTCAAAATGACAGCCTTTCTATAATTAGAAGGATAAAAACAGTATTCTAATATATTAAATATGTGGATGTTAATAGCACATCCTCTACAGAGTGAATTTTCCTGGCATTTTTTGGAAAAATCTTCAGCATCTTTTGAAAGTTGTTCTCACAGTGGTTGACTTTATTTTTTAAACATTTCTCTCAGTTAAATCTGCTTTTAGTTGTTGTTAAGTTAATGCTGGCACTGAGGAAAATGTTTACCTGATGTTTCTCAGGCCTCTGAGGATTTTGAAGCTTCAACTTTCTACTTAATTGCCTTCCTAAGGAATACATTTTTGAGTCCTAAGGAAACTAATTCAACTTCTTTTTTTTTTTGAGACAGAGTCTCGCTCTGTCCCCAGTCTGGAGTGCAGTGGTGTGATCTTGGCTCACTGCAAGCTCCGCCTCCCGGGTTCACACCATTCTCCTACCTCAGTCTCCTGAGTAGCTGGGACTACAGGCGCCCGCCACCACGCCTGGCTAATTTTTTGTATTTTTTTTTAGTAGAGATGGGGTTTCACCGTGTTAGCCAGGATGGTCTTGATCTCCTGACCTCATGATCCGCCTGCCTCGGCCTCCCGAAGTGCTGGGATTACAGGCGTGAGCCACTGCACCCGGCCTGAACTTTTAAATAATAAGGTTCTTGTACTTTATCTTGTAAGGGTTAAAATAAAACTATTTTCAAGTTTTTTTGTTTGTTTTTGTTTTTTTTTGAGACAGTCTTGCTCTGTCGCCCAGGCTGCAGTGCAGTAGCATGATCGTGGCTCACTACAGGATTGACCTCCTGGATTCAATTAATCCTCCCACCCCAGCCTCCTGATTAGCTGGGACTACAGGTGCATGCCACCATGCCTGGCTAACTTAATTTTTTTTTTGTAGAGACAGAGCCTCAATATGTTTCCGAGTCTGGGCTGGTCTCTTCTCTTTTCTCTTCTCTTCTTTTCTTGTTAGACAGAGTCTTGCTCTGTCACCCAGGCTGGAGTGCAATGGCGCAATCTCCACTCACTGCCACCTCCGCCTCCTGGGTTCAAGTGATTCTCCTGTCTCAGCCTCCTGAGTAGCTGGTTATAAAGAATGAGAGAGGTATTTTATCAGGCATGCGCCACCATGTCCGGCTAATTTTTGTATTTTTATTAGAGATGGGATTTCGCCATGTTGGCCAGGCTGGATTCAAACTCCTGACATCAGGTGATCCTCCTGCCTTGGCCTCCGAAAGTGCTGTGATTACAGGCATGAGCCATCACACTCAGCACCCAGGTTGGTCTTGAGCTCCCAGGCTCAAGCAGTCCTCCCCCTTTTGGCCTCGCAAAGTGTGAACCCCACTACACCTGGCTTACTTTCAAGTTTTGAAAGTAAAGGAAATTAAAATAATCTCAGTGAGGAATTTATATGGAACTGCATGTAATCTGCAAATTCTTATTACATCTAGTTAGTATGAAAAGGCTGTTTTATGTTAGAAAAAGTGATTTATGATCAGTTTTATTGATAGGGAGTACAAGTTTTACTTTTTGGCCAGCTTACATTATATTCCTTTTAGACACTTAAGCATCAAGTTAAACATTATCGCAATGTTTCTAAGTGGGGATTTGGATTATTTATTTGACTACATAATTTGAGGATTATTTTTCAAAATTTTCACCTTAGAAGCTTTATTATGATCTGTTGTATTTACCTTTCATAATGGCTTCCCCTACCCCCCATTTAAAAGTCATGGCTTGGCTTCTGCCATGCCTCACACCTGTAATCCTGGCACTTTGGGAGGCCTAGGTGTGAGGATTGCTTGAGCCCAGGAGTTCCAGACCAGCCTGGGCAACATAGCGAGACCTCATCTCTACTTAAAATGAAAAGAAAAAAAAATTCGTGTCCCATTGAGGTCAGACTTTGCCAAAGGTATTTTAGTTCCGTATGATAGTGAACATTACAAATAAATTTAATTTTTTTATTGGAGTCTAGTTTTGCAGCTGACAGTGAATGTCCCAAAACTGAATGACATTTATCTCTTCTCTCATTCTTTATAACCAGAAGAGATGACAGAGTTTGTAGTGATCCATTTTTCATGCAAAAATGATCTTCTCAAACTATTTCTTTAGTTTTAAACATATTTATACCCACTGTATGAGCATCCTTATTGACAGATATGTACTAATTTCCATTTGATGAATCATTTTCAGGATTCATTTTAGCTTTATGCTAAAATAAGTATATTGTGTATATATTCATACATAGAAGCTCATTTTAATTTGTAAAACTTTAATATACAGGCTTTTGAGAACATCAAATATCTTTATAATTGTGTTTTGGTATTAGAAGGTACATTATCTGATCAATCAGGGAATAACATTATATATCACCTGTAAGTCTTAGTTGTTAAAATTTTCAGGCCATTTTGAAAGTATGTTAAGACTAAATATTTGAACATTTACTTCTATATTCTGACACATTATTTTTCATATGCTTTTGATCTCAGCTTAACCCAGATCAATTCATTTCTGAAAACCAACAGCTTTTATAACACACTGGAAGCAAAGCTCTGAGCAATATAAAGGCTTCCTGTTAGCCTACCATAGAATATCAAGAAGCAGTGTGATTTCCTTTTGCTAGGATGTGTTCTGTATAAATTAAACACATTACTTTGGCTTTTAGTTATTGAGCTAAACAAAAATAAATCAGACTTTAATCTTTTTCACTTGGGATGGAGGTATTTTTTAACTTTAACAAAGTATAGTATTTTTTAACTGACATTTAAAACATTAACCATAAAAAGGCAGTACAACTATGTTAAACATTTGAAGGCCTTACCGATAATTACCTTTGCTTTTTAGCTTAACATTTTATCATGCATCACCGGCGGGCATTTTTATTGAAGTCTTTGTTATCACTAAAACAAAACAAAATTTCATTTATGTATTTATTTTAGAGCTAGGTTCGTGCTCTGTTGCCCAAGCAGGAGTGCAGTGGCACAATCATAGCTCACTGTAAACTTAAGCCCCCTGGGCTTAAGTCATCCTCCTGCCTTAGCCTCCTGAGTAGGTAGGACTACAGGTTTGCACCACTATGCCTAATTTTTACATTTTTTGGTAGAGACGGATAGAGACTGGTCTCAAACTGCTAGCTTCAAGTGATCCTCCTGCTGCTGCAGCCCAAAGTGCTGAGATTATAGGCATGAGCCACTGTGCCTGGCCGTCATTTTTATTCTAAACTAAAAGCAGTCTATAATGATAAGTTCCAACAGCACAAATTTGAAATGTTAAAAAAGCCTCTTTTCTCCTTATTATTGTGATATTATTTAAAATCTGCATATGTAAAATTCAACACAATGTTATTAGGTTGGCGCAAACGTAATTGTGGTTTTTGTCATATGTATATGTAGGTAATGGCAAAATTACAGCTTTTGCCACATATATATGTATTTTTTTTTTTTTTTTTTAGTAATGGCAAAAGCTGCAATTACATTTGCACCAACCTAATACATGTTTTTGTTCTAGTTTTTTACTCATTGATGCTTGGGTATCTTTCCATATTTAGAATATCTAGATATTTTTTATTATAGCTGAGTGGTATTTTATTGTTGGTTGTAGATATACCAACATTTATTTAGCTTTTTCTCTACTGATACTTACATTTTAACTTGAAGGAATTTTGCAGTGAATTTCCTTTTGCCTATATTGAGGTGTTGTGAGTGGTAATAGATATTTGTAAATTCCTATCAGAAAATTGCTGGGTCATGGCCAGGCGCAGTGGCTCACGCCTGTAATCCCAGCACTTTGGGAGGCTTAGGCAGGTGGATCATTTGAGGTCAGGTGTTCGAGACCAGCCTGGCCAACATGGTGAAACCCTGTTTCTACTAAAAATACAAAAGTTAGCCAGGCATGGTGGTGGTACATGCCTGTAATCCCAGCTACTTGGGAGACTGAGGCAGGAGAATTGCTTGAACCCGGGATGTTCAATTCTTGCTTGCAGTGAGTGAAGACTGTGCCATTGCATTCCAGCCTGGGTGACAGCATGAGACTCCATCTCAAAAAATAATAATAATAAAATAAAAATAAACAAAACTGCTGGGTCACAAGGCATGCGCTGTTAATCTGATAGCTAAAAACAATGAGAGTTTGTATATTTCTTGAATTTTGAGTGAAGTTGGGTGCCAGTCTTATGATTGGCCATTTTTCCCTTTTGGCTGTTGATACAATTTGCCCATTTTTCTGTAAGTTATTATTTTGTCTTATTGATTGTTATGAACTCTTTATAAATCTAGCACTTTTAAATGCTGTATAATATTCAATGTTATTGTAATACCATAATAATCGTACATTCCTAATGTAATGCTGCAGTTAATTTCATTCATGTATTTTGTTTTTTCTTCCTTTATTTTTTATTTATTTATTTATTTATTTATTTATTTATTTATTTATTTTTGAGACGGAGTCTGACTCTGTCGCCCAGGCTGGAGTGCAAAGGCATGATCTTGGCTCACTGCGACCTCCACCTCCTGGGTTCAAGTGATTCTCCTGCCTCAGACTCCTGAGTAGCTGGGACTACAGGCATGTGTCACCACACCCGGCTAATTTTTTGTGTATTTTTAGTAGAGACGGGGTTTTGCCATGTTGGCCAGGCTGGTCTCCTGACCTCAGGTGATCTGCTTGCCTCGGACTCCCAGAGTGCTGGGATTACTGGTGTGAGCCAGTGCGCCTGGCCATTCAACTCTGGTTGAATTGTTTTCTTTTTTTTCTTTTTTTTTTTGAGACGGAGTCTCGCTCTGTCACCCAGGCTGTAGTGCAGTGGCGGGATCTCAGCTCACTGCAAACTCCGCCTCCCGGGTTCACACCATTTTCCTGCCTCAGCCTCCTGAGTAGCTGGGACTACAGCCGCGTGCCACCACGCCTGGCTAATTTTTTGTGTTAGCCAGGATGGTCTTGATCTCCTGACCTCATGATCCTCCCAAAGTGATGTGATTACAGGCGTGAGTCACCGCGCCTGGCCGGTTGAATTGTTCTCTTAGGATAAACTTGGTATAAAATTGAGTTTAAAGGCTGTGAATTTCCTCATTAATATATTCACACAATCTGAAATAATACATTTATTATTTAATAAATATTTAATGTATTTTGGATTATATTTAAAACAAACAAGGATGTAAAATTACCTATAACCCTGCCAGTAAGGACAACCACTATTGTGAGCCTTTTTGCTCTAGATAGCTTTCCAGTGTTTTATTTTTCTACTGTAAAGCCTGTTCCGCCCCCCGACCCCTTAACATATATAGGGAAAATCTTCCCACATTAGTAAATAGAGATCTAGGCTGGGTGCGGTGGCTCACACTTGTAATCCCGGCACTTTGGGAGGCCGAGGCAGGCGGATCATATGAGGTCAGGAGTTTGAGACCAGCCTGACCAATATGGTGAAACCCCGCCTCTACTAAAAATACAAAATTAGCTGGGTGTGGTGGCACATGCCTGTAATCCCAGCTACTCGGGAGGCTGAGGCAGGAGAATCACTTGAACCCGGGAGGCAGAGGCTGCAGCGAGCTGAGGTCACGTCATTGTACTCCAGCCTGGGTGACAGAGCGAAACTCTGTCTCCAAAAAGTGAATAAATAAGTAAATAAATAAATAAAAGATCTATGCTACAGGGTACATTTTTCCTTTTTTGCTTTTTTCATTGTATTAAAATATTAAAATGTACATAACATTAAATTTTTGCCTTTGTAACCATTTTTAAGGATACAGTTCAGTGGCATTGGGTACATTTACATTGCTGTACAGCCATTACCATTGTCTACCTCCAGACCCTTTCATCATTATCCCAGACTGAAACCTATTAACACATTTTTATACCTTTAGCTGTTCTCTTGTTGTAGACATTCATTTCCAGTTTTCTCCCTTCGTAGGTAACAATTCATACATATATGTGTGTGTGTGTATATATATATATTTAATTGTCTGATTACTTCCTCATGATGGCAGTTCTTCCATGATAGGAAAATTCTCCTCTAGAGAACAGTTGTCTATACGAGTATACATATTAAGGACAAATTTTTTTTTTTTTGAGGTGAAGTCTTGCTCTGTTGCCCAGGTTGGAGTGCAATGGCGCGATCTTGGCTCACTGCAACCTCTGCCTCTTGTGTTCCAGCGATTCTCCTGTCTCAGCCTCCTGAGTAGCTGGGACTACAGGCGCCTGCCACCCCATCTGGCTAATTTTTGTAGTTTTAGTAGAGACAGGGTTTCACCATGTTGGTCAGGCTGGTCTTGAACTCCTGACCTCAGGTGATCCACCCTCCTTGGCCTCCCAAAGTGCTAGGATTACAGGTTGAGCCACCTTGCCCGGCCAAGGATGACTTTTAAAATTGGATTTGGATGTCAGTTTTTCTCCCCCTGACACCACTGTAGAATTTACCCTCAATTTAATAAGAAAAGTTAAGGTGGGCCAGGCTCAGTGGCTCACACTTGTAATCTCAGCACTTTGGGAGGCAAAGGTGGGAGGATCATTGGAGCTGTAGAGTTCGAGACTGATCTGGGCAATACATGTACCTACACCTCGTCTCTAAAAAAAACCTTAAACAATTAGCTGAGTGTGGTAGTGTTCACCTGTGGTCCCAGATACTTGGGAGGCTGAGGTGGAAGATCGCTTGAGCTCAGGAGGCAGAGGTTTCCACCAGCTGTGATCACACCACTGCACTTAAGCCTGGGCAACAGAGTGAAACCTTATCTCAAAAAAAAAAAATTAAAAAAGTTAATGTGACTGGAAGGTTAAATGTGTTTTTTAAAGTTATAGACATATAGCTGTTATATAAAAAATGAGGTATGTCTATGGTAATACAGAAGTCAAAGTGTCTTTTGCCTAAATGAGTGTTTTTTTTTTTTTTTTTTTTACAGGCTCAATGACATTGCTCAGTGGGAAGGTTTGTGGGGAGAGGTGTATATGTGATATATCATTTATTTGGGAAAGGGTGTTCATACATATTTTGCTGCTCTCATGGACAAAAGGTTGAGAAACCACTACTCTGTGTTCTATTTTGTTTGATTGGTTAGAATAAGATTTACCTAACCTGGGTTTTAATTTTAAAACAAATTTTTGAATGTCAAATGCTTATAAGTTATTCTAATAAGAGCCTTTGCTTTCTCCTAGGATTGGCAGCCACCATTTGCATGTGATGTTGATAAACTTCATTTTACGCCACGTATCCAGAGACTGAATGAATTGGAGGTAATGTCTTCACTATTGTTCTGTTTGCCTGTATTCCAGGGGGACCGTCTTTGAAATTATTACGATATATTAAAATTGTTACAGAATCACCATTGTAAATCTGTTTTTAGATTTGTATTTGAGCAAATAAGAACATTTCTTTCTGTAGAGAACAGGTCTTTAAAATATCGAATTGGCTAGGCATGGTGGCTCACACTTGTAATCTCAGCACTTTGGGAGGCTGGGGCAGGAGGGTTGGCCTGGGCAACATAGCGGGACCCTGTCTCTGCTAAAACATAGTTTAAAAAATTAGCCACGTGTGATGGTGTGTGCCTGTAGTTCCAGCTACTCGGGAGGCTGAGGTGGGTGGATTGCTTCAGCCTGGGAGGTCAAGACTGTAGTGAGCCATGGTTGTGCCACTGCACTCTGCACTCCAGCCTGGGCGACAGAGCAAGACCCTGTATTTTATATATATATATATTTACATATGTGAAGATACACACACACAGAATTGTGTTTTTGTTGTAGGGTTGAGGTCTCCCTATGTTGCCCAGGCTGGTCTCAAACTCCTGGGCTGAAGCGATCCTCCTGCCTCTGCCTCCCAAAGCTGGGCATATAAAAGCATATTTACTTGCCATATAATTTTAAACACTTATATGGAATTGTGCTTACAGTACTAATTAAGTTCCTTTCAGAGTGCCTGCTTACATCACAGGAAGGTTTACTGAGTGTTTAATTCTTTGTCTGTCACGTGGTAGGGGCTGAATTAAATTTTTTAAAAAAGTCAATTAAAATTTTTACTTTTTTTGTTATGGAGTCCCGCTCTGTCACCCAGGGTGGAGTGCAGCAGCATTATCCTGGTTCACTGCAACCTCTGCCTCCTGGGTTCAAGTCATTCTCCTGCCTCAGCCTCCCAAGTAGCTGGGATTACAGGTGTGTGCCACCAAGCCTGGCTAATTTTGGTATTTTTAGTAGAGATGGGGTTTCACCATTTTGGCCAGGCTGGTCTTGAAATCCTGACCTCAGGTGATCTGCCTGCCTTGGCCTCCCAAAGTGTTGGGATTACAGGCATGAGCCACCATGCCCAGCCTGAATTAAATTTTTGTTGAGTTAATGTATGTGTGTGTATATATTATATATATATATATATATATATATTTTTTTTTTTTTTTTTTTTTTTTGAGACAAGAGTCTTGTTCTGTCACCAAGGCTGGAGTGCAGTGGCACAATCTCAGCTCACTGCAACCTCTGCCTCTTAGGTTCAAGTGATTCTCCTGCCTCGGCCTCCTGAGTAGTTGGCATTACAGACGTATACCACCACATCCAGCTAATTTTTGTATTTTTAGTAGAGATGGGGTTTCACCATGTTGGCCAGGCTGGTCTCAAACTCCTGGCCTCAAGTGATCTGCCCATTTTGGCCTCCCAAAGTGCTGGGATTACAGGTGTGAGCTACCACACCCGACCATGTATAATTATTATTTTTTTATTTTTCTTTTTTATTGAGACAGAGTCTTGCACTGTCACCTGGGCTGGAGTGCAGTAGCATGATCTTTGCTCACTGCAACCTCCACCTCCCAGGTTCAAGTGATTTTCCTGCCTCAGCCTCCTGAGTAGCTGGGATTACAGGCCCCTGCCACTACGCCCAGCTAATTTTTTGTATTTTTAGTAGAGACGGAGTTTCACCATGTTGCCCAGGCTGGTCTCGAACTCCTGACCTCGTGATTCACCCGTCTCGGCCTCCCAAAGTGCTGGGATTACAGCCATGAGCCACTGCACCCAGTCGTATAATTATTATTATTTTGAGACAGAGTCTTACTGTCTCATCCAGGCTGGAGTACAGTGGTGTGATCTCAGCTTACTGCAACCTCTGCCTCCTGAGTTCAAGCAATTCTCCTGCCTCAGCCTCCTGAGTAGCTGGGATTACAGGCACGCGCCACCACACTAGGCTGATTTTTGTTAATAGAGATGGGGGGTTTCATCATGTTGGCCAGGCTGGTCTCGAACTCCCGACCTTGTGATTCGCTCGCCTCAGCCTCCCAAAGTGCTGGGATTACAGACGTGAGCCACCGTGCCCGGCCGGCCATGTATAATTATTTAACCAGCTTTATTTTGTGTATTTTTGGCCGTTTCTCACTGAATTTAGAAAGTGGTATTATATGATTTTGCTGAAAGAGCATTAAATTAAAAAAAAATTTTTTTAAGTGGTATTGTACTTAAATATTCTGTGAAAGAAAATAATGGCAGGTAATAGGAGCTTTAAAATAAGCTAAATGAGATGAAAACTCAATTCTTTGTCTTTTAGGCCCAAACTCGTGTAAAATTGAATTTCTTGGACCAGATTGCAAAGTACTGGGAGTTACAGGGAAGTACTCTGAAAATTCCACATGTGGAGAGGAAGATCTTGGACTTATTTCAGCTTAATAAGGTAAAGAGCTAATGACCATCTTACTTATTTTATAATCTTACTGACAGAATGAATTTGATCTTCTTTGCCTTAAAAAGGAACTTATTGCTCAGCCAGGTGGCTCGCACCTGTAATCTCAGCACTTTGGGAGGTCAAGGGAGGAGGATTGCTTGAGACCAGCCTGGGTAACATAAGGAAACCCTGTGTTTACAAAAAATTTGGAAATTAGGCATGGTGGCACGGGCCCTGTAGTACCAGCTATTTGGGTGGCTAAGGAGGGAGGATCACTTGAGCCCAGGAGGTGGAGGCTGCAGTGAGCTGTGATTGCACCACTGCACTCCAGCCTGGGTAACTGAGCGAGACCCTGTCTCAAAAAAGAAAGAACAAATAAACTTACTTTTTGAGATGTGTGAAATGAGATTCTCAAGTCAGTTGAGTGATGAGGATCATCAGGTCTTGAAGCCTTGTGGAATATTTTGCTTCCACCTGTTTTTCTCATTTTCACACTTTACAAAAATTCTGCAAGCTATTTCTTTTTATTACAGATAAGGAAACTGAGGCTCAGGGTGATAAAAAGGTAAAAAAATGCTGAGCCATGGCCGGGCGTGGTGGCTCATGCCTGTAATCCCAGCATTTTGGGAGGTCGAGGTGGGTGGATCACCTGAGGTCAGGAGTTCAAGACCAGCCTGACCAACATGTCGAAACCCCGTCTCTACTAAAAATACAAAATTAGCTGGGTGTGGTGGCACATGCCTGTAATCCCAGCTACTCGGGAGGCTGAGGCAGGAAAATCGCCTGAATCCAGGAGGCGGAGGTTGCAGTGAGCCGAGATTGCGCCATTGCACTGCGGGCTGGGCAACAAGAGAGAAACTCCATCTCAGAAAAAAAAAAAAAAAGAAGCTGAGCCATAATTCAATACCAGGCCCATTTGATTCTGAAATTTACATTCTTTCCATCAAACATGCTGGCATGCATCCTAGTCTTTAGTTTTTGGAGGCTTATTTAAGAGCCCAGAATAAGACCAAGTATTACAGTCCCTTCTTTGGTAGAGATTTAGTTTTAGGTAACCTGGTTCTTTCCACATGATTGCTTTGGGGATGTGAAAAGTAGCTTAGAGGGGACAAAATGTTTATGGACCATGTTGTCAAGAGAGATGTTGAAAATTTCTAACTTAAAATTAATAGTGTGTGTGTATATATATGTGTGTGTGTGTATATATATATGATTGGCAAAACATGTTTTTAAAAGATAACCATAGCCAAGAACATTTTCCCCTTGGAGTCATACTTAGATGTGATTAGAAGTGACTTCCATATAGTTGTTTCTAATTTTGCTATTTTAACAGTTAGTTGCAGAAGAAGGTGGATTTGCAGTTGTTTGCAAGGATAGAAAATGGACCAAAATTGCTACCAAGATGGGGTTTGCTCCTGGCAAAGCAGTGGGCTCACATATCAGAGGGCATTATGAACGAATTCTCAACCCCTACAACTTATTCCTGTCCGGAGACAGCCTAAGGGTAAGTTTGGGGGCTAGCCTTAACCTGTTTTATCTTACTACTTATTGGTACATTGTCTTTTCAGGGAAATGAAAAAGCCTTGATTGTGTTTGGAAGACCTTGTTTTAGAAGACCTTATTTTGGTGGGGCGCGGTGGCTCACTCCTGTAATCCCAACACTTTGGGAGGCCAAGGCAGGTGAATCACCTGAGGACAGGAGTTTGAGACCAGCCTGGCCAACATGGCGAAACCTCGTCTCTACTAAAAATACAAAAATTTGCTGGGCATGGTGGCGTGTGCCTGTAATCCCAGCTACTAGGGAGGCTGAGGCAGGAGAACCGCTTGAACCCGGAAGGTGGAGGTTGCAGTGAGCCGAGATGGTGCCACTTCACTCAAGCCTGGGCAAAGAGCGAGACTCTGAGACTCCGTCTGAAAAAAAAAAAAAGACCTTGTTTTGTGTTTTTTCCTCTAGTGTTTTTGTTCTGCTTTGAGAGCAGCTATACTTAGAAGTTTGTTTCTGGAATGAGTAAGATTGTGGAGGAAATTTTTTTACTGTCCAAAGCTGAGGAGTTGATTATTATCTACTTGTTACAACTTTGCATTCTCTTTAAATTTAAAGTAGCTAAAGTATTCCTGGCTGTCATATGAAGGTATAAGCTGTGAAATAACTTGCCTACCTGTTCTCTTCTGCCAGCTGAGATTTTTGAGGAGATTGTCAGAATGTTGATATGGTAAAAGGGGATTTTATAATGCTACATAGCTAACGGGTTCCTCTTCTAGTAATTCCTATGTAGCCAAGTTCATTTCTGACAAAATGGTATTTGTGAAATTATTCACTTAAAAACTTTTAGGTAAAACAGTACTGTAAAAGCTTCCCATTTATTTCCAGGCCTTGGTAGAAAGAAGAGGGGTGTCATTATCCATTCACACCCTTTGAGTTATTTTAGGACTACAGCAGTGAGTCCTATAACTTTAAGAATTGTTTTCTGTGCTGTAGAGAGGTAGGAAGAGAATAACATAGTTTTTGAGGGGTAAATCACTAACCAAAGTCCTGTCCTAATACTATACACACACAAACACACCATCTGTAATGCTTAAATCCAGTAGATTTTTTCTTCCCTCTCTCCCTTATTGATTCCAGGTGAACACTTTTTAGCCTAGAAGAAAGTAGCCAATCTGACATTCAAAACTTTTTTTTTTAATACATTATATGAATGTTTAGTGAGCCCATGGATGAAATTGTTTAGAATGTTGAATGTGAGCCGGGCGCGATGGCTCACGCCTGTAATCCCAGCACTTTGGGAGGCCAAGGTGGGTGGATCATGAGGTCAAGAGATGGAGACCATCCTGGCCAACATGGTGAAACCCTGTCTCCACTAAAAATACGTAAATTAGCTGAGCGTGGTGGTGCGTGCCTGTAGTCCCAGCTACTTGGGAGGCTGGGGCAGGAGAATCACTTGAACCCAGGAGGCAGAGGTTGCAGTGAGCTGAGATTGTGCCACTGCACTCCAGCCTGGGTGACAGAGCAAGACTCTTCTCAAAAAAAATAAATAAAATAAACAAAAACTTAAAAAAATAAAAAATAGGCTGGGTGCGGTGGCTCATGCCTATAATCCCAGCACTTTGGGAGGCTGAGGCAGGTGGATCCCCAGAGGTCAGGAGTTCGAGGTCAGGAGTTCGAGATCTGGCTGGCCAACATGGCAAAACCCCGCATTTACTAAAAATACAAAAAAAAAAAAAATTAGCTGGATGTGGTGGCAGGCACTTGTAATCTCAGCTACTTGGGAGGCTGAGGCAGGAGAATTGCTTGAACCCGGGAGGCAGAGGTTGCAATGAGCCGAGATCGTGCCATTGCACTCCAGCCTGGGTGACAGAATGAGACTCAGAATGAGACTGTCTCAAAAAATAAATAAATAAACAAACATAAAAAATAAAAAATAGAATGTTGAATGTGGAACCTTTTTGCCTCTTATAGTCAGATCTAGATACAGTTGCCCATAGTAGATTAATTTTCTCTTCTTGAACTCTTCCTAAGTACGGAAGTGATAGTGAATAAAGGGAGAGAGAGTCCCTTTAATGATGCTTTGTGGGTTGTAACATTTTAGAAACATGTCACTTATATACTTAAAAAGGCAATGTAGTTTTATGGTTAAAAAGCACTTAAGTATTTATACAATCAAGGAGTCTGAAAGGAATAAGCATTTAAAGGTACCCTTTTGTAAACATTGCATCTACAATATAGGTAGATATTTGTGAGGGACTTACTCTGTGCCAAGTATGTTTTAGGAAGTGATACACATTCTTTGTAGAAAGTTTAAAAACATAGGAAAGTATGGCAAAAATAAAATCACTCCTGATCCTTCCACCTGTTACTTCTCTCACGGCTATTTTTATGCATACATTCACAAATTCAAGTGTACTGTTCATATACATCATTGCATCTTAGGTTTTTTTACTAATCATATGAGCATTTGCTGTATCATTGAATAGTTTTTGAAAATGCAATTTCTAATGACTGCGGCAATCCGTTTTTTATAGCCAGACTTTATTTTGATGTCTTCTATTGTAGAATGTTTAGGTCAGTTCTAGTTTTTTATTATAATACTATGATGAATATTCCTTGTATGTAAATTTTTACACCTATTTCTGATTTTTGAAATAGTTATTAGGGAGAGAAGAATTGAAGAACATATACTTAAGAAAAACAGAGGTGTACAGTAAAGGAATTATTGCAAAAGGGTGAAGTAGGGTGTAAGTTAAATTTCAGGAAGCTTGAGAAAAGTTGATGCACTGTTCCAGTGGAACAGAGGCCTCAATCTTGCATCATCATGTTTTCTAAATGTTTTAAGGGATTGCTCTGTCTTTGGGATGATGTGATTATGGCATGATGATGATATTAATCACCTGTAAGTCCTGGTTTCTCAAGTAAAGGTTAAAATTAGCGTCTGTATGTTAATAACATTAGATATAAAACCATATCGTGTGTATTTTTAATTGTGGTTTGGAACAAAATAATAAAGCTCTTCATATTTATTCTAAAAAACTACAGGGCATGATTTTCTTAGATCTGCAAAGTCCTTACAGAACCAAGCTGACCATAGATGATGGAACCATTGAGACTAACTAGTAGGAGATAGGAACCACGTATATAGCATCTGAATTTGTGATCATCCACTTAATACAATTTATGTCATTCAGCTCAATTAGTATTTTCCTAATCACTCATACTTTTGTGTGTCAAATAGAAAGTACATTGGATACATAAAGGGGATTAATTTAGATGATGAACAGGTTTTATTCCCCTCTGCATGCTTTCATTAAACATACTCTAAATGCTCAACTGAGGACTTGTTATAGAATAGAAGGCAATGTTCTATACAAATTTTTTCAAAAAACAGAATATTTTTTTCTCTCAATTGTTGGGTGTTTAATTTGTCTCATAATTTTTTTTTTTTTTTTTTTTTTTTTTTTGAGACAGAGTCTTGCTGTGTCACCCAGGCTGGAGTGCAGTGGCATGATCTCGGCTCATTGCAACATCCGCCACCCTGGTTCAAGCGATTCTCCTGCCTCAGTGTCCCGAGTAGGTGGGATTACAGGCATGCATCACCACATTGGCTAATTTTTGTACTTTTAGTAAGGACGGGGTTTCAGTATGTTGGCCAAGCTGGTTTCGAACTCCTGACCTCAAGTGATCTACCTGCCTTGGCCTCCCAAAGTGCTGGGATTACAGGCTTGAGCCACTGCACCTGACCAACTTTTTTCAGAATGTAAGTGCTTAACTATTAAGAATATAATAGGCCAGGCGGCCGGGCGCAGTGGCTCACGCCTGTAATCCCAGCACTTTGGGAGGCTGAGGCAGGTGGATCACGAGGTCAGGAGATTGAGACCATCCTGGATAACACGGTGAAACCCTGTCTCTACTAAAAATACAAAAAAATAGCTGGGTGTGGTGGCAGGTGCCTGTAGTCCCAGCTACTTGGGAGGCTGAGGTAGGAGAATGGCGTGAACCCAGGAGGTGGAGCTTGCAGTGAGCCAAGATGGCGCCACTGCACTGCAGCCTGGGCGACAAAGCGAGACTCTGTCTCAAAAAAAAAAAAAAGAAAAAAAAAGAATATAATAGGCCGTAGGCCGGGTGCAGTGGCTCACACCTGTAATCCCAGCACTTTGGGAGGCTGAGGCGGGCTGATCACCTGAGGTCAGGAGTTTGAGACCAGCCTCAACATGGAGAAACCCCGTCTCTACTAAAAATACAAAATCAGCCGGGCGTGGTGGTGCATGCCTGTAATCCCAGCTACTTGGGAGGCTGAGGCAGGAGAATTGCTTGAACCTGGGAGGTGGAGGTTGCAGTGAGCCGAGATTGCACCTTTGCACTCCAGCCTGGGCAACAAGAGCGAAACTCCATCTCAAAAAAAAAAAAAAAAAGAATAGTTAACTTTTCTGGATCAAATCAATATGTAGGTTTAAGTAGAATGAGCAGAATGTTTAATATTTATAGAGCGCTATTACCAGTGGTAGATTTATTACTTGTTAACAAGTAATGAGTCAGTTTTTAATAGTATATCATATTTCTTAACTATTAGAAATAAATTTTATCATTGTGTTGCTTTGTACTTTATTTTGTTCTTCGCCCAGTCTCTGTATTTCTGCAAATGTGAGGGGGAAAGGGGCGAATCTCATTAGTGAGATTCTATGGTAGTAACTATGCTCATAGTGTTAGTGCTTCAGGAAGGTTGTTATTTCCACGTATCTCATTCCAGATATAGCTGCTATAACACACCCTAGAGGGTTACTTTTGGAACTTACTTTTACAAAGGTTTTTCGTGATGTTCCTGGGTCCTGTTATGAAAAAGTAGTGCTTACCTGAAATTCATATTAGCTTCGGTGGCAATATTTTGTCGTGTTAATGTTATATTGGCATTAAATACCCTCCTTTAGCCAGCTTAGAATAAAACTAAAAAGAAAAACCAAAGAAGAGATGCATTTCTGATCAGAACCAAAGTTATTGCTGTGGGCTACCCGTTGATCTTTGCCTTGCGAGTTAGACTTTGTAGGGATATACTGTGGTAAATGGAAACCCTAGTGAGGAAGACTACTTTAGTCAAATGACCTGTTTTCTCAATTCAGGTGATATCTTTGGATGATAACTTTGCTAGTTATATCTGAAACTATACAGTTGTAAAATCTAGAAAACATATTGGATTCCTTATTTTTTTTTATTCCGAACACTTGTTAAAAATGAGATTTTTAATATGGAAAATTGTTTTGGGAGCTTATAAGGGGCCTTTCTAACAATATGGACCTTCCATTAACTGACAGTCGCAAGCACAAATAACTCCAAGTGGTTCATTGGGAATGCCTTGAGACTGTTATGGCCTGTTGTAACCTGATGATGTCAGCAATGAAAAATCAAAGCAACACCACCTGTTAAAATTTTTTTTAATGTTTTAAACCTGTATAGATGTATGTATGTGGTTGGTAACTGCAGACTTGTCTTTATTTTTATTTAGATTTTTAAAAATTGTAGGCCTGTTGTCTACATAAATAGTTGTAAAATGTACCTTACAAAAATCCAGTGAAACTCTCTAAGATTAAAAAAGGAGGGAATCCTTTCAGTCCTTGCACACCGGGGAACAAGGTCGTGAAAAAAAGGTCTTGGTGAGGTGCCGCCATTTCATCCTTCCTCGGTCTCTGCACCTTTCGCAGAGCTTCCAGCAGCGCTATGTTGGGCTAGAGCATCCGGAGGTTCACAGCCTCTGTGGTCCGTAGGAGCCACTGTGAGGAGGGCCCTGGGAAGAATTTGCCATTTTCAGTGGAAAACAAGTGGTCGTTACTAGCTAAGATGTGTTTGTACTTTGGATCTGCGTTTGCTATACCCTTCCTTGTAGTAAGACACCAACTGCTTAAAACATAAGGGTGTTTCAGTTCCTCCATTTAACAGATATGAAGAGTATTTTAAGAGGTGCAGCCTCTGGAAGTAGATCAAACTCGAACTCATGTGGCATGCTAGATATGTTTGTCAATAAACTTATGATGTGAAAAAAAAAAGGAGGGAATTTATCAGTACAGTTGTTATTTCTAGTGTTTGCAGAAGCCAAACCTGACCACAGACACTAAGGACAAGGAGTACAAACCCCATGATATTCCCCAGAGGCAGTCTGTGCAGCCTTCGGAAACGTGCCCCCCAGCCCGACGAGCAAAACGCATGAGAGCAGAGGTAAGAGCCTCATGAGGTTAATTTAAAAGGAATTCTCAAGCCCTAATACCAATGGCTGTCTGGCACTGGATTTCTCTCATGTGTGTGCTCTTTGTAGTTTTGAACCTTGTTAATCTCACAAAGGGATGCTGTTTGTATTCCAGCTTTTACACTTGGGTGAATTGTACCATCAAAGGGGTAAGGAATCGAATAAGTCTTTCTAAATTTATGCTGCCTGGACAGACAGCCGCTTATTACCAGTCAAGGCCTTAGAAGAATTGGTGTTCCTGTGTTCCTACTTGGATTGCCCATTACCCTCACAAAATTGGCGTTGTTTAATGGAGATTAAGGCTAGAAAACATGAAGATTAGGAGTTTTTTTAAACAGAGTGGTTAGAAGACAGTTAAAGCCACTTTTCTCAGACTTCTTTTTTTTTTTTTAGAGACAGAGTCTCGCTGTGTTGCCCAGGCTGGAGTGCAGTGGCGCGATCTTGGCTCACTGCAACCTCCGCCTCCTAGATTCCAGCAATTCTTCTGCCTCAGCCTCCCAAGTAGGTGGGACTACAGGCGTGTGCCACCACGCCCGGCTAATTTGGTTTGTATTTTTAGTAGAGACCGATTTCACCGTGTTAGCCAGGATGGTCTCGATCTCCTGACCTCGTGATCCACCCATCTTGGCCTCCCAAAGTGCTGGGATTACAGGCGTGAGCCATCTCACCCAGCCTCTTCCTTTTATAGGTGGTCTCGCTCTTTCACCTAGACTGGAGTGCAGTGGCATGATCATAGCTTACTGCAACTTTGAACTCCCAGGCTCAGGTGATAGCTGCCACCTCAGCCTCCCAAGTAGCTGGAACTACAGATGCATGCCATGCATGCCTAGCTAATTAAAAAAAAATTTTTAATAAAGACAAGGTCTCACTGTGTTGTCCAGGCTAGAGAAGGATTATTTGCTTTAAGATTTTTCTGCTCTGAGAAGCTTTCCCTGGGAAAGGAAGAAGAGTATTTTTCTAGTGATCTCGTTCCCATACCAGAGGTATGAAGGTTTTGGATTCCTGCCTAGCCTGATGGATATGTGAGTTTTAGGACTCAGAGATAATATATAGGGAACTGTTTAGAGCTGGGAAGCCTCATATTGCATTAATCATACTAAATCAGTAACTGGTTTTCAATAATTATCAAAAATGAAAAAAATCAGCCATTTTGTTTTCTGAAGAAATAGATAAATAAGAGAATAGTTTTTCACTTTGGTAAGTTGGAGATAGGAAAAAAATTTAGTGATTCACTTTTTCTGAATGAAGGAGACTGCCCAGAATAGGAAAATATGGTTATTTGAAGCCCATAAGCATGTTTAAAGTAAATTAATCTATGAATCAGTTCTTTCTTGAGCATATTCTTGATCTTATACATGTGTATATAAGAAATGCCCCAGTGCTGTGGATGCCTACATCTGCCTTGATGACACCTGATAGTAATGATATTGCCCATGGAATAAACTCTTTTAGCAGTGGACATCATTAAAATGTATGAATAAACACAGGCAAAGTGAGAAAGCACAGTTCCACAGATACTTCAGTATTACCACAAAAAATGGTTTTATTTGCTTTACCAATAAGTATCAGCACTTTAAGAAATAATAGAAACTGAGATTGGCTTCTATACCCTCAATGAGGAAGGAGCCCTTAATAGTTTAGTGATGTTAGAAGTGTGTAGTTTATAATAATAGTTTATTAAAATAATTTATGGAAAATTATTGTGGAAGCAAAATTTTCTGTAAATACTGACAGACCTTGGAATAGGTCAGCAAACTCTTAGAGGCTAATGGAGTTATGACATTTATATAACTACTTAGGATTTGGCTTATTGCGATGATTGAATAAAGCATAAAGCAAATAGATAAGAACCAAGAACCTTCTAGGAGGAAAATAAGAATTGTTCTTCCGAATTTGAATAGAAACACTTCTCTTTGTTTTGAGACAGAGATTGGCTCTTGTTGCCCAGGCTGGAGTATAGTGGTGTGGTCTTGGCTCACTGCAACCTCTGCCTCCTGGGTTCAAGCAAATCTCATGCCTCAGCCTCCTGAGTAGCTGGGACCACAGGTGTGCACAACACCTGGCTAATTTTTGTATTTTTAGTTAGAGATGGGGTTTTGCCATTATGGCAGGCTGATCTCAAACTCCTGGCCTCAAGTGATCCACCTGCCTTGGCCCCCCCAAAATGCTGGGATTACAGGTGTGAGGCACCTCGCCCAGCCACAATTTGTTCTTGATCCTTTGACTTTTCCCTATTTGTTTTTTTGTTTGTTTGTTTGTTTTTGAGATAGAGTCTTGCTCTGTCACCCAGGCTGGAGTGCAATGGCACCATCTCAGCTCACTGCAGCCTCCATCTCCCAGGTTCAAGCGATTCTCCTGCCTCAGCCTCCCAAGTAGCTGGGACTACAGGTGCGTGCCACCATGCCCGGCTACTTTTTGTAATTTTAGTAGAGACAGGGTTTCACTGTTAGCCAGGCTGGTCTTGAACTCCTGACCTTAAGTGATCTGCCTGCCTCAGCCTCCCAAAGTGCTGCGATTACAGGTGTGAACCACTGTGCCTGGCCAACTTTTCCCTATTTTTAAATTTCTCATTCATGCTTTAATAGTAGTTTCAAAGGTGAGCTCTCTTCCTTAGGAAGAGAGAGAAGTATGTTTTGAATGCCCTGTTAATAGAGGCAATTGGTAGGATATAGTCACCTTGAGATTCCAGTTGGATTTTTAAAGATTATTTCTTCTTAAAGGAAATATTCATGTATATGACAATTTTTTTAAGGCCATGAATATTAAAATAGAACCCGAGGAGACAACGGAAGCCAGAACTCATAATCTGAGACGTCGAATGGGTTGTCCAACTCCAAAATGTGAAAATGGTAAGAAAATTTGTCAATGAATAGGAAAGAAAAAGTAAATAAAGTAAAAATAACTATTCATAAGTAAACATAAGCTGAAAATTCAATAGAAAAAAATTAAAAAGTAAAATTTAGAGCAGCCAGTACATAGTAGTCACTGGGTTGGGCTTTGAGAAAATCTTAATATATCAACAGTGTCCTTGTTCTCATAATTAACTGACTAGTGGGAGAGAGAAACAGAAACTATATGTATGCATATTAGGAGTGTGGATGAGTTTCTCAGCTGTAGCAAGTTGCTACTTTGAAATTTGATTCAATGCAGTTACTTAAGTAATTTGTGAAAAACATAGGTGCCTTTGACCGAATGTCTGATAGATTTATTTCAGGCAAGGCAAACAGACATGCTTCCTAAATCTGAATTGTGGTTAATTGCTTGCCTGGGTATCACTTGATGTAAGTCACTGAGAGGTGGATTTGAGATTCTTTTAAGAGAAATCTTATATCCTATATAGGAGGCACATACAAATTAAGAAGTTACTAAAATTTGTTCAACCTAGGGATTAGTGAACTAGTGGAAAGGCAGCACAATGCACAGGAAAGTAATAGAGATACAATATAAAGTAATACAGTAATCTTGGCACAACCGCTAACTAGTTATGTAACCTTAGAGATGTTTCTTGATTTACTTTAACATCAGTTTTCTTACCTTTGAAATGGGTTTGTTGTGAAGGATTAAATACTTTATGGAAAGCATTGAGCACAATGCCTACCACATGATAGTTCAGTAATTGATAGCCAGTGTTTTCGCCAAACTTCTCAGTCTTCAGAACCAGGAATTTGGAGACCAGGAGGATGACCAGGAAGTCATCTTAGATCATGGAGAGATAATGTGTTATGTGGAGGAGATATAGTTGGTGAACTGTTGGTCTCTTGTAGTCATGGCCAACAGGAATTTGATTTCATCGGTATATGTTATGTCTTGGTCTTGAGAAAACTAATTCCTATTTTGAAAGCATACAAACCTGAGGGACATCTCCAGAAGTAATCTACATCTTGAAATTTAAATGGCACAAGAGTTTGCATTTTATCATAAAGTAATCAGCATTTGAGCCCTTGAATAAAGTATACTGGGTGCTATTGCTACTAAAATGTGAAAACACACATGAAATTATGTTTGTGTACAGTATGTGCTTTGGGAGGGAGATGATGAGGAAGTGGAGAAAAGCATCATAAAGAGCTAATTTTGGATTGCCTCCTACAGAGAAAGAAATGAAGAGTAGCATCAAGCAAGAACCTATTGAGAGGAAAGATTATATTGTAGAAAATGAGAAGGAAAAGCCCAAGAGTCGATCTAAAAAAGCCACCAATGCTGTGAGTGACATCTCCCTTTCTCCTTTTTCTTTCCTGTTTTCCTTCTTCCCTTCCTTTCTTTAATCCCCTTTACCCCCAAGTTTAAACTTAAATTTGTACCTTAAATAAGATTGTTTAACTTAGTGTCTGACAATAAAAATATCTTCTGAAGTCAGTTTATAGTGTTAGTTAATAAATGAGGAAATACATGATCATACTATAAAGATGGTAGTAACATCCGGGGCGGCATTGACTGCGATTTTCTGGAATACATTCAGTTTAGCACTGACTAATAATGAACTGTAATCTAGCTCATTATACATAGAATTGCTCATAAATCACTAGCTCACTTCTACATGAGCTGAAGGCTCGCTCAAAAATCCAAGTTAGTGTTTTCCAACTTCCCAGCTAGCAAAGGGAAGGAAGGAAATGAAAAGAAGGAACAAAAAAGAGAAAGGAAGAAGGAAGAGGAAGGAAGGAAGGAATGAAAAGGAAGTAGAGAAGGAAGGAAGAAAAGGAAAAGGAACAAAGGAAAGCAGTTAGGAATAGGGAAGAGGACATGGCAGAGTTAGAGGGCTGGGAGCTGTTTATTCTGTGGAAAACTTTTATTAAAAGTAAAGCCTGATGGCATTAGAAAGGATCTGGTTCTTCTCTGCCCCCTTCTGAGAGCCTGAAACGGTGCTTTTTTTTCTTGGAACTAGAAATTATTCTAATTGAATGTTCTCTCCATAAATGTCACCTTCTGCCCCACCCCCTCTCCCCAATACAATCAGAAAACTGACAGAGCTAGATTTTTATTTGCTACAATAAATAGACTGCAACAGACTCCCCATTTAGTTGAATTCTCAGCTTTCTAGTATTGAGTAATGTATCAGTTTGCTGTGGCTGCCATAAGGATGTGCCGCAGACTGAGTGGCTTAAACAACAGAAATTTATTTTTTCACAGTTGTATAGGCTGGGAAATTTGAGATCAAGGTGTTGGCAGGGTTGATTTCTTCTGAGCCCTCTTTCCTTGGCTGTGGATGGCTGTCTTTCACATGGTCTTTCCTCTGTACATATCTTTGTCCTTATAAGGACAGCAGTCATATTGGATGATTACCTCCGTAAGGACTCATTTCCAAATATAGTCACATTCTGAGGTACTGAGGGTTAGGACTTCAACATGTGAGTTTTTGGGGGGAATACAGTATACCCCATAAAAAGTAATAACTATGCTTTATCACTGGGCATTAGGGGAACTTCTGAACCATGTCCCCTTAATTAGAATTAAAAGTGATAGTTTATTTTTATTTTTTTAGAGATGGCTGGAGTATAGTGACACAATCATAGCTACTGCTGCCTTGAACTCCTGGGCTCAAGGGATCCTTTTGCCCCAGCCTCTTAAGTAGCTGGGACCACAGGTGTGCACCACCATGCCCGGCTAATTTTTCTTTTTTAAATTTCTTGTAGAGACAGTGTCTCGCCATGTTGCCCAGGCTGGTCTCAAACTCCTGGCTTCAAGCAGTCCTGCCAGGGCCCCCAAAAGTGTTGGGATTACAGGCTTAAGCCACCGTGCCAGGCCTAAATTGGTAGTTTAATGTGGTTAACTTTAAGACAGTTTTGTTTTAAATATGGAAAACTTGTATTTTTCCTTCATAAATTCTACTTTTGGTTAGGTTGGTAATGTATTACCTGGTATCTTTTTTTTTTTTCTCCTGAGACAGGGTCTCTGTCACCCAGGCTAGAGCGCAGTGGTGCAATAAGGGCTCACTCCAACTTTGACCTACCAGGCTCAAGAAATCCTCCTGTCTCAATTCCCCAAGTAGTTGGAACTACAGACACGTGCCACCACTCTTGGCCTATAACCTTAGCATCTTGTTGTTTTGGAACCTACTAAAAACTAGGTCTTTAAATAACAAACTTTAAACACATGACAGTTGAGAAAGCTAGGAGATTCCACTTTAGATTTGGTATGCATGAGGTATTGTGAAATATCCTTCATAGAAAGTGAAACATTTTTATTTAAAATATCCCTTATAGAGGTTGAAGCATTTGTAGCAGGATGTAGAGACTAGATTATGTCTCAGATCCATTTCATTTCTAGAATTTTAGAAAATCAAATAATAGCTCATGTTCCTTTGTTCTGTACCCACTTTTATTGCTACAGGTGGACCTGTATGTCTGTCTTTTATGTGGCAGTGGCAATGATGAAGACCGGCTACTGTTGTGTGATGGCTGTGATGACAGTTACCATACCTTTTGCTTGATCCCACCTCTCCATGATGTTCCCAAGGGAGACTGGAGGTGTCCTAAGTGTTTGGCTCAGGTAATAATTAATAGTAGAGGTAACACTAGAAAAATTTTTTTAGGGCATTTTTCTTTGCCTTTGAGTTTTATTTTTTATTTTATTTTATTTTATTTTTTTTAGACAAGGACTCACTTTGTTGCCCAGGCTGGAGTGCAGTGGCACAAACATGGCTCACTGCAGCATCAACCTCCCTGGCTCAAGCAGTTCTCCCACCTCAGCCCCCCCCACGTAGCTGGGACTACAGGCCCATGCCATGATGCCTGGCTAATTTTTGTATTCTTTGTACAGAGGGGGTTTCACCATGTTGCCCAGGGCTGGTCTCGAACTCCTAAGCTCAAATAGTCCTCCTACCTCGGCCTTCCAAATTGCTGGGATTACAGGTCTGAGCCATCTCACTTGGCCTGCCTTTGGGTTTTAGATTTGGCAGTCGACAGTAATGAGGCCCATGAAGAAAACTGGGATGGACCTGAATAGGAAAGAGGTCTTAGAAGTGAGTTCCACAATGTATGTGGGTAGTTAAGAGGCAGAAAATAATTTGTAATAAGTATCTTATTATTATTTTTTAATTCTTATAAAAAGCATCACATGCTCTTTGCAAGAATTATTAAAACATTGAACAACTTAAAAAGTAGAGTTATGCTTTCACAATGCATATATAACCACTGTTAATGTCTTGGTGTATATTCATCCAGACTTTTTTCTATTTTAAACAAATGGAGCTACATTATATAAGTAATTATTAGTAATCTGCTTTTTTCATTTATAGAGACATTTTCATGTAGCACTGTGATTACTGATGTTTTTAATAGTGCATGCTGTCATTGGTAAAATCTAAAAAGGATCTACGATTATCTTCATGAGGATTTTTTTTTTTTTTTTTTTGAGACAGGATCTCACTCTATCACCCAGGCTGGAGTACAGTGGAGTGCAGTGGCGTGATCTCAGCTCACTGCAACCTCCGCCTCCCCAGCTCAAGTGATCCTCCCGTCTCAGCCTCCCAAGTAGCTGGGACTACAGGCTTGCACCACCATGCCCAGCTAATTTTTGTATTTTTTAGTAGAGACAGGGTTTTGCCACGTTGTCCATGCTGGTCTCAGAACTCCGGAGCTCAGGTGATCCTCCTGCCCCAGCCTCCCAAAGTGCCGGATTACAGGTGTGAGCCACTGCACCCAGCCATTAGGATTATTTTGCATTAATATTATGTAGCAGTCAGTCTATTACCCTTCTTAGGGTTGAATTATAATAGTAAGGAGGTTTATTTTAAGTATAGCATGGCTATAAAGGTTTGAGTGCTTTTCCACGTAGCTATGTTACAACATAAGGATATCTCCATCAATGGGAGGTTATTAGGCATGGGACAGGGATAAATTATTTAATACCTCATAATAGGGATGACCTTATCAATGGATCTGGAATATTCAAGTCTATTGGCTCACAAAGATCTAAGGCAGCTTATACTGCCCCTGTTAACTCCCAGTATTAGGTTATAATCAAATATTGCTGGCCTGAGAGCCATTCTGTTTCCATCAAGTGGTTTATCTCTATTTTGATCTATTGTATGTTGATTTTATAGTTTTAACTCCCAGGAGGACATTATTGCTCTCATTTTCAGTATTGAAAACATTATTTGATTTTGAAGGAAGTCGAGTCTTTAGCCTGCCTCTTATAAATATATAAATTTATCCAAGTTGTGGTTGTTAAAATTGACATTTTATTTGCTCATTAGCAAATAAATAAAATGTATTTCACTTGCTTATTAAAATAACCACATTTTTCAGGCAGGTTTATTTTTATAATGTAGACCTAGCATAGAAGTAAAATAAACAAATTAAAGCCTTGTTTTTTATCTGCCAGCTTGATGATTGACCAAGTATACTTGATGTTTTCAGTGTCACCTAGAACGTAATTTTCTTTATTTTCAGGAATGTAGTAAGCCACAAGAAGCATTTGGCTTTGAACAAGCAGCCAGGGACTATACCCTCCGTACTTTTGGGGAAATGGCAGATGCGTTCAAATCTGATTACTTCAACATGCCAGTCCATGTATGTACATATATACTGCTTTGATTTAGGATTTTAATAGCTTTTGGAGAAAAGTGTACCTGAAGACCCATTTTTAGTTGAGGCCTCACTCTAGTAGGCATTGTCACACAGAAAGCAGAATGAAACTTTAATTTGTTTTGTGGTATTTAAAATTTCACAATACTTTAAAAAGCATTCTAATTTTTTATTTTAGAATTTCTCTAAAGATACCTCTTCCACACAGATTATACAGCACCAGTAATAGAACACTAATAAAGAAAATCATCAGCAATCATTTTGGCCCAACAAATATAAAGAATACTTCACAAAATGTATTAAATGACTGCTGTGTGCCAAGGTGTACTATGCATTGGGAACACATTTGTTGTATATTGTTATGTAATCATAAGTTAGTATTATAAATTTCAGGATGAGTCCATTTTTAATTCCCCTTTATGCACTTTGAAGCATAAGCATTTTCCATTCAGCATTTAATACTCCATCAAATGAGTACACCAAAATGTAATGCTTTAATTCTGGATATTTAAGCTATGATTTTTGTCACTACTAATAAAGCACTGCAGCAAACCCTTTATGCATGTAGTACTCTTTAATTGGATGATTTTCTTGGGATGATTATTGAGGTCAGATGAGAGTCATTCTCCCTCATTCCATCCCAGTTGCTGTATCAATTTATGGATCCCAGCAATATATGAGTGAATTTGTTTTTCCCCAGCACCTCTAACATCAGCTATTAGTTACTTAAAATGTTTGCTTATTTAATGGACTTAAATTTATACTCCATTTGAATTTTCAGTTCTCTTGACTTCCTTATGTGTTATAATATTTGCCAATATGTTTGCTTAACCAATCCTGATGACTTGCATGTAACCTCTTCTATTTGTGGTTAACTGTATATTTTGACAGAATATTAGATGAGGACATTGAGGGATAGACATTTAAATGTTACCTGCCTCTGGATTTACACCAGATTAACAACAGATTGACATTTAGTCTGGTGACTCTTTATTCTAAGGGCGTGCTGCTACAAGTTGCTCCTTTTGTTATATCATATATACTGGAAGTCCCCAACCACCCTTTCCCAACCTGGCCATTGACCAATACCAGTCGGTGGCCTGTTAGGAACAGGGCCACACAGCAGGAGGTGATCAGTGGGCAAACATTACACCCGAGCTCTGCGTCCTGTCAGATCAGTGGCTGCATTAGAGTCTCATAGGAGGGCAAACCCTATTGTGAACTGCCTATGCAAAGGATCTAGGTTGCATGTTCCTTATGAGAATCTAATCCCCCCCCCACCTCCCAGCCCTTGCGCCCTGCCCTTCCCCATCCATGGAAAAATTGCCTTCCATGAAACCCATCCCTGGTGCCAAAAACACAGGGACACTGGCGACCACTGCTATATACTGTGTTTTTTGTGTTGGTTGCCTACATTGCTCTCAGACAGGTCCAGTGAAAAGAATGAAAGGATGGACTCAGGTAATGTATTTGAAAGCATCTCAAAGTATAAAGCATCATTGAAACAACAAACCTTATTACTGTGCTGTTGTCAACTGTACAGTGCTATACGTCATTCAGACACAACTAACCATTATTACTATACAGTTTATGTTACATTTTTTGAAACACAGAAATATCTCCCGGTCATAAATAATTGCTTTCCTTGGCTCCCTTTTACAGTTGTGGCCTGGCTGGTGATAGAGGAACATAAATTCCTTTTAGACAGTAGAGGTTTCCTGAATTGCCTAAGATCAATTATAGAACATTATAGACACAATTTTTCCTTAGGATGCTGTTCTTTGATTCCCATCACTGAGCTTAATTGGTCACAGACAGTTTGTGAGGAAACTCATTTTTTCTATTCCTTGTATTTCCAGATGGTCCCCACAGAGCTTGTTGAGAAAGAATTTTGGAGACTAGTAAGCACTATTGAGGAGGATGTCACAGTGGAATATGGAGCTGACATTGCCTCAAAGGAATTTGGCAGTGGCTTTCCTGTCCGAGATGGGAAAATCAAACTCTCACCTGAGGAAGAGGTAGGCATATAAGTGGCTTGGAAATTGAGGTATTTATTGAAATTCTGTTTGGTTGGCTTGAAGTAACTTATGATTACTTTTAGCAAATCCTTAATTACCAGATTTTTAATGATTTCAAGAAAAGTAGAAAGAGCCTACAGAAGAATTCTAGTCCTAACTATGTCACTATGTTGTGGTCATAGGGGAAAATTACTTATCATCCTTTGCCTTCAGATTTTATAACCTTGGTTTCTCCTTCTGAAGAAAACCTGAAGGCCTGAGACCAGGTCTATTTATTTTCAAACTTTAATATTTTTGAGTATTTTTTTCCATACTAGCGAACTCTTAGGAAGAGTTCTGTTTCTATCTTGGTAGGAAAGTGTGATTTTTTTTTTTTTTTGGTAGTTTTCTTTGAAAGTATTACATATGATCAGAAAAGTACATAGTTATATGTATACAGACTGATGAATTTCCACAAGCTGAACACACCCATGTAACCAGCACTAACTAAAACAAGAAATAGGATATTCCCAGCACCCCAGAAGTTCCCTTTTCGCCCGCTCTCCTTCACTACTTTTCCTCTTTCAGGACGAGCACTATGCCCTCAGGATAATCACTATCCTGACTTCTAACACTATAGATTAGTTTGCCTGATTTTGAACTTTGTTAAAGTGGACTCATGGCTTATGTTCCTCTATATATATTTAAAAAGAGACAGATACAGAAGTATGTGCTGTGTGAGTCCATTTATACAAAGCTCAAAACTGGGCAAAACGAATCTCTGGGCATCCTAGAAGGTCAGCATGGTGGCCCCTCCTCTTCCACATTTCTTTTTTTATTTTGAAGGATAATATTTTTAGCTGGCCTTCTAAAACGTTAGCATTGTATAGCTAAACCTTTATCCTCTTTTGTCTTCTTATTTTTAGGAGTATCTTGATAGTGGCTGGAATTTGAACAACATGCCAGTGATGGAGCAGTCTGTCCTTGCACATATTACTGCTGATATATGTGGCATGAAACTTCCTTGGTTGTATGTGGGAATGTGCTTTTCTTCATTCTGTTGGCACATTGAAGACCACTGGAGCTATTCAATTAACTACTTGCACTGGTGAGAAGTTCCAAAAAGAACCCATGAGTAGTATGCATGCTGGATAGGAAAACTTTCCTTTTCAGTGCAGATGTGTCTTAACTGTGTCTGAAGAGCATTGAACTACTTTTTTCCCTAAGGTTTTTCACTTCTGTTAGAACAGGCATCCTGACAAGTTAAGACAGTGGTTCTTAAGATTCCTAGAGCATCCATGAATTCCCTGAAATTGCACACACACTACTTTGCAAGAACAACGTAATTCTGGGGGAAGGGTAGTTTTTATCTGAAGTAAGGAAGTCTTTGTCTAGGCCGGGTGCAGTGGCTCACGCCTGTAATCCCAGCAGTTTGGGAGGCCAAGATGGGCGGATCACCTGAGGTCAGGAGTTCGAGACCAGCCTGGCCAACATGGAGAAACCCCGTCTTTACTAAAAATATGAAAATTAGCTGGGTGTGGTGGTGAGCACCTATAATCCCAGCTACTTGGGAGGTGGAGGGAGGAGAATCACTTGATCCTGGGAGGCAGAGGTTGCAGTGAGCCAAGAGACCGCACCATTGCACTCCTGCCTGGGCAACAGAGCGAAACTCTGCCTCAAAACAAAAAGAAGTATTTACCTATAGAAAAAGCATATTCTAAATAAAAGTTACTTTTACTATAGAAAATCCCATTTGGTGGCAGTGCTAGCCTGGATACCCCTTTGGGAGAAGCGTGAATTATAGTAGGTACCACAGTGTCCTCCAGGTCTGTGTAATGACTAGCCTCTCTTTTGTTGTGTTGAATTCAGGTATCACTATGCACAGTAGAGTGAGCCTTATCTTGGTGTGCACATTGAGGGGGCAAGGCGGGAGGGATGTGCAGATATTTGGGCTTCTTTACTTTTTAAACTCTTCAAGCCATTTCTTCACATCTGTTTTCTTCTCTATTTTTCTTCTAAATATAAAAATATTTGAAAATCTGTAACTCACTCAAATCCTCACACAAGGAATTTGAGGATGTACCACAAGAAAGAGAATTGGCATATATATGTATAGAATTAATTCTGCTTCCCTAGGCAGTTTCTCCCAGCTGTAAAATGAATATTATATTTACCATACCTCGCAGGGATGATACAGATAAATTGTTTGATAATTTAAAGTCCTTTGAAGAATAAGAATTCCTTAGAAATGCTAATTGCCTTACTAGTGTTTGATTTAACTTCGTCTGCCAGAATGGGCAAGGGAAAAGAAAAATGGAAAGTTGCCTTACCCTTGTGGGTTGCTTTAGGAAACTGTGATAACAACATATCCTGAAGTGAATACGATACCTTATATTCTTAGAAATTCTGGATATTGGCTGGGCATGGTGGCTCACGCCTGTAATCTCAGCACTAAGCTGAGGCGGGCGGTTCACCTGAGGTCAGGAGTTCGAGACCAGCCTGGCAACATGGTGAAACCCCGTGTCCACTAAAAATACAAAAATTAGCTGGGCATGGTGGTGCACGCCTGTAATACTAGCTACTCGGGAGGCTGAGGCAGGAGAATTGCTTGAACCTGGGAGGTGGAGGTTGCAGTGAGCCAAGATTGCGTCATTGCACTTCAGCATGGACAACACAGCAAGACTCAGTCTCAAAAAAAAAAAACAAAAAAAAAACAACAACAACAAAAGAGAAATTCTAGGTGTCTGCATTTTCTAAAGAGTCAGATAAAAATGAGAGTGGGGAGAGGGACTTCAGATGTTCAGATGGAAAGTCTTCTGTTCATACTTGAAGGGGGAAAATGCATTACATATGTTCACATCACATTCCTTTTTTGTTTTTTTTGAGATGGAGTCTTGCTCTTGTCACCCAGGCAGGAATGCAATGGTGTGATCTCTGCTCACTGGATCCTCCACCTCCTGGGGTCAAGTGAATCTTCTGCCTCAGCCTCCCAAGTAGCTGGGATTACAGGTGCCTGCCACCATGCCTGGCTAATTTTGTATTTTTAATAGAGATGGGGTTTCACCATGTTGGCCAGGCTGGTCTTGAACTCCTGACCTCGTGATCTACCCGCCTCAGTCTCCCAAAGTGCTGGGATTACAGACGTGAGCCACAGCACCTGGCTCACATTCACATTTCTAATGATATTTCGTCAGTTTGTGGATTCCTTTTTTGCGTAGTCTTACAAAGCCGAGTCTGAAAAATATGAACTGGTAACCCATTTTGTTTGTGTTGGTGTTGCAGATTGATTTATTTTTATAATCTATTTCCAGGGGTGAGCCAAAAACCTGGTATGGAGTCCCAGGGTATGCTGCTGAGCAGCTAGAAAATGTAATGAAGAAACTAGCTCCAGAACTCTTTGTGTCCCAGCCGGATCTCCTCCATCAGCTTGTGACCATCATGAACCCCAATACCCTGATGACTCATGAAGTGCCTGTATGTTCTGGGTTAATCCTCCTGCCACTCAAGCTTAATTCACCACTTCTCTTTTTCCTTTTTATTCACTTTTTTATGATGTTGATTTAGTTCTGTGTTTTCCATAGCATGACTTGATAGCAGAAACAGCTGTTTTGCTGCAGTACTGTACATTTACTCAGTAGGACTGGATCCTTAGATACCACAAAAACTAATTTGTTGCAGCTGATAACTAGATTGCTAAACAGCCTTCCTTTGCAAGTAATAATTGCAATTCATTGGTTTTAGTGTATTTATAAGTGAAAATCTATTTCAAGGTCTTGAGCTTGTATTTTAGGGTGCCCAGTCTGACTGAAAAGTCTAGAGGTTGCTAAATGAAGTGACAACTATACAGTCATGGGAAACCTAACAACAGGGATATGTTCTGAGAAATGCGTTGCTAGGTGATTTTGTTGTCATGTGAACTTCATGGAGTGTACTTACACAAACCTAGATGGTATAGCCAACTACACACCTAGGCTGTATGGTGTAGGCTATTGCTGCTGGGCTACAAATTTGTACAGCATGTTACTGTACTGAATACCTTAGATAGCTGTAACACAATAGTAAGGATTTGTGTATTTAAATGTATCTAAACAGAAAAGGTACAGTGAAAATATGGTATTATAATCTTACAGATCACCATTGATATGTGGTCTGTCTGTGACCAAAATGTTGTTACATGGTGCACAACTATACTGGCTTCCTTTTGGAGAATACTCTGAAGACATTTGGGAAGCCATATTGAAATGTATGAAGAGTCCATCTTAGCTAAATAAAATGTAAATGATACATTTACAGTGTTAAAGTGAACTTGTTGTGACCTAAAGTTTATGCTTTTGGGTTCATAGGCTAGTCAATGGAGACAACAGAAAGGACTTTCATTTGAGGCATTATAAATTATGCATGGACCATAGCTTAGAAAGTAATCACCAGTAAGCACCACAATCTCACCATCTCCTCATAGTTGGTATTTCTTCTCATAATATTTTTCTTTCCTCATGTTGACTGTTTTTTCCAATTTGTTAAGAGTAGATTGCTTTAATTGAGACCTGACCCTGGTTCTTTAATAATTGAGCAAACTTTCTGGAGTTAGATTCTGGACCTACAGAGATAGATGAATGAACTCCTTGTGCATTTAGGGATTCATTATCTGAAGTAAAAGATAATGTTTATACAGATAATACAAGGGTGGTGTGGTTTGACAGTGGTGACAACTATGAGACTGATCTAATAACTCTATTGAGAATCAGAAAGGGCTCTTAAATGAGATGACATCTGTAGTAGGAGCTGGAACTCTGATAAATTATCACATGTTTGGCAGAGTCAGGGAAGGAGGAAGTATTCCAAGTAGAAGATATGGTGTTCCTGTGATGGGTAGTAGTCTTTACACAGAACCCTGAAGGCCGTATTACTACACAGATGGCTGGTCTCCACCCCTAGAATTTCTGATCCTGTTATTTTGTTAGTCTGAGTGGGGCTTCAGGATTTGCATTTCCAACAAGCTCCTAGTGGATGTTGATGCTTTTGTTCTGGGGGACCGTACACTAGGTAAGCATTGGTGTAGAAATGTAGATGCTTGAAAAGGAATCTAATATTATTATATAATAATAAGCTCAGTATAAGGATTTGTGTGCCTAGAGCAATATAGGTACTTTTGGGGTGAGGGTGGTGGTAGGAAGAAGGGAATGATGGGAGGTAAGTTTGAGTTCCAAATGAGGAGGACCTCTGTATGTTATGAGATTCTTGAAATAGAGTGGGATTGCTTTAATTGGTGGTAGAAGATGCTACTTGAGGGGTAATAATAATATATTAGGATATTCTTAATTGCAGCTGTTTTTAAAAGTTATACCTTGAACCTTAATATGGGCACATTTTTGTTTTGTGTTCAGATACTAATCAACTTTGGTAGTCTGGGATACTGCTCCATCTTGTGACATAAATTAGTATCTCTAGGTGATATTCTACTATAATAATTTGTTTTTTCTGGCTCAATTTCAGAAAGCTGCCTTTTTTTGAAAATTATCTAATAGACTGTGTCCAGATTGTCTTTAGTAACAATGTCACTCTTTAAGAAACTCAAAAATCTTCAATTTCTGTCTCTTTAGGTTTACCGAACTAATCAGTGTGCTGGGGAGTTTGTGATTACATTTCCAAGAGCCTACCACAGTGGTTTTAACCAGGGTTTTAATTTTGCTGAGGCTGTTAACTTCTGCACTGTTGATTGGGTATGTAATTACAATGTAGTTAACCTTTTCAAATTTATTGTTTTTCCTGAGGAAATGGAATATAATGTTTTAAAGTGTCATGTGGGCTGGGTGCGGTAGCTCATGCCTATAATCCCAGCGCTTTCGGAAGCCAAGGTGGGCAGATCACCTGAGGTCAGGAGTTCGAGACCAGCCTGGCCAACATGGTGAAGCCCCATCTCTACTAAAAATACAAAAATTAGGCGTGGCGGTGGGCGCCTGTAATCCCAATTACTTGGGAGGCTGAGGCAGGAGAATCACTTGAACCCAGGAGGTGGAGGTCGCAGTGAGCCAAGATCACGCCATTGCACTCCAGCCTGGGCAACAGACTGAAACTCTGTCTCAAAAAAATAAATAAATGTCACATGGATAGTTGCCTTGACCCATTACTGCTCAGCTGGTCAGTCTGCAAATTGTTTACCAGTCCACAATGAGATAAAGCACTTGTACCACAGTGTAAATCAAGCATGAATTACCTAAGCATACTGCTTAGTTCAGCTGATGTTTTTTCTTTTGTAGCAAGACTTTGTTGATGAAGAATGGAGTCTATTGATTTACATTCTGGCTGAAGCTCAGTATCTCATTGCAAACTGATAAATAATTCCAGTCTAAAGGCTTTGTATAGTACTAGCTTACATTATCTGCAGTACAGCAATTTAAGGACACATTTGGTTTCATTAGTTGTAAAGTTTAATTTTTATATTTGTATTAATACTTTTCATTTACCTAAAAAGTTCTAGATTAAGTGGTGTTAAAGCTAATGAATTATAACTTTGTTATAATGGCACTTGCTATATCTATACTTATTTCCCATTAAGTAGTTTTTCAGAGTATTATTCCCTGAAGTAGGTTGATCATACCAGTTCAGCACAATTATTTCAGGAAATATATAAGGTCATACTTCTAATTAGATTCTACATTGTTGTAGATACTCATACATTGTTAATATGCTGGGTCTTTTTTTTTTTTTTAACCACTTTTTAATTAAGATATGTAAGATTACAGATCTTTGGGATGCAAAGATAAATAGGGCCTAGGCTAGGAATTTTATGAGTCTGGTGTTTTGTTTGTTTTTTAAATTTTTTCGAGACAGTCTCGCTCTGTCACCCAGGCTGGAGTGCAGTGGTGCAATCATGGCTCATTGCAGCCTCGACCTCCCAGGCTCAAGCAATCCTTCCACATCAGCCTCCAGAGTAGATGGGACTACAGGCGTGCACCGCCACACCCGACTAATGTTTATATTTGTTTGTAGAGATGGGATTTCACCATACTGCACAGGCTGGTCTCCAATTCTTAGACTCAAGCAAGGCTTGGCCTCCCAAAGTGTTGGAATTACAGGTGTGAGCCATCTACCTGGCCCAGAGTCTGGTTTTAGGGTTGGTAAATGATACGTGTTAAGACCCATAGTGTGATGTTTGGTAATTTGATAATAATGGGTCAGAGGTGTTTGGAAATAGAAGAAAGATGAATGTTATTTTTTTCTTTCCGTGTTTTGATACAGCTGCCATTAGGCCGACAGTGTGTGGAGCATTATCGCTTGCTTCATCGATATTGTGTGTTTTCCCACGATGAGATGATCTGCAAGATGGCTTCCAAGGCTGATGTATTAGATGTTGTAGTGGCTTCAACTGTTCAGAAAGACATGGCCATTATGATTGAGGATGAGAAAGCTTTAAGAGAAACTGTCCGTAAATTGGTAAGGCTTATGGAAATCCAACTGCATGTTGTCATTGGGTATTATTTAGTAAAATTTTTACGCACTTTAATATCATTTTAAGCAGTCTTTTTAAAGCCTATTTTCTTTGAGGCCATTGTAATAGATGTATAGTAGTATCTCGTGGTTTTAATTTTTATTCACTATCTTATTTGCCACATGTACATATGTCTCTTTGAAGTAGCTGTTCAAATGTCTTGCCCCTTTAAAAAAAATGTTTTGTAGAAACAGGGTCTCACTATGTTGCCCAGGCTGGTCTCAAACTCCTGGGTTCAAGCTATCCACCCAACTCAACCTCCCAATGTGCTGGGATTACAGGCGTGAGCCACCACACCCGGCTTGCCCTTTATTTTTTTAAAACATTTGGTTTTTGTAATAATTCTTTATGTATTCTGCATACCAGTTTTTTTTTTTTTAAATCAGATAGGTGTTTTGCTAATGTTTTCTCCCAGTCTGTGGCTTGTCTTTGATTTTCCTACCAGTGTCTTTCAGCAAGCAGGAGTTTTTCATTTTGATGAAGTCCAGTTTGTTAATTATTTTCTTGTGTGAATCATGTTTTTTTGGTTTCCTATTTAATAAATCTTGCCTAATCCAAAGTTACAAAGATTTTCTCCTACAAAGTCATCTAGAATTTCATAGTTTGAAGTTTTACATTTAGGTCTTTCATCTATTTCAAGTAATTTTTGTTTTTCAAAAATATGAGTCAAGGTTCATTTTTTTGCATGTGGATATCTAGTTCTTCCAGCAGCATTTCTTGAAAAGACTATCTTTTCTTCATTAAATTGCTTTGGCACCTTTGTTGAAAATCAATTCACCACATAAGTATGGGTCTATTTCTGGACTCTTGTGTTCTGGTGATCTATGCATCTATTCTATTGCTAATACTAAATGGTCTTGATTATTGTAGCTTTCTAAGAAGTCTTGAAATCAGGTAGTATGAGTCTTCTAACTTTGTTTTTTTTAAAAAATTGTTTTATCTCTTTTACTTTTTTTAATGTACATTTTAGAATCAGCTTATTGATTTCTACCAAATCAATTCCTGTTGGAATTTTGATTGAGACTGCATGAAACTATGGATAGTTTGGGGGAGAATTGATATCTTAATAATATTGAGTCTTCCAATTCATGAACATAGTATAATTTTATATTGCATGTTTTTTGGCACTATTATAAATTGTACTTTTAAAAACTGAATTTCTAATTGTTTATTGCTAGTATTTAGAGAGACAATTGACTTGTATATTGACCTTGTCTCCTGAGACCTTGCTAAAGTCACTTAATTCCCAGTAGCTTTTTCATGGATTCTTTTAGAATAATAATATCTGCAAATAGTAATACTGTTTTTTTTTTTTTTTTTAAAAATATGTGCCTTTTTGGGTAGAATCCTGGAATATTGGCTCTCTGCAGCCCATTTACATTTTAACAGCAGGTTACCTACCTTACCCTCTTATATTTTACAGTTGGGGGAAAATAGTGCCCAGAGGGTTTAAGTAACTTACCAAAGTCTTACATCAAAAATGGTAGCTCATTTTTAGAACTCTGAGACTTTTTCCATATATGGAATTTACAAATTAAAATTAGGTATGAACTACATGATTGATTCTCAATTAAAATCCATGGAGTTGGTCCTTAATCTTATTTTAAACAAAAATGTTAACTTTCTCCATCCCATGAAGTCCTTTTTAATGACCAATTCAAGAATAAAACCAAAATCTAATTAGCATTTTCCTTACCTTCCTCATCTTTGTTGGCCCATATAATTGGCAGATATGAAATAGTTAAAAGGTTAAAATACAGGATAACAGAATAAAAGAAAGAAGCCCAGTAGTTCATAAACGACTGGCATTCTCAAGGCTGGATTAGGATCCAGTTTTAGATAGGGAGAAAAGGTGATAGAAGTTTGGTCTTTAAATGACAAAAGGTGTATCCAAGAAGGGTTCTCTAGATGTTAGGTGGTACAGATTATGTTGAAATTTACTGGTTCAAGACCTTATTTTTCCTGACAGTCTTTTAGGAGGAAATGTTTAATTATGACTTTAGTCTTTGCTATTGCACAAATTTTCTAACTATTCAGTTAATGATATCCTTTCATATAACTTCCTGTAAAAGGCTGAGAGACCACTCAGCATCTTCCCAAACTCAATTTCTGCACGATAGTCTTTTCCACTCGTCCCATCTTCTTTCCTTTTATTTTTGTCCTTTTAATAGATTCTCCATATTTCCTCAGAAGTAGGAAACATATTCCTTTCTTTTAATCTTATCTATACCTCTTATCTATACCCAAAATGTGGACAAGGCTAATTTGTAGTAGAACAGATAACTAATCTCAGTAGTTTTACAGTCCTATGGTGTTCATACTCAGATCAAAATGACCAAACATAAGGACCTGCCTTGTCTGAAAAAGGAGATCTCCCTAGACAAATGAACTTGCCTGTATTTGCTAGGTCATTTGTTTCTTTGTATGCCACACATTTTTAATCATGCATCCCTATTTTGGTAAAGCTTTTTTTTTTTTTTCAGACTCAAGTACTACTGCATGTTTGTCTTGGGCTGGTGGATTATATTATCCTTTGGAGGTCTCTCTAAAGTATACTTTATTCTAGGGAGTGATTGATTCGGAAAGAATGGATTTTGAGCTGTTGCCAGATGATGAACGTCAGTGTGTAAAATGCAAAACTACATGCTTCATGTCTGCCATCTCCTGTTCTTGTAAACCTGGCCTTCTTGTTTGCCTGCATCATGTAAAAGAATTGTGTTCCTGTCCTCCTTACAAATATAAATTGCGGTAAGTAGGAAGAACGATTTTTTTTCCTATGGAAAACAGTTGATCCTTACTAAAAGCTCAATGATACCGCAGTTCTAGGGCTGAAATGTTAAGTATAAAACATCTAGTTTTCTCCAAAGCTACACGTCTCAAAGCTAAGTGTGGTGGTATTATTTCCAGGTATAGGTACACGCTGGATGATCTCTACCCTATGATGAATGCATTGAAGCTTCGAGCAGAATCTTACAACGAATGGGCCTTGAATGTGAATGAAGCTTTGGAGGCAAAGATCAACAAGAAGAAAAGTATGTGATACAGAAAGTGACTTGGTGATTGGCAAATTGGGGCTTATTGTGATGTAGCCAAATTAAAGTCAACAAAACATTTCTTGAAACAGCCTGACCTCATCCTTGGTTAGCCCCTCTACATAGCCCGGTTTACAGAGCACCGGCAGAGAAGGTTTTAAAACCAAGAGTGGATAAGGCAGTTGCCCTTACATCCCAGTGAAATTTTGTTATATGAGTTGTGCAACATCACTTACTTAACAAAAACGATATTGTTAGGAAACCTTTATTTTTGTCTCAGAAATAAAAATTTCACATTTCTTACAAAGATGTTGAAATCTTTAAAAAAACAAAAACAAAAACAAAGCATCTTGTGACAAAGGCAGCATGACACTAAATCAGGAGTCTCTGAAATGGTAGTTTATCACTTCTTAGTTCTAATTAAAGTTAAGGTCCCTGGCACTTGTCATTACCTTTGAAAGTCACTGCTACCCTTTATATCTCTCTCTCTCTTTTTTCTTATGAAAATATAGTTTGTTTTTTGCTTTTTACTTTTCACCTCAGGGGTATATGTGCAAGCTTGTTACATAGATAAACTTGTGTCATGGGCGTTTGTTGTACAGATTATTTCATCATCCAGGTATTAAGCTTAGTACCCATTAGTTATTTTTCTGGAGCCTCTCCCTCCTCCTGCCCTCCACCCTCCAATAGGCTCCATTGTGTGTTGTTCCCCTGTATGTGTTCACGTGTTACTCCCCTGTATGCATCCATGTGTTTTCATCATTTAGCTCCCACTTAATAAGTGAGAATATGCAGTATTTGCTTTCCTGTTCCTAGTGTTAGTTTGCTAACTAATTGCCTCCAGTTCCATCCATGTTCCTGCAAAGGACACGAGCTCATTCTTTTTTATGGCTGCATAGTATTCCATGGTGTATATGTACCACATTTTTCTTTATCCAGTCTATCATTGATGGGTATTTAGGTTGATTCTATGTCTTTGCTATTGTGAATAGTGTTGCAGTGAACATACACATGCATGTGTCTTTATAAATGGAATGATGTATATTCCTTTGGGTATATACCCAGTAATGGCATTGCTCGGTCAAATGGTATTTCAGTCTTTAGATCTTTGAAGAATCACCACACTGTCTTCCACAATCGTTGAACTAATTTACACTTCTACCAACAGTGTATATGCGTTCCCTTTTCTCCACAACCTTGCCAGCATGTTACTTTTTGACTTTTTAATAATAGCCATTCTGACTGGTATGAGGTGATATCTCATTGTGGTGTTTTTTTTGTTTGTTTTTGTTTTTGTTTTGAGACGGAGTCTTGCTCTGTCACCCAGACTGGAGTGCAGTGGTGCGATCTCGGCTCACTGCAACCTCCACCTCCTGGGTTCAAGCAATTCTCCTGCCTCAGCCTCCTGTGTAGCTGGGACTACAGGCACGTGCCAACATGCCCAGCTAATTTTTGTATTTTTAGTAGAGACAGGATTTCACCATGTTAGTCAGGCTGGCCTTGAACTCCTGACCTTGTGATCTGCCTGCCTCGGCCTCCCAAAGTACTGGGATTACAGGCGTGAGCCACTGCGCCCGGCCTTTCATTGTAGTTTTGATTTGCATTTCTCTAATGATCAGTGATGTTGAGCTTTTTTTCATATGATTGTTGGCCATACGTATGTCTTCTTTTGAAAAGTATCTTTTCATATCCTTTGCCTACTTTTTAATGTTTTTTTCTTGTAAATTTGTTTTAAGTTCCTTATATATGCTGGATATTAGACCTTTGTCAGATGCACAGTTTGCAAGTATTTTCTCCCATTCTGTAGGTTGTCTATTCACTCTGATGATAGTTTCTTTTGCTGTGCAGAAGCTCTTTAATTAGATCCCATTTGTCAGTTTTTGCTTTTGTTGAAGTTGCTTTTGGCATCTTCATGAAATCTTTGCCTGTGCCTATGTCCTGACAGGTATTGCCTAGGTTGTCATCCAGGGTTTTTATATTTTTGGGTTTTACATTTAAGTCTTTCATTCCTCTTGAGTTAATTTTTGTATATGGTGTAAGGAAGGGGTCCAGTTTTAATCTTCTGCATATGGCTAGCTGTTATTCCAGCACCATTTATTGAATAGGGAATCCTTTCTCCATTGCTTGTTTTTGTTAGATTAGTTGAAGATCAGATAGTTGTAGGTGTGCCTTTTTATTTCTGGGTTCTCTATTCTGTTCTGTTAGTCTGTGTGTCTGTTTTTGTACCAGTCCATTTCTCTTTCAGAGTGTTTTCACTTGCTTCCATTTCTGTAGCCCAACACGTAACTCCACCCGCTTTTATTTAGGGGAAAGGAGCAATATCATTGTCTCTGAGTCTCCTGTGCTCTAGTAACTGAGCACACTAGTTACTCACTAACTGCAGAATAAAATGCAGGAGGAAGAAGTGGTTCAAGCCACAATAAGATTTATATTTACTTTGCTTTCATAAGTCAGTTGTTTTCTTCTTTTTGTCTATTTTAAACATGCCAGGTGTTTTTTTTTTTTTTTTTTTTTTTTTTTTGAGACAAGGTCTTGCTCTGTCATCTCAACTGGAGTGCAGTGGCATGGTCGTGGCTCACCGCAGCCTTGAAATCCTGGGTTTAAGTAATCCTCCTGCTTTAGTTTGTCAAATAGTTGGGACTACAGTTGTGTGCCACCATGGCTGGCTAAGTTCTTTAATTTTGTAGAGAGGAGATCTTGCTTGTGTTGACCAGGCTGGTGTTAAACTCCTGGCCTCAAGTGATCTTCCTGCCTTGGCCTTGCAAATTGCTGGGATTTACAGGCGTGAGCCACTGTACCCGCCCTAAAACATGTCAGGTCTTAGCATTTTTATATTTAAGTTCAACTCTAGGCACTTGTTTAAAAAACTCCGTGTTCAGCCACCACCCTGCAAAAATCAAATCAACAAATTTGTTAATAATTTAAAGCATTGCAAACATTTGTAAGTTACATTTCTAGACAAGAACTGACAAAACCAGTCTCCTCTGAATTTCATACCAGTAGTAATAAACATAATGATTACAGAAAATATGACTTTTTTCTTCATTCCTAGGCCTTGTCAGCTTCAAGGCTTTAATTGAAGAATCTGAAATGAAGAAATTCCCAGACAATGATCTTTTGCGACACCTTCGCCTAGTCACACAGGATGCAGAGAAGTGTGCCTCTGTTGCGCAGCAGTTGCTTAATGGCAAAAGGCAAACTAGGTATGCGCTTCTGACTGCGTGAGTTTGGATTCTTTGGCACCTATGTTTGGAAACCTGTTGTGACTCCTGTCTTGAATTTCTGTGACCACCTGGGTGTGGTGGACATGTATGTATTCTTATATGGCTTCCTTGGGCCTTTGTCTTTACAGATATCGATCTGGTGGAGGGAAATCCCAAAATCAGTTGACAGTGAATGAGCTCCGGCAGTTTGTAACACAGCTGTATGCTCTTCCATGTGTCCTCAGTCAGACACCATTACTAAAGGTAACCATAGAGGGATGTGTGGGAGAATACTTTGGTAATCCTGTATTTTGTATATAAACTCTATTGATATTACTAAGTAATCTTCTTTGATGATTAATATGTACATTTATTTGCAGATGCTTTTAATAACCTATTGAGTGGTATATGTATATAAAGAGATTATAGTAGATCCACAGAGGGGAAATAAAGTTGGAAATTTTTACTTTGAAAGTGACCTTGGCTGGGCATGGTGGCTCACACCTGTAACCCCAGCACTTTGGGAGGCTGAGGAGGTGGATCATGAGGTCAGGAGTTCAAGACCAGCCTGACCAATATGGTGAAACCCCATCTCTACTAAAAATAGAAAAATTAGCCGGGCATGGTGGTGCATGCCTGTAGTCCCAGCTACTTGGGAGGCTGAAGCAGGAGAATCGCTTGAACCCAAGAGGCGGAGGTTGCAGAAAAAAAAAAAAAGAGAAAGTGACCTCAGCTAGTTTAAGCTGGGATAAGGTGTCTGTTATAGTCACTTAGTATTTGCTGTTAGTTGGCTTATGTGTTATCTTATTTACCTATATTATTACTAAAATTAAATGGGATCTCATTGAATATGAATTTAAGATTCTAAGTTTGAAAGAAGCCAATTACTGAAATTACTGTTTTAATGCAACAACCTGTGTATTTTTTTTTAGGATCTCTTGAATCGTGTAGAAGATTTTCAACAGCATAGTCAGAAACTACTCTCTGAGGAAACGCCTAGTGCTGCGGAGCTGCAGGACTTGCTAGATGTCAGCTTTGAATTTGATGTTGAACTTCCACAGCTTGCTGAGATGCGTATCCGTTTGGAACAAGCCCGTTGGCTAGAAGAGGTGCAGCAAGCTTGCCTAGACCCCAGCTCCCTTACTTTAGATGATATGAGACGTCTCATAGACCTAGGGGTAGGGCTGGCCCCGTATTCAGCAGTGGAGAAAGCTATGGCCCGGCTGCAGGAACTGCTCACAGTGTCAGAGCACTGGGACGACAAAGCCAAGAGTCTCCTCAAGGCCAGGTGAAAAAGCAGACTTCTCTTTCTTTGGGAAGGTTGGACAGTTATCTCCAGCTTAAACACAGAGCACAATGATTGGTCTATGGCAAGTGCTCAGTAGCTGCGGTTATTATGCATGTGGAAGACATGTAGAAATAGCTGAGATATTTGGAGCTGCTTTGGGACCTGAGTAAAAGAATGTTAATTTTTTCTTATTTTACTGATTAAAAATGAATAATTCAATTGGACACACCTTTTCTAGAGTTGGTTTAATGAAATTTCCCTGGATCCTGTTAATATCGTGTCTTTGAGAGAGGAAAATATTTACAAATAGGTGAAGCTGTTTAAACTCACAGTTAATACGGTTCCAAGGAGTCTTAAAGAGAAATGTGTGAGAGTTAATAGGCACTGTTCTGCAAGAAAACAGTGCAGATAATTTTCAACAGGAATAGACAATGTCATTTGAAAAAAATTATTTGCCATACTGAATTTCCTTTGAAATGCTAGTTTTTTTGGTAACCATAAGAAAAATGAACCATCATATAAAATGCTAAGAAGTCTTTGTTTGCATTTTGTAGGCCACGACATTCATTGAATAGCCTTGCTACGGCAGTAAAGGAAATCGAAGAGATCCCTGCATATCTGCCCAATGGTGCGGCTCTGAAAGACTCAGTGCAGAGAGCCAGAGACTGGCTTCAGGATGTAGAGGGCCTGCAGGTTGGTTTTAAAAAGTATATACAGAATGTGTAAGTGCATCCATAAAGAGCAATATTGGCGCCCCGTCCGGGAGGGAGGTGGGGGGGTCAGCCCCCGACCCGGCCAGCCGCCCCGTCCGGGAGGTGAGGGGCGCCTCTGCCCAGCCGCCCCTACTGGGAAGTGAGGAGCCCCTCTGCCCGGCCAGCCGCCCCGTCCGGGAGGGAGGTGAGGGGGTCAGCCCCCCGCCCGGCCAGCCGCCCCGTCCGGGAGGGAGGTGGGGGGGTCAGACCCCCACCCGGCCGGCTGCCCTGTCCGGGAGGGAGGTGGGGGGGTCAGCCCCCCGCCCGGCCGGCCACCCCGTCCGGGAGGTGAGGGGCGCCTCTGCCCGGCCGCCCCTACTGGAAAGTGAGGAGCCCCTCTGCCCGGCCAGCCGCCCCGTCCGGGAGGGAGGCGGGAGGGTCAGCCCCCAACCCGGCCAGCCGCCCCGTCCGGGAGGTGAGGGGCGCCTCTGCCCGGCCGCCCCTACTGGGAAGTGAGGAGCCCCTCTGCCCGGCCAGCCGCCCCGTCCGGGAGGGAGGTGGGGGGGGTCAGCCCCATGCCCGGCCAGCCGCCCCGTCCGGGAGGTGAGGGGCGCCTCTGCCCGGCTGCCCCTACTGGGATGTGAGGAGCTCCTCTGCCCGGCCACCACCCCGTCTGGGAGGTGTACCCAACAGCTCATTGAGAACGGGCCGGGATGACAATGGCGGTTTTGTGGAATAGAAAGGGGGGAAAGGTGGGGAAAAGATTGAGAAATCGGATGGTTGCCGTGTCTGTGTAGAAAGAAGTAGACATGGGAGACTTTTCATTTTGTTCTGTACCAAGAAAAATTCTTCTGCCTTGGGATCCTGTTGATCGGTGACCTTACCCCCAACCCTGTGCTCTCTGAAACATGTGCTGTGTCCACTCAGGGTTAAATGGATTAAGGGCGGTGCAAGATGTGCTTTGTTTAACAGATGCTTGAAGGCAGCATGCTCATTAAGAATCATCACCACTCCCTAATCTCAAGTACCCAGGGACACAAACACTGCCGAAGGCCGCAGGGTCCTCTGCCTAGGAAAACCAGAGACCTTTGTTCACTTGTTTATCTGCTGACGTTCCCTCCACTATTGTCCTATGACCCTGCCAACTCCCCCTCTGCGAGAAACACCCAAGAATGATCAATAAAAAATAAATAAATAAATAAAAATAAAAATAAAAAAGGCAAAAAAAAAAAAGAGCAATATTGGAAAGTTGTGAAGAATAATACGTTGGATCTTGCTGCACAGTTTCAGTATTTTAGGGGTTGACCAGAAGACTAATTCTATTCATACTTATTTGGATGTACTTACCAGCTATTATCCTGACCAGTTGTCTCAAATATTTAAAGCTTAGACAGTGTCACCAACTTTTTCTGGGAGCTGGGGAGTCTTTCATAACAAACTTGAGTACTTGACTGCAGATTGAAGCAAAAGAGCTAACAATGAAGTAGTGAGAGAAAGTAGTTTTCTACTCTTTGATAAGTATGATTACCTCTTGTTGGCTTGTCCACAACTTTGAAGTTCAGACAATCAGTAATAGCAAATTCAGTGAATCTAGTTATATGACTAAATGCCCAGCTAAGCCCCAAGGCCCAGAATTTTCATGAAGTAGTGACTTAAAAGTACCCTCCCAACCCTACAAAAGAAATAAAACCTACCCAGTTCCAAAGTAATTATCCAAAGTATCCAAAGTCATTTCCACCAAGTATTTGTGGTTTTATGCTAGATGTTATACTTATTGACCTGTATATAAGTTTAAAAAAAGAATTAAATTCACTTGTAGCATTGTTAAGGTACAAAAAGAATTCATTCTTTAATATGATTTTCCCAGTTTTCAGACGACTGGCTGAATGACTTAATTTGAAACGTGTTTGATGGGGGATGTCTTCCCTTATCTCTTATCATCATAAACCAATAGGTGTTACTGACCTATTGAGAAAAAAAAAAGTCTCAAGTTCTATTTTGTTGAAGTCCTCAAATTCTAGAAATAAAATACGATCTGGCTTTCTGAATATTTGTGTAATTTTAAGTGGTGTTAATTGGCTAATTGCTAACAAGAAATACCAAACAGGACAATTCTAGACAAATGTTTGCATCTGTTCTTGTTAATAGGGAAAAGAAGATATATTGTTTGAGGAGATTACATAATTAAGGACTGACTCCAGCAAGCCAAAAACAAAAACAAAAGTATTTACTATGGACATAAACTTTGTTAATGAGAGTTTTAGATGCAGGCACTTGTCAATGATAGTTGGTATTGTAGTAATTAGTTTTAGTTATGGTCCTCCTTTTTACTCCATGATTGCTAGCAGCCAGAAGGTGAAGTCATGGCAGTAAGGAGAGGCTGACATATAAAATCAGAAAGCAAGGGCATGCTTCTGGATGAGTTTATTTCCTTCATATTTTATATGTATATGCTACTTACTATGTTTGTAACAGTGCCATTAAGGGCAAAAGGCAAGTTTTTTGCTTCATTCCTGAAAAAGTAGCCTACCTTTTTTTTGCATCATATATTTAAGGACTGCTACACATGACTAACAACAAGGAACTACTTCCTATTTAGTGGATTATTTAAATGTTATGCAGTATTCTGCTTTACACATAGGAAGCACTCGGATTTCTAAATTAAATATCATAGGAATAGCATTAATTTATGAGTCACATTCTTAAGTGTCCATCAGAACATTTATGCCCTAACAGATTTAATTCTGTAAGAATAAATATCAAAGGCAGCAAAATATCAACCTACCCAGTCTTCCCTAGTTGTCCCAAAAATGTCCCTTATGGCTGTTTGTCTAACCCAGAAACACATGTTGCACCTAATTGTCATCTCTTTAAGTTTCTTTTAATCTTGTAGCGTTTTCCTCCCCACCCCACTTTTTCTCATGTCACTGACTAGACAGTTATCCCATGGTATGCTCCACCTTCTGGATTTGTTTGATTGTTTCTTTGTGGAGTGTTCTGTTCTCTGTATTTCCTATAAATTGGAAGTTAGTTTTAAAGCCCTGGTGCATCCAAGTTAAACATTTTTTTAATATAATGCATTAAAATGTCAGGTAATACTGTATATTCTATATTGCATCACAACAGGAGATATATCTGGATGACCTACCATTAGTGATGCTAAGTTTTACATTGTATTGGAGCAACACCAATGCATTTCATCCTCCATAACCTTAATGCTTTTACTCTCCTAGTTTGGCTATCTCTTTCTAAAAATACAGTTCCCAGACCAGCAGTATTAGCATCGGCAACAGCAGCTTTACCTGGGAACTTGTTAGAAGTGCAAATTTATGGACCTTCCTCTGACCCACTGAATTAGAATATTTGGGGATAGGACTAAGGAAACTGTGTTTAAACAAGCCTTCCAGATGATTCTTATACATGGTAAAGTTAGAGAACCACTGGGCTGTCTCAACTTATATTTTAGTTTCCTGAATAATTTATATTGAGTTGCTTTAATTAATCATTGGTGAGTGGATTGGGGTAAAATATTGTTTTGTTGCCTTTTATTTGTGTAATTCAGTATGAAAGTCTTGAGTTACTACAAACCTTCATTTCTGTTGAAATTTTTTTCAAACTGTTAATAGGAACCAATGAGATGAATGAATTTAGAAGGGTATAAATAGAACAAAGGGACCACAGTATATGCCATGTTCACATTTGTATCCTTAGAGCCTAGCACAAACTAGGTTCTCTAGGCCCAGCACAGTGGCTCACTGTAATCCCAGCACTTTGGGAGGCCAAGGTGGGAGGATTGCTTGAGGCCAGGAGTTTGAGACCAGCCTGGCCAACATGGTGAAACACCATCTCTACTAAAAATATAAAAATTAGTTGGGCGTGGTGATGGGTGCCTGTAATCCCAGCTACCCGGGAGGCTGAGGCAGGAGAATTGCTTGAACCCAGGAGGTAGAGGTTGCAGTGAGCTGAGATTGCACCACTGCATTGCAGCCCAGGCAAGAGTGATACTCCGTCTTAAAAAAAGAAAAAAAAAACAACACTACCACCACCACCACCAACAAAAGACCCAAACTAGGTTCTCTGTTTGTGTAATGAAGGAACAAATGTCACTTCTACCCCCAATATCATTGGTCAGCTGGCAGGTTAGTCAGCGTTTGTGAATTTAGCATGTTGAGATCATGGAGTAATCTGAAGTACTCAATGGACCAATCTGAATTAAGCTTTTCCTGTTTTTCATAGAAGTGTTCTTTTCTCTAAACTGCTGTAATTTTTCTTGACTTATTAGGCTGGAGGACGTGTGCCAGTGTTAGACACACTCATAGAACTTGTTACACGAGGCCGATCTATCCCCGTACATCTGAATTCTTTGCCAAGACTGGAAACCCTAGTAGCTGAGGTTCAGGCTTGGAAAGAATGTGCTGTTAATACATTCTTGACTGAGAATTCTCCATATTCTCTCTTAGAGGTAAGTTTACAACCAGCTCATCTGCAAGACCTTAGATCTCCTAGTTTGGTAAAACATGCAGTTCATCACATACAAAGATGACATCACAGATTAATCTATATTCTGTGAGTTGTTCTTCCCGTAAAGCCAGGGAGACTCTTCTAATTTTCTGGTGAAGCAACCTTTAAATGTTTTCTTGGTTGATTTAGCATAACAGTATCTAAAGAAGAAAATTTTTTCCTATTGGGTGAAATTCCTCTGTGTTGAAATTGGACTCTTAAACTTGGCCGTGCTTCGCCCACCTGAATTTAGTAAGCCTGATAAATGATCTCCCCCATTTTTTAAAAGTGCTTTAACTGCACTTTTTGTATTTTCTGTAAACTTGCTTGTGCATCATGACTGGGATCAACCAGTATATATCACATTTTTAACTTGTTACTTAATTGAATAAGGAATCAGTCTATCTTTTATGAGTCTTCCTCCTCCTTTTGTAAAGGAGAGCCTCAGGGTTGCATGTTCCAAAGAAAATCTTCAATACTAAGAAATGCACATCCTTTTTACTGCTTAGGCTTTTATTTTGGGACTTCCTACATAATGCTTTATCTGAAATTTATTTTACCATTGGTTGTGCCTTGTCCCACATTAGGTGCTGTGTCCTCGATGTGATATTGGCCTTTTGGGATTGAAAAGGAAGCAGAGAAAGTTAAAGGAGCCCTTGCCAAATGGAAAGAAAAAAAGCACCAAATTAGAGAGTCTGAGTGACCTGGAGAGAGCTTTAACTGAAAGCAAGGAGACTGCTTCAGCTGTATGTAGGGTTTTTTTCTTCTCCTTTCTATGTTATTGGGAAGAATAATTTCTAACCCTTTCTGTTTTATAGGAATTTGGAGAAGGCAAGTAGAGTAACTTGAAAGCGTTCAGTTTTACTAAAAAGACTTTTTGAAAATTGTCAAGTGTTAAGAGTTTTGAATGGTAAGATGCATAGAGGTGGGAAAGATTCAGGGTAGGCTTCCCAGTCTCAGGGTCTTGCAGGCACAGAAACAGTCTTGTTTAGTGCCTGTGGGTTGATCCAGGAATGCTAACTAAAGATATTGAGACTAATATTAATAGATGTATGAAAATGCAATGCTAATTTATTAGTTTATAGTTAAGAAGTACATTTAAAAGTTTACTGGATACTTTGATACTCATCTGGAATACCTTACATCTCTGACCTGCATTTAGTAAATACTGTTGATTCAAAGATGATAGTTTAAAGAAGATGAGGCAATGTATAACTAATGTTACACATTAAGCACCTTATCGGGATAAAAAAGGGATAGCTATGTGATGCTTTTAATGGCACAAAGCATTGCCCGTTCTAGAGTGGGAATGTATACCTGCTACTGGGACTAGATTGAATGGGTTCATCTGTGGATCTGGACACCTTCTCCCATTGATTTCTTTGTAGCTGCCAGACCTCTTGTGATAGACATGGGTTGCCTTGATTTATTTAGGTATTTTGACACAGATGTTCTTAGTGTATATTCGTATATTCAGTCAGGTTCTAGACAGAATTCTGCCATCAGAGGTCCTCCATTCCATCTGTGGTTTGTTTTTATAAAGACTAACTGAAAGTTACAGTCCCCCTCTCCTGAGGTGTATATATGTTGGTTTGAAACTTTATATGCAGTATCTTTTGTAGATTTTAGTCTGTCCATCTGTCTGTAGACCCCTGGTTTTAAGAATTCTCCCTACGTATTATCTGTTAATTTATGGTAGAACTCAAAGGTTAGTCATTTGCTTTCCATCTCTAAGCTGTCAGAAGTTACCTTGTTATCATATAACCCACACATATTACCTGTGTATTATATTTACAAAAGAAGTGGATTTTTTTTTTTTTTTAATATACCCAAAGGTCTTTACCTGATTTGCTTTTAGGCTTTTTTTTTTTTTTTTTAATAGAGATAATGGAGAGTTTATTCTGGCCTTGTAAGGGTGCTTCATCTGGTGAATCGTGATGGATCTGAAAGGGGATAGATGTGGTGATTGGAAATGGTTTTTTAACTGTGACAGATTTTTTGAGAACTTGTTTACTATGTGCCAGGCAAAGAGTGTCCTATCCCACATCTCTTACTTGTCATCTCACCCTGTAAGGTGGGCACTATTATCACCTCCATTTTACACATGCAGAAATTTAGCCACAATGGAATACATGGCACCAGGTCACTCACAGCTTAGTATGAGGCAGTCAGGATTTGAATACAGATGATCTACTCAGGATCCCATGCTCTTAACCACTAGGACTCTGAGTTTTAGGGGAAGGCCAAGCCATCTCGGACATCATCCTTGATTGTTAACTCTTTTTCAGATGGCAACTCTTGGGGAAGCTCGCCTAAGGGAAATGGAAGCCTTGCAGTCTCTCAGACTCGCCAATGAAGGGAAATTGCTGTCGCCTCTCCAAGATGTGGATATAAAAATCTGCCTATGTCAGAAGGCCCCAGCTGCCCCTATGATTCAATGTGAACTCTGCAGGGATGCTTTCCACACCAGTTGTGTGGCGGTACCCAGTATTTCACAGGGCCTGCGAATCTGGCTTTGTCCCCATTGTCGGAGGTCAGAGAAACCTCCATTAGAGAAAATTCTGCCCCTGCTCGCCTCCCTTCAGCGTATCCGAGTTCGCCTTCCTGAGGGAGATGCACTTCGATATATGATTGAAAGAACCGTGAACTGGCAGCACAGAGCCCAGCAACTGCTTTCGTCAGGGAATCTTAAATTTGTGCAAGATCGAGTGGGCTCAGGACTGTTATATAGCAGATGGCAAGCCTCAGCAGGACAGGTGTCAGACACAAACAAGGTGAATCTGGACTTTCCTTGTTGGGTTATTGGAATTTGCAAAGCTCTGTACCTTTCTCTCGAACCTGTAGCTTTGGTGTTGCTATTCCCTTGGTGTGATCACTTTACTGTTAACAGCACCCACTTTACCTGTAGCTTCCCACTTCAAGACCATGCAGGTATAACATATTCTTTTAATTTCCTCTGCTCCTATTAGAAGTTGTTTCCCAGGCACTCTTTCTATAGAGCACATATTTAGCTTTTCACAGATACAAATAATTTTTTCATTTATATGTATGCTGACCCATTTATATTTTACATATACGTATATGATGTATCTTTAAGTCTTTGCTTGACTAAAAAGTTTTTTACCCTGCTTCTTCTCATGTAAGTCAATTAGTAGAAAGGGAAAACACTTCCTGCCTTTTATCGCTTTTTGCCCTTTAAGGGAAAATATTTTTTGGAAGAAGTGTTTGAGCACTGTGTTATTTCAGAGGAAAGCTCCTGGGTTACACACCATTTGCGATCTTTCTGCCAAAAGCTGGATTCTTTTGACATCACTGGATGGGCAGAGTTTTCTGTTATCTTCCATAGGTGGCTGCAGTAAAAGAATGTGAAGACAATAGAAAAGTACAATCAGGAAGACAGTATTCAATCTTTATGAGGTTAATCTGATGGTTTTTAAAGTTGGTAAACATCTCTGTACCAGAGATACCACAACTCTCTTGTGCCATATGAGCACAGACACATGGATTATATGAGTTAAATTGTTGATAAGATGAAGACCAAACAAAAAAAAAAACAGTCTGTCATATTTGTTTCCTTGGTTTTTTATTTCTTTGCAGGCTTCTGAAATACAGTGCCTGACACATAGATGATGAATTAAATATTTGTTGCATAGATGAGTTGTGGCATTTGTGCACACTCCCAAAGTGGAGTCATTGGTGTTCTTTACCCAGGATGTGCTAGGAGTTTACCTTTCTTAGTAAAGGGAAAGGACACAACTCTTATATTAATTCATGGTCAAAGGAGTGTTTCCCCTAGCTCCTTTAATAAAACACTAAGGAAGATAGGAAAGTGGTTATGGATGATTTCTGACAGGTCCTCATTTGATTTACTCAAAGGGGTACATATGTGTTCATCGTATTTTAATCTTCAATAAGGAGAATTAGAAAAGGATTAAAAGGCTGTATGATCTGTTCTCACACTGAGAAAGTGGCTTATTTCCCAGTGGCCTTCTTTACATCTCTGAAATCAGTCCAAGTAAAACTGGAAAGATTAAAGGCTTGGTCTTTGGGAAGATATGAGTTGATTTGGCCAGTTCTGAAATGCCAGGAGACTCTTCAGTAGGGGAAAATCAAGTTGTTTTTTTTTTTTTTTCCCCTGGTTGCCTGCCTGGGTAATGCAAGCTACTGTCATTGGACTAATGGGAGTATTTTTAATCCTGAAGAGATTTTATTATAAAACGTTTTCCCTCCATTAGGTATCTCAACCTCCTGGCACAACATCATTTTCTTTGCCTGATGACTGGGACAACAGAACCTCATATTTGCACTCCCCCTTCTCAACTGGACGAAGTTGTATCCCCCTCCATGGTTTGTATTTTGTTATTACGTTGAGGGCTGGATAGTAATGAGTGATCTTGTATTACTAGGTTTTTATTATAGATGATCAAGTACCATAAAAAGGACTTTATGCTGAAATGTAGGATATAGGCTATTATGTATTTGCAAAATAGGGAAGGGATCCTATTTGAAGGCTTATAAATGCAAAGGAACAGAGAGGAAGACTTTATATCCATTGTCCTCAGGGATGAAAGGGTTCATGCCACACCAGCTGATAAACACCAAGCTTTTAAGTCAGATGCTAAGTCATGGGCTCTCTTGTTGCTTCATTACTTAGGAGACTTGTGGAGAATCTTAGGGATAATCCACATTTGCTAGAGTCCTGATCCTTAGTCATAGCATCTCAGTGTATGTCTAGTAATGTGGTTAGAGCTCCTTGATCTACTCAGACTGTTGACACTGTGGCCATCAGTCTGTTTCTGTGCTTTCTGTTAGAAGTCATCAAGGCAGAAGTACAATCTCTTCTGCATTAGCAATAAGGTAAATGAGAAGAGGATTCAGTGTATAATTAATACTAGTAATCAGAAGACTTAGGAAATCTAGTTTTGGCTCTGTTTATTATATTGTGGCTTTAGGCACATTAAACCTCACTTCAACTGAAGGTAATTTGTAATTTAAGAAGGAGAGGGTAGTAGTGGTATTAGGGGCAGTCCTTCTATTTGTCTCATAAACCCAAATGTGAATGTGAAACACCCTTTGTTGTTATCATTTTGATTTGGTCTGGTCTTTTACAGGTGTTAGTCCAGAAGTGAATGAACTATTGATGGAAGCCCAGCTGCTCCAGGTATCCCTTCCTGAAATTCAGGAACTTTACCAGACTTTACTTGCAAAGCCAAGCCCTGCTCAGCAGACTGACCGAAGCTCACCAGTGAGACCCAGCAGTGAGAAGGTGAGTGTCTGAGAGGCTTCTGGGGCAAGGCACAGTCTGGGGTGGGGGTATGCTTTATTTTACTCCTCGAAACATAACCAGACAGCTGGTGTGAGGACTGGGCGATTAGACTGAGGATGACCCATTTTGAATGCTGACTTAGTTGAAGGATACTCCTTAATGTCCTGTTTCTTAACATAGTTAAGGATACTGCGGCTGCTGCCACTTCCTTCTAGTGAACTAACTGACCCATCACATTTAAGGCCCCTGAGAATATAGTTAGGATAGAAATCTACTAGGAAGCCTGAAGCCAAATTAGGGAAGAACTTCACTAAAGATAGCATGAGGGCTGATGTTGGCATTTAGAATTTCATTTTTCATGGCAAATTTCATTTGCCATACCAAGTAGTATGGCACAATCATTGAATGTGTTCAGTTAATGCGCCTTACACCTATAAGGTGTGGGGGTGTACATCCTTCAAGAAGGAAGATTATTAGTGTGGTTCCTCAGGAGCCTGTAGGTCACAGGATAGACATAAACACCTAGACAGAAACTATTATAGTAGTTAGTCATTCAGGGATTTGGTGAAAGGAAGACTCTTAGTGGGCACCTCTCCATCTTCTGGTATTGGTTGGTTAATTGGAAGGGTAATCACGTCTTTAACATTCCTTTTTCCAGTGATCCTTTGGTAGCATTAACAGTGATAGGGGAAGGAAGTATGTTAAACCCAAACTGGTTGTCTTATACAAGACTGGGAGGGGAGTGGTTAAGATGCAGTATTTTTTTCCCGTGTAGATTGGGGGATCATCTGATTTCTAATTTACATGTTCTCTTTAGCTTCATTAGTTTTAGTAATAGGTGACCCATAGGCGAAAATTGAACTTTCCTATCTTCCACCCAGAATGACTGTTGCCGAGGGAAGCGAGATGGAATTAACAGTCTTGAGAGAAAACTGAAGAGACGCCTGGAAAGAGAGGGCCTCTCCAGTGAGCGGTGGGAACGAGTTAAGAAAATGCGGACCCCCAAAAAGAAGAAAATCAAACTGAGCCACCCCAAGGACATGAACAATTTCAAGTTAGAGAGAGAGCGTAGCTATGAATTAGTTCGTTCTGCTGAAACTCATTCCCTGCCCTCAGACACATCCTATTCCGAACAGGAAGACTCTGAGGATGAAGATGCCATCTGCCCAGCTGTGAGCTGCCTGCAGCCAGAAGGAGATGAGGTCAGTGAGGTTTGGGCCATAGAGGACGTGCTTTCCCTTAACTCAGAAACCCTGTAAGCTAGACCTCATCTCGCTGGGTCTTTCTCCTCTGCTTATCTGCTTTGAGCTGATCTGAATGGATTGCTCAGCCCTTCCCCCACTGATATCTGTGCTCTTACCATCGTTCCTGGGTCTCCTCCCTTTTCTTGAAGAAACTCTTGTTCTTCCCTTTTTCCTTTTCTTGCTCTTCCAGCTTTCACCTTCCCGGCGCTAAGAAGGTGGGAGGGATGCTGATGTGATGCCCTTTGGCTTACTTATCACAGGGCAGCGCTGTCTTAACCCCAAAGCAGACACGACTTGAAGAATGACTTTGACTCGGTTGCTTTGGCTAGGGGGCCAGCTACACTCATTTGGCTTAGCTGTTGTGCCAGAGGTCCCAGTGGTGGGACAGTGGCTGTTATTGGCAAACGGCCTGAATTTCTTGAGGCTGGCCTGCCCAATTTTGAATCCATTTTTTCCTCTGAAAACCCCATCTTCCTGCTCTTTGTAACCAGGTGGACTGGGTCCAGTGTGATGGCAGCTGCAATCAGTGGTTTCATCAGGTCTGTGTTGGTGTCTCCCCAGAGATGGCAGAGAAAGAAGACTACATCTGTGTGCGCTGTACTGTGAAGGACGCACCAAGCCGAAAGTAAAAACACAAAAACAGATACCCCCCTACTTAATGTAATTCAGGACTCCAACCAAGAGGATTTCTTCAAATCTCAGCAAAGCTACAGGACTGGTACTCAAGCCAGCCTGTAAACGGTGCTATTTCTATTCCTTATGGGATCATTTTTCCAGGACTCTTTGAAGAAAAGAAAAAACAACTAAAAAAATTTTTGACACTTTTTGTATTTTTTCCTTAAGAGCTATTTGTGGTTGTTGAGGTTTGAAAAGCTGACTGTTTTTTTTGCAGGGGTTCCCACCAATTTGGAAGGCATTGAAGCTTGCACCTTTTCATGTACAGCATTAAAATTTTACCTCTCTCTGGGATTTACCAGCTTAAGAGTCCAACTCACTTCCAGTGCCCAAAAGGGCACCCACCAGAAATTCCAGTAAATCCTCATTTGAGGAAGCTCTCCCTTGTTTACTCTGTTACCACATTGGGGAAATTTTTAAGTTTTTCACTTTGGGAGTTTTTGTTTGTTTCTTCTTTTCCTTTATCCACTTTTCTTCTTCCTGGTAGACTAGGTTTATTTATCTGAGCAATAACTTCTATGTTGGTTTCAGTGGCTGGAATTAAAACAAAACAAAACAAACTTCCAAACAGTGTGTTGGTGCTTTAGCGATTGATTGATGTACAGAACACAAATGTCTAGTTTCTAGTGTCACTGATGAACTAGTGATGTAGAAAAGAGACTTCTCTGTAAGTAATTGCCACAGCTGTATTTTGGCTTTCTCCCTGTCCCTTCCTTTCTCCCCTATTTTTTGGTAGCTTGTATCAAATGTTACAGTTTATATTGTGGAATAAATCCTTCGTCCTAACATAACACTAAATGCTGATTATTTAGAGCCATTAGAGCACAGCTTCTTCTGCCCCTCTACTGTTGCACAGCCAGAAGGGGCTGCTTGCTTTTGCCTCTGCCCAACCAGGTTGCAGTAGCAGTGGATGTTAGCCTGCAAACAACATTAGGGGATTCTTCTTTTGTGTCCTGCTCTGTTTGGTGGGCCATATGCCTACAGCCCTCACTAACAAAGAACCCCTCTGTCTTCAAGGACTAGAACCTATCTTTAAAGCCGTGCTCTTTTAAAATAAGCTTTCTCAGAATGTTGGCAAATCACTTCAATCCTCAAATCAGTCTTCCTTGTGGAATGCTGCCTTTATTATATTTGAATTGACAGGGGAACTTGGTTTAGGGTTAAGACGTTGGAAGGAAATCTAAGGAAAATTAATCCTCACAGAGGTCCGGGTTTAGTATATGTCTTGAGAGGAGACTTGTGAATTCCCAGACTCTGCCTCCTGGTTTCCTTTCTCATTTCTTTCTAACTGTAGCTATCATTACTGGCTGTGGATAGCCCATAGCTATTTTCCTTGCTTTTCTTTTTTAAAGGGGTCTGTTCTGCAGTGGAGAAGACATTCTGGTGACCAGACTTTTGCTTACCTTTTCCTATTCTGTTGCCAATTTTTGTTTTCCCCACATTCTATAGCCATAAACCTGAAGATGAGTAAAACTGGTGGGTCTTTAATAAAACAACAACAAAAACAGCAGTTTGTGATATAGCAGAGGTTTAAATGTACCCTCCCCTTTTATGCACTTCAAATAATTAAATCTCTTTAAGAATGACTTCTAGTTGTCTGCAGTTTTCTGCAGTTGTTGTGATGTTTCTCTTCGTCTGATGGTGGTTCTGGGGCCAATAGAGAAGAATAGTCTCCAGAGTACAATTTGGAATCATCGTGGTTTGGCCTTGTTAGTATTCAAATTCTTAGAATCCCCTCCATCACCCCCGACTTTGAGATAGGATGCCAACTGTCCCAGTCCTCACCTTCCATTGAGAAATTAAGCTTAAAAGGAGACCCTGCTGCTAATATAAAGCCACTGCCTTTAGAGAGCTTTTGCCATCTTAGTAAGCACAACCCCTACCCCCATCCCCACTAGTTTTTCTTCTTCACCTGTGGGTGGTGGTACACAGTCCCTGACAATAGCATCTTTGAGGAAGTCAGATCTTTGTATCTCTGAGTGAGTTAGAAAAGGTAGGCATGTGTGTATTTGAACCACTCCCTCCCTGGATGAGAACCACTGATCATTTTATGTGTGATGATGCTGAATTTAAAGAGAATGTCAGTTGCCCAAAGCTACACTGTACTACTAGTAAATAACAAAGCCTGGGTTTTATCTTCCAGTTTTCCTACAGTATTCCTCCTACCTTGTACACCATCACACTACTAATGAACACAGATAACGTTTACTTTCCAGTTTATGCCTTTGTTGTATCCCTAAAATGACTACAGACTGATGTGATCTAAAAACCATGTTTCATTGTGTGTTAGCTGTGAAGCTGGCCTGTACCAGAGAAACCTCTGAACTTGTAGGGGAAAATGATAAAATGCACATGGAAACTGACACTTCAGTTTCCATCTCAGTAGTCCTGCAGCTTTGTGAGGTGGGAGAGGGGAAGGGACTGTGTTAAGTTAGAGCCTGAACCAGAAGGAGGGTCAGTGGGTAAAGAAAGAAAGGGTAGATGAGGTGTGCCTTCCACCTCACCTAAATGAATACTGTTTGTTTTTTGTTTTTCCTTCCAGATTAGACTTTGGGGGATTTCTTATATAGAATAAAGGGCTTGATTATATGTAGCCTCTATCCTGGAGAAAGGTTATGTAATTTGGACTATGTAAAGGAAGTTGACTTCTTTACAGCTTCGTTTCAGTATCCTAGGAGGTGGGATTCATTTTTCTATCTTAAGTTAACCTAAAGGAGAGATGCCACTTGTGGTGATGGAGGTTGTTAAAAACCTGAATTTCCCTGCTTCATTCTCCAGTGAAGAGCTTAAGAAAATGAGGCTTTGGATATTTTGGCAGAAGTGTCTGAAATGCACCTGATTTGCCATTATACCCACCATCAAAAGCAACATGGCCCTTTGGGTATTAGTGCAAGATTAGCCTAAGAATAGAGTAGATCTCTACCTGGAAGAGGGTGAAACATGGCTCTCTACTGATTTGGGTTGTACTCTGAAGGCCCTTTGTAATGGGTTTCTGCCTCTTTGTATTTCACTTAAAAAATCTTGATGGATATTTGGCAGTCTGTTAAGACCTGCTTCTGGCTTGGAGCAGGTATTGATTGGTATTTAGTACCCATGGGTGTTTTTCTGGGCTCAGTCTTGCCTATGTTTCTTGCCATATGACACATACCGGAATGGATTCCAGATGCTATATACCTGTAACAGGAGACAGAATTGGACAACAAGGATTTTAAGAGTCATTGCCCATTGTAAAGCATTAAGCCAGAGCTGGTTATTCATTATCAGACTAACTACATACTAGTCCATGCTAGTGTCAGCCTATATTAAAATAGTCTTTCCTTGCCATAGTGCTGGCGAAAACCCAATCCCTTCTGATGAAACATTGCTTCTTGGGAAGACAAGCTGAGGAAAGCAATGAAGATCCCAGTGTCGGCCTTTATTGAGCTATGTATGAGGGTCAGGGTCCCTCAACTCCTAGTGACTATGAAGCAGCAGTGTGATGGCTTCGCCCTCTTTGCCCCTCTGTCATCAATCCTTTGCATGTGGCTATTTTAAGCTTCTCAGCTTTCTTTTGGGAGGCTTCATGTGTAACTTATTATAGAAATGTTACTGAAAAGCTGCCTAAACAAAAAATTGTATAAAGTAGGAATTTGTATAAAGTAATACTGTTGTAAATCCATCTTCAAGATGTAAAGAATCAATTTGTAAAGTGTATATTTTCACTTCTCCCTTCAAATTTATGTGAACAAGTTTTTCATGTTTCAATATTGCTTACATAGGAATACACCTTACGTTTTTATCAGTATAAATGGAACATTTAAAACCAGTCAACAACAGAACAGATAATCCAGCTCCCTGTTTGTGTTCTGGGTTAATTTTGCAAGGATGAAGGGCTAGAAAGTGGTGAGTTTCGGTGTGTTTCTTATTTTCAGGATAACCGGCTGCATTGCAGTAGAGGAATGGAATGGTGAGGTCATTTGACCTGTTCCAGGTGAGTGGAGGCCAAAGAACATTCTTTCTGCCTCCCCTTGGATGGGAAAATTGAGAAATTAAAAAGTTGCCTTTCTGAGGAAACAAAAGTTATTTTCTCTATTTAAAATAAATGTCCAAAGGCACCCCTCTAAACACCAAAACTTTTAGCTCCTGGCAAACTTACCTAGCTAGAAGTTGGAGAAGAGTGCGGTTTCAAACCATGCTTCCTTTCTGCCCTTGCCAATACGTTCTCACTGACTGTGATTCTGCTGTGAACACACACACACACACAAACACACACACAAGCCCCTTCTGTGTATGATCAGGACAAGTAGTTCAACAGTTAATAAAAAAGTTAAATTATTGGATGAGAAAGATATATTTAACCTAAATCATAAATATGTATATCCATTTAATAAACACTAAAATTGAGAAAAATTAGTTTGGGGATGAGGGCCTTCATTCATAATAGCCATAATGCATTATCTATGATGTGAGCTTGATTGAGCTTCTTTAAAATGCATAAAGAATTTGAACAACAAAAGAAATTTGATTTTTTTTTTTGAGACAGTGTTTCACTCTTGTTGTCCAAGCTGTGGTGCAATGGCACAATCTCGACTCACTGCAACCTCCACCTCCCAGGTTCAAATGATTCTCCTGCCTCAGCCTCCCAAGTAGCTGGGATTACAGGCATGTACCACCACACTCGGCTAATTTTGTATTTTTAGTACAGACAGGGTTTCACCATGTTGGCTAGGCTGATTTCGAACTCCTGACCTCAAGCGATCCACCCGCCTCAGCCTCCCAACATGAGCCACCACACCTGGCCTAGGAATTTGATTTTAGAATTCTAAATACTTATCATTTTCTCCAATCTTTTGTAAGAATTTTACCCACCTAAATAGACAGTTTTACAACTAACTCAATCTGGTTTTTATAAAAACTCTTTACACACTCATTTCATTGGTTTATGTAATAGTCAAAACATAGTTACTATAACAATTTGACCTAGTATATGATTAGGAACAAATACTACTTGGTGAGAGCAGGCCACAGGTGCTCGGCAGGCCGAGACCACGAGTATATTTTACAGAAGGAATGTAGAGGGAGAGCATAGGTTGGTCGAAGTTGCTTAAGAGTGTATTAGTATCTGGTTGTGTGTGTGTGTGTGTGTGTGGTTTTTGGTTTTGTTTTTGTTTTTTTGAGACAAGGTCTTGCTCTTTCACATAGTTTGGAGTACAGTGGCGTGATCATAGCTCAATGCAGCTTCCACCTCCCGTGCTTCAAGCGGTCCTCCCACCTCAGCCTTCCAGGTAGCTGGGACTACAGGTGTGGGCCACCAAGCCTGGCTAATTTTTAAAAAAGTTTTTTTGTAGAGATGGGGTCTCACTATGTTGTCCAGGCCGGTCTCAAACTCCTGTGCTCATTGGGGGATCATCCTGCATTGGCCTCCCAAAGTGCTGGCATTACATGCAAGAGAGTGTCTGTTTTTAAATCACTTGGTCTGCCTCTTGCAAGACTTTCTTCTTTTTTTTTTTTTTTTTTTTTGAGATGAGGTCTCACTCTGTCACCGAGGCTGGAGTGCAGTGGCGCAATCTCGGCTCACTGCGACTTCTGCCTCCTGGGTTCAAGTGATTCTCCTGCCTCAGACTCCCAAGTAGTTGGGATTACAGGTGCCCACCACCATGCCCAGCTAATTTTTGTACTTTTAGTAGAAACAGGGTCTCACCGTGTTGGCCAGGCTGGTTTCGAGCTCCTGACCACAAGTGATCTGCTTGGCTCGGCCTCGCAAAGTGCTGGGATTACAGGAGTGAGCCACTGCACCTGGCCTCTTGCAAGACTTTCTAAGCTCCTAGGAGAAGCCTGGTGTTTAAGATGCTCCATAGCTTCTGAAGCCATCCTAATCCACTGGCCAGTTATAGCACACTTGGAATTTTGTTCTTTTAATGCTTTTAACCCATCATAGTCACTGTTACTATGTCACAGGCATGGAAACTAAATAGATGAAGCAACACTTCACTAAGCCCGTCCTTAGGAGAGGTGGGCTTTGGAATAATATGCGGGCCTTATCCCTGATCTGGGCCTTAGCCTTATTGTAAGGAGGAGCTCTTGGTCTGGTTGCTTTGCTAGTTCCTTGTCCAGGACATTCTACATGTCTCAAAGAACTAAGAATATTGGTCCTGGAATTGGTGAACCTGCTTCATCTCTGTTGCTGTCCCCACATTTCCTCTTACTTCCAGCCAGCAGGGAATAGAGTGGGCAAATGTGACTTAGGGTTTAACCTCCAGTCACTGATAGATCACTTATTTTTTTTTATAGCCCTGTTTGTGGAGTACTTTTATTTTTTAGAGATGTCTTGAAATCTAGCAGCCATGTTTAGCCTTGAAGTGGCCACCCTCAAATGACCAAAATGCCTCAATGATTAGTTTCCTTTTCCCTCTTGAGACCAAGAACCCATGGTCCTTAACATGGTGTGTTTCACAGATACCTCTGTACATTAGGCAATTTCACAAGAGGCAGATCCTGGGCACAGGCTTCTGGACTTTGGCATGCCTTAGGAGATTAGCAGAGGACATGGTGGACATGAGTGCCCACAGCCTGTTTCTGTGCCCTCTTCATTTCCATACCACCTCACACTCCACTCAAACCCTTCAAGGAGCAAGAGTGAACAACTAAAGCAGGTCTTACTGAATCAAGGAAAAGAATGTCCAGTTAAGCAGAGGGGAGTTAGAAGAGAGAATAAGGCAGTGTGACTGAATATGCAAGCACTTACCTCAACATCGTTCCCATTGATTTCATTCAGTATGTGTCCTTTGAGCCACGGCTAAACTTAGGGCAACTCTGGCTGCCACTTCAGCTTGGCCACCAGATAGCACCATTCGGTTTCCATAAGGGCCATGTATCCTCTTGCCATATTGATGGCTGGTCCTATTGGTCAGAAGGAGGGAAAAACATGACACTGAGTTTAGGTACTAATCTTCAGTTAAGATTATTAGGGGTTGTAAGTCGCCAGCCCTTAATAGCGGAGAAAACCTTTGGGTCTTTGCATACCTCCTCCTCTAAACTTTGGTCATGGGATAGGTTTATGTATAGATCAAAGGGAAAATGGGAAGAGTCGAGGTGCTCTTGGTATAGGCATTACAATTTAAGTGATGACCACAAGGAAAGGCGGCCCTGGACAGAGGGCCAAAGTGTGCTGATCGGAAACTTCACTGTTAATTCCTTACCCCAGAGCCACCTTCACTGGACAAGGGTGGAGGACAGAATTGGCATGTATTATTACTGAAGGCTTTTTATGAGTCCAGAATGATGAGGTCCTCAGGGAAGCGGACATAGGAAGGTATCATTATCTCCTTTGCTAGATGGCCTATAGACTGAGCACCGAGGAATCAGTTGTGGAGGAGGTGTGACTTAAACTGGGATATGGGCAGAAGTTGCATAAGGCTTGTGGCCAGTAGCTGAGCCAGACTCCAATCCCATGTCCTTTTAATACTATGACCTCTATCACATCTATGAGTTTAAAAGACAAAACACCGGGCGCGGTGGCTCATGCCTGTAATCCCAGCACTTTGGGAGGCTGAGGTGGGTGGATCACCTGAGGTCGGGAGTTCGAGACCAGCCTGACCAACATGGAGAAACCCCGTCTCTACTAAAAATACAAAATTAGCCGGGCGTGGTGGCACATGCCTGTAATCCCAGTTACTAGGGAGGCTGAGGCAGGAGAATCACTTGAACCTGGGAGGCAGAGGTTGCAGTGAGCCGAGATCGTGCCATTGCACTCCAGCCTGGGCAACAAGAGCAAAACTCTATCTCAAAAAAAAAAAAAAAAAAAAGACGCACCGGGCGCGGTGGCTCATGCCTGTAATCCCAGCACTTTGGGAAGCCGAGGCAGGCAGATCACAAGGTCAGGAGATCAAGACCATCCTGGCTAACACAGTGAAACCCCGTCTCTACTAAAAATACAAAAATTTAGCCGGGCGTGGTGACGGGTGCCTGTAGTCCCAGCTACTGGGGAGGCTGAGGCAGGAGAATGGCATGAACTTGGGAGGCAGAGCTTGCAGTGAGCCGAGATGGTGCCACTGCACTCCAGCGTGGGCGAGAGTGTGAGACTCCATCTCAAAAACAACAAAAACAAAAACAAAAACAAAACACTTCTATAGCACTAACTACCAGATATTGTTCTTATGGCTTTTTTTTTTTTAATTGAGACAGAGTCTCACTCTGTCGCCCCAGCTGGAATGCAGTGGCGAGATCTCTGCTTACTGTAACCTCCACCTCCTGGGTTCCAGCGATTCTTACGCCTCAGCCTCCCAAGTAGCTGGAATTACAGGCCTGTGCCTCCATGCTGGCTAATTTTTGTATTTTTAGTAGAGATGGGATTGCACCATGTTGGTCAGGCTGATCTTGAACTCCTGGCCAACTCCTGGCCTCAAGTGATCTGCCCCCTTCAGCCTCCAAAAGTGCTGGGATTACAGGCGTGAGCCACTGCGCCCAGTCTTATTAGGGCTTTACATATGTTATTTAATCCTTGTAACACATGAGGTAATATTTCCCTGTGGGTGAGGGTGGAAGGCTGGAATTTTGATGCAAAATTGTGCCCTCACTTGTAAGCTTAAAAAAAAGATCTGCCTCTATAGGATAACTTGTTAGCTTTAGAGTTCAAAATAAGGAGCATGCTCCATATCTGCCAGATCCTTGGATGTGGGGGCAACTCCAGCGTTCTTAAAAGGAAGGCTGGCCGGGCGCGGTGGCTCACGCCTGTAATCCCAGCACTTTGGGAGGCTGAGGCGGGCAGATCACGAGGTCAGGAGTTCGAGACCAGCCTGGCCAACATGTTGAAACTTCGTCTCTACTAAAAGTACAAAAATTAGCTAGGCATGATGCCATGCGCCTGTAGTCCCAGCTACTCGGGAGGCTGAGGCAGGAGAATGGCATGAACCCAGGAGGCAGAGGTTTCAGTGAGCCGAGATCGTACCACTGCTCTCCAGCCTGGGTAACAGAGCTAGACTCCATCTCAAAAAGGAAAAAAAAAAAAAGGAAGGCTGTGCCCAAGTCTACTGCTTTTTTGCTCAGGAAGACAAATTAGTAGCCCAGTCTGAACTAATGGCAATCACAGTTATCTTTCTTGCTTGTAATATCAATCCCCTAATATACTGAAACCATAGGGTGGGGCAGGTGGGATGGGATGTTGGAGAGGAAGTGGCTGTTTTCCAGGCCCTTCGGGACAAGCCAGGAGGAGCTTCTAATAAGCAACAGAAGAGGGCAGCAGAGGACCAGGATTGAGCTGCTTCCCCTCCTAGTTCCACGGGAGGGAAAGCGGTGGTGGAAAGACTTGAATACCTAAGGCCACTCTCCATTCCGTTTCTGGTCTGTGACCTGCCCTGAAGTTAGACATCAGGATCTAATCTTCTGCAATGTTTTGCCCCTCACAAAATTCTTCAGTTCATTGTGTATATCTAACCTGCTTGCTGTTTGGAAGATTAGGTTGGAGATTTAATGTTTTTTTTTTTTTTTTTTAGTTTTTACTCTTTTTTTCTGTTTTTTTAAAAATAGAGATAAGGTCTCACTATGTTGCCCAGGCTGGTCTTTAACTCTTGGGCTCAAGCTATCCTCTTGCCTCAGCCTCCAAAAGTCCTGGGATTACAGGTGTGAGCCACCATGCCCAGTCTAATTTTTATCTTTTTAGTGATGGAGTCTTGCTATTGCCCAGGCTGGACTGGGCTGTAGACCTAAGACTGAAGATCAGGCTTTGGATTCTCATTCTACCTGAGGTGGAGCCAATCCCTAAGCCAGTGATGATCCCAGTTATGTGCCTAGCATACTAACCACCTACTAGGCTTTGTAGATTTGTATAGAACGGGGACACTGCACTATACCCAAGGAGCTTGAAATTTAATATAGAAGGAAACTATGTAAAATAATGTTTCAAGTTTCTTGTTCCAGTGTGCGTGCACATTGTGATGGAGCTAGAGAAGAAAGAGCAAGGCTTAGGAAAGGTGAAAATTTGATTTGAGTTGACACTTGAAATAAGGTTATTGCCAAACTGGCCATGTGGCTTTGCCGAAGATGGAGCCTTGGCATGTTTAAAATAAGACTGGTTTACAAGGTCCCCAGGGGTACTCTGTCCTTATCTGCCCCTCCCCTCATAAGTTTGGTTTGACTGCAGCTCCCTAAAGCACCACCTAAGGTAAGTCAGGGGCATTGGCTGCAAATTGTTCCAGTAATGGTTCTCTGACTAGGGACAGGCTTTGGCTCAGTGGTTCCCTTGAATACTGAGGCAACTCTTTGTGTGAATGGAGAAGAACTAGGGAAGAGGTCCCAGGAGTCTGTGCTCTGTACCTTCAGTGACTTCTGTGTAGCCAGAACAAGATGTACATCTAGGGCAAGCTGAGGAAGAAGGCATTTCACATTAGCACACTTCATGGTGAGAAATAATAAAAGCTAACACAGCACTTAGTACGTTCCAGGCTCTGGATCCCTTGCATATATTAACTCATTTAATCTTCACAACATCCCAATGAGATTGATACTATCATGCCCATTTTACAGATGAGGAAATTGGGCTTCAGCGAGGTTAAGACTGAAGGCCATTCAGCTGGTACATAGACAGCCAGGATGCACCCAGACAGTCTGGCTCCTGAGGCTGAGCCCTATAAACAAGATGGAAGGCCGCTGAGTACTCTTGAGCCGCCTCTCAGATGTGTGGTTCCACAAAGCAGTAAACCATTCCTAACGACTCCCCAACATAGCTGCTGATGGATGCCCTTAAAGGCTGTGGTTTTTCTCCCACCGGTAGTTGAGTGAGGCTTATATAAGCCTTCTTTTAGAGAACTGAGTGAACATTCTTTTTTTCCTAAACTGGTTTGGGTAATTCACTGAAGTCACAAATGCATTTCAGCTGCCTCTTTAAGGCTACGGTACCTGCTGCCCCAGAGGGCAGACACTCAGGTCTGTAGGCAGGGACCCTGCCCTCAGGGGCCTGCTGGGGTGTGGATGGCAGCTCTACCATGGTACTCAGCTCTCAACTCCTCCACCCACCATCAGCAAAGCCACCTCAGTTGGGACTGAGGCTAGGTATATTGCATTCCTGGCAACCAAAGCAAATCCATACAAGAAGACCTTAGTGATGGGGAACTGCATAAGCAAATGTGTGGAAACTCTTAAGGTGCCTGGCCTGACTAGGGAAAGGAAACCACGGCATTAGGCTGGTTGGACCCAAGGTAAGTTGCCCTTGGGATAGCAGAACGTTTTCGGGCAGAAGCTCCTAGACAGTGCTCCAAAACCCAGAAAAAAGACCCAACAATGCCGGGCACAGTGGCTCACGCCTGTAATCCCAGTACTTTGGGAGGATGAGGCAGGTGGATCACCTGAGGTCAGGAGTTCGAGACCAGCATGACCAACATGGTGAAACCCTGTCTTTACTGAAAATACAAAAATTAGCCAGGCATGGTGGTGGGCGCCTGTAATCCCAGCTACTTGGGAGGCTGAGGCAGGAGAATTGCTTGAACCCAGGAGGAGGAGGTTGCAGTGAGCCAAGATCGCACTACTGCACTCCAGCCTAGGCAATAGAGCAAGACTCCATCTCAAAAATAAATAATTAAAAAGACCAATAAACATGTTTTGCTTGTAGGTCTTAGCATGTGTGCACATGTGCGTGCACACACGAACACACACACAGCTATCTTGAGTCTAGAAATGAGACCATGTGCAATCAATGTTCTGTGGCCAGGGGTTAGGGTGGTAGGAACAGGATCTAACAAAGGGTGTTCAATCCTCCTTTTTGAACTTTTCTCCAGCCAGGCCCTAGACAGTATGAGGAGGTAGGCAGCTATCCCATGGCTTCTAGACTCACTGGGCTTCCTTGGGAAAGTCACTCAACCTCTCTGGAGCAAACAATGTAGAGAATCATCATTAGGCTTGCTGGTCTTCTGGAGCCAGAAATAATAACAGTTACTGTAATACTCAATACGCACTGAGCACTGACTGAGCATCAGGTACTGTCCTAGATATCAGATAACCTAAGCTGACTCTCACCATGCTGCTATGAAATGAAGTCACTAACTCATGGCCTCTGAGAGGTGAGCCGAGATTGGAACTCAGGAAGTCTGTCTCCAGAATCCAAAGTGGTGAGCACGGCAGTATGTAGTATGCAGCCTCCTTTCAGAAGTCAGCAAAGGAAGGGAACTTACAGGCCCTCTAACCCAACTCCAGCTGTGAGTGGTTTTTCTAAAAGCATAAAATGGATTATGCTTAGATTCCTTCAATGGTTTCCATTACCTTCTGAAGAAAATCCAAACAGTTGGTCTACAGAATCTGTCATGAGCTTGCCTTTGCCTCTGATCTTTCCCTCCTCCCCAAACCTACCCTATACTCTAGCTCCACTGAGCTATTTACATTTCCCTAAGCCACATAATAGAAGCTACCTATTTTGTTAAGGCCCTGCTTGCTGTTTAGAACCATTATACTATTTAATTTTCACAACAATCCCTCAAAGTAGGTGGTGAAGTCTTCATTTAACAAATAAGGAAACTGAGGCGTTAGAGTAGTCACATAGCTTTCTGACTCCAGTGCTTAAGCTCTTCAATGAGTGCACTGTATACTTTTATCCACTACTGCTGTCTTTGCCTGGGATGCCATTCTCTTCATTGCCTACCTAGAAAACCAGTCTTTCCTCTGGTGGTAGCTGAAAGGTTATTTCATCAGGGAAGCCTGCCGTTATTTCTTGACTTCCTACCAGGTTGAGTTAGTGGCTCTCTCTCTGGTTCCCACAGCATCTTATACTTTTCTTTTGGTACATGTTTCTCACTCCCTGCATCAAGGAGGCTGTGAAATCCTTGAAGTATTTAAGTGTTCCCCTCCACGTTGCCCGCTCCCTGCAGGGCTCCTGACAGATAATACCCTGGGTGGTGGTATTATCTGCACTCTAGGCAATTGCTTTTTTCCGGGTGTTTTTGTTTGTTTGTTTGTTTGTTTTCTTTTTCTTTTTTGAGACCGAGTTTTGCTCTTGTCACCCAGGATGTGGTGCAATCTCGGCTCACTGCAATATCCACCTCCCAGATTCAAGAGATTCTCCTTCCTCGGCCTCTCAAGTAGCTGGGATTACAGGCGCTTGCCACCACGCCCAGCTAATTTTTGTATTTTTAGTAGAGACAGGGTTTCACCGTGTTGGTCAGGCTGGTCTTTAACTCCTTACCTCAGCTGGTCCTCCTACCTCGGCCTCTCAAAGTGCTGGGATTACAGGCGTGAGCCACCGCACCCGGCCGTGGTAAATGTTATTGACTGGATAGGTGATGGGTACGTGGACAAATACGAAGCTTAAGAGACTTGTTCCAGATTTGCTCCTGAGCTACAGAGAAGAGTGGCAGATGGACTTGGGATACTGAAGAAAGGACCGTATCAGTCCTAGAGCTTCTTTCCCACATGTCTCTGCTGTGGCTTCTTGTGCTTTGGTGCTTGCCTTCCACAGCTAGGGCACATCCCAAGGGCAGTTCTGAGATACAACTCCAATTTATGGAGAGTTTTAATGGACACACGGATATTAAAGCACCAGGGTTAATTATTCAGAAAATGTTTCAACTGACTTGCTTTTCATCTCCCCCATGATGGGTAGCTTCAAAGCCTACAGTTGCCTTCTGGTAAGAAGAGACATCCTGCCCTTGTGTGATTAGTAGTCTGAGCCATTTGCTCTTCACATTCCGGAAGGTGAGCACCTCAGAAGAACCTTCTCTTCTATGAGAGGGGGAAAACTGAGGCTCAGCGAAACTTACCTGGGACATAAAACTGTGACTGGTACTTCATTGCAGAAGGAAGAAGGGTCTGCTCTGGTGTTGTAGGTTGATATTTCCTTTGAGAAGGAAAAACAATCATTGTTACTATATGAAAAGACAAGGTCCTCATGACATTCTTTAGTTCCTGGGATCTGATAAAATTCTGTGATTATTATTTGCATCCTAGTGACTTTCTTCCACATGCCAGATATGGTCTTGAAAACTTTAAAAAGCTTCCCCTCTAGGAGTATAATGTTATAGATCCAGTAGTCCTCTGTCTGCCCCATTCTGTTGTATTTAAACATTTTATCTGAGCTCAGAGTTATTTGTTTTTATTTTGTTCATTGCATAGAGAAGAAATAATTATAGTCCACTTAATCAGCTTTTTCGAAGAGTTGGCCTTCACTGCCGGTTGGAAGACTAGGGTTTTTCTTTTTTATTAAAACCTAAGATATCATGTAGATTATATGATATATGATAGTTATATTTATCTTTATTTTGCTTATGTTTGATTTCTTTCCCCACATCTGATCAGTTCATGTCTTCTGTATTGAAAGCATTCTGAGGTCAGGCTCAGTGGCTCACGCTTGTAATCCCAGCACTTTAGGAGGCCGAGACGGGAGGATCGCTTGAGTCTGGGAATTCAAAACCAGCCTGGGCAACATAGAGAGACCCTATCTCTACACAGAATTAAAAAATTAATGGGGCATGGTGGTGCACACCTGTAGTTCCAGTTACTAGGGAGGCTGAGGCAGGAAGATCACTTGAGCCTCAAGGCTGCAGTGAGCCCTGATTGTGCCACTGCACTTCAAACTGGGTGACAGAGCAAGACCCCCATCTCAAAATAAATAAATAAATAAATAAATAAATAAATAAATAAATAAAGTAAAATAAAGAAAAGAATTTAAAAAAAGTATATTATGGGATATCTAAAAGTTGACTGTAGAATGAAATATGTTATTATTATTTTTTTGAGATGGAGTTTCACTCTTGTTGTCCAGGCTGGAGTGCAGTGGCACAATCTCAGCTCTCTGCAGCCTCTGCCTCCCGGGCACAAGGATTCTCCTGCCTCAGCCTCCCGAGTAGTTGGGATTACAGGCGCCTGTCACCATGCCTGGCTAATTTTTGTATTTCTAGTAGAGACGAGGTTTCACCATATTGGCCAGGCTGATCTCGAACTCCTGACCTCAGGTGATCTGCTTGCTTCAGCCTCCCAAAGTGCTGGGATTACAGGCGTGAGCCACTACACCTGGCCAGACATATATTATTGAAGAGTAAGTAGTATAATGGTTATAAACACTGAGCAGGGCCTTAGCAAAATAGGTAGCTACTATCATGTGGCTTAGGGAAATGAAAATAGCTCAGTGGAGCTAGAGTATAGGTAGTATAGGGTAATTTAAATAAAAGTTAAAGTATATTTAAGCTTGGTATGTCTACAAAATTAGATTAAAAGAAGAAAACCAAGACCTTTAGTGATAGGAATTGCATGTAATTTTTTTTTTTTTTTTTTTTGAGACGGAGTTTCACTCTTGTTGCCCAGGCTGGAGTACAGTGGCATGATCTCGGCTCACTGCAACCTCCGCCTTCTGGTTTCAAGCGATTCTCCTGCCTCAGCCTCCTGAGTAGCTGGGATTACAGGCACCCACCACCACACCTGGCTAATTTTTGTATTTTTAGTAGAGGTGGGGTTTCACCATGTTGGCCAGGATGGTCTCAAACTCCTGGCCTCGCGATCTGCCCGCCTCAGCTTCCCAAAGGGCTAGACTTATAGGCGTGAGCCACTTTGCCCAGCTGTAAGTTTTAAAGAACCATTTACTCAGTTACAACCAGTAAAGCAGGCGTGTTTCAGAGGAGAGTTTAGTCATTGTTTGCTTAATTGTCAGGAACAATACAAACTGCTCTGGAAGAATAATACGGGTATGTGCAGGGGGTGGGAGGGCAAGAACAACAGCTTTCTGAAGGGGTGTTTGTTTCTGTGTGTATCAAGAGAAAGCAGGAAATGGGAGCTGGCTAGGTCAGCGGTGATGAAGACTCTCTCTCCTGTCCCAGCTCATTTCTGTTTGCTCTAACTATGACAGCAGGGCTTGGAACAAGTTTGCAGGGATGAAGGCCTGACCAGAACATCAGGGAAACAATCCAAGTGTGAGGTAGTGCAAGTGCTAGTAGACCTATGATCAAGGATGGACAAAAAGGGAATTCTTTAAGCAGAAGGTGGGTGGCAGGCAGGAAAAGTACAGGGGCTTTCAGTCCCCAGGGAAAGCTGTGACAGGGGCACGATGCAGCAGCTCCCTGCTCTCTTCTCTCTCCTCCCTAGAAAAAAACAGAAAATGAAGCCACCAGGAAGCACACTATTCAGCAGAAAGTGGTAAAACAATGTAATTGAGGGAGTTGTAGACTTTCTTCCTGAAAAACGCTCAGTGTTAGATAGCTCTCCCCCACCTTTTGTGGGTTCAAAATGACCTTGTGTGGAAGCAGAGGGATTGCCCTGATGGCCCTGCATGTGCATGCAATTGAGTGATGCTGGTCTAAGATACTAGAGGCTCATCTTTCTACAATGATGAACAGTTGAAAAGCAAAGTATCTAATAATAGGCTGGGTGTGGAGGGGGTGGATGTCTTTTCCATTCTTTCCTCTTCCAGCTCCTGAAGCCTGGGGGAATAAGCAAGAGGGATGTTGAGCTCTTGATTAGGTTTGTAACCCAGACACTACTGGTCCTGATGAATTAAAAGAACATTAAGGCTGTAGCCAGCGACACCACATTTTTCATTTAACCAAATTGATTACAGCTCTGACTCTCCTAATAGCCTGGGAAGGCAGGCTGGCTTCCTCTGACGTGCTTAGGAGAAGAAGCTGGGGCACCAGATTGACACAAGGCTTTGATCAGAACAGTAGGCAGCTGAGTCTGCTGCCGTGGAAAAGTTGAAGCGCATCAGGCCAGTTCGCTTGGCTTGATTCTGTGCGAGGGGGCTGCAGCCCTCTTTCTGGCTGGAGTCCTGCAGATACTGGTTGTTGGCATGGGGAGCAGGAAGGAATGAATAGAGTAGAGCCAGCCCCTTTGGGGAAGCAACAAGTCCTGGAACACACCTGGCTAAGGGTGGGGGTGGTGGGTAACCTCTTTGAATGTAAAGGTCTCATTAGTCCATTGTAACTTGGCTCCCCATTTCCTCCACTGCCCTTGTTCTGGCTGCTCCACAGGTGAAGGGGGAGGGCCTCTGTGCCTCAGGGGCTGTGAGCACAGCTTCAGCCTGATTGAGGACTCCCCAGAGGTCTTCCCCCACCTTTTTCGTAACATCCACTGAGTCGGCAGCCACTTGCCGCCTTGCTCTGAGGCAAGCCAAACTGGGGATAGTCTCCAACTGGGGATGGTCTGCCAGTAACACCTGGTATTATTGGCACAGTGATCTGAAAAGTGCCCTCCACTGCCTCTTCTCTCCCCAAAGCCTGAATCCCACTTGTTCTTTGCATCTCCTCATATTGCATTCATTCCACCTCTCACTCACTCACCTAGTACGTATTGAAGACTGACCTCAGGCCATGTACGGTTTTGTACCCAAAAGCGAGGCAGGATGCTACAGTCCTATTATAAAAGTTAACTCCAGGCCAAGCGCAGTGGCTCATGCTTGTAATCCCAGCACTTTGAGAGGCTGAAGTGGGTGGATCCCTTGAGGTCAGGAGTTCGAGACTAGCCTGGCCAACATGGCAAAACCCCATCTCTACTAAGAATACAAAAATTAGCCGGGTGTGGTGGCGCACGTCTGTAATCCCAGCTGCTCGGGAGGCTGAGGCGGGAGAATCCCTTCAACCCAGGAGGCAGAGGTGGCAGTGAGCCAAGATCGCGCCACTGCACACTGCACTGCAGGTTGGGTAACAGAGTGAGACTTGTCTAAAAAAAAAAGAAAAAAAAAAGTTAACTCCAAAAGAGTTAAAGCGGATATTCAAATTGTGCTGTAAGGAAGTTCTGGTGCTGCCCTGGCAGCTCCTGGGTAGGTTAGGAAGGGCTCTGTTTTGCCCTTGCCACCCTTCTCTTTCTCCCAGGCTCTTCCGAAATGCCACCACTTAACTGTCTGCAGCTCCTTGGTCCAACGCACCATTCAGGGACTGTTTCCCCACCTGCAAACTGCCCACGCAAAATGCCCACCTTAAAGGGATGTCTTACGTATTAAGCAAACTAACATGTGTGAACACCCTGTCTTTAATAACCAGTAGCGTCCTCCTTTTCTTTCTACCGTCTTCCAGCTCCTCTCTCCTTGTCACCCTGCAGTTCTTACTCTCCCCTCCGCTGTTCTATTTCCATAGGCCTCAGGCACCGCTGTCTTCTCTCAAGCATCCTCCTCTCTCTCACCCAACCTTTAGGCTCAGAAGCCCCCACCATCCAGGTGGCCAATATAGGTAGCGGTGACCTAAGCGGAGAGGGGAGGAGGGGAGGCTAGGGGCTCAGGGATCCCAAAATGGCCATGGGGATGGGGGCTCCTGAGCCCAATAATTTAGCCTTGAGCTGCAGTGGGTTCGGGAAGTTGGAGAGAAGGAGCTGGCTAGAAAGGAGACCAGCCTTCTGGGGTGGGGAGTATAGAGCTCCTTTCCAGTCCGCCTTCCTGCTGGGGAAGCAGCCTCCTTGACCTTGAGCAGGAGGCGGGGGCGCCGAGCGCCTGGGGGGCTGCGCAGAAAGAACCCGTCCCGGGGGGCAGGCCCGCCCTCCGCCTCCTCCGGGCCTCCTCCGCCTCGGTCCCCGCCCTCCCACGCCGCTTGGTCTCCTCCCCTCACTGCAGCGCTCGCCGCGCGCGCCCATCGATCAGGCCCCCTCCCTCTGCCGCCTCGGCGCAGACTGCTAAGCTCAGCAAGTCTTGCGGCAAAGGCACTTCGGAGCCGAGTTGGGGCAGCGGTGGAGCGGGGACTTCGCGCCCCCAGGGGAACGGGCGCCCCTGCGAAACCGTCGCCAGCCACGCGTCCTTGCCGTCCGACGCCCCCTCACATTGGAGACCCCGGATCTCTCCCGCCTCCTTCGGGTCGCTCTCCGGTAAGTCCATACCCCCGCCGGTGGGGGCACGGACCTCCCTCTCCAAAGTTTCTCCTTTCCTGCTACTGAGTCGAGGGGCCACGGGGTGGTCTGGGTCCCGAGAGGTGAGTAGGGTTGGGGAAGTTTGAGGCCAAGGGGGCCGGGAGTCTGCCCCGTCCTTTGGGGGAGTTTGGAAGCGTCCGGATGGAAGGTTCGTCTCGGGGAGTCGGACCCGAGGGGCGAGGAGCCGGCTCCTCTGAGGGACTGGGGCTGGGCTGGGGGCAGATTTCCTCCCGCGGGTTGCTGCAGAGAGGGGCGGGCCACGCGTCCCCTGCACCGGCCGGCTCTGCGCCCCCGTCCCTCTCTCCTTTCCCTGGGACGAACCCACTCGCGTCTAGCCCAGCCCCCGCCAGCCCTAGCGGTCTCCAAGGAAGGTTCTTTTGCCCCAGTCTCAAGCTTCGGGGACCCCTGGCACCGCCGTCGTGGGAAGTGGGGCGGGGGGTGGGGTCTGGGCGCTGGGAGCCGGAGACCCTGGGTCAGGGAGAGGTTGGGGAGACAGACTGCAGGGGCCATCTGGAAGCAACGGGCACGAGGAGCTGGGGCAGGGGCCCAAGAAGGGGCTGGAGGCGCCCCTCCCCTCTCTCCAAATCTCATGACTCAGCACGACCTAGGACGCCCCGTCCCTGCTTCAGCTCTGTCCCCAAGGGCTAGGCTCGCAGCCTGGCGGGTGCTGACAGCCCGACTCCCTTTTCTGGACTCTTCCATGTACCTTTCCCATTTGGGGTGCCCCCTTCCCCTGCCTATGCTCCTTCCCCCACCTCTGGGGCACAGGGCTTTTATTTTTCAACTAAAAAGTGGAGCTTTATCGTTTCACATCCCACTAAGCCAGGCCCCCTCATCCTGTCTCCTCCCTTTTCATCCCCACATTCCACAGGTGCCTCCAGGACACCCCCAGCCCATGGCTCGTGGGGTGTCTCCTGGCAGGGCAGTGTCCTCCCTTACCCCTGGCTGAGGTGGCAGAGTAGGTGCTCTCCCCGCAGCAGGAGAAGGGAGTGCAAGGACAGAAGAGGTGCTGGCCCAGGAGGGGCCACTGCAGTGGGGAGGGAAGGGCAGAGGCCCCGTGGGCAGGTAGTACAGGTTGAGTTAGCTTATAAGGAGGAGGAAGTCCTTAGGATCTGGGGGCGCCCAGGAAGCCAGAAAGGTGAACTGGGGTCTGACCTGGAAAGCAAAAGGGTGCCCTTCTCCCTCCCCTACTGCTGCCGCCCTGCGGGGCCTCTCCCAGGTGGAATAGATTGTCCTCCATCCAATCTGTCTGGATCCCCATAACCTGGCACTTCATTAGAGGGGGTGACAGAAGCAGGGAAGCCCTTAATCCTTTCAACCATCTCTCCCTACTTAAGACTAAGTCCAGCTTTGGGGCTGCTAGAAACATCTCTGTGACCAGCAGAGGTGCTGAAAAAAGCCATGCCCAGTGCCCCAAAGGCGGGCCCGAGTGGCAGGTGGAAGGGGGCAGGGTGGCTCTGATGCAGTGGGACGTGCCTGGCATCCTGGTCCTGTGGAATGAGAGTGGTGGTCTGGCAGGCACTGCAAGCTGCAGCGTGTGTCAGGGCCCTGGGGGTGAGTCAGCGTCAGGGGTCCACGCCAGGCACACTGCAGCCTAGGGAGTCCAACTCCAACCCATCTCCTCCCATGCCCCTGGAAAATGGCCAGTGCCCACTGAACCCCGACTGAACCACCTTTCCCTCAGGGTGGCTGCCTCTGCTCTGCTTGGCTGCCAGGCAGATCCCTGGCTTCACCCTCTAGGACTCCCCCCAGAGGCTTGGCTTTTTCTGGAGATCTTTTGGGCTTAATCCTTACCTTCTCCCCTCCTTGTCTTGCCAAAGGAGGAGGAGAGGGAGGCAGAGGAAAGTTTCTAGGTTATAGCCTCACATAGACCTGGCCCACCATTCCCTGGAGGAAGAGAGACCAGACCACTCTGCTGGGAGTCTGCTTTGTTCTGCAGTCCAGGAGCTTGGTCCAGGGAACTTGGGTTTTCTTTTGGGGGAAGGGGGTGATTATGCAGGAACATTTCTTTTTCAGCTTTGGGGTCTGACATCCGCAGAACAGGACCAGGGGAAGCAAAAAGTGTTGGTGTTCGTAAACATTGACTTTTCACCTAGAGAAGCTTGCAACTGGCTTCAATTTAGGACTGAAGCTGGTTTCACCTGGGCAAAGCATGTACCTTGCTGAAGACCTCGCAGGGCCGAGGAGACCCTTTCTGGAGCTGGGTCTGGGCTCACCTGCCCTCACATTGCAGCTGGAGCTCGTTTTATTCCTTCTACCCTTAGGCAGCTTCCAGGCAGGTGTGACAGGGCTGTCTATGATACTGCAGAGACCTGGGGGTGGGCTTTGGAGGTGGCTGGAGAAGCCTCTTCCTTGCCCTTCTCAAGCCCTGGGGACCAGGCTACCCCAGTGTTCCCCAGCCCCTAGGCAAGCCTGACCTCTAGTCATTCTTTCTGCCTCCATCTGAACATTATCATATCTCAATGGGGTCTCCTTTTTCTTCCCCGCCAGGCCTGTGCCGCCCTCTCAGGGGAGAGTAGATAGAGGGGCAGTGAGTGCACTGGAAGCAGGGGGACAGAAGGCAGTGAGGACAGAGTGGGAGGAGGTTGGGCTTCATTTGCCTGGAAGAATGACCATCATTCCCTTCCCTGGACAGAAGCATCCTCGTGGAGGACTTAAGGCTGCAGATGAGTAGAAACACTACTTCACTTGGCTTTGGGATTTGCTCTGTGGACTTCCCCAGTCTAGGCAGGTCCTAGCTGAAGCCAGAGTATCCCCACCACTGAAGGTCCAGGGTGGTGGGGATACTCTTTAAGAACTGGAACAGCAAGTCAGAGGGAGTAATGGGGGGGCAGGGTCACTCAGTGCAGTGGTTAAATATGAAGCACCAAAGAATGGAGGCTAGGAGATAGACAGGCCTGGGTTCAAATCCCAGGGCTGCTAAGTACAAAGTCTGACATTTGCAACAAGTATTTTATTAGTGAGTACCTACCATGTGCCACTATTGTAGTCTCTCTGGGTGGGGAGGTGAGCACAGCCGCAGGCCCTACACATGTTACTGAGCCACTCAGCATCCCTTCTGCATTCGTTCCACTATTGCATTTTGAGAATCTGTGCTAGGCAATGGAGATTCAGGTGGGAACAAAACAGACCTGTTTCCTGCCCTCGTGGCATTTACAATCTAGTGAATACCACACAATTAGATAATTACATAAAGAATTCATCATGACTGTGCCAAGAGTTATGAAGGTATGTAGGAAGCTTCGAGAGCATGTAACAGGATGATCTGACAATGTCTGCACAGTTTTCTCTAAAGAACAGAGGTAATAATGCTTAACTCTCAGGGTAGTATTGTAGAACTGATAACTATTCGTGTTATTTTAGAAGTAGCCCCTGGACCACCAGACAGATGCAGTTCTAAATTCCCTACGTGAATAATCCATCCATAGGCAACAAGTTGATTCTTCATCTTCCACTCAGTCAGAGAAGCCAGGCCAGAGAAGCTGGGATTCAGTTATGGCTTCTCCTGGACTCCAGAAGCCTGTGATAAATAATATAGTTTCATTGGAGAAACATCAAGTCAGAGATTTTTTTCTAAGTGGCAGTATAGTGACTACAGCCAGATTGCCAGGGTTCATCCTGGTTCTGCCACTTGCTGTGATTTTGGGCGAGTCAATCACACTCTGTTTTTTAGTCTTGCCATCTGTAGAATGGAGCTAAAATTTGTAACTATGACGTAGATTGTTCTTGGTGAGGATGAAATGGGTTAATTCCTGTAAAGCGTGTAGAACAGTGCCTGGCGCGGGAGGAGTAAGTGCTTTTCATCCTTGGGTGGCCTGCGTGCTCCTTTTCCTGCCCACACACACAACACTGTCTTGGGTTCTCCAGCTGCAGGGAGCACTGTCCACCTTTGATATTCTTAAAACTCAAGGGAAGGAGTTGCCCTCACCGTCTTGGTGGTCAGTCCTGCATTTCATCCCCCTCACTCGAAGACGGTTTTTATGCCTAATGAGTCTTTTCTTGCCAAAGCTTGATTTCTGGGAAGGATTTGTCCCAGCAATCCTTCATTTTCATCTCTGGAACTGACAGTTCAAGGAAGTAGCCAGAGTGATGGGTAAATTTGGATCCAGGCCCAGAGGGACCTGAGAGTCACTGTGAGCCTGGAGGGCAGGGGAACACCTAGCTGCCAGCCCCCTCCCCTAGAGAGGCTGGGTCTAAAATTAAACATCCAGAAGGACTCCCCAGGCCAGGTGCAGTGGCTCACACCTGTAATCCCAGCGCTTTGGGAGGCTGAGGTAGAAGGATCGCTTGAGCCCAGGAATTCCAGAGCAGGCTGGGCAACATATGGAGACCCTGTCTCTACAAAAAATTTAAAAATTAGCTGGGCATGGTGGCACACCAGGTTAAGCAGGAGGATCGCCTGAGCCCAGGAGGTCGAGACTGCAGTGAGCTATGGTCATGCCACTTCACTTCAGCCTGGAAAACAGTGAGATCCGGTCTCAAAAAAAAAAAAAGGACTCCCAAAATCCAAGATGAGCAGTAGATATTGTAGAAGCTTCCTCCCTGGATCATTTTCTGATGAGGATAAAGTCCCTGCTGGCTGAGTGCCAGGGAGGAGGTTAGATTCTGAAAGCCCCTCACACTTAGGGAAGTAGGATGTGAGTAGCAGGGTCCATTAAAATGGCCAAGCAGCCTCCAAATCTGAAAGAAAGGGGGGTTACCTGCTGCTGTAAAGTCAGGAGAGGCCCTTCCTTGGTCACTTTAGCCGGGGACCTCAGGATTTCAGCTTTTGCTGTCAGTAACACTAAGCATCAGGCATAAGAAAGGGCAAAGTCAGTGTGGGTCCCGCACAACAGGGAACCTCAGGGCTCCTCCCTGCGCCTCCTGCTCCCCTGCTCGGGGATAGAGCGGCTCACAAGGGCGGTCAAGCTCTCATCACTGCAGTCCTCGGCTACGCCATCGCTGTCCCCACTTTACAATGAACGGGCAAAGGCCCAGAGAAGTTGTGTGGTTCAAAATCCCCAGAGAAGTTGTGTGGTTGTTCAAAATCCCCAGATCATAGGCACTTTGCAGGGGGCCTTCCAGGCCACAGCAGCTGAGTGGTCAGAACCCTTCCTCCTCTCCTCGCCGCTTCTCACCAGCTCTACCTATGGCAAATGGAGCCCGAGAATACAGGTGCGGGTCCTTGGGATGAGGCCACTAACGCGTTGAGTAGAAGCAGGAGGCTGGGTGATTTAAATCAGGCAGCAGCCTTTACAAAAATTAGGCAGTGATTCCTTGGAGGAATTGAATCAGCTCTCCCTCCCTGATGTTGGGTTTCCTTGGGCTCTCCATAAGGGCTCTGGCACCTCCTTCAGGAACACCTGCTCTGAAGCAAGGAGGGAGGCCCCAGGGTGGGCAGTCTTGAGTGCATGATGGGACACCCCGCTGAATCCAGAGCTGCTCCAGCCTCAGCAGCCCTATCTGTGATGGCATGCTGATGTCATCAGCACCAAAAGCCCTTGCAGGTTTCAACTCGGCAATTAAACGGCTCCTCTGAAGCCCAGCAGCCGTGTGTGTGTGCATATGTGTGTATTCAGGGTCCTAGGGGTGGGCTGGGGAGGAGGGCCCCTTGCAAAGGCAGGGAGAATGGGAGTTAGTGGGTGTGTGACTGCTTCTCTCCTTCGGAGACTCCAGACCTGAGAAGTCAGATCCCTATGGGACTCACAGCCCAAAAGTCAACCCTTGCGTGCAGGTGTAGCCAGAGTCTAAACTCAGCCTGAGCCAGAGCACCCCATTCCTTCCTTACTTCCTACTTTCCTCCCGCCTTTTCCTCCACGTTCCACTCCAATGCACTAAGCACCTACTCTGTAAAAGGCACCTGGGATGTAAAGGAGAACTCAAAATAACCGTGTCTCCTCTATCAGCCTGGGCGCTCCCCAAGGCCAGGGCATGTTGTTTCTCCTCCTCTCCTGGGTCCCCCTAGCCCCCAAAGTGGAGTTCTGAAGCTGGGAGCATTGATGGTGGCTGGTGCAGAGTGACAGGGCTCCCAGATGCTCTCCAACCCCAGGATAGTCGCCTGTCAACACAAGGCTTTCCTCAATCACAAAGCTTGCTTCACTTCCTCCCATCCCCTGCAGAGAAACTAGAAGCCCAAGGGCCTCATCACTGGACAGTCTGGGACCAGGGGAGGACAGCAGCTGGGTGGGGAGTCAGGAAAGCTCCCCCGAGGCATTTGTCAGGTGCCTCTCAGTAAGGCAGGGAGTCCTCAGACCATGGAGAACTCTGGCAGGACTTGCCATAATTGGGTTGATACAGTGGCTCTGGAATTTAGTAATTAGGAAATATTGCAATTAGAGACGGAATTTACCCATTACTATTCCATGCATCTTAATACAGGGTGTAAGTGGTTGTAACTGTGAGCTTGGCACTAGGCATATGGGAAAATAGAAGTGAATGGAGAAATGGGATGAAGGAAGGAGGGGATGGGAGGAGCTTAACCCTTTCCATACCCGAGTAGACTGAAGGAGCAGCCTGGGGGTGATGCAGGGTTAGGGCGAGCCCAGCAGCCCACCGCATTTGTAAGAGGTGACCGAGGCAAAAATCACAGGCTCCCTCCGGACCTTCTGCTTCTTTAGCTCAGGTAGGATCAGATGCAGGGCTTGGCAGGGGTTAGGAGAGTGGTGATGGAGGCCAAGAGGGAGAGGCTGCAGGGGAGAAGGGCTCTTCTCCCAGTTTCCTGCTCAGCTGTGGAGAAACAGAAAAGAGTTGTAACCACCTGCAGTAGTGTGCATGTGAGAGACAGGAGAGGGTACCTTGTACCTTCATCTCTCCCTCCCCACTTGTTCCTTCCCCCGCCCTTCTTTTTACTCCCTTCCTCACTCCTACTCTTAGCTCCATTTTCCTCTGAAGTCAAATGAGGCATTTGTGGTATTGCAGGGCTGAGCTGGGTAGGGCCATGTGTATGGGCGGCGGAGGGAGGGGAGCGGTGGCCGGGGGTGGGAGGGTGGTAGCGTCAAAGAGGTGGTGCTCATTTTTTCCTTTCCAGACCAGAAATGCCTTCCCCAAGGTCAGCCAGTGCTCTGAGCTCCAAAGACCTTCCCAGAGAACCTCTGCTCCCTAAGGGCTGGGTGGTTTGAGAGAAATCTCTTTTCCTCACCATTGATTCCAGTCTGAACTAATGATCCAGATGTGTTGTGCATGTCCTTCCTCTTCTACAAAGTGACTCGGGAAGCAGTTTTTATGCTATTTGTAGAAAGGAAGCATTTTCTGGAGCGGGGCCTTCTCTGCTTCTGCTACACCTTAACTCCCTAGATTAGAGGAGAGCTGTGAGGCCGCAAGGAGGGGGGCCTGGAGAGGGGCTTGGGCTGAGGGTGGTAGAGGTCTCTGAGGACTGTCCTTGTCTTCTGCCTCCTGTGTTTATTTGGAGAAAAGCCCATTTAACAAATGTACAGGTCTTTACCTCTATCCCTCTTGGGGCTGTCTGCCATGTATCTTTCATTGTACCAACTCAGATGGACCAAGTGACGGCCCGGTCATAGGGCCTAAGATGGGATGTTAGGAGACGGGGTGGAGGCCTGCAAGCAGGAGGAGAGGGGACCACCCAGGCAACCCTCTAGAAGTGCAGGAAGGATGAACAAGAACCTATTGGTTAAGTGCTCTTGGGTCTTGGAGGGAAGCAGACCTAGGACTGAAATCCATCCTCACCACTAGGAGCTAAGAAGAGTTACAGGTAAACCCCAGGAAACTCAAGGGTGGCTGTGGCTAGGATCAGTGTTAGCGGGAAGCATGGAGTTAATTGGCTGTGGGAGGGCTCCCTCTCCCAGTTTGACTCTCCCACGAGTAGGAAAAGGCATCACTTTAATAAGGCTGCCCTGTTTCCAAATCAATCCTGGCATTGCAGGAGGCGAAGGGGGAAGCACAGCTGAGAAATTGGATTAGCTCTTTGATGCTGGGAACTGTGCTGGTTGCTGCTGCTGCAGCTGCAGGAGGCAGGGAAGCATCAAGAACTGAGCCTGCCATTGGCAAGCCAGCCCCAGACGTCTGAGGCTTCCCAGGGAGGCGTGCTCCACCCCCATTAGGTCTCCTACTGGTAGAGGGTGGCAGGGGTGCCCTGGGGCAGACAGTAATAGAAGCCCAGGTCCTCACCACTGCAAACCTGGAGGTGTCTTCGTGCCTCCCCTGGAGTAGATCGTGAGCCCCAAAGACCTCAGGAGGTGAGGCAATGGGGAAGGGGCAGAGGAGAGGCCCCCACAGCATGTTCTGTAGGGCATAACTGAAGCAGCGTGTGTGTGGCTGGGAGTCAGATGGCCTAGGTCAAACCAAGACTGCCACTTCCTGCCTGTGTGACCCTGGGCAAGTTACTTAAACTTTCTGAACTTCGGGGTCCTCATCTGAAAATGGAGACAGTAACACACAGGGAACAGGCCCTTGTGAAGTTTACCTTATAGCAGTAATCAAGATGGGGGCCACGGGTCCCTGGGAGTCCCTAAGAATTTTCAGGGGGGTCCATAAGGTCAAAGCAGTTTCCATGATGGCAATAAAGTTATTTGCCATTCCCATGCTTGACATTGATGGTGCTAAAGCAGTGGTGGGTGAAGCTGCTGGCACCTTACCATGAATCAAGGTAATAGTATCACACTGCACCCGTCTTTGTGTTCTTCCACACTACACACCCGCTAAGCAAAGTAATTGGTAAATAATGAAATGCCATTTTCAGTTAAGAATGTCTTCTTTTCATGAAGCAGCAAAGATTATAATTATATTGAAGCTTGATTCTGGAGTGCACATCTTTTTAATATTCTCTGTGATGGAATGAGAAGTACACATAAAGCACTTCTGCTTCTTACAGAAATATTACACAATAATTTCTCAAGCAACTGAACAGTGCCCATCACCTGTGCATCTGTTTGAGTTGCAGGCTGAACTAGCCATTTTTCCATGGGATACCATTTTATCTGAAAGAACAACCAACAAACTCCAGTTATTCAGACTTGGGTGTTGAGCAGGCATTTTTGCAAAAATGAACGAAGTGAGCTCGTCACTTCCAGAAAAACAACTGGCAGTATTTGTGGCCAATGATAAAATTTAAGCTTTCAAGCAAAAATTAGAATTTTGGAAAACTCACACATATTACTATGAAAAGGACTTTTGTGATAAGATCAGTGGGAATAGTAATAGATGTGATTTGTTAATATTGTTTAATGAAATTCATCAATATTTGAAAGATCTTCACAATTCGGCAAGCCAATATCTTCGAAATGATAAATGAATGATGTCACAAAATCATGCACAGAGGCAAACAAGCATTCCAAGTGCAAGGTTTCAGATTCCCCACTGCAGCCAGTCTTTAAGAAGCTACCACTTGGGGAGCAGTGATGTCATATCAAAGAAAAATATCCACAATGATCTGAAAAGGCTTTATTAAATACCCCTCCCCTTTCCAGTTACATATCTGAGTGAGGTTGGATTTTCTTTCATCTTTCAATCAAAGTAATGTATTGCAGACAGACCGAACACCGAAGTTGATATAAAACTCTAGCTACCTTCTAGTAAACCACACATTAAAGAGATTTGCAATGATGTGAAACAAGGCCTCCTTCTTACTAGATATTTTACTAGAGAAAACGTCTACTATATATTTTTTTGGTCTTGGAAAATATAGTTACTTATTAAATATGTTGTATTAACAGGTAATGAGTTACTATTGTATTTTGAGCTAATTTAGAAATTTCTCAGTTTTAATTTTGAATATGGTAACTATGGATGGATCTAACTTACATAAGAAAACGCTCTTGGAGGGTCCTCAATAAACGGGTCTTAGAACCAAAAGGTTTGAGAACTGCTGTCCTAGGTGAAGCCCAGCCCAGAGCCGGGCACACAGTGAATGCTTAGTAAGGACCTCATGCTCCCCTAGAGTGCGGGGCTTCGTGTCACAGGGCAGAACCTGGGGGCATTCTCTGTATCTCAGAAGTCCAGAGTCAGCCTGGCAGCCTTGCTGGGCAGGCTGCATGGAACAGAAAAGTCCAGAGCTGCACGGGGTGGAGGGAGCCCAGGGAGCACCTAGCCCCTGGCTTCCAGGTGGCCTCTGGGGATGAGGCTCCCTCCAGGGCTGCCTGGAGAGGGGAGCTTTTCTTGGAGTTGGGAGAGAGGGGTGTCTAGGGAGAGTCCCCCTTGACTGTCCCAACCCCTACCTTCACCAGAGCAACCCTGCGTTTATCTGCCTTGCCTATTGAGGTTCTTATACTGGAATTCTCTTAAGCTTCTGTTTAAAGGAAGGGGTTTGAGGCTTCCCAAAGATTTCAAAACTTTGTAGTCCAGCTCTTTATTTTAAAGACAAGGCCCAGAGAGGGAATGTGACTTCTCAAAGAATACATGGCAAGCAATCAACTCAACGGTGATCAAGGGAAAACCGACATACGAGACCATGCTGGATGGAGCCTCTCAGCCGGTAGAGCCCAGTGCCTGTGCAGCAGGACCTCAGCAAATGTTCATACACTGGATAAAAAAGCTCCCTGTATATTCTGTCATTTTTTCTTTATAACAAGCCTGAGCTTTATTGAAGTATAATTTATAGATCATAATATTCACCTGGTTTAAGTGTACAGTTCAGTGATTTTTAGTAAATTTACAACATTATACAGCTATCACTACAATCCAGTTTTAGAGTACATGATCTATTACCCCTATTTACAGAGAAAAATAGTCCCAGAAAGGTAAATAAATGTCCTCAAGGTGACACTGCTATTGGGTGGCAGAATAACATCCAGATTCAAGTTTGTCTGTCCCAGTGCCACACCCTGCTCATGCTGCACACTGCAGAGAAGGGAGTCAGGTGGTCCACTGTTTGGGGACCATGGACAAATGCCCTGCCGCAGGCTGGTGTTTGTGGGACTCTCTCTAGAGCTGGTTGTGCCAGTCCAATTTGGGCACTGGAGGCTGGGTGCAGTGGCTCGCACCTGTAATCCCAGCACTCTGAGAGGCCAATGCAGGAGGATCACTTGAGCCCAGGAGTTCAAGACCAGTCTGGGCAACATAGCGAGACCCCATCTCTACAAATAATAAAAAAAATTAGCTGGACGTGGTGGCATGCTTGTATTCCCAGCTACATGGGAGGCTGAGGTAAGAGGATCTCTTGAGCCCAGGAAGTTGAGGCTGCAGTGAGCCAAGATCATACCACTGCACTGCATTCCAGCCTGGGCAACAGAGCAAGACCCTGTGTCTCAAAAAAAAAAAAAAAAAAAAAAAGACAGTTTGGTTACTGGTTCTATCCACACAGCTCTGGATGCAGAGGAAACCTAGATCCCAGCCCCCTCAGAACTGAAATCCTCCACAAATGGGGGACCTGAAGTGCTTCCCTTGGCCTGTCTTTTGTAGGGGACCTAAAGCTCCTCATTGAGCAGGCCCTCTAAGAGTTGTCTGCTGGAAAGTACAATCTCTAGGAAGTAAAATCAGTCCTTAACCCTGGTGACCCCTAAGAGTGAGGAAGTTCTTTCTTGTGTCTAGCCACATTCTTCTTGCTGTACTGAGTGCCTATTTCCTATTCCTATCCACCCTTCCTGTTCTGCCTGGTGAGTCTGGGGGTCGGTGTACATAGTTCAGAGGCCACAGAGAAAAGCTGAGAGCTGGATGGAGAGTCTGGACTGTCTGCCTAGACAACTGCCTGCTGTAGTTACCATTTAGCACTCCAACCTCCAAGGATGACTGCTCTTTTCACAGGAAGGCCAGGCAGTCTTCATGTCCCTTCTGTGGCTTTTGTGGCTCTGGCACTGAGAGAATGTGGTCAGTTCTTCCTGGGAGGATGAGTGAAGCGGAGGGCGGGGAGGCTCTGCAGGATGGTGGAGGAACCGCCTTCAGACGAGGTCAGATGTCTACCCAGGCATACCTGGCATAATGGGGAGCACACGTCTCTCTGCTCTTCAGCGGGCACAGGGCTGGGTAATTGATTGCCCTGGCACGTGGCTCCTTCTCCAGCTTGGCCAACCTTGACTGTACTGCTGTCCAGGTACCTCTCTGTAGGGGCTGCTTCTAGCACCCATTTTAGACCAGGCATGGGGAAAGACCTAGACATGGTAAAAGATGAAAGGGAGAGTATTCCCTGTGGTGAGAGGGGTCACTTGAGCAGAGTGAACTTTCCTTGGGGGGGTGGTGAGACCCTGGACGCTGCCCTGTGGAGGTCATCCAGCTAACGCAGGAACCGGATCCCTGATCCTTCACCCTCCCCGCATCCCCTGCTGTGTTTTCTTTCCCTCTGGCTCCTCCTGTCCGTACCAAGGAGCTGTGTTGCAGACAGACCCTGGGCCTGGCAGCTATCAGCAAGGAAGAAATCAATAGTGAGTGTGGAAGTGCTTGGAGGCAGACTGGAGCAGTCTTCCTAGGGTAGGGTTTTCTTTTTATAAATTTAACATTTTATTTTTTCCAGCTCTATTGAGGTGTAATTGACAAATAAAAATGGTATACATTCAAGATGCACAATGTAATGATCTGACATACATATACCTTATATGGTGATTATTACAATCAAATTAATCAGCACACTCATCAGCACACATAGTTGCTGTGTGTGTCTGTGTGTGTCAGTGGTGAGGACACCTAAAGCAGATCGAGACCCCTGGGACCCTGAGTCCTGGGATACAAGGCTCTGGCTGTTTTCTTCTCCCAAATAAACTGGACAGATTCCTCAAACAGCCCCTTCTGGGTCTTGGCCATTGCCCTACTTTCAGAGAGCATTTCCTTCTTGCGTGAGGTTCGCAGCAAGTCAGGACATTCGGCTCAGAGTAGGGAAGACTCACAACTTTACACAAGTTCGTGTACCGATGCAAACAGGCCACACACATGGCTCTTGGCAGGTTGCCCATGGGCAGAGGTGCCTCCCTCTCACATTCCTTGGAAAGTGGGGATGAAATTGAACCTGAGGCCTTATCTCCAGCTGGAAGGAGACTGCTCAGGTGACGCTGGCCCCCTCTCCTGGTCCACACGCCACTTACCGGCTGGGCTCAGGACTGCTCCATGTGAGATCCTGGGCTGGGTTCTGGCTTGGTGCCTTGTAGTTATGTGGTTTTCTTGCAGACTTTGGACCTGTGGCTTCCCCAACCATTGCTGCCTTTCCAGACCCTGTGGCAGCTGCCATCTGCCGTTAGGAGCTAATGCTCTCAGTGAAGCTTGCTCAGCTGCGGCCGTTAGTGGAACACTTACTGGAGGCAGCATTGATAGGGGCTGTTGTCCTCAGAAATGGGGGCTTGGTAGGAAGGTGAATGAGACCATGTGTCTGGGACCAAAGCTTGGGACTTAGGTCACTGTCCTAATGACAGAGGTGGTGGGGGAGAGGTGATGGGGAGGAAAGGTATGGATGAAGGCAGATAGACTCATTAAATCCTTGCACCAATGCGAAGAGCTCACCTGATCCCCCTGCTTCAAATACATTCCATAGTGCTAAGATGCCTTTTTTTGTCCAAAGTTCTGTAGAGAAGGAAAATTCATGATATTACGTCTACTCACTCCTCAGTGTTGGGGCCAGGACTAGAAGCTGGGACCCCTGGCCTTGCAGCTTTTCATCTGTGTGACACTGGTCAGGCTCCCATGTGCCTCAGGCCACACTTCCCTAGGCTCCCACTCAGTCATTCATTCATTTATCCAAGGAACACATTCGTGGAGCAAGCTCTCTGTGCAACTGTGATGAAGACGGAACAGACAGTTCCTGCCCTCATGCCTCTTACAGGCAGAGGGAAGCAAGACATTAAAATAATCATGCGATTGTTTATTTAATTACAATTATTTAATTACAATTATGATCATTGGAATGAAGTAAAAAGTGCTTAATACTTTGAGTGTTTATAATGGGGGCTTAGCAGGGTGGGGAACATGATGCGTGCATGGCCACCATGATGTCTGGGCTCTGTAGGCAGCCACCATAGGCATCCTGGGTCTTTTCATGGGGTGTCAGATCCACTCTCTGGCACTGCCAGGGGTGTGTGCACCTGGTACATATGTTACACCACCCCTGGAAGGGTCAATAGGAAGAGTTCTGAGCTGGGAGGCACGATTTGGGTTGTAAAGGGGACTGGAATTTCTGGCTCTGCCTCTAGTTCCCCAGGTGACCGTGAACTTGTCACTTTCTCTCTTTTCTGTGTTCCATCCTTTGTAAAATGAGGAGATTTGACTAGAAAAATCCCTGAAGTCCCTTCCCAGAGTCTCAGAAAAACATTAGACGTTTCCAAAGGCAAACTATAGTTTTTCCACTGGAGACTGAGAAAGGAATTTAGAAACAGGGCTGAAAAGTCCACTAACTCCAGAGAGCAGGAGGGAGGAGAAGAACAAGCCCAGAGTCGGGACCGTGGTATCACAAATGGAGGAGTGCACATGGCAGATGCACTTGCTTATAGCACTGAGACAACTGGCAGGTGATTAAAGAGGTGTAAGGGAGAGTGTCATATAAATGTTTCAGAAAGGCAGAGAAAGAGCCTTTCAGTGGGAGATGTTTTGCATGGAGGCAGGGGCGATAGATGACCTTACAAGGTCTCTTCCTCAGACAAGTCCATGAATCTCTTCTCCTCACGTTGCCACTGATGTCAGTGCTGTCTGGATGTCTGTGAGAGGAAGATGCCAGGTCCCCTTGGAAATGAATTTTTGACCATAAACTATCCCCAATTCACATCTCTCAATGACACTTGTGGCTAACTGTGCAGTTGTCACACTCAATCAAATCGAGTTCAATTACACCTTTGCTCTCTTGTCCTGCCATAATATAAATATGGCTCTGAGAAGTGTATTAGTTGCTGACACTGCGGGAGCCGGGGAGGCTGGGTTTGGAGGGTAAGGGAGGCCAGGGAGTTTCATGTTTCAGACCTAGAAACAAGGGCTGGAGATGGGTTCCTTGAAGTTGTGGGATTGGGCTGCCATGAAGCCTTTTCTTCAGGAGGCCCTGAGGCAGTTATATCTCTAGATCAAGGTGATGGGTCAGATGCCCTCCCAAGGGTTCTTTGTGTCCTTAGACTTTTTGTTGTTACCAGGGGTCACAGGTCTCCCTGTGTGTGTGAGCAGGGGTGTATTGCATTAATGCTTGTGTCTGTCTGCAGATTACAAAAGGTCCAATGACAACTTGCTTTCCACTTCTACTGAGGAAGGTGCTCTACACCTTCAAAAAATGGTTCATAAGGTCACAAAGGCATGGGATTAACCTATAACATGAAGGATTTTAGGTAGATATGAGGAGGAATTTTCAAACACTAAATATGGTTAGATATTGTAACAAAAGACCAAGCAGGGGGTGAGACCTTCCGCAGAGAAGACTGGTCTGGGATAGGATAGATATTGAGAAAAGGTAAATTGACTATCATGATTCCTTCCAGCCAAAGGTTTATATGAGTGTGGGTATAGACATGTTGGAGAGAAGAATGTATGCACAGTTGTCAACCAGTCAACTTATATAAATATATTAAAGTGTCGGAGGGGAGAGAAGGAGGAGGAGGAGGGAGAGGAGAGGGGTAGAGGGAGGAATAAGAAGGGGAAGAAGAGGAAAAAGAGGAACAAAGAGAAGAAGGAAGAGGAGAAGGAGGAGGGAAAGGACGAGGAGGTGGTGGTGAATAATGCTGGACATAATAGGGCTTAGCAGGGCGGAACCCCTTCCTTTATCAGTGCCGTAATGTTATTGCTGTAGTTAGGGATGGTGTGTGGCTTTGTGTGTGTGTGTGTGTGTGTGTAAATTCAGCCTCAGGAGACTTAAGTTATGATAGTCAAGCCTGCAATAGGGCAGGCAGGTGTCCCTCACCACGTGGGCAGGCTGCCCACTTAAATTCAGGATTCTGTGCATCGCCTACTAAAACAGCCTCTTTGTATGTGGTCTGTTTACACATGCTGAACATTTGCCCTGCCAGCAAGCCACAGTCATCCACCCTCAATATTGAAGGGAAAAAGAAGAGTCCAAGCCTTGTGAAGAATGCAGCTTCTAGATTCTTTCAGCAGGAATGCCAGTCTGGGGCTCAGGATAGACTCAGCTCCTTTTTTCTAACACAAATCTGATACCATTACACATGTATCCCAGGGGCATCTAAGGATTTATGCTAGAAAATGCATAAAACTCTGATATGGCTTGGATGTTCATCCCCTCCAAATCACTTGTTGAAATGTGATCCCCAGTGTTGGAAGTGGGGCCGGGTGGGAGGTGTTTGGGTAATGGGGTCAGATCCCTCATGAATGGCTTGGTGTCCTCCTCGTGGTAATGAGTGAGTTCTTGCTCTGAGTTCATGAGAGATCTGGATGTTTAAAAGTGTGTGGCACCACCCCCCGACCTTGCTCTGGCTCTTGCCATGTGATGTGCCTGCTTGCCTTTCCACCTTTCACCATGATTGTAGGCTTTCTGAAGTCCTCCCAGAAGCAGATGCTGGTGCAATGCTTCCTATACAGCCTGAAGCACCATGAGCCAATTAAACATCTTTTAAAAATATAACTTACCAGCCTCAGGTATTTCTTTGTAGCAATGCAAAAATGGACTAACACAATCTCAGCAACAAGAGGAGGAATGGACAGTGCATCTTTTTTTTGATACTGTCCCAAACTTGACTCCAGGGACCCACAGGAGGGTCACAGTCATGATCCTGGACTTTGGAGGTATGACCTTGAAAGATCTTTATTCCAAACCTCCAGCCTCTTGGCAGGACCTATCTAAATCGCCCCAAATCCTGTTACACATGCTCCAAATTTTTCTTGCCCTTCCAGTGGCTTCCTTCTTAGAAAGTTTCCCCTTTGGCTGTTTCAGTCATCAGTATAAGTCATGCTGTTTTCTCATACTCAGCTTCTCTGAAAGGACTTGTATCTCAGTATTGTAGGGTCAGGTGGTCATGCCCAGATGCAGGCGATGAGTAGAAATGAGAGGTTTGAACTGTGCACTGTACCCTTCCCCATGGTCTTGAAGGGTATCTGTCTTGAAATATGGTCTGCCTATTTATCTCTTTGGAATTAGTCTCTGCCACCTTCACTTAAATGGCCTCTTGGATTGTGTCATCAATTTGCCCCTGAATCCTCCGTAGCACCCTTGCAATTCTGGAAACCCCAACAGTATTTAGAAATGCAAGCCATGGCTTCTCCAGATGGGGAGGTTCAGCACCATGGACAGAGCTCAGTGCTGCCCTCCTCTGCTCACAGACAGTAGGGTCAAAAGCTGAGTGCTCGGGTGATGGATGCATCAATATCTCAGTAATCACCACTGAAGAACTTATTCATGTAACCAAACACCATCTGTTCCCCCAAAACCTATTGAAATTTTTAAAAAATTTTAAGCTGAGTCCTATTAACTTCCTCCCCCTCCTTCTCCTGCCTTATTAACCTCCTCTTTCTTTTTCAATAATATTTTTAAAACTTTTTTTTGTAGAGATAAAGTCTCACTATGTTGCCCAGGCTGGTCTTGAACTCCTGGGCTCAAGCCATCTTCCCACCTCGGTCTCCCAAAGTGCTGGGATTACAGGTGTGAGCCACTGCCCCCAGCCCTAACTTTCCAATTTTGGAGGTAGAAGCTGGCTGAGGAGAAAACTAGTGTTGTATAACATTGTTTCTGCCCTTTACTGACTGTAACATCTTAGCCAAGCCACCTCCTCTTTACGGGCCCCACTTTTTCATCTGTAAAATGAGGAGGATGAGCTCCAAGCTCAATCACACTCTGAGCCTGAGTGTCCATGATTGCCTTTTCCAGAAAGTCTTTAAAAGTAATCTTAACATGCAAGGCCTGAGTTAGAGTGGGGCCAGTTTAACCTGTAGGTGATAGAAAGCCATGACCTCAGGTCCTGCAATCTGGCAATGTTCTCCCAAAGTCAGCGCCTTGCATCTTTCTCCAGCTTGTTGAAATGTTTAGAGCAGGGGACTCTTCCCTGTAATATTTATTATCCCAGATACCTCATTGCCTGCCCCACCCATAGGCAAAATGCAGCCTTTCTTGGTGGGCTAGGTAGGTTTTTGTGGCAGGTAGTGGGCATGTGAGCTTAGCTGGGGATAGGGCCTCCAAATGAGGCTGGAGTTGAATAAGCACGCCTGGAGGGGAGCAAGCTACATAGGGGTTAGAGGGGAGAGCCAAGGCTTCTCTATGTCAGGTCAGAGCAGGGTACCAGATCTGGGCTCTCCCTCCCTCCCTCTGTCGCAGTGACACCACTTCAGTAGGAGAGCTGGGCTGCAGTGGGAACAGCCTGCAGTGGGAGGAGGAAGCATGGCTGGATAGAGTGGTGTGGAGCCAGATGTGAGTGGAGTGCTGGGCAGAGACTGGCAGCTCTCCAGAGCTATGAGGGCTGGGGGTGCTTTGATGGTGGGAGAGAGAATAGAGTGCCAGACGGTAGCTGTGTCCTTGTATGCCTGTAGCAGGGCTGCACCACATTTCTGGCCTCTTGATTCATCTGAATAGGGTCATCCTCTGCTTCCAGGCTCCAGGAAACCTGCAGGGAGGAGGGAACTCTCCTCTATTCTCCAGCTCCTTTTCTTCCCACCCTCTCCCATCTCTCTCTCTCTCTCTCTCTCTCTCTCTCTCTCTCTCTCTCTCTCTCTCTCCCCCCCTCTCCCTCTCCCTCTCCCTCTCCCTCTCCCTCTCCCTCTCCCCCTCGCTCCCTCCCCCTCTCGCTCCCTCCCTTTTTGAGACAGGGTCTTTCTCTATTGCTCAGGCTGGAGTACAGTGGCATGATTTCAGCTCACTGCAACCTCGACCTCCTGGGCTCAAGTGATCCTCCTGCCTCAGCCTCCCAGGTAGCTGGAACTGCAGGTGCACACCACTGCATGTGGCTAGTTTTTTAAGTGTTTTATAGAGACGGGCTCTCACTGTGTTGCCCAGGTCTGGTCTTAAACTCCTGGGCTCAAGCAATCCTCCTACTTTGGCATCCCAAAGTGCTGGGATTACAGGTGTGAGCTACCGTGCCTGGCCAATCTACATGTCTTCACCATGCCTCTCACCAACTGAGAATTCAAGCCCTCCTTGTTTTCTGGCCCAGGGCACTTAGCCTGGAGCAGAAGGTGTAACTGTCATCCCTTTGGTCATGGGAAAGCTAGCCCAGGCTCTGTATACTGAGTGGGATCACTTGGAACCCTCCACAACCTGCCGAACACAAAAGGGGAAATTTCAGGCAATATTTAGGTTACCGCCTATCTCCCCTTTCAGAAAGAAGCTCCTGCTTTTAAGCTCCCTTCAGAGATGCCAAGTGACCATTTCTTAGGGGGCGGAGGGGTCTGGACGAAGTGGAGGCAGACTCTTGCTTAGCAGAGAAGACTGTTGTGTGCATGTGTGAGTAGGACGAGAACTGGAGGCTTAAACCTCAAATACCAGGAGTATCCGTGGTCAAGTCTGGACCTGAAAAGCATTGCCCAGATACGGGAGCAGTTCCAGGGCACAAGACCCTGGAACTTAGTCTTACTGCAGTGAGCCCAAGGCTTTGGGTCTTAGAGAGGATCTTATCTTCTAGGTCAAGGAAGCACAAGTTACACAGAGACTATTAGAATTGTTTTCCTTCACTCTTAGGAAGACAATTCTAATAGAGCAAGAACTTAGTCTGTTTTAGTTGTAAACCCAGTGCCTTATTCAGTGCCTAGCACTTGGAAGATACTCAGTAAATAGTTGTCGAATGAATATTGAAGAATTAGAACCGTCCAGAGACTTGGTGGCTTGCCGCAGGAGATGTGACCACCTTGTCCTTGAGCATGTCTCAGCAGAGGCCAGGGACCATTAAACTGTTAGATTACTGGAGGGACTCATGCAGCACTGATGGCTTGGGCTTGAGGCTCTTTTCCCTTTGGCTCTGAGAATCCATGTATCTGTAACCTCTTGTGAAGAAAGGAGACCTCTAGAATGGCGCTGGAGCAGGGCTAGCAGTGGGTGTCTTTCTCAGGAACATGCAGCCCAGTACTTTTTGCCCAGCCACCTCTGCTACATCAACCTGCTGCCATGCATGCTTGTCAAACTTGATAAAGAGAGCGTGTCTATTTCTCTTTTCTTGGAAATCTTCATTGTGAGGTTCCTATGTCCCAGGCTCAGCTTGGCCTGTGACTTGCTGGGCATCTGTTCAGTGGGGCAGTATCCATCTGATGACTGCATACACTTTTCAGAGGTGGGCGCTCAGTAGGACCGTGGGTGGGTGGGGTGTAGGAGAGATTGTTGGTTGCCTTCAGGGGGAGTGGAGGCAGAGTGGGTGTAGGTCTCAGTTCCAGCTGTTCCGTTGCTGCGTCCCCAGCTCTGGCCCTGACAGAGATGAATAATTGATGGTGACTAATGGATCATTGCTCCTGTATGAAATATTCAGCAGGGACTGTGGCAGGTTTGTGTAATCAGATGTTTCATGCTGCCCTCCTGGTAGGTGTAGGACTCCTGGATTTCCCTGACTCAGAGCTGTGGGGTGATAGGGGGGCACTTCCGGGGGAAGTACTTTACAGGGGAGGGGGAAAGGCCCTTAATTCCGGGACCTGACTTACCTACCTTGTGGGGGTGTCTACACTGCCCAACATTCAGAATGTTGGGGAACTACCAGGAGGAATCACTAGTGGTAAAGGAGCAGCCTGCAGCCCTGGGATGTCTGAGAGGATCAGGAGGATGCTGATGCTGGACAGAGAATGAGTTAAACCCTGCTCCCCCACAGTGTTCCCTGCCCCCTGGACACTCAAAATAACTCTGTAGAACAACCTTAGTATGCAGATGAGGAAGGGGTGCTCAGAGGGATTAAATGACTTGCCTGAGGTCACACGGCTAGTGAGTTGTGGAGCCGGACTCCTCCCACAAGGCCACTCCACAGAGCTGTTTGCCAAGATAGTCCCTTGGTCTCTTCTCCCCACTCCATGCTCACCTCATCCCCTCCTCACTTTCCCCACTGACTCTGCAGGAATTATGTTATTGGGATCCCAGGATAGAATTACAGCCACCAGCATCCATGTGCTTGAGAGAGCTGGCTGGTCCCTGATGGGGGATGGGTTATGGGAATATCTGTGTGTGTATGCACACGTGTGCACACGTGTTTGTGTTGAGGGAGGATCTGAGGCTTATCATTGCACATGTGAGGTGGTGGGCTCAATATGTATGCTCAGGGGTATGTGCTAATCTCCTTCCCTTCCTTAGGGAGTAGGGGGCTAAGAGTGGTCCAGCCACACCAGCCCCTGCCTTTCCTGATCACAGCTCAGCAGGGAGGAGAGCGATCCCTTCCCTTATAGATCAGATCCAGTAATTCAGGGGTCTCAGGAGATTCAGTCTGGGGGCGGGCTCCACAAGGGGGTTGAAAGTTCCCTCCCTTGCTGAGGCTGGCCCGTTGGAGCTGCTCCGTGAGCCGTTAACCTTCCTGGAGCTGCAGGCCACATCTAGAACACCATGTCCTGACTCCCCATTTGGATCTTTCCCCCACCACACTGTCTTTGTGACTCCCGTCACCATCCGAGGCTGGGTGAGGAGGCCACCCGGGGACATCTCTACTTTAAGAATGAAAACTCAACTCAGACCATGCTCACCAGTTCTAAAAGACCCCGTGGATGGGCCAGTGCCCTCAACCATCCCTTTCAGCATTTCACAAGCTCCTTCCACCATCAGGAAGTTCTTCCTGCTCTCTAGTCGGAGACCTTCTTGCTGCAAACGAATGTGTCCTCTTGTTCCTTGGGCTGCAGATCTCTCTCTTCAAGGTCTCATGTAAAATCGCAGGCGTGGGTGATGGATGAGTAATGCTTGCTTAACAGAGAGGAAAATGCAATTCAGGATTTTGGGTTTAGAGCCAAATCCCTCTGTAGCTATCTCTCATCTCCAACTTGACACATTTCTCCACTTGATACCTGGTTGCTGTCCAGGGGACCGAATCGGAGTATCCTTGCAGGGGGAACAGGGAGGACCTGCTGCTGTCCCCTGCCTTATGCAGTCCCAGCCTGTTCCAGACCCTCGACTGTGCCGCCCACGGGGGCAGGACAGAGCATAACGACAGGGCCATCACTGCTAAGGAATGAATAAAAACCTTAGTGAGCTTTCCCCATATCCTCTCATTTCACACTTCTGGGCTGGAGGAGAAAGACGGAGCCACTATGGGAGGTCACATTTTGCAGATGAGGAAGCTGAGACTCAGAAAGTAAAGGGATGTGCCAGAGTTCACATTGCAGAGTAGAGTGTTAAAGCATTTTGGGTCCTGTCCTGAAAGCTAGCCCCTGGGTATGGGGGGGTGTCAGTGACCAGAGAGCCAGGCTTTTGCTCACAAATGGGGTCTCTGCTCTCTTCCTATGCTACAGGAGGGGCTGCGCTGACCAGATGGGCTGCAGCATGACACAGGCCCATGCTGTCATCCAGGGCACCGCCTCCATCCCGTTAATGTGTCCTCAGAGTTGTGATGACATTGTGAAAAGACATTTTTTTTCCCTTGCTTATTTCAGCTTCAGTTCAGTGTTAGGTACAAAGAACTTGGCAGATAGGAAGAGACAGGAGGAGAAAAAGGGTGGCTTTTATGTCACAGATTCCCAAAGGGAAAAATTAACAGAGGATCTATTCTTAAACAAAAGCAAGGCTTTTTTTTGCAGAATCCTTGATCCCCCCGGTCTGAGCCGCATATGCTGTTGGCTGCACCATTTATAAAGCTCTTTCTTTTTCTTTCTTTTCTTTTTTTTTTTTTTTTTTGAGATGGAGTTTCACTCTTGTTGCCCAGGCTGGAGTACAATGGCGCAACCTCAGCTCATTGTAACTTCTGTATAAGGCTCTTTCTCCCTGGCGTCTGGTCAAGGGGAGGCCCTCTTCCGCAGAGGTGCCTCTTCTGTCTGACAGACACGCAGTTGTCACGCTCAGCTGAAGGTCGATCACACACCCCACCCAGAGCTAGGTTCTGCGGGGAGGAAGAGAGTGGCCCCGTGGAGTCAAGGCTCTGCTCTGTCTCTGAGCAACATGATAGAGAGTGAGAGTAACTCACGTAGAGATGAAGACAATGTCAGGAGAGAGCAGCACAAACCTGTCACAGGGATGGAGCACTTAGGGCCAGGTGGGGCCAGCTTACCCAAGACGGGCTTTTGGAGTTCAAGGGTGATAAGAAAACCAGGGGCTGGGTCGTAGGGGGAGGGGACTCAGAGGGGAGGGCACTTGAACTGGACACACACCTCAGTGGCGCCTGTGAGAATTCAGCCATTCATTTAGCAAACATTTGGTGGAGTACACACTGGGAGGGCAGGTGCTTTGCTAAGCCGTGGTGATATAAAGATGCTTAAGACACAGCCCTTTCCCTTCACAAACTCACAGTCCAAGCACGTCAACAGGTCATTTGAATACAGAAGGGTAAGTGAATATAGATTGTCAGGCTGCAGCTCAGCATGGGGAGCTGTCAGGTCCGCCCAAGGGAATCAGAGAAGACTTCACAGAGCAGGAGCTTGAGTTGGTGCTTGAAGAAAGAGTAGGCATTTTCCAGATGCACAAAGGGAAGAACATGTTTCAAGCAGAAGGAATCACAAGAATGAGGACTCAGAAGTGTGAAGCCCTTTGGTGGGCTTTGAAGAGCTAGAGAGGAAAGCAAACACTGGCAGAGGGGCGTGCCTTTGGCAGGGTATGAAAAATGATTTGGAAGAGGCAGAGAGCTAGCATCAGGGGCCTGTTTGGGACAATGACGTAGGAATGACAGAGGGTGGGAACTGGTCAGAGCAGTAGCTGTTGTCTGTCCAGGCCTAGAGGTGCAGGGAATGGGTTTCAGGATGACCAGGAGGACTTGTCCTTGGCCCCTCAGGAGGACCTGAGAGTGGGAAGCTCCCCCACCCCCCATTATCATGCCACTTCTTTCTCAGGCCAGTGGGACATAGGCATTAGGGATCCACCTTCAAGAAGGAAAGAGAGAAGCTGTGAGCTGAATGCTTTCCTTGAGACCTTATCTGTCTGTCTGTCTGAGGTTAAGACAAGATAGAGATGACATGAAGGCAGACTGAGGCAAGAAGGTGACAGCAAGGACTCCTGGACCAAAGTGTTAACAGGGTTGTGTTAGGCCATTCTTATGTTGTTATAAGGAAATATCTGCGGCTGGGTAATTTATAAGAAAAGAGGTTTCCTTGGTTCACGGTTCTGCAGGCTGTACAGAAAGCATGGGGACAGCATCAGTTTCTGGCGAGGGCCTCAGAAAGCTTCCAATCATGGCAGAAGGCGAAGGGGGACCCCCACAGGGTAACCCAAACAACCCAAACACCTCCCGCCAGGCCACATCTCCAACATTGGGGGTTACATTTCAACATTAAATTTGAGTGGGACAGATATCCAAACCATATTAGGGGCCCAGGGTCATGTCCTCCCGGGCGGACCCTCTCTCTGGTGGATGTGCTTGCCCCTACCCTGGGGGTTTCCTGGCAGGAGCACTCCTCCCCAGGAGTGTAGAGGGTGAGAGCTCCTGCATCTGCACACCCCCATGCCCCAGAGCCTCTGAGACTGTGTCCGGATGATCTCATTCCCTCGCCTTGCTTGCAGGAAACATGCCTTCTAGCAATGTGAGCCTGTTTCCCTAGTTAATGGAGCTGGGGAAATGTGCATTCATTTTTCCCCTGAGCTGTGACAGGCAATAGGAAATTTGCCCTGAAATATGCTTCAGTGTGGATTGAAATAAAACACTCGGTGTAGTTTGCAACCCAGCATTAAAAAGGAATAATGCAGGCATCTCACCCAGACACCGGCTTCCAAGGGTAGCATTTCCCTCAAACTTTCTTTTCCACCCCGCCCAAGCATCCCTTCATGTGGTGAGGTGGGGTGATGCGGTGAATTACCTGGGAAAGAAGCTGGGTCAACGAAGGGCTGATGCCAGTGTGTCCACTGACAAGAGAGACCAGGAGATCTGAGACCTTTTATTTTTAAAATATTGGTGACTTTAGAATTCTGGAAGAAAGAATGGGTTCATTTAAAAGCCCCTGATGCCTGGATTTGAATAATTAAACTCAACTGATTCTCCACATTGCTAATGGAATTCTGTTGGTGTGAGCAATGGAGGTGTTAGGATGGGGGCCTGGAATAGCAGGTGGTGGTGGGGGGCACTGGTGCAGATCTGGTTCTTCTAAACAGCCCCCTCTTCTATTTCTCTTAACCTATAACTGAACTGTACCAAGAGAATGATGAATACCAGCCAGGTGAGTGGGAAATGGCTCTATTTTAGTTTATTTTACTCCTTAGGAGGAAATGCACTGTTTGTTCAGGTGGCCACTTCATCGACAGGTTTGCCAGGACAGGGCTGAACTCTCAGACTTCCCCTCACAGGCGACCACTGGGTCTAACCTCTCTCTTCCCGGCTTCCATGTCCTCCTCTGCATGCCACTGCCCTTGTCCTAGTTTAGGCTGGTCACTCCCCCAACCCTGTCCACAGCCCACTGCTGCACAGATATTCCTGGAATACCTTTTGAGCATGTCATCCCCCCTGCTGTGTCCTGGAGGGCATCAGGTGCCAGAGAGGGGGGTTGGGTGTCAGTGCTAGAAGTCAGTGAGTTAGAGATGGATCAGTCAGGATGGGGCATTTCATCAGAACATCATGGCCTGTGGGGACAGAAGGTAGGCTTCACAACATGCTGAGTGACATGGTAAGTCAGAATAAAGGGGCCAAAGGAAGTAACTCACTAACCAACTGAAACCAAATACATCACGGGTGAGGGGCACATTGGAGCAGAGACACCCAGAGACAAATTCCCGTGGACACAGTTCTACACATGCTCCCTTTTCAGCTAGTGGAGACACCTGCACCCCCATGTTCATGGCAGCGCTATTCACAATAGCCAAGATATGGGAACAACTTAAAGTTCACTGATGAATGGATAAAGAAAATATGGCGCATATACACGATGGAATGTTATTTAGCCATTTAAAAAAGAAGGAGATGCTGTTTTTTTGTGACAGCATGGATGAACCTGGAGGACATTATGTTAACTGAAATAAGCCAGACACAGAATAACAAATACTGTATAATCTCACTTATATGTGGAATTGAAAAAAAAAAAGCTGAATAAATAGAAACGGAGAGTAGATCAATGGTTACCAGGGATGGGGAGAAGGAGGTCAAAGGTACAACTTGCAGTCATGTAGGATGAGCAGGACTAGTAGCTCATCTACAGGAGGAAGACTACAGTTAATCATACCGAATCATGTGCTGAACATTTGCGAAGAGCAAAGATAACTATGGAAGGGGACAGGTAGGCTAATCTGCTTACCTGTAGTAATGATTTCACTATATATATGTATATTAAAATGTCACATTGTACACCTAAATATATACAAAAATACATTAAAATTTTTTACTGTAATATATTTCAGTAAAATATGTATTATAATATATAACATAAATAGTTAATATGATATGTACACAGAAGAGTGAACAAATCCTAAGTGTTGATAGTTGGATGAATATACACAAACCGAGCACACCTGGGTAACCTTCAGCCAGACCAAGAAATAGAACATCACCAGCACTCTAGAGGTTGGAAATGATCCTTAGTGAATGGGAAATGCCTCAATTTCCCCCAAGCATGGCTTCTAGCACTATAGAAAAGGTTTGCTTGTTTTTGAACTGGAATAATATAGTATACACTCTTTTTTTTTTTTTTTTTAAACAGGGTCTCACTCTGTCATCCATGCTGGAGTGCAGTGGCACCATCGTGGCTCACTGAAGTCTTGACCTCCTTCAGCTTAAGCAGTCCTCCCACCTCAGCCTCCCAAGTAGCTGGGACCACAGGCATGCACCACCACGTTCAGCTATTTTTAAAATATTTTTTGTAGAGATGGGGTCTTGCTATATTGCCCAGGCTAGTCTCAAATTCCTAGGTTCAAGCAATCCTTCTGCCTCCACCTCCCCAAAATGCTGGGATTACAGGCGAGAGCCACCACATTCGCCAGTATACACTCTTTTGTGACTGGCTTCTTCCCCTGTGTGATGTTTGTGAAATGCACCCTGTTGTTGCATGTAGTTATGGTTTATCCACATTGATGTGTTGTATTTCCTTGTGTCATTGTGCTTCAACTGATTTGTCCATTCCACTGTTAATGACATTTGTGTTGTTTCCAGTCTGGGGTTGTTATGACTAGTGCTGCTGCGAACATACTTGTCATGCCTTTTGGGAAGCACATTTCTCTAGCTAGGTCACGGGGTATGTATGTTTTGCTTGGTCATTGTAGGGTATGCATTTTCCAAAATGCTTTTGCCAACTTACACTCCCACCAGTAGTGATGGCGAATTCCTGCTCCTCCATGTTTTGGTATTCTCTGTCTTTTTACTTTAGCCATTCTGGTGGGCGTACATGGCATCTCTCTTCCATTTCAACATGCACTTCCCTGATGACTAAAATAATTGAGCCCCTTTCCAAATGCTTATTGGCCGTTTGGATATCCTTTATTGAAGCTACTATTTAGGTCTTCTGCTCATGTTTCTACTAGGTCATCTTCTTCTTATTGATTTGTGGGCATGATTGCCACCTCTGTTGAAGGCCCAGGCATGGACCCTTCACTTGTGAGTTTCCTCTTAAAGCAGAAGGGCTGGGTTTGTAGCTAATTGGATCCCTGTTGCCACCATCACCTACCTATTGGATCAAGTCCACCCCGCATCTAGGGTATAGGCTAGTCCATGATCAGCTCCACGCTAGCTCCGTGGCCTTGACTCTCGGTTGTCCCCACCCTCAGAGAGCCCGTGCCTCAGTTGTTTAGGAGTTCACCCAGGCCCGAATCCGCTCCGTGCTTTGCCACTCCACGCCTATGTCCAGGTGTGTTCTTCACCTGGAAATCTCTCTAGCAGCCTTTTTGCTGATTCAAGCCACCCCCTTTAAGGTTCAGATTAAATCACACTTCTTCTTGAAGCTTTCCTAACTTAGACCATGGTCATCTCCTCCCTGACCTGTGCCCTTCTTGTCCATCTGCCTCCTTTCACAATGAGCTGTATTCTGCCTTGTGACACCTTTCTGTTGCTGGCTTAGCTTGTTATTTAACTTTTTGTGTTTATGCCCACGTAGATGGTACCTCTGTGTTTCCCACTGTGGGGGCGTGTTTGAGCCAGGCAGGGGAGGGGCAGTCAGAAGTCATGCACAAGCCAACCCATCATGCTCTGCCAACCCTGTCGTCAGATTGCTCAGTCAGCCAACGTGCTCCCTTGAATACCCCCGTGTGCCTGGCTCCCAGCCGGCAGCTGGGGAGAAATACGGCAGGGAATGCTACCTAACCTCCAAGAGGTCAGTCTCACTGGCAAGGCAAGACAGGGACCCAGGGAGCTACAGAGGTGGCTGGGCTGGGCTGGCTCTGGGCAGAGTGGTCTGGGAGGCTGGATTTCAGAGGAGTAGGAAGGCTGTGGCTCACCAGCCACCGTGGCCCTGGCCTCATCAGGTGGAGCTGTCAGCAGCTCCATGGTTGGCTTTTTGAAGGGGTAGCTGATGAGGTCACGGTCTTGGATCTGATCCCCACGGAGGCTCATAATTGCTCTCAAGCAAGCAGCATTGCTTATATCTGCTCCAGGCACCCTGAGTCCTGCCTCACTGGCCAGGCGGTGCTGGGAGACATGAATCCTTCCATCCCCTGACTGCTCAGCTGATTTATTGGTGCTACTAGCCCAGACTGGCAGGGGAGTGGGGATGCTTGGTGCCACACATGTCTATGGCTGGGGAGTCATCCAAGCAGCCATCTGAGGACCTGCCGTCCCCTTACCCAGAGGACAACATCCCTGCCCACCGATCATTAGGCTGGTCCTGCTCTCTGTTCCTTTTTGAATCTGGGCCAAGCTCATGCCTTTGCCCTCAGGGCTCAAGATCATACACTCTGGTCTGAAGCTTTTTATCCGCCTAAGGATGAAGGGCTTTCAGCGGGGAGCCTCTTAGATATTTTACTTAACATTTCCTGAGTGCTCCCTGCTGCCAGCGGGGCCATGGCAGGAGAAGTTAAGGACCCTGCTCTGGGGATTTCTCCAGTTAAATAAGACGAGACACCAGTGGCGGTGGAGGATTCTCCGCAGCTGCTGGCTCTCACTTTTAATTTCCTGGGCTCTGACCCCAGGACTCTTCCCTTTAACTCTCCCTCTCACCTCTGGGGCAGTTTGGATGGAGGGAGGATCCCTTATGCAGCTTTCAGGGATGGCAGTGGGAGGGGCGGCTCCTAGGAGGGTGAGAGGGTTGTGGGCAGCAAGGGAAAGTGAGCTTCTTATGGCTTGGCTGTGGCTGGGGGCAGGAGGAGGGGTGTGGCTTGATCTAGGTGAGACCAGGAGCCAGGGTGGGACCAGGGGTGGGGAGGATCTGGCCATTTGGAGTGATCTAACACCTCACTGAGGCATTAGCTGGACTGCATTTGAGGGAGGGCTTGAACAGAGACCCATGTCAGAGGCATCATGGTGGCTTCAGGTAGAAGCAGTGATGGGGAAACAGTGTTTTTGTCAAGGGTTCTTCTCTTGCTCCTCAAATCACCTGCCAGCTTAGCCCAGCCCTATTTTCCCAGGGCCTACAATAGGCAGTGGAGTTTACGGAAATCCACATGCAAGCTCTAGAATGATGGGATCACACCACCACTCTGCATGCCCCTTTGTCTTCAGGAATTTGCTTGTTGGACAGCACCACAGGTGTTGGATAGGGGCAAGGGCTTCAACTCTCTGGGAATGTTTTTAGATGGAGAAAAGCAGAGAGGGGCAAGGAAGAAGCTGGGAATGAGTGGGAATAATGCCAATTGTGTGGTTAAGTAGGATTTGGGGTAACTCTCTCTTTCTCCCCTTGGGCACCTTCTCATTCCCTTCCCATCTTCTTGCCCCATTGGTTATAACAGTGATAATGTTGTGGGTTTTTTTGAGACAGGGTCTCACTTTGTTTCCCAGGCTGGAGGGCAGCGGCATGATCATAGCTCACTTCAGCCTCATCCTCTTGGGCTCAAGTGATCTCCTGCCTTGGCCTCCCAGAGTGTTGGCATTACAGGCATGAGCCTCCATACCTGGCCAACAGTGGCAAATTTAATCATCAAAAGGTTCTATGTATGAGAGAAAGAATCATTCACAAAGATTCCATAGGTAGGTCCAATTTTCTATGGCTCCTAGGGGCAGAAACTGGTATGTTCTAGTTCCCCATTTCAGCACCAATTACATAATGGCCTATATTAATTTGAATCCTCTGAATTTTCAGGTTTGATTTTAGGAAGCTCTATATTTAGGCAAAATGTATGGAGGCCCAACTAAGTGCAGGCCTGTGCTGGGCTCTGGGATATAGAAACAAATAGCCATGGCCCCTCCTTTCAGAGAGTGCATATCCTGGGGAAACTGACATGCAAACTATTAGTTCAGTACAGCGATATGGGATTCAGAAGGAGGGAACACTGGTCATGCTAAGAACTGGTCTTCCAGAGGAGGTGACATTTGATAGATGTTTTGAGGGAGGAGTAGAGGTCGTTTGATGAATAGGGGCATTCTCGGCAGAGAAAGCAACATGGATGACAGTAGAAAAGTGTGGCACAGCATTGAGGGCTGAAGGAAGCCTGGAATCTGAGTGAGGGCCTGGGAGGGGTTGAAGCTAGAAAGAAGGGAGGAGGCTGGATCATGAAGGGCCTTGAATGCTGGGCTAAGGAGTTTGGAGTTTTTTCCATTGAAGGATATTAAGCAGGGACATGATATGACCAGATGTGCCTTTTAGAAAGTTCACTCTGGCAGACATGTGACTCCTGGTTTGAAGGGGAGTGGTGCAGACTGCAGGGAAAGTAGTTAGGAGGTAATTGTGGAATCTAGGTGAGAAATGATGAGGGCCTGGGCCTCTGGGAGACAGAGTCTGCATTTGAGAGCTAATTAGGAAGAGTAATGCACCAAACTTGCTAACCAATTATAAGTGGGAGATAAAGCAAAAGGAAGCTCTGTGATGATTTCTAAGCCTCCGAACCAGACAACTGAGTCAATGATGGTGCCTGGAGCTGAGAAGGGAAATATAGGAGCAAGACTGGGCCTGATTTGAGGGAAAGAATTAGTTTAGTTTGGATATGGGGAGTTTGAGTTACCTTTGGGTAATTACCAATAAACAGCTGCAATTGGTGGGGGGAGGGCTGGTGTTCAGGGGAGGCCCAAGCCCTAGGAGAAGAGAGGGAGTCTTCACCATCAAGGCAGCTGTAGGAAGGGAACAGGAGGGAGACAGAGAAGGGAGTCGGCAGAGACCTCTGGGGGATGCTGACACCAGTGGGACCAGCTTCTCCTCCTGCTCAGCAGCTAAGGAGAAGAAGCTGAGCGGAGGGAAGGAGCAGTAGGAGGGGAGTGAGAGATGGGCGTCGCCCCAGAGCAAGGGAGAGAGGGCAGAAGGGGTGTGGCCCTTGGCAAATGCTTGCATGGCCAAGGCAGATGGGGCAGAAGTGTCCTTGAGAACCGGCATTTCAGAGGCCACTGGGGACCTCTGAAAGCTGTTTCATTGGTTAAGAAGGGTTCAGAATGTAGGGCGATGTGTGTCAGAATGTAGGGCGTTGGGTCAGTAGTTGGGTGGGGGGTGGAGACTCTGAACGTGGCAGCAGGGAACAGCCACACGTCTGTATTGGGAAGAAGAGATGCATGTGGGTAGCTGGAGGTCATCTGTGTTTTAATTTATAAATGGTACAAACTTGAGCTTATCTGTAGATGGGAGAGGCAAAGTGAGTTGAAGGTAGAAGGAAGTTTGGGGACAGTTGGCGAGCAGGATCCTATCAGAGGCAGGAGGGGTTAAGTGAAGGGACTGACCTTGTAAAGGACTAAGGACAGTACCTCTCGAGGCCTATAGGGAGGGGGGAAGCCCCAGAGAAAGAGACTGAATACAGATTTCAGGGAGGGACATGAACATTAAGGGAGCCGTATGAAAACAGGATCTCAGAGAGGGAGGGGCACTGGGTGAGCCTTGGAATGAAAAGATGAAAGAAGAGAAGAGGTGGAGAGTTGGAGAGATGGTGAAAGAAACAGATGCAGTCTCCAAATCACAGACGCTAAATCTGATCTTACCTCAGTCATAGAATCTTTGCAGTGCCATATTTAAAAAAAAATTTAGAAAGGTTAACAGAGCAGAAAAGTACAAGCATCCATTTTATTTTATTAGTTTTTTTTTTTTTTTTTTTTTTTTTTTTGAGACAGAGTCTCGCTCTGTCACTCAGGCTGGAGTGCAGTGGCACGATCTCGGCTCACTGCAACCTCTGCCTTCCAGGTTCAAATGATTCTTGTGCCTCAGCCTCCCAAGTAGCTGGGATCACAGATGCCTGCCACCACGCCTGGCTAATTATTGTATTTTTAGTCCAGACAAGGTTTCGCCACATTGGCCAGGCTGGTCTTGAACTCCTGACCTCAAGTGATCCACCCGCCTTGGCCTCTCAAAGTGCTGGGATTACAGGCATGAGCCATTGTGCCTGGCCCCAATCATCCATTTTCACAGAAATAACAAATGTTAATGTTTGGTCAGTCTTTTTCCCTGTATAGTTAAGAACAACACAAATAATATATGTACACATTCTTCTTTATAAAAATGTAGGTATGTATGTAAGCCATCACAGGTAAAGCTAAAATCCCTTTTGGAGATTTTACTCCTTATCCACTTCCTCAAAAGCACCCATGATGATTTTGCTGTTCATATTTCATAAATCATATAGTGTCGGGTTTACCTGACAATATGAAACACCTTATAATAAACCACCTCAAATTAGTGGCCTAAAACAAAAACAATCATTTACTTTGATCAGAAATCTACAGTTTGAGCAGGGCTCAGCTGGGATGGTTCATCTCTGTTCCACATGGTGTCTGTTTCTTTGGGGCCCCTGGAGGATCTACTTTCAACATAGCTCATTCACATGGCGAGTTGGGGCTGGCCATCAGCTGGGAATTCAGTGGGGACTGTGGGCCAGGGCTTTCTGTTCTTCTCCATATGGATCCCTCCATGGACTTCTTGAGCTTCCTCACAGCATGGTGGCTGGTCTCCAAGAATAAGTGCCTAAGAGAACAAGGTGGAAGTGCATTACATTTTCATTACCTAGCCTTAGTCATGTAGCGTCACTTCTGCCATAATTTACTGGTCAAAGCAGTAACAAAATCCATCAATTTCAAGGAGAGGGTACACAGACCCTCTCTCTCAACATCAAAGTCACATTATCAGAAGAACATGTGGGATGGGAGATGAGAATCTGCCACATATGTATTTAAAACCTGTATTTGTCTGTTCTCACACTGCTGTAAAGAACTACCTGAGACTGGGTAACTTATGAAGAAGAGAGATTTCATCAACTCACAGTTCCACAGGCTGTACAGTAGGCATGGCTGGGAGGCCTCAGGAAATCTACAATCGTGGCAGAAAGTGAAGGAGAAGCAGGTACTGTATTCACATGGCCAGAGCAGGAGAGAGAGAGAACAAAGGTGGAAGTGCTACACTCTTTCAAACAATCGGATCTCATGAGAACTCTATCATGAGAACAGCAAGGGGGAAGTCTGCCCCCATGATTCAGTCACCTCCCACCAGGCCTCTCCTTCAACATGTGGGGATTACAATTAGACATGAGATTTGGGTGGGGACATAGGGCCAAACCATAGCAAAGCTTTTACATAAACAGTATTTTATAGTCTATATTCTTTAACTTGCTTTTTCTCACTCAGCATTATGTTTGTGAAATTTAGAGCTGAACTTACTTTTTTATACCTGTCATGGCTGGTGTTCAGGTCCAGGGAGTGAGGAGGAGCTGTTAGCAATATCATGAATTTGATTTCAGTGTAGCCTTCTATTATTGAAGCCAAAATGCTAGCCTGGGAAAAGCTTCTGTTTTGATCAGCACTATTATATCCAAAAAGCTGAGCCGGTTGTCTGATCTGAAATGCAAGATTCATGCCAATTGTTTAAGCAGAAGCTTCAGCAAGAAAGGTAAAGAGGAACAGAATCAGAATGAATTGAATGAGGGTCTGCATGCTAGGTGTTGTAAGATATGCAAACAGACAGACAGATACCCATGGATGGGGAGAAGGTTTGTAAGCTGAGTAGAGGAGTTCAGAGAGGGTGGGAAAGGATGGATGTTGAGCTAAGAGCTGGCTTTGGGAAGGATTCTCTGCCCCATGGGCTCCTCCAGGCCAGGATGGCATCTCATCTATTTCCTTGTCCCCAACTCCCTGGAGGGCACCTGGTTCAATAAATGTGGTTGAATGTGGGAAGTGGGACTTGAGCAGACTCTGAATTGGGTGGGGGGAAGGGAGGAAGATGGGCATTCTGTAGTTAGGACCACAGCCTGCGTACCCTGGGCTGGAGCAACAGTGAGACATCCAACTGGCTGCAGGGGTGGAAAGGCGGTGGCCTTAGTGAGACTGGCCTTTGAAGTGAGTTGGGTTGGGATTGAACCTGGCTTGTCAATTACTAGTGAGATGACTAGAAGGACAAGTTATCAGTTTCCTCATCTGTAAAATAGACATAGTAACGCCTGCCTAAACTGGCTGTGAGGATTAAATGGAAAGATGCAAAGTGTTTAGCACAGTGTAATGCACCTAACACATGGTAAATGCTCAAAAGAGGTTAGGAATGATTACTATTCAAGCTAGGGTCAGATGACAGGTGGCTTGACCCTAAGCTGGAGAGCTTTAATTTGGTCCTCTAGGTGTTGTTTCAGGATTATTAGCCTGGCTGCTTGGACCGGTTAGAGGAAATGGGGTAAGGTGGAAGGGAACCAGCCAGCAGATCATGTGAGAAATCCATTTGGGTATCAGTGAATGAGTATGTCCCATTCTTGAGGACTGGGATTCTTCCTGCTCGGTGTCCAGGACCTCTAGTGATAACATTTGCAAGTGCACATATCCACATGTGGGTTAGAAACAGAAAAGCCCAGCCTTTCCCTGAGTCCCTGAAGATCTCAGAGTGACTCCAGCCCCTTGGGAAAGACTTTGCTGAGCTCCCAACTCAACTGTGGTCCCTGGTCAAATACTTTCATGGCTGTCTATGCTTTGCATTAATAGTCTTCACATAATTTTCAATTGTGTATATATATTATATAATTATTATAATATATATTAATTATATATATAATTATTTAGTGTGTGTCTCTCCCACAAGACTGTAAGCTCAATGAGAGCAGGGCCTATTAGTGTGTTTGGCACACACTTACTTGAAAGTAATTTGTTAAATGAATGACTGCACGTTAAATATATGGTCATACAGACTCATTCATGTGCCCAACGTGCTCAGTATTCACCACATCTTATTTTTCCTTAGTAGACATCCTAGTGCACATATGCAGACATCATATGGTCACACATACACAGTCCTCATTCAACAGTTAACTACTGGGCCCTCCTGTGCACCCAGCACTGTTCAGGGGATGCTGTAATAAACAAGAAAGCCATGGCCCTCTCTGAGCACCTGGCATTTTCTTGGGAGGCATGGACAGACAATAAACAAGGTGAGTTCTGAACAAGATAACTTCAGATGGTAGTAAGTGCTCTGAAGGAGGCGAAGCAGGCTGAGATCATGACATTGAGATTATTGGGGTGGTGCTCAGGGCAGAGCATGCTGGGCAGTGGGGGAGGGGGCCGGCCAGTCTGAGGGTGTCTGGAGGGGACATGTGGGAGGCCAGTGTGACCAGAGCAGTGTGTGAAGGTGAGAGAGCAGAGCTGCGGCCAGTGAAGTGGGAGGCCTGGACTGCTGAGGTCAGATTAAACAGTAGGGGTTTCATACCAAGTGCAATGGGAGTCCTTGGAAAATTTTAAGCTGAGGAGAGATGATTTGGTTTACCATTTGAAAAGAATCCTTAGGCTGGTAACAGATCATACTCCCATCAGTTATACAGATATGGATGAGTGATTGAACACACATAATCTCACTAAGTACTTGCAGCCATTTATCAAAGCTCATATTTCTATATTCACACATGTGTACATATCACATCATATTACACAGACTTTCACATCCTTCCACACAGATGTTCATATGCTCAGATGGACCATGCTAACACTGGGGTATATGCATAATTAAAAACACCTAGGCCAGGCGCGGTGGCTCATGCCTGTAATCCCAGCACTTTGGGAAGCTGAGGTGGGCGGATTAACTGAGGTCAGGAGTTCGAGACCAGCCTGGCCAATATGGCAAAACCCTGCCTCTGCTAAAAATACAAAAATTAGCTGCACGTGGTGGTACACGCCTGTAATCCCAGCTACTCAGGAGGCTGAGGCACGAGAATTGCTTGAACCCAGGAGGCGGAGGTTGCAGCGACACAAGATCACACCACCGCACTCCAGCCCAGGTGACAGAGTGAGACTCTGTCTCAAAAAATAAAATAAAACAAATAAATATACCTGTGCTCTCCCATTGTTCAGAAATTCACACACATACCCACACAAGAATACTCACACATTAAAAAAAATACACATTAACCTGCCACATAGACCTTCATGTATTACACACAAATATCACATGTATGTAACGGCAGGTTCCCATATCCACTCCTACCCAGAACCAGCCAACTGTCACTGCCCATCAGCCAGGCAATCTCATTCAGGCTTCTAATGGCAAATGAGATCAGAACTCTGTGAGGAATTGTCTTCTCTGTTGAGCATAAATGTGCTAAATAAATCTCCCTGCCTCGAATAAATCTTGTACAGATGTAGAAAATGCATTAAAGGCTGAGAAACTAGAGGTGGCTGGAGACAGCCATGGGAACAGAGTAGTAAATCTGCAAGGGGTGTGCCGGCAGCTGGGGCTGTCCAGGGCAAGGAAAGGAGCTGGGTGTGCGGGCAAGTCTTCCTGGAGGTCACCCCAAGGTAACTATGGCCTCATTCCCTGGGTAATGTGTCCCTTCAACTGGAGCTGTTGGGACCTAAGGATGTGGGTGAGCATCGATCTTCGTGACACAGAAACATCCATCTCATTGGATCCATTCAGGGAGGAAAAGTACTTGTTGAGTCAAAACTCACTCCAAACTTTTCAGAGTATGGACACAGAACATTGATACATTTTTGGTTTGTTTGGGCCTGATTTAGATGTGAATTACTGATTCTTTCCTGCAATGTAACTGAGGGTCCAGGCCCATGATTTTATTATATCGTTGGGTCCATTTTCACGTACCTTTTAACTTACATGTTCCAACGCTGAAGCTGACCTGCCACACAGGGTCTTGCTGTTTATTCTAGAAGACTTAATAGTACTTATAGTTCAGACATTTTCCCCTTTTCAGATGATTTATTAAAATGTTCAGTAAACCCAAGCCCACCATCTACACTTGGAGGATGGCTAATATGTTATTTTCTTTTGTTTCCCATCTCCAAGATTTTCTTATAACACCATCCATAAGCCCAGATTTCTGGGCAAGAAATGAAAAATATTTTCATTTAGTTTACACACTAGCAAACGTTTGGATATTGTGAGACAGCTGGAGCCTGTACTGCCCTCCCAGCTGCTAGTTTGGTTATTTCGGCTCTACATTTTTAAGACTTTTTCTTTAGTTTTCTGCAGTTTTCCTGTGATATGTCTAGACATGACTTTCTTTTTATTTTTTGCTGCTTGGGATTTGTTGGGTTTCTTGAATCTGTGGATTGATATATTTTATCAGGTCTGGGTATCTTCTGCCTTTCTCTCCTCAAGTGTTGCCTTAGCCTCTCTCTCTCTCTCCCTCCCTCCCTCTCTCATTTCCCACCTGTAATTCCAATGAAATGTCTGTTTTCTTCTCATCCTCTTTTACCCTTTATTCTGCTTCTGCCAAGTTTTAACCACTGTGTTCTGGATTATTTCTTCTGATCTGCTTTCCAGTTCATTAATGTCTTCTTCAGCTGTGTTAAACTTGAGATTATATCTGTTCATTGAACTTGTATTTTCAGTTATTGTATGTAAATACAATAACATACAATCTTACCATATTAGTCTGCACCAGCCGCTAAAATGAAATGCCATAGACTGGGTGTCTTAAACAACAGACCTTTATTTCTCACAGTTCCGGAGACTGGAAGTCTAAGATCAAGGTGCTGGCAGATGTGGTTCTGGGTGAGGGCCCTCTTCCTGGCTCGCAGATGTCAGCCTTCTGGCTACATCCTCTTCCCATGGCAGAGGACCCCCATTTCATGGCCTCATCTAAACCTAATTCTCTCCCAAAGGTCCCACTTCCAAATACCATCACACTGGGGGTTAAACGAATTTCAACATATGAATTTTGGGAGGACGCAAACATTCAGTCCATAGCACTGCATTTGTCAATTATAAGCTTTATATTTTATTGTTTTCAAACTATCATGTGGCACGTTTTACAGTTTCTGGCTATTTGCTGAAATTTTCGATGTTGGCTTTTTATTTACTTGATACTGAAAACATAGTTGTTTTATAATCAGTACCTGCCGTTCCCCTATCTGGAGTCCCTGTGGATCTCTTTCTGTTATCTGTTGTTCCTGACAGTTCTTTCTCAAGGTGTCTTGTTTCTTTGTGTGCCTGAGTTCCTTTAATTATGTAGTAAGCATTGTTTTTGACAAATCATTTGCTATCTTCCCTGGAGAGAAATTTTTCTTTCTTTTTTATTTTTATTCTTTTATTCAGAGATAATTTTTTTAGCTTCTGCAGTGTGCCTGGGGGCATTCTTAGGGCAGGGAAGCTTCATTCAAGTTCAGGGCTTAAGTTTTCATGGCCAGAGAGTGAAGTCAGCTTAGAAGCCCATCTGGTTTTGTTCTGCATGTAAGGGATGAGCCCCTTTGGGGTCGATTCTAAAGCAATAGGTAGTTTATCAAAGGCCTGCCTTGGTGGATTCTGGACATTATTGACTTTCGTTTCTCTAGGCCTGGGAGGCTGCCAAAAGTGAGCCCAGCCAAGCTGAATTTCTCAGCAGTTTCCTCCTGAGGGACAAATGCCCTCAGGGCAAAAGCGACTTCCAGCTCTGGGTTTTTGTTGTCTTCTAGATTTGGGCCCAGCATTTCCTCACTAGCTTGTCTTTGACACTGTTTAGGTGCTTTTTGTATTTCATCAAACTTTTTTCCTCAGTGGGAGGGTCGATCTTGACGGCCTAAATTCCCTCGCTAAAAATGGGTCTCTCCGCCTTGGCCCATGCACAGTTGGCTGCCCTGGTGCTGTGCTGGGGACTGGCCTCCACCGCCATGAGCTTGTCCCAGGCAGGCAGGAGTGGCAGCACTTTCCTCTGGCTCCAACTCCAAGGCCTTGACAGATCAGGGGCTGCCTCTGGTTCTCATGCTTTCCCCAGTCCTCTTTGAGTTCTTTTCTCAAAGGTGGGGAAGGCTGATCATGACTTTGTTTCTAAAAGGAGGGGCCCCTATTGCCCCTCACAGGGGTTGAAGGCTGGTGCAGATGGGAGTTTTGCTGGTCTGACTGCTTCATTAGGCTAGCTGATCGCCGATGGGAGTGGCGGGCTGCTTATCACAAAGGATTGGTTCTTTGGCCTCGCCTGTATCAACCCTGACCAGGTGAACAGACTCAGGCCCAGCTGACCCAGCAGAGATCACTGGGTGGCCTTGGGATGGTGAACATTTAGAATCCAGCCCCATCCACAGGTCGTTAAATCAGTTATTCTCCTTGTTTTATCAATGATACCGATGGCTGTGTATGATTAGTCAGAGCCCACATTGATCAGAACAGACTGGGACAAACAAAAGATGAATTTTAATACAGAGCAATGACCCAAGGCTGCAGGGACACCTTCCTTTCATGCTGCTCCCTTGACAGCTGCTTTCAAACATTAGGTGTGGAGAGGCCTAAGTCACCCATCTCGCCCACCCATGTTGTTCCAACCAGACTTGGCCGTTACAAATGGTCATGGCCATGTTATGCTCACAGCAACTAGGGAGTGAGTAATTAATCCTGGTGAGAACTTCATTAATCTTGATTTAGTGCCCAGTGGAGTTGTGCTCCTCTTCCCCCTCCCCCTTCATTTTTCTAGACATTTAATGACTGAAGGAAGAATGTGAATACCCAGGGAGAGCTAGCTGGGCTTGGGGGATTCTGTGGCTCTTCAGCTCCTTGGAACCTCAGAAGCCCCACCACAGTTTTCAGCCAGTAGCTCCCTGGGCACCAAAGGAAATTTAGCAATGCAGGGGTTAAAGGGTTGAGTGCCCGATGCTCCCACTTCTCTATGATCCTGCAATCCCATGCTGTCTTGGCCTAGGTTCCTCAGCTTCAGGAGTAACAGTATCTTCTCAGTTCCTTCTCTGTCTGTTCCCAGTGCTCCTGTGAGGCCGGGTCACTCATGGGACCTCACAAACTGCAGAGAGGCTAAATTCTAACATTCCTGCATTGCCCTAAACACTGAAAACGCCTCTCTTAGGACCCCTGGCTGATAGCATTAGTGGTATTCTCTGAATCTTTCTCCCTCTTGGGTTGCCACAAGCCCTCCTTCCTCACGAGTGCTGGCATATGTCAGTGAGTACAGGTGTGCTGATGAATGTTGGGGTGTGGGTGGCACTGTTGTTCAATGGATCTGGACCTGCAAGCTTTGTATTCATCACGCCCTCTGCTTTTACACCAATGAGGATAAGCTGTCACCAGGCAGATGACAGTGCCTCGGTTATGCCCAGATCTGAAAGGCCAGGGCTCCCAGGTAGGTTGACTGAATGAGAGACATGTTTCGTGTCTTTCTACTCAACTATGGTCTTGAAATCTATTAAAGATAAGAATTGTGGGTGGTCTTTTTTTTTTTTTTTTGAGACAGGGTCTCACTCTGTCATCCAAGCCGGAGTTCAGTGGTATGATCATGCCTCACTGCAGCGTTGACCTCCTGGGCTCAAGTGATCCTCCCACGTCAGCCTCTGATTAACTGAGACCACAGGCGTCCACCACTAGGCCCAGCTAATTTAATTTTTTTTTTTTGAGATGCAGTCTTGCACCGTCACCCGGGCTGGAGTGCAATGGTGTGATCTCGGCTCACTGCAACCTCCCCCTCCCAGGTTCAAGCAATTCTCTGCTTGTATTTTTAGTAGAGATGGGGTTTTACCATCTTGGCCAGACTGGTCTTGAACTCCTGACTTCATGATCCACCCGCCTCGGCCTCCCAAAGTGCTGGGATTACAGGTGTGAGCCACCGCGTCCAGCCTAAATTATTTTTTTGTACAGACAAGGTCTCACTATGTTGCCCCGTTGGTCCCAATCACCTGAGCTCAAGTGATCCTCCTGCCTCAGCCTCCCAAAGTGCTGGGATTACAGGTGTGAGCCATCATGCCTGTGCTAAAGATAAAAATTAAACATTAGTATTTCTAAACAGTATTTTAGTGCACAATTTAATGCAAGATGTAAAGAGATGCAAAGATTTTGTCTAGTTATGTGACTCACAGTATCTCACTTTGTGTTAGTAGTTGCTTAGCCTCACTGATATTTTCATGGCTTGTGTGGAATTAATGCATGCTGAATTTATTAACTGTACCCTAGACTTTCAGAAACATCAACAGGTCCCGAATTCCTGAAGGCTTGACATAAATGAGACACAGACAGATACCTGATTACTACAAGATTTCCTCCTACTCAGCCAGTCATTTCTACCTGATGTAACAAGCCTCCTCTTGGCTTCTACTTCAAGAGATGCATGTGGCTTCAACACTCAGGTCATCCAGTTGCCCAGGGGCCATCGGTCAGTGCCTCGCCACCCTGTCTTTGAGGAGATGCCTTATGGAGTGGTGGTTGGGCCTTGGAGTCAGACAGATTCAAGCCCAAATCCCAGCTCTGTCCCTTGGTGGCCATGAGCTCTTATGCAAGTTACCTGCTTTTATTCTGGAAAATGGGCAGAGTAATGCCTGCCTATAAGAAATACTTCAAGGCAAGGAATTATTATTCTCCTAGGTAGCATAATGCACATAAAATGGCTAGCACAGGTCTGGCATGTAGTAAGCACTTGATAAATGAATGTTGTCATTATGTTCTCTTCCCCAAATAAAGGATTTCTCTCTATTTGCCCCAGAGCTTTTAAACCCTGTGGATCTTATAGTAATTCTACCTATAAACATTGCTAGCAGTTTTCACTCTTAACAAACTACAGAATGAAAATATAATCTCGATTATATTTTTGCATTTATTTGAGTAATATGCTATCAACTTTATAAAGCACTTTCACATATACTGTTCTATTTATCTCCCACATCACACCTGAGAGGTTTAGACCGTAATGAAAAAAAGACTTGAAGCAGACATGTGTCTTAACCAGTTTATCTGAGTGTGTCTGAGTGTACCAACAGATGTGGATGAGCGCACGAGAGATGTGTGAGCCCATGTCTCCACGTGTCTGTGACTATGAGTGTTGGAGCCCTACAATATATTCAATGATTTTATACTCTGGGGGGCTATAGATCTTCTGCCTCTATTCTGTTCCCACCAAAATGTCCTTCTCCATTTATTTGTGTGCTGTTGAACTGCTGCATAGGCTTTGATGGTGCTGAGAGGGAGGATTGCCTGAAAATATCTGGGCCGGGCGCGATGGCTCACGCCTGTAATCCCAGCACTTTGGGAGGCCGAGGTGGGCAGATCACGAGGTCAGGAGTTCGAGACCAGCCTGGGCAACATGGCGAAACCTTGTCTCTACTAAAAATACAAAAATTAGCTGGGTGTGGTGGCAGGTGCCTGTAATCCCAGCTACTCAGGAGGCTGAGGCAGGAGAATCGCTTGAACCCGGGAGGCAGAGGTTGCAATGAGCCAAGATCATGCCACTGCACTCCAGCCTGCTCGACAGAGCAAGACTCCATCTCAAAATAAATAAATAAAATAAAATAAAATAAAAATAAAAGAAAATATCTGAGAAGCCTACTGTGGGCTCAGTCCATTACTCTCATGGGACTTTTGTATTGACTGACTTATTGATTGATGTAATCTTCATGGTTACACATACCAATGTGGTTTATTTAGAATGACCACTGTAAAATAAAGTATCCACAACTCTTTCTGATAAATACACACAGGAAGGTACACACACACACACACACACACACACACACACACACACACACACACACGGCTGGTCACTTGCCTGTTGTCTTTAGATCCTTTCCTCTGCTCAGCAAACTACATTTCCCAAGCTCCCCTGACAAGTGGATTCTGGGTAGGTTCAGCCACAGGCAGGCGTTGGTGGAGACTGTAGGGTGGGAGGAGGGGAGAATCCCTTTCTCTCTTTGCCTCAAGTGGCCTCTCTGGCAGTAGTTGTGTTTCCTCTATGGATCTAGTTTTTAATAGAAGGCCCCAGATTCTGGGTCCCAATAACACCACCTCCTCCTTTTTTTCCTCCCAGCCCTAGGAGTGGTAGTAGCTCTTTAATACTGTTTTCCTTTCGGTTGAGTCTTTTCCCCGCCTTACTTCTCAGTTCTCTATCAACTGTTAAATTACTATAAGATTCATAAGGCTTAAATACTCTGGGACAAATAGAGAGGAATCCTTTATATGGGAAAGAGAACATAATGACAATCTTTTGGGTTTTTGTTTGTTTTGTACGTTTTGTTTTTTTGAGACAGAGTTTCGCTCAGTTGCCCAGGCTGGAGTGCAATGGTGTGATCTTGTCTCATTGCAACCTCTACCTCCTGAGTTCAAGTGATTCTCCTGCCTCAGCCTCCTGAGTACCTGGGATCACAGGCACCTGCCATCACACCCGGCTAATTTTTGTATTTCTGGTAGAGACGGGGTTTTGCCATGCTGGCCAGGCTGGTCTTGAACTCCTGACCTCAGGTGATCCGCCCATCTTGGCCTCCCAAAGTGCTGGGATTACAGGCATGAGCCACCGTGCCTGGCCTTCTAGGTCTTTCAAACAGTGAATTTAATAAGAGGATTAGGGGCCGGGTGCTCTGACTCACCATGGTAAGCACATTGGTCCCAGAGAGTCTCAATAGACCGATAAAGTCATTCACTTTGGGCTGCGTCTGTGACATACCTCTGAAATGGTAGGTGTTTATCACGGAGAGATTGTTCTCTTCTCCTGCCCTACCCCAGCATCCCCAGTATTCAGCCTTCAAACCCTCTCCTCTCTGTACATTATGTGTGGGCCTAAAGAAGATGCAAAATCCTGGGCCCTCCGCATTCTAGGTTTGCTCTGTAGGGTATTGGTCTGTCCTGATTTCCTGGTTGGGAATCTTCTTTGAGGGAAGAGAATGCTACCATTTTCACCAGCAAACTGGATCTAGATTCTGATGAAACAGCCAGTCAAGCTGTCTGATCACTGGGGAAATTTAAGTGAAATTAATTGTTTGGCATCATGAGGACCAGGGACTAGATAATCTTTTTTTCCTGCTGAGAGCTGCTCACAAAACTATCTTATTTTAGCTTTTTTTTTTTTTTTTTTTGAGACGGAGTCTCGCTCTGTCGCCCAGGCTGGAGTGCAGTGGCACGATCTCGGCTCACTGCAAGCTCCGCCTCCCTGGTTCACGCCATTCTCCTGCCTCAACCTCCCGAGTAGCTGGGACTACAGGCGCCCGCCACCACGCCCGGCTAATTTTTTGTATTTTTAGTAGAGACGGGGTTTCACCATGTTAGCCAGGATGGTCTCGATCTCCTGACCTTGTGATCCGCCTGCCTCGGCCTCCCAAAGTGCTGGGATTACAGGTGTGAGCCACAGCGCCCGGCTAGTTAGCTTTTTAAAGAAATAAATTTGTGATTTGCTTCTTAAATTAGAAATCATGATCACAAATCTCCATTTAATAAACAACAAAACAAGTGTAAACATTTCACTGATGACCAATGAATGTGGAAAGGAGCAAGAGACAGATGCGGGGGAGGGAGAGAAGAGCAAATGAGGAGAGAAAGGTGCACCGAGGCCCTCCCAAGAGATCCTGGTGTGTAGAAAATGAGGAAGTATGGAAACAGACCCATAATTCATGAAGCAATGACCCCACTCTTCTGGCCTTGTAGGATGTCGCAGCTGGAGACTTTTAAAGTAGCTTTATCTTCCCAGCTATAGACTATCTGAAGGCCCAGGAGTCAGAGCTCCAAACAGACTTTTCCCTTGGTTGCTTTAGTCCAGAAGAAACACCAGGCATCACATATTCATCTGCCTGTCTCTGTGACAAGGGCCTTGAGGTCAGGCGCCTTGTCATATGTACTTAGCCCAGGACTTAGTAAGTACTTATAATTTTTTGATGAATGTCACTGAAAGGGAATCAGAAAACTAAAAAGGAGTATAGAAGTTATTGGGTTCATCCTCTCCCTAAACAAGACATACCTAAGTACCTTTGACTCTGTGCTTTACGCAAGAGGTGACAGCAAAAACTGTTCTGTTGTTGTCATTGTTGCCCTTTTCCTCCTCATCACTTTCATCCCAGGGACCAGTTCATTACCCTCTTAGGAGGCAGCAGAGTTTCTTAGAACAGAAGACTGTAGGAAGAGTAAGAGCAGAATATACATAAATAAATTATTTTAAATTGAAATTAAAAACTTAAATAGGTACATCATAGAATGGCATACTATATTCAGTAATAAAAAGAATGAACTCTTCTTACCTGTAACGACATGAATGAATCTTAGAATAATTATGCTGAGAAGTCCGGGTGCAGTGGCTCACGCCTGTAATCCCAGCACTTTGGGAGGCCAAGGCAGGCAGATCACCTGAGGTCAGGAGTTCGAGATGACCCTGGCCCACATGGTGAAACCCTGTCTCTACTAAAAATACAAAATTAGCTGGGCATGGTGGTGGGCACCTGTAATCCCAGCCACTTGGGAGGCTGAGGCAGGAGAATCGCTTGAACTCAGGAGGCGGAGGTTGCAGTGAGCCAAGATCGCGCCATTGCACTTCAGCCTGGGCAACAGAGTAAGACTCTGTCTCAAAGAATAATTATGCTGAGTAAAAGGAGCCATCCCAGAAGAGTACATCCTGTAATGATTCCATTCCTGTAAGATTTTCAAACAAGCAAAACTTGACAATGAACCAAATCACAGTTTACCTGGTGCTGGGGATGATAGGGGCTGAGTGCAGAGAGGCACAAGGAAATGCTTGAAGGTGATGGAAACGTGCTGTATATTGATTGGGGTGGTGGGAAAGTGCATATACACTTAACAAAATTCATCAAACTGCATACTTAAAATGAGGATATTTCATTGCATGTATGTATTATAATTCAATGAAGTTGATTGGAAAACATAAAATGAGGCCAATGATGGAGACTGGGGCCTTGTTGCTGTTGTGTGCATGCAGGAAACCCAAGAAGGATGGCAGTGAGTCACCTTCCTGCTAGCTAAGGATGAACCAGAATGAGAGGCATGAGCTGGGACTTCACAGGAGCCTCATGGACTATTAGAAAGAGGGTCTTGAAATCTCTTTCTTCCCTGTACATGGAAAGGTCCTCCCTCTACCCCTCTCAACATTCATATCCTCTGTTTGGGGAAGCCGGGGTTCAGGCAGTGGGTAAGACTGCCTTTCCCTACCTGCGTTGCAAAGAGAAGACAATGACTTGAGGGTAGAAGAGCACGCAGCAAGGCAGCTGACATCCCCGATGCTGCCTCATTGCAGATTCCAGAGGGCACTGTGCTTGTGGAATCCTGGAGTTTTGTAACTTGGCTGACCTTACATCTGGGGGAGGAACTTCTTGGATCCCAAGCCCATCCAAAAGTTAGTACAAACCCAGAGAAAGGAGCATCCGTTCCTCTAAGAGCCCAGTAGACAGAGCAGCCAGATCCCTCAGCACCCAGGCACAGCGAGTGCATCCAGAGCTGCCCCGTGGTCTTCCTGCCCTGCCTGCCACAGCCCTGCAGCTCAAGCAGAGGTCCCTTAGCCAGCCTCAGAGGAGATAGTGTCTGGAATTGCTTTAAAATACTCCAGAAGAAAAAGTGTGAGGGGGAAGAGGTAAAAGGGGATTGTAGAATATTCTTATATATTGAAATTGGGTGACGAGCACATGAGGCATATTATACTCACCTTTGTACCTATGTGTAAGTTTGAGGATATAGTCATAATAAAAGATCTATTTAAAATGTTGCCGCTGAGGTTTCGAAGTGGAGTGAACAGAAACACAACGGTGCTGTGGACAGACACAGGGGATTCAGGAAGAGGAGCCGGTTTGAAGGCAAAGGTTTTTGGAGTTTTCTTGGGGAAGTATTGTGTACTTGGTGCAGATGGTGACGCCCAGCAACCTGGAAAGAAGAGGGCAGGGCCGGGAGCAGGCTGAACTGTCGGCATGGCAACTGAATGTCCATGCTAGAATGGCTGCCGATAAAACCTGCTATCCCAGAACCCTTCTTATTGCTGAGGGTAATGACCTCCGCATCCCTTGGTTCTCCCTCTGAGAAGATTGAACGCCTTGCTGTCCCTGGGGCAAAGGGTGGCTGGCTTGAGTTCTCTTTCTTGTTAGCCATGAAAGGGCCTCCCCTGTGTTGGGCTGATACCTTGATTGCTGTCCCTTGCCCCACATACTCATAATCCCAGGAAAACTTCCAGAAAAGAGGACTCATGATGATGCCGAGAGAGATTAAGTGACTGATGACAGTTCACATTGCTAAGCATATCCAAGGAGTTAGTACTGCAGCCTGCTACTGCTTCTCTCCTCTGGGAAAGAACAAGCTCATTTCCCCTTCCAAGCCCCAGTCACTTCTCCATTATTATTACCGACAATTTACTATGTGCCTGGGACTTTGCAAATCTATTCTGTACACATTATTTTTAATCCTCAACAACATTATTAGATGGATATTAGTAACCCTCTTTTACAGGTGATGATCCTGAGGCCCAGAGAGGTTACCTGACTTGCCCAAGGCTACTCAGATAGTAAAGGCTTAGCTAACGATGGGACCAGGCTTTGTGTAATGCCAAAGCCTGTACCTGCAACCATAACACACAGCGTCTCTTAATGAGCCTGGCACATGTCCAGGGAAGTTAGGGACATGTGCACTCACCTAGAGAGGATGGAGTACATAGGGTCTTTCCACCCACCCCGCTCCATCCGTTGCCTCTTGGTTAATGATGTACCTGAGCCGGTGGAAGGGTAGCACTTGGCCCTGCCAGTATCTGCGCTGTCATAGTCCAGGTAGACTATGGAGGAGCCCTTGGCCTCAGTGAGTTTTAGTAATTGATGTGCTGTCTTCCAGATGCTGCCCTGAGCATCATTACTAATTAGAGGGTTAACTTTCTTGCCTTGAATGTATGGGGCTCTGCCCCAGGCAGGGGGATCAATTAGTGTAATCTCTGCGTCTTTAGGAAGTAGTGAGGCTGCAGAGATAGGGGAAAAACACTGGGATCTGAAGATCTGGGCATGGTTCCAATTCTGCCGCCAACTCGCATACACTATGCCTCTTGCCGCTTCCTGGTCTTTGCCCATGGTGTGTCCTCTGCCTGGGATGCCCTTCTTATACCATGTGCTTGGGTAATTCCTATTCTCCCCCCAAAAACTCTGCTCAGAGGGTCCCGTGGCTCCTGGGCCAGGTTGGCACCCTCCTCTCTGTTCCCACCACACTGATCATCATACGTTGTACATTGCATTGTGATCACACGTGTGTCTCCTCATTGGAGGGTGGGCCTCTTGTGGACAAGGGTGACCACAGCTTGTCATCCTTGTATGTCCAGTGACTAGCACAGCCCTGGTACCTGGTGGACTCTCAAAGTGTCTGACAAGTGAACTAATGAATGGGTAAATGCGTGCATTAATGAAATAAATGTACTAGATTTGTGACCAACTTTGAGCAAATTAGGGTCCCACTCTGAGCCTCAGTTACCCCACTAACAAAATGTGGGGATTGGATCCAATGAATTTCGAAAGCCCTTTGCGCTTTAGAAACACTCCCGCAGGGGTGGAGGGAGAGGGCCAGCGCCTGCAGAGTGTTCTCTCTGAACACCTGCCCCCTTGGAGCAGAGACCGGAGTTGGCAGGCCAGTGATGGATGCAGGACTGGCATGAAAAATTGAGGCCACGGGCTGAGCTCCCCCTGCCAGGCTGTGTGAAGGCTGCCGAGTGGCATAGGGCAACCACGAGGGAATGTTATCGATGGCCTGACACCGTGTTTGGGGGATTAGCCCGTCCTCACATGTAATTATGAGGCATAGGATCATGCAAAGGGACAAGGCTGCACTGGAGAAAAAGGATATACCTTGTACTCAGCAGTGGTGATGAGTGAGCTGGGGAGGAAGGCGAAGCCATCCATCTCTTCTAGGCTGCTTCTGCTTGGCATAGCCAGTAGGTGGCCCCAGTAGGTGCCACCCAGTAGGTGGCAAGTGATAACTGGCTGGACCCTGCCCTCTAGCTTGGGATTTGGAACTGAGGGTTCCCAGGGGCAGGTGGTCCTAAGGGCTATCTCTTCCACGGCCCTTTTCTGACAGGAAGGGCTGTGCACTTAACCTTAGCATCCAGCACAGTGCCCAGCAGGAGTCAGCACTCCATAGCATTGATTGAATCAATGAATACACAAATTATATGGTCCATGAGGGCACGGATTTTTATCTCATTCAGTGCTCTGTCCCCAGCACCTGGAGCCATGTCTGGAGTGGAGTAGATGCTCAATAAGCATGTGCTGAATGATTAAGTGACTTGAGGAAAGGGATGCAGAAGTATGATACTGTGGCAGAAGAAGCAAAGCACTAGAGAGTCCTTAAGTCCGGATAGAAGGAAGGCTGGGGGAGACGAAGCTTGCAATGTGCTGCGAGCATAGGCGCCCACATCTAATTACCTGGGAGCGATGGGCTCAGAACCATCTCTCCTTTCCTCTGGGGAAGTGCTTCTCAGAATGTGATCCACCGGCATGACGCGGTGGCTTATACCTGTAATCCCACCACTTTGGGAGGCTGAAGTGGGAGGATTGCTTGAGCCCAGGAGTTCAAGACCAGCCTGGGCAGAATAGCAAGACCCCATCTCTATAAAAATATTTTTTAAATTAAAAATGTTTAAAAATAAAAAAATAAAGATGGTCCACTGATCACCATGTCAAAATCTCCTGGAGCACCAGAACTGAGCTTGCTGAATCAAAATCTCTGGAGTTGGGCCTGGGAATCTGAACTTTATGGAAGTTTCCAGAAGATTTTCAATGCATGTTAAAGTCTGGGAGCTATTTGGTGAAAGCTGCTGTGGAAGAGATTCCTGTCTTTCTCACCTGCTGGGGTAGTAGCGGTAACAGAAGTTGTAGCCACCATTAGCTGAGGGCATACATGCATTGTCATGTGATCCTCCCAGCAGCCTTATGAAGTATTACTTTTCCTCTTACAGATGAGGAAACTGAGGTTCTGACAAGTTATTGAACTTGCCCCATGTCATGCAGCTAAAAGGTAGCATAGTCAGGACCGAAGTCCAGCTTGTATATATCACACTGTACTACTCTGCTAGTTCCTTCTGCTTTTCTGGTGAGATGTTCCCCCTTGTGGCTAACTCAGGTCTCCCTTACTGTCCTCAGAACCCAGCCCCTTGTCCTGACCCCAGGAGGAGAGAGCTGTCACCTCAACTGGCAATGGGCATTGCTCCAGCCTGTGTTTTGATGGAAATACACGAAGCAGAGGGGACAGAGATTCTTGGGCAGAGAATCAGTTTGTTTTCATTGAAGGACCTCCGTGCCAAGCTCAGGTCTGGAGGTACCTCCTGCCTGGGACCCAGGGGGTTTAATGGCAGGGAGGAGCGGTCCTGCAGGTAGTAGCTCTGACCCTACCAGCCCAGCTCCCCACCCCTCACCCCCAACTTACATGTCAGCAGCTGTCACCTGCTCGACAGATGGGCTGACTGGCAGCACCTCTCCCTGGGCTGTACCCAGATTGGCTCGGCTATGCCCTGGCTGCCCCTAAGCTAGAACCATCTGTGCCCAAGAGAGACCCAACATTAGAGGAGAAGGGCAGATGGGGCTCTCGCAGCCCCTCCAGGTCATGGGGAGAGAGCTTAGGACCTTGTGATGCTCACCACCTGCTGTGCCCAAATTGGGCACCTGAGAGCCAGGACGGAGACTGCAGGGGCAGCTCTACTTCCCCTGCAAGGGGCTTTCAGAGTCGTTTCCAAGGCTAAAATGCCACTTACTGGCCACACACTGCCAGCCTGACCACACTTCTAAGCTATCTCTTTTTGCCGCTCTCTTTCTGTCAGCAAAGAGCCCCCAGTGTCACTCCACAGCAGTTGGAGTCCCGGGAAACCCTCTGCTTGGTGGAAGGGAGGGGCTGAGCTGGCAGGGATAGGTCTGCCCCTGGTTCCATTCAGCCCTTCTTCTGGATTTATTTTCACAGCTGATTGAACTCATCACCTTTTTAACGGGGAAAACAGAGCTGGACTAAAAAGTTCCCTTAAAATGAAACCCAAGATCAGAAGAACACGGACAGAGGTAGCATGTGTGCAGAATTAGTTTGCTGTGCATTGGGAAAGGGGAGGGGTCCCTTCCACCAGGGAAGGAGACAGGGTGGTCAATTTCATGCCCTTCTGAGAATGCTGCAGCAGATTTGGTATTTGATACTCCAAAGGGGGAGGGGTGTTGTCATTTTCCCTCCATCCCTCAAAAAACTCATTCAGAAAGAGAGACAGAGATTTTCTTGAGTCTAAAGGCCTCTGCCTCTATGTGAAGGAGGCTTATGCCGGATCCCCTAGGGACTGGGAAATTGAGAAGCTCTCCAATCTGGCAAGCATTTAAGTTCAATCAGTCTGTGTCCCAGCTTTTAGGAAGGGAAAATCGGCCACTTCATACTCCTTCTACCTAGACCTCCTGACTTCACCAGGAGCAGGGTTCAGGGGGCCACACACTGGCAGGGGCAAGAGGAGGGTGCCAGCACCCTGAATTGGGAGGGGTTGACACATTTTGAGGCAATCTGGCCACTCCTTTTTTAAAGCATTTGGCTGCGCATTTCCCTGGGAAATGAGGACTTTTAGGAAAAAAAAAAAAACTAATAAAAAAAATCCGACCACTGCATTGCAGTGCCTCTGAGATTGGTGCAGGCTGCTCAGCTGCTGTCTGAGGCACACACACGCCACACGTACTCACAGCTTGCACCTAGGCCCCCAGTCTTCTTACCCCCTCTGGCAGCTGCTGTCATAGCCTGGGGGCCAGAGGCGGGGAGTGGGGACTTCAGCCATCCTGCCACTCAGCTCTGGACTGGACCAGGGCAGGATCCAAGAGGCATCAGTAGAGGCAAAGGTAGGGATTTCTGACGCAGGGAGGGGACACGGTGGCTAGGCCTGGCTGGCTTCCTGGTCTGTGGCTCTGCTGCCTCTACTGCCCTTGCCGCACACTCTGGTTATTGCCACCATCCAGGGCACTTTTAGCTGAAACCTGCACAGTCCCACTCCTGGCACCATCCAGTGCAGATGCCCTCGTCATTTTTTCCTTTTTCTTTCCAAAAAAGGGGCCAGTCAGCTTTGTCATCCACCCACCTGCAGTCTCCCAGCTCACAGAGCCATGGAATATCAGAGCCGAAAGGACCCTAAGAGATCATCTAGTCCAATCCTTTTAGTTTATTAATAAGGAACCTGAGACCCAGAGAGGAAAGGTGACTTGCCCAAGGTCACTCGATGAGCTCTGGGCAGAGCTGATCCTACAGCGTGGGCCCAGAGGTGGCACAGAAAGTGCTTTGAAACATGCTGAGTGAACCCAAGTGAGAGGGTCCCCAGGAAGGGGCTGGTGACTTCCTGCTGATTGAGTAATGAATTCATTGATTAGCTGTTCAAGGCAGTCAAAGAGGAGATGCAGGATCAGCATTACGTCCCCACCAAACATACCCTGAGCTCTCCGCAGGGCCCTGACCCCGCTGTAGCCCTCTGCTTTCACCCTCCAGGAGCCCTCTACCCACCTGCTGGCTTCCAGTGCTTGTCAAGGACAGTGAGGGGATCCCAGGGCTGTTGTCTATGCTGACTGCACTCAGTTTCTGGACCCAGAAACTGAAACCAGGGGAAGGGGGAGGCCAAGAAAAGGGGGGTCCTTTACATCTCTCACCCCAGGAGCCAGGGTCCCTAAGGCGATCTCACAGCTCTCCAGTGTGAGGGAGGAGAGGGGAAATGCAGTGACCGCCACACCAACATTTTCCCGCTCACAGAGCTGTCTGACTGCTCCCTCCCTGACTTCTCCCAGAGCCTTGTGGTAGCCCCCAGTCACTGCATGCCTTCCCTTCAAATGCCTAAGAAGCCAGGAGCAGCTTCTGTCCAGGGTCCTGACCCCACCTCCCAGGGAAATGGACTTCAGATCTCACTGGGAGAAGAGAGAATCGTAGGTGGAGAAAGAGGCCCACTTTGGGTCTTGGGCATCTCTTCTAAAGGGTGCCCTTGAGACTCTTCTGGTGGGTTGCTCTAAAGACCGTGGTGAACGTGGCTCTTGTGTGGGTGTGCTTGGACTGGCTGTGCCAGAGACTGGACCTGATGAAAAGGCTTCTGTGTCATGACCATGATGAGGTTGGCTCAGCCTCAGTCTGACCTGGAATTTGGACAGTTGGCTCTTATGTAGGGTGTGCTGTGCTTCTCTGGACATCCCATTTTAAAAAGGACATACACAAAAATGAGCTGTGCCCGGAAGAATTTGGCCAGCAGGGCAGAGGCAATGGAAAACACTGGAACAAGAGTGGAAAGATCAGTTTGGATTAGACAAAGGCACCCAGGGAAGCCATGGTGGCTGCTTCCAGAGAGCTGGAGAGTGGTCCTGTATTCTGAAGGGCTGGACTCTGTCTGGCAGTGGAAGCCACAGGGAGAGAGATTTTAGTTCAAGATAGGAAGTCCACTGTAACTCTTAAAGATGTCCAAACAGTGGGAAGAGCATAATGTGGTGGGTTGCCTGTTGCTGGAATGTTCTAGCAGAGGCTGGTTAGGGAATTCCTGCATGAAGCAGGAGGTTGGGCTGGGGATAGCTAAGTGAAAACACAAAGGAAACTTACCTATGTCATGGCTGTGGCACGAGGTTCGGCCCTCCACATATGTGTGGTATGTCAAAGTTAACATGTGGTCCAGCTCATCTAAGCTTCGCACCATCCTTGCCAAAAAAGGCATTATTTCCTGCTTTTATAGATGTCACAATGAGCCTTAGAGAGGTTAAAGACACTTCCCTAAGGCTGTCCGCTTGGGAAGCAGCAGTTGGGACTTGAACCCAGGTCTGTCTGGCTCCTGATCCCTTGGTCTTTGCACTCTACCATCCTTGGCTCCAAGTTTCAGGCTCACAGGGCCCTGGGCTAAATGCCCAGACAGAGGCTTGCACCACTCCTGCTCTGAGTCTAAAATCAAGAAGATAGGGGAGCCGAAGCCCTCAGGGGCCGAGGATCTGGAGTCGGGAAATTTCTGTTTACCTTGGAGTCCAACAGCAATGACCAGCAGGGGACCCCAGAGTTCAGCCTCTGGCTTACCCTGACCAGGCTGATGCTCCGTGACTGACTGTTCTGATTGGAGCATGTGAGCGTTTGTGCCTGTGTGCATGCATGCAAGTGTGCATATGTGCACGTGTGTGTGTGTGTGTGTGCGTTCCAAAGCCCGCTTTCCCCCAGTGCTGCATGCTCACTCTTCACCCCCTTTCTTACAGGCACGGCCCGCTGTTCACCCACTCCTCTCTGCACACAATAAGCCACACTTTCTGGTCCTTATTTCTTGGCCTGGGGTCACACCTGTTGCTGCTCAGACAGGGAAGCCCCCCTCTCCTATCTGGCCCAGCACTTTTTGCCCCAAGCAGGCCCACTCGCTCCATGGTCACCTTGCGCATGATCACCCTTCCCTGTGTTCCCCCTGCCAGCATCACAGTGCAGCCCTGGACCAGTGGGAGGACATCAGAGATCCACATCTTCTGGTCTTTGCTACCCATGACACAGATGAAAGGTGACTGGCACTCCTGTTGTCCCTCAGACCCTCCCTCAGCCTCGCAAGCGCATGCCCATTTCTTTTGGAGAGACAGCATCTGGAAGTGAGAACACATCAAGCAGGATCGTGTAACCCCTGCCACTCACTGCAGGACCCTAGGGACATTGTTTAACTTCTCTGAGCCCCAGTGTCCTGTTCTGGAAAACAAGGATAGGAACACCTCTCCTGCAAGGGTCACGTAGGTTGGGCACATAAAGACCCAGCACAGTGCGTAAACGGTGGTGTTCCCTTGTGCCTGAATTAATGGTAGTGTCCCCTTGTCCCTGAAGACTCTCAGACACTTGATCAGCTGTTGGCTCAACAGTAGATAAAGAAAACGGAAGAACTTAAAGGACTCTGAGATTTAAAAAAACAACAACAACCCAGAACACAATGACATTGTAAAAATGAGGTATGTTTCAAGTCTGCTAGGGATGAGCCTGTAGTGAATAATTCTGGGCTTCCTCAAGGCCTGTCCTGGGCTCGCATCTCCTGCTGTCCGAAATGGCCATACCCTTCAGCTTCAACCTCCTTCTCCAAGCAGATAACTCACAAATGTGAATCTTCAGCCCAGACCCCTCCTCTAAGCCCACTTGCTCACCTATCTGCATGTTCAGCGACTCCACTTTGACACCTCTAAGGCATCTCAACACCCACCTCATGCTCTTACCCTCTTGTTCACACCTGGTCTGACTCTAGGAAATTATATCCCAGTGAGTGACACCCCCATTTGGCCCATAGTACAAGCCAGGAGCTTAGGAGTTGCTTTTAGTGCCCCTTTATCCTCTCCCCCAACCCAATACCAAAGTCAGTCACTTTTTTCTCTTCTTTCTTGAACATTCTACCTCTCTTCAGCTCTAGCAGCCTGGGCCAGCCATTAGCATCTCTCACCTGGATTATGCAGAAGCTGGTCATTCTGCCTGGAATACACTTCCCACCTCGCTGCCTAGTTAATTTTGGCCCAGCCTTCAAGCCTCAGTTCAAGGGCCACTTCCTCCAGGAAGCTGTCCTTGAGCTCCCTGAGAGATCTGAGTCTGTCTATTATAGAGCACCGTCCCACACTCCATAGTGCTGGTTGTAGCACAGATCTGATGTGTGTGTGTGTTGGGCGGGGGCAGGGGTCAATGATCAGTGTCACCTCTCCAAGTAGGATGAACTCCCCATGAGGGCACAACCTTGTCTGCTTTTGCTCATCATTAACTCCCCAATGCTGAGAATAGCATTTGACACATGAAGTAGGCAATTAACAAAAGATTGTTGAATGGATGAATGAATTGGCAGGAGTGAGTCTGGAGTCAGGTTTTGCACTTGGGCGGAGAGGCTGGAGGAAGGCGTTCTGGTGCCTTCGAAGAAACAGGGCTGGCCTAAGTGTAGGTGCTGCAAGTGGAAGCAGCTATCACAGGCTCAGAAAGTGGGTCTGCCAGGGAGCGTGGGCAGCAGAGTTGCAGTGGAGAATGTGCCTTCTTGGGTCACGTGACTGTGAAAATATTAGTCCTCAGGAGCAATTAGTTAAGTTAATTAGCTCATCCATTTAAGCAGCAGCTAAAGCAATGGGGCCTGAAGACCGTTTGGGGAAAGACACTTAATTATTTGCACCAATGTCACCCTAATTTCCCCAGTAAGCTCAGCTGTGGCTGGGCAAGGGCAGAGACCTGAACACTCAATTGATTTCCTCTTTTTGGGGCCTAGAGTGGGAGGGGTAGAGGGACCTGGGGAGGAGGGCTGGCTGAAAGCAGGCTGCCAGGGCCCTTGAAGCCCCACTGGCCACCTTCAGACTTTGCATCTCTCATTGACCCTTCTGATCAAGACATAAGTTTTCCAGGCCCCAGGGATGTCACTCCAGAGAGAGGATAACTTAGTCAAGGTCACACAGCAAGTTAGTTCTAGGGACAGACCCAGAACCCAGGCTCCCAGCCTCCTTGACCAGGACCTCCTCTTCAAGGAAAGAAAAGAAGAGGTGCAGAAATCACTGTGGTGACCCACAGAGGTCCAGCGGGTTGTGGCGATGTAGTCACACAGCATAGCTCCCCTAGAGAAGCATGCAGCGGTACCTTGCCTCCATCGTGGGACTCCAGCGCCCAGTCTCTGTTTCCCTGTCTGGAAAATGAGGCCAGTGTTTGTGGGGAGTGGGCTTGGAGATACCGCCATTCCCTATTCCCAATCTCTGGGGATGGTCTTTGGGCATACAGGTTCTGGTCTATTTCTGACCCCCATACGAGGTCAGCAGTTAAGGCAAGCATCTACTATGTGCCCAGACTGTGCTAGATGCTTTGGGTGGGGGTGGGGGTAACGGCCAAGGTATGGGACCAGTCCCCTGTGGTAGTACAAGCAAAGTGACTGGAGAACAGTACCAGCCAGTGCGTAGTGACATGCTGAGCTGTGTGTCTGTGAGGACAAGTCAGTCAGAACTGAGGTGATGAGTGAGGAGATGGAGAACTAAAGGTGCTCTAGGTAAGCGTGTGAATCTATATATCTAAGTATGAATCTATGCAGGGATATGAGGATGCAGATGGGCTGGACGGTTCAGGGGGGGTCCGTGTTGGGGACAGAGGCATGAGAGTTGGAGTGATCAGGTGGGGCCGTTTGGAGAAGGGCCTTTTGTCTGGGTGCAGCAGGAAGAGAGTGACAATCGAGATTTTCTATGAAAATAGTGGCATTGAGATGTCAAGCCGCTCATGCAAAAGGACAAGGAAAAACTTACACCATCAGGGAGGGGCATTCTTTCCATGGGATGCAGAGCTGGGGGACTTGCAGGCAAGGCTAGGTTAGGAGGAAATCCAAACTCTAAGGGGGGGTGGGTGGTGGGAAGGAAAATGATATGCATCAAAGGCCAACTCAGGCTCTAGGCACTGTGCTTTAAATGGGTTATCTTAGGTGAATTGGTGATGAATGTTCCTTGAGAAAAGGAAACTGGAGCTCATCTGGAGCTCAGAGAGTTTAAGTAATTAATCCAAGTCACACAGTTAGCACAAGGCAGAGCCACGTTTCTGGGTCTGATTTTGAAGCCAGGGTCTTTCCACCGAAGCAGTCCTCTCACCCTTGGCTACATGGAGAATGACTGATGCCCGGCCCCCTCCCAGGATAGCTGAGGGAGTCTCTGGGAGATGGGGCTGGGCACCTTTCCTTTAAGCTCCTCAAGTGACCCTGCTGGGCAGAGAAGTTGCGAGGGCCCAGCAGCAAGCTGCCTCCTGCTTTGGTCCCCAGGTTCCAGCCATTGCATCACAGGGGACTGGCTCCTGTCACCATGCACTAACTCCATTGCTGTCAAGGATGCAGGAGGTAGGGAAGACACATTGGTGCACTAAAGTTGATCTGAGACAGGCCTCCTGCAGAAAGGCAGGTGCCCAAATTCAAAGGAGGAGCTGAGAGATGAAGAACAGTGAAGACAGAGGCTGAACCCACTGACCCCTCCTTGTCACCCCCAACCCAGATCCATGCATGACCCCAAGGAGTTCCTCTTCTGCCATCACCACAACCCTTGACATATGTTTATTTCTCCCCAGGGAGCCATCCTCAGATGCCACTCACCCAAGGCAAAGGGACGATGGCTGTTCCCTCAACAGATGCACACACGGCTCCTCGGGCCCCTTCCACTGGCATCAGCCACCACCAACTCTCTGCAGAGGGAACAACTCTCCCAGAGATAGTTGAATGATTGGCTGCGATAGGCACCATTTCAGACTTGCTGTGTGACTTACTTAGACGGAGTCTCACTCTGTCACCAGGCTGGAGTACAGGGGCGGGATCTCGGCTCACTGCAACCTCCGCCTCCCGGGTTCAAGCGATTCTCCTGCCTCAGCCTCCTGAGTAGCTGGGACTACAGGTGCACACCACCATGCCCAGCTAATTTTTGTATTTTTAGTAGAGACGGGGCTTCACCATGTTTGCAGGATGGTCTCGATCTCTTGACCTCGTGATCTGCCTGCCTCAGCCTCCCAAGGTGCTGGGATTACAGGCGTGAGCCACCACGCCTGCCCTCTGTGTGACTTATTTAAACATATTCTTCTGTAAACTGGGTAGAATAATATCTGCATGGAAACTTATACCTGAAGGCTTTAGGAAAAAGAAAGATTGTTTAGGAGCCTTTTGTAGCTTCTTAGCTGTGAGGTAATAACTATTGATAGATAGGAATGTGCCGAGGTGGAAAGAATGAACCAGCATTTGAGTCCAATAGTCTGGAATCAAATCTAGTCACTGCCATGTGTGAGGTTCTTAACATCTTCAGAGCAAGTTTTCCTGTATGATTTATGAGTCAATGAATTCCATGTCTTCTGCCCAACCTCCTTTCTGAACCCCAGGCCCACATTTCTAGGGGCCTCCTGGACATTTCCTCCTGGATATGGCACAGGCTCCCAAACTGATCGTGTCCCAGGCTGAACTCCCCACTCCCACCCACCCCTGTGCGTCCTCTCTTGGTGACTGACATCCCTATCCTTCCCGTTTCACATGCCAGAGATCCAGAAGTCATCCTGGACTCCTCTCTTTTCCTCACCCCGACCCCCAATTAGCTACCCAGTGTGCAGTCTTGCATGTAGATGAGCAAATCCATCCCTTCCTTCCCACTCCCATGGCTCCTCCATGGTGTAGACTGGTATTGGCTTTCCCTTGACCTGCCGCAACACTCCCTCTTCTCATTGCCTCCTGCCAGCTCCCTGCTTCAAGCCTTCCGCTGTGCCCGTTGCCTGTGTGGGCAGAAGCCCCACACCCTTAGCCTGGCTTGCAAGGCCCTTCGCATCCAGGCTCCAATGCCCCTCCCACCCCACTCCCGGCCCCTTCTTCCCACTCTGCCCAGTGCCTCCAGGCGGCATGCCCAGCGTCCTCCTTCTTCCACGCTGGAGCACTCGCTATTCCCTTTGCCTGAAACACCCGCCTTTCCTTGGGATCAGATCAGAAGTGTACTTCAAGAGCCACTCAGAAGCCATCTTCTCTGGCTGTTCCTTCATCTTAACCCCCATGGAGGCTCCAAGGGCTCCGGCTCCACGGTCTTTTGTGCACACTGCTGTTTTCCCCGTGCTGCACTGTTATCTGCCTATGTGCCTGTCTCCCCCAGCAAACTTCCAAACTCTTGTGGGCAGGGATTGTGTCCCAGAGCACTCTATCCCAGGGCCAGGCAGAGTGCAGGGCACATAGTATGTATTCAATAAAAACATATCATAGCCAGGTGTGGTGGTGTGTGCCTGAAATCCCAGCTACTCAGGAGGCTGAGGCAGGAGAATAGCTTGAACCCGGGAGGCAGGGGTTGCAGTGAGCTGAGATTGTGCCATTGCACTCCAGCCTGGGTGACAGAGCGAAACTATGTCTCAAAAAAAAAAAAACAAAAGCATATGAAACAAATGTTTGGCAGACCCCAAAGACCCAGCTACTCTGGAAGAGACGTACACGTAGGCTATGCCCCTTATATATGTGCCCAACCAGTAGGTGGCAATGGAAGTGTCACTGCGTGCAAGCACATGACCCTTTCTGGGGTCCTCTCAGGCAGGCTGGACACCCCGGCTCACAGGTGGACAGGAGTACCTGGAACACGGGGCTCACTCAGGTAGAGTTCCTCAGGCTGCAGTTTACATACCCGCAGACAGGGGAGTTGATTATTTGGGCTTCTTGGATTCTCTGGGAAGATCCTCTGAGCCCAGCCCCAATTCCCTTTTCCTCTTCCGGGGCCCTCTGCCAAACATCTGTTCTTAGATGGCCTACATGTCTGGCTCGAGTCTAGAGAGAACTTGGAATCGCTCCCCATGTCCGGGAAAAGCCCTTACGGAGGGGATGGAGAAGATCTGTACTTTTGTGCAGGGAAGACTGGAGCTGGATTGACAGCAGCCTGGGAGACTGAAGTTGGCTGTGCGGTCTTGGGCAAGTCACATCACTCCCCAGAAGGTGGATGGGTTTTAGCGCCTCCACAGACCAGTGCTTGAATACTGGCTCTGGCACTTCCCAGCTATGCAGACTTGGGCAAGTCATTTGCATTTTGGGGGCCTCAGTTTTCCCAGCTGTGAAATGGGGACAAACACCAGTTTCATAAAGTAGTTACAGGGATGAGGTAGGATCCAAGTGTCTACAATGCTGTTCAGTTTATGACTGAGGAAGGAGGCACCTGTATCAATTGGCAAGGCATATGGCACAGGGGTTTGGAGTGCGGCCTCAGGAGGCGATGATGAGGTTCAGATCCTGCATCTTCCCTTTTCTAACTGTGTGACCTTGGACAAGTTATTTTACCTCTCTTTACCTCAGTTTTCCCATCTTGAAAATAGAAATAAGAATAATCCTCTCTCCTAGTGTTTTTGTAAGTATGAAGTAAATAAATTCATGTGAAACCCTTAAAATAGTACCTGGCACATAGTAAGCATGAATTCGTGCTTCCTATCACCATTGCTGTCAGCCTCATCAATATCATCATCTCAATACTTGAATCTCATTAACTCCAGGCACCTACTTGCTCTTGCAGGAAATCTTGCCTCCCCCAGATCTGCTTCATCCCAGCATATGATCTGGGAGACCCCTAAAGCTCATGTACACATGCTCATACTGTCTGGGCTGCCACTTGATGCTGGTTTCAGTGTCTCCAGTTCCTCCAGCACCGCCACTGTCCAAAGCTGCTGCATGGCCTCTGATGCCTGGGCCCTGCTCCTCCTGCTGATGTGCCTGTCTGTCAAGGCTTTCAATCTTCTGCAGCCTTAGCTGCTCAGCAGCTTCTTTCAAAGAGAGAGTGAGAACAGTCCCTCCCTAGGTGATGTGATCATTGGAGGGGCAGAGTCTCACAGCAGGTTGCTTGGGCCTTGAAGTGTTAGATTTAGTGAGCTTGCTCTTGAGACAGCTCTTTCATTCTACACACAGCCACTCCTCTTCCCAGGATCACTGGGTCAGACAAGGTCAAGAGCCAGCCACTCTGCCCAAGCTGGAGGGTCTCTCTGTCTGACCTCAAGCCCTGTTGTGCAGACTTGCTTGTTTTGTCAGCTTAATTCTTTCTTTTTGGCAATAACCCCTACTCAACAACTGCCAAAAACCTCTCTATATGTCTGGAGCCTGACTGTGAACACAGTTCAAGTTTATCCCCCAGGGAACTCCTCTTTAGCCCCCAGGTAGCCCAGTGGATGCAAATCCATACTCCAGAAGATGGATGCCAGCAGACGCCTTGGGTTTGAGGTATGCATCTCAGTCTCAGCTGCAACCCATCCTGGATGCCTTGCCCCACGCAACATATATAAACTGTCTGGTCCATAGCAGGCACTAAATAACCAGTATGTATTTTTTATTAGTTTCCTCACCTGCAAAGCAGAGAAAATGTAAATTACAGGCTCACACCTGTAATCCCAGCACTTTGAAAGGCCAAGGTGGGCAGATCGCTTGAGGTCAGGAGTTCGAGACCAGCCTGGCCAACATGGTGAAATCCCATCTCTAGTAAAAAATACAAAAATTAGCCAGGCATGGTGGTGCATGCCTGTAGTCCCAACTACTTGGGAGGCTGAGGCATGAGAATCTCTTGAACCTGGGAGGCGGAGGTTGCGGTGAGCCGAGATCACACCTCTGCACTCTAGCAACAGAGCGAGACTCTGCCTCAAAACAAATAAGCAGACAAACAAAACAGCTAACATTTACTGTGCCCTTATTATGTCCAGATGACGTTCTAAGTTTTTTACATGTATTAACTCATGCAATATTCACAATGATTGCATGAGGTAAATACTGTTTCTGTTCCATTTTATGGATGAGACATAGGGTGTGAAGTGCCTTGACCAAGGTCACACAGCTGCTAAGTGGCAGAACCAGGATTCTACTCCCACCACTGGCTTCGGAGCCTGTATTTGAACCATCGTGGTATCCATGCTAATGCTCAGAATTACTGTGAGATCCAATGATTCTATGTCTTATGGCTCTATACAAGCACTAAGAGCTGCTGCTCCCATGGCTCAGTGATTTGGAGGGGGAGGGAGGAGGGGGAAGGAGGAGCAGGGAGAGGGTCTCTCTTAGCACTAGTGATGGTCGTGGTAGTGACTGCAGGATTTAGAGGCTCTTTGCAGAAATCTAGTTGCTTCGTTTCTGGAAGGGAATAACTGAGAGCCATTATTTTGTTTGGACAGGTCTGAAGTGGGGAGGGAACTCGGTCAAGGTGAAGAACTACATCAGCTTCTCAAGCATCCTCTTCTCTCCCTTCCCCTCTTTCTCCCTCACTCCTCATTCAGCTAGGGCCTGGGGGCAGGGGTGAGGTTTCCAGCAAGGCTGCCTCCACACTGCCCAGGCAGGTAGCCTCAGCTACTGTTGCAGGGTTCAGCTGTTGGGGGTGCTCATGGAGTACGGTTGGGGGGGGAAGCCTCCCAAGCAGCAGCCTTCACTAAGGCCTAGATCGCTCAGAGAGAAAGGAGGACACCTGAACAGCCACAGAAAGCTGGCCCAGGAGACTGCAAAAGTACTCTTTGAGGCACCTCTTCCTAACATGACCCTTCCCTCTACGGGCCCTGGAAACATATGGGCAACAGGAGCCTGATCCTGCAGGGCTAGCTTAGAGCCCAGAGTTCCAGGACAGCTCCAGCGTTTCTGTAGAGGAGGGACTTAGGAGTTGCCATCTCATTGGAAGGGAGGTAAGGGGCCTTTATTTTAGTCTGTGGACTTATTTGGAGGTGACTTTGGGGAGGATGCTGATAGAGATCATGAAGGAGGGTAAGGTCTCCCCAACCCTACCCTGGCCACCATGGCTCTGCCAATGCCTGTACCACAGCTCCAGGCCTGGGGTTTGTGCTGACGCTCGAGGCCAACGCAGGGACAGTGCAGAGAATCCTGTGCTTGGACGGCAGACCTGGAGAGGCAAAGCCTCAGTGGGGATGAGCTGGCTTCAGCTGCTGTCCACCTTGTCCAGGAAGCCTAGAGGGAGAAGTTAGGATTTCAGGAGCCACTAAGTGAGGTGGGGCTGCGGAGGAGAGAGAGTTGGGGGTCAGGAAGGGGAGGGATAGTTAGAACCCTGGGGGAGAAGGCTGAGGGTGGAGTAAGATGCTCCTTCCCTTATTCCTTCAGCCCTCTGTCTTCCCCAGCAAGGCCAACACTGCTATGCCAAGAATGGCACTGCGCTAGTCTCTCTATATACATTATCCCGTTAATCTTTACAAAAAGTCTGTTTTATAATCAAAATCCCCATGTCGCAGGTGAGAAAGTTGAGGCGTAGAGAAGTTATGCAATTTGCCTGTAGTCATACAGCATACAGAGGCAGCATGAGGATTTGAGGATGCAGGATTTGAGGTGTTTACTGAGTGCCTACTCCGGGCCAGTAGGCTCGGTGAGCAGGGGTCCTTGCCCTCCTGGAGCTTACAGTCTAGTGTTGTGGGGAGACTAGAACAAGGAAGGATAAGCGTGATGAGGGCTGCAGAGGAGAAGCACAGGGCACACAGGGAGAGGGGTCAGGGAACTGGGACTGGCAGGATGGAGGGGGTTGGCCTGGTGCAGTGGGGTGTGGAGGACAACATGTACAAATGCTCTGCAGCAGGAAGGAGCATGGCCCTTTGGGCCCTGCAAGGAGACAGTGAGGGAGTGGGCAGTGCCAGGTGAAGCTGGAAGGTGGGTAAGGGCTGCATCTAGAGATGCTGGTGCATGAAGCCTGAAAGGAGAGGACAGGGTAGGATGGACAGTCAGGACCTAAGGAGCACCTGGGGAGGAGGGCGGAGCTCCAGATATGCACCCAGCCCATGTAGACTCACAAGACCCAGCTCCATGCCCTAACCTACCTCAGGACCTTGGGTGAGTCATCCACCCTTTGGGGGCTCCCTGTGCCTCAGTGGAGTGAAGAATTATCCCTTCCTCGCCCTGCTGCCTCCTGGGAAAGTTGATAAGAATCAAGTGAAATTAAGATTATCAGGCTGTCATTGTCATCCCTATCAGGGGAAGGGTTCTCTGGGGCCTGAGGGGGCTCTGAGTGAAGCACAGCTGTGTTTTCTCCAGGGACCCACTGTGTTCCCATCCTCCCCCATTTTGGCCCAGCCGCTGCCTGTGCAAATGTCACCTGCTCCTTCCACATGCCATCAGAATTCCACTTCCGCCCAAGAGGGGAAAGGGCACATTGGAGGCAGTATAGACATTAAACACAGTATTTTCAGAAGGAGCAGACATAACCTTACAGAAGTGCTTTATTTTCTGTAATTAGACTTTATTTTACTGGAGGCAGCTTTGCATAAGGCTCAGGCGTCTCTTGGTCCATTTTATCAGAAGGAACCATGGGGGTCATTTCATCCATCCCTTTTCATCTAAGCAGCACTACATTCCAATCGTGAAGGCATAAGCTTTCCCTGTCAAGCAGGATGCTGCCCCAGACCCTTAGCATCAGGAAACCCCAAAGTCGAACCTGAATCCAGCCTGCTGAATGAAATTTGAGTCCCATCCTCCCTCGTCCTAGCAAAAGAAGGTTTGGGGGAGATTTCAAAACAGAAGCACTTTTCTCCCCAGGGAGAAACCGAAGAGGAGCAGCAGGTACTGCTCTTCAGCCCGCACACCCATCTCAGGTGACAGGTCCCCTCCTCAGTGTGGGATGACGAGGTGGGGGTAGGTTACGGGAGTGTAGCAGAGTGGGGGGAAACCCCTGGTGCCCTCCTGCTGAGCATCTGACCTTGAGCCCTTTACCCCAGGTCCCCCTTTCCATCTGAAGAACAGTGAGGGGTCAGCAGACCTGACTAGAGGGGCTCAGGCATGTGTCCTCTCCCCCAGCCCACACATGAACACACGCACACACCCTTCCCAACACCCAGGTATGCAGATGCACACTCCCCCACAGGAGGAGCCGCCCGGAAATCCCTGAATCAGCTTTTCTGCAGTCCAGGGTCTGTGACAAGCGAGCTGCTGCCCTTCTGAAGAGAGGCTCCAGCCCGGCCAGGAGCAGCGGGTGCTGCAGCACTTCAGTCCCCGGCTTCTTCGGGAGTGAGGTCTATGTCCTGGGGCAGGGGATGCCTGGAGGAGGGGAAGAAGGGGGATTCACTGCGGGTATTGGGAATTTCCCGGTTCCCCAGACTCTGTGGGGATGAGAAGCCCTGGAAAGCCCTGAGTGACTGCCCCCCCCAACACACATGCACACTGGATTTTTGTGTGTGTGGGTTGGGGGATGAGGAATGTCACTTCCTGGGTCAAACCCCAAACTCGAGTCCTGGTCCTGAGTGTGCAGAGTGGAAGGCAAACAGAAAGCAGCTGCATGGAGGGTGAAGGAGAGGCTGAGGGGAGAGGGCGAGGATGGGGTGGAGCTGGGAAGGTCAGGGGTGGTTAATGGCCGGACAGCAGCAGAAATTCCACCTGGCGAGCTGTGGCCCCGAGGTCTTATCGGGTGAGGTTGGGGGTTGAGGGTGAGGCCCAAGGGTGACACTGAGGCACAGGAGTGCTGCCCAGGCTCTCGGTCCTCCCTGCCCCTCCTGGTGCTCACCGTGGGTGTCAGCCTCGCTTTTCCCAAGTGGGAGAAAGCAGAGTTGTGGAGGTGGGAGGTGTCGGGTCCGTGGCAGAGCCCTTCTGCTGGGTTCCTGTCTGGGAGCAGGCAAGGGGTCCTGTGCCAGCAGACGCTCTTCCTCCTCTCCCCCACACCCGTACCCCTCCATCGCCCTTTCTCCCCTCCCCAAGTGGCCCGTGAAGAGCCCTGGCACCAGCCTTTACCTCACCCTCCAGGACAGACTGAGGGTGGGGACCGCGGGCTGCCGGAGCCCTCGGGGCGAACTCCCCAGCTCCCCTTCCCCTCCAGCATCTGCCTTTTGTTCCATCTCTCTTCTCCCTCCCTTCTCTCCCTTGACTCAGGAAAACCTTCATCCTTATCTCCCGAAGCAAATCGTTTCCCTCCCACCCCTGCCCGCAGGCCATTCCCTACAGCCAGGGGGTCCCCTCCCCCAGCTAATCCCCCGAACCGAGAGGCTGTAAACTCGGAGCTGGCGGGTGGGGTGGGGAGTGTTGCAGGAGTGCACGGAGCTGGCGGGGACTCCTCGGCAGAATCGGGGGAGTCCCGTAGGGCTCCGGGGGCTCGGAGCCGGCCCCGCCCTCCTCAAACTTCTGTAGGACCGCGCCAGTTTAAACCCCTCTCCCCCAGCCTAGTCCCTCCCGCACACACCTCCCCTTCTCCTGTCGCCCATTTTCCCCTCCGCTGGCAGTCCGGACTGGAGAAGGGAGGCGTGGGCGCGCGGAGGCAGCCTCCCCAGCAGCGGGGATTGCCTGGGGCGGGGGCCCTGCGTCGTGGTTTGCGGGGATCGCCCTCGGAGGGGCCGCACGCGCTGTGTGCAGGCGAATGTGAGGAGCATATCAATAGGCGGGCGGGGGAAGCGGGATCAGGTTGTTACTACTGCAGAGAGAGAGAGAGGAAGAGAATAGAGAGAGGGAGAGACTCGAGAGCGAGCGAGCGCGGGAGCGAGGGCCGCAGCGGCAGGGCCGGCGGGGAAGTGGGAAGAGGGACCTGGACTTCGGGACCCCAGCTGTCCCCGCCCCCGCCCCCGCCCCCGCCCTCTCCACCAGCTCAGGCTGAACGCGCCCGGAACGTCCCAGGGTAAGAGGGAACCCCAGGCGGGGCACCCCACGAGGGCAGCCAGTAGTCCCGAGCGAAGCCGTGCCTCGACCGACAGTGGCCACCTCTAGGGCCTGAGGCGTGGGCGGACGCGGGGTCGCCAAACGGTGACACTCCGACTTTTGGGACTTGGTGCTCACTGCGGGGTAAACTAAGAGTAGGTAGGACTGAGCCCGCGGTGGGAACTGTAATCCGGAAATCCATGGGCGTCGGAATTACCTGGCTAGACCCGGGGGAGGTGTCCTGAATTATTTCGGGAACCCCTAGCCCCCAACCTATCTCTCCCCGCGGAGAGCCCGGGTCCAAAGCGGAGAGAAGGCGAGAGAAGCCGCGGTGCCTTAGCGCTGGGACCAGGGACCTGCGGTGAAGCGAAGGCGACTCGCCGCAGAGAAGCCGTGGGAAGGGCGCGGGGAGGTGCATGAAGTGGGCGTGCGGAGAGAAGTGGGTGCGGGGCGCATGGGACCCTGCAGCGCCTGCCTCGCTGAGGAGGAGCTGGAAGACCATGCTCGCGCGACACTGGGGAGCCCCTGGCGCAGAGGGGGGTGTGCCGGAGGCACGGGCGGTTTGCAGGACTGGCTGCCTTTCTGAGCGCCCCCGCCTTGCCGCAGCCGTCCAGGGTTGAGATGAGCGGCTGCATTTTCCACCCCTTCCTCTCCCGGGAACTTTCCCACACTTTGACACGCGCCACGGCTCTGTGCATTGGAGGAAGCAGGCTCGCGGGGATCCTGGCAAGCTTGCAGAGACCCGGGTGGGCGATGGGAGGGGGCAGCTGGGCAGTGGAAACGAGGGCCCTACTCAGTTTGCTGTGTGACCTTGGACAAGCTACTGCACCTCTCTGAATCTCAGGATGATGGAGCGCATGGTGCCCAAGACAGGAATGGGGACGAGGTGGGGGAGGGCGCGCGGGGGGACAAGCTCATGGGCACGCCTGCCCGAGCCTCTGCACCTGGGAATCGCTGCCTTTGGTCACTGGCCTCTCTTAAGTGAGTTCAGTGCTCACTTCCGGGGCAGGGGGTGTCAAAGTGGAGCTGTGAACGCAGCGCCCCAGGGAGAGTCCGAAAGCTTCCATTCTGACCTGTCCTATGACCTTGGGCAACTCACTGACCCACTCTGGGCCTCAGTATCTTCATCTGGAAAATGGGGTTTGGAATTTAAGGTATCTGAGGTTTCTCCCAGTCCCAACACCCTGCAGGTGTTGCCCACTGAAAGGATGGGGGTGGGGTAGAATGACCTAGCTGGGTAGAATGACCTATCCTCTGGGAAGACTGTAGCTCCCCTACTGCACCCCCCATCCCAAAGTAGCAGGGCTGTGACACCCTCAGCCTGTTCATTGGTCATCTCTCCCCACTTTCAGAATCCAGCTGATGGGGAGAAAGGCCGGCTTTCCAGCATTACACATCCTCTTTGCAGAGGGCAGATTCTTTCCTAGAGAAAGGTTGGCTGTGACAGACAGATGACTATAGGTTAAAGGGTGATGTCAAGGACCTCACAAGGTCATGCGGTCTGCTCTCTACCTCCAGACAGGGCTGCATTCATCTCAGATAAGGAAGATCTGAAGGAATTGTCTCGTTTTAGAAAGATCTCCACTACAATAGCCTAGAGCACCCCACTGTGCAATGTGACAGTCCTTGCCATAGGAAAGTCTAATCTAACTCCTTTTTGGATGAACTCTGGTTCTGTCTTCGGTTGAGATGAGACAATAACTTCTTACTGGGCATTAGGGTGTTGCGGACGAGTCCCAGTTTGAGACAAGAGAGCTGAGTTTAATTTACAGGCTCTGCCTCCAATTTTGTGACCTTGTGTGACCTTGGGCAAGGCCCTTTCTTGCTTTCCTCGCCTGTACATTGAGAAGGTAGAACTAGATAACTTCTCAGGCCCTTGCAACCCCACAGTTCTGTGGCTGCAGTTCTGGGCTGGTGTCTGAGTCCAGGAAGTGGGCTTGGCTGGGTGATGGGAGCAGGTGGTCTCCAGGAATTCCCAATGCATTGCCCTCCCACTTCTGTCACCAGAGTCGAGACAAATTGAGACAAATACTGTATATGAATTTCAAAGCCAGGCACACCCCTGGAGGGGGAGTCCCCAGGAGACCTTGGCTCTACTGGTTATTAGCTGTGTGACCTTGAGCAAATTACTTTATATCTTAGAGCTTCAGTTACTAAGTAGTCAAAACAGAATGAGAATAGTGGTGGTATTTTAGGGTTTTTATGAGGATTAAACAAGAAGCATATGTAAATACTTGGTCCAGTACTGAGCTGTCTAAGTCCTCAATGAGTGGTAGCTATTGTTAATAATAATAATACAAGCTGCGTAGCAAGCAGGTGGCAGGGCAGCTGTGAGTAGTGGCCATGGGGAGCAGGGAAAGATTGTGGACTTGCAGTGTGATCTTCCTCTACCATCTTGAAAGCTTCCCTACAAAATGGGAACATCAGCTCTGTCTCACTGTCTCTCTGTCTCTCTGTCTGTCTGTCTCTCTCTCTCTCTCTCTCTCTCTCTCTCTCTCTCTCTCTCTCTCTCTCTCTCTCTCTGACCATTAGGACCATTCTGCAGTAGAAACTTCATGGGAAACAGAGAGACTGCCTGACTTTCCAATAATCTCACACCAGTTTTCCTTGGTTCTCCCTTCCCCACTCTCTGCCACACCTCTGTGGTTATGAAAAAATGGGCCTTTTACTCCATTCCCCAAACCTTCTAGGAATGGACCAACTGAGAAGCAGAGAGGCGGTAAAGCCAGATGTCCCTGGAGTGAGTGGCTAAAGGCATGTCTACACCCAGGTGGAAGGAGTGGCAAAGGGACTGGCTCAACCTGGAGGGGGACTCCCAGGACCCCATGGCCGGGACTGAAGTTTACCCTAGACTTGCTGTGTGACCTTAGGCAAGTCGCACACCACTGTGGACCTCAGTTTTCTCATACGTGAAGTGAAAGCTTGGTTTAGATGACCCAAAGTCCTTCTGGCTTTGTTGGTCCGTGACCCTGCTGGCTCTGCCTTTGCCAAGGCTGGGTGGGGCGGGGTGGGGTGGGGTGGGAGGTTTGTTGGAGTCGTTCAAGCTTTGGGTGTTCACTGCCCCGTGATTCCAGTCCTATAAGTCAGCTTGGGGAGAGGCGATGACCTCCCCTTCTCAGTAAGAGCGCTGATGGTTAAGAGCAAAGGCTTTGCAGGTAGATATATCTAGGTTCCCATCTTGGCTTGCTCCTTAATATCTGTGTGAATTCAGGCAAATTACCAACCTCTCTGAGCCTCAATTATCTCATCTGTGAAAAGGGAATATTACCAACCTGGAATAGGAAGTCTGTAGTGTGTTATTGACTAATGCACAAGGGATGGGTTTTTGAGGTTCTATGTTATCACAGAGAGGGCTCAAATTACAGGAGGAGCAGGGATACAGTTCACAGTCCTGCAGTTGTCACCATGCACACGATCCCCCAAAATGCCCCAACGTCCTGTGTCCTCCTCTTGCTGCGCACTGGCCTCAGGCTCCAGGAGTTTGCATGCTCTAGTCTTCGTCATGGGGCCTGGAGAAAGGAAGAGCTCAGCCACAAAGGCCAAAGGCCAAGCAAGCAGCATGAGTCTGAGAGAAGTGTGGCTGACAAAAGGCTCCTGATGATGAGGGAACGCAAGCCAGCAGCATGGCATCCCTCCATTCAAGGTTAGTCATGAGGAAAGGCTGTGAGATGCAGCCTTGGAGAAAAGCTGAAGGAGCGGGGAACACCGCCTTCCACAGAGATGTGTTAGATGAGTGGCACGGCAGGACGAGGCACTGAAAGGGGCTGTGGGATCATCTCATCCAGCCCTCTGTTTTGATTATGGGGAAACTGAGGCTTAGGGGGAGCTCCAAGCCCAGCGACGGAGCTTGCCAGCCCTTGTAGACCCTCAATCCAACGCTCTTTCCTTCCTCCCTGTTAAGCACCAAGCAGTTATTTTCCATCTTTTCTAAAATCAGAGCACAAGGTAAAATGCCTTGACTGCAGCAGAAAGGACATGGGTCCTGATAGGAAGGAACTTCCTGATCTAGATACTGAGATCATGGGGTCCAACCTTCCCATTTTGCAGAATAGAACACGGAAGCCCAAGAAAATTAAAGAACTAGCATAAGGTGACCCGGTATCAGACACTTGAATTCCCAGGCCTGAGCTCTCTCAGTTATGCCAGCTATGCCACGCTGCTGCTCTTGAGCCAGACAGGGCAGCAGGATAGCCAAACGTGAAAAAAATAATCCCAGATGGGCTTGGGGAAGGGAGGGAGGACAGAAAGACAACAGACCAAAAGACAGAAATATTACTTCCAAGACCACGCTTTTCTTTCTCAGCTTGTCACAGTTGGCCCCTGCTCAGAGCTGTTGAGGCTGGCAGCTTGCTTTGCCCTCTGAGAGGAGAGAGGAGGGAGACAATAGCCAGCCCCACTGGTCTCACTTCCATTGACAAGGCTGAGTGAAAGAAAGTCAATATTTGCCCAGGGGCAAAGGACGGGGAATAAGTCTGACTTGGGATGGGGCGGGGTAGGGGCGAACAGGGTAGGGTGATGGGGAGTGTTTCTGAAAAGGAAGGTTGCAGCGTGTAGGGCCTCGGGTGTGAGCACTTGACTTCTGAAGGAGCCTTTGGATTTTCCGCATTAAATAACCCTTTGTATCTTGGAGTGCATCCGGCTGCATTTGCAGGCACCATCCTCCTGGAAGCCCTGATCCCTAATAAATTTCCCTTATTGTTTGGAGCTGACACCTCCCCAGCTTCCAGCTCCCTGGAGAAATGGAACTTTTGAAGCTTTTGCAGAAAGGCCTCCGAGCAGATGGCCCATTGAGCGGGTCTCTCAGGCAGAGCCTGCAGAAGCTGCAAGAAAGGCTCAGTTCCTTATCTGGGCCCCCAAGCCTAGGGAAAGATGTGGAAAAAGTCCTTGGCAGGTCAAGAGAGGCTGTGAATATTTTTTTTTCTTCCTTTGTTTTGTTATCTTTCCATTTTTCTTCACCACATGCTGCTCCTTTTTTCTCTGTGTCCTGAGACTGGGGAGGGGCTGGGGGGGAGGAGGGGCAAAGCCCACAGCCTTTCCCCAGCTGGAATGGAATTCTTGAACCCTGTAGCAGCTGCCGTCTGCTTCAGTGGCTTTTGTGATTGCTGTGTTACTCATGGAATCGCATCTTAGCAATTTAACAAAGGGTGCATTTGGAAGCAGAAGGGTTTCTAGTAGAAGGTAATGTGGCTGTACTGCAGCAGGAAGGGCTCATGTGAGGTACAAGGAAGGACTTCCTACCGGGGAATTGCCCGCTGTTGGCAAATCTGCTAGGTGGAAAACCTTGGGAGTTGATCCACCGGACTCCCTTATTCTCTTGGGAATGAGCTAGGTTTGTTACCTGCCCCTGAAGGGGCCACAGTGACATTCCTGGAGGTCAGCGCTGCCACCCAAGACTAAACCTGGTCCCGCAGCCACCAAATTGATCATCAGGGCCGGCAGTCCTTGGAGACCAGAAAGCCAGAGTAGCTTCCAAAGGCCTTAGTTTGGCCCCGGGCACTGAGGGAGGGGCAGAGGGTGAAAGGGGGAAGGAAGGCCCTTGGCCTGGCCTCAGCCCAGCCAGCCCTGCAGCCAGGAGAGATACTGCAGCACCTATGAGCAGCCGGCAGGAGAGTCTCTCAAAGCTGCTGCTCACAGTGGGGCAGACGGAGCCTGCCAGCTCCAAGCCTGCCTTCAACCTGCTCCCCACTGCTCGGCTGGGCTGGGACTTGAGGGCAGCCGGCTGCTCAGAGACAGATTGCAGCCTGTCCCCCATCCCCACCCCCAGCACATGGCGCCTGGGTGAGAGCACAGCCCAGCTTCTGGACTTATGTGGACTTCTTGCATGCGTACTTTGTCCTGAGCCGACTCGTGTGCCCCTAGTCCATGGTTTTTGGTTTTGGTTTTCGGTTTTGGTTTTCAGGTTTTTTGAGACAGGGTCTCACTCTGTCGCCCAGGCTGGAGTGCAGTGGTGTGATCACGGCTCACTGCAGCCTCAACTTCCCGAGGCTCAGGTGATCCTCCCACCTCAGCATCCCACATAGCTGGGACTACAGGTGTGCACCACCATGCCTGGATAATTTTTGTTTTGGGAGGTTTTTCTTTGTTGTTGTTGTTGTTTTGGTAGAGGCAGGGTTTCACCATGTTGCCCAGGCTGGGCTCGAACTCCTGGGGCTCAAGCAATCCTCCTACCTCAGCCTCCAAAAAGTGCTGGGATTACAGGCGTGAACCACCATGCCCAGCCCCTAGTCCATGTTTTAGTGAGACTTGGGATATGAGGAGCCTTGTACTTGCATGTGCTTGGCACTGTGGTGCAGTGGTTAAACCTCAGATGCTAGGGCTAGGTTGCCTGTATTCAAATGCCAGCTCCTCCAGTTTTTTATCTGTGGGACTTTGGCTAAGTTACTTAAACACTTGTTACCTCAGTTTCCTCATCTGTAAAATGGAAATGAAATAGCTTGCCATCAGGTTGGCATGAGGATTTAATGTATGACTATTTACATATAGCTCTAAGAATAGGCAGTGCCTGACACAACGGTGCTGTAAAGATTTTGCTATAAAGTAATATAAAGAGTGTTATTATGGTGTTTCTGAAAACTGACGTTTTGTAGATAAAGAAACATAGCAGCAGAGCTGGGAGTGGGGCGAGGCAGGGATATGATTGGCTTTGATGAGAAGAACCTAGAATCCAGTGAACCCACTATTAAGTTACTGCACATGGCCCCAGGCAAGCGGTTTTTCCCTATCTCTTGGACCTCAGTGGTCCCCATTAAAAAATGTGGAGAGGGATGCCTGTCTTTCTCACTTCTCCCAAGATGTCCTGGGATCAAATGAGGCAGACGATGATTTGAAATAGCCAGTGAGCCTAGCGGATGCACAGGTTGGCCTCTCCCTCTCCCTGCTCTGGAGCACATGCTGGCTTTCTGGCTGAGGTCCTGGCATGTTGGGCTTTCTACCAAGGGCACCAAACCCAGTGGACTGCTCTCCCAGTGAGGCCACTTGGACTCTGGGTGGCTCTGGGCTGAATCTGGCCCTCCTCATTTTCTGTTCCTTATTTCACCTGGAAAAAGGATGGTGGTTTTGTATCTCCTAATGCTCCTTAGCAAGAGAGAAGGAGTGTTTCTGAATGCAGTCTGTAGTTGTACAAGCAGAGAAGGGGGCAGGAGAACCTCTCCTTCAAGCTGGGACACCCTGGCCATGAGCCCCAGACAGACTGAGGTGATGCCTTCCCTGGGTTGTCAAAACTGGGAGCTCCTTCCCCCTACCACTTGCAGCCAGACTATCCACAGTGCAGGGAGGCAGGCAGGGGGCTGATCAGAAGCAGCACATTGAGTCAATATCACATTCAGCATCTTTCCTGCCAGGTAAGACAAGGACCCTGGTTGTTAGTGCCCTTGTCGCTTCCTCCTCTTGCCTCCTTCCTGGCTGGGAGGGAGAGCCAACCTGATCTGCTCATAGTATTGCATTGATGGTTAGGTTAGGGCCTCATGGTTTGGCCCCCAATATCTTCTGCCAAGAACCATGGGGGTGACCAGGCTGTGTATACCCAAGCAAGCAACCAAGTGATGCCCACTGTCCTACAGACTTCCCACCTGGTCATCTGGGGTGAGTTGTACGTAAGGAGAGGGAGGGCCACTTTAGAAATGGCCTTAGAAATGTCTGCTTCTGGAGCTGTCCTCAGAGCTTCTTCCTGAATATCATTTTACCAAGAGCCCCAGAGATGAGGTTTCTTGGCCAAGGTCACCCCCAAAATCAACTGTGAGCTCATGTCTTGAAGTCCACTATGTTTCTTCTGCCCCATTCCCCAGGCTTCCCTAAAGAAGATATCCAGCATTGGCTAGAAATGTAGGTTTCCCTTCTGGTGCCTGTCTCCCGTGACCCTGCTCCTGACATCAAATCCCCCTCAACATCATCCCTTGTAAGTTCTATGGGTTTGGATTAGAGAGCGGGGAGAACTTCCTGAGTGGCCTCATTGGGACAGGGAATGGAGGCTTTCCCCAAGATACATAAGGGCAGACCTGCTTTCCATGAGTGTGGGCTGGATCAGGTCTTAGGAGCTTCAGGAGTTCGACAACACAAAGTCCAAAATCAGGTTCTGCGGCCTCCTAGCCATGGGACTTTGGGCAAGTTGCTGACTCGCTCTGAGCCTTATCATTAAATTGGAATGGATATGATTTACTATCTTATTTATAGAAGTTTATAAATATATATTTACTTTTTGAAAACAGCTTTATTGAGCTATAATTCACATACGATACAATTCACCCATTTAAGCGCACAATTCAATAGTTTTTAATATATTCACAGAACTGCACAACCATACCACGATCTAATTTCAGAACATTTTTTCACCCCTGAAAAGGAACTCCATACATATTAACAGTCACCCTCGATTCTTCCATTCCTCCCAGCCTTAGCCAACTAATCATCTACTTTCTGTCTCTATGAAGTTGCACCTTCTGGATATTTGATTTAGATGGAATTATATAATACATGGTCTTTGGTGACTGGCTTCCTTCACTCACATAATGCTTTCAAGGTTTAGCCACATTGAAGCATGTATCGATACTTTATTTCTTTTTATTGCCAAATAACATTCCATTGTGTAGATATACTGCGTTTTATTTCTCCATTCATCAGTTGATGGATGTTTGGTTGATTCCACTTTTCAGCTACTCTGAATAATGCTGCTATCAACATTTGTGGAAGGGTTTTCGTAAGGATATGTGTTTTCATTTCTCTCGGGTATATGCCTAGGATTGTCAAATGGTATACTTTTTTTTTTTTTGAGATGGAGTTTCACTCTTGTTGCCCAGGCTGGAGTGCAATGGCACAATCTCGGGTTCAAGCAATTCTGCTGCCTCAGCCTCCCAAGTAGCTGGGATTACAGGCATGCGCCACCACGCCCAGCTAATTTTGTATTTTTAGTACAGATGGGGTTTCTCCATGTTGGTCAGGCTGGTCTCGAACTCCTGACATCGGGTGATCCACCCGCCTCGGCCTCCCAAAGTGCTGGAATTACAGGTGTGACCCACCTCTCCCGGCCAGTATACTTATTTTTAAATGGTATATTTATATTACTAGGCTCTGTTCTAAGTATTTCATATGGATAGTCTCCTTTAATTATCACAATACTCTACAAGGTAGGTACTATTATGAATCCCCTTATTATAAAGTGAAGAAATGGAGGCATCATTTGAGGGACATCAAGGGATTTGTCCAAGGAGACTCAGCTAAGAGAGCCAGGATTTGGACCCTGGCCTCTGGCCCTTTGCTCTTCCACCACCTTGCTCCCACATGTGAGATTTAAGTGAGAGAATGTCTGAAAGTGCTCCCAGCCTGACTGTAGTAGGTGCCCAAGAAATGTTTGTTGGATGCTGGGAAAGGACCAGAAACCTTGCATTTCGCTGTCTGACTCACCATGTGGCTTTAGGGAATTTGTGTCCCTTTGAGCCTCAGTTAAATTTCCCCAATACATAAAGCTTCAATATGGCATTTCATAAGAGACAGGGCTGAGATGGGAGGTGCAATATCATGGAAAGGGCCCTGGATTCTAGCTCTGGCTCTCTCACTGGCCTCTCACCATTCAGTTAGAGGCTGTAACAATTGATCCTAAGTTTCCTTCCAGCTCTCCCATCCTATATAAGTTCTATGTTCTTCCTCAGCAACTGGAGCCCCCTAGGGAGCTAAGCTGGGATGGGTGCCCAGGGCCTCAGGTCACTGCTGTGCTCAGCAACACTTCTCCCACCCAGTGTGTTAAAGGCCAGGTAGGGGCTGAGTGGGATGAAGATGGGGAGAGGGGAGGACCCACCCTAGGCCTCCCTTCCATTATGGAGCCCTTGGTGTGGGCTGGAGACCTTCTATTCTCTCAGCCAGAAAAAAGCCACCTCACCTACACATCCCCTCAGTCTTCCCTGGCTCTCCTTCTCTTGAGTCCTGCTCCTCTGGAGTCACTGCAGCCCTCATTCCAATGAACTACCCAGCCGTCTTTGGAGGCTTGGCCTAGCTCCTGGTTTGGGATCACTTATGGGAAAGAGCTGGGCACCCAGTGGGTGCCCAGCATATTTTGGTGACTTAAATAGGGATCAGTATTTGAGCTAGTGGCTTCCCCTAGGTCATGATTCCCCAGTTCACTTTTCCCCATCCTTTGTCAGCAAGAGCATTCACTGCATTCTGCAAATCTAACCTGGCAGCACCAAGCGAGGCGCGTCTGCATCTTCCAACTGCACAGCCACATCCTGTAAACTTTTCCTTGGCCCTCCCTTTAGTCCATATTCCTTACTTCCTGGATGCCACCGGTCAGAGTGCCTCCTGCATCCCAGGTCCTGTGCCAAACACATAACATACAGGATGGTGCATTTACCCCTCTGTGGTGGGAATTTGTAGCGTCTCTAGTTTATAGAAGAGGAAGCACATCCAGAACAGGGAAATAACTTCTCCAAGGCCACCAAGCTGGTAGGTAACAGTGGAAGGATTTGAGCAAAGGCTGTCTGGTCCCAAATCCTGCATCATTTGACTGAAAGGAAAGATGGCATAAAGGGCTTTTAAGGGGGTGCCCAGAGCCAGGGAAATCAGGAGGAGCCTCTCTGGGCAGGTGGGCTCTGGATTCCTCCGGGGCAGGTCTGTGTCTCTGTGTCTTCTCTTTTCCCCTGCTTGGAGAAGAGTCGAGCCTGTTGGGTAATGCCTGGGAACACCCTCCTCTGGGCTTAGTCTTCTCATCGACAGAACAGGGTCTGACATTTCCAGCAGGCCTGTGCGCCAAGCTTACCTAGAGATCCGGCGATGGCTACGCAGCCTTTCTTCCACTGGTTATAGAGTCAGTTTCTCCCAGGTTTGCTGTTCTTGCCTGTAGTGTGATGAGCCGGAGTCTCATCCCCAGCTCCCCATCCCCCAATATCTGCGTGTCTCACTATTTTTAAGCTCCGTGGGCTTAATGAGCTGCCTGCCATGACACGTCTTCAACATTTACCTTTTTCTCTAATGAGCCTCAGAGAGCTAGGTTGGGCTTATTTTTCCCTTGACAGTCCCCCACCCCAGTCAGGAGGCCAGAACTGGGCTATTTCCCTTCTGGGCCCAGACTTGGCTTCCTGAGACCCCCACAGCAATGTGCCCCACAAATTATCTAGTGGTGGCAACACTGCAGATTCCAGGCCCTGGGGAGCTGGCTCCTTCTCTGGTGCCACCTTCTGTCTTGTTTCTCCCCTCTTACCCCACCTCAGCCCCTTCCTGCAGAGTGGCAGTGTCATAAAGGAAGCTCTTGTGGTCCTCACATAATTGGCAGCTACTTCTCCTTGAGGACAAACTGCCTGGCGAACCAGCAGGGCCTGGCGAATGAGGCCAATCAGCAGCAAGGGCTGGGATGGAGATGTCAGAGATTTAGAGGCTCTCAGGGTTGGAAGGGAGACCTCAAATTTCATCTAGGTCAGCGCTGTGTCCCCTTACCTGAGTCCTGTCTATAACACCCCTCCCAATAGTGGGCTAACCTCAGCTTGAATGCTCCCAATGATGGAGCCCTCATTACCTCCTGGGACCATGAACTCATCAATGGGTGGTGCTGACTGTGCAAAAACCCTCCTTCATTTTGAGCCTAAATCTATTCTCCCACATGAAGAGAGGAGACCCCCGCAGTGGGTTCATCCATCTTCTGGCTCCAGCCCTCGGTGCTGTGAAGGAGCCGCAAGTCACTCTTCATGAGGAACCATGCCTGGTGTCTTGGGTGGGGGCAGAGGCACCGCTGATCCACAAAGATGTGGTGTGATTTTTTTCCTCTCAGGGGACTTTGCTTGGGGGAGGGGCCGCTGGGAAGAGCCAAGAAGCTGCTAGAAAAAAACTTAAGTCGTTCCTGTTTCTCAAGTGCAAAGTGAACCTGCAGCAGAACATTAGAAACCCTGATGCAGGCTAGCTGTGTTTACGGGGACCATTACATGCCGGTTCTCTGTTGCCAGCTCCAGGGAGTCAGGGTCTGATAGGAGCCACCCCAGGTATTCCATTTATAGTCACAGCTCCAAGCAGGGGTCATCTGTAGGGTGAACTGGAACTCCCTGCGGTTCCAGAGAGCCACAGATGCTCACCCATGCTGGCTTTGGTAGGCAGGCAGCTCATTAAGCCTCTCCGAGGCTCAGGATTTTGCCAGCTTGGAAGAGCACTGGATTGGGAGGCAGGCTCCTTACTCTGCCACTTTGGACAAGTCCCTTCCTCTCTCTGGCTGTCAGTTTCCTCGGCTGTGATATGTGCTATGTGTGGACCTTCAGAAATGGTGCAGGGCTGGGCCCTGCAGCTGCCGAATGCCGTGTGTGTGGGTGGAGGTGCTTCATCCTGGGCTGTGTTCTGCAGGACACAGTGTTTGTCACCAGTGGTCATATGAAGGGGACAGTCCTCTGCCCACTTCCATTCCACCTCTCCTCTGGCCCAGAGCAGGGAGGCCAGAGCCCTGTGTACTGCTAGGCAGGGCAACGGCCCATTCTCAAATGTTTCCTGGGGCCCGGGGTGTGGAAAGATGCTTCCGCTCCTGTGAGGGAAAACCTTGAGGCCTCTGGTGTCCTGGACCAGGGAGGCTCTCCTGCCCTAGGTCAGGCTCTGAGGAGAGGGTCCCAGATGATGGCGTCTCTGGAGCCAGGGGTGTGTTCGGCTGTGTCATCACCTTCCCAAGTCAGCTGTCATCACTGCACTTTCCAGGGTGGTGGCTGTGAGGGGTCCCATCATGGTCTGTGGTTTGTCAGACACCCACCCAGGTGGACGTCTCTTGCCTGGAAAGTGGCCAGCCTCTTCCAAGCCCACCCCATCTCCTCCTAAACCTTGGCTCCCTGCTGCTCTTCCAGGAAGCCTTTCCTCAGTGGCTCCCTGGTTCTAGGTGCCTTTGCCCTGTGGTTCTCAGCAGAAGCGCCTGTGCATCATGGGAAAGCCGGTTGGCGATGGGATGCACGGCGCTCTATTGGGGTCTGTGTTCCCTCTCCCCATGTGTCCTCCAGCACCTGGTCAAGCCAGAGTGTGTGGGAGCCAGGGGTCAGCCCCCAGCTCTTTCTGCTCTGCACATTCGTTTTTCTTTTTGATGTAGTTATAACTTAGATTCAGCAAAGTGCACAACTTATGGATATATGCACCAGTGTAATCACCAAAGAAATTCCCCAGAAGGATCCCTGTCCCCTCCCAGCCCCTGCCTGCCCCTCCAGTGTAACTGCTCTATTGCCATGGAGTCATTTTCTGTTCTTCGGAGCTTTCCTCCCATTCCTGGTCATTTCTCAATCTCCCTGGCTTTCTTCTTTCTCTACAAATCCTCCAAATGCTGATATTTCTAGAAGCCCATCTCTGGATTTCTTCTTATGCCCACACTCTCCCCAGTGGATTATCCTTTTGTGCTAGTGACTTCCAGAGTCACTTCTGAGCAACACACCTGCCGTACCACCCCCCCCCCCCCACCAGCTGCCTGCTGGGTATGGCCGCTTGGCTGGTCCGCTGGCATGGCTAGGTCTTACCTAATGTCAAACTCCTGGGCTCCAGTGATTCTCCCACCTCAGCCTCCTGAGTAGCTGGGACGACAGGCATGCACTACCATGCCTGGCTAATTTTAAAATTTTTTGTAGAGATGGGGTTTCACTGTGCTGCCCAGGCTGGCCTCAACCTCCCAAAGTGCCGGGATTACAGGTGTGAGCCACCACACTAGGGATAGGTTTTGGCTGGGACACCCTTGGGGAGTCTGGGCAACCTCACCTCTTCACATCCCAGTGTTGTCATCTATAGGATGGGAGTGGCAGCTAGAGGAAGAACAGCTAGACTCTGCTGACTTCTGAGAGGAGGATGTGGTCAGATACCCACAAATGAGAACTTGATACCCACAAATGAGAACTTGAAAGCTTGAGCAACCAAAATAGAGACTTAGCAGCCACTGTTGGAGAAGCCATGGCTGCTGAGAGGCCTGAGTATTGGGGAAGGTGGGCTGGAGGAGGGGGAAAGCCTTGGCAGTATCTGGACACAGGGGCAGGAAAGAAGCCAGGGATAGTGCAATGGCTCAAGAGAGGCCTTGGCCCAGAGGTGGGCATCAAGAAGGCCATCTGGGCTGGAGCTAAAGGCATGGGTAGAAGGAGGACCATTTATTAAGAGAGGCCTGAATTATCTCAGAAAATAATAATTTAAAAAAAGGGTATTGGCTTAACCTGGTCCTTAATAGGGAGTTAGCAGAGAGGCTGCCCCACCTCTCCACTGGAGCCATCCCTGTGTGCTTCTGACAGGCCCGTGCCCAGCCTGGCTCAGGAACCGGCCATGGCCATAATACCATGCTTTACATACAGTGCTCCTAAGCCTCGCAGCCCTGCGCAGCAGCTTCCATTATCATTCCCATTTTGCAGACGGAGTGCTGAGGCCCAGAGAGGTTAAGCAACCTGTTCAAGTTCCCATGGCTAAAAGAGCCGAGACTCCAGTCCAGGTCAGTCTGCCCAGAGCCCAGGTGCTCATTCACCCCACTTGGCAGCACCTGGTGTTTCACTTGGCTCCTCTTCCTCAGCGGAGCTGTCTTCTAGGTTTGGATCCACATAGAATTCCAAGTTGAGGCTTTCCAATTTGGAATTCTCCCCCTCACTGCTCCCCTCCTCCAGCCCATGGGTGTTTTGAGGCCATGGTTCATCCCTCCTGGCCCCTATCTCCCATGTCTGTCCCGGCCCCCGGTCAGGCAGGAGAGAGCTGGCTTCTTTGGAGCACCTAATTGTGCCCCCGGGACTTGCATGCTCCACTTTAGTTTCTGGAGACCATGAGCTGTCATAGGTGTTGGTGATAATGGGCATCTCTGTCTGAAGAGTGATGGGCACGTCTCTGTCCCTGGGGCCTGGCCAGCACCTGGAAGGATGGAGGCGCTCTTGGAAACGGGAGGACCAGACTGCACCTTCTTTGGCTGGCTCCCTGCCTGGGATGCTGGCTCCCAGCTCCCACTGAGAGCAGGCTGGGCTCCCCAGACATCTCATGACCTCTCCCAGGTCCTGGTGTGGCCCAAAGCGAGCTGCTCTGCTACCTGGGAGTACAGCTCTTTCCATCCTCTGGGGAAGGGTGCTTGAGCGAGTGACCTGTTTCGCTCCCCCTGAGGCCCAGTTTCCTCAATTACAAAATGGGAATCACAGTCCCCACCTCACAAGGCCCGGATGAAATGAAATATGCCGCTGGCACGGAGTGGGCACAGTGGAGGTCTCCCTCCCTGCCCCCGGCACCCACCTCTGAGCCCGGTGCCTTTGTGATCTTCCCGTTAGACCCACCTTCCCAGTGTGCTTGAGGAGCTCCCTGGGGCTCTTTGTTGGGAAGGAAAGAGCCCTGGGCTGGGTGCTGGGAAGTCAGGGTTCAAGTGCACTGGGAGGCCCTGGGCAAGCTGATCTCAGAGCCTTAGTTGTCTCCTCTGTCAAGGGGCAGAACCACATCTGCTGCACCTCCCAAAGGCCTGAGCTCTGTCGTCTCCCTGTGAGCTGCTTCAGGATGGGGTTGGGTTTTATTCATCTTGTATTCCCAGCACTTAGCATGGAGCCTGACATAGGATTTGGAGGAAACGAAAGTGAAGATCAGATGAAAGAGTGGATTTTTAAGCAATTAAACATGCTAGGGGTTATTTTCAAGTTTGGGTAAGGCAGACAACTCCTGGTCAAACCCTCATTAACCAGGGAAGTGGTCTTCATGCCCTTCCTTTGCGCATTACTCTCCAGAGAACCTGAGCTGCACTGGATCTCCTTTCCCCATGGGGAGCCATGGGCCTGCCTACCTATAGTGGAGCACTGCAAGGCAGTGCGCCTGCCCGTCCACACCCCACCCATGACCACTCAGGCCCTGGGTGTCACGGTCTGACCTAGACAGGGTGCCTCTTTTGGCTTTGGGGTTTCTCTTCTCTCCTTTAGCAGGGAGCTTGATGGGACGGAGGTTGCCAGAGTTGGGGGGCAGTTCCTGGTGAGATCCCCCACCTCCTCCATTTCCTGCTATCAGGCTCAGCAATCAGGCTGCTCCTCTGGGAGCTGGCAGGAAATGCAGTCGTAAACAAGGCACGTTCCCACCTCACAGCCCTAGTGGTCCCCTGGGAGCTGAGCTGCTTATACAAGTACCTTTGACACCAGGAAGAAGTGACGCAGTCTCTGCAAGAGGAACACACAGAGCCAGGGAAGAGAATTCTGGGCCTTAGGCTCCCCAGCCGCACAACCTCTGCAGCAACCCTTGCCCTCCTGGACAGAGCCTGGACTGGCTCAGAGTCCCTGACTTGGCGAGCACTGCACCCCTCGTTGTGGGTAACACAAGGTCTGTCCTTGAGTTCGTGGTCAGCATGGACTCAGCCTAGCCCCGCTGAGAGGAGAACTGAGGAAAGGAAATGAGTATTTAGGGTCCACTTTGTGCCAGCACATGTGGCCTCTTCAATCCTCATAACATCCCTGTGAGACAGGCACCTGATCCTCGGTTTGTAGCTAAGAAATGATCCCAGGGAAATGAACTCATCTCCCAGGGCTGCAGAGCTGCTAAGTGTCAGGTTGGAAAGCAGCCCTGGCTGTTCTAAAGCCCACGTTCTCTCATGACCCCACCACCCTTTCTGCCGCTTGCCTTCAGAGGTAGAACTCTCCAAGCATCTCGGAAGGCTGGGTTCTAAAAGCTGAGAGGCTATCTAGGCTGCATGCGGTGGCTCAGGCCTGTAATCTCAGGACTTTGGGAGGCTGAGGCAGGTGAATTGCTTGAGCCCAGGAGTTTGAGACCATCCTGGGCAACATAGTGAGACCCCTTCTCTACAAAAAAGAGCCGGGCATGGTGGTACGCCTGTAGTCCCAGCTACTCGTGGGGGTCGAGGCTGCAGTGAGCTGTGATTGTGCCACTGCTCTCCAGCCTGGGTGACAGAGTGAGACCCTGTCTCAAAAAAAAAAAAAAAAAAAAAAAAAAAAGCTGAGAGGCTGTCTTGGGAGATGCAAAGCCACTTTCCAAAGGATGGAAAGAAGTGAAGAGAAACCAGGTCTCTTGATGCCTCTTTCAGGTCCCAGCCCTCTTGCCACCTTTGGAGACAGAGGGTCTGGCAAGAGATGCCACTGCAGAGGGAGGGTGGGGGCTGGTGACCCTGTGGTCTCTTCCAACCCCGAGGCTGTAAGGTGACCCGCATCGTAGTCCACCCCCTCCCATTACCCACGTACAGGGCCTGTAGCTATCACCCCAGCTTCCTGGACAAGTGGTGTGGCCCGAGACCCCCAGCGTTCCCTTCCCTGGAGCTTCTCACATTTCTACATATGGCAGTGTAATGCACCTGCACACAATGTTTGCATATGTGTTCACAGTGCTGGTTCATGCATGTTTATACATTCATACATGGTGTTCATACACATGGCGTTCACGTGCACACACATACACATACACAGCCTTTCTGGCATTCTCTGCTATGTTCTTGCACTGGCTGCTGTCACCCATTTCAGCTGGGCCTGAGAGATGGAGACAGGACCCCCTCCCCGGTGCTGCCGGCTAGCAGATGCCACAGTGCTGATGTTCTGCTCCATTACTGAGTTAATGGAGCCTCCTTCTGCCTCCGGCCTCCCACCGGTTGCCCACCTCCTCCTTTCCAGGGTGTGAGCGTTGACTGGGGGCCTGGGAGGGAGCCTGGCGGGGGTGCGGCTGTGTGCGGAGGGCGTGGGCCTGGCTTGGGTGGAGATGGGGCTGGAGGCAGGCGGCAGCCTCCTGGACGGACAGCAGGGGGCACCGCTAGGTCTCCTCAACGGGCCGCAGGGAAGAAGTGGGCTGGGGAGGAGGCCGCGGTCTCTCCAGCTACTCTCCTGCAGCTTGAACGGGGGCACCTGCCACCCAGCCCGGGCTCCTGCCCCTGCCCCCTTCCCCCTCCCCGCACACTGGCAACACCCCCTCCCCTTACACTCCCAGTCCACGCCACACACACACCCTACTACACACCACACACACTACACACACACACCACACACCACAAACATCACACACACACCCTACTACATGCCACACACACCACACACACACCACACAGACACAGCACACACCACAAACATCACACACACACCCTACTACATGCCACACACACCACACACACACCACACAGACACAGCACACACCACAAACATCACACACACACCCTACTACATGCCACACACACGACACACACACCACACAGACACACCACACACCCTATTACACGCCACACACACGACACACATACCACACACACCACACACATACCACACACAAACCACACACACACCCTACTACACACCACACACCCTACTAGACACCACACACACCACACACACAACCTACTACATGCCACACCACAAAGACACACACCACACTACACACACCACACATGCCACACACAGACACCACACACACTACACAAACACACCACACAGACACACACCACACACCCTACTACACGCCACATACCACACAGGCACACATCACACACACACCACACACCCTACTACACACCACACACACCCTACTACAGACCAGACACCACACACACACACCATGCTACATGCCATACACACCACACACACACCACACACCACACACACACCACACACCCTACTACATGCCACACACACCCTACTACATACCACACACACACCCTACTACACGCAACACACACTACTAAACACCACACACACACTACTACACACCAGACACTGTGCTACATGCCATACACACACTCTATGACACCACACACACCACACAGATACCACACACATCACACACCACACACACTACTAAACACCACACACACCACACACATCCACACTCTACTACACACCACACAGACACACACCATACACACCTTACTATACACCACACACACCTCACTACACACAACAGACCACAACACATACACGTATTACACACACATCCCACACAAACTCACTATACCCCCATACCACACATACGTACACACCACACATATGCCACTACCCACTACCCACATACCCCCTGACACCCCACTAGAGCCTCCACCCCTAACCCACACCACCCCCTACATCACACACACACCATATATACACACCCCACTGTCCCCCACACCCTAGCGCCCACATCACACACACTACACATACAGCACACACATCCTACACATACATACCACCACATATACCCCTACCCACCACATACATGCACACGCCACATATGCACACTCACATCACACACACACCACCACACTCACGCACTCCTATTAAAAGGCTTTTGCTTTCGTGCCAAACCTCTAAACCCATCCCTTAGAGGGGCGGTGATCGGCAGAGCTAGTGTGTTCAAACCTTGTAACATTTAGTCAGAAAGAAAATGCATCAATTTGTAACAGTTTGTAGCTGAAATTGAAGATGTGCATCTGGCATGAAAGATATCGGGACTGTGCTGGAAGGTGCTGTGTGCCTCACATGAGGCAGAGCTGCTCACACTGTGGCTGGAGGATCCATTGATTGTGTGGGTTAATCACTGCTAAGCCACAGAGAGCTCCCCTTTCCCCTGGTGAGCGCTCCCCCAGCTGGCAGTTGCCCACGCACTCTGCAGAAAGCAGTGCCTCTCTTGGGAGCACGACCAGGGCAGACCCCCACAGTCCTACCCGTCCTCCCTCACACTCAGAGCATGCGCACAACAGACCTCCTGGGGCCCACGGGTGCACCCCCCCTACACACTTTCCGTATCCTACACCAGGCAGCCCAGGGCCCGCTGGTCCCCAAGCCTCCATCTGTCCCCACTCAATCACTCATTCCGGGTCGCCCACCCTTCCCGGCCTGCTCCCAAGCATCTTGACACCCAACCAATGGAAGACCCTCTCCTCCGCCCCAGGACAGCTGCCTGTGGGTTTGGGAGATGTTGTGGGGTGCTGGGGAGTGGGGAACCCTGGAGGCCCAAGATTCTGAGTCTCTGGAGAAGGAGGTGGGAAGGCAGCCTGTCTGGGGGCCAGAGGCAGCCCCCTGGGCTGGGAGCAGCTGGGGGCCCCAGCAGGCAGCTCAGGGCTGGCCAGGCGGCTGGACTGTGACTCAGCAGCTTCTCCGTCTTGGCTAGAGTGCGCCGTGCTGCAGTATTAACTCCCTCTCCAGGGAGCCTGGACTCCAGCTCCTCTCCCATGGGGATGGCGGGCTTCTCTGTCCTGTTTCAAGTTGTGATCCTGGCTGGGGTGGCAGAGCGGAGGGTGTGCTGAGGGGCTTGCCTGGCGGGGGCATCCCTCTGCCCCCTCACCACTGCTACTATCCCTGCACCCTACAAGAGTTAGCCAAGGATCAAATGGAGCCAGGGCTTGGTGGGGTGGCCTGAGGGGCGACAAAGGCCTGGAATCCAGGAGTTGACAACTCAGGCAGGGCTGCCACCATTTAGCGGTGTTGTTTGTGTGATGGAGGTAAGCCACCTCCCTTTGGGGCCTCAGTTTCTTTGTTTTCGAAAAGAGGCTGTGGACTGCGTTGTCTGTAAGAGTCCCTCAGCCCTCACAGGCTGGGTTTTATTAATATTTGCCTGTGATTTAAGGGTATCCATGCCTGGGGTCTAGGTTCAGAGAGAAATAAATAATCCGAGGCAGGTGTGAGGTGCTGCAGGTTTACAGAGCCTCACTCAGGAAACTTCACCTTTGATCATGGAAGCTGTCCTTAAGGCAGGCAGGGCAGGGATGCTTAACCCCCACACACAGCTGCACAAGCGCAGGGAGGCTAACAGGCCAGCCCAAGATTGGTGCAGGAAGGGCTCAATCCTCAGCCATTGGATTCTGAGGCGCCCATCAGGTGGCCTGGAATTGCTGATCTCAGCGAGATCAAGAGAAGGAAAATGAGTGTTGCTGCAGCAGGAGAGATTGAAGTTAGACACTAGAAGGACGTTCCAACTCTCAGGAACCTGGGAGTTGTTAGCTTCCCCAGGGCCAGTCAAGAACAGACTCTGCTTCTACGTGTGCGGAATGACAACCTCGCTCCAAAGTGGAGGTGTGCATGCACTGACCAAGAAGGCTCATCAGGCCTCGGTACACAAGGAACTCAAAGAAATGGGTAACTTATTTTCAGAATGAGCTAGAAAATTAATTCATTAAAACTTTATCCTCAGCCTCCTAGGACCAAATGTTGGACTGAAGCATTGGTGCAAAACATAAAGACATATATTTCTCCTTAAGTATTGATCTTTCTAGCCTGTGAGCTTCGGTGACAGGTGTCTTGCTGGTTAACCTATTTCCATCTCATTACTTTGGCTTCTGCAAATACAATGCCGGGAAAGATTAAATACTGTAAGCTGTATCCAGTCAGCTCTCCATTATCTGCATTAATCAAGGCTAGTACTGAGTGGGATAATCCACAGAAGTGCCTAGTCCCCAGATCATATTTAATTGGTTTGGGGTGGCAGTTGATGGTGAGTGTATGTACATGTGTGCACACACACACATATATGCTTTTGGTGAGGGTGAGGATTGAACTTACTCATCTTTGATGTGGCATCAGGATCCCATTTTGGAGGCAGTCTCATTTGGGGGCACACCAAGGGAATCCCAGAAGCCTGCTAGAGGAGACAGCAGGGCTTCCAGTCTCCTGACTTTTTGTAGGGAAGAAGAGAGGCAAGGTGAGAGCCTAGGGGTCCTCTGAGGGTGAGGGGGGCAGGTCCTGGTGGCATTCTTCCTGCAGCATGCCTCCCACCTGGAGCAGGTCAGGCGATTTCTGGGTGAGCTACACAAACCCACTCATTTGTTCTCTCTTTTGGCTGGGCGCAGTGGCTCATGCCTATAATCCCAGCACTTTGGGAGGTCAAGGCAGCAAGATCGCCAGGAGTTCAAGGAGTTCATGAGGCCAGGAGTTCAAGACCAGCCTGAGCAACATAGTGGTACCCTGTCTCTATGAAAAACTTTAAAACTAGCCAGGCATGGTGGCGCATGTGTGTGGTCCTAGCTCCTTGGGAGGCTGAGGTGGGAGGATTGCTTGGGCCCAGGAGTTTGAAGGCTGCAGTGAGCTATGATCACGGCCCTGTATTCCAGCCTGAGCAACAGAGTGAGACGCTGTCTGTAAAAAATAAAATAAATTTAAAAACACACAAACCCCCCTCATTTGTTTTCTCCTTTGCAAGGCTGAGGATCCAGCTCCAGGGTTCTGAAGTACCAGAGGGTGGAAGAGACAGGCAGATTTTCGTGGGGTTCAAAAATTTAAAGATACAGAAAGATACCCAGTGAAATATTTTCCAGCTCCTCCTTTCCCAACTCCGCTCCCCAGAAGCAACTACAACTAATGTCATCAATTCCTTATGCACCTTTCCAGAGCCGTGCTGTGAATATAGAAGCATACAAGCATACATATACTTCTCCCCTACCCTTTTACACAGGTATCATGCTCACTCCCCTGCACACCGATTCTTCCACTATCTCCCTTGGAGATCATTCCCTGTTCACCCACACAGAGCAAAGCTCCAGGGCATCTGGGCCTTCTGTGATTCTCCCATGTAGGCTGACCATGGGCTGAGTGAAGACCCTCAAAGCAGAACATCCCAGAACTACTGAGAGTGTGAGTGTGAGTGTGCGAGGTCGTCTCACCCCACCTTCCTCCTCCAGCCTAGCTCCCCTTCCCTCCTACTCAACTTGATTGTCAATCAAGTCTCCCTTTAGTTTAGGTACAAGAACTGTGGCTGAGCTCTGAGCATATCTGGGCATTTGGAGTTAAGGAAAGAGAGAGCCTCTAGACATGTTGTTTCTGCTTGTTATAAGAGGGCTTATAACAGGGGGAGAGATGGTGGCCCCTTCCCCCTGCACTCCCCATCCCGGCGTATCCCTAGGCTCTCTGTTGAGAGCATTCTTTTTGATACTCACCTGAAGTCCTGCTTTCTGCCCTGACAGCTCTCTACATGATAGAAAAAAAAAAAGGATAAGATAAAGGATAAGCCAACCAGGTTGTCACCTGCTCCCCAACTCCTAACTCACCCCAGGCCAAGTGTGGCTGTTCTCCCTAGCAAAGGGGGCCAGAGGCAGTTAACTAGTACTCCAAGACCCCAGCATGTTTTAGGGTCTGTGCAGGGACATGCATGCCAAGCATGGTTCCTCCTGGACCCATTGCTCCCAGCCCTGGGGCCACTTGCAGAGGCCTGAGTGCTTGGGACTGACACTGTCACAGGGGCCAAGTGGCCATCCTGGGCAGACAGAAGGACAGCGGCCAGTGGACCAGGGAGAGAAGGGAATTCCTGCGTGGATTCTGTTTAGTGACCTTGTTTCTGGTCTACCCCTGCTTCTCCAGCATCATTTCCCACTATTGGAGACTCCCCCTTCCTGAGCTTTCCCTGAGGACTGGGCCCCCTACCTTGCTCCTGAGCAGGAGACCTGGCCTCAGTCAAATTTAGACCCGGATCTTTACTCTGATCAACTGTGTGACCTTGGGCAGGTCACTTACTACCTGTCTGAGCAGAATTTGCCTTGCCTTTGAAATGATGCTGGTAATTGTGCCCTCTTCCCAGGTGGGTTAGATGAGAACATCTGTGCGCTCATCAAACAGAGCTATGGTGATTGAACCTGTTGTTGCCACCAATGTCCTCCTGCCTGCCCTGCTCTGATGCCCTCCAGGTCTGCAGTGCCTTTGAGGCTTATTTTACTTCCAGCAACCGGGCTTGGACTTTGACCTCTCTGGCAAGTCTTTCTGAATTACTTAGAACCTCATTTTTTCAAAGTGTGGTGCCCAGATCACCTGCATCAGAGGAAATGGGGATGTTGTTACAATGCAGATCCCTGGGCACATTCCAGTCCACTGAGTTTTCTGAGTTAGGCTCTGGGAGACAGGGTGCAATGGCAGAGGGTCTGCATTTTAACAAATTCCCCAGGGGGTCTTGATGCAGGCCAAGCCTGAGAGACCCTTCCTCAGTCCCTTCCCTTGTGTGTCTTCTCCCTTGTTGGGGCCTCCCAGACCCCTACCTCTTCAGACCTTGACCTGTGGCCCAGCAGGCTGGGAGCAGGCATCTCTCCCCACCCCCAGCCTCCCTCTCCGGGCAGCTGCAGCCTTCACCTAATGGCGCCATTTCATGCTTTCCTGCTCGGGTGATTCTGACCAGACAGAGGAGTTCACTCTGTCCTGGGAGCCCTGGCACCCTGATCCATTTATCATCCTCAAGTCTTCCAGCTGGCTGCTCTCCCCGGGACTGCAGCTCCCAGCCATGCGGGAGGCGAGGCAGCTGTGAGTTCCCGATAATTTGGCTCTCCCTCACACCGTTCTCGCCGCCATTCCTCCCCAGCCATAGGAGCCCTGCCTCCTAGAGTGGGGGAAATAGTCCTGGAGGCGGAGGAGGCTGCTGGGCTGTGGAAGGAAGCACTGGACTAGGGGTCCAGGGATTTAGATTCTTCCTCCACCAAATGCCTGTGCGACCTTGGACAACTGGCTTCACTTCTCCAGGCCTCCAGGAGTCTTGGGTGGCATGCAGGGTATGAAAGGGCTCCTGCTGTTTTCCTTCTTTTTACATTTTTTTTCTCTGACTCTAGAAGGGACAGCAGAGCCAGGTGACAGGGGGTCACATCAGAAGGAGAGTCAGCTGAGGGAATCTTGGTCTCTCAGCTACTGGCGTGTCTCCCAGGGAAAATGGAAATGCAACCGAAGGGCAGCCTTGGAAAAATAAGCAGTGGTTCTCTACATGCTGAGCAGATGTGGGCTGTGGGAAGGACATGCGGTCTCTACCCATGCAACATCTCATTTAATCCCAGCCTCAACTCGAGGGTTTAGGAATAAAAGCTGCATTCAAATAGTTAAGAAGTCTGACACTCAGAGAGGTGAAAGAAACCACCCGAGGTGAAATGACTCATAAGGGGGTGCGTCTGACTCTCTATGGTCCCAGGCCTGCTGCAAGAGGAGAGGAAGGGTGGGCAGTTCCCAAAGCTGTGTGCAATGCCCCCACTTCCCATGCCAGCTTTGGGGTCTCGCTGTACACACACACACACACACACACACACACACTCACACCAGACCTTGGTTCCTTCCCAATCTATGCTTGGGTGGGTGTCCCTGGATATAGCCTGATGACAACTGAGTCTTAACATGGTTTGTGGAAAGAGCCCTGGGCCCAGAGCCAGCCTGTACTGCACGGGGGGACCCTGGGAAGGCCACTTCCCCACAGAATTCAGTGTCTTCTGTGAAATGACATAATGTGACCCAATCTCAAAGTCTGTCCTGCTTGATCATTTACAGACCCACATATTTATTGAATGTGGGCAGATTACTTGAGGTCAGGAGTTCGAGACCAGCCTGGCCAACATGGTGAAACCCCGTCTCTACAAAACTACAACAAATTAGCCAGGCGTGTGGTGGGCACCTGTAATCCCAGCTACTTGGGAGACTGAGGCAGGAGAATTGCTTGAACCTGGGAGGCAGAGGTTGCAGTGAGCCAAGATCGTGCCACTGCACTCCAGCCTGGCAGACAGCGAGACTCCATCTCAACAACAACAACAACAAAAAATGCGTAAACAAGTGAGCGTCCCAACAAAATTTTATTTACAAAAATTAGGTGGGGGACTGGATTTAGCCCCTGGACTGCCGTTGGCCAATGCCTGCACTAGAGCAACAGCAGTGAGTAAGACCAATGAGGTGGCTGCTTATACAGTCACAAGCTGCATGAGTACCATGGGGATGAGAATGGAGAGCTGGGAAAGCAGGTGGTTGAGGCCTTGATGCGGGGGTAGGGGAGGAGGGAGCCATGGGTGTGGGGAGGAAGGCGTTCTTGGAAGTACTGTTTGAGCTGAGAAAGATGTGTAGACTGTATTAGTCTGATCTTGCACTGCTATAAAGAAAAACCTAAGACTGGGCAATTTATAAAGAAAAGAGGTTTAATTGGCTCGAAGTTCCACAGGCTGTACAGAAAGCATGATGCTGGCATCTGCTCGGCTTCTGGAGAGGCCTCAGGAAACTTACAATCATGGGGGGAGGTGAAGAGGGAGCCAGCACTTCACATGGCCAGAGCAGGAGGAAGAGGCGAGGGAGTGGGGGTTGGGGGGTGCTACACACTTTTAAATGACCAGTCTCATGAGAACTCACTATCACTAGATCTGACCCTGTGATCCAATCACCTCTCACCAGGCCCCACCTCCAACATCAGGGATTACAATTTGACATGAGATTTGGGCAGGGACACAGATCCAAACTGTATCATAGGCTTTGGCTCCTTGAAGGGGGCACAGCATATACAAAGGCCCCGAAGAGGGTAATACAGTGTATTAGGGGAAACAAAAGAAGGAGTGTAGGCTGGTGTTAGCAACCCAGGGAGGGAAAGCTGAGGTGCTGCTGGATGGAGAGCATGAGGGGCTGTAGGCCACGCTAGGGCTTTCGGCCTGTCTCCCTGGGATGGCTTTTCATTTTTGGCGACATGACTGGCTTTGCATTTTATGAAGATTGCCTTGGTGGCAAATACGGAACTGACTGGAGGCGAGCAAGAGGAGACCCAGAAGATCAGGCAGCTATGTCGGGGGCCAGTTGACCTGTGGGCCTGGAGCTCGGAAGTGGCTTGACTCTGACAGAAGAGGATGGCACTGATGCCTGGGTGCAGAAGGAACCACGCAGGGAGACACCATGGCTGAGAAGGGAAGGACCTCAAGTGCAAGCCTGAGGCAACCGAAGGAGGAGTAGTCACAGTTATGACAAAAGCAGGCAGCGGCCAGCTGACCACAGCTCAGGGGTCCAGCTCAAGGAAAATGAAAATGCGCCCTGGGTTTAGTGACCTTGTGTTCATCATCCATGACTTTACAAAGAGCTACTTCAGCAGAGGGATGGGGCAGAAGCCACAATGGAGGGGCTGACGAGTGAGGTGGACGTGACGAAATGGGGACCATGTGTGCGTGTGTGTGCACGTGTGTATATGTGTGTGCATATGTGTATGTGTGTGCAAGTGTGTGTGCGTGGTCACGAAGGGGAGAACAAGGCAGCAGGTGGGGCTCATTTTTGGTGGGTGATGTGATAAACTGGACTGGTCCAGCCTCAGCTGAGGGAAGGGGGAAATGTTAGGCACAAGAAAGGGCAGGGATGGCAAAGACTTCCTGAGAAGTCAGGAGGGATCCTGCGCAGGAACGGGAACTGGCTTAACCAGAGGAAAAGCCCTCAACTCACAAGGGGTCAGGAGGAAAGGTCTGTGGTTTGACCCAAGGTTGGGACATTTTGAGAGATTTCTCGCTTCTGCTTTTCTTTAAAATAACAGCAAAGAGAGAGGAGGGGTGTGAGGGAGCCACAGGCCTGCGGAAACTGGAGGAGGAGGCGAAGCTGGTGGGGAGGCGTTTCCTGCAGTTTCTGTGCAGTGCAGAGGGCCTGGGTGATCCTGGGGATTGATGGGATACAGGCTGCCCTTGTACTGTGGGGGGATTTTCACCAGGGGGCTCAGCAGTCGGGGGTAGCCATGGAGAAGGAGAAAGCTGTCAGTGGGATTTCTCCAGGGCTGGCGCTTTGCCAGGTGAATACCACAGAAATGCCAAGGGAGTGTGGGGAATTGCGAACAAGTTGTAGGCACCACGGACCATGGTGGGAAAAGAAGACTAGAGGGGCTGATGGTGGCCCAGGGAGGTCAGGGAGACTTCTCCAGGAAGAGCATTCTAGGCTGAGGGAGAGTAAGTGCCAAGACTGTGGGATGGGGGTCTGTTTGGTGGGTTTGTGGCTGGTGGCAAGAGGCCAGCATGGCAGGAACTGCGTGACTGAGAGCAAGGACAGGAAATGCCTGTGGGAGCCAGCCAGGGGCCAGGCCAGGCAGGGATCTTATTCTAAATGTGACAAGAAGCCACAGGAGGGTTTTAAATAGATCAGTCTGGCTGCAGTGTGGAGATCAGGCTGAGTGGAGGGGAGTGGAAGCTTCCAGATAGGAGGCTACTGTGGTACTCCAGCTGGAGGGTGGAAAGTGGCCAGATTTGGAAGGCATTGTGGGTGGTTGATGAGTTTGCAGACACCTGGGATGTGGGGGGGTGACCCCACATGGATGGGAAGGATGACCCCAAGGCTTCTGGTCTCAGCACCTGGTGCCATGTACTGGGTGCATAACTGAGAGACGGGCCCTGAATCCACCCCATCCACTCTCTGGGCCCACTGCCCATGCCTGCCTTTGACATGAGCCTCCTCAGGCATCTTCTATTCCCTTGCTGTCTGGGCAGCTATGGCCTCCTGGTTTTGTTGGAGTCTGGAAAAGCTTCCAATCTGCTGCTGCTGCTTCATGGACTCCCCACATTCCCTCTCTGCAGCTCTAAGTCATTTTCCTCTGGTGGATTCCCCGGGAATGCCGTCTGTCTTTCATAAGAGCTCGGGGATGACATTTGTTATTGGCTGTTTTCAACTCTTTCCCCGCTTTCCTCTGGAGTTATGCTCCACCCTAGTCTTTTTACTCACGACAGCCAAAGCGAAACTTTTAAAATATACATTTGTACATGTTACCCCTGCCCCCACCCTAAAAGGCCTCCCACAGCTTCTCATTCCTCTTTGGGAAAGACAAAACTCCTTGACGCGGCCTATGGTGCTCCTGATCCTGCCCTGCCCGGCCTGCCAGCCTCACCCTGAACCGTGATCCATCCACTCCAGCTGCCCTGGCCTTCTCTCAGGCTTTGGACTCACCACACTGCATCCCACCTCTGGGCCTTTGCATAGGCTGTGCTCTCTGCCTAGGCTGCCCTTTCATCTCCTCTTTACCTGGATAAATACTCACCCTTCAGGTCTCAGTTCAATCATCAATTTTTCAAGAAAGCACTTTTGCTTTCCCAGATTAATTCACGTATGCCCCATTATAAATGCTCACCACCACCAGATGGCTCTCCTTTCTTGCACTTCTCATAATTACAATTTTATATGCACTTATGTGAAGTGCATGGTAAATTCCATGAGGGAAGCATGATATGAGCTCAGTAAATACTTGAGTGAGTGAGTGAATGAATGAATGTGTCTCTCACATCTGTTCTCTCTACTCCATTCCTTACCTTCCCATCCTAGTGCAGGTCTTTACCATTTCTGGTCTGTGGAACCAACCTCCCTGCTCCACTCCCCATGGAGCTAACTTCACAAACCCCACTTATAACTGCTCAGCACCCTTCAGTGGTTCCTGCTGGGTATAGAGGGAAGTCTAATCTCCTTTTCTGGGACTCCAACACTCCTGAGATGCAGTTCTCCCCCTTCATTCCTGGCCTGCAGATTCCCTGAACCTCAGGAGCATTAAGCGTCTTCATTCCTGGCTGGTTTATTTGACACCAAGCAGCTTTACTTTGCTACAGGACCATTTCTGGACGGTCAGTCTGGAGAGAAGGCCTGCATCCACCATGAACCTTGGGTCCCTCTACGGTGCCAGGGCCACTTCCAGGTGCCTCAGATAAGGTTCAATGAACACTTCTCAGATTCACATCCAACCCACATTTATTGAATGCCCTCTATGTGCCAGACACAACCAAATTTATTTTTAAAATTTTCACGGCAGTTCTGAAAAGTAGGTATTATTTTCCACAATTTTATATTGAAGAAATCAAGTTTCACAAAGGGATTTTTGGAGTCAAATGACAAGTGGTTGGCATTCTTGGGACTACATTCAGCCTCTTCCCCCAGCCTGTGCTGCCTCCTGCCTGCCCTGCAGTGGAGAGTGAGAGGGTGGGGTGCTGCAGGGACCGTGGACCGGCTGTGGGGAGCTGTCTGCAGAAAGGGGAGGAGGACTGCCAATCCAGCGGCAAGGGTAGAATGGAGGAGCTAGGCTCAACTGATAAATGGCATCTACAAAAAGCCCACAGCTTACATTATATTAAATGAAGAAAGATTGAAAGATTTTCCCCCAAAGATCAGGAAAAAGACAAGAATTCCCACTGTCACCACTTCTGTTCAACAGTGGACTGGAAGTTCTAGCCACGGCAATTAGGGAAGAAAAAGAAAATGGAAAACTATCTTCATTTGCATGATTCTATATATAGAAAATCCTAAGGACTCCACCAGCACACACACACATGCACACACACACAAATTATTAGAACAAATGATTTCAGGCTGAACGCGGTGGCTGATGCCTGTAATCCCAGCACTTCGGGAGGTGGAGGCAGGCGGATCACCTGAGGTCAGGAGTTCAAGACCAGCCTGGCCAACATGGTGGAACCCCGTCTCTACTAAAAATACAAAAATTAGCCGGGCATGGTGGCACATGCCTATAATCCCAGCTACTAGAGAGGTTGAGGCATGAGAATTGCTTGAGCCCAGGAGGCGGAGGTTGCAGTGAGCCGAGATTGCACCACTGCTCTCCAGCCTGGGCGACAGAGCGAGACTCTGTCTGGAAAAAAAAAAAAAAAAAAAAAAAAAAAAAGGAAGAACCAATGAGTTCGGCAATGTGGCAGGGTACAAGACTGAGATACAAAAATCTATTATATTGCTATACACTAGCAACGAACAATCTGAAAGTGAAATTAAGAAAACAATTCCATTTATAATGACATCAAAAAGAATAAGATACCTAGGAACAAAAGAAGTGCAAGATGTGTAGTTGAAAACTACAAAACAATCTTGAAGGAAATTAAAGGTCTAAATAAGTGGGAAAATAGTGGAAAACTCAATGTTGTTGATATGATCCCTGAGCTGATCTACAGATTCAACACAATGCCTATCAAAATTCCAGCTATTTTGTAGAAATTAACAAGGTGGTCCTAAAATTCATATGGAAATGCAAGGAACCCAGAATAGCCAAAACAATCCTGATTAAAGAAGAACAGGCCTGGTGCAGTGGTTCATGCCTGTAGTACCAGCACTTTGGGAAGCCAAGGCAGGTGGATTGCATGAGCCCAGGAGTTCGAGACCAGCCTGGGCAGCATGGTGAAACCCCTTCTCTACAAAAATACAAAAATTAGCCAGTTGTGGTGGCATGGGGCTGTAGTCCTAGCTACTCAGAAGGCTGAGGTGGGAGGATCAATTGAGCCCGGGAGGTCAAGGCTGCAGTGAGCCATGTTCACACCACTGTACTCCAGCCTGGGTGACAGAGTGAGACCTTGGCTCAAAAAACAAAGTTGGAAGACCCATTCTGCCTGATTTCAAAACTTACTACAAAGCTACAGTAATCACGACAGTATGGTCAATAGTAGGCAGGTGCTATTAAAAAAAAAAATCAGTGTGGTATTGCCATGAGGTTAGACATACAGATAGAATTGAGAGTCCAGAAATAAACCCTCATATTTGTGGTCAGTTGATATTTTACAAGGGAACTAAGACAACTGGATGGAGGACAGAATAGTCTTTTCAACAAATGTTATATACCAAATGGATATCCACATACAAACGAATGAATGTGAACCCCTTCCTTACGCCATACTCAAAGTGGATTGTAGAAACATAGTGGAACCTAATTTCTAGAAGAAAATTAAAAATTAGCCAGATGTAATGGCACATGGCTGTAGTCCTAGCTACTCGGGAGGCTGAGGCTGGAGGATCACTTGAGCTCAGGAGGCCATGGCTGCAGTGAGCCATGATCATGCCACTGCACTTTAGCCTGGGTAACAGAGTGAGACCCTGTCTTAAAAAATAAGTGGCTTGTAGACTTGAATGTGAGAGCTAAAACTATGCAACTCCCATAAGAAAACAAAGGAGTAAATCTTAGTGCCCTTAGGTTTAGTGATGGTTTCTTGGATATAGCACCAAAAATATGGCAGCAAAAGAAACAGCTAAATTGGACATCATCAAAATTGAAAACTTTTTTGCTTCAAAGGACACCATTAAAAACTGAAAATATGACCAGGCACAGTGGCTCATGCCTGTAATCCCAGCACTTTGGGAGGCCGAGGAGGCCAGATCAACTGAGGTCAGGAGTTTGGGACCAGCCTGGCCAACATGGTAAAACCCCGTCTCTACTAAAAATACAAAAATTAGCCAGGCATGGTGGTGAGCGCCTATAACAATCCCAGCTACTTTGGGAGGCTGAGGCTGGAGAATCACTTGAACCTGGGAGGTGGAGGTGGCAGTGAGCTGAGATTGTGCCATTGCACTCCAGCCTGGGCAACAAGAGTGAAACTCCATCTCAAAAACAACAAAAAAACACCACACACACACAAAATGAAAATATAACCCTAGAATGAGAGAAAATATTTGCAAATTATATGTTCAAAAAGGAACTGGTATGCAGAATATATAAAAATTCTTACAACTCAATAATAAAAAGACAAAATATTTTAAGATGACCAAAGGATTTGAATAGATATTTCTCTATGGAAGATATACAAATGGCCCATAAGCACATGAAAAGATATGCTACATCATTAGACATCAGGGAAATGCAAATCAAAACTACAATGAAATGCCGCTTCACCTCCACTGGGATTACTATAAACAAAAAGACATAATAACAAGTGTTGTCCTTTTGGCTTAGGATTGACTTGGCAATGCGGGCTCTTTTTTGGTTCCATATGAACTTTAAAGTAGTTTTTTCCAATTCTGTGAAGAAAGTCATTGGTAGCTTGATGGGGATGGCATTGAATCTATAAATTACCTTGGGCAGTATGGCCATTTTCATGATATTGATTCTTCCTACCCATGAGCATGGAATGTTCTTCCATTTGTTTGTATCCTCTTTTATTTCATTGAGCAGTGGTTTGTAGTTCTCCTTGAAGAGGTCCTTCACATCCCTTGTAAGTTGGATTCCTAGGTATTTTGTTCTCTTTGAAGCAATTGTGAATGGGAGTTCACTCATGATTTGGCTCTCTGTTTGTCTGTTGTTGGTGTATAAGAATGCTTGTGATTTTTGCACATTGGTTTTGTATCCTGAGACTTTGCTGAAGTTGCCTATCAGCTTAAGGAGATTTTGGGCTGAGACGATGGGGTTTTCTAGATATACAATCATGTCATCTGCAGACAGGGACAATTTGACTTTCTCTTGTCCTAACTGAATACCCTTTATTTCCTTCTCCTGCCTGATTGCCCTGGCCAGAACTTCCAACACTATGTTGAATAGGAGTGGTGAGAGGGGGCATCCCTGTCTTGTGCCAGTTTTCAAAGGGAATGCTTCCAGTTTTTGCCCATTCAGTATGATATTGGCTGTGGGTTTGTCATAGATAGCAAAGCTGGAGGCATCACAGTACCTGACTTCAAACTATACTACAAGGCTACAGTAACCAAAACAGCATGGTACTGGTACCAAAACAGAGATATAGACCAATGGAACAGAACAGAGCCCTCAGAAATAATGCCGCATATCTACAACCATCTGATCTTTGACAAACCTGACAAAAACAAGAAATGGGGAAACGATTCCCTATTTAATAAATGGTGCTGGGAAAACTGGCTAGCCATATGTAGAAAGCTGAAACTGGATCCCTTCCTTACACCTTATACAAAAATTAATTCAAGATGGATTAAAGACTTAAATGTTAGACCTAAAACCATAAAAACCCTAGAAGAAAGCCTAGGCAATACCATTCAGGACACAGGCATGGGCAAGGACTTCACGTCTAAAACACCAAAAGCAATGGCAACAAAAGCCAAAATAGACAAATGGGATCCAATTAAACTAAAGAGCTTCTGCAGAGCAAAAGACACTACCATCAGAGTGAACAGGCAACCTACAGAATGGGAGAAAATTTTTGCAATCTACTCATCTGACAAAGGGCTAATATCCAGAATCTACAATGAACTCAAACAAATTTACAAGAAAAAAACAACCCCATCAAAAAGTGGGCAAAGGATATGAACAGACACTTCTCGAAAGAAGACAGTTATGCAGCCAAAAGACACATGAAAAAATGCTCATCATCACTGGCCATCAGAGAAACGCAAATCAAAACCACAATGAGATATCATCTCACACCAGTTAGAATGGCGATCATTAAAAAGTCAGGAAACAACAGGTGCTGGAGAGGATGTGGAGAAATAGGAACACTTTTACACTGTTGGTGGGACTGTACTAGTTCAACCATTGTGGAAGTCAGTGTGGCGATTCCTCAGGGGTCTAGAACTAGAAATACCATTTGATCCAGCAATCCCATTACTGGGTATATACCCAAAGGATTATAAGTCATGGATTATAAGTCAAGGATTATAAAGACACATGCACACGTATGTTCATTGCGGCACTATTCACAATAGCAAAGACTTGGAACCAACCCAAATGTCCAACAATGATAAGACTGGATTAAGAAAATGTGGCACACATACACCATGGAATACTATGCAGCCATAAAAAATGATGAGTTCATGTCCTTTGTAGGGACATGGATGAAGCTGGAAACCATCATTCTCAGCAAACTATCGCAAGGACAAAAAACCAAACACCGCATGTTCTCACTCATAGGTGGGAATTGAACAATGAGAACACATGGACACAGGAAGGGGAACATCACACTCTGGGGCCTGTTGTGGGGTGGGGGGAGGGTGGAGGGTTAGCATTAGGAGATATACCTAATGTTAAATGACGAGTTAATGGGTGCAGCACACCAACATGGCACATGTATACACATGTAACTAACCTGCACATTGTGCACATGTACCCTAAAATTTAAAGTATAATAAAAAAATAAGTGTTGTCTGGGATGTGGAAAACTTGGAACCCTCATACATTGCTGGTGGGAACATAAATTGGTGCTGGCACCTTAAAATGTCAAACATAGTTATGACCCAGCAATTCCATACCTATGTATATACCCAAGAGAAATGAAAACATATGTCCACGCAAAAACTTATGCATGGATGTTCATAGCAGCATTATTCATAATATCCCACAAGTGGGATATTATTAGCTATATTTAGTTATAAAATAGCCCAAAGTGGAAATAACCCAAATATTTATAAATTGATGAATGGATAAATATAAAATATGTTCTAGGCAAGGTGCGGTGGCTCATGCCTGTAATGCCAACATTTTGGAGGCTGAAGTGGGAGGATTGCTTGAGGCCAGGAGCTCGAGACCAGCCTGGGCAATATAGGGAGACCCCATATCTACAAAAAATTAAAAAATTAGCTTGGTGTGATGGCATGCACCTGTAATCCCAGCTACTCGGGAAGCTGAGGTGGGATGATCACTTGAGCCCTGGAGGTGGAGGCTGTAGTAAGTGGTTGCACCACTGCACTCCAGCTGGGTGACAGAGTGAGACCCTGTCTCAAAAAAAAAAAAAAATGTTTTCTATCTACACAATGGAATACTATGTGGCAATAAAAAGGGAATGAAATACTGATACATGCTACAACATAGATGAACCTTGAAAACATCATACTAAATGAAAGAAGCCAGTCACAAAGACCACATATTTTATAATTCCATTGATAGGAAATGTTTAGGATAGACAAATCTATAGAGTCAGAAAGTAGATTAGTGGTTGCTGGAGCTGGGAAGAGGATGGGAATGGAGAGTGACTGCTAATGGGACTGGGTTTCTTTTTGAGGTGGCAAAAATGTTCTAACTTAGGTTATGCTAATTGTTCCACTATTCTGTGAATACAATAAAATGCACTGAACTGTGTACTTTAAAGGGTGACATATGTGAATTACATCTCAATAAAGCTGTTTTTTAAAAAAAAAAGGTCACAGAGCCCTGAACAGTGTGGTAGAAGTGAGGGGAGATGGACATGGCGGAAGGCCCTGGACACACATCTTTATCCCTTTGTGTGGCTACTTGCAGTTCCCGCCAAACCGGACCCATCTCTTTGTCCCCAGAGGCGAAGTCCAGTGGACCTTGGTTTTTCACTTCAAGACCAGTTTTGGGGTCAAGGCTATTTCAACATGGCAGACAGTAAGAGTTAAATAAATGCTTGGTGAATGAACCTACATTGCATCAATGTACAGGCCACCAGAAGTACTTAAGGCTGGAGCAGTCTCCAGGGCTGGGGAGGGGATCTCAGCAGGTTTTTAAAGGAAGGGACAGAACTTAAGAGCTCCTAAAATGTTCCTTCAGAAGAACCCTGAGTCTAGAGGAGAGTTAACTCATACCTAACGTGCAGTGAGAAAAGTCTCACATTTTTTCTTTAAATTCTTGTGCTGTATGCATCCTACTCTATTATTTCCAGCTTGTTTTAATTTAAAAATACTGTAAATTGCCATTCAGTAAAACGGATGCCTCAGGGAGTTGTGCTGTTTATTCTTGCATCCTGGAATACCTGTGGGTGTATGCTGCTATGTTCCCTCAGAGGAGCCCAGTCAACAAATACCCAGAGTGCCCGCTGTGTGCTTGGCACAAGGGGTGCTGTTGCCAACACAGGATCTGCCCTCATGGGACTTTCAGTTGAGAAATAAGTGCATAGCCCTGAGGAGCAGAAAGAGCTTGGTGGAGAGGACAGAATTATGGGGGGCAGAGTTTGGAAGCTCGTAAGAACATTGCCTTAAATGAAGACCAACATTTATGCTCAGTGTTTTACTAGGAAAAAGTTGAAAACTGCCTAAATGTCTACCAGTGGAATGGCTAAAAAAATTATGGTGTTACCATATAGTAGGATATTATGTAGCTATTTAATAATAAAAAACAATAAAGGAAAAGGCTTATGATGAAATTTTATGTAAAAAATCTTGAAAAAAAACTATACATAGTATGGTCTCAACATGTAAAACATACTCAGAAAAAATACCAGCATAGAATGCCCCAAATGCTAGTTGACTTTGGAGGGTAGAATTATGGGGGGATTTCTCTCTCTCTCCCCAAATTTTCTACAGTAAGTCTGGGTTATGTTATTAATAAACATCACATCTTTGATGCGGGAAGGCTAATCTACAGCTGCATGTGGGGGCAGGGCTAGAGATGAACCTGGAGTAGGGGCCACAGAGTAGACCGGGGAGGAAGGGCTAGAGATGGAGATGTGGGTGCCGTCTTCCTACAGGAGAGGTCAAAACAAACCCTGAGTGGGCACTGAGGGAGCCCGTGAAGAAACCGCAGAGAGCTGAGGAGTCTCGCGGGGCAGGAGGAGGAATTGGAGTCAGGGATGAGGAGAGTCAAGTGTCATGGAGCTGGGCAGAGATTCTAGGCAGAGTAGTATCTAGAAATCCTTGGAAGTCAAGGAGAGAGGTTGAAAGAGGAGCCCTCAGTGTAAAACCTTGTCTCCTTCCTAGAGTGGTGAGGTTAGATTTCAATGAGATATAGGAGAGTGATTAGCTATACAGGCTCTGGAGTTGGGCAGACCAGTTCAAACCTCAGTTTCAGAACTTACAGCTAAGTGACCTTGGAAAAACTATCTAACCTCTCTGAACCTGTTTCCCCATCTGTTAAATGGAACCAATAAAAACCATTAGGTTATTTTTTGGATTAGATGAATAATGCATGGAAAGTGTTTTGCACAGTGCTTGGCACATATATGTACTATTTTTTTTAAGAGACAGAACCTTACTTAATCACCCATAGCTCATGTAACCTCAAACTCCTGGACTCAAGTGATCCTCTATCACTTCAGCCCCCACTATGCCTAACTAAAAAAAAAAAATTTCTAAAGATAGGGTCTTGCTATGCTGCTCAGGCTGACTGTGTACTAATTGGATGATGTCTATTATTATTGGTTTACTACAGTTGTTAATATTATGCAAAATATCTTTGATCTATAAAGAGCTTCTCCTGGTCCTTTGGGCAGGGCTTTCTCAGGGTAAGACGACCTCTGGATGCTCACCCTGCCCTCTTCACCTCTCGTCCCCAGCTGTTTCCTCTGCCACCATGAGGAACATTTTCAAGAGGAACCAGGAGCCTATTGTGGCTCCTGCCACCACCACCGCCACGATGCCCATTGGACCCGTGGACAACTCCACTGAGAGTGGGGGTGCTGGGGAGAGCCAGGAGGACATGTTTGCCAAACTGAAGGAGAAGTTATTCAATGAGATAAACAAGATTCCCTGTGAGTGTCTCTGGTGGCTGAGAGGGTGGGGCAAGGCTAGAGTCTGGGAGAGGTGAAGAAGGGTGGGGATACCACTGGGATGTGATTGGCTGGGCTCTTTCCTAATGCTTAGATTTCAGGCTGGGTTTTTGGAGAGCCCCTGCAGGAATCGGGGAGGGGGAAGTAGGATCTGCCACTAATGTGGCAAACAAGGGGGTTTATGTGCGTCAACTTCTCAGGGGAAGAAAAGTTCTTATAACTTAAAAAACTGTCTAAAGATGAAACCAAAAGGCGATGAAAAATTATGAAACAGAAGTCACTATTCAAGTTTGCCAATAATACTTTGAAATTTATTTTGGAAGATAGAAAATAAAAGCCCTCTCTGCTTTTGAATTTCTGGCAGAGGCTGTATAGGAGACACCAGAGATGCAGATTAAGGGGGAGCAGCCACACTGGCGGGAGATGGTGCTTCAGAACCACAGAGAGCAGCCCAGGACCCATCCCCAGTTGGGTTTTGCAAAGCCCAGCAGCAGTCTAGGTCTAGCCTCAAGGAGCTTGGCCTGCCTATCTGGCTATGCATCAGCCCTCTCAAGACTTGGCACAAGGGGCAGAGGCCAAAGGACTGATAAGCATCATCCCATCCTCTCTAGAGTGAGCCAGTCCTCCATAGATCACACTAGTAAAACTCAATAGAGCTAAACTGATATTCTTCCATGCATCCACCTGGTTGCTACCTCTCAGCTAGCAGGCTATACCAACAAGGACAGTAGGCAAAAAAAAAAAAAAAAAAAAAAAAAGCAAGGCATGATTGAAAAGGCATGCAAAGTATATGCACCTTACATACAAATCACTCATGGGTGTGTGGCTTTTAAAATGTGGGGTGTGGGCATTGTGGGATGGCAGTCATATTCCTCACCCATTTTTCCCAATGCTACGGGGTCAGGGGCTGCAAGGCATGGCACTGCTGACCCTGGGATCTTCTCTGTGTGGGCAGTACCACCCTGGGCACTGATCGCCATTGCTGTGGTTGCTGGGCTCCTGCTTCTCACCTGCTGCTTCTGCATCTGCAAGAAATGCTGCTGCAAGAAGAAGAAGAACAAGAAGGAGAAGGGCAAAGGCATGAAGAATGCCATGAACATGAAGGACATGAAAGGGGGTCAGGTAGGGCACATTGGTTGTGAGGGGGACTGGAAGGGGCTCAGCCCAGGCTTTCCTGATGCTGAAAGGGGAAGCAAAGGCTCCTGGGCTTCCACAGCCAAACCTGCTCCCCTCCTTAAAACTTGGCTCTCTCAGTTACATCTCTAGTATAACACCGTCTACCTGGAGGCCCCTGGGAGGGGGGGGCCTTATTCCTGTGTTAGCATGAACTCATCCCTGGAAAGACAGTGAAGGAGAACAATATATTGACTCCCCAATGAGGCTACTGGGACAAAATGTTGGAAAGAGACAGCCCCACACCAGCAAGACACCATCAGTTAACCCTGTGTTTTCCAGCCAGAGAGACTGAAGGACAATATCTCATGGGAGGCATCTAACTGGGCATGGGGCGGGAATCAAATGAGGCGGAAGAGTGACCCTGAGGCACCAAGACAGAGCCAAGTGGAATCCATCATTAATCATATCATAATTTATTTTCCCCTGTCTTTTGGTGTTGGTCAGCCTAGAAAGCTCCTTTTCTTCTTTTAAGTTTGCAGAGGCCTCTGTGTGCTTCCATTTCCCCCATGTTTGTTTGGGGGTGACTAGGAGGAATCTCTTGCTCAAGGAATCCATATGGAGGATGGAGGGAAGGGCTTGATCTCAGAAGCCAGGGATCTAAATGGCCTTTGAGTGCATGTGTGTGTGTATATGTCCTTGCACATGCAGGTATGTGTATGTATGTGGGCCCAAAAGGAACCTGCAGTGTGTGTGAGTGTGAGAGTGTGTTGGGAGGGGTTCCAGGATGACTTGGGTGTAGCCCTTCCTGGTCTTGAGGAGTGGCTGTGGTGACTTCAGGGGCTGGTTTGAGCTGCAGGATTTTCTCTTACATCACTTTCTTCTTTCTCTCTCCACCTCTGTGGGCTCACTCTGCTCCTGTCTGCCTGGACCGTACTTCTGGTATGTCTTGCCCAGGATGCGTGGGGCCTGAGCTGGGGAAAGTGTTTGGGAGAGGGCTTACAAGGGAAGTAAATCCTACCCCCACACCAGCCCCTAGAAGCTATGGAGCAGTTGGCACAGGGCCTGGTCCCATAGCACAGTGTGTCTCAGAGGCAGGAGAGTGGTGCCCAAACCAGAGCCATGTCTCAAACACAGGGTTGGGGGTAGAGGAGCCACCTAGGGGTTCTGATGGGCCGTGAAGGAGGGTCCCATGGCAGGGCCACGTTCCCTCTTGTGTTCCCACCACACACAGCTCTGAGTCAGGGTCTACCACAGAGGGGCTGGTTTCCCGTCATCCTGTGCTAAGCCAGACTTCTCGGTCCTCCCCTTTTAACTTGTTCCCTCTCTCCCCCAGCTCCCACAGGATGACGACGACGCAGAGACAGGCCTGACTGAGGGGGAAGGTGAAGGGGAGGAGGAGAAAGAGCCAGAGAACCTGGGCAAACTGCAGTTTTCCCTGGACTATGATTTTCAGGCTAATCAGGTATGCAGGGCTGTGGGGGGGCAGAGTGGGGGAATGGGGAGAGGCCTGGGAGTTGGGTGGAAGGGGGATAGAAACAGCTCCCTCAGAGATGTGTGGGCACTACTCCTTTCCATAGAATGAGGCAGGCTGGAAACTGCAGGGCCTATAGCTCTGGACATTGATGCTGGCTTGGCCACTAGCCTGCTTTGGGGAAGGTTCCAAGTTGATTATGCTATTAACCTCCCCACCAACCTTGGGCAAGGCAATTTCCCTTTCTCAGGTTTCCTAAATGCCATTCCAAATTCCTTGGGATGGAAATGGAGACCAATCTTCCTCTCTAGCACCAGCCTCCCGCCATTTCCCTGCCCCAACTGCCTCCTCTGGGACGGAATTGGTGGGTGCTGGGTCTGGGGCCAGTTGTGGTATTGGAGCAGTCCTGAGACTCAGGCCCCTTCTCCCCATCTCTCTCCACAGCTTACTGTGGGCGTTCTGCAGGCTGCTGAACTGCCTGCCCTGGACATGGGAGGCACCTCAGACCCTTATGTCAAGGTCTTCCTCCTTCCTGACAAGAAGAAGAAATATGAGACCAAAGTCCATCGGAAGACACTGAACCCTGCCTTCAATGAAACCTTCACCTTCAAGGTGCTGAGGGCTGGAAGGGTGACTCCAGCTCCCTGCCTGATCCCAATTCTCTGCTGAGTTCTACAGACCTTTCCTTGGTCCTTAGCCATGGCTCAGCCTGGAACAATGGCAGCCTTGACTGCAGGGCTACCCCGGCCTCTATGGAGGATCGGGATCCCTCCCACCCCACCCTCACACTCTGCTCCCCAAAAGCCTTGGTCTTTGTCTGTCTCGGCACACTAACCTGGACCCTGTGGGCTGGAATGCAGGCCCCTGCCCATAGCACCCCTGGAGGTGCGTGAGTCGCTCTGGCCCCCTCTGATTCTGCTTGTGCCCTGCAGGTGCCATACCAGGAGCTTGGGGGCAAAACTCTGGTGATGGCCATCTATGACTTTGACCGCTTCTCCAAACATGACATCATTGGAGAGGTAAAGGTGCCTATGAACACAGTGGACCTCGGCCAGCCCATTGAGGAGTGGAGAGACCTGCAAGGCGGGGAAAAGGAGGAGGTAAGAGCAGAGATGAGGCCAGGTTGGGCAGAAAGACGAATGTACAGGTGGGCTTCCACCTCTTGGCATGATGGAAACAGGGTGGGCTTTGGAGGCAGACGACCTGTGTTAGGATCCCAGCTCCACACTGCCTGGCTGTGTGACCCTGGGCAAGTTGCTTACACTCTCTGGACTCGGGTTCCCTCCTTTAGTCTTTTTTTACAGATGAGGATTCATTACCTGCATAAAGCGCCTAGCGCAGCGACTGGTATTTGGTAGGTACTCAAATAAATAAAAACACCATTATTATTGTTACTCCTAAGCTTCTGCTATTACCTAAGGCCAGTGATTCACGCCTCTGTGCCTCAGTTCACCCACAAGAAAAGCTCATGTTTGTTCTAAAGGATACTCAGCAAAGGGACTTGTCCTCCCAGAACTGCTACAGCATCCATTCACTCACTAAATATTTGCTGAGCAATTGCTGTGTACCTAAAACTCCATTTTAGCCATTCTTCCTTCTGGGCATCAATCATTTGTCTTGGCCAGGGCCCTGCTACCTGGCACACTCTAGGCAGTGATGGAGGGCTGAGTAGAGAAGCTTAAGACATCCTTTTTTCCCTTTTGTCCCCTGTGCCTGGGAGGAAGGCCAGCACACCTGAACCAGGACCTGTGTGATGTCGTCAGTCTTGCCCTGGGTGGCTTTGACTTTGAGCAGCTTTGACTCTGCAGTGTGGTGTTGGCCTTAGGAATTAGGAGCCCTGGGTCCTCAGCCTGCCTACAGTGCTAAATTGTTGTGTGACTTTGAGCAAACCATGGCCTCTGGGAACCTCAGTTTCTCATTGGTTACAAAGAATTCTTGTCTTGTTTACATCAAAGAGTTGCAGTGATAGTAACAAAAGGGATGCAAATTGCTCCGAAAACCACAAATCATACTACAAGTGGAATGGTCCACAAGGAGAGATCTTGGTGGGTGGGACTGTTAAGGGAAAGAAGGCTTCTGAGACATTCAGTCCCCCAGGGCCCTTGGTGGTGGACACGTGGCTAACCCACCCGCTTCTCGCACACCTTCCCACCTTACCAGGGCCTGGGGTGGGAGCCCAAACATACTCCCAACCTCCCAGATCCCAGATCCACCCAGGGATCCCTCCCTCAGTCCTGCCACCGCAGCTGTCCTCTACCCCCCTCATCTGTCAGCATCCTCAGCCCACGGCTCCTGAGGTCCCAACCTGTCACTTTCAGGGACTTTGTTGCACTGCATCAGGGGGACCCAAGGTCAGATGCTGGAAGACCTTCTCGGCCATCACATATATGGGGACTGGTGATGAGGGAGGCAGGGACACATCACTGCCTTGCTAATTTTGGCAAGAAAGAGGTCAGCCATGAGAGAGGCACTAGGATGGGTGAGATGACCCAAGTCCTGCTCTTCCCCTGGACAGCCGGAGAAGCTGGGCGACATCTGCACCTCCCTGCGCTATGTGCCCACGGCCGGGAAGCTCACTGTCTGCATCCTGGAGGCTAAGAACCTCAAGAAGATGGACGTGGGCGGCCTTTCAGGTACGTGGAGAGCTTCTGGCTGCCATTGGGTGGCACCAGCGAGCCAGTCAGCACCAAGTCCCAGAGTTTGCACACTCCAGTGAAGAGGAACACTTTGCTGCCCTGGGACTGAGATGTCTCCTCGAGGAGCGGGGGAGCCTTAGCTTCCCAGGCCCTCCTTTTCTCCAAGGGCCCCTTGTCCCCATCAGAGCTGCCTTCCCAGCGCTCTCTGGCCATGCACTGTGGGCTACAGAGAAAAGGATCAGAGAAATTTCATCCCCAGATAAGTTTGTGACTTAGGATTTTACTTCTCCCAGGGAAATGAGCAGGGCTTAGCCCAAAGCATGACACCACAATCGAGACATGTTTCCAGAAGAGGCTGTAGGCTCTGCTGGCTCTGCCCTGGAAAGGGGAGGGTGAGGCAAGGGAGTGGAAGATGCTCTGAATATCACATTTACCTGGCAGTGAATGGGGCTGGCCCATGGCACAGGGCTCTAGTGGATGAAGCCTGCTGCCTCAGCTGCCTTCCCAGAGAATCAGCCCTGGGCATGGGCTCCAACCAGCGCGTTTCAGTGCCAGCCTGGCTCTGTCACTGACCCGCTGTGTGACCTCGGGCAGGTCATTTCCGTTCTTTGGCCTCAGTTTCTTGTCTGCAAGATTAGGGGGATCGGATTGGGATTATGACCCAGCAGATGTGTGTCCTGACTTCAGCACTCCCCACCCACTCCCCAGTACAGGATCACAGATGAATCCCCAGACTCTTTCTCACAAGGCCTTACTTAGACTCAGAAATGCCCTCCACCCAATGCTTCAGGAAGCCACAACCAACTGGTCACAGTTGGTCCTGGAGGTGAAGCCTTTTGCCACCTTTGAACTGGATGGCATGACTTGGGGCTTTCTGAGGGCCTGGTCTCAGCGGAGTGAAGACCCCCTCTTGACCGATGCTCTGGGCAGGCCTTGGTACATTCGGCAGGAAGGCTGGGGGCTAAGGGGAACCTCTCTGGGGTTGGGATTCTCCCTCCGCAGACCCGTACGTGAAGATCCACCTGATGCAGAATGGCAAGAGGCTCAAGAAGAAGAAGACAACCGTGAAGAAGAAGACCCTGAACCCATACTTCAACGAGTCCTTCAGCTTTGAGATCCCCTTCGAGCAGATTCAGGTGCTGGAGCCCTGGGTTCCTAGGCATGGAGCAGGGTTTGGGGAGGCAAACATGTATGGGGAGGTTGAAGAGAGGGAACTCACCTAGAGACCATGGAACAGCCTTTCTTGGTAGGGGAAGGCTCGAGGTCTAATGGTGCCTGGGTGGGGCCTCCTTCCCAAGTGCTTCAGGGATCCCCCTTTTCTGAGGAGATAAACATGAACTAATTCAAAAAATTCTGCAAATCATTCGTTTAGGACTTGAAGGACCATGGTCATGCACACAGATGTATGGGGGTATAGCAAAGGTGCCAGAGGGGTTGGGAGCTGGCTGAGAGGGTGGGAGTGGCCGCTGCCACCTCCATCCTCTCCAGCCACATCCTGTCTTGGCCATCCCTGCCCCACTTCCACTGCTCTCTAGGTCTTTCCCATCTACTCCTCTGATCTGCTTCCTCTCCTCTCTCCCTCCACCCTTCCAGCCTTCTCTATTTTTCCTTCCTTCTCACCAGCAAGTTCTGTAAATGTTGGAGATGAGGTCTGGTTTTCACCATTTCCAGGTATGAGTGGGATCTGGACGTGGTAGGACAAGAGACCCACCCACCCACCCATTTGGGCGGGAAGTCAGGCGCAGCTGGGGGCTTGCAGAGTGGTCGGTTATCATGGAGTCTTGGTCTCTCCTTCTTTGTAGTGAGCTGATCCCACCCCCTCTCCTCCCCGCAGGAGGGCTGGGGGCAAGGGTACAAGAGAATCTTCAGAGTTGGTTCTGTCATCTATGGAGATGTGTATGATGTTATTGATGGAATACTTCAAGGGAACACTGGGCAGCTCAGTGATAATGTTAATCCAAGAGAAGTCCTCATTACAGAGAATTTTAGATCTAGAGCATCCTGACCCAGGCATCTCAAATTCAACATGCCTAAAACCAATGTAATGTTCTTCTTCCTACCTCTTCCCAGCCAAGCCTGTTTCATCTGAATTCTGTTTTCAATGAATGACCCCACAGTCCATCATTTACCCAGTGGCCCAAGTCAGAAACCTGGGCGTCACCTTAGACTGACTATTTCCTTTTTCCTTTCTCATTTATCCAACATACTTTACTGAGCATTTCCTAAGTGGTAGGCTAGGGGATGAGGAAATAAGTGTGTAATCCACACACTCCTTGCTCTCAAGGACCTCACAGTGGGAGGGCACCAGTAAACAGTCTAGTAAAGCACAGTGAGACGACAGCTTCAATGTCCATGAAGCGGAGGACTGTAGTGAGGCTTCCCAGAGAGAGCTTGGTCCTGAAGGACAAATCTGAGTTGGCTGGAGTCACAGGGGAAAAAGGCATCGAGCATTCAGCAAATCCAGCTGATCATCAAGTCCTCTTGATTCTCTTCCTAAATACCTCTCCAACCTGGTTTTGACTTCCCATCCCCACTGTCCCTGCCTTGGTACAGGTATTCGGGATCCATCCTCCCAGACCCTCCAGCATCCTCCAATGGGTCTCTTCCCTGCCATTAGGCCCACTCCTCCTCCAGTAAATCTTCCAACTCAATGCCAGGGCTCTCTCTCTCAAATGTCCACGACACTCCTTTTCTTAAAGTCGTCAGGAGTCCCCTACTGCTTGCCTGAAAGACAAAATGCAGACTCCTTGGCTGACCCCAACCTACTCTACCAGCCTCATTTCCTGCCTCACTGCTTCTCACCCTATACCTCAATGACTGAACATCTAATGTTTCTCAGATGCCAAATGCACTCTCAGGTCTCTATGCCTCTACCCAAGCAAATCTGTTTTCCTGGAATCCTCTTCCTTCTTTTCTCCTCCTAGAGAAATTCTCAGACTTCATGTCCCAGTCACCTCTTCTGTGAAGCCTTTTCTGATTGGCCCCAGGACTGTCACCTCCTCTAAGTTTCCACAGTACCTTGTGCCCATCTCTCTAGCATAACCTTTATCAATTCATGTTGTAAGTTTTCAGTTACATGTCTGCTGATCTCATTGAGGAAGTGAAATTCATCTTTTCACTTTTCCTTCCCTCTTCTCCCCCTCCAAGTGCTTAACAGGGTCTAGAGCACAGTACATCCTCAATAAATGCCCAGTGGTAGAAACAAAGGCTGCCAAAGGCGTGGCCTCTGCCTCCATGTCAATTCAGTCTTCACTGGAGCAGAGATGAAACCAAGGAGCCCCAGGAGGCCTTACCTTCCCAATCATTGGGAGTAGAGGTTGATGGAGGATAAATTTGGTCATGGGATCCCACGTCTCTGTCTGCCAACTCCCTCCCTCGTTTTCCTTGCAGAAAGTCCAGGTAGTGGTCACCGTGCTGGACTATGACAAGCTGGGCAAGAACGAAGCCATAGGCAAGATCTTCGTGGGCAGCAATGCCACGGGCACAGAGCTGCGGCACTGGTCCGACATGCTGGCCAACCCCCGGAGGCCCATCGCCCAGTGGCACTCGCTCAAGCCTGAGGAGGAGGTGGATGCACTCCTGGGCAAGAACAAGTAGACAGCAGCGGCTGGGACCCCACACCTTTCACGGACACTGACAAGATCCAGAGCTATCAATACCTCAGTTATGCAACCTTAGAGGTTTTCTTTTTTCTTTCATTTGTTGGGTGGTTGTGTCCTTGTTTTTCCTTGTTTTTCTCTTTTTAAAGACCAACTTCCCTTTGATGGCTGTGTGAGGAGAGTCCCCTAAGAGGTGAAAGAGAAGCCTGGCTCTGTTCACGGTCCCAGGAGCTGTCCTTGCTGCATGCCCTGTCACAGTTCCCTCGACTCTTTCAAAGCTTCACATCTGCCTCACCCCAAGCGAGGCTCTCTACTGGCACAAACTTGCAGCAGTTCCTGTTTTTTGAGCCTTCTGGACCAACAAAATGGCAGCACATCCTGCTTCCTGACAGGGAAGGCATCACAGTGGCCAATGATCGTGTGTGTGTGTGTGTGTGTGTGTGTGTATGTGTGTGTGTGTGTGTGTGTGTGTGTGTGTGTGTGTGTCTTTGAGCATTTCTCTTCATTCCTGGAATGTGTGTGTGTGTGTGTCTCTTTGAGCATCTCTCTTCATTCCTGGAATGAGCCATGGACAGTAAAGTTGTGTGGGAAAAGAAGGCTCTTTGGGGACCCTGACATGAAGAAGTCCACTAAGTGGGAGATCTTCTCTCATCTATGGCAAAGTCTCAGGATCCTGTTCAGATATCGGGGCTTTCATACTCCTGTTGGTGGCTATTTGGGAGGCAGCAAGATGTGAAGACTGGATGTGTTCAGAACTAGGACCAAACGATGCCATCAAATACTTCCTCCTGCCAGTCATGGTTTCCCCAGAAGTGTAGTTCCTGGGACATTCATGGATATGAGCTATTCACTAGTTGGGTCAGACTAACAGGGACTCTCAGTCCCAAAATCTCACTCTTATTGACAATAAATATCAAACTATGAAGAAACAGAAGTCCCATTACCAGAAAGACCAAAATTAAACTCCTGGATCTTCACCCCATCCAGTGGGAAACACAGATGCTTTCTCCCTTTCCAGAATATAAGCAGCCAAGTTCATTTGCATTTATTCCCCATTGTGCTTTTGCTTCTGTTTCTCTTTTAAGTGGAGCAACACTGTCTGAAGACACGTTATCTGTGCAGAGCCAGAGAACTTTAAAAGGAAAGTTTAAATGTTCTTAGTTCTCCTGAGGTCCAGGTAAGAAGGGGGTGGTAAGAAGAGGATGGGGGACAGATGGCTGAGATCCCTTGGGAGGAGATATAGGGGAGCACTGGAATTCCCCCGACTCCCACTCCTTGCTCCCTTGGCCCTCTGCCCTCCATGCTGGAGAGCTGATAGGTAGCTGGAGTGGCCCAGGGAGACCTATGGGAAGGACCCGTCCTACCATTAGGGGGCTTCTCTCTATGAATGCTAAGAAACAAAGGGCATCCATTCCAAATGAGTAGCAGAGGTGACCTTCTAGGGTTTCTACCCATGCTCAGTTGTATCCCATTCCCTGTTCACCTTTTGTCCCCAGCACTGATATAAAAGCCATATATATGTTAGTCAGGTTTGCACTGAGTCTTCTTCCAATCCTTCAGCCTGGACAACAGAGTGAGGTCCCCTTGTGGCCAGAGGCCAGCCCTCCTTGCCTGCCTTCCTTTGACCTCTCTTTTCCATCCATGAAGCCCTCAGGCCCTTGCCATTTTTTCACCACAGAAAACTCATGGCTTCTCCAGAAGCCTGAGTATCTCTCTTTCCCAGCACAAATGGCAGCATCTCTATCCTGCCCCATCTGGGCCACTTCAGCTTCCTGTAGACACCCAAGACAGATGGACAGTGTTGGAGGGAATCAGGCTTTGAGGATCCAGTGTGAAGAAGTTGCAGAGTGTCTTTTTATTTTATTTTAAAAAGGGGGAAGGGGCTTTTGGTTTTGCTTTGTTTTTTGGATGAAGGAGTGAGGGAAATGAGGGAATACCCCCACCAGAAACAGACTGGAAAGCCTGCCTGTCTCTTGGAGATCCTTCTTTGTCTTGTTAGTGGTACATGGGAAGTTATGTTTTTACTGGTGTGTGTGTGTGTGTGTGTGTGTGTACTTAATGATGGGAAGGTAAGACTCTGATCAGGATTATGAACTGCGGTCCTTGGGACCAAAGGTGTGGTCATGGTAGAGAGTTGTAGGACAATAGGGTGTTTTCAGAATCTGGGTGGCCACAGAGTGGGATTTCCTGGTATGGACATCAGAAGTCACTGGACTCTTCTCCCAACCCCAGAGTTATGGGATTTTGGTGCTTTCTCAGGGTCTCTCCCCAGACTCACTCTTCTCACCCATATCCCACAGACTCACTCATGGAGACCCCCTTGTCAATATCCCCTCTACCTTTACTCCTTTGCCCTTTCCCAATTCATCTTCTACCACCTGGATTCTTTTCCATTCATGAACTTCATTCAGCCCTTCCAAAGCCCAAGATTTGCATTCCCTTGACAGGGAGGAAAGGCAATGGTAGGAACCTCTGGTGGTCTGGGTGTCTATGTGCCTGGTGACCAGGGCTGGATTTTTATTACTCTGAGCCCACTGCTAGTGAGGAGCCTTGAGGGGTGGGGACAGGTTGCTGAGTGATTTTGAACGTTGACACCAGTGTGGAGCCAGTGTGGGTGTGGGGAGCAGTGCCTTCCTCAGGTCCCAGCTGGTCCTGATATGCCACGTAGTGGATGGCATCTGTCTTGGTCCATGGGCTTGGTGGGAACATGCTTCTGCTTGTGTGTTTTCCATACCTGAGGGCTGACGTAGCTTAAACCACAGGGCATCATGCCAAACACTCACTGCTGGGCAGGTTTATTTCTGGGGATGTCAGGGTACTGGGGTGTAGGCACTAAGCAGGATAGAGTTAGGGTGTCTGGCTAGTAAGGGGTTCTGGACGCCTCTGGGGCTGTGAGTTTTCATCTCAAAGTCTGTTCCAGAGAAAGGAAAGTAGTATAGAGGTGATTTTTAGAGAAGCTGAGACCATGAAAACAAGCCTAATCCCATCCAGAAACTGGGGTAAAGTCTGAAAGTTCGTTTTCTTCTTCCTCCCTGAATAATTGTTCCAGAAGGGATGCTAACTCTGCCAGAGCTACAGGCAGATTTTTGGGCTTTGGAAGTGGAAGCTGAGGCCTGGGGAAGGCTGGGTAAGGAATGCTGGGGCAATCTCAGACAGTAGGCAGGTGCTTGGCATGAATGAGAAGTGACTTTCCTGGAGTCCCTCAGTAGAGGATGAGATAGCAGGGATTAGGCCACAGTCTCAGATCCTGATCTTTTTTCTTCCTAGGAAAGCATACATAACTTGTGTCTGCAGAATCAGTGTGGGATGATTTTGCTGGCCCAAGGCTTCAGCGAGAGGGAGAAGAGAGGTCACTACAGCCCTCCTGTGGGTAAAAGCAGCTCTCTTATAAACCTGCCTCCATGCAGTGGGGTGGGGGTAAGGGTGGGTGACAGCAAAGAGGTTGAGGAACCTCCCTGGGTTTGGGGAGTGAGAGCTTCCATGTTCCCTTAATGTCCTAGGTTAATTCATAAGGCATCTGAGTCCTGGGTCTCACCCAGCCTCACAGAGAGAAAAACTGTCCCTGAGGGTGTCCCCTCCCACTCAAAGGTAGAAAGAGATTGAGCCAGGAACTGCCCTCATATCCTCTGCTCTGCCCCTTCCCTTCCCTTTCCTCTGCCCCTCCCACCTAAAGCTGTTTGGGGCCCTTTCTCAGAGCCCTGGGTGGTGGCAGGCAGGGAGGAGTCCCAAGATCCTGGTGGCCCTGAGCCCCATGCTATGGTTGCCAGATTTGGCAAATAAAAATACAGGATGTCCAGTTACATTTGAATTTCAGTTCAACAACAAACAATTATTAAGTGTAAATATGTCCTAGGCAAATAGTTGGGACATATACTAAAAAATAATTTGTTGTTTATCTGAAATTCAAATGTAACTGGTCATCCTGCATTGTGTCTGGGAACCCTACCCTATGACTTTTCCCCCTCTCCCTTTGGTCCCAAGGGGCCAGGAACCCCAAGGATTTGACTTAACCAGTTTTTTGAACTGCAATATTGAGAAGGGGACACTGTGACTTGAAGACACATGAATTACTTTATTTTTTAAGCAACAACAAAATAAGAACCTTCTGAAGCCATTTGAGCCTCATCTGCCCCCATCCGTGTATATTTAATTATATATAAAAGAAGATAATTACCTAGAAACATATGAACAGAATCTTGTTTAATCAAGATGCATGTCTATAACTTTCTGTAAATAGCCGCATGGCAATGCTGAGAGTCCCCTTGATCCCCAACCTCAAACCCATTTTACAGAACTGGTTGAGGCTGCTCCTTTGATTTTATGTCGTGTAAAGTCTTTGTTCCCCAGCCCCACCCCTGCCTCCTCCCATCGGGAAACCCCCCATGGGAGTCATCAGTGGGCGGGAGTCGGTGCCTGCTCCAGTCCAGCCCTGCCTTGGGAGATGCTGGAGGACCCTGTCGCCCTGAAGGCCTGTTTGCTGCACATCTGCCTGCAGAGCCAAACCTCAGGGCCCGGTGCAGTGTCCAGCCTGGTATCTGGCATCCCAGTAGCTTCCATGTTCTGTGTATGTGTGTGGTGTGCCCCTTCCTCCCACTGTTTGAATTCACTGAAAAGCCATAAAGGGGGCCTCCTGCTGGAGATTTGGCCTCCCTTGGCTCCTCCCAGGAGCCCCCATGTCTCTCCAACTGGCTCCCCACAGACCACTTCTGAAGGGCTCACCTGTTGTCACTCCCTCCTGCTCCCTCAGTCCCGTGTCATGAGAATGGACGGTGTCCAGGGCTTCCGGTGGGGTCTCAGGAGATGCCCATGCTGGCCCTGCCCGAGCTGGCTTTCTCGGCCTGGGTTCACAGTTCAGCTCCATCTCTACGCTGGGCGAGGAGCAGACAGCAGTGGGACTCCATGGTTCTGGATACCTTTCCTGGGGTCCCTGTGGAGGCAACCAGGATTTTCAGGAGCAGCCAGTCAGCAGCTCAGCCAGGGATGACAGAACCATCCCTGCTTACTCACCTCTGTAGTGTGAGGGTCTGTGGGTGGTGATGGAGGAGGGACTCAGGGAGAGGCCGGTGAATACAGGGGCTGACGCTCTTCCCTCGTGCATCCTCCTGCAGTCTGACAGAAAGCAGCCCAATAGCGGGGCAACCTCAGGGCTACCAGCGATCCCCTGAGAGTGGGGTGGGCAGGTTCAGCTGTGAGAGAGGCTCAGGCAGAGCAGGTGTGGACTAAGTCCCCTGACCTTCACACCTGCTCCCCAGAGAAGCCCCAGCCAGTTGCACCAAGTAGCAGAGGTGAGTAGAGGGGCCTGGGGGCTTCCAAGGCCCCAGGTCATCCTGTTGAACTGAGAGGGACAGGTAGCCCCCCTGCCTGCGGCCCCTGGCCCCATGGGCACCTGAGGGCAGTACTGCATGGGAAGAGCCCAGGATGCCTCAGGCCTGGCAACTGTGACAAGTATGAGGAAGGAGAGAGAACGGGAAGGGAATCAGGCAGGGCGCATTCGAGGAGGCCAGAGGTGGCGAGGCAGGCTTGCCCTGCACAAACCACAACAGAAGTTGCACACAGAAGTCCCAGGGACCTTTGTGCTGGGAACTGAAAGAGTGGGGAAGGTGGAGGGGACCATTTCAGAGCAGGCTGGAATCAGGTGCTTGGACCAGTGAAGACATGTCTTGCTTCCTCCAGCTCTCTCTGGGGCCCTCCCACTCTCCACACCCACAGCAGAGACAAATTGAGGCAAGAGTTGAGAGAGCATCTGTCTGGTGAGGTGATGGGAGCAGTGTGCATGGGGCACCAGGAGTTCCTCCATCCCACCTGCCTTAGCGATCAGGACTTTAGGGGGGCCTCTTCAAAGATAGTGACCCTTCTGCCCTGACTCCTGCCCATCTAAGGACTTGATTTGCTGCTTTCTGAAAACCCTGGGGCTGAAAACTTCAAAATCAGGGCCTGGCAGAGCCTAGCTTCGCCAAGGTCAGCCCACCAGGAGCCCTGCCTTCGTCTCCATAGGAAGGACACATGTACAGCCCTTGCCCCCGGCCCTCTCATTCCCACTTCTGCTTGGCAATGCTCTCCATCTCCCTTATGTGGACTCTTGTTCTTGTCTGATCTCTTGTCAAATTGTTATTTTGTAATGAACTGCGTCTCCTTATTAAAGAAATGAGCTGAAAGAAACCTGGGGGTGGGGGGTGTCTCTGGTTGTTTTTGCTGCGCTGAGGTGGGGGTGAGGGAGTGGGAGCTGCCTGTGAGGGTCAGTATGGTGGGTGAGGGTGGTGAGATGGTCCTGAGGCTCTGGCTTCTAACCCAGAATCTCCCTTCAGGGAAGCACCAAAAGGGGCTGAGGTCCCCTCTCTCCTGGGGTTGGGGGAAGACCAGATTGGCACTCTGGTGGGTGCTGGGGCCCACACATCTCCTGAGAACACATGCCAGGCTGTGGAACTGTGGGGAGTGTGGTGGTGCCGGGGAACATTGTCTGGGAGGCTGGGCGGGGCGGGGTGGTGGTGGGGACTATATTCTTGAATTCCCTTCCAGTAGAGCTGGGCTTAGGGAACAGCCACAGTCTGAGCCCAATGACGAGAGGGAGGCTGGCCCTGGGAAGTGGGAATTTGAAAAGTAACAATTTCTACAAAGTCCTCAGTTGACTCTTTGCAAATAACTTGAAATGTCTTTAACTTCTGAAGCAAAGATGTTAGGGACCAGGGATAGGGCGTCAGAATTTTTAGGGAAAGGGAGAGTGGGACAGCATTGCCCCCAAAGACCAGGGAAGAGTAAAACTCCTTCTTCGGTTCCCACTTCCACCTGTCTCCTCTCCTTGAGGATAGACCAGCAGCTACCATTTTTGTCAGTTTACACCAGCACCTGTCCTCCAGGAACACCGTTGGCTAGATGTGTGCTTGTCCATCAGGTCCAAAGGCATGGGGGCAGTGAATGCAAGCAGGGATGGGAGCTGCCCACCTGAGGGAGCATGAGCCCAGATCCTTTAACATCTATCCTGTCTTGCTGCTTCAGTCCCTAAGGCTGGGTAGGGTGAGGGGCATGAGCCTTTCAGCAGACGGACTGGGATTTATCACCTGAGGGTCTCCTGGCTAAGAATATGAGCTTTTTACTCTGCCAATAGGTTGTGGCCTTCTCCTTTCCCCCCAAGAGGGCTGGACCACGTGACGGCTAGGTGATACTGTATCTGCAGACCTTACTACAACCAGTGGGGGTCAGAAAGAGAAATGACATTTGCAGTCTAGGAACCCTTTGCATCGGTCATGCTTCTTTGCCTCTGTTTTGTGCCCCAGGACAGGACTGAATTCTTCAACCATGACATCAAGTGTGCTTGTTCTGCTGCTGCTTGGGTTACAAACAGCTGGGTGACATCAGGGGAGAAGAATCTTCCCTCCCTGACCTCTCCCCAAGTCAGTGACCAGGGATTTCCGCTTGGCAGGAAACACAGGGCTGAGCAAAGCCAGAGGCAGGGCTTGCTGGATGGAGAAACCAGACCCAGATCCTGGCTGCCTGGGGTCAGACCTGGCCACCCACGTACAAACCCTGCCAGCGGGCCTGAACAGCTCTTCTCTGGGCATGGCTCCTTCATTTTGAGTTTAGATTTAACCTTCAATAGCCCCCAAGTTAACTACATTTGTAGTTTGGAACTACAGGATAGTTTTGGATCTCCTGAATTAAACAATGACCTCATGAAGACTTATGGATATAGCAGATGACTAAGGGTGATGGCAGGAGACTTCCATGAGCCCAAGGAAATCACCACCTCCCTAGACCTCAACTTTCCCATGTACTAGAGTGTGCTAGTGTTCACCTGGATGGCCTCAACACCTTTGTCACTTAAACCTGGTGTCTTCCAAGAAATAACCGTATATACTCTTGGTTACTTGAAGCTTGGAACCTTGATATCTATCTATCTATCTATCTATCTATCTATCTATCTATCTATCTATCTTACGGTTCTTTTGAACGCCAATCTAGGCTTCTCCTTGGCCTGACTCCATTTAGGAAATTCCTTGATACTACCAGAGACCCTTCTCAGTGGCCATGACTCACTGTGGCTGTCCCTGGGGAAGGGGCCTCTATGTGGACAGGAGTTGTAGGAGGCTGGTGGGCGAGGCCCCCACCAATGATAAGATGTAAAATCAGAAGAGGCTGCCCCAGATGTGAGATTCTAGAAATCCCATGCTCTGAACTGTGGAGACAGTCACAAAGTTAAAACACAGTTTTATTTACTCATTTATAAATACTGTTGTGTTTACAGGCATCATATAGAAGTGAATATTATTATTCCCAAACTTTCAAACACAGAATACTCAAAACTATATAACAACAACCAGTAAAACAAAACCATTCATCTTAGGGTTGAAAGGCCACTCAAAATTGCATAAAAATACATTCAGTTCACAAAGCAAGTCTGGCTGCTTCTCCCTAAACAACCCCAACCCCACCCCATCCCAGGTGTATTTACAGTGGACTGAAGTTAATCCATACAACTCAGCTGAAAAACAGTTACATCTGGTGTGTGAACCTTGGTGGAACTAGGGTGAAGGGTGGAGTAAAGACACAAAATGCTACCACTAAAATGGGAGAGGCATGGAAACCTCAGGGTGGTTCTTTTCACCCCTGTTGATCAAGGTCAGGGCAAAGACAAGGAGGAAGGAAAACCATAAAGCCAAAGTCTGAGTGTGAACCACTCAACTGAGCACAGGCTGTAGCTTCTCCAAGAAGGATGCAAGGGTGAAACATTCTTTCCTTCCTTCTGCAGGGAAATCATTGCCCTGGTGTGCCAGCCAGTGGTAGGCACAACCTTTCAAAAGTTCAAGGGATGCTGGCTAGAAAAGGAGGTATTCTGGATTGCTGCCTCCTCTCAGAACCCTCTCCTACCCCGCAGCCTGCCTCCTGGTGTCTTTTTTCCTCCAAACTCTCTTTACCTAACCTCTCTTCATCAGAAGGCAAGCGGGAATCTGTTCCGGGTTTCAGTAGAGTGGGAGAAAGGACAGGCAAAGGCACAGATATTTAGGCGAGAGTCAAGCTACTTCTGGCCCTTGCATGTCCCTTATTCAGGAATAGTGGGCCCCGACGACTGGCACTCCGACTCTCAACTCTGGTTTTGGGAGAACATTAGAGGCTCTTAAGAGGCTCCCCACCATCAGTGTGCCTTTCCTGAATCCTTGCTCTTTGAATGGGCTGAGCTGTTGCCACCAGATGCACTGATACACTGATTGATTAGGTTTGTGCTGGGAAGACACACTTCTGTTTTAAGCTATAAACAGTCTCAGGATAAAGAGTAAACCAGACATGGCTACTCATGGTCTCCTTGGCCAGGCTATGGAGGAGTCATACGGGCCTAAAAGTCAAACCTCATCTCTGAGGGGACATTAGCATAGCCGAGGAGCTTTGAAACTGGAATAGGGGGCGGTGGTGGTGGTGGTTGGTATACCCAACTTCTACAGGAATCTTGGCTGATTCATGGAAAACCACCTCTCTAAAGCACCCTCGGCTCCAAGTGAGAAAAGCAAGGAATTAAGAATGCAGAGGGAGATGAAAGGGAGAGGAGTGAAGTGTATGCTTATTCTGGAAGGACATAAGAGCATCCTGATGTCACCTTAAGGGGCCACCCAAGTAAATCTTTATTGGAAACATCAGGGAAAAATTTGGAGGAGAAATAACAGAAAATATCACTCTGGCAGATTCATGGTCCAAAATAAGCAGATGAATTGGGGAACAGCTCAAATAGGTCCTTTGGGGGATTAGAAGGGAGGGGGAAAAACAAAAGATATGATTTAATAAATAAAATTGGTTTCTGAGTTTTCATTTGTAATCAAGTATATGCCAGACCTCATTTTAAAAGCTCTGGGCTAGCAAATGTGCATGTGAACGCACATAAGCTAGATCCAAGAGTTATCCCCAAATTGCTAAACCTTTTTAGGTAAGGCCAGAACATTCATTAATGGTATTGTCTTTAGACACACCCACCTCTTACTTACAGTTCTCCCGAAGGAGGGCTTCCGGGACACTGGGTTGTAAGCCAAACCTGGGTTCTATGTTTGCCCTCAACCCCAACTCTCAAAGGAGAAGTGAATGCATCTTTCACCATGCAGCTGCTGGCTGCTGGCCAAGATTCTGTGTTTTTTCTCAGCCCTCAGAAATCACCTCATTCCTAGTAGCTGTGACCAACAGTTCCTGGACTACAATGAAGTTGATCTATTTTCCAATCTAATCAGAACACAAAAGATCAATAGCTGTCCCTGACAGGGTCTACTGCTTCCTGAGCAGTGTCAATACCCATTAAGGAAGCTGATTAAAATCTCTGCTCAGCTGGAGCCTGAGGGATGAAGTCACCAGTGAGACAGAACTCATTTCTGTGTGACAAAGCTTTGTTTCTGTGAAACTCTCTTCCTTCCCAGTACTTGCAGCTTCCACCCTGCTCTATGTCCAAAGCCCCTGGGCCTTCTGCCTTCTTCCCATCGCAGCACACAGCCACCTCCACTTCCAGGGTCTCTGCCCTTTCACTCCAATTACACCAGGTCCTGTAGGAGGCTTGTGAAAGCCAAGTGCTGTTCTATGCAATATGGTTGTGTGGACTCTGGGTTTGTAAACACTGCTTTGGTAGTCTCCTCTTCAGACCTGCTTTGAAGGAAAGACCATCTTGAATGGTATCAGAACCTCCTACTTCTGGTAAGTCCAAAATCCAGAGGGGGAGCTCAATGGAACTAAAGATTGAGGTTCTTGTCGAGGAAAATTTTCTTGCTGCTGTAAGGCAGAGTTCAAGACAATGAACCAGACGGTGCTAAGCAGAAAAACGATTAGTCTGCTATTTGGGTGTGAAGAGCCAATGTAGATCCCATTTTAAGAAAGCTGAGGAAAGGTGGTTGAGGAAACCTATGAAGCAGCAGGTCTATTTCCTATTAAAACAACTTGTCCAAAGGCTGCCTGCAACAAATTGCTTTCTATCCATTTCTCCATGAGCTCCAATTTCCACCTCTGCAGGCTTTAATATTCTTACCAAGCCAGCAGGAGGGAAAGCCATTGCAACATCATTCAATTACCCTCAATATTAAATTCACTTCCCAAAAAGGATGAGAAGTCAACCTTGATGTGCTCATATTAAACAGTTTAAATCCAGAAGAAAACAAAAAATTCTGGACTTGGATTTTTGAGGTTAGAAAGAATTTTTGAAGCAGAAATCCCAATAAATATGCTGATCTTCCTAAGAATGAATAAATCACAGAATTTTAAGCCAAAAGGAAAGGGCACATAAAGATTATCCAGTCCAACCTCATTTTACAGACAGGGAGGGTGACCTGCCCAAAGTCACATGACTAAAAGGAGAAGGGGTGGCCTTGGAATACAGATGTTCTGACTTCTAGGGTCTTATCTTTTAATGTTGCCTTTTTGTCCTCAAAGCTGCCTGCTTATTGGGTTGGAAGAACTCACATCTTATGAAGGGTTAGACCCTGCCTTGAAAATCAGTATGGTAGGCTGGGCGTGGGCCCTTACGCCTGTAATCCTATCGCTTTGGGAGGCCCAGCCAGGTGGATTGCTTGAGCCCAGCAGCTTCAGACCAGCCTGGGCAACATGGCAAAACCCCATCTCTACAAAAAAATTCAAAAATTAGCTGGGCATGGTGGTGCACACCTGCAGTCCTAGCTGCTCGGGAGCTGAGGTGAGAGGATCCCTTGAGCCTGGGAGGTGGAGGTTGCAGTGAGCTGAGATCACACCACTGCACTCCAGCCTGGGCGAGAGAGTATGGTGACTAAGATTTGTAGTAATAACTGGGCCTAGATTTAGGCCAATTACACGACCTCTGATTGGTAAGTGTGTGCTTAAAGTGCGGTCAGTGCTGGCATAAACAATGGGGTTTGAGGGCCCCTGATGATATCTCTGAGGGAAGGATACCAGGGCTCCTGCAGTGTTACTTCACTGATAAGCTCCAGTGGAACCAGTGGCTCATCTGGTAGAGTAGAATTTCCCTTTTCTTTCTGCTTAAATGCTGAATCCTTTCTGCTTTCTTTTTCCTTTTTGCACCTTTGGAGGTGCAAAGCCGCCTGGAAGCTGAATAACTGGCAACACTTTTAAATAGTTCTCTCTTCTCCAGGCTTCTTCTGCTCACTCCATGCCCACCTCAAGGGTGCCGACACTCACCAGTGGCCTGGACCGAAACACTGGCCTTTCTCTGAGAGGAGACAGTGTCTGTCTGTGGCTAGGAGAGGCTGCAAACAGGCCAAAAATCCAGACACCTAACAAAGTACATGGCTTTGAGAGTTTCTTCTTCCATCATCTTTGGCTCAATTAAATGCCTCTAGTGGAGAAACAGTCAGTAGTTTACACACACTTTCGTGGGATCCACAGACCATTAACTTGAGTTTTAGCTTCCTTGCTTCCTGAGTGGAACCATCTAATAAGCACATGGTTTGGGGAAGGGAAATGGGTAAAATGTTGCAAAAGAGAGATCTGAAATCTCACTAGTGGCCTCAGATAGCAATAAATGAATCTAAGTCTTCTTAAACTTGGGGTGGGAACTAGGACAGAAACCAGGGGAAGCCCAGAAGAGAAGTAAACACATCCTGCAGTTGGAAGACAGGGAGGTTCTAGGGAACATCAAATGAGAATGGCCCACTAGAGAATCTGGTACACTGAGTAAGCCCAAAGCATGTCTATTCTTTAGATTCTTTAGAGGCAACACCCTGAGATTTGCATAACCCTTTCGCTAGAGATTGGGATGGGGCTGGGGTCATCATACTCTGGAGCTATCTGGAAAAGGATCAGCAGCCCTGGAAAAACAAACTTTAGCCCCAGAATCTCTGGAATGGCCAAATCATTACTTCCAAAGGTGTGGCTCGGTTTTTGAAAAATAACAAATTAATGAAAACAGAGTTTTACCAGGAACATTCTCTTTCCCATTCTGATATTTCATGTAAAGACTCTAAGTTAAGTGACAGACCTGAGCCCCATGTTGTTGGCCATGTCTGCAGCTATTTATTCAGCTTGAGCTGCCTGGGGTGCTCATGAGTCTCCAAACCAGCAGGTGAGGACTGAGGATTGTGGCCACTGAAGAGGCCAGCAGTAGGTACCTGTCCAAGCAGCACAAGAAAAAGGAGACCTGCTGATGCCAGTATCCAGAGAGAACTGCTGGCTAGTAGAAGGCCTATAATTACCATCTCATGGGGCTTCCAGACAATACAGTTGTGAAGGAATGGTATTTTATCTCTGGAGATAGACCAGAAATCAGTTAATAAAATTAATTGCATAAGAGAAAGTACCTGAAATTACCTAGGATAGTTTACACTTACTTTCATGAGTTCTTGGCTATAGAATCCAGTATTCCTGAGATTGAAAAGCTTGCAAATTTCTTGTCACAAGGAAAACTTTCTGGCAAGAAAAGTCAGCTTTAACATGGAAGGGTCATGTGAAGTGGCAGGGATGCAACACCAATCTAAGAGTTTTGAGAATCTGCCCCCAGTACTTTTGAAAGGCACAAACAGATCTGAGGAGGCTCTCTGTAACCCCTTTCCCTGGTCTATTGAGTGGAAAAGGGTCAAGATGTATTCCTAATAATCCAATTTTCTTTTCTTGAGAAAGAAGTATCATCTTCCTTCCCCAATATTCAAAATGTTCCAGGATAATCAATTAGTCAACACCTTATGTTGATTTCCTCTCCCAGAATGAAGGATATAAAACTTATTACTCTAATTTAGCATTCCCTGAGAACTGAACTTACAGTACTCCCATGATAATACGAAGTCTCAAGATAGTAGCAGCTTCTCTTGAAAAATGGTTGGAAATGAAAGACAGAATTTTATACACTCTAAAAATGGGGTTTTGTCAGAGGAAACATATCTCCTGTTCTGTAATTGGGATTTTTTATTTATTTATTATTATTATTTTTTTTGAGATGGAGTCTTGCTCTGTCACCCAGGCTGGAGTGCAGTGGCGTGATCAAGGCTCACTGCAAGCTCCGCCTCCCGGGTTCACGCCATTCTCCTGCCTCAGCCTCCTGAGTAGCTGGGACTACAGGCGCCTGCCACCACGCCTGGCTAATTTTTTGTATTTTTAGTAGAGATTGGGTTTCACCGTGTTAGCCAGGATGGTCTCGAACTCCTGACCTCGTGATCTGTCCACCTCGGCCTCCTGAAGTGCTGGGATTACAGGCATGAGCCACTGCACCTGGTGGAATTGGGATCTTGAATTACAGCTTCTAGTTTAAACAGCATGTGGTGTTTCAGAGGGAGGACCATGGAGAGCTACATGTCATGTTAGGAAAGAATTAACAGACAGAGGTAGTATATATTAAGGGAATGAACCACTCTAAACACTGAATATCACTGGCAACCCTAAAATGATGAGGATTTAATGACTTGCACACTCAAGTGAACCAAGGGATAAAACTCCTACAAAAAGAAAATACTGTAAGTATTAATGCTAGGTTATCATCAAGAACTAATGGTTTAATTTTGCACTGGATTTGTATTCTTTCCAGGCCTGGACATGATATTTTAAAGGCTGGTTTTGTCTAGAGGAGGATGGCCAAGATGTGACAGGTAAGAAAAGCATGCCATATGAGGAATGACTTAAAGGACTAGAGTAACAGCAGCTCAAAGTAAGACTGAGGGGGAGACCACCCACTGCACATATCTCAAGTGCCGTTAAAGAGTTGCAGATAGTAGATCTGGACTACAAGGAGAATCCACAGGCAGACTTCAGCTGATATGAGGAAAAACTCTCTCGTTATTAGAGTTGCCCAACTTTTGAGTAATAAATGCATAGCCACCAGAGGCTACCTGACCATGCCCATGGGTGAAAGCTGTGGTAGCAGGGGTCCCTGTGACACAATAATAGAAAGCTGGACCTAATGACCTCTGGGTCTTGCCACTCTAAACTTCCATGACTCTCATCAATGGGTTGAAAGTACTTCATTCCATTAAACCTCTATTAAGTGCCATTTCCCCTATTAATTTCTAAGAAAGTAAATCTCTCTGCTAAATCTAACCACTGGAAATAATCAAATTCACCACTATTCTCACAGCCCAGTAGGCTGCTATCTTCCATCTTCTTTGTCACAATGTTGCAAGTGGCCTCAGATACTTGACTTTCGCCATATGTGTCTTTCCAGCCTGCTTCCACTTCCTAGTCCATCTCTCAACAATCTCCCCTCCCCACCTCTCATTCCTCCTTGCACTGACTTCATTTCTCATTAGAAGCAGGTGTCAGGGCGAAGAGAGGAAAACAAGGTCAAGGAAGTGAGGCAGAATGGAGTATTCAGAGCCCAAATTTTCTTATAAAGAAAATCACTTTGAAGGGGGAAGATAAGTGGGAGACGAAAACAATGAGCTGACACTTATGCCATAGTCTACCTTCCAGGGAGCAGGCAGTGGTGCTGCCACCAAGGCACCAGAGTGATGATTTTCTTGTCTCCAGAATAATGACTTCCCACAATGGCCAAAGACAACTGAGGTCAGGTGCTCTGTCCTAGCTTTTATACCATTGAGTGAGGGGGTGGGGAAGGGAAAAATATAAAAGGATAGAAAGGAAAGGAATAAATGAAGCCAGGGCCATTTGCGCCTTGGAGAAATGGCTAGGTATGAGGGAGGAATAAGGGTTAAAACTAGTTAGGGAGATTACTGGGTGTTGACAGAAAAAATAAAAGTCAGTTCCTGAGAGGTGAAGAAGAATAGAGCGCCTCAATGCAGTCACTGTCACCTTGGATGCTAACCATTCCAGAGGGCATCTGATGATCAATTCAACATCCTGCTGTTTCTCTTGGCACCCCAATCAGGATCCTGGAGTGGCTACCACAAGACTCACCTATATCAGAGGACACTGGGTTAATGTAAAAAGCTGAAGGATACTGATTAGGGTAGAAGTCTTACATGTTTGGACCAAATCCAATGTGGACAAAGTAGCTGAGCAGCAGGAAGTTGAGGGGTCCACAGCTGAGCCTGGTGTACTCCCCAGAGCATTCTCCAGATGGCTCGAATTACCACAATCATGCTTCAATTAAAACTGTCATAAAACTTGGGATAGGGGTTTGGAAGAACAGGGCATTGAAAGTGCAGAGAAAATGTAGAGTGTATAGAGGTGACTGAAGAGGGTGATAGAAAGAAGTGTCCTTCCACCAAAACATCCATTTCTTTTGGTTGGAAGGCAAGGACTGGAAAAGAGGGGTGGGGGCAGCAAATGCTGTCCCTTTCTTTCCTCATAAATCTGGAGCCTAGCCTACTTGGACAGTTTGCTGATGACTCTGATGAGGGCACCATTTTCATCTTTCAGCCTCTGGTTGTCGGATTTCAGTTCTGTTAACACCTGTAGGGTGACAGAGGGAAAGGTGAGTTAGAGCCTGGCAGGATCCTCCTTGGCCCTCCCTGACCAGGCCAGGCCAGCCTGGTGAGCAGGGCCTTTTGAGACAATGTGTGGAATAAACTCTCATGGTCCCTTCTCCCAGGGATGAAATTCCCTTCAATCTTCCTTTTTATTGAGTTGGTAATGTTAATCTTTAGGGAGATTATAGCCACTCCATCTTTTGAGCTGGCATATTTAGCAGTAATATCTTATTTCTTCATAGGCAGACCTCACATTTCACACTGTATATCCTTTCATTCTACTGAATCAGTAACCACTTTCAATTTCTCCTGCCCTTAAACTCACCCCTAAAGAAATTGGGGAGAGAGCCAAAATGGGCTGGTGAGGACATAGGGAAAGAATTCAGAAAGGGGGTGGTGGTCAACTAGAAGAGTTAAAGGAGGATACTGCTTCACATCTCATCAAAAACAAGAGCAAAGGCCAGAGAGGCAGTACTCGGCTTTCTTGCCATATGCACAAGATGATTTAAGCATCCTCCACTTGGTGCCTTCGGTGAATAATCCTCCAAATTCTCACTGGTCATACTATACATATCCACTTTCAACAATTAAAACTCAGAAAACTTACACTCACAGAGCTGTGAGGCACAGTGAACACTAGGCATGTATTTAATCCTCCCCAAAGCTCCCCACTGACAGTCACCAAAGGATACCCAGAGGCCTCATCAGCAGTTTTAGGGGATGGCATTGTAATTCACAGAAATAGATGCTTGTTGGGCAGGGGAGGGAGTGGAAACTCAATTTTATTAGTTCTGCTATCCTGGAACATTACACATACTGTTGTCTAACTTGTGAAAAAAAGGAAAAATAGCCTCAAGTTCCATCCTGGAAGTTCAAGTCTTTGTTACATGATCAGGCACTTTCAACAAGTACGCTGTGCATCTGAAAAATCCTAATGGGATGTTGATAAGGGTACAGTTTATGTGTGGGTCCCACTGGCAGCAAGAGCGATTTAGGATAGCAGGTAAGTACATCGCCACTATGCAGGCTACAGAAAGCTACATCTGTATCTGTTCAATACAGGTGTCCTTTGACTAGTCATTTCAACCTATAGGACCCCAGGGGCAGGTAATGCCCCCAGTAAAGGGTGACCTGTGCTGAGGTGTTATGAGGCCTATTTAGTTCTAGCTCTGGCTCTGCTATTAACCACTTAGGAGATCTAACTGTGCCTTAAGGAATATAATCTGTTTCCTTGATCTCTCAGAGAAGATATAGGTTAAATTATATAAATATATGTGTATGTACACAAATATGAATCACAGATACATAAATAATTTGTATCAGGGAAATAAAAAGAAAATTACTGAATATCTATAATGTGGATGGCACTGTGCTAGAGGGTCTCCCTAGTGCCTCATGAGACTATGATACAGTTGTTATCCCGATTTCTACAAATGGGGAAATGAAAAGTGCCATAACTAGTTCAAGGCACCCAGCAAAGCTAATATTGAATCCCAGTGTGCCTGACTCCAAAGATCATTCTTTTATTACACGTGGGATGGAAAACAAAACACCAAAAATGTTTGACGCCTAGAAACTGAAATTCCAGCATTGTCTTTGTCACTAGTGATCTATTACTTTAGGCAGATCACTCGCCTTCTCTGCATTTCCATTTTTGTACTTTCGTAAGAACAACAGTCCCTGTCCTACTCTCTCGTATGGTAGGGACTCTGCAAGGCTCACAGGAGGTAACAGATGTGGAAGTGTGTTGACATACATAATGAGCTTTGCGATACTGAGTGTTCCTACAATCACTGTGAGTTTTCTCATGACTGTGGGAGGGCAGGCAAATAATCTGCAAACTTTATTAAGAAGACTTAATCCAGAAAATATAAAAATAAAGTTGCAGTCCTTTGACCCTGGTCTCCTACCTCTGATTTAATCAAAGCAGCTCTGGCTGCCCTCTCCTTCGTTCCTCTATCCCTGTAGCCTTGCCTACCAGACTGAATGCTTGGAAACTCATTTCAATGAGATTTTTAGAAAAAACCCAGGGTGGCCTCATGTTTCCGTGTTCAATCTGCTCTTTAACGCCCCATGCTGGGGCTGCAGCTTGGGTATAAGTGAGACGAAAGCCACATTTCCATAATAGGTAGGAAGAAGCTATATATGGCAATGGATTACATTTCACTGCTTAGCAGCTCATCAAATCAGAACTAAGCTGCCTTAAAAAATGTATAAACAACTTGTAGAGTCTTGTAGAGTTTTAGTGATTTATTTCCACATTAAGAAGTCAATTCCTTGAAAAAAAAATTTGGACAAGGCAGTTTTGCAGCTGCAACATGCTACAATTGACATCTAAAGGGAGTGGCAAAAAGTGTTAAGAGGTGGAATGTAGAAATCAAGGGGCGGGGGAAGCCCCACAAAGTTCAATCTCAGCAGAGAGAGGGGGAAATGAACAGTGTTATCTGATATCCACTTGAAGTTAAAGAATGGTTAAATAAGAACATATGTGAAAGTACGATATAAGTATGAAGTTTAGCAAAGCTTTATCATTTTAACTCTCTGGATCTTAGTTTCTTAATTTTTAAGTTCCCAGCTTACCACAATTTGGTGTTAAAGATACCCTGGGCAAATAAAATTAAGTACACATTTCTCAACTGTTACTTCTTACAGTCTTTGAGGAATGTGTTAAAGAGGAAGGGGCTACAGGGGTCCTAAAGCTTCAGAGACCTAGAGCAAGGCTAGCTGTAGGTTGAGAGGGACTCAGGATGAGTCTTGCATGAGCTGTCTTGCTTTTAACTACAAGGAAAGTGGGAAGGGAGTCCCCTCTGGTATTTTGTTGGTAAGTGGTTTGCTCTACATGCTGAGATAAGATGATTTTTCCAGGGAACTATTAAAAAAAAAAAAAGGTAGAGTAAAATCTCTCGACTGCACTGCCAGTTTGGCTTAGTTATCTCATCCTTCCTTCTGGCAAGAATCGGCAAGCTTTTTCTGTAAAATGCCAGACAATAAGTATCTTAGGGTTTGCAGGTCAAACAGTCTCTGTTGCTACTCCTCAGCTCTGCTGTTGTAGCACAAAAGCACCCATAGACATAACAATAATATGTAAACAAATGAGTTTGGTTCAGTTCCAATAAAACTTTTATTTTGGACATTGAAATTTAAATTCCATATAATGTTCGTGTTCATATGTCGTAAAATATTATTCTTCTTTTGATTTCTTTTTTGACTATTTGTATGGCTTATGGGCCATACTGGTGGTGGGTCACAGTTTGCTAACCCTTGCTATGGTCATGTACCAGGCAATGGCTTTCTTTACAGCAGCAAAATCTTTTGGTAGGTAAATGGCTCTTTAGAAGTTAGGCTTTGACAAGGAAGTCACAGTGCTCAGAAAGCAGAATGCTGCCCTTCCTCCCTCAGCTGCAATGCTGGGGGCACAGTGTAGTTGCTCAATAGATCCTTCTTGCATTGTTTGGGCCACATGCTTAACAAATGGTGAAAACTGTGCCAAATATGCAGACAGCTTATATTACAGTGGTGAAAAGTTTGCACTCTGGAACCTGACATATTTGGTTTGAATTTTGGTTCTACCACTTACTCTCGGAGTGACCTTGGGCAAGTTATTTAATCTGTGACTCAGTTTTTTTTTTTTCATTTTTACAATAATTGTTTTGGGGAATAAATGAGAAAAACTATATAAAGCATTCAGCACAGGCCTTAAATAAATGACAACTGTTAAGGTTATTAACTACTGAAAGCATGAGATCTAGTTTTGCCCCATATCCTATACTATCTTGCAACAAAGGGATACTAAAAATAACTGGGACACCTTTTGGGGGGTCCCTAGTTTAGCCTAAGTAAAAATTTCCAGGAATCTTGAGGCTAACTTTAAAGCATGGAGTCTGGACCTAACAGTGGCTGCTTACAGCCAGGCCATGGTAGAACTTGCCTTTCAATTTTCTTTCTGCCTATGATAGCATCTACAGCAGGATATTAGCTCAGCCCTATGATAATTCGGGTGATTCAGTTCTAGTGGATATTAGTTGCCAGCTACTAACCCTGAAGGCAAAAGCAAATAGGCTGAAAGAAAGAACAGGCTCTGGTCAGGACTAATTAGATTGTTGCTGACAATTAAAAATTCATCTCAGAGGAGTGGTGACCCCATCATACCATCTTGAGATAGAAAAACCAGTTGTCTGTGAGCTTGTCTTTCAGATCCATAGCTAGGGAAAGGATCCAGTTTGCCAAGCACATTTTTGGTTCTCAGTTGAAAATAAATCCTTGCTCTCTGCTCCACTGCCTGCCATATCCTTTGCAAAGCTGGCCTCATTAGAGAGGGCCTGGCTCCATGAGGGTCTCATTTATATAGGCTGTGTTCTGCCTCACAGCCCACACACTAAGGACAGGGAGGGGCACATCCCTAGGGCCCAAAGATTTGTGACGGGAATGAGAGATATGCCTCCTAAGGTGGGAGAAGAAAGCAAAGACTACTGCAGAAGGAGGCAAAGAATGCTTATCCAATTATGCTTGAATAATGGGATGCAGAGTGTTTTTGCTGGTAGTGGAGCTGGACAGGAACAGTTCCAACCTTGAGTTTTAGTCCTCTCCATCGGTAATGTTGTCAGCCGTGAGGACTGTCTGGTATCCAAAGGGCTGTGGTTCTTAACCATGGTTGTATAAGGAATCAATAGGAGAGGTTTGAAAAAATACTGATGCCTGGGTCTCAACCCAGACCACTGATTATTTGGGGATGGACCCAGACATCCCTATATGTATATGTTAAAAGCTATGTATATGTTTAAAATATACCCATAGGTATACGTTAAAAGCTCCTAGATGTTTCTTGCAGCCAAGATTGAGAGCCCCTGCCCTTGGTTACCCAAGGCCCAACCCCAGTTGCTCCAGGGGAGTGGGTTGGACTTGGGTTGCTATTGGCTAAGAAAGATCAATTTCCATCTGGCAATGACCCCGTCAATGAAATATGTATATGTGCATGTACACAGGTATATGCACATACACGTGTATACCTATGTGTAGCTGAGTGAACAAATTCATACTCAGTCTCCAGGGGAAGAGAAGCTAATGTGGTGACCTTACCAAATGAATATATTGGTAGCCCAGCTGAGGTCTCTCTCACTGCCTCCCTTGACCTAGGCTGGTATGTCCCATTCTATGATCTCAGTCCTGGCTGCTTCCATCTGCAGATAACCAAGCTTTGCAGGAACCTGCATATGGAGGCTCGGATGGAGGGGATGAGCACAGAGCTTCTGGGACTAACAAGAAGACTGAACCTGCCTGGAGTAGTGGAGGAGGGAAGTGAGTTGGAGAGTAGGGGCAAGAACTAGAGCTCCTGGGTGTCCGAGGACTCGATGGACTCCGAGAGTCTGGCCACCACTCGGGTCAGGGCCCTGTTCTCAGCCTGCAGTTGCTCGTTCATCTGCTTCAAGGTTTGAATCTGTTTTAGCTGGTGGAGGTTCTGTAGAGATTGAGACATGAAAAGGACAGACAGAAAAGACAGAGAGAGACAAGACAGACCAGAGGAGAGAAAAGTAGGACAAAGAAATCACATGACTTTTTGTTTTTGTTTTTAGTTTGCATGCAAGAAAGGAAATGAGAAAGGCAGGAGTCATGGAGCAAATGGGTGGCAGGTGGAAGGATGATGGAGAAAAGCAACAGGGAAGGAGAGCTATGTCTGATTCTTGGCTAAGATCTAAATATGCCATATGAATATAACTGCCAGGCTCTCAAAAGGCACATATGGATTGCTTTTGAGAATGAAAGTCCAGCATGTGGTTTGGAGCCTTCTGAACCAAATTAACATGGTTGAGGCATAACTTCAGGGACCCTTCATCATGACTGAGATTAGAGCTGAGGACTTGGTGTGTTCTTAAATCTAGCTGCTGCCCCTTTCTCTCTCCCTTCCTCTAATCTTCCCCTCATACTCAGCTCCCTTCTTTCACTTTGTTTATTTATCTGAGATAGGGTCCGACTCTGTCACCTTGGCTGGAGTGCAGTGGCACAAAACTGAAACATCTGCCTCCCAGGCTTAAGCCATCTTCCCACCTCAGCCTCCTAAAGTAGCTGGGACTACAGGCATGCACCACCATACCTGGATAATTTTTATATTTTTTGTAGAGACAGGATTTCGCTATGTAGCCCAAGCTGGTCTCAAATTCCTGAGGTCAAGCAATCCTCCTGCCTTAGCCTCCCAAAGTGCTGGGATTACAGGTGTGGGCCACTGCATTTGGCCTCATTTATTTTTAAAAAATAAAAGAGAGGCCTATTATTTAAGCTTTTTTTTTTTTTTTTTGTGGGGCATGTACTGTTTAGAAGGTTAAAGTTACACATACCAAAATAAGAAAGAACTGTCAGCTCTCTGGATCGTCCTCTAACCTGCTTTGTAGGAAGCTTCATTAACCCTGATAGTTTTCCTCTGCAGTCCAGAGAGATTGTTTCAGGATCCAAAAACTGCTAACCTGTCTCTGACCTGCTATAAGATTATATGCATCACTAAATTCACAGCTAATCATGCTTTCTTTGTCTCAGTTCAAGCAGTTTGGGAGCTGCTTAAAGGTGTTCATAAACAGACTCATACTCTGGAAATTATAGCTGTGCAAAAAAGCTGGAGAAACCATAAAAGCCCAATGATAATGAAACTAGCTGGACCAATGTGCTAGTCCAGCCCTTTCTGCCTGTCAGTGTTGCAAGCGGAACAGAATAACCAGCCCACAGACATTCTTCCTGATACCCCATATTCCATAAGACATTTAAAGACTTTAATAATTGGAATTATATCAAAGGCCTGCCGACTCTGCTACTGTCCTTCCTAAGTAGTCATCTGCACTGCCCCGAAACTGAGACCATCAACTCTTTGGGAGGAGAATAATGATTTTTTTATGCAAATGGGGTTTCACAGATGAGGATGGACAATCCTGTGGGTTATAATGACTACAAAAAGGTGGCCAGGTATCAGAGAAAAGTCTCTCATATCTATAAGATGAGAAGGATAGAAATGAAAGATTAGTGGAGTTATAGTTGTTTGGGAGTGAAGAAGCAAGAAAATGAAAGGTAGCATGAAGGGGAAAAACAGTGAAAAGGAAAAACAAGCAGAGACAAACTGCTGAATCTCTTTAACCAAAGAGAAAGAATGACCACCTTGGAATAAAGGTAGGCTAGCCAAACTGTCTCATGTAGCCATTGGAGGGTGAGGACCGGGCAATCTTCCTTGCCCACTGTAAGCATCTTGGCCATGGTGAGGATAGAGGAGGGAGATCATGGTACAGCATATGGAAAAGATTAAAGCAATGGGCAGGGACCAAATTTAAAAGCCAATGGAAAGTCCCTGGCTCTCACCCTTCTTTGGTGTTGACATTGGACCAAAGCTTTCAACATAATCATTATCAAATAATTGTCATTGTATGAAGTGGTACTTACCTCCCAGGGAATAACATTAAAGACATGAATGATGAAAGTGACTCAATCTGACAAGTGAGTATAAGCAGATCAAGGTGAAAGAATTTGGAAGTTATCAGCATGAGGGAGAGAGGCAGGAAACAATCTGGTCAATGTTCTATAGGAAGCAGTATTGAAAACAAGGCAAGGCAAGGAGGAGAGGAGAAGGGGCAGGGCCCAGCGCAGGATGGGCAAGGGCAGGGCTAAGGAGCAGGGTCAGCTAGTAATCTTTCCAAAGAAAAATAAAAATTCCAGGACCAATCTAAAAAGGAATTGGTTGCTGGGTCCCTCTCATGCAAGGACCTAGGAAAGGAAGGGGAGAAGGTCTGACAAGGAGGCTGATGCTGAGTGGAGGATGCAGTAGAGAAGTAATCACATCTGATGTGGGCGCCAAGACCAGGTGCAGGCCTGGCACAGCTCACACTGACATGCACACCTGTCAGAAGTTGGCATATAATCCTACTCCAATCTAGGATCTGGGTGGAGTTTCTCTTGAGGAGAATTCATAAATACTTACCTTTCCAATAAAAGTCCAGAAAGGCACAACACATCTCATAACCACAGAGCCACATATACATCTGGGTTAGCCCATCTCATGGTTCCCCCATTTCACCTGGCCTTTGTACTTTATTTGGTAGAGTTAGAAAAATAGGACTGAAGTCACTTTCTTTCCTTGAGTAACCTACTATATTTTTAAGGGTTCACTGGAGATCAGCCCCCTCTACTGTTCCCTACTGATTGCTCCAAGGAGGTTTGAGCATCTGTACAAAATGAATATGCAACAAGCATGACCAACTGGCCCCAAGCTCTACTGGGTCCCAGTTCAGCCAGACAGTCACCTGTACCTTTGGCTGCCTAGTACAGAGAGATTTTAGCTATTAATCACTCTAGCAATGTTGGTCACCATAAACCATAGTCTGAATGAAGAGCTTGAGAGCTAAACAAGTATTTTCTTAGACTCTTTTAGGGCCAGTCATACCAATTTTATCATATTTATATATTTGCATCTTTGAAGTTTTTGTCTTCAAGTAGGTACAGACAGAAAAATAAAACTGGTGAGAATGCAGAGGCACAGATGCTTCTCCCTTAGTCCTCTAGGGGGTGCTGGACGATCTGCAAACCTGGCATTGGGCTTTGATTTGAGCAAATAGTGTTTAGGGGCTTTAGAGTTTACAGGCATTTCTTCTTCATTTGGCTTTGTAATGGATAATGGAGAATAATGGACACCTGACTGAATCTGAATGTTTTAACTAAAAAAAAAATCAGTCCTGGCCAGACGCGATGGCTCACACCTGTAATCACAGCACTTTGGGAGGCCGAGGTGGGTGGATCCCCTGAGCTCAGGAGTTCGAGACCACCTGGTGCAACATGGTGAAACCCTGTCTCTACTAAAAATACAAAAAAATTAACTGGGTGTGGTGGCACACACTACTAGTCCCAGCTCCTTGGAGGCTGAGGCAGGAGAATCGCTTGAGCGATTGAATCTGCCTAGAGGCAAAGGTTGCAGTAAGCCGACATTGTGCCACTGCACTCAGGCTTGGGCTACAGAGTGAGGCTCCGTCTCAAAGAGAAAAAAAAAACAAAAAACAGCCTCACAACAGCTTACCTATTGGTTTAGGGACTAAACATTCATGATCTGGCTCCACTTGATAATTTACAATTGATTTTAGAGTTGCTGGCAAATGGCTTATGGCTGGGGAGAGCAAACACTTTCGTATCTTATAATCTCTTGAGGAAAGGAAAGAACTCATGATCTAGTTTAGGAAATCATAGACTGATAGCATAAAGAGACAGAGAAAAAATGTAAGCCTATCTCAACCTACAGAATTGAGGGCAACTAGAACCACTGAAGGGGCTTCCATAATTCCAAATTTAGAATTGGAATAAAAATAACAAAGGGCCTCAATTTCTCTAATTTGACCACTTTCTGGGTTTTTGTGTGTGGGCCTGCTTTGATGTGACACAGAGCCCCATGACTGGTGAGTGGAGGCTGGCTTTGGGCTCCCAGGTACTCCTTGAAAGGTTCTAGCTTTTGCCTCAATTACATGCTCTAGATCAGCATTTAGGACATTTCTTAATAAGGAACACTGACAGCTGCCTAACAGCAGAGTACAGATGGTATAACTCAGGAGGTTTCAAAAATGGAGGAGCCTCCATGCAACAAGGAGCTGTGGATATGCACTCATCAAGAAACAGTTAGCTCAGCTGGGTGTGGCGGCACGTGCCTGTAGTCCCAGCTATTCGGGAGGATGAGATGGGAGGATTATTTGAGCCCAGGAGTTCAAGTCCAGGGCAACATAGCGAGACTCCATCTCTTAAAAATTAAAAAAGAACTGGTTATCTCTAATAACTCACTGCTCTAAGCGGGAGAGAATACTTCTGTGTGGTAGTAAGGTGCGTTTGAAAAAAATCACAAGATGCAGAAGTTTAGGTGCTAGGGCATACTGTTCTACCATCTCATGAGAATCAATTATTTATTATTTCTATTTCTTGCTGCTTGAATCAACTTGGAAGATTTAAAATGTTTGAGATATAAGCAGGTATTGCTTAAAATTCTATGTGAATGTTACAGTTACAGCCTTGGGATAGTGGTAGGAAATGCAAGGGCAAGGCTCAGCATTTCTCCTTCATTCTGGAATTATAGAGTAACAGGATTGATTATGAGCACCAGATCTGGTGTAAACTATAACCTCAACAGGTCTTAAAAAGTTTTTTTTTTTTCAATAAATAACCAATCTATTTAGGCCACTGGAACAATAAATGTCTCTCCCAAACTGCATATTAGGGATGCTTGCTCATAGAAAGACATTTGGGGATCTGCCTAATACTATCCCAGTGCTTTGGCTTCCCAGTTGAATAACCCTGTCTCACCAAATGAATGCTTGGCATCATGTATCTGGTAAAATAAGATGCCTGAAGAAAGAAAAAAGCTGAGTAGGTGCTAAGTGATTATGGGCATGTGTCATCATGCATTGCAGGAATCAGATGTTTCAAAATAATCTCCAGGTGGCTACCCTGACCAGCTCTATATTCCCTGCAGCTCTGTATCCATCTTGCCCCTTTCACCCTCCTCCCCTCCCCCTGCCCCACTGCCTCCCATGGCAGCAAATTGACTGCTTTGGGTAGATTTCCAGTTCTTAGCACTCAAAACTGCCCAGGATGGCAGCTGTCCATTAAAGTGGCTAATGGAGGTGATGGTCACTGCAGGTCATGGTGAGGAGAGAAAGGAAAGTAGTGAGCTGTGAAGTGTATCTGGTGGCATGAGCTTATTCTAGTGGGAGAGTGCCAAGCATCCCTGAATATTTCAGAGTTAATGTACTGGGGCAGGAAATCAATATGTGAATACATTTTTATTTTGCTGCAGAATGATTCAATCTGTGTTCTTGCCAGCAAAGGGATGGGTTGGGAGGGGCACCAGGGAAGAAAGCTTATGGCCATGCTCAGGCTTCCCCAGGCACCCAATGGGAGGCTCCCAGAGCTGGAAAACTTGTTCTAGCCTTCTCATTTACCCTCTAGAGGGCAAAGATACTGCTTGAAAAGCCTTAAAAGTTAAACTCAAGTTTGTTTCAAGCCTGCCAAGACCTCTCCTTAAACCAAAGGCAGTATTTTTTCCTAGAATGCCTTTAAGGTGTCCTCAATGGATGTTGTGTGAGCTGAGAGAGCCTAGGAAATGGCTGAGGAGAGATGCTCACTTTTTTACACATCATTTCTTCTTGCAGATATTGAGTTTGTAGTGAAATCTGGAGGGGGCAGGCCTATGCTCAAATATCCAGTCTTGGCAGGCATTCAGAGAACAGGCATACAAAAAGAAAGAAAATCTCTTCATACCTTCATTTCTTCCTCCATTTCTGACATTTTGCGCTCCAAGGCTCGCCTCTCCTGTTTCGGAACAATGAGACTGTTGAACATTATTGAATTCAGAAGGGAGTAAAAATGCTGCCTCCCAGCTGCTGTGTGATCAGCAGATTCACGGTCAAAGGTTTGTCTGCTGACTCAGGCAAACCTTACTCAGGAGATCTGAGCACTATCTGATCCTGCCACTTGTAAGATGGAGCTACCTCACTGATAAAAATCACATTATCTAAATCTCCTATCATAAAATCAGTAGATATATGGAGAAGCAACTTGCTAATATGCAAACAGAAGAAGACATTCAGTTACTCTGTGCAGGTTGAAGATTTCATAGAATTTCAAATGTCTGCAAGTGACTAGGGCCCTTGCTCTCTATTATCAAAAAGGCATCATTATCTTCAGTAATGCTCTCCCTAAATTCCTAGGAAACTGCTTCTCTCATGATGAGGAGCAGATGGTGAGCCGGGAAGTAGACATCATTGTCTAAGAAACAGCATCTCTCCCCCTAGTTTCTTCCCTCCCCCTGTAGTTGCTTCTCTCCCGTTCCATTTCTCTTTCCCAGCAACTGACTCTTGGTTTAGCCTAAACCCAATGAGGAGTTTTTGATCAGATGGGATACCAAGGAAGTTTGGTTACAGGCCAAAGGAATAAAATGTAAAACTTAGCTGCTTTCCAAATTAAACAGACAACAACAGGACAGATGGGAACATATTATATCTCCAGGGCCAAATCAAAGCTAGGGTCCATCAATAAATCTAATTGAATTTTCCCAATCCAAGAATGTAAAATCCCAGAATAATATTCTGAGTACAGTTGGGAGGAGATCAGCAATTGAACCAGAAATCCTCCCCTCAGTCAAAATAAGTGAAAGACTGTGTTGGCTCATGTTTCAAGTCGTAAGACCTAAATGGCAGAGGGTCCCACTGAAAGCTTCCTTTCTGTTCAAGGTTATGAAAACGGTAAAGAGACCTTGGATGTGTGTGTGTGTGTGTGTGTGTGTGTGTATGCAATGATTTACAGTAAACCAAAATGTTATGGGTTGTGTGTGTATGCAGTTCTGCCCACAGTCAGAACAATGTACGAGATGACCTTCCAAGGACCCTTCCCACCCTAAGACTAAATATGTGGAAAGTACTGACCATCTGAGGAAATCAAAAGGACTAGCAATCAAATTACTGCCTAGAGTCAGACAAAAAGAATTTATCATCAAGCTGGGAATGGAATGTGGCAGAACTCCCTCCTTCTTAAGATGGACTTTTTCCATTGGCATGAATAACAAAGTGGGAGAGAGTCAGAAAGAAGAGATGAAATGGGGTGGAGGGGGAAACAGACATGCGCATACCCGTTTCTCCATCTCCAGCACTGATGATCGGTCAGAGGTCTTTTCTTGTTTCTGCTGGTGCAAATGGAAGGAAAACAGTTGTTATTTAAGTTGTCTAAGGGCCAGTAGAACGCCCAGTCTAGTTCAGCTTCACTACTAGACATCTAGAAATAAACAGTAAAACTTTGGACTTCCCCTATAGCAGGGATCCCCAGCAAACAGGTTCTGATAGATCTCTAAGCCTAACATTATCACCTCTCTGAAGTTTGCAGGATTCCCTCTGGGGAGGGGAAGGCAGTAGTAGTATTCCCTGAAATTACAAAGAAATTACTTACAACACACAATCTCTCTCTCTCTCTCTCTCTCCACAGGTCTTCAATGCTAATTACAATTTTACATCTCACCATTCTTCTCCTCTCTTCATTCTATGAGTAATATCACAACCCAGAGGAAATAACAAAAAAAAAAAAAAGGCTTTTCTTTAAAAGGCTGGCAACTCCTGAGCGAGAATGTCTAAGGCCAATGGCACTTGTCTAAATAATCCCCTTTCCCCTATTCTTTCTGTTTTGGGAATTGATACCATTTTTCTTTTAGAGCAGCAGTTTTCATATGTGGGTGGGCTTTAAGGGGTTCTTAGGAGTCCATTCATGGCATCTGCCCTGCTTTGAACAGAGGTAGTCCACTTTCATCTGTCTTATATATTGGGCTTCCAGATAAGGTAATTTTATTTGAATAAAAGATTTAGAATGTTTATTTTAGATCATCTTTGACTTAAATTTTGCAGAGGGGCTGAAAAGACTTAGCCTCACGGCAAAAAAAACAGAATAACCTCAGATAATGGCCCTTCCTTAAAAGGGGAATAAAAAACCCTTAAGTCCCTTTTGGCCTTAGGGTCATAGAACTCAGCAGAATTTCTTACATTCAGTAGACATTTAATAACTGCTGGGTGATTATTTTTATTTTGCTTAGTGTCATGCAGAGACAACATTTAAATAAATATAGAAATTATGCTGGTCTTCTTGCAGCAGTTTCTTTTTTTAAAAAAAAAATTAAGGAATGGCCAGAACTAACAATAAAACTCAGAATTCTGGCTCCTGTCCTGGGCTTTCACCTTCTGTTTGGAAGGGCATGGCTGTCTGCCTTTATGCTGCATCTACTATGAAGCAGAAGGAAGAGAAAAAAACGCAAAAATAGATCCTACAGCTTGTTAATATCCTCGTAAGTCTTTCTTTCCTAAGCCTGAGGAGCTGTAGAAGTTGTGATGATTTCATGATTTTCAAGGTTTATATACACAAAGAACTAGTTTTTTGTTTGTTCTGTTTTTAATGTTGACTCCCTTAGAGTTGGGGTGGATCTTTTATGTAAAAATATTGTGTATGTTCATGTGGTAACTGTCTCCATACAAATGTGTGAGGCTGAGAAGCCCTCCCTCCACTGTCCTGCCAAACAACTCCATTTTTGGTAAATGGCAGAGACTTGGTTTGTAGCAGCACCATTTCTTATGAATTTCAATAACTTGTATTTGGCAAAACTAAGTATATTTTGACACACCCAGCAAAGCAGTGGGCCAGAGAGTAAATGCTTTTCCCCAGCAACTGGAAAGGCTGATTTTATTTTCAGTGCCCTCTGTGCAAGTCAATGTCAGCAGCTTGTTAGACTGCTCACTGTTCTAAGGCATGGGCTGGTGGAAATGCTGAGAACCCCTAAAGGTCAAGACATATGCTGTCAGAAGCTTCCGCTGAGAAGAGTGGGGAGCAGGTGAAACTGCTCTTCCTGTGGTTCCTCACATGACTGCTCTTTAATTTTCTGTAAAACAATCCTAGTAATAACTGACAAGAACCAGCATAAGATCTGTATTTATAAACCACTGCCAATATGTGGCGCCATTCAGAATAAAAATTAGCCCCAGATTTCTTTTGAGGGTCTACTGTGAATGAGACTTTTTTTTTTTTTTGCCTGGCTCAATAATGTTGGAGTGAGATTTATTCAGTCCACCCCGCTGCCTTATGGCAGGGCTATAGCTATGTGTGTATTTTTCTCTTTTAGATTTAGAAACCTACTTTTCTTATTCCACAAAATCACTTTAAGCCTAGTTATTATCTATTTGTGTTGCAGTAAGTCTCAGAAATTTCCAGTAGAGCCATGTTGGGCTACTATAATCAGGAAAAAGGGGGTGGCTCTTCTAAACTGACAGGCAGTTCACATTTTACACCTGGGTAAGCCCTTCTCCAGAAAGTGAGTGTCCTGGCTGTCTTGCTGGAGTCCTACGCAGCTCTGTGGGGCTGTCTTCCAAGTGTTGGCACCCTCCTGCTCATGCAATTCCAGAGGGGTTAGAATAGGATGTTTAGAGGGTAATCAACACCCCTGCCCTCCAAACTCCATGTATTTGGTACTGTACAACCCTAGCATTTTAGTCTTTGCTTTTGGATAGCCAGTCATATTGCCAGAATGACTAGCCACCTCTGGTTTTCATTTCAAGCCTTCCTGCTAAAGAATCATTTTTACTTCAGTTCAGCTTTCGAAATTCTAAGTCCCCAGGCATTCTAGGAGGGAAATAACTCAATAGGTTTCCTGATAACTCAGCAATAACCAAAAGCAGTGCTTGCTTTAGCTTTCAGCTGCGGAGTTTGTTTCACTGGTGACAAGGTTATTACCTCCAGCATCCTCTAAAGCATCATCTAATTAAATCAAACCTGGCAGTGAGAGGAAATAGTTTATCAGTCTTTCTGCCACTAATATTCCTTATTTGTAGGCTGAAAAAGAGTGGTGGCTTGGGGAGATAACATATGCTACAGAATCTTTGCTTTGGGACTTAACCCTATGTTGTGGCACCACCTTTGCCCTTGATTTGTTATATGGCCTAAGCAAACCACTTACTTCTCTAGGCTTAATTTGTTATCTCTCTGCCCTAGGTTTAATAGGGTCTTGCTTATCTCTCTCCAAGAGGTGAAGTGTAGATAAACTGAACTGAAACATAATGAACAGGACAAGAGGAACTGTCTAGGACTAGCTTTGTAGTGCTGGTTTATGCTTTTCTACTAATAAATAAGTAGATGATGAGCCATAGTATTAATTATTAGCATTCAGACCATCAGGAATTGTTCACTGAATTATCAGTTTTCCTTTTTAAGTTAAACACTGATTGAAACCTAAAATAAATTAGAATCTAAGAAGCTTCTATCTCATTGCCCCGAGAAGGCCTGATCTTGACTCTATCTTACTTCCTGTCCCTTAGATCCCTAGTCTAGTTTGCTTCCTTACATCAACCCTTGGTTCTCATCTTTTTTCTTCTTCTTCCGTCTTACCTGGGCCACCTTCTCAAGCTTGGACTTTATATCTGCTAGCTCTAGCTGGGCTTCCTGAAGTTTTGTTTTCAGTTTTTGGTTTTCAGTCAGAGCACTCTCATAGAGCTAGAGGAGAGGGAAAAAAGAGGATCAGCGTTCGCGTTAGAACTCACACCATTTCATCACATGAGAATGCCCAGGGCTCTGTGCCCCAAGCCACCACTATATGGTAGAGAGAGAAAATGAAGGAAGGGTAGGGAGCAGAGTACATTCAGCCAACTGGTCTCTTGCTTTTTCAAAGTGATGAACAGAAAGAGAATGATGATGCTCCAACTTCAATAATGTTAATCTCTGGGGGAAAAACAGTCATTACTATGGGACATTTTCATTGCTTAAAAGAGCAATGAAAAAGACAATTTTTTTTTGGAACCAGTCTACTGTGTATATTGATTTTAGTCAAGTTCTGCTTAACAAAACATTAACAGAACAAGCACTCTTTATTCCCTTTGGAGACAGGGTCTTGCTCTGTTACCCAGGCTGGAGTGTAGTAGCATGATCACCCCTCACTGCAGCCTTGAACTCCCAGGCTCAAGCAATCCTCCTAACTTAGTAGCTGGGACTACAGGCATGAGCCACCATGCCCAGCTAATTTTTCAATTTTTTGTGGAGATGGGGGTCTCACTATATTGCCCAGGCTGGTCTGGAACTCCTGGGCTCAAGTGATCATCCTGCCTCACCCTCCCAACGTGCTGGGATTACAGGCATGAACCACCATGCCCATCCTAAATATTTTCTTTACAAAAATAGTTTTTCCTGGTATCGCAAACACCTGAAAGGGAAGGTTTTTAAGTCTACTCTTGGAGTTAGGTACTATTCTACAAGAAAAAAGGAAATAAACTGTAAAGTGATGATGATTTTCTTTTCTTTTTTTTTTTTTTTTTTACTAACACCAAGTAGTATTTAGTTGATATTCACAGGACCTTATTAGAAGCACATGTTTGTTAAAAATAACAGTCTACCAAATGATTCTCAGGGGCTCAGAGAGACAGCATTAGGTTTTTCACCCTTTTTATATTCTTAATTTCTTACTTTTCCCTACACTTCTAAATACCTGATTCTAACTATACACTTACTGCACTAAAAGCAACATATGGCTGGGCATGGTGGCTCACGTCTGTAATCCCAGCACTTTGGGAGGCTGAGGTGGGAAGATTGCTTGTGGCCAGGAATTCAAGACCAGCCTGGGCAATATAGTGAGATCCAATCTCCATAAAAAATAAAAAATGTAGCCGTGTGTGGTGGTGCATGGCTATAGTTCTAGCTATGTGGGAGGCTGTGGCAGGAGGACCCTATGAACCCAGGAGTTTGAGAGGGAAGTTACCTATGATTGCACCACTGCGCTTTAGCCTGGGTAACAATGAGACCTTGTCTCAAAAAACAAAACAAAACACCTCAATATCTGAAGGGGTCTTTATCTAGTTTTTTGGAGAGGTGAAGTAAACCCAGAAAACTGCAAGGAATTATTATTACTTAAGTGCCTTTTCTTCTGCTTATTCAGAGCTATGGTAATTTTTCTGGGTGTGGTGGAGGAAGGCTGAGAGGTTTACATGTCACCAAAGAACCGGAAAATTGAATAAAGACCCTACTTTTTTATAATCTCTGTTGCTGTCTTCTTCTACACGGCTGGTCAGGGTGGCTAGGCGGGCCTCCCGGGCCTCCCGACGGGCTCTTGCTGAAGCCCGGTCACCGTAAGAATCACTGGTTGTAGGATTACTACCTCCCGATTCCAACCTGTGGGAGATAATATTAAAGATAAAAATTGGTTTTGAGAACAAAGTAGTGGGGAGAAGGTAATGCTCAGGGGTAGTTTGCGCCTTTTCTAAGAAGTATTTCGGAGCCCTGGCCAGAAACAACTCATAACATTCTTTCCTTCAATCTCTCTGCCAGCGTTCCCAGACCTCAGGGCTAAACTGCACGAGCTTGGAGAGGGAGGCTGACCATCATTTGCCAAGAATGAAGCTTATTGAAAAATTAGTGGTTTGGACCTATGAGCTGACTTAAATCTTAAGAGCTTTTCATATTAGTTTAGGATTGAACAGCTTCCCTCAAAAGTGTGCTTTTAAAAGTAAAGATTTCTTGAATTTCAATGGCTCTTGGAAAAATGATTACAATGAACTGTCAATGAATCAGAAACATGTGGACTTAGAGATCTGAGCTGGAGGTTGAATAGGAATGAAATGGCCACTAGGGCATGCTACGTATGCCTTTTAGGTGCTCTACAGGTTTGCTGGAATCCCAAACATTTTAGGGATACCAACACAGTGCCCAAATAGCTAGTTTTCTACCATCTTATCCATATTCCACATCAAGACTGCTGTGCCTGTGATTAGAATTTTGACATATTTTAGCAACTGAGCTCTTAGAGTTGATAGTGGTTTTATTTCCAGTATTGGTAAGTTCATTAAGGGAAGGATCTCTCAGCTGATTACCTGTTTAAGTGTACAACTATCACCCTAAATCCTTAACGCTGGTTTATATTTTTCTCAGACTTTGCTCTTTCCAAATTAAAAGGCAGCACATATGAAACTGAAATCAGCCCTGCAGAGTGCTACATCCTGAACTGGGATGGTTTGAAGAGTCACAACTGTGAAAATTGCATCTGATGTATCTGTCCTGTGGTAGCTATTTGCCATAGCTGGGGGTGGGGAAGCTGAAATAAGTATTAGAAGAGATAGAGAAGCAATAAGGATGACACAGAGAAGGCAGAGGCAAAGTAATTAGCTCCTAATGACAATGGTGGCCTCTTTTCACTCACAGAGATGCTAAGTCCCACATTCTTCAAAACATTCTTTTTCTTCTTCTTTTGTTAATAGAAATCTCTTTATTGAGTTTCCTGATTATAAAAGCAATATATGGTTGTAGAAAAAGTTCATACTGAAGTATCTAAAGTAGAAAGTGAAAGGGTCACCCCATAATCCTGCCTAAGAAATAACTACTTTTAACTGTTTAGTTCATATCCTTGCAGAATGTCAAGCATATATGTTAAAATACATAGTTCTATAAATAAATTCAGATAACATACACTATTGTCTAACTCCTCCTCCTCTCTATACTTACCACTATGACCGTGGACATCTTGCCATCTAAGTAAAAATAGATTTGCCTCACTAAAAAAAAAAAAAAGACTGCAGTCTTCTCCATTACATGCCTGTAAGATAATTTAACTAATCTTCTATGATAGACACTTAAATTTTTCAAATTTTTTAGCTATTATAAACAATGCTAAAATGAGCAGACTTATCTATAAACCTTAGTGCCTTTGTCCAGTTACCTTCTTATGAAATATTTCTTATGACAGAAATATGTATCTGTCATTAATTTTAATATTTTAAAATCATTATGAACAATCAATATCTTTGGTTATTTTTCTTTTTTTTTGTTTCTGAATTGCCAATTCATAGCCTTTGTTCAGTAGGGTAATCATCTTTTTCTTATTGTAGTAGGGGAACCTCCTGTAGAGTAGGGCTTTTATTTTTTTTATTTTTATTTTTTTATTATTATACTTTAAGTTTTAGGGTACATGTGCACAATGTGCAGGTTAGTTACATATGTATACATGTGACATGCTGGTGCACTGCACCCACTAACTCGTCATCGGGCTTTTAAAACTAATATAGGCAGCAAATATTTTTTCCCACTTCACTTTCTGTCTCTGTTTATAGTGTCTTACTTAGAGATTTTAAATTTTATATAATTAAATTTGATGATTTTTATCTTTATGGTATTGTCAGAGACATTTGAACCACAGCAACTCCATCTTGAATAGGGGCTGGGTAAAATGAGGCTGAGACCTACTGGGCTGCATTCCCAGACGGTTAAGGCGTTTTAAGTCACTGAATGAGATAGGAGGCTGGCACAAGATACAGGTCATAAAGACCTTGCTGATAAAGCAGGTGGCAGTGAAGAAGCTGGCTAAAACCCACAAAACCAAGATGGCCGTGAGAGTGTCCTCTGGTCATCCTCACTGCTACACTCCCACCAACACCATAACAGCTTACAAATGCCATGGCAAAGTCAGGAAGTTACAACATATGGTCTAAAAAGGGCAGGCATGAATAATCCACCCCTTGTTTAGCATATAAACAAGAAATAACCATAAAAACGGGCAACCAGCTGCTCTGTCTATGGAGTAGCTATTCTTTTATTCCTTTACTTTCCTAATAAACTTGCTTTCACTTAATGGACTCTCCCTGAATTCTTTCTTGCGTGAGATCCAAGAACCCTCTCTTGGGGTCTGAATCAGGACCCCTTTCCGGTAATGGTATCACACTTGGAAAGGCTTTTCCTATATAAAGATTATAAAATATTCTCTTCTGCTAACTTTTATGGTAAAACACTTTTCTCTTACAAATTGTAAGCCAACTGAAATCCATTTGTTTCTCGGTATGGCTGAAGGGAAGGATATAATTGCTCAAACAGATAATCAACTGTCCTAATGATCACTTACTGAATAATTATTTCCTCACTGAGATGAAGTCACCTTATACATGTGATTTTTGGGGGGCTATGGATTGTGTTCCATAGGTCTCTTTGTTTATTCTTGAGCTAGTGCTTCACTGTTTTAATTGGTACAGTTTCATAGCATATTTTGAAGTCTGTGGGAAAAAGTTTCCTTTCACAAATGGCTATTATAATACGAGAGAGTTCACAAAAGATTACGGCAAAATACCACTCTCCAACAATTTTGCAAAACTAAGTAATTTTCTGCTAGGTTAGAAGTAAATGATTTGTCCTCAGCTGCTGCCTGGTGAGAGGGCAAGCAGAAGAAGAACATTAGAATATATTAATAAGACAGAACCAGCTCAATACCAAACAAATTATAAGGAAACTCATTTGGCCTATAGTCCCATAACTATATCTTCTCCCAATCTCTTAATTTCTCCATCAGAGTAACAGTAGAAAAAGAAAGATTCCAACTTTTGGCTCTATAGTCTATTATTTTTTATTTAGTTTCTTCTTTCAGAAGATTAGTTTTGTACCCTTAGATACTAGGTGAAAAACTGCAGAGGGTCATTCCCCCAATTTTGATATCCTTCTTTAATTTTTCAGCAATTGCAAAACAGGTCTTTAGTTTGTTCATTCAACAAACTACTAAGGAGCATCATCTAGGTATAAGGTATTTTGTTGGATCCACTATTAAATAACAGTATCTAACCTCAATCTGAACCATCAGATTAGATTAATTGCTCTTCTCTGTGCTCAGAATACCTGTCTGTACTTCTAATGGGCACTTACTATGTTCTGTTGAAATGATCTGTCTCTCTACTGGCTTGTTAGCTAATTGAAGGTAAGGATACTGTCTTATTCATGTTGTTTCCCTAATACCGAGCATGGTGCCTGGTACGCTGGTGCTTTAAAAAAAATTAATCTAGTGGAAGTCTACAAGGTGAACTGGAAAGAGGAGAATCTGGAAGCAGGAAGGTAAATTGAAAAGCTTGTTCCATTGCTTTGGGCAGGAGGTAATAAAAGTCTGAATTATTGTGGTGGCTGTGGAAATGAAAAGGATGGAAAGGATGTGAGAAACATTACTGAATTATTATATAAAGCTAAGTTTAATTCGACATGCATTCACTCACAAGTATTAAGCATGCATATATAACAGGGAGAGTTCTTACCTAGAAAGTCTTTCATGCTAGAGAAAGGAGACAAAAACAAAAACAAAAAAAGAAAAAAGAAAAGAAAACAGCATTAGCAAGAGACTGATTTGTATTATTTCCATCTATAAATGCACTTTTCAAATCAGATGGCTGAACTTCACAGCTGGAGATGGGGGTGCCATTTAAGAAAAGCAATCAAATTGACTACACAAAGGTGACTTAGCCCTAGTTCACACTTCTTTGCATGCCATGATTCACTAGATTTGAGGCATTAGGGATAGCACCTTTTTAAACTAGAAGTTAGCAAAATGTAAAATGATCAAAAACTGCCCCCAACTCCCCACCCAACTAACTAGCCAAGCTTGTGTTCTAGGAGTGACTATCACTGACTTTCTATGTGACATTTGGCCTCTCTGGATCTCAACATTCATTCTATTAATTTCCTTTGTTCACAAACTCCCAAACTTGCCCTGAGTGAATACTGCAACTACAAATATTAAAACTCAGGAGACTTCCTCAGTTTCTCCTAGGTTGCTAGTGAAAGTAGAAGAGTAAGGGAGAGGGGAGAAACTCCCATCCTTGTCCCTAGGATGCTGGTTAGAAAAAAAAAAAAAGTAGGTACTCTGAGGTCTCAAAAGAAAGGAGTTTTATAGATACAACCAGTAAGCTTGGTCATTGTAAACAAATCACACAACAAAAAGTGCTTATGTCTGTGTTTGACATTTACTTTTTACTGTAGATGACCTTTACCCTCCTATCCCTTTTTTTTTTTTTAAAGAACTCTGGCAAATAAAAATTCAATTGATTTAAATGCACTTAATTATTTCCCTTTCTGAAGTGTTAAAGAACAACAAAATCTTCAAGACAGACAAGAGGAGGAAGAGAAGCAAAGGTCCAATAATCTACAAAATGGATAATGAATCCTTGAACTTCTGAGGAGTCACTCAATGACACTGCTTTGCATTAAACAGTCCCTGGAAGCCACTGGTTTGTCAAACAACATAGCAGGACAACCCAACACACCACACCCTACAGCTGTCCAGGAGAGGTATACAGTGACAGCACATATGACTAAAGAGGACTGAATAGAGTCACCTTGATAAACGATGACATTTCCTCATAGAATCTCTCTTTAAATCAGGGGTTATACTCATCAGAATAATCCTGCACACTTTTGCAAAATGTACATGTCCTAACCTCAATACTGGAGATGCTGTTTCAGTAGGTCTAGAATGCAGCCTTCCTATATGTATTTTTAAAAAGTACCCCAGGTGATTCTGCTGTACAGCCCTGGTTAAATACCGCTGGACTAAACGAAGGTTTTTGAACATGGAGACATGCCCCCATTTGAGGTGGGGGAATCATTAGGACTCATTAAGAAAAGTATATGGTATATTCTCATACATTGAGTTGAGAATCCTGAAAGTTGGAAATCTAAAATTCAGGACAATTCCAGGCATTTTTCCTGTCCCACATTTATATATCTAATCTCTAGTGGCATTCATATGTATACCCCACACTATCATTGCCTACTTTCTCAACTTTACCTTAAGTTTTTTTTTCTTGATATCTTTTTTCAAAAAAGAAACTAAATTTTAATCACCTCTCAAGAACTAACACATATATAGGGCTGGGCACAGTGGCTCACACCTGTAATCCCAGCACTCTGGAGGCAGGAGAATCACTTGAGCCCAGGAGTTCAAGACCAGTCTGGGCAACATGGCAGACCCCATCTCTACAAAATAATTTTTAAGAAGTTAGCTGGGCATGGTGGTGGGCACCTGTGATCCATGCTACATGGAAAGCCGAGGCAGGAGGATCACTTGAGCACAAGAGGTCGAGGCTGCAGTGAGCTGTGTTTGTGCCACTGCACTTCAGCCTGGGTGACAGAGTGAGGCCTTGTCTCAAAACAAAACAAACAAACAAAAAGTATCCAAGTGAAGCTGAGATCCTGGGCTATGGGCTATGTCACTCATTAGCTTTGTGAGAAGACCTAGCATCTGGGTGAATTAAAATTCACGTCCAGGAAAACTATTTATTGTGACATGTCAAATACTTGTGAATAATTGAGCCTGAACTCCATACCAGCAAATGTAAAGCATCTATTGTATTTAACAGCCCACTGTGTGCAGAGCCCTGTAGAGGAGGCACTGAGGAAGAAGCAGAACAAGTTGCACGACAGAACCAGGAGAGCACTGTGAACATAATTAACAAGTTCGCCTGAAGCAATGTAGGGAAAACATGAGAATACGTGCTATGGAGATAACAGTGGTAACCCATTGGCTCCAACTAAGAAAACCTCCTAAAAGATAGGAGTTTTGGGAAGATCATATTAGAGAAACACACACAAACACACATTTTTTTTTCTGATAACAAAGATCCAGAAGAGATACATACATTTTTTAAAAAAACATATTGTTATGGAGGGAACGTTTCCCTAAAATTCCATCTTATTCCTAATTATATTTTTAGTACCTACAGGGCCAGAACACAATAGGTGTTCAATAAACACTAACTGAATTGAATTGTTAATGCTCTGAGAAGTGTGATGGCCTTGGCTAGACCTGATTTCTAATTTCTGCTCTGACATCTAGCAATGTGACCTTGGCAAGTTACCACTTATTCTAACAGTAAGAATTAACTGTGATAACTACAAGGAAGTGAACTCTTAAAATGTCAGCTTCCCTGCCACCATTCCTCTGCTTTCATTTTTTAAATTGTAAGAATATCGTATTAGGCCAGGTGCAGTGGTTCACGCCTGTAATACCAGCAGCTTGGGAGGCTGAGGCAGGTGGATCACTTGAGGTCAGGAGTTCGAGACCAACCTGGCCAACGTGGCAAAACCCCATCTCCACTAAAAATACAAAAATTAGCTGGGTATGGTGGCACATGCTTGTAGTCCCAGCTACTTGGGAAGCTTAGGCAGGAGAATTGCTTAAGCCCAGGAGGTAGAGGTTGCAGTGAGCTGAGATAGCGTCACTGCACTCCAGCCTGGGAGACAGAGTGAGACTCTGTCTCAAAAAAAAAAAAAAAGAATATTATATTGGCTATTGATGCTGGTTAGAGTACCAAGTTAAAACTTCGTACCTTTGGTTCAAGGAATTGAATTCACATGTAACCAAATGAAACAATAATTTAGAAGACCATTTAGTTTCTCTCAGTGCTTCTGAGTAGAACAGCCTTCAAACTATACCCTTCATATGGGGGTAGCATTCTTGACACTCTTTCCAAAGATGTACTTTCCACATCGTCTTAGGTATGGAAAAATGACCTGTTTACAATCAAACTGGTCCCTTGGGCCTTTTCCTCCTCCTATTGAACTAGGAGCTCATTTCTCCATGGTGTGCAGACTGAGGCCTAACTTTCTGACAATTAAATCATGCTTTTTTGCTGCTGACTTTTTCTTGAAATGTGAAACCTCACTTGAATTTTTTTTTTTTTTTTTTTTAGTTTCTTCTTTGTAAATATCCTATTTGTTGGGTAAGATTTTACTATATCTTTAGTTTTAAATTCTGCTGTGTAGACTCTGGCAGCTGCCTCTATGGTGACGAAACAAGCTTTTTTTTTTTTTTTTTTTTTTTTTTTTCATTAAAACAGGAAAATTAGGGTTTTACCAAGCATCAATCTTAGCCATTATCTATAAATCAAAGCATGCTAATAATTTCCATTGCTTTACTTTTTAAATGACATTAACCCTTTTCATTTAGAATGTTCTAGAAGCACAATTAAGCCAAGAAAGTTTTCAGATATATGGCTGTATAGTATGGCTGTTTATACTGTATGACCTTCACTGAGGAGGTTGACATAAAATACAAACACTTAAAAATTGAAAAACACAAAAAATAGGTTAGCACTATCAAGCAGCAATCAGAAAAAGCCCACAGGGTTCCTGGACATGAAAAGGCAGATTCCATAGGGTTTTCGAGAGGCCTAGATTAATTTTTCCACAAATGAGAGCATGTGGAGGAAGGTAATGATAATGGTGCTCACACTTGTGATTCCCATACCAGTTTTTGTCCCTATAGGCTTACTGTAGGAGGTGTTCCCTACAGCCACCTAGGAAGTTGATGACCTACGCTCTTACTTCTGCTTGCCAGGAGTAACTGAAAGCAAACACCACAGTCTGTTGTTTATTAGCTTTTAAAGGCTTGTTAACATTCCTTGTTAACAATTTCTTTTTGGGTAGCCTTTTATAAAATGCGTAGGTGATGAGTGATCCAGCAGACAAGGCGGTAGACAATTTTCCTAGATCCAGATATTAGAGAAAATAGAGCTTGCAAGTTAATCCTTGATCTTTCCTTGCTATCTCTAATTCCCTCCAGCTTTTACCTGACTTTTGGAGCTATGTGGAATCCTTTATTTTTTATTTTTTTAAATATTATTGCCTTCAGGGGCTAACCTTAGCAATGTCCTGGGAAAGTCAACCCTACCAATTAGAGGAGAGTAGATAAATCTCCTAAAACCTCAGAGATTAGTGAGCTTTGGATGCAGTAGGAGTAACACAGTTACCTTAATACAAACAATATTATTTCAAAAAAGGAAGAAAACTGGACTTCTAAGGGTGAATTATTCTCGCTGTAATAGAAATGGTTTCCTTTCAGGTTTTTAGCCTAAAAAGAGTAAGACAAGATAGCTTAAAAGTATATAGGGTTTAATGTTTAATTCCCCCAATTCTGATAAAATGGCTTTGGTTTTTAGATCATACTTCCTAACTAATTTTCATTGGTGGAATACCTCTAGAAACTAGTGTTTTGCTTGGCTTCTTGATACCCTAGATAATCCGGGGTTTGATGAAAAAACACTAGTTGGATTTAGGGAGAGAGAAGATGGGGTTTCTTGGGTAAAGAAGCAGAGTGGCTGGATTGACTCAGAAGACTTAACTTTAATTTTTCCTCTTCATCCTCCTGTCATTCAAACTAAGCACAGATCAAATCAACTGTTAGACTAACACGACTTCATTCAAGAAAGCTGACTGCCAACCCTGCAGGGAGACTACTAAGTAAATCTAGAGGAGATAAGACAGAGTGGGAGTTTGCCTAAGTAATCTCAGGGGAACAGTGAGCCAGGAAGTGACATCAGAAGAGGCAAGCAGAACATAAGGTAGGGAAATGAACACTGAAGCTTCTCCCAGAGAAGAGGATTCTAAGAGGTCAGCTGAGTGGGCAGAAAATAAGGGGAAGTCCTAGAACACAAGGCTTAGGGACTCCAGCCAAATCGATGATCCTTTAGAGGCTAGGAATGCGGACTCATCTTATCTATGCTCTGGCAATGGTCCCATCCTTCCATCCTCCTCCTCTGTACACTCCCTCTCTCTTCTCAAAAACAGAAGTTAGTCTACTCTGTAAGTAGAGTCTGAATAGCTTATCTGCACATGATGATATCATATATTTTAGAAAAGGCATGAATCTTTTCTCCAATTGGTAGGTTAATTCACAAATTTATTATGCTGTATGCTCTAATCTGGAAGTCTTAGAACTTCTCTAAGTGTTTTTGTTAAAGATTGTTTTGCTCTACCTTCTGTTGAAGACAAATGATGGCCACTAAAATGAGACTCTCTAGTGTGTCTGAACTAGATAGAAACTGTTCAAAGAAGGAATTACTTTCACAGCTTTTATGGCCCAACTGGGGACAACAGATAATGTAAATGAGACTCTAGAGAAGAAGAGACTAAAAGCTGCTCAGAAACCAATATGAATACATTGTAGAGTAGAGGTAAAAAGAATGATTAGCTGGATAGACCATAGTTTTAAAAATGTCCCAAAACTAAGAAGCAGACTTCTTTCTTTCATACCTCTTGAAATTCTCCCGTAATAATCTCATTGCTTGGGCCTGTTTCTAATAAAAGAACAGAATGAAGATCACCATTAATTCAGATGGCAATCCTAGAAAGGGACAGAAACCAGACTGGTTTTGATTTGTGAAATGTGTAGGGCCCTCAAAACACCAGAGACTGGCTTAGAAAAATCCCCACAAAAACTTTTAACTTGAAAGTTATCAGGAGTTCAGGAAGGCACATAATTAAAACCAAACTCCTACCAAGTTTAAAATAAAATTGTGGCTCAGGAAAGCTGGGCCCAAGGGAAAGGAATGAGACCAAGTCACATGTCTGCTGCCAAGGCTGAAACTGGTTTAACTCAAGTTCCTTTTGAAGTCATGGCTTGACCCCACAGTGATGGGAAAAAACTTCTATTTACATTTTCTCCTGAAGAGGGACTAAGCAGAAGGAACATTTTATATTATGTTCTTGTGTACTAGCTGAGCCAGGGGAAACAATTTGAGCTATTCTGGGATGGTCTACAGAGAACCATCTTCTTTCCCTTCAGTTTTCTCAGAATATTGACTGATGATGAACAAGCCAATGATGTGAGTGTGGCTGCAGCAAGGACCCTTCAAATTTTCAGAGGTACTGCAAACCTAATCATGGTCTGAGTTAATTGCAAAATAGTATAATTTTGTAACTTTTGAGTTTAAGAATCATTCTGGTTTCATATATAAGTCTAAGAGAGACAAAAGTTTTCCATCCTTCTATCTTAAGGGAAAAGATTTCTTCATAATTCAAACAGAGAAGATTCTTAGGAAACTTGAAATAAAGAGAATCTACCAGTCTCTAACTTTGAAGTGAAGCCTGCATTGTTCTAGTAATTTATCTGGGGATCCTGCATAATCTGGAAATAAATGTGAGGGTGGAACAACAACTTCCAAGATTTATGCAAAGATGTGACAGTAGAGGGCAATGATAATGAGGCCTATGCTGTTTTTTATATCAAAAAAATTATCATCAAATTTTCAATTTCATTAGTTTTCTATTGCTGCCAAAACAAAATTTAGTGGCTTAAAACCATTTATTATCTCACAGTTTTGTAGGTCAGAAGTCTGCACAGTTCTGCTGGGTTCCCTCCTCAAGTTCTCAACGGTCTGAAATCAAGGAGTCTGCTGCTGGCTTTTATCAGGAGCATCTGGGGAAGAATCTGCTTCAAGCTCATCCAGGCTGTTGGCAGGAATCCAGTCCTGTGAGGTTTCAGGTACCCACTGCCTTGCAGGGTAGTGGCTGCTTACTGCTTGCAGAAGCTCCTACATTCCTTTTCACATGGCCCTTCTGATTTTCAAACCAGCATTGAAGCACTGAGTTCTTTTCGCACTTCACATTTCTCTGGCTTCCCGTTCCATCATCTGCTGAGAAGGCTCTCTGCCTTCACAGGCTCATGTGATTAGCTCAGGCCCACCCAGGAAAACCTCCCTAACTTAAGGTCAACTGTGCTATGTAACAGAACAATCATGCGAGAGCTATCTTGTCATATACGTGGGTTCTACAGATCAGGTGAGGACTTTTGGGGAGGCATTTTAGAAATTCCAACTATCACAAGGATCTCCCTTAAAAAAAAAATGGTTTAATTTATCTGTAACATCCTAAAAGAAACATCCATAGCACATGGCCTCTCAGCTGCACTAGGTGATTACATACATTCAGAATCAGGGCAATACCAAAAGTGCTGTCTTATGCAGGGAAAAAAACAGGCGTCCATGTGACCTGGTATACATATGTGTAAGAGAGTATACTTCCAAGGAAAAATTAACTTTTAAAAGCAAGTATTAAATCACATATGTCTTCATCATATTATATGTCTTGATTTGTCTTTACTGACTACTTAATACATATAGAACAAAAAGTTAAACATAGTCAAATACAGTATTTACATTCAGTTCATATTATAAATATTTCTGAAAAATCTCATATGCCAGATTGTGACTACCCTATCAATTTAAGGCATGTAAAAATGATATCATGTAACATCATCTCACATATTGCAGCACATATCACTATATTTTAAAAGAAAAACCATTAAGTTCATTAAATGATAGACTCATCTTTTGTTGTCTCTATTGTGCTACCTAATATTATTAGAATTTTAAAGCTCTTAGCATCTATGCAGACCTGCACCTCCCTTTTGTGAATATTCCCAGCTTCTGAAGAATTTCTGATCTTTTGGAAACTCACAAAATGCACTCATTGTAGAAGGAAATATATGGATATACTAAGGCCTCCATAAAATACCTAAGGCAAGCCATTTTATATGTATAATTCATAAACTCTTGTGATTCATAAATGCATTTGCAGCCTCCGGCATATTTTCCATCGAGCCTTTCACATGCTGTGTACTATATAGGATGAAAATGACCAACAGGGGAATGAGGAGCTCTAAAACTTGTGTGGCTCTAGCACATGGGTCACATTTCTCACATTTAATATCTATATTTACTTTCCCCATAGCTTGGAGTTTTAGGTTCACACAGATGTGTATGGGCATCTGAAACTATGAAATACATTCAGATGATTTTAAAAAAAAACACAGCCTCAATGAACACCTAAGAAGCCTGATCAGTCCCTCCAAAATATTGTTAGAATACAGCATAGAGTATATCGTAAATTTTAAAAGTCCTTATTTAGGCCTTAAATCCCACTGTTTGAGTTTCACTCCATTTCTCTAATTGAGATTCCAGGTCTCTCCCCACTAGCCTGTCATGATGTTACTGACCACCATTATACCTATTTAGGAAGTAAGCTTTCCATGAAGCCTGGGAAGAGACGGGTTTTTTCATATGGTAAATGTCACAGTCCAGCAGCCTGTTTGGGTAGCAGTAACTTTATTTTTATTTGGACTAGGCTGTGAATCAAAACTTTTACAAAGGAATTAGTGAGGCTCTCCAGACCTCACATTTCATGAGGAAATAAATATTAATACTTGGGACCTAAGTAACATAGGGTAGAACTTTTTATTTCTAGTAGATTCCACAGGCTTTTTCTCTTTTGATTCCCACAAAAACAAAAATATTAACTCACATATTTTGGAGTGACCAATATACTAGCAAATTGCAATAAACAGGAATCTGAATTGACTTGGGAAGATCTATGGTTAGCCTTCATGTTAGAAATAAGATTCTCAAGTGTGTGTGGCCTCTGACTCCTTTCCAGATGGCTAAATGGGATAGGAGCGGAGAGATCAAATCTCAGGCAGCAGCATTCATTCCCTGCATTTACATTAAGCACCTGTATGTGCCCAGCCTTGTGAGTAGTACTTACAGGAATAAAATCGACAATTACAGAATCTAAGACATGGCTCTTTGATCTCAAAGAGCTCTTCTCTGAGGAGGTAAAATATGCACACTCATAAAACAGAGTGTAATTCAAGAAAGTTGGCCGGGCACGGTGGCTCATGCGTGTAATACCAGCACTTTGGGAGGCCGAGGCGGGTGGATCATGAAGTCAGGAGATTGAGACCACCCTGGCTAACACGGTGAAACCCCGTCTCTACTAAAAATACAAAAATTAGCCAGGTGTGGTGGCGGGCACCTGTAGTCCCAGCTACTCGGGAGGCTGAGGCAGGAGAATGGCATGAATCCGGAAGGCAGAGCTTGCGGTGAGCAGAGATCACGCCACTGCACTCCAGCCTGGGCAACAGAGCGAGACTCCGTCTCAAAAAAAAAAAAAAAAAGGTAATTGATTAAATGCAATCAAATGTTAGACCATCTAGTACATACAGTAAATAAAAAGGGGTAGTTAGGAAAGGGAGAGACCAATACTGACTAGATATTCTTGGCAAGGTGATAATGGAAGGAACAAGCTTAGTGGATACATCAGCTTGAAGTCTGAAACTGGGTGGTCATGAAAAATGACACTATTATGTGTGACTTGTAAGTGATCTTACATAAGTTGGGGCCTTGCGAGGGCCACAGTCATCCCAAAGTGCTAGTCTGCCTTGAAAGATGAAGTTCAGAAGGATAAAGAACTGAAGCTTTCTTTGATTCTTCCACTTTCATACCCCCAATAGGGAACTTGAGTCTTCAAATGCACAAGGTTCTTATTTAGGGGGCTAAACCACCTCCCAGAGCAGAACAGGTATTTTAAAATGTAGACTTTTGGGACAGGGGATGCTTTTGTAGTTTATTTTCTTGGTTTTGGCAGGGAAGGGTCTCCTCAGATGAGAAAAACCTCAGTAATTCAGGCCCTACTAATTCAGAACTTGTTACAATTTAACAGGTCCTGAGTTTTATCATAGATACTTATAAATACTAAAATTATATATATATATATATATATATATATAGAGAGAGAGAGAGAGAGAGAGAGAGAGAGAGACAGCGAGCGAGTGAGCGAGCGCATGATCATGGCTCACTGCAACCTCTACTTCCTGGGCTCAAAGTGATCCTTCTGCCTCAGCCTTCTGAGTATCTGGGACTACAGGCATGCACCACCACACCTATTTTAAAATTATGTAAAATTCTGACTTTGGCTGGGCACAGTGGCTCACACCTGTAAGCCCAGCACCTTGGGATGCTGAGGCAGGAGGATCACTTGAGGTTGGGAGTTTGAGACCAGCTTGGTCAACAAGTTGGTGAGGCCCCAGCACACCTATAGTCCCAGCTATTAGGGAGGCTGAGGCAAGAGAATTGCTTGAGGCCAGGAGTTTGAGGCTGCAGTGAGCCATGATGGTGCTACTGCACTCCAGCCTGGGTGACAGAGCGAGATCCTGTCTCAAAAAAAACAAAACAAAACAAAACAAAACATTCTGACTTTTTACTAATCTAGGTTTGTCTGTTCCTGTAATTCTGTTACATTTTTCCTTAATATAGCTTTTGTTGTCGTCATCTCTCTTTCCAAGTCAGATTCAATAGTCAGGGATACTGGTAATAATCTAGGAGCTATTTAAAGAAGAGACAGTAGTTTCACTAGAACAGTTACATGCCTTACTGGTTAAGGCTGAGGCTCCTGATCCAGATTGCTGGCTCCAGCATTTACTAAGTTATGTGATCTTACATGATTACTTAACTTCTCTGTTCAGTGTCCCTGTCATTAAAATGAGATAGTAAACTTGGTGTTTATGGTTATCAAATGTATTAAATGAGACAATAAATGTAAGTGCTTGGTACAGCACTGACAAAGAGTAAATGTTCAATAAATTTTAGCTATTGATATTACTACAGTTCTCTGTACTTTTTTCTATTCTCTCTCTTGTCCCTCTTTGGTCTTTTGGCTCTCCCAATGTTTGTTGGCTACAAGAGGAATAAGCTCAAATAAATTCCTCAGCACTCAAGTAAAGGGTTTTGATTATTTGTAGATTTTGATTATCCAGGCTAATTCCTACTTCCCTTTCTAATCTACACACATTTAAGGTCATTATTTTACTGTCTGGATGGATATATGTCCTTCCAGACAACCAACCATGTAAAGTTGATTTTGGAAATCAACGCAAAACATTTTTTAAAATGCTATAATATACTCTCATCTATTTTACAATTTTATTTAAATCTAGAATATTTAACTTTTCATACAAACAACTTTTAAAATAGCCACTTGCAATTTTATGTACAACTCCTATATGAAAATGTTGCTTTCATAATGACCTATGAAGAGGTTAAAGTCCAGACACACTTTCAGTATCTTTATCTAATCATGTCACTGGTAGAACTCTTTCCATGCTGTGTAACCAAAGAAAGCTGTTGGATTTTGGAACTGTTATGAGAACTAACATCCCAGTTGTGGATAACCATCACTCACTGCATGATAACCAGGTCAAGAATAGAATAAAAAAGAGGCTTAAAAGAAATAAAAAGCTGATGAAAGGCAACTTTGATTGTTTCCCTTTGGTCTTCTTACAGTAATAAATTGCCAGCTCACCCAAATATTATCAGATTAAGAAAAGAAATTAAAAACCAATGCTGAATAGTCTGGGAACTTTTCCAAACTTTAAAAAATAATCCCTTGTCACACAGCTTAGGTATTTGTCACACAGCTTAGGTTAGGTACTGAAAACAAAACTAGAACCCAACACAAAACTCATAACCAATTGACCCTTAACTAAATTTCTGAATCCTTTGAGAACTGAAACTCATCACCGTAACATAAGTTTGACCACAATACCTTTGAACAAAGAAACCAGATACAAGACCTGCTGTCTTCCTGCATGTGATTCCAGTGGTGATGGAATAGGAAAGCGCCATTAGAAAAAGAAACATATCTCTTATCTGCTTGTGGTTACTCCTCTCGAGGTTTACTCTCAGCCCTTCCTTATGTTACATCTACTCCTTAGACAAGCTTACCACTCTTATGGCTTCAATCATAAATATCAGTATTTTTAGCCCATAATTTTCTCCCAAGCGTCAGACCAACTAGTTTCTGGAAATCACTATCTGAATGTCCCAAAGTACCTCTAATTTAACATATCCAAAGTGAAACCATTTCCCCACTCAACAGCATTTAGCCTCCTGTGTTTGCCAACTCAATTTTGTCACACTATTTTTTTTTTCTTTTTGAGACAGAGTCTCATTCTGTTGCCCAGGCTGGAGTGCAGTGGTGCAATCATGGCTCACTGAAACCTCGACCTCCTGAGCTCAAGCTATTCTCCCACTTCAGCCTCCCAAGTAGCTAAGAGTATAGGCACGTGCCACAATACCTGGCTAGTTTAACAATTTTTTGAAGAAACAGTTCTTACTCCATTGCCCAGACTGGTCTCAAACTCCTGGGCTCAAGCAATCCTCCCATCTCTGCCTCCCAAAATGCTGGAATTACAGGTGTGAGCCCCTGCACCTGATACTTATCATACCATTTTCTACCCAGTCACCTAAACCAGAGACCTGGTAGTCACTCCTGACTCTGCCCTCTCTCAGGCTCATCCTTATCCCCATTCTATCAGTCCATATCTTATCAATTCTACCTTCTAAACAACTGAATGCTTCTCTGTATTTCCCAGAAAAAATATCTCTGCCTAGGCCCTTAACATTTCTCACCCGGAATACTGCAATCAAAGGCCAGTGACCTGATCATGTCCTGACCCTCCTCCCAGTCCAGCTTCCATAGCTGCCAAAGTTATTTCTCTAATATGCAATTCTGAGCACAGCAACTTTACTTCAAATCTTCATTCCTTTATTCTTTATCCACAGGATAACTCCCCAAATCCTCAAAATTATATACTAAGCCTCACGTGACCTGGGTTTGCTAAGCCTCCTCTCTCATTTCTTATTACATTTCTAAATATATCTTTTGTTCTAGCCACACCGATATGCAGCTCTCAGAATAATGCCATTATGTTCTCATATTCTTTTTCTACCTTTGTAATGTACTGTTTCCTTCTTTGTCCATCTAGCTTCTATTGTTCTCCAAACATCAGGCTAATGTATTAACCACATGGCTGATCTAAAACACCCTGAACCTATGTCTTTATTAGAAAATTCACCTCCCTGGTGTTCTAATTCTTGATTTTCTTTATCTCCCCAATTAGACTGCCAATTCTTTGAGGGCAGGAACTGTGTCTTTCATTTATGAATACTGGTGTCCAATATAAAGCCTACTACAAAGCAGATGCTCATAAAATGTTGTGGGAGGATTCACAATAGGGCAGATGGCTTTGATACACATTTATCATGGAACTAAAAATTAGAGTAGAAGGGCAGGACACCGCTTGCAGGAAAGGGAGCTGATGTCTTCGAAGCTCCCAGTCTCTCTGGTCAACAAACCAAGAATTCAGATGCCATCTCCCCCAGCTCTACGTAGGACATGAGTTAACTAGGCCAGTCTCTACTAAGAATTCATGTAATGGGTCCAAATGGGAAAGCTACTTTTATTCCCACAGGTTTTACTATTCTAGGAAGATTCCTTGGGCTGAACAATTACTGCTATTGATTTTCCTTGAGTGAAATAAAAAACCCCCAAAACGAATACACTCCTGCTTTTAATTAGGCGGAAAAAATGGTTAACAGATTGCACTCTTAATTAGCATTGTTCATCCAAGTGTTTCTCATTCCATGACAACGGATTATAAAGTGGAGTAAAAATGGATTCCAGATTGGTAGTGCATCAGATGTAGTGTTGGATGTATAGAGGATACGATAATATGCTAAATAACTGTTTGGTACTTGTCAGAGGAAGGCACAAAGCACATGCAAAAAATAATTGTCAACACTGACAGTCTGGAAGGCAAAGAGGCAGAATGCCTCTGGCCTGCTAACCAAAGTTGCTATGTAGACAAGCTCTCATGAAGGCAACAATCCTTTATCATCCAATTATTTATCAAATGTACCCTAATTAGTTTGTAGGACTGGTTATAAAACAAAGCTAATTGATTAAATGTTCCCTTTATGCACATTAATGGCTGACTGAAAAATATTATGTAACATCTTTGTATTTTTTTGTTTTTGTCATTTTTTTAAATTGACATGTTAGAACTGAAGGAATAGCAATCCAGACTAAATGGGAAAATGCTACTGATCTTGCTTTATAAATACAGGTCAAATCCTATTATAACAAATACCAATTCAATGAAAATGTGCCTAATTAAAAGATTCCCAGGGTTCAGCTAATGACCCACTTACTTCAAGATTTATTCAATATAATAAATATCAGATAAGCACTACAATTTGGACATACTCTAGTATTTGTTTCCTTTAAATATACCCTGCATTGAAAAATTTTTAAATTAGCAAATAAGAAAAATTTGAGAATACTGACCAAAGATTACCTGGCTCTTACTTTTAGGATAATTTAAAAATGCTAAACCATCTAAATTGAGTAGTTCCTAATTTATAGAATTTATAAATGTTAGACCCAATAATATACATAGTAATTAAAAATCAAGAGCTAGAAGTGTCTAATGTATTTGTAGTTTAGAATTTTTTCTTTAACTACGAAGACTCAGAAGAAAAATAATTTTTTTTAATGTTGGAAAATTACTGTCAAAAGAAAGTTTTACTACTAATTGTATGAACCCAGCATCTTATATTAGGGTTGTTTCGTGGTATGAGAAAAGAGACTGAGCTTTCAAATTCTCATCAATATCTACCTGGTGTGGTTCCCATTAGAAATGCAAGTGAATCTGAAAGTTTTTCCGCTTTTCCTGAGTAACAAATCAGAGATGATCAGAGCTGTTACTAAGGGAACTTCTCAACTTTTAGACACAAAAAAGATACTGAACTAATGGAAACTTCATATGAAAGCCAAAAGTAGCAGTAAAAAAAATTACTTCATTATTTAGGATCAACAGAGACCAAAATAGCAATATTAGGAGCATACCACTTATAACAGTCATTCTTACTGTCGGTAGGAGCGAGTGAGGGCATGCCAAAAGGATGGATGAAATTTTCTCTAGTGAGGAAGAGGGATGTGTTTGTTTCTTTGTTTATTTATAGACGGAGTTTCGCTCTTGTTGCCCAGGCTGGAGTGCAATGGTGCAATCTTGGCTCACTGCAACCCCCGCCTTCCGGGTTCAATCGATTCTCCTGCTTCAGCCTCCCGAAAAGCTTAACAGGTGCCCGCCACCATGCCGAGCTAAGTTTTTGTAATTTTAGTAGAGATGGGGTTTCACAATGTTGGCCAGGCTGGTCTCGAACTCCTGACCTCGTGGTCCACGAGGCTTCAGCCTCCCAAAGTGCTGGGATTACAGGTGTGAGCCACTGCGCCCAGCTGGGATGTATATTTTTAAAAACCATGTTTAATAGCATAATTTTGTGTTCAGAGAATTAAAAATATTTATTATTTTCAAAATACAAACTAGAGAAGGTAAACAAAAATCTTCTTGGCTGGTGAGGACATGCACTATCTTCTATATATGAGTGATTTTTCATTAGGGAGTATATCATCAGCTGCTGTTACGAGTTTAAAAGTAAACATATATAATAAAAGTTTGTTTTCTAGTCACTGAAAAATCATCCTGCCTTTTGTTTTCTCAAGTTAAAAATAATAACTTGTTTGACTTACAGTTTATAGTTTGCCTTTACTACTGCTTGAACATTTGACAAAGGGTACAGTGTCCAAAATATTCTCTCCATGTGAATAGCTATTATTTTAAAAATACTCTCTGAGGATATTTTCCTTATATGGGGGCATTTACTATTTAGCCCTGTTAACAACACTCAAAAAAAAGAATCAAACTTCTAAATGCTGGCTGAAATTTCAATCCTCCGTTTTGAAGAATGTTGGATCAGGTGCTGTCCCTCTGTAACTCTGTGCCATCTCTAGAAGAAACTGTATGTATGTATACAAACAAGTTAAAGAAGTTTGGAAGAGGACAGTAAGAGAGCTGTCCTGACTTTAACTCTGAAATGCACACAGAAACTTCCCAGTATCTTTACTGTAAAGACTCAAGCATTTCCACTTTTCTAGAGAAATACAAAGACCCTGAAGCCCATAAGGTCTCAGGTTCTGTGGGCTCCATGGTCCCAGAGAGTATGACTGGGATTTGAGAACCAGGCACAGGAGATTCAGTTATGGCCTGCCAATTCCCTCCCTTGGCCTATAAATACAGCTTTCCTCCTTTCTGCAATTTCAGTTTCCTGTGTCTCCATCAAGGATAAATTTTGGACTCCCACAGCTACTTAAGCTTTTAACTGTCATCTTTGCCCTTTAGCATGTTCTTAAACTTGACCTTCAAATATATTTGAGATGTACTCCAATGTTGCTGGGAATATGGGGTTTTAGAGTCAGAGAGCTTGGTGCTTTAATCAAGGCTCTGCTGCTTACTAGTTGAGCAATGCTAGGCAAGCCATTTCTCTTCTATGTATCTCAGTTTCCTCATATGTAAAATAGGGATAGCAATACCCACCTTTCAGGGTGGCTGAGGACCAGCCAGTTACAACCAGGCATCAAAAGACATATGAGCACAACACCATCACAAAACCAGTTGTTAAAATACACTCAAAACCAGTTTTTAAAGAGTACCCTAATTAGTTGGACATGAGAGGAAATGAACTAGGCTAGGGAGATCTTAAGAGATGAAATCTTCATTTTATAACCAGTCCTTAGTGTCAGCAGCCACCAAATGAGTCTTGCATATCTTTCTCTGACATTAAAGACATAAGCAACATAATGGAACATGAGTGGTATATGAAAATCAACATTCTCTTTATTATAGTCTCAAGCCATTTGGACACTGGAAGTTGGTTAGAGTAAGTTGATGGTATTGTAGGAATCCACGGCCAGTGACCACTAAAATTGGGAAGCAGTCTCTTATTAAGCCATCTGTGTTTTAGTTTCCTGTAACTCAGATTTTCTCCCACTGTGACCTCTGTCTAAAAGGCAGGGATGAGGGGTGGTGAAACGAGGGTAGGGAGGTTGGATGGCAGCTGTTAGAAGTGAGACAAGACGAAAGCAGTACCTAACTCTAAGAAAGCAGAGGAAAAACAGAAAGGGAAAATGGGGGAAGGTCACCAAACAGGTTATTGTTGACTGCTCACCACATTGCTCTGGGAGCTATGGTTATAGTGGTGAAGAGACATTAATAAGGGGATCTTTACAACTAAAGGTACTACTCAGTATAAGAGGGAAGGGAGCAAAGATAAACACTAACTGAAGTAAGGTGTTCAGTTTTGTGGACCTCAATTGGTAGCCAGCAAAAAATACCCAACAGCTAGTGGGGTGAAAGCATTCTGTGGCTCCTTGGGAAAAAAAGGTACCAGTCTATGTGTTGAAGAGACACTCCTGGAACTCGATGACAGTAACATATATATCGGAGCCCCTCTTGGTGCTCTCACAAAAACTTGTGAATAAAATAACTTCGTAACAATATTCTTTTGGTATTCTCATCCCTAGCTGAGGTCTTAGACCAACATGCCATATACCAAATTCCACTACATGGTAATTTATACTGGTAAGAAAGACATTGAAAATGCATACAAAATAATTGGGGGAAAAAAAAACCCACACTAGTCTATCCAGGCTTCTTGCAAATTTTCTCCCCATAGCTCCCTAAATAAGGAAGCTATGGCCGTCCTTCTTCTTACTCTGTATATACAGCAAAGCGCAATCTAGTTCCTGAAAAAGTAACTGTTATATTGCCTGCTACCTAATATGCCCATCAGAGCTTCTCATCCCTTGCTATTGGTAGCAGTTCTTGCTTTTATCAGCTTCCCACAGAGGAAGACACTAAATCAGATGCAAATGCCCATATGTAAATCTCTTCACTGAGACATTCATTAGAGAAAATGGAGAAAAGTCTCAAATGGCTCTACCTAGGACATCACAAACACCTCCATACAGCTGGTTGTCAATGGCCAAGAGTTAGTTCTTTGGCTTTTAAGCAAGACATTTCCTGAAGGTACTTGGTGATTAAGGAGTAAGGTTCCAAGTGGCCATAACTCCTTGCTCATTGCTCATTTTGGTCTTTCTCACAGACAGACATACAAAATAGGCAAAAGCATACTCTACCTCATATACATACATACATGAATACACACACAGAACTTGCAAAACTGAAGTTTAATGTATATAGTTGTGTGGCCATTTCAGAGGTTTTTCTCTTGAAACATAGTATTGACTCATAAAACACAAGAAAGGCAGTGACTAAAATAGCTGTAGAAATTGAGAAAAGCCTTGTAAGATAAAGTGATAAGGACTGTAAAATCTTACTGTTAAGCAGTTTACAACCGATAGTTAAAAGCTAAAAGGCAGAAACTGTAGCCCGACATATTTAAGTCTGCTTTTACTTAAGACTACATTAAGTATTATGAACCATAACCTCTTGCAGAGAAACTTACAGGGTCTTTACTTGCAATTTTTTTTCCCTGTACTGATTCCCATATGCTCTGAAATCCCTTTGCTCTAAACCTAATGCCCCAAGTTATATATATACACATTCTCTACCTTTGACACAGCTATGAACATACGTAAATAAAAAATGCTGCTTACTCGGAGCGTCTTGGCAGTCGGGGAGGGAGATGCTGGGGGAGAATCAGACTGAGATTTCCTATTCCGAGTGAATTCTTTACTTCGGGTATATAAAGAGGACATGGTTCCTCAGGATGCAGATAGACACTCAACCACTGGATTCTTCACACAAAGCTGGGAAATTTCCCTGTAGGTTACCCTCACAGAATCTCTCCTTTTGAGTTGATGCAAGATGACTTTGGATAGAACTAAATAAAGGATAAAAGCAGCCCTGTAAATTATAGTCTTGAGCTCTGAACCAGTCCCCAGTTACACAGAGTCTGAGTTCCATCAATATTTTCAATTCAGCTTTGACCACAGGTTCTCAGGACTGGTAGCTTACCGTAGAGGGTATTGTGCTGAGCAACACCTTTTATGCCTAGATTGAGTCCTTGATTCTCCTCAAAGGACACTTCTTATTGAGCCTTGCTCTCCAATAAAACCTGAGTCTAGGTTCCTGATGACACCAGATTAAATCCCGGAGGAAAGACGACCTTGGATCCTGCCGGCAGCGAGTCTGGGAACTACTATCACTTTATCCAGAGGGAAGAAATACAAATCCTGTGGAAATCATGCTGTCTTTCCTTAGCTTGACTCCACTGGGCTGTAAGGCATTTGGAACTACTATGATAAAATCAGGTCAAACAACTTAAAAAACAAAAACGAAAAATGATAAATAAGGAACCAAGAGTTTATAAGAAGGAAGCAGTCTGAGGAAGTCAAGTTTCCCTAAGTCCTCCCAGACGAAGCTGCTTTTACATATAAACACTCACAGTCATACACACATCTTTTCCCCTCCCCTCTTCTATTTTCTGACATTCCAAATCCCTATTCGCTCAGTGAGGAATGCTGGAGAGGAGCCAAGGGCAAAGATTCACTTTCAACTCAGAATTCGGGTTACCACTTGTAGGAGGAAAAGAAAGCCTGCCAGCTTCTAGGAATAAAGGGAGGCTCTTTGGGGGCATGCTCAGAGGCAAACCTCACCAACCTTCCAGTGTCCCCTGCCTCAGAGTAGGCAGCAGTCTCTAAGGCTGATTGCTCCGAATACTATGAGAAGGGGGATTTTTCAACTTCTAGATCTCTTAAGTAACAACGCCCAGACAGAAAAATTAGTCAAAGCACCTTCAGGCCCTTAATGTTCAATTTTAATGAGATGCCATTCCTGTTGCACCGTGAGGAAGCAAACTGAAGCTCTGGCTCACTGCAAAGAAAGTTATCTGTCCATTACAGACCTTACTGGCTGGATCTGTAAGTATAAAGCTTACCAGAGTTTCCTAAGATGCCACAATCGGGAAAATGACAATGGAAAGTGGTATAAAGGTGAGGGAAAAGAAAGAAGGGTCAGAAATGAAGAGAGAAAACAGACAGTAGTGCAATTGCAAGGCTACAGGACTCAGTAGTACAGGGAAAACGAAATTAAAAAGAGAGGAATTTATTTGCATAGTGTTGAAGGATTTTGGATTTGACCTGGAAGAAACATCTAAAATTTAATCTTTTGCACTTTGTTGTTACCACTACACTAACCAAAATTTCTAGGCCAAATGTTTTCTAAGCCAACGGGTTTATCCCCAAAGTAACAACCCTCTTTTCTCTGGACTCTTGGAAACTCTATCCTGCTTTCCCTTTTTCCACATGAAATTTATACTTTTCACTTCAAACTTTCTCAATATGCTATTCTTTTCTAACTGCCTTGACAACTTCTTTATTCCTATGATTAACTTTGTGAAATTAAATCAAGGGAAGTGATCAACTACTTGGAAGTTGGTCTGAGGAATATAGGTTGAAAAGAGTTTTACAAACTCATTCTTTTAGATTGAGAATGAATCAGAACCCCTTTATTAGGGGTCCTGGAAATTATTCCATCTTCCTTAAGAAGACTGATAAATTCTATCATAAACCAGAATACAGTGTGTCTCAAAGGCCAACTGTTGCCAGGTGCAATGGCTCACGCCTGTAATCCCAGCACTTTGGGAGGCCAAGGTGGGTGGATCACATGAGGTCAAGAGTTTGAGACCAGCCTGACCAACATGGTGAAACCCTGTCTCTACTAAAAATACAAAAAATTAGCCAGGCATTGTGGGGGGCACCTGTAGTCCCAGCTACTACACAGGAGGCTGAGGCAGGAGAATCACTTGAAACAGTGAGGCAGAGGTTGCGGTAAGCCTTGAGATCGTGCCATTGCACTCTAGCCTGGGCGACAAGAACAAAACTCTGTCTCAAAAACAAACAAACAAACAAAAACAACTTGCCAATTATCTTGGGAATTCAGATCTTATATGATGTATATTATAGATATAGCTTATATAGCTAATCTCATCTGATAAGGTGAGTCTCCATTAGATCTTTTCACTTAAAGAAATACTGATGTAAACCTAAATACTAACATTCCCATGCTTGGTAGCATGACTGGCTAGGGAAAGGTTAGTGACACTTTTTTGATATGTTGAATGAAAGTCACCGGTTTACATTATTCCTTAAAGGCATGGCAAGAACAACTTGATCAGACACAGTTTCCTGACCTGTTTCTGTAAGATTCATACAGTGATTTCACACTCACTGGCAATTAGAGAGGGAATGTAAACCTCTTTTACTACAAACTGGCCTCTTTGTCTCTTTTTACTTCTATCTTATGTCCACTTCTAGGAAGTAGTAACAATGACAAACTCTTTTATATTTTATAAAGTGTTTTAACATATATTATCTCACCTGATCCTCTCAACCACACTGAAAAGTATACCACTGTACAGTCATGCCCTGCATAACCGATGTTTCTGTCAACAAACCACACATACAATGGTGGTTGCATAAGACTATAATGGAACTGAAAAATTCTTATCACCTGGTATTTACTTTTTCTTTTTTTTTTTTTTGAGACGGAGTCTCAGTCTGTCGCCCAGGCTGGAGTGCAGTGGCGCAATCTTTGCTCACTGCAAGCTCCGCCTCCCGGGTTCACGCCATTCTCCTGCCTCAGCCTCCCAAGTAGCTGGGACAACAAGCGCCTGCCACCATGCCGGGCTAATTTTCTTTTTTTGTATTTTTAGTAGAGACAGGGTTTCACCATGTTAGCCAGGATGGTCTCGATCTCCTGACCTTGTGATCGGCCCGTCTCAGCCTCCCAAGGTGCTGGGATTACAGGCGTGAGCCACTATGCCCGGCCTAACCTGGTATTTACCATACTATATTTTAAATCATTATTTTAGAGTGTACTTCTCCTTCTACTTATATATAAAAACGTTAACTGTAAAATTGCCTCAGGCAGGTTCTTCAGGAGATATTCCGAAGAAGGCATTGTTATGATAGGAAGTGACAGCTCCATGCAGGAAGACCTTCCAATGGGATAAGATGTGGAAGTGAAAGACAGTGATACTGATGATTCTGACCCTGTGTAGGCCTAAGCTAATGTGTGTGTGTCTTAGTTTTTAACAAGAAAGTTTTAAAGTTAAAAAAAAAAACAGATAAAAGCTTATAGATTAAGAATATAAAGAAATATTTTTGTACAGCTGTATGTGTTTGTTTTAAGCTAAGTATTACTGCAAAAGGGTCAAAACATTAAATTTTAAAAACGTATAAAGTAAAAAAATTATAGTAAGCTAAGGTTATTTATTATTGAAGAAAGAAAAAACATTTTTATAACTTTAGTGTAGCCTAAGTGCACAGTGTTAATAGTCTATAGTAGTGTACGGTAATGTCCTAGGCCTTCACTCACCACTTGCTCACTGACTCACCCAAAGCAACTTCTAGTCCTGTAAGGTGCATTCATTCACGGTAAATGCCCTATACAGGTATATCATTTTTAATCTAATCTTTTACCCAGTATTTTTACAATACCTTTTCTATGTTTAGACACACAAATACTTATCATGTTCCAGCTCTACAATATTCAATATAGTAACATGCTGTACAGGTTTGTATCCTAGGAGCAATAGGCTATACCATATAGCCTAGGTGTGTAGTAGGCTGTACCATCTAGGTTTGTGTTAAATTCACTCTTTGATGTTTGCTCAGGGACGAAATTGCCTAAAAACTCATTTCTTAGAATGTATCCCTGTCGTTAAGGGACTCGTGACCATATTACTATCTTACAGATGAAGAAAGTGAAGTTCTGAAAGGTTAAGTGTCTTGGCCAAAGACACACAGCCAGTAAAATGGGAGCAAAACACAACTGCCTGAAGAATAAACTTTGGTTGATTAAAGTAAAGTAAAAACAGATCTGAAAAGATCTACCAATTCAAATCCTTCAGTAAAATTCTGGGTATTTGAGACACTTGCAGGAACACATCAGATATACAGAGAAACAGAGATAAATTCTCCAGAAAGTTGAATGTGAGCTCTTTCTTTCTTCACTTGTCTTTTTGTAGATTTAATTTTTTTCAACCCAGCCAACAAGCATTTATTGTTCCTTTCTGACTGAAAAGATATTAATTCCCCTGTAAAAATAAGAACTGAATGGAAATATTCTTGACCACAGACTTCTACAGGATGAGCTTTGCAAACAGCCACTTGTTTAGAAAATAACTCATTCCAGATAAGCAGGATAGGATGTTGAGTTCATCTATTTTATTTCTTGTAGGTAAAAAAGAGGGAAGAAAAAAGTCTATAAACTTTAGGGCGTTGTTATAATGGAATTAAGAGCACCAGGTAGTCGGCTCAACAGAGTTTCCAACAAATATAAGAACTATCAAATAGAGGAACTGCATATGTTAGTTTTTTAGATGGGACATATCTAATGTGTGAATAAGTCAATAAAATGTCTCATGATGTGAATACTAATCATCGACTCTCATTGACTCAACTCTCCCAAAAGTTAGTAAAGGAAGAAATTAATGAACCAGTTGAGTAATTTCTACTTTTTCCTCTTTTTATTTTTTTAAATTAAAAAAACCTAAATGGCATGGTTTAAGGGTGATGTTTGATAAAATGCTCCCCAGTGATGATTTCCAATGCTAGCAATATACCATGGTGCTGTACACATGGTTTGGGAAGGGTGTGTATTTGAGGTCAGATATCCTGGATTGAAATTCTAACCCCTGCTTAACTGACTGATATGATCAAGTTCTTCAGCCTCATTGAATCTTACTTGGTTCATCACCCAAAACAGTGATAAGGATGCTTATTTACAGAGTTGTTATATGGTTTAGGATACACACACACACACACACACACACACATACACACACACACATAATCATCCATCACAGTGCCTAGCATGCGGTCATGCTCAATACATGGTCATTATCACAAAAAAATACTTGGTTAACATGCATGTGCATTTATAAAATATATGTAAGAATCCAAATGAAAATCTGAAAAAAGAGCTTAAATATCAGTTTTTATATTCTATGCATTTATTTTCCTTGTGATTATGTAAAAGGTTACTGAAAAAGATGATAGAATCTCCTTTTCAAATGCTTTAAGAAAAAACTTATCTCTACCTATCTTCCTCCTTCCCTCTTCCCAGCTTTCCTTATTTCTTAGAAGGCAAAGAGCCCTGGCAATAAGAGGAGGGTACAGTGGTGAGGTAGTAGCCTGGTCTACTTCGGTCTAGTTAGGGGATTGGCTTTACACAAGGGATTGAGCAAATAAGTAAACATATTGAAAATGGCAACTAGGTTTCTCATTGTTAGAGAAGGCAGACATAAATACAAAAAAAAAAAAAAAAAGGGAAAGCTAGAAAGAACCCCATGTTGGTATGAACTCATGATTTTCAATATAGATAGATAAAGAAATAAAGATGTAAATGTACATGTATATGTAAGCAAATGCATCCATATGTATGTCTTTCCTAGCTCTGTCCACTGAAAGGGGCCTGGGAAGAGCAACACTCCAGCAGCATTTAGCGTACCTAGTGCCCAGATCATTGTTTCTAAATGCCACTTTGTACTAAGAGGAACAGGGCTCCCTGGAGAAATGGCTAATTCCAGAGCTGGGGTAAGGAAAGAAAATGAGCCTGATCTCTTGTGCTAGAAGGTGAGAAAGTCCTCAAACAACACTTAAATGATATGACACAAGGACACAGAAGCCTGCTTAAAAAGCCAAACCTGGGATAATAAGAGCATCATAATAAATAATGATAGCAATGAATTATAACCCACTGACTAGGAACCCATGAGTAGACATTGATATAAATAAATGAATGAAAAAAATAAATAGGAGGAGAAAAGCTTCTTGCTTACAATAGAATGCCTACTAATAAATGTAGAAGGGGTAATAAAGTTAGAAAAATTACCATTTGGCAACCATGACTGTAAAATCAATCCAAGAAAGAAGTATTAATGGATGTTCAAAGTAGTGGGTAAAAGTAGAGGAGAAACTGGAGTTTACACAATCTCAAAGTACCACATCAGACAACATTTATTAATCACAAAAGAGGAAAAACTAACTTTACCATGGAGAAACCTGGCAGACGTCATCTCAATCCAGTCCTCAAAGACAAGACCACTAGTAACATGACAAACTGACAGCATGAAATGAGAAGAGTACAGTATCGCTTCTATGACACTGTGGCCAAAAATGCATAAGCTGGGTCTAATCATGAGAAAACACTGAATAAACCTAAACTGAGGGACATATATGACTGGCCTGCTATCTTCAAAAATATCAAGGTCAGCCAGGCGTGATGGCTCATGCCCGTAATCTCAGCACTTTGGGAGGCTAAGGAGAGCAAATCTCTTGAGCCCAGGGGTTCAAGATTAGCCTGGGCAATGTCATAAAACCCCGTCTCTACCAAAAAAACAAAACAAAACAAAACAAAACAAAAAAACCCAAAATTAGCAAGGCATGGTGGTGCCCACCGTAGTCCCAGCTACTCAAGATGCTGAGGTGGGAGGATCCTCTGAGCACAAGAGGCAGAGGATACAGTGAGCTAAGATCATACTACTGCACTTCAGCCTGGGCAACAACAAAACAAAACAAAACAAAACAAAACAAAACAAAATACCCCCAAAAAACCAAGGTCATATAAGTCAAGGAAAGTCTAACTAGAGATACACAAAAATTGGGTATAGTGATCCTGGATTGGATCTTTCTGCTCCCATGGACTTCATTAGGACAACTGGTAAAAATGTGAATGTGTCACGCCTGTAATCCCAGCACTTTGGGAGGCTGAGGCGGGCAGATCACCTGAGGTCGGGAGTTCAAGACCAGCCTGACCAACATGGAGAAACCCCATGTCTACTGAAAATACAAAATTAGCCGGGTGTGGTGGCACATGCCTGTAATCCCAGCTACTCGGGAGGCTGAGGCAGGAGAATCATTTGAACCTGGGAAGCAGAGGTTGGGGTGAGCCGAGATCGCAACATTGCACTCCAGCCTGGGCAACATGAGTGAAACTCCAGCTCAAAAAAAAAAAAAAAAAAAAAAAAAAGTGAATGTGATCTCTAGGTAAAGGGTATACAGCAATTCTTTATTCTTGAAATATTTCTGTAAGTTTAACAGTGTTTAAAAAAAAAACAGAGTTTTTTCATCTCACTACAGTGAGAAAGGGGCACAAGGAAGTGACTTTCTTTTTTAATTCCTGACAACTTTGAAAGATAGTCTCTCTTTACAGAGGACTCTAAGATTATATGTTCACCAAAGAATTGGGTTTGCTAACGGAAACAGGCAGTCACTTGGGCTGAAGGTACAATGAGGCTCATTATTAGGTTATGAATCAATTTAGTGGCCACAACCAGATCAATAAAAAGTGAATAAACAGAATAGCAAATGTTGGAATGCATTACACATAGTAGACTAAGGTATTGGTATGTTTTTGTCAAAGGTGTTTGAACCAGAGGCACTCTATCTTGAATACGGGCTGGGTAAATAAGGCTGAGACCTACTGGGCTGCATTCCCAAGAGGTTAAGGCATTCTCAGTCACAGGATGAGACAGGAGGTCAGCACAAGATACAGGTCACAAAGACCTTGCTGATAAAACAGGCTGCGATAAAGAAGCCAGCCAAAACCCACCAAAACCAAGATGGCAATGAGAGTGACCTCTGTTCGTCCTCATGACTCATTATACACTAATTATAAAATATCAGCATGCTAAGAGACACTCCCACCAGTGACACGACAGTTTACAAATGTCATGGCAACATCAGGAAGTTGCCCTATATGGTCTAAAATGGGGAGGAACCCTCAGTTCTGGAAATTGCCCACCTCTTTCCTGGAAAACTCATGAATAATCCACCCCTTGTTTAGCATATAATCAAGAAGTAACCATAAAACCAGCAGCCCTTGGGGCTGCTCTGTCTATGGAGTCATTCTTTTATTCCTTCACTTTCTAAATAAACTTGCTTTCACTTTACTGTATGGACTTGCCCTGAATTCTTTCTTGCGTGAGATCTAAGAACCCTTTCTTGGGGTCCAGATCGGACTGCTTTTCTAGTAACAAAACCACAAGGTCCTTTAAGGCCCAAAGGAGATCAACAGTTAGGTGGAAATTACCTAGTCTTTCAAAAATGTCTCTGCCTCGTCCTCAAATCAATTTTTTGGTAGGTTAGTTTATAAACTTCTGAGTAGATACAATATACAGTATTTTAGTTCAGATTTAGGCAAGAAGGTGATGAGTCAAGTATTACCAGTTAAGAAGTATAGTTTAAGATCTCTGTTCCTCCTTTTGGAACAGGGCAGTCATTTTCAGTCCATTTATGAATATAAGATCCAAAGAAAATATTTTTATTTTTATTTTCAACTGATACTTTTCTTCCATCAACTAACAACTATTAAGTTCTTATTCTATGCAAGGTACTATTAGGGATAGGGATATACAAAGTACTGTAAGACATGATTCGTGTCTTCAAAGAGATTATAGGAAATCTCAAAATTTGTATCACTAAAAAGATCTCCATACTGTTAAAAAATATCAAGCCCTACTCTTCCATATATTTTTATATAAATAATTTTTGATCTCATACTAAACAAACAATTTATTTTTAAAGGAGACCATCAACAGCACACAGCCAAGTTGGAAGATAGTCTAGAATTCATAACAGCTTCATTTACTATTCTATGCTTTTATAGCGACGTTTTATTACTGGGTACTTAGAAGGGCCAAAAATATTACTTGGGGGCAGGAAATAAGTTCTAAAGGAAACAGGAGGTTCTTTGTCACTTCTTCTTCTTCTGATTTTTCCATCTCAATCCTGTTTAATTTATGCGATGTGAAAATCCTCCCCTTTTGGGGGTGATGGAGAAGATCAATAATGATAACTCACATTTAATGTTGACTCCTGCACAGATGCTCCTGAGTGAGGGAGACATATTAGGGACTTTACCACAAAATGAATCATTTTAGAGTAAAGAGTCAGCCTTAATTCCACATGTAAGAAAATGCAGAACAGAGAAAAGTCACGCAATTCTTTCAGTGTAATAAAGGGCCTTTGACACATGTTCTTTGTGAACAAGCAAAAAAGCTAAAAATCAGACCAACAAAATATATCCACTAATGGCTTCTGCATAGTCTAGTGGGTTGCTGGGAGTAGGGAGAAGAGATGGTGCTATTTTGGAGTACAAGGCAGCAACAGAGAGGCAAAGCAAGACAGGATATACAAGTTGCACAGCATGGAGCTCACAATAACTTTACTAGCTGACAAAATGTTCCCAATCTTGCTCCCATATATTTAATCATGCCCTAGTGTTACGAATGTTAAGTCTCAGAAATTCATTTCAGGGTAATAGATTATAAAGGTCCTTTAAGAAAATCATTCTGCAAACCTGTCCTAGAATTGGTTCAAGAGTTTAGTATTTTGCAATTAAATTTAACTTTAGCAATGGCTTACAAAAAGCAGAAATGAAAACCTATCTCTTTTTAATGTGAACAACATAGCTTTTCCCCCTTCACACTTTTTTTGTAGGCCACATAGGCTAGAAACATCAGTAAAGGTATAAGGGGCAGGTTTGTCACGGGGAGGGGAAGGGGCAACACTTACCACAAGAGCTTTTGAAAATATGTGGGGACACTGATTGTCACAATGATTGGAGGGTGCTACTGGCATTTCAAATGCCAGGCTCAGGGATGCTGAATGCTTGCTATTCTAGAAACAGACCCACATAGTGAAGAATTACCCTGCCAAATGCTCACAGCACCTTGATGAGAAAAAAAAAAATGCTTGAACTGATCAGAAGCACTAACAGGGTATATTATATCTTTTTTGATTAGCTTAAAAGTAGCAAAAGGGCTCTATATAGTGTCAGTTAAACACTGAATAAGTAGCTTTAAAGCATATGATTTATCTGAAATTTTTGTTAAGACTATAAATATTTAGTACAGTTAAGAGTTAGGGAGAATTAGGGAGATAGTTTCCTCAAATTCATCAGATATTACAATTTAAATATGTGCAGTTGTACAGAAATTATATGTCAAGAAAGGTGTTTTGAAAACTTAAGGAGAAAGGTACAGAGGAGAAAGGTACAGAATTAATTTTAGAATAACTTTTAAAATAAATAAATCCATTTAGTTCTCAAAGATATCTGTGATAGTTAAGTTGTGCTTATAATCTGTATGCCAGGCAAAACGTATTACTGCCTGGTAGCAACACACTTAAATTTCAGCTCACAAGTTTGATAACGATCAGTTTCTTGAAAATGTAACCTATAACTTAAAGAAGGTTCAGAAATTCTATGTAAGTTTTTAAATTGTCATCAACTTGATTTTTTAAAATATTTTGTTAGTTTTCTTTAGAGCCTATAAATGAGGCTGAATGGTCCATCAGGTGTTAAGAAAAATAATTATTTCCCACTTTTAGTTAACTGCAGAGTTTTAAGGAAAAGGCCCTACGAAAAGCAATCTATGTATGATTCATCTAGAAATTTAAATATTTCAACTAGTCTTCATAGTTGTGAATTTGCAGTTGATCCAGAAATAAAGGCTGCTCTCTTCATCTGGGTTTACTAAAAATACTCCCAAACTTAACATCTAACTTCTTTTTTTTTTTTTTTCAATAATAACATAGATCCTGGAAGAGTATATGAAAGACTCTTCCTTATCAACAATGAACTGGCATGCACCCTTTTTGCTTTGCAGATACTTCTGACATATGCAATGTAAATGTTTATTCATTTATTAGTTGTCTACGTGCCATCTATATACACTTTATCTTCACGTTCTCAGGTAAAAATACTTTAAAATAGTTGAAGATGAAAGATGCCATTGTACTACTAGGTTTACCCTCTCATTTCCTTTATCTTCAACTTATTTTCTTTGTGTCATCTGAATCCTCCAGATATCTAACTTTTCCTTTTTATGCCTTTCACATTTCCATTGGAGATCACTTTGTCCCCTTCCTTAAGGTTCTGTCGGGAGAGATTTAAGAGTTGGTTCTAGCTAAAAAATATGGCTGTAGCTCTGAAGATGACATAAAAGTTTTTCCCTATGCCTAAGATTTCAAATATATGTATACATTTGAAAGAAAAAACAGGGAGAGCATTATTTTTTTGTCCAGATTATTTTTGCTCATTGTAGGTAAAAAACAATCTGTGTATATATGTAAAAAAAAACAAAAACAAAAACAAAAAAAAAACCTTTCAGTCCCTACATAATAACTCAGAAATAAAGTTTCTTCAGCCAGCTATGGGGATGGGGGAAACAATTCCCAGGGTACATGTTAGTGGTCCTGTCAACTCTGTCATTCTCACATTGCAATGCCAGTGCAATTCCACATAAACACAATTATGCTGAGGCAAACACTTGCAGAGTATGAGAACTACATATGCACTGTTCTAAGAAAAACAAACTTGTGAGGTTCTTGAGGCATGGCAATGTTTGTGGCAAACAGGACCAATGTGAGAATCAAATTTATTAGATTCCTAGAGTCTACTGCTTAGCATGCAATACAGTAAACAACTAAGCTCCATGATGACTGAATTGACTGGCATACAACAACCACAAATTGTTCTCTTTGAGCACAAAGGGCATGTAAGAGCTAACAGATGAGTGCCCCAGGCATGGTTCTACGTAGTTTGTATGATATTGCATATGATGTTACTAACTAGGCTGGTCAATTTGCGTGGTGATAACAGTGTGTTACTGGAGTTAAAGTTACAGAGTCAATCTCTATATGCTTAGTTAGCACCATATTAAAACAAAACAAATTTTTTTCCATGCCACAGACTATTAGTGACCTAGCTATCTTACGGATACATGCTGTTGGTCATAATACCGACTGAGAGTGTCCAAAACCCATCATTACAACTGGAATTAAAATAACTGGAATCAAAGAGCAAAGCTGGTCCACACAGAAGGATGAGCACAAAGTCAAAGGTCCAATCCTTAAAACCTGTACCACCTAGGTATAATCAGATGTCTTTTTCTAGTGCTGTTTGTGGGAAGTATTCAGACTTTATTTTGGTTTTTCTTTGCCTCAATTCTTAGCCTCTTTTTGTTGTTACTAAACAAGTTGGAGGCAAAACAATCTAGTGTAGATTCTCGCTTCCTTCTTTTTATTTTCTGAAACAGTTTATGTAAGGCAAGTATTATTATACTTGTTCCTTGACAGTTTGATAGAATTCATCCCCCAAATTACTCTAGGCTTGGTGTTTTGGGCAGGAGGTTGGGGAGGTGGTGGTTAAGTATGATTAAATTTCTTTAAAGGTTACGGGACTTCTTTGTTTTGCCATTTCTTCCTAAGTCATTTTGATATTTTATATTTTCCCAGAAGAGTGTCCACTTAAACTAAGTTTTCAAGCTTATTGTCATAAAGTTGCTCAAAATAATCTTATATTTTAAATATGTTTATCTTAATTTTGTCCCTATTTCTCTTCCAAATACTATTTGTTTTCACCTATAGTTTTTCTCTAGATCAGCTTTTGAAAGGTTTACTGCATTTTACCCTCCCTGATGGGGCTCAGTGTGCAGCAGCTGGAAAAAGTAGATGCCCTGGTTATGTATGCAGCTCAATTGTTCTATGTGTTGCTTTAAGGGACCTTGAAGACTCTTCTCTCTCCCTATTGTTGCCAAAATAACTGCCTCTGATCTGTTTTTGTTTGCATCCCAGGCCCCAGACTAGCATGTAAGATGCCTTTGAGAAGTCCTAGAACACTGCAGTCAAGGTGGACATTGGAAAATAAAAAGGCTTATTGAATTTTCTATCTTTTCAAAGAATCAGCTTCTGGTATTAACACTATTTCTACTGCTATTCTGTTTTCTGTTCATTAATTTCTGCTTTTATCTTTATTTTATTTCATTCCTTCTACTTACTTTGGGCTTACTCTGTTTTCAACTTCTTGAGTTGAAAGCTTAGCTCATTTATTTTCACTTTTTCTAATTTTTTAACCTTAAACATGTATTTAAGGTTACAGTTTTCTCTCTTTAGCTACTCTACAAGATCTAATGTGAAGTAATTTCATTGTTGTTCAGCTCTAACTATTTTGTAATTCTCATTATAATTACCTCCTTACCCATGCAGTATCTACAAGGAAGTTTATACTTTTCAGAAGTATTCTTTTCTTCTTCAGCTAACTTTTTGTTGCCATTACAAAAAACTATAACCCCTCCATAATCTCAATTCTGTATCTCCACATCGTATCTTTCCAGCTTATTCTTTCTACTAGGGTGATCCTGAACTATTGTTCATTGTTCAACCTCATGAAATCTCCACTGTCTCTCATGCTCTTGATGTCCCTTCACTCTCCTCTTTATCGAGCTTACATTCCATGATTTATCATTATTATCATCACTCTCCCCTCTCTCCCTTCATAGTGCTTGGCAAAACTATAACCTTGTTTAAATCCAATTTTCTGCCTACTCCACACCCGCACCTGTGCAACTAAATGTGGCTGGAAAAAAACATACAACCATGCTCATTGGTCTCAATTTAAATTCATTACTTTGAACCTTTAGTGGACTATAATGCACACACAGATACTTCCCTAGTCCATTTACTTTCCTAGATAAATACTTTACCCCTTTCCCTTTTAACTCAAACACCCAACACCTCCTTCCTCACGTTCTTTCTTGGCTGCTGGTCTTGCTTTCTATTTCACTAAGAAAACTGAAGCAATCAGAAAAGAACTTCCACAAACTATTACCACATTTAACCACCATTTATCATCTCCTCACTTGTTACCATTGATGAATCTAACATGCTTCTATTTGAAGTCAAATCCTTCAACTTGTACCCTAGACCCTACTCAAGGACCTCATTACAGCAGTTCTCCATTCTTCCTCCCACATCATCTTTTTGTTGTTGTTGTTGTTCTCCATTGGGATCATTCTCACAAGCAAACATGTAGCTTAAAAAACACCCTTTTCTGGATGGGTGTGGCAGCTCACGCCTGTGATCCCAGCACTCTGGGAGGCCAAGGCGGATCACCTGAGGCCAGGAGTTTGAGACCAGCCTGGTCAACATGGCGAAAGCCCGTCTCTACTAAAACTACAAAATATTAGCAAGGTGTGGTGGCGGGCACCTGTAATCACAGCTACTCGGGAGGCTGAGGCAGGAGAATCACTTGAACCTGGGAGGCGTAGGCTGCAGTAAGCCAAGATTGCACCATTGCACCACTCCAGCCTGGGCAACAGAGCAAGACTCCATCTCAAAACAAAAAACATCCTTTTCTTGACTCTCCCCAAAAGCTGCCACTCCATTTCCTTGCTAACCCCCCTTCCTGAAAAACTTCTCTCTAAAAAAAAAAAAAGAAAAAAAAAAAAAGCTTTTCTCAATGTTTTCAATTCCTCTCTTCTCAATGTGGCTTAAAATTACTTCAGTCAGGCTTTCTGTCCCACTATTCGAACAAAACCACTCTTATCAAGGTCATAATGTTATCAAAATCAATGGTCAGTTCTTAGTCTTCATCTTATATGACCCTATCAGCAACATTTAACACTGTTGACAACTACCTCTTTCATGATACATTTTTTTTTTTCACTCACACTGGAAAGGACACCAGATACTTCTTGGGCCCTCTTCCCTTTTCTATATTTTCTTTCTGTTATTTGATACAGTCTCATTGCTTTAAATATCATCTAAATACTCCACAGCATTTTGGCAGATCTGTATAACCAAACTGCCAAAATTTCCAGTTGGAAATCTAACAGGTATCTCAAACCAACATATCTAAAACTGGATTCTGGCCACGTGTGGTGGCTCACACCTGTAATCCCAGCACTTTGGGAAGCCAAGGTGGGAAGATCACTTGAGGTCAGGAGTTCTAGACCAGCCTGGCTAACACAGTGAAACCCCGACTCCACTAAAAATACAAAAATTAGCCGGGTGTGGTGGCGGACACCTGTAATCCCAGCTATTCGGGAGGCTGAGGCAGGAGAATCACTTTGAACCCAGGAGGCAGAGGTTGCAGTGAGCCAAGATCGCGTCACCGCACTCCAACCTGGGTGACAGAGTGAGACTCTGTCCAAAAAATAAAAAAATAAAATTGGATTCCTAAGAAGTCATTATACGAAAAAAATACTTGCACATGCATGTTTACAGCAGCACAATCTGCAATTGCAAAAATTTGGAACCAGCCCAAATGCCCATCAATCAATGAGTGGATAAAGAAATTGTGGTATATATATACACACAACATGGAATACTACTCAGCCATAAAAAGGAATGAAATAATGGCATTTGCAGTGACTTGGATGGAATTGGAGACCATTATTCTAAGTGAAGTAACTCAGGAACTGAAAACCAAACATTATATGTTCTCACTCATAAGAGGGAGCTAAGCTATGAGGACGAAAAGGTGTCAGTGATACAATGGACTTTGGGGACTCAGGGGAAAGCGTGAGAGGGGGGTAAGGAATAAAAGACTACACATTGGGTACAGTGTACACTGCTTGGATGATGGGTGCACCAAAATCTCAGAAATCACACTAAAGAACTTATTCATATAACCAAAGATTACCTGTTCCCCCAAAATCTATGGGAAAAATAAATAAATAAATAAGATTGGCTTCCTAGTTTTCTTCCCCAACCTGCTTCATTTGTAGCCTACCCCATGTCAGTTGATGGCAACTCTATCCTATCAGTTGCTTAGGTCAAAAACCTTGGAATCATCTAAAATTCCTCCCTCTTTCTGTCACATCCCACAAGCCCTTCCAGGAAATGTTGGCTCTACCTTCAAATATATCCAGAATCTAACCAACTTTCAACAACTGTATTGCTACCATGTGATCCAAGCCCCTGTCATCATTTCTTGCCTGGATTACTGAAATAGCTGCTCAGCTGCTACCTTTGTCTGAAGTCTAATCTCAACAGAGTAGCTTGAATGATTCTTTTAAAACTTAAGTCAGATTGGCCGGGCACGGTAGCTCACATCTGTAATCCCAGCACTTTGGGAGGCCGAGGCAGGCAGATCACAAGGTCAGGAGTTTGAGACCAGCCTGACCAACATGGTAAAACCCCATCTCTACTAAAAATACAAAAATTAGCTGGGCGTGGTGGCATGCACCTGTAATCCTAGCTACTCAGGAGGCTGAGGCAGGAGAATCGCTTGAACCTGGGAGATGGAGCTTGCAGTGAGCCGAGATGGCGCCAATGCACTCCATCCTGGGCAACAGAGCAAGACTCCGTCTCAAAAAAACAAAACAAAACAAAAAACAAACAAAAAAACAACTTAAGTCAGATCACATCACTCCTCTACTCAAAATCCTGCAATGGCGCCTCATTTTGTGCATAGTAAATGACAAAGGCCTATGACGCTCTGCATTCAGATGATCTGATTCTCTTTCCTGCTACTCTCACCTGTCATTTATTTCATGTGTCAGTACTTTCCCACCATATGGCCTTTGCTCTAGCTGTACCCTCTTGCTAGAGGACCTCACTACACTACATCTGAAGAAATGTTCTTCCTTCAGATATCTTTGTGGCTAACTCCTTCTGCTTCTTTAAATCTCAACCTGTCAATAAGATATACTCAGACCCACTGTTTATATTACAACCTGTACTTTCTCCATCCAATCCTCTTTATTCAATTCTCCTTTCTAGTTTTTTTTCCAAATTGCATCAGTGTCTAACACATACTTTATTATGTTTGTTGTTTATTGTCTGCCTTTTCATCTTACTCCCTGCTAGAATGTACACTTCAACAGGTCAGGATCATTGTCTATACTGTTGACTAAAGGATTCCAAGAACCTCGAACAATATCTGGCAAATATTGGACAAATAAGTATTTGTTGAATGAATGAGTGAATGTTGACTTTTCATTTAGCATGGTCACAATACACACGCCCTATGTGTGCTATATATCTGTTAGATTAAGCTGGTTAATTATGCTGTTCAAATTCTTTATGTTCTTGAGTATTTTTGACTTTTTGATATACTGGTTTCTAAGAGAGGTGTGTTAAAATCTGCAACACTGACTGTGGATATGCTATTTCTTGATAATTCTGTCGGTTTTGTTTTATATATTTTGAGAGTATATTTTCAGTATCTAGAGTCATTTTATATCATCTTCATGGATTGTTCCTTATTTATAAGTGAGACATATATTTCTGTCATTTGCTGTTTTAAAGCAAAAACATGTTCATGTTTCAAATGATGTTCATGCTGCCAGCTTTCACTTGGTGGTAACCAAGAGAAAATTTTTCCTGTCTTATACTTGTATTTTTTTATCTTTCAGTGTTACTTTGAAAACAGCATATGGAAGGATAATCTGACTATCTCTCTGGCTTTGTAGATTAATTTATATTATGACTACTTACATATTTTATTTTGTATTTCCTATTTCCATGTTTTTCCTTTGCTTCTTTTTATCTTCTTTCCTGCCCTCTATTGAATGGAGTGAAAGCATTTAAAATATTACCTATCTTTTCTCTTTCCCCTACTGATTAAGGACTTGTACCTTCTATTTCTATATTTCTATTACTATACTGGATACCCTTATATTTAACATACTTATTTAAATATATATTTTTTAAAAGTCTATAACATTCATCTGTATCTTTTCTACTCAAAACAAGGACTTTAGCACACATTTACATCTTTAATACCATATTATTATTGCTAAGATTTAGTTCTAGCTTTTGAAGCATATTAGCTTTAGCTCATATTTTAACACTCTTTGCTTTAGTATTCCACTTCTTTCTGCATTTATTTTTCTCTTTACTGAAGAACATCCTTTAGTTCTTTTATCACCAAGAGTTTGTGAGTTGAAAACTTAGCTTCGTGTATCTGAAGATGTGTTTATTTTGCTCCCACTCTGTATATAAACCACTGTATGAAACTGGAAGCTCACAGTTATTTTTCTACAGCACTTTGAAGATACTAGTCAGTTTTCTGGTATCTACTGTTGCCAAAGCCTACTGCCAATTTGACTACCATTCCATTATTCAGAATTTTTTCTTATACTTGTATTCAGAATTTCAGATTTTCTCTTTATCATTAATTTCCTACGATTTTATTATCATGTATGTAGTTGTGGATTTATCTATCCTGTGTTACATATGGCAGCATTTTCTATTTTGAAGACTCAGCTTCATTTCTGAAAAAATTCTTAGCTGCAGTTATTGTTATTATTATTGCCACTTTTTTATTCATTCTTTTTTCTCCTTTGCAACTCCTAGCAGATGTATGTTAGAGCTCCTCAGGTCATCTTTCATGTCCATCTTTCTCTTTCATTTTCTTCTAACTCTCTCTAAACTGCATTCTGAAAGATTTTCTCAGTTCTATTTCCTAATTCTGTAATTTTCTCTTAAGCTATAGAAAGTATGTGCAGTCTAACTGTTCTTTTACTTCAATATTGTATTTATAATATTTTTCACTTCAAGATGTCTAAACGCTTCTTTCTCACAGCTTTCTCTTCTTGTTTCATTATCTGTTCTTCATTCTGTAAAATCTAACTTCTTCTGTACATATATTGAGAATTTTAACTTATTTTTAAACTCTCACCAGATTGTTCTTCTTTTCTCAGGTATAAATTCTCTCATTTGTTGGGTTCTCTTGACTGCTTTTTCATGATCTTAGGTTTTACTGGGTTCTTTGTAATGTTTTGGGGGCTCAATTTTTATGATAACTAAAAAATGTAAGTACCTGTATCTATAGGGCAGTTTTAAGTTGCCTCAGCTTAAATCTGATAATGTGCCAACCTTGAACCAGACCTTAAGTTGGTAGCTCTGGGTCTTCTTTCCTCCTAGGTAGCCCAGTTCTGAATTTTTAGCCCAAAAGTATTTTGGGTCCAAGTCCTATCTTGAGTGGTTTCCTGCGCTTGCTTGTGACTGCCAATTCTTCTTTACTTCTGGTCAGGAACAAGCAGCTTATTCCTGGCTGTGACACTGCTGGGATAAGTTAGATTAGCCCAGCTCCTATTTGTATTGTGCTCTTGGGTCCTGGGTTCATGCACAGACAGGATCATTGCAAAAAAACCTGGTCCCAATTGCCCATATCCATTCATAGCACCCCCCGATCCCCTGCCATCATAGTGGCTTTTCTATTACTGGCCCAAAGAGACTTTTCTTTCTTATTTTTAAGAATAACTATGTATTTTTTAAAACCTTTAAAAATATTTATGCATAATTTCTCTGTTTTTGAATGAGAGGAATAAGATTCAGGAGTATTCACTCTGCCACCCTGACCTAGAAGTCCCAGAGTAGCTTTCACTTTTGAAATAACAGCAGTTCAATTTTCCTGATCTCACCAGTCTGTAAACATTAGCATATATACTCAAAGTTCAAACTTGAATAAGCTGTAGTAGAGACAAATTTCCATTATTTGGAATTTGTTTACATTGAAATAAATAATAGATGTACTAGGAAATCAGAAATGGAAGGAAGATGACTTTAAAAAGGTTAAGAAACTTGGGACAGCAGCAGACTTTACTGTAAATCTTATGTACAAACTCCACCACTGCTTCCCATAAATGGAATCAGACTGAGCAAAGAAGAGGGTACTTTCCACAGCACCAGAAAGAGCCACTGCAGCCAGCAGAGTCCTGTAATAAGTACCAACCTGCACTCCTGCACCTGGAAGACAGCCATCAGCTTAGTGGAAAGAATGCTGGACTGGGAATTCAGAAATGTTCTAGTTCATTTTCTACCACTAAGTCATTGTACAGCTTAGGCTAAGCCAGGCCCTCTTTTGGGCCCCAGGTTTTCCATCTGTAAAATAAGAGAGTTGGGCTAGAACAACTTCTAATGTACCTTCCAGAAATAATTTTCTGTGACCTTAACAGTTTGGTACTTTATAAGTAGGCTGAGTCCTCCATTCTTCAGCTTGCTCAGAAATAATCTGCCAGGTAAAAGAAGAAAATAATGTGTTTCTGAAATCAGTTTTCAAATCAAATGAAAGAATCACCAGATGCATATTTTTGTTTGATCACCACTCTACAAAGGAATAGCCTGGTAGCTGGATGAAGTTTCTGTGTGGGTGTACACACAATCTAAGTTTTAAATAGAAAAAGCAAACCAACCCAGACCAAAACAAAAACCCTCCACACAAGTCCCAGACGCAACAAATGGTAAGAGTTCTTTTCTACAAACATGTCTGTTTCTAATAGCTGAGAAGACCAAAAAAGAAAAAAATGTATCAAACTGACCAGATATATGTGTAGATAAAGAAAAAACTAAGGAGCATGCAGCAAAGTTACAGGATATGAGAGATTTGACTCTGCACACTGCAAAGTCTGTACAATTAGAAATTTCATGTGAACAGAAATGTAGGGAAGACAATGAGAAAAGAAAGAATAAAATTGGAGTTCCACTAAATGGAAGTTAAGAGTGGATTAATAATTTTTAAATTGAGGCCAGGCACAGTGGTTCACGCCTGTAATCCCAGCACTTTGGGAGGCAGAGGTGGGCGGATCACTTGAGGCCAGGAGCTTGAGATCAGCCTGGCCAACATAGCAAAAGCCCATCTTTACTAAAAATACAGAAAAAAAAAATTAGCTGGGTGTAGTGGTGAACACCTATACTCCCAGCTACTCAGGAGGTGGAGGCATGAGAATTGCTTGAACTCTAGAGGCGGAGACTGCAGTGAGCCAAGATCACACAACTGCACTCCAGCCCGGGTGACAGAGTGAGACCCCGTCTCAAAAGAAAAAGAAAAAAAAAAATTTTTTAATTGGGTTGAAGTGGCAAGGAAAACTCAAGATTAAATCTCAGAGCTTCCTAGAGCCTTGACTATCAGCCACAATAAAAATTTATGTGAATTGTTTAATTTCACCACAATGCAGTAAAAAACCAAACTGATTCAGATTTTATAGGTCTGAAGGATGGAAAGTTGGCACACAGCTAGCCATAATCCCGAGTCTTCAAATAACATACTAAAGACATACTGTTTTCTAAAAAAACAACAAAAAGCATCTTATCATCTACATTGCTATTTGTGAGGCACAGTGTATTGCATCAACGCTGCTATATATGTATAGACAGACTATATTAAGGGTGAGTGTCCAGCAGATTTCTATCCACTATTGCATACTTCCACCAGAGCTGAAATAGCCAATCAGTCAAAAGAGAGGGATAAAGTTCTCTGACAAAATTCCCACTCAGTTCACGAAATAGCCACTGAGCAGTCTTCACTTTCATGCAAACTTTTTCTAAGTGTGTTACCAAAGCATTTAAGGGGGGAAAAATTACACAAATAACAAGGCCTCATTAAAGAAAATTTGGGAAATAAAGAAAAGCAGAAAAAAAGTCACATTTAGTCTCATCACAGAAATACAACCACTGCTAACACTTTGCTCACTTTCTCCCTGGTCTCTTTACCTGGGCCTGCTACATCCTTATGGTTGTAATCAGATGACATATACAATTGTGTATCTACTTCATTTAGTAATACTATACTGTAAGCATTTATCCAAGTTACTATACTATCTTTGTAACTCACTTTTAAATGGCTGCCTTATAATCCACTCTATTTTAAGGAAACACCCCTAAATGGCTAGCTGGTGGGGAATGGTAAAGCAAACTATGATTCATAGTGTTCCATTAGATGGATAAATCATAGTATACTTAACCACTGCCAGAATACTGGACAGTAGGCTGTTTCCAATATTTCCACTATTATAAATAGCTAAACGAGCTAAATCTGTTTTGTTCAATAGTGCCTAATAGCCTTCCATATAGTAGGTACTCAAGTATTTGTAGAATGAATATTTACAGAGCTGCCTATATATAACATACCTTGTGATAACAATTTCTGTGCATAAAATCCCCCTCCTTCCCATATTTAGAACTGTTTCCCAGAGATACATTTTCATAGGGGGCTATTCTGGGTCAATTTGGGACTTTTGTCAATCTAGCCATTTGCTCCTCAGAAAATAATGACTAATTTGCATTCCCAACAGTAAAATATGGGAAGGCCCATTTCACCACATTCTTGGCTAAATTGGGCATTATCTTTTCAAAGTCTTTGCCTATCATGACTGGTAAAAAAATGTTACTTTGGCTGGGTGCAGTGGCTCACGCCTGTAATCCCAGCACTTTCGGAGGCTGACGCAGGCAGATCACCTGAGGTCAGGAGTTCAGGACCAGCCTGGCCAACATGATGAAACCCCATCTCTACCGAAAATACCAAAATTAGAGGGGCATGATAGTGGTCGCCTGTAATCCCAGCTACTTGAGAGGCTGAGGCAGGAGAACTGCTCAAACCTGGGAGGCGGAGGTTGCAGTGAGCCGAGATCACGCCATGACACTCCAGCCTGGGTGGCAGAGCAAGACTCTGTCTCAAAAAAAAAAAAAGATACCTCATTATAATTTTAATTATAGTTTCGAACACCAGTAAGGTTACACACTTTTTCTTATGCATGTTAATTGTCTATTTTGAAATAGCTTTCTAATAATCACTATCTAAATCTAATTTATTCCTGAAAGGTCAGTTGTGGGTTGCAGTAACAATAAAAGCCCCAATATTTTTAGGAAATAAATTCTGGAAGGAACTTAAGGAACTAACGTAAATACATAGCTGAGAACAGCTTATTCACAGAGCAAGTCTGGAACACTGTAATGTGCTTTTATTAATGGTAAAGTTGGAGGCTAGAGTTCTCAGTTCCTCATTCTTTCTTCATATTTATCTGTTATATAGTTTTGTTTTATTTGTGATATTTGTCTGTGGGTGCTGCTGTAATTTGGGAGGGGAGAGCTGGCAGGAAAAAATTCCTTTAATAATTCTTCTAAAACTTTTCTTTTAGGAAATCATTCTAGATTAACCCAGAAACTCTTAAGAGCTGTTTTCCACAACTGTACTCTGTAAAAACTAAGAAGTTTTTAGCCCAGATAATCTTGGGGTGACTTAGCAGAACTTTGTTAACCCTGAATTAGACTTTCTCTCTGAAAACATTTTGTAAACAAGTAAGCTAGACACAGAAAAGGCAGAAGCATATTCAGAGAAAAAATGTAGGTCTGGGCAACATTACCAGTAATGAGAACCTGATGAAAACTGACAATCACACCTCACTAACTAATCCAATAACTAGCTATTTTCATAACTGTTAGCATAACATGTGGAAAATGCTCCTTTGCAGCAGAAGTATAATTGCCTTTCATTCCTTCAAGATGCTCTTGCAGGAGTAGGCAAGAATGTTGACCTGCCATCTATTCTTAACAAGGAGAGAAAGCAGAAATGTGGACTAAGGATTGTTAGGGGAAAACAATTTAGATGGAATCAGGTACCACAATGTGCCAAATGATATGACGATTAGATCTGTTTGAACCCTGTTTAAGCCTTTATGAGGATTTTTTTTTTTAACGGCAAACTATCTTGGAGCTCTGCCCACAAGGCAAATGGCTACTAACCAAAGACTATTAATTCCCAGAAAATCCATCAAAATCGTTATACGCAGATGAGTCACAAAGAGAAGATATCATCCTTTCATGCTCCCCAGCCCCACTCCACCAAACTGCTCTCACAAGTCAGCAACATCTCCTTACTGGCAAACCTACGAGATACTCTTCAGCTCTCAAACTACTGGATGTGATTACAGAGGACTATTGGTAGCTATAATTTATCTTTCCAACCCTTTATCTCTTTCTCTTCTTTTGATAACAGAATCCCTATTTCCTGTGGGGAATCTATTCCATGTAGCTGACCCTCTCCTAACCCTACCCCTATAACAAGTGGTAGCTGCTGCTCTTGTTTCTTCTTCATCACTATGACCAGCACTACCACTATTGTTATCATTATGATCATCATGGCGGCTAAGATTTATTGATAATTTACTATGTGCCAGACACTGTTCTGTACACTTTGTATGTATTATCTCATTTAAAGAAATGACCTATGTGATAAGTACTATGATTTCTCTTATTTTAAAGTTAAGGAAACTGAGACACAGGGAGTATATAATTTGGCAAGGTTACACAGTAAGTAGCAGAGGAGGGACTTGAATTAAACTTGGTTTCAGGGTTCAGGCTTCACTGCCTCTCTCGCTAAATCTCATCTAATTTCTGGCTATAGAAATTGGTTCAGGGAAGTTCATCTGATCCAGGAAAGGTCAATCGGATATACCAACACTACGAGGCCAGGTGTGGTGGTGCACACCTGTAATCCCAACATTTTGGAAGGCCAAGGTGGGAGGACAACATAAGCCCAGGAGTTTGAGACCAGCCTAGGCAACACAGTGAGACTCCATCTCTACAAAAAATAAAAAGAATTAGCTGGGCATGGTGGCACACATCTATCATCTCAGCTACTTGGGAGGCTGATCACTTGAGCCTAGGAGGTAGAGGCTGCAGTGACCCGTGATCACACCATGCACTCCAGCCTGAGTAACAGAGCAAGATCCTGTGTGCAAAAACCAAAACAAAAAACAAAAAAAAGATATATGGACACTAGGATAGGGAAGGTCTTTCTTCCTCTGAAGCCTATGCAAAGAAGGCAGCAGGGATCTGAAAGTTTCAGCTTCCTAGATTTAGCTATGCCTAAAGCTAGGCCAGGCTAAATATGCAGATTTTCTAGCTACATAAGCCTTTATGCTTGAGTTATAAGAAGTTAAGTTTCTGTCACATTGAGTCTTTGAAAGTTTTCATTCCCTTGTTTGGTTGAATACTACTCTTTTTTAAAAAAACAAACAAACACTTTTATTTTAGGTTCTGGGGTACATGTGAAGGTTTGTTACATAGGTAAACTTGTGTCACAGGGGTTTGTTGCATAGATTAATCACCCATGTATTATGCCTAGTACCCAATAGTTATCTTTTCTGCTCCTCTCCCTCCTCCTACCCTCCTCCCTCAAGTAGACCCCAGTGTCTGTTGTTTCCTTCTTTGTGTTCATAAGTTCTCATCACTTAGCTTCCACTTATAAGTGACAACATGTGGTATTTGGTTTTCTGTTCCTGCATTAGTTTGCTAAGGATAATGGCTTCCAGCTCCATCCTTGTTCCCACAAAAGACATGATCTCACTCTTTTTTATGGCTGCATAGTATTCTATGGTGTATATGTACCACATTTTCTTTATCCAGTCTGTCACTGATGGGCATTTAGGTTGACTCTATGTCTTTGCTATTGTGAATAGTGCTACAATGAACATTCGCATGCATGTGTCTTTAGGGTAGAATGATTTATATTCCTCTGAGTATATACCCAGCACACAGACCAATGGAATAGAATAGAGAGCCCTGAAATAAGGTTGCACACCTACAACCATCTGATCTTCGACAAAGCTGACAAAAACAAGCAATGGGGAAAAGACTTCCTATTCAGTAAATGGTGCTGGGATAACTGGCTAGCCATATGCAAAAGACTGAAGCTAGACACCTTCCTTGCACCATACACAAAAATCAACTCAGGATGGATTAAAGACTTAAATATAAACCCCAAACTATAAAAACCCTGGAGACAACCTAGGCAATACCATCCTGGACATAGAAATGGGCAAAGATTTCATGACGAGGACACCAAAAGCAATCGCAACAAAAGCAAAAATTGACTAGTAGGATCTAATTGAACTTATGAGCTTCTGCACAGCAAAAGAAACTATCAACAGAGTACAGACAACCTACAGAATAGGAGAAAATATTTGCAAACTATGCATCTGACAAAGGTATAATATGTAGCATCTATAAGAAACTTAAATTTACAAGAGAAAAACAAAACCCAATTAAAAAATGGGCAAAGGACAGGAACAGAGACTTTTCAAAAGAAGACATACATGCAGTCAACAAGCATATGAAAAAAAGCTCAATATCACTGATGATTAGAGAAATGCAAATCAAAACCACAATGAGATACCATCTCACACCAGTCAGAATGGCTATTAGTAAAAAGTTAAAAAAAGAAAAGAAAAGAAAAAACAAAACAAAACAAAACAAAACAAAAACCAGATGCTGGCAAGGTTGCAGAAAAAAGGAAATGCTTATACACTATTGGTGGGAGTATTCACTGTGTAAAGCAGTGTTGGCAATTCCTCCAAGAGCTAAAAGCAGAACTCTCCTTTCCAGGCTCTTTTCCTTCTTCTCTGATCATTTCCCTGTTGATCTCTTTCATAGGTACCTCTCCCCTTCTGCCATCTCAAACAGTGGTGTGCCCTGGCTCTGTTCTAAACTGTGTACTCTTTTCATAGCAGTGGCCCTCCTTAGCACCCCACAATCATTCTGATAATCGGCCTTCCCTGGGAAACATGCTCCTTTTGCTTGCCTTTGCTTCAGAGTCATTGAGACATTGAACCACAGTTACACAGTGAGTACCTCATATCCATCAGAATTCTGGGGAAGAAAAGAAGTTGGGAATCACTGCTCTAAAAGTTAACCTTGGGAAATGTATTTTTCATAGCTTAAAACTATTATCAGCAAGCTGATACCTTTCAACTCTTTATCTCTAGCCCTGGAACTTCCCTATACTTCATACCCATGTATCTAATTGCCTATAGGACATTTACTTTCTTATGTCTGATAGGTATCTTGAACTCAGCATGTCCAAAAGCAAAATCATTATCTTCATCCCCAAACATATTCTTCCTCCTGAATTCTCAATCTTATTAATGGCATATTATCTATGCAGTCATCATAATAAAAAATGAATATCATGCATTGCATTGTTCTCTATTCACAGAAGACATACCTAAATACTAGATATTCTTGTAAATATAATGAACAAGAAACAGGCTGGGCATAGTGGCTCACGCCTGTAATCCCAGCACTTTGGGAGGCTGAGGCGGGCGGATCACCTGAGGTCAGGAGTTCAAGATCAGCCTGGCCAACATGGTGAAACACCATCTCTACCAAAAATACAAAATTTAGCCAAGGATGGTGGCTCACGACTATAATCCCAGCTACTTGGGAGGCTGAAGCAGTAGAACTGCTTGAACCCAAGAGGTGGAGGTTGCAGTGACATGAGATTGCACCACTGCACTCCAGCCTGGGCACTGGAATGAGACTCCATCTCATTCCAGACCCTGCCTTCAAGGAGTTCAGTCAGTTGGCAAATACAACATAGTATGATTACCACTCCATATTAAAGATAAATTCACAGTGCTAGGGGAAACCTAGTCTGGTCCAGGGAGGGGGTCAAAGGAAGGCTTCTTAGAGGAGGTGGTGCTTAACCTAAAACATGAATATGTTTTTAAAAAGTGGAGTAGGGAGAGGAAGAGGCAGTAAAGTAAGAGGAAGAGAATTCTAGAGAATGAAAATACCATGTATGAAAGCTCAAAGATGGGAGGAGAGGAGACTGGTGAAATACTACCATATGAGCTGCCTTTATTTATTTAAAAATTTACCAAATGTAGGCACTGTGCTAAACCCTTTATATACATTATTACTGCTGTTCCTTGTATCAAGCCTACAAAACAAGGATAATAATCTCATTTTTACAGATTAAAGAACTTTCAGAGCTCAGAGAGGTTAAATTACTTTTCCAAGACCACCCAGCTAATAAGAGATGCAACAAGCTTTGAACCTAGGTCTTCTGGCTCCAAAGCCAATTCCATGCATCTTCCCAAATACCTTGGGACTGCTCTTTATGCTTTTATCATCCACATCTAGTAAAACATCAAATCCTGCTGAGTTTTCATATTTCTTACATTGTTCCATTCTCTCCACACCTACCATCAGAAACTCAGCACATTATCTTTCACCTGGACCCTAGGCTCTAATTGCTCTCTAGGTATAAAGGGGTATGTGTGTATGTATCACAATAAGTCAGATCGGCATGATCTCACTTTCACAACAAGAGATTCAACAACTGTCTGTATATGTATCATGGAAGAAATATTCCTGCTCTTTTCTAGGGTTAGCCCTGGAATATCCTAGAGCCTAGTCAGGTGACTTCTTTTCTGCTTTAATTATGCTTTTTGGTGATCTCACCCAGTCTTCTGACTCTAAATACCAGCACTAAAGCAATGACTTCCATGTCTGTATTTCTCCAGCTTTAATATCTCCCATAAAGTCCAAATTCCTAGTTGACAACTGTCTACTTGACATCTCAACTTGGATGTCTAATAGAAATATCCCTTGCCCTATTAAAATGTGAGTATTTCAGGAGGCAGAGGCAGGAGAATTGCTTGAACCTGGGAGGTAGATGTTGCAGTGAGCCAAGATCATGTCATTGCACTCCAGCCTGGCCAACAAGAGCGAAACTCCATCTCAAAAAAAAAAAAAAAAAAAAAATTGTGGTATATATACATCATGGAATACTACTCAACCATAAAAAGGAATGAAATAATGACATTCATAGCAAATTGGATGGAGTTGGAGCCCATTATTCTAAGTGTAATAACTCAGGAATGGAAAACCAAATATCGTATGTTCTCACTTGAAAGTGGGAGCTAAGCTATGAAAAAGCAAAGGCATAAGAATGATATAATGGACTTTGGGGACTCAGGGGGAAGGGTGGAATGGGGATGAGGGATAAAAGACTACATATGCCGGGCACGGTGGCTCACACCTGTAATCCCAGCACTTTGGGAGGCTGAGGCAGGTGGATCATGAGGTCAGGAGATCGAGACCAGCATGGCTAAGACGGTGAAACCCCATCTCTACTAAAAATACAAAAAAATTAGCCGGGCATGGTGGCGGGCATCTGTAGTCCCAGCTACTCAGGAGGCTGAGGCAGGAGAATCGCTTGAACCCGGGAGGCGGAGATTGCAGTGAGCTGAGATTGCGCCACTGCACTCCAGCCTGGGCGACAGAAGGAGACTCTGTCTCAAAAAAAAAAAACTACATAGTGGGTACAGTGTACACTGCTTGCATGATGAGTGCACCAAAATCTCTCAGAAATCGCCATCAAAGAATTTATTCATGTAACCAAAAAACCACTTGTTCCCCAAAATTATTGAAATAAACTTTAAAAGACTCTGCTAATATATATAATATATATTATATATTATTATATTATGATATAATTGTTATATTTATATTAATAAATTATATTTTAAATTATTGTATAAATTTGGATATAATTTATATGTATTATAAATTAATACATATAAATTATATTATAAATTAATAAATAGTATAAATATTATTATATTATATATTATATTAGTATAAATATATAATATATAATATATATATACTTGCCTGAATAAAACTTGTATTGGATAACTCCAATATCTATAATACATATCAAAAATAAATAAATAAAATGTGAGTATTATGAGGTCAGGAATTTTGTCTACCTTGTACATTTTTGCATCTCTAATGCATAGTGCCTGACATATAATGGCTCATCAATAAATATATGTTGACTGAATAAACACATGCTGCATGAGAGCAAAAGACATCCCAAATGGGACTCAATTGTCCTAGAGGGTCTTTGAGAATTTGGTACTCTGGGTTAAATGTGTATTTCGGGAGGACAGAAAGGAGTAGAGGTTGGCTCTAAGCTTCTTTAGTGTGCTACAGTTAATCCTACTCTTTAATGATTGGCCTACCTGGGATGTTAGCAATCCCTAAACATTATACCTCTAGGAACACTATCCATCAGACTTGCCTGTTAAGAAACACTTTGGAAGACCTTTACAATATAGATTTCCAGGACTTCCACCCGCTACCACCATGTCACCTCCTTATCCAGAATCTCAAGGGGAGAGGTCTAAAAACCTACATTGTAAACAAATAACCCCAGTGATTGCTACTGACAGGTTTGAAGGAGACTACTATAGAAGCTTTACCCATTAGGTTATTATAGTTGAAAATGGCTCAGCTTGCTGGATATCAGTATCTACACACGCCCTTAGCTCTAAGTCAAGAACTCCAGAAATGATACATAAACTGCCTAAATAATATTTCATTAGTTTTAGTCCAAAGTACTAGAGGTCACCAGTGATCTAAGAGAGGCCTTCTCATACAACATGTCATATATGGAGTTTTTTAAAAGTACATATTCTATAAAGGCACATCTGTGTGAACATTTATTCTCAAGAAAGGATCTGATTTTGTTTATTTGGCACAAAATTAATTATGCCATCCCATGCTCAATTCCCACACCTTATATGAGTCTTTACTGTGACATATTAATGTCAGTTTTCATCACTTTTTTCCTTAAAATTGTTGAAGAATCAGGATTTCAGCTTCTCTTCCCCCACATCCATCCCTCCTAACTATCATTTCAAGCAAGCACAGGGTCATCACTTTGAAGATTTCTGTCATCCCCTCCACAAATCCCCAAAATGTTTTTCCTGCACATATTCAGTAGACTAAGCGTTGACAAGGCAAAAAGACTAGTAAATTCCATAATCTACTCCTAATTAAGGAATTCAAATGACAACAAGCAATTAAAGTGAATGACAGCAACTAACAATCTTCTGACAGGCACTCTTCCAAGAACCTGTGAGCCTTAAAGGCAAATTTACTTACGGTCATAATCTACAAAAGCTAAATTTCAAGTATTAAGTGATTATATATTCCCAACTATAATCTTAGCTAACCTCAAAGACTGGTCCTTGGGAAGTAAGAAGGAATAGGATCAGATGAGAAAAACAGATAGGGACACGCTAGGAGAACCATTTCAGACTTTCTCCTCAAAAGGTAATGAACTAAAACATAACAGAGAGACTATATTTAAAATGACATGGAAGCAACTCCCCCTCTCTCCTTCACTTTCTCATTCAGGAAGTTTTACAGCTTGCTTCCTGCTGCATGACCAAAACTCATTAATGCTGCCCCAAACAACATTTATCCCTCTAAACACATGATGTTCCCCAACAAACTGTTGCTGATAACAAAGAATCGGGAATTGGCACAATGCTGAGTTATCAGAGAAGTGCTTGGATGAGAGAAAATTGACATTTGGAGTTATGTTGACATTAGCAAATACTTTTTCTATCAGTAACCTAGAGCAGAGGCCAGCAAACTGCAGCGTGGCCTGCAGGCCAAATCCAGTCCACCGGCCTGCTTTTGTAAATAAAGTTTTATTGGAACATAGTCACTCCCATTTAGTTACATATTGTCTGTGGCTGCTTTCCCATTACAACAGTGGAGTTCAGTCATTGCAACAGATTACGTGGCCAGTAAAGTGGAAAATATTTACTATCAGGCCCTTTTCATAAAAAGTTTGCGGACCTAGAGCATCACGTGCCAAAGATGAAGTGAGGCTGCTACCACTGTCCCACCACCAACATGTTCTGCCGGAGAATAGGTATAAACATCTGCTTTCCCTATCAGCCTCAGAAAGGCAGAGTGTTGACTCTTCACAACAGCCAGCAAGTAGTAGCTATACCAGACATTTCGAGAAATGAGAAATACAGCATTCAGTCACCATAAACAGCCCCATGTTTCGCCCATTTGGCATATCACTTTTGAAAGTCCTCCAACTCCTAAAATGCCATCTTAAAGTATACAATGTTTTATTTGGTGACATAATACTCAAACATGTTGTTTGCCTTTAAAATGCTTCTGTTTCCTGAAAAAATTTTTCAGAAACATAACAAGAGCTATAAGCTCCAAGACCATAATAAGTACTTGTATTATGTATTATGCTAGGTATTAATTTGCCAATGGATTTTTAAAACTTCCCTGCTTTCCTCTTGGTAGCCAATAATACTGACATAGTTTAAGGTGTAAGAGTTCAGGTTGTAATAAAACATTTTTAAAAATTTAAACTATAAAAAAGTTAAGAGTTTCTTAAAAGTACATATTCTATGAAGGCACATCTGTGTGAACATTTATGTACCTTAAAGGATCATACTAGGTTACAAAACTATGGTTTCTCTACGAAGAGATTCATGTCACTAAATGGCTGCTATCTGATCCTTGAACTTGCTTTACTGAAGACTGAGACAGTATGGAGAAAAGTTAAAATTGGGAGGTGGTGGCCATTCATCTTTACATTTTTACAAGCTTTATACAGGAAGCTTTACAGCTTGGGATAGGTAGTCCTACTATCCTACCTTTGAGATTCTACCAAAATAACACTTCTAAAGGTAACGTCTGTTAGTGCCTTAAGCTCAACATTCCTGCTGGGGCAAATCTATAAACATTCCATTTGCTGAAAAAGGACTTCAAATCCCACATCAAGCTTTCTACCTCAATCATGGGGCTAGAACTCTAACATTAGCTAAGCCTAAGCCATGGTTAAGGCTCTCCAGCCATGCTATCAACAGGAGAAATGAATACTTCTGTAACCGAGGTAACTCTTAGACTCCAACTGAAAGAGAAACAATTATTCCTGGGGCTGTCTATGATCAACGCCATCATAGGACTACTTTGATAAAAGAGTTGAACCCAAGTGCTTTGAAGACAACCTTATAAAATTGTCATCATAGTAATGATGGTGTCCCAGGAATGCTCAAGTTGACAATGATCCTTTTCTAAAGAATGTCATTAGTTGGTTTTGAATACGTTTTTTAAAAAGAAAAACTTTGGAAAAATACCAGCAGGAAATTCACTAGAATGTTAATAATTTCTTCTGAAAAGTATAGTTATGGATGGTTATGGACAATTTTTTCTTAGCTTTCATAGCTGAAACAATCCCTTTTCATAACAAATATTTTTAACACCCCCTTACTATCCTGAAATAAAAATCACTGATATAAAACTAAAATCATTTTAAAAATAACAGAATATGAAGAAGAAATAAAGAGCAAAGCACTTTATAATAAAATATGTATTTTAATGTGTTAATGCTTGGGCCAGTAAAGTAGAAGGCATAAAGAAGCAGTCAGAGATTTGGATGCATCATATAGTTACCATGAAGGCAGAGGTTAAATGCAGATCTACAGAACGTGTAGCATGATGTACGCATTATGTAAGTGGCATTGCTGTCAGGGATAAATAAAACTAAGAGCAGTTTCTCCTCATTTACATGGTGGTTGAATTTTTAGAACTGTCTTCCTCCCCACTGCCCCTCAAAAATGAGCTTAAACATAAAATCAAGTTTGGTTTTAGACTCAGATAACTGATAGGTTTTCATCTATGACTGTCAAGGGAGACAGTCAAAAGTCAAGCAAGCTTCAGGATACTTGTTTGATATGGGGCATTTTAGGATATCTAGCATCTCTCACCCTTTCCACTTAATGCATGCAGAACATCCCCCATCGCTGTATTCCCTGAAAGTAGCCCTATGAATTTTTACAAACTCCTTTAGCAATTCTCCTGCTGCTTTTGAGAGCTACCACTTTATATTTTTCTATACTTCATGAATTTTCTTTAATGAAATTTACTATCTTTTATAAACATTTTTTTTAAAAAGCTCCAGCAGAGTTTTAAGCTCATCTCTGTTCCTATAATAAAAAGACATAAGGTCACAAGTCACTAACACAAACTAATATCTTGAAAGCAATTGGAGGCAGAAGAAGAAATCAAAAAAAGAAAAGGTCAAGAAGTTAACTATACTATCCTTAGTAGCTGGATAAACCTTTCACATCTTTGGATGAGATGCATGAGAGAAGTCCAAACAGATACCTCAAAGATCAATTTATTCTATCTTAAAAAAGATTTATGATTAAAGCAGAATTCACTGATGTAATGGGACACTAGGTCCAAAAATTACAGGGTCTCAAAGGAATACATGTGAGCTTTGATTACTGAGATTTCCTGGGCAACAGCACGACCTAAAATTAATAGAGTCCATAAAAGGAAGATGCCAAAAGAAACTTTGTTCTTAAGATGGTTTATACAGCTTGGGCTACAGCAAGACACAACCCATATATAGAAAATCACAGCATCTGCAGTATTTTAAGAAACTATAGTTGCAAAGCAAGAGCAAATGTACAGTGAGAGGAAAGATCCTTCGAGGCCAATGTGGAGTCAACCACTAGAGAAGATTCCTCAGTGCATGCTGGATAACAGGCAGCTTCCCACATACAGAGTTGGTTGGCTGCCATTTCTCAGTCTCTATCTTTTTCCCTGGGACTGCGCATCGTCATCAATTGCAGAAATCCAGGACAGCTTGCTTTTCTACACGTGGAATGCCTGCCAATTCCCAGAGGCTGGCTACCACAGGACTGTTTATAACAGCCATTGCTTATCAAGTTTACCCTTACTTTTATATCCTTATGAACATTATCATGTTATCAAATTTCTCAGACTTTTCAAAACCCTTTCATTCTGGGGACGAGCTATCTTTCCCTTTTAAAAAAAAAAATCTGCCTAAACAGGTTAAGAGGAGAAAAATCTATATTTTATTATCTCTTTAAGTCTGTTAAAAGCAACAGAGGCTTGCTTAAAAAATAGATTTTGGTTGTTATGTAATATACTGCAAAAAAAAATATTACTTTACTACATAAATAACTATTAGATAGCTCACCTACCATGTCTTTAAACTTAGACAAACTGTTGTTCTAACTCCACAGCGCAATCTTGTCTGGGAAATACCTTACCATATTAGGCAATCGAGCCCCAGAGAGAGAGGAAAACAAAACAGACTTAGGATTTTACCTAAAAGGAGAATGGCAAAAATACTGACTGGTGGTGGAGAGTGGACAGAAAGTTGCTGGATACCCTCCAGCAGATAAAGTGGTTTCACAAGATTAAAAAATTCTGCTCGAGAGAAAGGATCCAGCAAATAGCCAGAAGCAACGCTGTGAAAAATTGGAGAAAAAGGGCTGCTATTTACTCAAAGGAAGAAGGTGGGAAAAAATAGTAAAGATCTCTGAAACTAGGACTGTTGGAAGCACTGGCAAAGAAGCATAAATGGGATGGGTTATTTAGGCATAAAAATGAAAGCCTGCTTGCTTGACAGAGAAGCTGCAGGGACTTGACTTGATCAGATGCTTAACAGGTTCCAAACACAATTTGAAACATTTAGTTCTTGTTCCTTTCCTTTCTACTCATTTCTTTCCCCCTACTTCAGCAATCTCCTTTAAACCTTATTCCTCAAAATTCTTCAGTTATGTGTCAGAACACATGTTGGAGTTATAGAAGATTTGGGGCTACTTCTGTGACTCTCCAAATAATCCATTCTTTAAGGATAAATTAATAACTTCAAAATCATGTGATCCTAAGGCCAATAAAAGTATTCCGAAAGCCTTACTCTCATCCAGATGTAGGAACTTGTAGATTTGGAAAATAATTTAAATGGATTGTAATCATCTCTATTTAAATGTATTAGCTCATTTTCATTTCACAACTCTAAGAGGTAGACTATTATTATCCCTACTTTACAGATGAGGAAACTGAGGCATACAAAGGTTAAATAACCTATCCAAAGTAGTTAAATGGTTAAGCTGGGGTTAAATGCAGGGAGTCTAGCTCCTGGGTGTGTCCTCTTAACTATTATGCTATATTATTTGTCATAACAGTATGTAATATGATATAAGAGATATAACAGATATAAAGATACAAATTTGGAAGGTAGTGCAACAGCTGTGCACTAGGACTACAACTATGTGACACTAGCAAGGTACTTAATCTCCTGGGCCTCAGCTGTTAACTTTAAAATGACAGTGTTAACTAGGTGACCTTTAAAGTATTTTTTAGCTTTAAATTTAGTCTGTAACTGTCATTCTAGCCACCCCAGAGAAATCAAATTTTAATATACAGTAACAACTTTTAGGTGTTGTTTTATTTCTAATAAAAGTTTTTCCAAGAGTCTTCTTTTTTTGGGGGGGACAGGGTCTCGCTCTGTTGCCCAGACTGATGTGCAGTGGTGCGATCTTGGCTCACTGCCACCTCCGCCTCCCGGGTTCAAGCGATTCTCATGCCTCAGCCTCCCGAGTAGCTGGGATTACAGGTGGGCGTCATCACACCCAGCTAATTTTTGTATTTTTAGTAGAGATGGGGTTTCACTGTTGACCAGGCTGGTCTCGAACTCCTGACCTCAAGTGGTCCATCTGCCTCGGCCTCCTAAAGTGCTGGGATTACACGCGTGAGCCACTACGGCCGGCCTCAAGAGTCTTCTTAACTGAAATTGAAGTGACATTTATTCAAAGATGTAATAGAGCTGAAGAAAATTTGGCAAAGGAGACCAAGAGGTAAGTTAACAGATCATTTGCAGACATGGTAATTAATAGAATCCCTCTGATGTAGTAAGAAGAGTCTTATGACATCCCTGGACTTCAAAGGCCTCTAGACAAGGTTGCAGAAAGGAAGCAATTTCTAGCTCAAAAGACACCAGAAGATGCCCTGGAATGTCCAGGTCTCCTATACCATTGCATGGTCCATTTATAAACAGACTGAGCAGATTTCATGGGAAATAGCCCTTGAAAAAAAAAAAAAGGTAAAATAAGAACAATGATAAAACTGCCTATTGTTCCATGTGTTTTGTTTGATTTCGTTTTGGAAAAAGGGGGAAACTGCATCCATATTCTCAGGGTCAGGTACCAGGATTGCTCAGTTTCCTTTGCTGATTCTTCCCCTTCTCCTCAATTTGAATTTCGGAGTGCTCCAGGGCTCTTTCGGCCTCTTCTCTGTCTACATTCATTCTCTTCGTGGTCACATTCAATCTCATGGTTTTAAAATCCAATCTTTAGGTTTACTGATATCCAAGATGTAGTTCCAGCTTGGCCCTTAAACCTGAATTGCAGATTCCTACATCTAACTGTCCTCTTGACATTTCCATGTAGAAATATGTCAATCAGACCTATTAGATTTAACAATTCTAAAACCAAAACCAAATGTCTACTTTTCCCCCACCAAATGTATTCTGTATTCTTCCTGTAGTATTCTCCATCTCAATTAATAAAATTCCATGCTTTTAGTTGCCTTAGCTAAAAAGTCTTAGTGTCAACCTTGACCTTCTGTTTTCTCACCTGATATCCAAGAAAACAGCAAATCTCATTGGTTCTAACTTCAAAATATATCCTGAATATGACAACTTCTCAGCATCTTTACTGCCTGCTATTATCCTGGTACAAACCACCGTCAGTTTTCTCCTGGATTACTGTATTATAATGGCCTCCTAACTGATGTCCCTGCTTCCACCAATGTCCTCCCAGAGTACATTCTCTAAAATAGCAGGCAGTAATCCTTTAAAATATAAATATAATCATGTCACTCTTGTGCTCAAAACTACAAAAGCCAAAGTTCTTATAATAACTTATCAGTCGATGCCATTTGGCCTGCTTGCACATTCCACTGTAGCCACATTGATTTTTTTTAACCTGTCCTCAAGCATGCCAGACACCTATCTTAGGGTCTTTGCAATTGCTATTCCCTCTGTCCATAACACTCTACCCCTACATATCCACATAGTTTCCCACCTTGCTTCCTTTAAGACTAGGCTTAAATCATATTTTCTCAGTAAGGCCTATCCTGACCACCCTACTTATAATGTCAACCTCCTTCCATGTTGGCACTTCTGATTCCTCCTTAGCCTACTCTATATGGTTTTTCCATAGCACGTATCACCTTTTAACATAGTATTTACTTTATATATTTATTTTGTCTGTCTCCCCCACTAGAATGTAAATTCCGTAAGAGCAGGGCTGTTTGTTCATTGTTGCATCCCCAGAATCTAGAAAAGTGCTTGATCATAATCGGCGCTTAAAAGCACTTGTTGAATTAAGATGCTTACAAAAGTGAAGGCAGGACAAAATGGAAAATGCATTTAGTGGCTTCTGGTATATTTCTATTTATTTCTATGGCATTTATTTTCTGTTAAAGTTCAAAACTCAGCTCTGCTAGCAAATTCCAATTGTGTTCTTTCATGTAGTTTGAAAACCTTGCATTTAATAGCTTAACTCTTTTAGAAGACTTTTACCAACAGATCTCTCCACGAGCATACCCCCAGTTATCTAAGGCAGGTACCTTGATATCTATAATTTAGTAACTCTTTAACACTATCTCCTTTACCAATCAGTTTTGAGGGATGACTAGTAATCCAGACCTACTGATTGCATTCTGGATGGGGACAGCTACATTGCTAACTTTGAGGGTAAGGTTTCAGTGATTTTGTTCAGATTGAGTGCCACCTGATTTATCTAAAAGCAATAGAGATTCTAGGGGAAAAGAAAAGTATGAAAAGTCTTACTTCCTGACATACATAACTACCCACCTATGTCAAGGACAGCAGAAGAATGCTGATGCTCTACCCACTGAATCTTGATACTCTGAGTAGGCTTTTAAGTTGTCCTTCAAGAAGACGTTCCTTCACTCAAGGAGGTGAGATGCTACTAGCAAGTCAATTCGAACATGTAACCTGCTGAGTAAAAAAACCAAATGGATGAATAAGGAATAGAAAAGGATGTAAGTCCTAATTTCAGGTTTGCTTCACTACAGTCAAACAAAGAGGTTCCCTGAAAAAAGGTACAGGTTGCTCACCTAGCAGAGATGTCATGCCCAAATAATTCTTAATTTCTCTGAGCCTCAGTCTTCTTAACCATAAAATTGGTTCCTAATCCAAGATATCTCTAGATTCTCTTCCAATCCTATGATACCAAAAGTTGGGAGGCAAGTACCTTTACTACATTGAACCCGGTCCTTCAACAATTCCTTAAAAACAAAGGCAATTTGTCTTCTGCTCAGCTTTAGGGCACCATTCTGCCTGCTCACCAATATCTTTTCTGTTGACCACTTGTGCCCTCTAGTGATAAATTCAATTATACAACAGGATTGGCTTGGAAAACAGCTCCAGAGCAAACAGGGAAAACAGTAAGAAAGCAATAGATAAAACTCAATGTAAAGAAAATGGAATCCAGGCCAAAGATGCAGGTAAAAAAAGATAGAAATATCCAAATGGTCATTATCTTCTGTGGCGTACCTATGCTTGTTCCCTCCAGGGCAAACATTCTATGTGATTACTACTATAGTAAAGAAAACAGCAAACACACTGCTGAATATAAAAGCATTTTCAGATATAATTAGAATAACCCTATTCCTCAAATTAAGATGCAGATTATTTTTCATTCAGAAAGACAAAGGATCTATTAAGATTCTCAGAGACTGTCATATACCTAACGTGGATAAACAAAACAGAATTGTTTTTAAACACATCTGTCAAGGAGGTGCTAAGATGTCAATTTTACATATTCATTGTTAGTTTCACTGGTTCATGGATTTACCAGTGGAGATGGGTTCAGACTAAAACTATGCACTATGTTGGGCTTAAGTAGGGTCCCCAGCCTTCTAAGCATGTTCCTTGCTGTCCCCAGCATAGCAATGCATGACTAGTCTATCACATACTCTCTTTTTAAAAATTTTAAATTGATGCATTATAATAGTACGTATTTATGTGGTATGAAGTGATATTTCAATACATATATGCAATATGTAATGATCAAATCAAGGTAATCAGCATATCTAGCATCAAAAATAATTTATGTTAGGAACATTCAAAATCCTCTTTTCTAGCTATTTGAAAATATACAATAAATTATCATTAACTATATTCACCCTTTAGTGCTATAGAACACTAGAACTTATTCCCCCTACCTGTAATTTTATATCTGTTAACCAACCTCTGACTATCTCCCTTTTCCAGACTCCAGTAACCACAGTCCTACTCTCTACTTCTATGAGCTCAACTTTTTAAGATCCTACATATGAGAGAGAACATGAGGTATTTATTTTTCTGTGACTGACTTATTTCACCTAACATAATGGCTTCCAGGATCATTCATGTTGCTGTGAATGACATAATTTCATTTTTCTTTATGGCTAAATAGTATTCCACTATGTACATATACCACATTTAATTTATCTGTTCATCTGTTAATGGACATTTAAGTTGATTCCATATCCTAGCTATTGTGAATAGTGCTGCAATAAACATAGGGGTGCAGATATCTCTTTGAAAGACAGAGAGACAGTGAGAGTGAGAGAGAGAGAGAGAGAGAGAGAGAGCAAGAGAGAGAGACAGCGAGAGCACCAAATCCTAACCACTAGACCACCAGGGAGCGTCATCTCTTTGATACACTGTTTTTCTTTCCTCTGGATAAATACCAAGTGGTGGGACTGCTGAATCATATGGTAGTTCAATTTTTAGTTTTTGAGGAACCTCCATACTGTTTTCCATAATGGCTACACTAATTTATATTCCCACCAATAGCGTATTAAGAGTTTCTTTTTCTCTATATCCTCACCAGGTTTTGTTATTTTTTGTCTTTTTGATAACAGCCATTCTAACAGGTCAGATGATCTATTTCATTGTGGTTTTGATTTGCATTTCTCTGACCAAATATTCTATTGATAGCAAACATTATGGCCATTCCTGGCCATAAATCTTACCTGTATATAAATGTTGGTTACATTTTTCTTGGTATATAAAAAAGGAAATGAACTTCAATGACCTCAATAGAGATTTAGTTTAAACAACAGAAAGGTCTTAAACCACGTTGTTGTCACTGCTATACAAGTGAAGTATTAAACAATCTTCTTTTGAAATCTTTAAGAAGGGGGGAAAAACCATAGATATTTTGAATCATTTAGGTCTAACTCTGACTGGAGGCATAAGATAAAGATAATAACCGTTGAAGCTTCCTTTCTACCATTAAAATTAAATATTATTGGCTGGGCATTGTGGCTCATGCCTATAATCTCAACATTTTGGGAGGCCAAGGCAGGAGGACTGTTTGAGCCCAGGAGTTCGAGACCAGCCTGGGCAACGTGGTGAAACCCCATCTCTAGAAAAACTCCAAAAATTAGCTGGGTGTGGTGGCTTGTGCCTGTACTCCCAGCTACTTGGGACACTGAGGTAGTAGGATCACTTGAGCCTGGGAGGTTGAGGCCGCAGTGAGCCATGACTACATCACTGCACTCCAACCTGGGCGAAAGAGCAAGACCCTGTCTCAAAAAAAAAATTAAATATTACTGCTGGTTGATTTCTATCTTTTCCATTCAATTCTCTGTCCTGAGAGGCAACCACTCTTCTGATTTCTATCACCATAGATTAGTATCACTTATTCTTGAGCGTTAATGATGAAACGTTTTAAGGTGATGGAAAAGTTCTATATCTTGATTTGGGTAGTGGTTATACTGGTACATACAAGTGTCAAAACCCAGCAAACAGTATATTTAAAATCTGTGCATTAATTGTAAATTATATTTCAGTTAAAAAAAAGCCAAGATATTAGAGTCTTGGGAAGAGATAACTTTAAAAATAATAGATATTATAATTCTCAAGGAGTGGACTAGGTAAGAGAAGGAAGCCAGCATGACCTCAATAGCAGATATAGTTTTATTGAACTAAAAACCAAGAAAGGAAAGAGCTGCCCTGGGCTTCTCAACTGTATCCATGCTGATTAGCTAACAGCACCATTTCAATGGAATGCCCTCCGCTTTAACTGGCTCATTTGTTGTTGCAGAGCTGAGTCAACTGTACTGCCTGAAGGATGAAAATGGAGCTGGGGTAGAGAGGTGGTCATAAGATACTACTGATTGTCTTGAAATAGAAATGTAGGAATTTACACTAGGCCATGACCAGGCATGTGGCTCTGTAGGCCCATATAGATAATGGCATCATGCCTGCTAGCATTAGGAGAGAGTGCTCAAGGGAGAAAAACAGTTAAGAATTTAACTGAAAGAAATGAAACAAGCAAATATAAGACTTTTACAAAAAGGATGCCTCACCCTATGCTGATTCATTATCGGCCTTTCTTCCTGCACTATTAGCGAGGCTGGAGATTGGCACTTGGAATATATTTCTTATAGCAACCTTAGCTTATCTGCATAAATTCAAATGTACCAGTCCACAGATAATGGGCTGTTTATTCTTTTTGATTCACATTGTTGTTTTCCTGACACATGGTAAACACTAGTAGATGCCTTATGCAATTGGATGTGTGGAGTATTTTTTAGTCTGACAAATGCCTTTCACATCAAACTGCAACAGTCTCTGCTTTTCTTCATACTTTCAAGTCAACAGTCCTAAAGTAAAATTCCCTAGGAAGTACTGCATCAAGATCATCTTAATTTTCCTTACTTGGTACCCTCTAGGCTAGGATTTTCCAGTGCCAAGAAGTTTAGAAAAGTAGAGAATAGAATTTTCACTGGCAAAAGACATTCTTATGACAACAAAGCCTTCCCTTTTGCAATTCCCTGGATTTAAATGGCCTATGTAATTCTGTATGGATAATGTTCCATTTCAGTACTCTATAATCTATAACTCAGATCCTCTGAGTTATATTTCCTGAGTTATATATGCTTTGAGTTATAATTCCCCAAAGGAACTTTCCTATATTCACTCTTCCTATCTCCAAAAGCCTTTCCAAGCCCCTTGAAGAAACTAAGAGTTGCTATAATTCATACACATACACACAGGCACACACTCGTGCCCCAAGGAACCTCTATATACTATTTCCACACCACATAGCTTGCCTTTATGAAGTAGCCCCAGCTTCAACCAAGGGCAGGCAATTCTCACCTATGTCACCGTTAGTCATTAAAGGCACTACTTTCTAGAAGGCTACTATTGTCTGTTTTGGATCTAGACAAAAATATAGGCAGATCAATGACAATATATTATTTATATCTTCTCTGCTAAAGATGAGTTAGATGTTAATTTTCAGTACAGGTTATTAAATATACTCTGAAAACATACTTCCAATAAGTTGTAGGATACAAAAGGTCATCTTTTTACATAATTTCAATAGAAAAGCACATGTATTTCAATTAATTTAGTCAGAACCAAATTCCTTCCTTCTTGGAAAACAGTACTAAAAAGAAAACCACCACCAATCATGTCTGAGTGGCTTACAGGAGCCTGGAGTATCTTCAGAAAAGCTGAACTTAGGCCTTTCACTGCAGGGAAGAGTTGGATGTCAGGCCTTAAAAGGGCAGAGTTATGTAAGATGCCAGATGTTTAATCTTATCTCAAAGTCAAATATAAATGACTTGGGGACTGTCTGATGTTTTACATTCTCCACATTTATGTCCCTCTCTATTAGTGCGGATCCAAAAAGGAACTGGTATCACTCTTCACTTTTCATTCAAAGATTTCAAAGTACTTCATATAATCCAATAACATACAAGAGAGAAAATGATGGATCCTATAACAGTGTGAAAGACTGGCAGTAGGCACAGAAAAATGTAGGAAACTGCTTCAAGAGCACAGGCACTGTTACACCACATGAGAAAATAGTACCACAAACTAACACCTGCCCCATCTCTTAGAGGAATGTCTATCTCCAAACTCCTTCTCAACTAAAATCTGCATTAAGTCTTGCCCTTTCTTCTACTAAAATTACATACAAGAGCAAGACTGTGCTCTCAAGAGACATGCTTCACTGGCTTGTCACTTACCCACGTTTCTTTGACCTCTTCAGAGCCATCAGTTTCATCCTCCTAAAAAAGAAAAGGGAAGAAAATCAAGAGGCTCATTGTCACAGACATCCTTGAAAGCAACAAGGTCAGATCCCATCAATTATGCATCTTGGCATTTCAAACATGGGCAATGAGAATTGACTTCCAAGTGATGCTCTGTTACTGCTACTTTTCACAGCCATCACAGGCAGGCAACTTAGAAATGTCACCTGTAGTCTAAAAAGTCAAATCAACCACAGTTGGAAAAGGGATATCTTTAAGACAGACAGACAAGACAGACAGACTTAATTTCATCTTTGTCAATACTTATCAGTCAATTTAGCCCTAAAACAATGAAATATTTTTATCTAAAAAATAATTTATAATGAATGACTACTACTGTCTCATTTCTTGTCTCACTGAATAAAGTGTGTCCAATTTTCAAAGGAGTCATTGGTAGGCAGGGTCGTCTTGTCCAAGTTATTGGCCACTTGTTCTTTAAAATGCCAATAACAAGGTTGAATGAGAAGGCTACAGAACAAGATATGGAAGAGGATGAATGGAACTACTGATTGTGTATTTGTAGTTAGTAAACATTGGCATATCTGTCTTTATTTTAAAGCCAAAGTTCATCTATTTTATGTTATTTGTTCCACTTTTTCTCTAAAACAGTAAAACTAAGTGAACTTGTATTACTTAGAGGTTTTAAGTTCCTTGAACTTCCTGTAGTACTCCTACAATATTTAGTTAGAATCTCTGCTCATATGTGGCATTAAGATATTGTTGACTCACTACATGACATTCAGGGAATATTAGGAAGGACTACTAAAACTCGACAAGCTTATTCACTTGTTATATTTGTTTATATGGCTGTTGTATATTTCCAGTTTTTTAATTCTTTGCCAATTATTTACTGAGTGCCTACCATGTGCTTAGCACTGTACTAGATACTGGGAATCTAGCAGGAACATACCAAATGAGTCCCACACTAGTTAGGTCTTTCTTCTCTTTTCCTCAGTAATACTTCCTGAGAAACTGCAAGATTCATGGCACCATGCGGGACTCTTTCTTTTAAACTCAACTGAAAGAATGGTGACCAAGAGTAATATGATATGCCTCAGCACAGACCAATCCACTTACATCCTTTGTCCAGAAATTGATGCCTGTGCCTCTTCGTCGTTCCTTGGGCCGCCTCCTCTCTCGGATGGACAGCCTCTTAGAGGACTGCTCATCCAAATCTGCTTCTTCATTCTCTGGCCAGAGATAAAATAAAGTATGAACTTTAAGAATCTGGGGATGTGCACTGTGGAGGGGCCTGTGTCTTTTGAAGTTCTACATACCATTTTTGTCCATTTCCTTTGCAGTTGTAGTGTTTGTGGTAGTCTCTGAACTCTCAGAATCAGGGACTGAAAATCTATTTGTCCATAGCAGGTGGGAACTGGTGTAGAGTGAGGGTCTTGACGTAGAAGGAGATGCTGGCGTGGTGGGTTTGTCTGGCTGAGCTGGGCACCTCAGGCGATGACAGATAGGCTGGAAATAATCCACAATATGAGATATTAGAAATCAAGTCCATCTAAAGAGTAAGGACAGCAGGTTTATACAAAATGTTTTTTTCTATATTAAGGGGCTTATGAGTAGATGATGATCAATATTGAGTACCTGGTAATAGGCACTCAATAAATGAACTAAGCTAAAGTTAGTTAATTAGACAAAAAAAAAAAAAACACAGCTGCTAGACTCCTACTCTGAGAATCCCATCATGTTGAGAGCAGTTCAAGCAAATTATTCATCAATTAACCAAAGGGTACTAGATAGCATTAACCATGTAAAAAAAATTCCTTTGATCTTGGAATGAAAATAAGAATGATGGCCTTTTTAAGATGGAGGGCTGAAAGGCAAGGTTTATGTAGGGAAACAAAAAGATCAGGAGCATGAAGAAGCAGAATGTAGGGATTACCTGAGAACAGAGAATAAATGTGAGTATCCTACCGAGTTCTGAATACTCTACCACCTTGCCATAACCAGGCTTACTGAAACTTTCTAAAGTTCCCATTTTCCTTTTTGTAGTTTTGTTTTGTTGTTGTTGTTTTCTTTTCTTTTCTTTTCTTTTTTTTTTTGAGACGGAGTCTTGCTCTGTTGCCCAGGCTGGAGTGCAGTGCTGCGATCTTGGCTCACTGCAACCTCTGCCTCCTGGGTTCAAGCAATTCTGGTCTATTGTGGTCTTTTTTTTTTTTTTTTTTAAACCTGAGAATTAGGACAGATAGAGCCTAACAATAAGCCTTAACTTGGTTTATGGAAGACTCAGAGATAGATAAATCCTTACTACACATTAAATTTATGACATAGAGATTGTACACATTTTTGTGATTTATAAAGACATATACAATAAAATGTAGTAAATTTGGAGTCAGAAAGATCTTTGTTCAAATTCTAGCTTCAGCATTACTAGCTGTGACCTTGAATAAGTTACTTAGCTTCTCTGGGCCATAAATTCCTCATCTATAAAACAGAGATAACACCTTCTTCAGAGAGGATTATGAGGATTAAATTAAGAAAATGTGTGTTAGGTGCTTAGAAGAATACCTGGTAATAGGTACTCAATAAATAGTAGCTTATAAAACAAAATACAAAATAGAACTTCAGTTTATAGAATCTAGCCATTCAGAGTCAAAGCAAGAAGGAGATACCTTTCTTCTATAACCACAGTGACCATAACATTTATCAGTCCAAACTGGGACACTTTTGAGAGTGCAAAGGAGGGGTAATGATAATTACACAAAGACAACAGTTGTAATTGGAACCATCTTAGGTAAACCAGGAGTTATGTTCACCCTAAATATAAACTTATACCTTTTACTACCAACTCCACTAGAGAAATGAAACATAAATCAAAACGTCCCTCCCAACAGTGACACTCAAGAGTGCTTTGTAAGCCCCTTAGGTTTATAAGAGTTTGAAAAACAATACACTAGTAGTTAAGAGAGCAAGCTGTGGAGTCAGACTGCCTATGTTCAAACTCTGGCTTAACCACTTCTTGGCTATGTGAAATGGGCAAATTCCTTAACCTCTGTGATTCAATTTCCTCATATATAAAATAGAAATAGTAATATTTACCTCAGAGAGTTGTTATGAGGATTAAATGCATTAATACACAAGAAGTACTTAAAATAGTGCCTGGCATAAAGTAAGCATGTATTGAGTAAAGTAAACACTCAATATATGCTTATATTTTTATTTGCATTTTGTTATACTATGACCTCTCCTTTTAGACTAGAAGGACATTTATTCAAAAGCATCAGTGAACTCTCAGAAGAAAAAAATGGTCATTTAAGGACCAACATCCTCTAAATTTTTGTCACACAGGTTTGCAAACTAAAGACAGCCATACTGAGTGAGTTGTCCATTGCAAGGTAGAACACAGCCTTTGAACTACCAGTGAAGAAGATACTCCCCAAACTAATTACCCTGCTTTTAGCACAGTACATGCCAGCAAAAATGAGCTCACCTCTTCATCCAGACTCCTGCCCCAGGGCTGCTGGCCCTCCCCAGCTTCTGTTGCTGGAACTGCTGAGGGCTCATGCTTCTCAGGGCTCCCCTCAAGCCCTTCAGTGTCTGTGGGCTTCTCACGAGGCTGCTCCTGAGCTTGCCTCTCTGCCCTCGACCGGCTGAATGTCCTTTCTGCTTCTTGAAGGTCTGTTAGGGTGACACCCTGGGAAAATATCACAAGATCAGGGCTGTTTCACACTAACCATGGAATAACTCTTGATTGATCAGGAATATTCCCAAAAAGACCTAATAGTTATCAAATCCCAAAATGAAGCCCCTCAAAATGCATAATGAGGCCACTTCAAGCAATATATGCTTAAAATAAGCATCTCAGTGTACAAAGAACCCGGGCCTGAGTCTAGGTACATTTTAAATGTAATACTTTAGTTTTTCTAGTTTGATCTCCAGAAAATAGGTCAACACTGATGTCTGCCTGTTATAGATGTACTTTTTCCATACCAAATAGTTCTCAGTATCTTTATTTGAAAGGTCCCTACCCTCCCAAGATCAAATGGTTACCAACAGAGATTTCCTAAACAGCAGATACTGGGGAAAAATATTCACTTAAAAAAAGAAAAACCTGGCTCAACAAGATGAAAATTCAGAGCTAGGCTACAATAACAACAACATAACCTCTTAAAACTCCTAGACTAGCTTTTCTCTAATATCAATTCCCAAGTAACTCTAGGAATCATATAGGGATATTCCAACAATTAATGTTCCCCCCACAGTGTCACAGGGGCAGCAAGAGAGAAGACAGGCAAATGATGACAAAACTACAGGAGAAGGGAGAAAAGGAGTTTAGAAAGAGCATGAGCTGATTCCAACTCAAGTAGTTATGTGCATGAGTCCTCAGAAGAAGGAAGTTCCAAAGCTGGAAGGTAGTTAGTTGATCAGGCACTGTATCCACAACTTGCTTCCCCTCCCCACCCCCAGCTTTTTTACTATTAATTCATTTACTTACTCATTCTGTTAATAAAGAATTAGGTGTCTTTAGGCACTAGAACTACAAAGACAAATCCAATGGTTACTGTCAAGAACCTTTTAGTCTAGCAGAAAAGATGTAAGAAGACAGACGAGTATAATGAGAGAATGTAAGTATTAAAACAGAAACACAAGAGTATATAGGATGAATACCGAACACTGGGTTTTAAAGAGTAAAAAGAACTTGGGTAGGGGGAGGGAGAAAAGGCATTATAGATAGAGGGATCTTGTACAAAGATACAGAAACAAGAGAGGCCACGGATGATTTAGGAATCTGTAGGTAACTTAGCAAAGATGAAGCACACAACAAAAAAAGGAAAGTTGGAGGACAGAGAGAGAATGAGGATAGGTGATTTTAGGAAAGCAGGCAGAGGCTAGGTCATAACAGATTTTGTAAGCTATGCTAAGAAGCTTAGATTTTACTTTCTTTGGGAGTCGGTGGTCCCTTTGAGAATCTCATGAAGACTACTGAGAATCTAATAAAATCTCCTCAAAAATTATGTACACATTTCAACGAGTTCAAAGATCTATTCAAGTTTTGACATGGACCTTCACTCCCTCTCTACTGAATCTTTCCCTCTAAGACGTTTCTATGTTCCTGTCTCTCCCACCTTCAATTCTATGCCCCTCTCCAGCAACTTCCCTATCTTTTCCCATTCCTTCATAAACAAACTTGAAATCATTCCAGAGCAATTTATCTTTCCCTATCATTTATTTCCCACTCATTTTTTTATTCAATAAATATATATTGATTTATTTACTGTATGATGGTGGAAAAGATGAGCTAAAGTATAGCCTGTCTTCTTTTTCACACCCATTAGGGTGGCTATTACCAAAAAAAACAGGCTGGGCATGGTGGCTCACACCTGTAATCTCAGCACCTTGAAAGGCCAAGGTGGGTAGATCACTTGAGGTCAAGAGTTCAAGACCAGCCTGGCTAACATGGTGAAACCCTGTCTCTACTAAAAATACAAAAATTAGCCAGGTGTGGTGATGGGTGCCTGTAATCCCAGCTACCTGGGAAGCTGAGGCAGGAGAATTGCTTGAACCCTGAGGCAGGAGAATTGCTTGAACCCTGAGGCAGAAGTTGCAGTGAGCCAAGATCACACCATTGCACCCCGGCCTGCGTGACAAGAGCAAAACTCCATCTCATAAAAACAACAACAACAAAAATATTGGTGAGGATATGGAAAAATTAGAACCCTTGTGCACTGCTGATGGGAACATAAAATGGTACAGCCGCTAAGGAAAACAGTATGGCAGTTCCTCAGAAAATTAAAAATTGAATTACCACATGATCCAGCAAATTCCATTTCTCAGTATGTACCCAAAAGAATTGAAAGCAGGGTTTCAGGGAGATATTTGTATAGCCATTCTCATAGCAGCATTAAACAGCCAAAAGGTGGAAGCAACCCAATGTCCACTGACAGATGAATGGATATACAAAATGCAGTATCCATAAAAGGCTGAAATATTCATCCTTTAAAAGGGAGGAACTCTGACACATGCTATAATATGGATGAACCTTGATAACTATGCTAAGTAAAATACGACACAAAAGGACAACTACTATATGATTCTACTTATTTGAGGTTCCTAGCATAGTCAAGTTCATAGACAGAAAGTGGAAGCAGCGTTGCCAGAGGGAAATGGGGAGTAATTATTTAATGGATACAGAGTTTCAGTTTTGGAAGAGGAAGAAAGTTCTAGAGATGAATGGTGGTGATAGTTATACAACAATGTAAATGTACTTAATGCCATTAAACTGTAAACTTAAAAATGGTAAAACTGGTAAGTTTTATGTTACGTATATTTCACCACAATAAAACAAAACAAAAAAACAGTCTTGGTCCTCTTGGGGGTTACATTCTAATGGAGGAAACAGACAAATAATCATCAAGTAAAAATAAAGGAAGAATACATGACCTACTTTGGGAGAGTCAAAGAAGACAACAAGGGTGTTTTTGCTGCCATATATAATGTCTCTTTTCCAGTGGTGAAATTTGCTACTTGACCTCTGTAGTATTTAAAACTGTGGAACTTCTCCTTTTCACTGGAAATGGACTTTTCATTCACTTCCATGCTGCTACTATTTTCTGATTTTCTTTTCACCGCTCCTGCTGCTTCTTTTCGTTCTGTTTCATGGGCTCATCTTTCTTTGCTTCTTTCAATAACAAATTCATAGCCTTCTCTCCATTCTCATTGCCATTACAACTTGATTTCATACCCTTGTAATTTCCTGGGACTACAATACAACTTGGACTACAATACAGCTTCCTAGCAAGTCTTCTTGCTTCCAGGCTTGGTAAACATACCTCTACCTACCATTCCCATCAATTATCTGCAGGGTGATTTTTCTAACATATAATGTAGACTATACCATATTCCCTTAAACTGCTTCAATGACTCCCTCAGGGATTCCTTTTGTAACATCTTTATTAAAATACAATCCTCATATCATAAACCTCACCATTTGAAAGTATACAATTCCTTGGTTTTTAGTTTATTCACAGAGTTATAAAATTATCACCACATCTAATTTCATAATTTTCATCACCCCAAAAAGAAACCACATACTCACCATTCTGCCTTCCCCCCAGCCCTGGCACTAATCTAATTTCTGTCTCTTTGGATTTGCCTATTTGGGACATTTCATATAAATGGAATCATATAATATATGGAGTGTTTTGTGTCTGGCTTCTTTCACTTAGCATAATGTTTTCTTAAGGTTCATCCATGTTGTAACATGTATCAGTACTTCATTTCTTTTTATTGCCAAATAGCATGGATTTATCACATTTGGTTTACCCATTCATTAGTTAATAGACATTTGGCTTATTTTTACTTTTTGGCTATTATGAATAATACTATTACAAACACCTATATACAAGTTTTTATATGAACATATGTTTTCATTTCTCTTGAGTAGAACTGCTGAGTCAAATGGTAACTATGTTTAAAATTTTGAGGAATTGCCAAACTCTTTTCCCTTAGGGATTCTTAAAATGTAGTAGGGATATAGGGATGTATAGGGATTCTTAAGGTCTTTAAGCACAAGTGGAATAATTAATCTTGTGAAGGAAAAGAGATAAACCTGTTCTAAGCCTGGAGGAATATTGGTGAGAATGGGTAGATGTAGCTGTAAATTCATTTGGTTCTATGTAGTATAAGATTCAACACAATGAAAGCTTTTAAGACTGGCTGGAATAGGGCAGTCATTTTCATGTGTGTGTTTTGCTTTGTCTTGTTTTTTTGAGATGGAGTCTCGCTCTGTCGCCCAGGAGGGCAGTGGCGCAATCTTGGCTCACTGGAACTTCTGCCTCCCAGGTTCAAGCAATTCTCCCACCTCATCCTCCCGAGTAACTGAAATTACAGGCATGCACCACCATGCCTGGCTAATTTTCATATTTTTAGTAGAGACAGGTTTCACCACGTTGGCCAGGCTGGTCTTGAACTCCTGACCTCAAGTCAGGAATGCTCCTGGTCTCAACTCCTTGGCCTCCCAAATTGCTGGGATTACAGGTGTGAGCCACCACGCCAAGCCGTGAGCGTGTGTGTGTGTGTGTGTTTAAATCAGCAGTTGAACATGGATATTGCAGTGTGTTTTGATTGTACCTCCAACAGAAGGGTAGATACACAAAATGACATTTTAAAAAAAGCCACACTCACTTGAGTAGACCTTCGTGTCTGCCGAGCTTGTCTGGAGCGTGCTTTCCGTAAAGACTCTGCTTCCTCATCCCGTACAGGAGTCAGATAGGACCTGCAGAGAAAAAAAAGTAATAGCAAAAGCAAGATCTTTGCTGCATATACTTGAGGAATGACAAAGTGTTTCCACATATTGAAGAGATTTCTACATTCTAGGAATGAACTTAAGCAAAGTCAAAATGACAGAAATGCTATCAACCATCAGCAAACATTACAGAATCCAAGTCATTACAGTAGTTCCCCCTTATCTGTGGTTTTGCTTTCTGTGGTTTCAGTACCCATGGTGAACTGTGGTCTGAAAATATTAAATGAAAACTTCCATCAATAAACAATTCATACATTTTCAATTGTGCACTGTTCTGAATAGCGTGGTGAAATTTCATGCTGTTCCATTCTGTCCCTCCTGAGATGCAAATCATGCACTGTTGTGATATCACGGTGTTTATGTTCAAGTAATCCTTATTCTACTTAATAATGGCCCCAAAGTGCAAGAGTAGTGATGCTGGCATTTTGTTATAACTGTTCTATTTTATTATTAGTTATTAGTATTATTGTTAATCTCTTACTGTGCCTAATTATAAATTAAACTTCAGTGTAGATATGTATTTATAGGAAAAAATAGTATTTATATAGGGTTCTGTACTATCTGTAGGTTCAGTCATCCACTGGAAGTCTTGAAAGGTATTGTGTGGTGGGTCACGCCTATAATCCCAGCACTTTGGGAGGCCATGGTGGGAGGATCACCTGAGGTCAGGAGTAGGAGACCAACCTGACCAACATGCTGGAACCCTGTCTCTACTAAAAATACAAAAATTAGCCAGATGTGCTGGTGGGCACCTGTAATCCCAGCTACTCAGGAGGCTGAGACAAGAGAATCACTTTAACTTGGAGGCCGAGGTTGCAGTAAGCTGAGAATGCACCACTGCACTCCAGCCTGGGTGACAAGAGTGAAACTAGGTCTCCAAAAAAAAGAAAAAAAAAAAAGAAATGTATCTTCCATGGATAACGGGACTATTGTGTTTGTAAATGTATTACTGTTCACACAGAATCATGTCATCTGTAAAATGAGAATTTTATTTCTTCTTTCCTATCCTTCCAATTTTTATTTCTTTTCTTGACTTAATGCTTTGGCTAGGAATCTCTAGGACATGCTGAAAAGCAGTGATGATAGTAAGTTTTCATTCTCTGTAATCCTGCCATCAAAGAGAATGCTTTCAGCATTTTTTCATTAAGTGTAATGTTTGTTGTAAGATTTATGCAGATACCACTCATCAAATTAAAGCAATTCCCTTCTGTTCCTATAGAAAATAGGCTAAGAGAGTTTCTCGTTGTTGTTTTTTAATCATTAGTGTATGTTGAACTTTATCACATGCTATTCTTCCCCATATATTGAGATGATTGCTTTTCTCCTTTTTTCTGTCAGGAAGGTGAATTACACTGAATAATTTTTGAATGATAAAGCAACACTGAATTCTTGGGACAAGCTCAACTTGGTCAAGATGTACCATCTTTTTATATAGATTTTTAAACATATTCACTATTATTTAGTTTAGAATTCCTACCACATTCATGAAAGAAATTGGCTTATAATTTTCCCTTCTTGTAATATGCTGGTCAGCTTTGTGAATTAAGGTTATATGAATTGCGAGTGTTCTCTACATGTCTATTTCTGTAAGAATTTGTGTAAGATTTGGGTTATTTCCTCCTTAAATGATTGGAAGAGTTCACCAATCAAGTCATCTGGGTTTACAGTGTTCCTTGTGGGAAGGTTTTGTTTTTTATTTTTGAGTCTTACTTCGTTGCCCATGCTGGAGTACAGTGGCGTGATCACAGCTGACTGTAGCCTTGATTTCCTGGACTCAGGCGATTTTCCCGCCTCAGCCTTTGCAAGTAGCTGGGACTACAGGTGCACGCCACTACGCCCTGCTAACTTTTTTTTATTTTTAGTAGAGATGAGGTCTCGCTATGTTGCCTAGGCTGATCTTGAACTCCTGAGCTCAAGCAATCCTCCCACCTCGACTTCCCAGAGTGCTGGTTTATAGGCGTGAGCCACTGTGCCCAGCCCCTATGGGAAAGTTTTAAATAAAGGGTTCATTTCTTTAATAGAGTTAGGCTTATTCAAATTTTCTGTTTTGGTAATTGTTTTTTAAGAAATTTTCTATTTTGTCTATATTATCACATTTAGTGGCATCAAGTTGTTAACAATACCCTTAGAATATATTTGTTATTTTAATATCTAGAGCAGTGGTTCTCAAATTGTTTTGGTCTCAAGATCCTTTAATATTTTTTAAAATTATTGAGAACCCCAGAGAGCTTTTGTTTATATGGGGTTTAATATTTATCTTACTAGAAATTAAAATTTAAAAATTAAAAAATGTATTTATTAATTTATTTAAAAATAATAGCAGCCAGGAGCAGTAGCTCATGCCTGTAATCCCAACACTTTGGGAGGCCCAGGCGGGTAGCTGGCTTGAGCCCAGGAGTTTGAGACTAGCCTGGGCAACATGGCAAAACCTCGTCTCTTCAAAAAATACAAAAATTAGCCGGGTGCAGTGGCACATGCCTGTAGTCCCACCTACTCGTGAGGCTGAGATGGGAGGACGGCTTGAGCCTGGGTGGCAGAGGTTGTAGTGAGCTGAGAATATACCACTGCACTTCAGCCTGGTTGACAGAGCCAGACCTTGTCTCAAATAATAATAACAATAATAATAATATTAAAATAGCCCTAGATAAGATGGAGTGATGTCAGCAGGATGGCCAAATTGAGTTACCTAAAGCCCATCCTCTCCACAAAAAGGGACCAAAACAATGAATAAACAACGATATTTCAATTAAAATGACCAAAGAAGTACTCGGGAGAGCACTAGGGGAACAGCAAAATCCCTGTGGAAGACAAAAGTCCAGGGCAGCACCATAGAGAGGGGAGCAAGGTATTCTGCTTCTGCCACACTGTCTTCCCTACCAGGATCAGCCTGGAGCCAGAGGGGGCTTCTTAAGGGAAAAACGTAAGCTGGAGATCACCAGTGATCCCCATTGCTACCACAAATGCCAGAAATTCTTGCTATAGGAGAGTCCCTCTGTCCTCACAGGCCCTGAATCCAGTTTGGAGAGTAGAGTTCATACAGTTAACTTTGCCTAGAGTAGGAGCTCACCTTGAGCACCCCCTGCCCCCCACCCTCACATCCTAAGCTGCTGCTACTCAGCACCATCTTGAAACTGAACCTACTACTAGAATGTGCCCTTCCCTGTAGTCCAGTACAGGAATGGACTTTCTCCATTCCTGTAGCCCTGCCATCACTCTATCATGTTCACACAGGCACCTGTAGCACTACAATCCTAGCTGCCTGAAGCCTAGCCAGATGCAACAACTGAGACCTCTGCTCTTGAACCCATGTGGCACACTACCCTCCCAACCCCAGGAACAGCCAAAGCTGCACAGGGGGGAAACTGCCTAACTGCTGGCCAGTCCCCTCACCGGTACATACCTGCACTGCACAGCTAGCTGGCCAGCTGAACCTATGCACACCCACATCCAGCCCAACAACCAGTTCTACCGTGGTTCCATCCCTCAGACCGCTGCAGAACCACCCAGCCCTGCTGTGGCCACACACCACTGTGCCTGACAGCCAGTCTAGCAGCAGCCCTGCCCCAAAGACAGACCACTGCAGGGTTGTGTGGCCCTGCTGTACCCATGCTTGGCCTGATAGTTGGTCAAGCAGCAGCCCTGTACCCCTGGATTTCTCAGGAGAAATCCTGTAGGCCAGGAGAGAATGAGATGATATATTCAGAGTGTTTGGGGGAAAAAAATGAACCTGTCAGCCAAGAATACTATATCCAGCAGAGCTATCAACCACCAATGAAGGAAAAATAAAGACCTTCCCAGACAAGCAAAAGCTGAGAAAAACCCATCACCACTAGACTAGCCTTACAAGAAATACTTAAGAGAATGGTATAACTGGAAATAAAAGATTATAATTATTTTCATGAAAAGATGTAAAAGTATAAAACTCACCAATAGAGGTAAATTCATAAATCAAATTCAGACTAGCCCAGTGATTTAATGGTGCTATGTAAGTCTCTCAGTCCTCTAGTACGAAGGTTTAAAGTCAAAATGGTCAAAACCCGTGACACTTACAATTAGTAGCTAAGGAATACAATCACAGGTAAAAAAGTAAATTACAGAAACAAAAGAGAGAAGTCTAGAGTATTTTAATGCAACCAAAGTTAAGTTGCTATCAGCTTAAAACATTCTATTATAAGACTTTTAATGTTAGCCCCATGGTAGCCACAAAGAAAGAAAGAAATTACTGCAGAGGCACAAACAAGAAAGAGGAAGGAAACAAAGCTCAGCACTACAGAAAACCACCAAACCACAGAAGTAAATAAAAGAGGAAGAAAGGAACGAAGGATCTATAAAACCACCAGAAAAAAAAATTTACAAAATAGCAGGAGTAAGACCTTCTTTATCAATAATAGCCTTAAATATAAATGGATTAAATTATCCAATTAAAAGATATAGAGTGGCTGAACGGATTAAAAACAAGACCCAACTATATACTGCCTAAAACAGACTCACCTAACCATTAAAGACAAACATAGAATAAAAGTAAAGGGAGGGAAAAAGATATTCCATGCAAATGGAAACCAAGTGAGCAGGAGTAACCATGTCAGATAAAACAGACTTTAAGTCAAAAACTGTAAAAGAAGACAAAGAAGGTCATCAGACATTGATAAAGGGTACAATTAAGCAAGAGGATATAAAAACTATAAATACATCCATCCATCCAAGACCAGAGCGCCCAGATATATAAAGCAAATATTATTAGAGGTAAAGGGAGAGATAGACTGCAATACTATAACAGTAGGTGTTAAATGTAGTGAACTCCAAGTTTCTCTTCAAAGAATCAGTATGCCAGTATATTCAGCTCTCTTATTCTCTATTCTCCATTTTAAAGCTTAACTTCCTGGTTCTCTTCACCCTCTTGCCTCTAGCTTCAGTAAACAACCCCCTCCTAGCCTCTATCACCTGCTCTGACCTGAGTCATCCTGAGTCACCTGTTCTGTAACCGTCGTTCCCACCAAACTACTCACTGGGATTTTGGGCACAGACTTCCTCTGTTCCCTCTGTCAGTCTTTCTCTCTTTTTACATATACTTTTTGGGCTTCTCTTAGAAGCTCTTCCATAGGTTTATCTTTCCAGTTCTCTATCTTTTGTAATTTCTTGTTAATATCTTAGCCAAGATTGCGCCTACTGCATTCTGGCCTGGGCGACAGAGCAAGACTCCATGTCAAAAAAAAAAAAAAAAAAAGGTGTTCTTCATAGAAATAAAACAAAATCCTAAAATTCATAGGAAACCAGAAAAAAAAAATGAATAGCCAAAGCAATTCTGAGTGGAAAGCTGGAAGCATCACACTACATAACTTAAAAATATACTACAAATGTATAATAACAAAAACAGAATGGTACTGGCATAAAAACAGACACGTAGACCAATGGAACAGAATAGAAAGCCCAGAAATAAATTGACACACCTAAAGCCAACTGATTTTTGACAAAGGTGCCAAGAACACACATTAGGGGAGAAACTGTTTCTTCAATAAATGCTGCTGGGAAAGTGGGACATCCACATGCAGAAGAATGAGAGTAAATCCCTACCTCTCACCACATACAAGAATCAATTCAAAGTAGATTAGAGACTTAACATGGAAACCCAAAACTATGGAACTACCTAGAAGATAACATAGGAGAAATGCTTCATGACATGGGGCTAAGCTAGGATATTTTAAATAAGACTTCAAAAGCATAGGAAACAAAAGCAAAAATGGACAAATGAGATTGCAACAAACTAAAAAGCTTTTGCATAGCAAAGGAAACTATTAAACAGAGTAAACAGACAACCTAAAGGATGGGAAAGAAAATTTGCAAACTATACATCTGACAAGGAGTTAATATCCAGAATATATAAGGAACTTAGCAGCAAACAAAACAAAAAAACAAAAACCTGATTTTAAAAATGGGCAAAAGACCTTAACAGACATTTACTTCTCAAAAGAAGTCATACAAATGGCTAATGAGTATATGAAAAAATGGTCAACATCACAAACCATCAGGGAAATGAAAATCAAAACCACAATAGGTACCATTTCACACCACTTAGAATGACCATTATCAAAAAGACAAAAGAAAACCAGTTTTGGCAGGGATGTGAAGAAAAGGGGAACACTTACACAAGTTGGTGGGACTGTAAGCTAGTACAGCCATTGTGGAAAACAGTATGGAGGTTCCTTTAAAACGTAAAAATAGAACTACCATATGATTCAGCAATCCCACTACTGTGTACACATCCAAAGGAAAGGAAATTAGTATATTGAAGAGTTATCTGCCTTACCGTGTTTATGGCAGCACTATTTACGTTAACAAAAATATGAAACTGAGTCCTCAAAAATGGAAGAATGGGTAAAGAAAATGTGTATATCCAGAATGGAACAGTATCCATCCATTAAAAAAAAAGAATAAAATCTTGTCATTTGCAACAACACAGATGAACCTGGAGGATATCAGGTTAAGTGAAATAAGCCAGACACAGAAAAAAAAAATACTGCATGATCTCACTAATATGTGCAATCTAAAAAAAGGTGGGGGGAGTTGATATCATAAAATCAGAGAGTAGAACAGTGGTTACCAGAGACTGGGGAGGGAAGAGGTGAGAGAAGGATGGGGAGAGGTTGGTTTATGGTTCAAAGTTATAATTAGACAGGGGGAATAAATTCTGATGTTCTATTGCAGAGTAAGGTGACTATGGTTAAAAGCAAAATATTGTATATTACAAAATAGGTAAAAGAGATGCTTTTGAATGTTCTTACCACAAGGAAATGATAAATGCATGGATGATGAATATACTAACTACTCTGATTAGATCATTATACAACACAGATATGCATCAAAACATCAAACTGTACCTCCATAAATATGTAATGTGTCAAATAAATTTTAAAATAAAAAGAAAATAATAGCCCTAATACATTTTAACATCAATTTTTTTTTATTAAAAAAACTATATCTTCCAAAACAAAAAATTAGAAGAGTGGCATTGTTTTACATTTTCATAAATTTCTTTAATGTTGGCTTAATAGAAGACAGTGGGATCCTCTTATCTGTTTATGCAGTCAATATATTGTTTTGGTTAAAATATATAAAGACTATCTAGTCTTGCACAAATACATAGTTGGAAAAGCGAGGAGTATTGTGATAGCTTTCTCAGATAATCGGGAGATATTTTTCTTTGATGCTACACCAACACAAGTGGTGGTTAGTTACAATGTGTACTCTAAAACAGGGGTCCCCAACCCCCGGGCTGCAGACCAGTACTGATCTGTGGCGTGTTAGGAACCACGCTGTACAGCAGGAGGTGAGCAAGTGAGCATTGATGCCTGAGCTCTGCCCTCTGTCAGATCAGCCACGGCATTAGATTCTCATAGGGACGTGAACCCTATTGTGAGCTGCCCATGCCAGGAATCTAGGTTGTGCATGCCTTATGAGAATCTAACTAATGCCTGATGATCTGCAGAACAGTTTTACCCAAAACCATCACTGCCCCCCACACCCCATGCCCCCACCAGTCTGTGGAAAAATTGTCTTCCATGAAACCAGTCCCTGGTGCCAAAAAGGTTGGGGAACACTGCTCTAAAACATATTAATAGATTTTTCATATTCTGTTACATTGAAATCCTTTGGTCTATCTTGTACTTTCAAAGAATCTTCTTAGTCATGCATGATTTTGTAACATATCTTCATTAGTCATTTGTAAAATATTGGTGCATTTGTAAAATATTGCTGCATTAAGCAGATCTTCCCAATATTGACATACTACATTATATAATAATAGTAAAAATAAATTATTTAATATCACCTTTGATCTTAGAACAGTCTTTAAGTATTGGGAAGCTGTCAATAATATTACTCACGGTAGCATATAAGTTTTCTAAAATTCTAATTTCTGCTTGAAAGTTTAAATTTTTAATTGGCAACAAATACTCAATGGGTTGACTTTATTTTCAAGAAAATGTCTGCCAAATTACTCAGGTGTGAATACCCATTGTTTGACCATCAGTAATGCTTTGAAGTAAAAACGGTGTTCTGTGAAAAATGAAGCTAGCTTCTGTCTTCTCTTGGGACTCCAATCATTTATGTTAGACCTTACTGGCCATGTTCTACTGATTTATCATGCTTTTTCTGCATTTTCCAGCCTTTTATCTCTCTGTGCTTCATTCTGGATATTTTCTACTGTCCAATCTTTCAGTTCACTAATCATTTCTTTAGCTGGTCTACTACTGCAAACTCACCAACTGAGTTTCTTGATTTCAGTGATTTTTTGTTTCTAGAATTTCCACTTGATTGTTTTTAACAGACTGCAGTTCTCTGGTGAAAATCTCTACTTCTTATCTACTTCCTGGAACATATTAATCACAATTATTTTAAAGTCCATGTCTGATAATATCAGTATCTGGACTTGTTCCTATTGTCTATTTTTTCTTTTGGTCTTTTGGTAACTCTTATTTCTTGGTATGTATGCTAATTTTTAAAATAACATCAGGCATATTTAATAAAAAAATGTAGTGAGTGATAACTCATGATTGTTGTTGCTACCCTTCAGAGAGGATATTTTTTCCCCCTGGCAGTTAGGCTAAGGAAGTGGTTCTTAAACTTTCACTTGTATCAGAACCACTTTGAGGGCTTATGCAATACAAATTTCTGAGTACCACACCACCAGAGGTCCTGATTCAGCAGGTCTGGTGTAGGGGTTTGATAATCTGCATTTCTAATTAGTTCAGATGACACTGCTGGTCTGGGGACCACATTTTAAGAACCAGGAGACTAAGGCAAAGTACCTTAATCCACTTTGAGACTGAGCTGATTGGAAGCTAGGCTTCAGTCTTTTCAAGGGCTGGTCTATTTCTGGTAAGCCCTTAGAATGTAGCCCTTCAGTGGTTCTAAATCAAAGTCTGGGGTATCCGCTAGGCTCTCTTTCTGAACTCCAATCATTCCCTGAGTCCCATGAGACTACGAAAATCTTGTTCAGTTTCTCAGGCTCATAGCCACTGCTTTACTAATCAGCAAATACCTCAAGGGGAAAAGTAGAGCCAAATGTTGGGTTTACCCTTTTAAGGTTTCCTTCTCTCCAGGATCTTGATCCCTCAAGTTCTCACTTGCTTTGTAACTCTCAAGTACCTTCAAAAACTTTTTTCTTATATTTATCCAGTTTTTTCTAGTTATTCTCAGTGGAAGATTTTACATAAACAAAATATGCCACAGACTGAAGCAGAAGTCCCCAACCAGGCAATGTTTTTAATACTCATATTTTTTCCCTCAAGGTAAATTAGTAAATTGGAATTCCAATACGTGTGTCAATATGCTATAGTTTGGTAGGTTTGCATATTTCCTTAATATATTCCTCGCCTCTGAGTGAACTAAAAAAATTAAGTCCCAAAACTAAAGCTGTAGTCCAGATACTGGAATTGGTGAGAACTAACTTCCCATGAATTTCTGTCTAGATTACCAGCAAACCTACTCACGTGTTATTTCTACCTGCAAAACATACAGTATCACTATTATACTGAATTCTTGATCTTTATCTCTTCTTTGCATACAGGACAGAAGGCACAGTGAAAGAAAAAGGGCTCCCTTATCCTACTGCCTACTCTAGAGAGTTTTTTTGAATGAGAGAAACAGAGCTCATAAAAACCTGGTAGGTAAGATCAGGAATATTTTACCTGACTTGGAATCTTAAATATCTGAAATCACACATGTGAAATCACACTGCTTTTTTTCCCCAGGGGAAAAAACAGACAAAAATATGAAAACAAAAATCAACTAAAATTCCACCACATGGAGATAATCTCATTTTTATTTTACTGCATATAAGTCCAGATTGTATGTAAATATATACTATACAAACTATATATAGTTTTTTATAAACTATAAAACTATAAAAACTATATACTATGAATATCACACATATTATTCTGTAACCTGTGTCAATATATGAGAGTTTTACTATTTAAGAAAAAATATATAAAAACAAAACCCATAAATTCTAGTACTTGAACTGTAAATGTTTTTGAAGGAACATTTTCATTCATTTTTCTTTATCTCAGATGGGCATTCCAAAGATTACAGAAGTAATGTGCCTAACTTATAGCTGCGTTGAGAACATACTACGTTTTCAGTAGAGACTAAGTCCTTCTGTAACACTTTCTAAAATCTAGACCAGCTGGTCAGCAAACTATGATCTTGGGCCAAATCTGGCCTGCAACATTTTTGTAAATAAAGTTTTATTGGAATCACAGAGCAGAGTTTAGTAACTGCAACAGAGACAACATGGCCTGCAAAGGCCAAAATAATCACTATCTGAACCTTTATAGAAAAATATTGCTGACCCCTATGTAGAGCAAGCCCTCACTCCACACTCCTTGATTTTTCTGAGAAGCATTGCAGCCATCCATGAATCTGAATGCTACAGGATTCTTCATTGCTATGCAAAGAAGACAGATACAGTCTCACAAAACAGAAATAAAAATAATGGAAGCCATGGCTTCTCATCTATCCCCTCGCCTTCTGGCATCCGGAAAAAACCAGGCTAACACTCACAGTTTAGTAGCATGAGAAGGAATTCAGATGCCAAAGTCCTCTTATTACCATCTCTATCTACTATGTTTCCTAGAGGGCAGGAAGAATTTTTCTTTGTATTTGGTATGATATTGAGATTACACCATCAGTGGCATTCAAATAATTGATTACAGAGAATTAAGCATGACTTCAAAGATACACTTTGTACTTTGTCACTAAAGTTTATACTGCCCCTTCACACACTATAAATGGACAAATTCTGCCTCAAGAAGTTGTTTTGGGAGAATTGCTTGAGCCCAGGAAGTCAAGGCTGCAGTGAGCCATGATTGCACCACTGCACTCTAGCCCAGGGTGACAGAGTGAGAGCCTGTTTCAAATAAAAAAGAAAAGAAAAGAAAAATAAAAAGGAAGTTGTGCAAAACATCCAGCAAATCACCAGTGAATATTTTAAAAGTCACAATAAATAATAATAAAAGACCTAAACTGTCTTTTGACAGGTATAGTGTAGTGATAAAGTACCCTGGCATAAAAATCATACTGCCTGGGTTTGTACCATGGCTTCTCAGCTTACTTGGTAGGTGATTGTGGATAAATTATTTAAGCACTCTATACCCGAGTTTCTTATACAATGAAGATATGAGCAGTTGTAACAGATATATACAGATATATTAATAGAGTTGTGAAGATTAAATGCAAACCCATGTAAGGCACTTAGAATAGAACCTGGCACACGTTTGCTGCTACTACCATGACCAGAACTACTATCATCACGACCAACACTCTTACTACTACATTATTTTCATTGTCATATTAAAAGCTCATCAGTAATAATTTGGAAAATAAAGAAAGGATAGGTGTGCTACAATATTCATCACATCTTAATCAAAGAGTTCCCCTTAATTATTTTTACCAGGTATGGCTAACTCATTTGGAAGAGGACTTAATTCCCTTGAAATATTCTCCATGAAGGTTCATAGGGTTACCTAAGTAAAATAAAACTACTCCAAGTAGAAGAATGAAAAAAGAAATAATCATAATTTCCAAGGAGAGAACAACGCTGCTTTCTCTAGAATGATAACAAAATAAATTTTGTCCGGAATCCAATGGGAAATTGGGTTTTGAAGTAGCTTTAGAGTCCTATACCTCAAATCTGTTGAGGAGAGAATGGTATTTAAACATGTTCACTCCAAACAGGAAAGGAACTAAGTTGAGTATATAGCTTTTATAGATGTATCTTGTAGTATATGTCTTACTAAAAAAAAATTTTTTTTTTTTTTTGAGACAGAGTCTTGCTCCGTCTCCCAGGCTGGAGTGCAGTGGCGTGATCTCGGCTCACTGTAACCTCTGCCTTCCAGGTTCAAGCAGTTCTCCTCCCTCAGCCTCCCGAGTTGCTGGAACTACAGGCATGTGCCACCAGGCCCAGCTAATTTTGGTATTTTTAGTAGAGCGGTGTTTCCACCACATTGGCCAGGCTGGTATCAAACTCCTGACCTCAAGTGATCCCCTGCCTCAGCCTCCCAAAGTGATGGGATTACAGGGTAAGCCACCACAGCCTGGCCATAGAAATTTACTATATTTATATATTATATAGCTTATAATATATAAAAACATAATTAAAGACACACTATATAAATATCTTATAGTATATATCTAATACTGACCACTGAGGATGCTGTGGTCATTAATTACAGAATATCTAATGGTCTTATAAGATAGTTTATTATTCATTGAACTATATCTTTTTTTTTTTTTTTTTGAGACAGAGTCTCACTCTGTTGCCCAAGCTGGAGTGCAGTGGCACAATCTCAGGCTCAATGCAACCTCTGCCTCCTGGGTTCAAGCAATCCTCCCGCCTCAGCCTCCCTAGTAGCTGGGACTACAGGCGCATGCCACCACACTCAGCTAGTTTTTGCATTTTTTAATAGAGAAGATGGAGTTTCACCATGTTGGCGAGACTGGTCTCGAACTCCTAACCTCAGGTGATCTGCCCGGCTCAGCCTCTCAAAGTGCTAGGATTACAGGCATGAGCCACGATGCCCAGTCAATGTCCTGTGTATTAACATAAGATTACATCGACAAAAGTTCTTCAGAGATCCCAAAAAAACCTTCTTTAATATCAACCTGGAAGTACATATGGATAGCTACTGGGGGCCGGGGCAGGGGGACAGACTTAGGGGGATCACGGGAATCACAGACCTATGCCTACAGACTTTATGAATTCAAGATGTCATTTGATCTAATTCTAAGACTTCAGGTAGACACAAAAAATGTATTCCTATTTTACGGATGAGTCAATAAAGGCCTAAGGAGATGCTAAAACACCCAAGTAACAACGTTATATACCTAAAGGGATTTTAACCATGTTCTCCTGCTTCAGGTACAGCTTTTCTTATATTGCACCACAATGAACACTGTTTCCTCCACTCAGTACCATGGTATTTCTAGCTATGTAGATTTATGTAGCAAGACATTTCTTCTAGCAAATCCTGCAATATCGGGAACTAATGGATAACAATGTCCTGCATTAAACTTCTCCTAGCATCCCCTGACATTTCCCAAAAGTCTGTCATAATCAACACTCCATTCTTGGGAAAGTATGATTTTTACATTTCTAGAAATTTCCGTCAACATGCTATAAGACTGCCATGAACAAACTATAAACATTAAAAATATTAGGGATAAATTCTTCTTTGGAGGATGCATTTGACTCTACAGTTGCTAGGACCCTATGAGGTAAATTTTAGTTCAAATTTTCCTTGCTGTTCCTAATTGGGAACGGGAGGCTAATACTATGGTACAATAGAAAGAACAGGCACCTGGGTTCTAATTTTAGCTCTGCCATTAATTACTTGTTTGGTCTTAAGAGAATCACTTAATCTCTTGGAACTCTAGTTTTCTTCATCTGTAAAACAAAGGGGTAAATCTAAAATTTTAAAGATCCCATTTAGCTTTAAACCATGGTGAATCCAAATTTATACTGATTCTGAACAAACGGCCTCTAAGTCTCCTCACTAAATGTCTATTCTCAGTCTGGCCAAATACTACATTTCTTATATTTCATAGGTTACTTTCTTTAGTACTGACCAACAGAACTTTGTGTAATAATGGAAATGTTGTATACCTGCACAGCCCAATATGGTTGCCACTAGTCACATGTGGTCACTGAGCAGTTAAAAGAGGAACTAAATTTTAAATTTAATTTTAATTATTTAAATTTGAGTAGCCACACATGGCTACTGATTACCATACTGCACACCACAGCTCTAGAAGTCCCGAGAATCCAATTAAAAGACAATATTATCAAGCCCTCTCCTCAAACCTGAAAACCAGATCCAACTCATAAAACATAAACTTAACAAAATTTCATCAAGAATGCAATTTGTGGCTGGGCGCGGTGGCTCATGCCTATAATTCCAGCATTTTAGGAGGCCGAGGCGGGCAGATTACCCGAGGCCAGGAGTTTGAGATCATTCTGGCCAACACAGTGAAACCATGTCTCTACTAAAAACAGAAAAAATTGCATAGTGGCCTACACCTGTAATCCTAGCTACCGGGGAGGCTGAGGCACGAGAATCACTTGAACCTGGAAGGCAGAGGTTGCAGTGAGATCGCACCACTGCACTCCAACCTGGGCGACAAGAGTGGGACTCTGTCTCAAAAAAAAAAAAAATGCAATTTGTTAGTCAGCTAAGTTTAAAAGCAATTGATTCCATTTTCTTCTCAAAGTTCTCATTTTTCTCCTATGCTTCCTGGAGGCAGTATTACAGTAATCTTACATTTTTATATGTGGTACTTTAAGTAGTACGATATAATGCTGGGGTTCCCACCTTTAAAACAGTTCTATAGATATAGCAAATAGGAACAAGCCCACAGATACAGCACACTTTAGAGCTACTTTTTCCCAACTGCAGCATTTATACTCTGCTGTCTCTGTACACCTTTCCCTGTACCACCCTACTTTCCCTCTGCCCCCTTTGACAAAGAGCGCTCCAAGAAAACAGGCTGTTACCTCCTCGAGCAGGCCTGCATAGCAGAACGAAGGTCAAGAGATGCGTGGAAATGAATAGCAAGAAAGGTAAGTGGCTGCTGGGAAAGACTGCAGTCTCAGCACCCGGTCTCCCTTGGAAACTGGAAAAGGCTTGCACTGCCACTGCTATACAGCAAGCCAGAGGCAAAGCTTGCAATTTGCTAAGGAGCTGCTACTAAGGAGGAGGAGAAGGAAGGGGAGGAGAAAAGGGAAAGAAGGCAAAATCTTGGGCCTCGGCAGAGCCAATGCTGCTAATAGTTCCCAAAATAACATTCCATTAGATGCATGTTTTATACACTGTACCAAACCAATCAATACTACTTCTCATTTGACAGGGAGGTGAAAGAGAGAAATTCTTCCTCATGTGAAAGAAGACAGAGCAAAGAGAGATGCAGCATTCTCATTCTGGATCCTATTTCATCTGCCCTTGAGCTACCCTAGCTGCTGCATCCATCCAACTGAGCTGTAAATACTGCCTCACTTGAGGCTCAGGCATAGCCAGCTAGCAAATGCCAACAGCTGTGAAGAGACAGATAAAAAAGGAACACCTGACACACAGAAATGCAGGAACAAATTTCATATCTGCTATAAATGGGTTAAACCTAGATAGAGAAAGAGTGTACATACCACTCAATTTGATAAGCTAGCTACAGATCAGGAAGATTTCTAGATCTAATATGTGTCACATATCAAAATATGATCTGATTTCATAGTTTAGGACAACTGCATTCAAATGCTCATGTGTCATTTTTGGCCTCTCTAATTTGACACTGAGATCAGAGCTGATGTTTAAGCAACGAATCAAAGCTACAATTCCATTAAGAATTTTTTAAGAAAGAATTTCCCTCAGCCAAACTAAGCATTTCTTAAATCTAGACCTATAATTAACTGGCCCCAAATGTCAAGAGTGCTGAGTTTGCAGGGGCTGAAGTCAGCAAATTTTGTCTGTAAAGGGCCAAACAGTAAATCTTTCAGGTTTCGCAGGCCTACTCAACAGCTCTGTTGTGAGACCAAAGCAGTCACAGACAACACATAAATGAATAGGCAAGGCTGTGTGACTACTGCTTGCTGTGCTACACCAGCAGAAGGGAGCAGTTGCAACAGAAACCATGTGGCTTGAAAAGTCTAAAATATTTACTACCTGGTCCTTTGCAGAAAACATTTGCTGATCCCTGCTCTAGACACTAAGTTATTTATCACCAAGCTATGGCTCAGAGAAGTCCTTTTGCTTTAGAGAAAGTGTGAGTCTGGTGTTTCTGTGACCTATCTTAGATAACTACTATATCATCTTGAATTCTTTTCCATCTGAACATTTGTTCCATTAAAAACATGCCAGCCTCAAGTGCCAAAGCCACTTTCACAATGACAATGTTTTTACTTACATAGGTCACTCTACAGTTAGTTCACTGGTCAGAACAAGTGTTACCGATGGTAAGAATGGCAGATTCAAGCACCAACAAGGCCAGTGAGTGCTGCTTTATTTCACATACATCAGCTATACCAGCTGGACCTGGCCAACTGTCTCAAATATTTATCATTTACAACAAAGTAGACTAGACCAAGACAAATTCAGCACCACCACTCATTTTTTTTAACAAGACAGCTCAAGAAACTAAACACACAAAATGTATATGGAAATAACCTATATATCAAACAATAAGGGGAATGGTTAAATAAAGAACGTTCATATGATAAAATATAGACATTAAAAGACAAACTAAAAAGTACTATATATATGTAAGTTCCAAAATATTCATATCTGGAATATATAAAAAACTTTTGTTTTCCGGCGGTGATGACCTACGCACATGAGAACATGCCTCTCACAAAGGATCTCCTTCATCCCTCTCCAGAAGAGGAGAAGAGGAAACACAAGAAGAAACGCCTGGTGCAGAGCCCCAATTCCTACTTCATGGATGTGAAATGCCCAGGATGCTATAAAATCACCACGGTCTTTAGCCATGCACAAACGGTAGTTTTGTGTGTTGGCTGCTCCACTGTCCTCTGCCAGCCTACGGGAGGAAAAGCAAGGCTTACAGAAGGATGTTCCTTCAGGAGGAAGCAGCACTAAAAGCACTCTGAGTCAAGATGAGTGGGAAACCATCTCAATAAACACATTTTGGATAAAAAAAAAAAAACTTTTACCCATTTTTTAAAAAAGAACCAACCTAATGACAACAACAAAATCAACAAAATACATAATCAGGAATTCACAAAAAAGGAAACCAGAAAAGCATATAAACATAAGAGAAAATGTTGTTTCACTAGTAATAAAAAAAATGCAAATTAAAATGAGAAATGATTTCATCTTCCTTAGATTACCAAAAAAGCAGTAGCAGCAAAAAAAAAAAAAAAAAACATTTTAAGTCTAACCTAGTTGAAAAGAATGAGAAACTCACGTACATTGCTGGTGAGAGTAAAGAGGAGAGCAATCAGGCAGTGTCCAGTGAAGATGCACTTACCCTATAGACCCGGAAATTCCATTTGGAAATAAATACTGTTGAGAAACTCTTGCACGTTTGTGTAAGAAACATGAACAAGAATGTAAACAGCAGCATCATTAGTATTAGGGGAAGAAAAAAAAAAAAGACCTAAATACCTAAATGTCCATCAGCACAGGAAAAAAACAAAAACAAACTGTGGTATAATTGTACAATGGACTAAAATAAACATTTAGAATGAACAAACAGAATGCTAAGTGACAAGAGCAAGTTTCAGAATGATGTGTGCAGGTTATACCATTTATATAAAGTATTAAAACATGTGAAAGAATTATATAAGTATGCAAATGAAAAATAATAGTGATAAAAATTTGAGAATGATAAATAGCAAATTCAGGATAGTGATTAATTTTAGGCAGAGAGTCAAGAGATGAGACTGAGGAGAGATACACAGGAGCTTAGCTATATTTTATTCTTAATAACTGAAGCAAATATGGCAAAATATTGGGATTTGATCAGACCAGAAGATGGAGAGATTGGGTGTTTGTGATATTTGGTAACTTTTTGTTCATTTTTTTTTTTTTTTTGAGATGAGGTCTTGCTCTGCCACCCAGGCTGGAGTACAGCTGGCATGATCATAGCTCACTACAGCCTCGACCTCCTGGGCTCAAGTGATCCTCCCACATCAGCCACTTGAGTAGCTGGGATTACAGGCACAGGCTCCCAGGCCTGGCTAAAATTTTTTTTTCTTTATAATTCTCTGTAGAGATGAGGTCTCACTATGTTGCCTAGGCTTGTCTTGAACTCCTGAGTGCAAGTGATCGTCCCACCTCTGCCTCCCAAAGTGCTAGTATTATAGGCATAAGCCACTGCACCTGGCCAATAATCTTTTAAAAGAAAAAACCATATATAGCATGATCTCAAAATAAATAAAATATATAAAGATGTTAGCAGTGATACTGCTGATGGTGAGAATACGGGCAATTTTTATTTTCTATTTAAAATACAGTTACTGTGGGAAATTTTGTAAACTTTTTAAAAGTTAAGGTTAGAAACTTTTAACTTTGAAAAATGATCATTCATATTTAAAGGACTGTTCCAAACAGTAAGATATACATAAAAGAGATGTATTTGTATTTCACACTTTTTTTTATTACCATAGTTCATAGTGATATAGAAAGCACAGGTACTCCTCAGTATATGCTAAATACTAAAGGAAGCTAAATATGCCAGAAAAAAATTGGTCCGCCATAGGGGGCAGAGAGAGAATAGAGGTCAGAAGTGGTAGAAAAAGGAGTTCTAGCTTGCGTAAGTAGGCAATCAGGAAAAGAACCGTGTTAGCATAGGTGGACTCTCTGTATTACGACCAGTAGATTCACAGACTCGTCTACTCTCACCAACTCCTAGAAATCGGTCTCCAGCTCCTGTAATCACTAGGATGGCCTCCAATGGGGAAAAAGGGGGTATCTGGGGAAGCAGAAAAGCTCTTAAACCTGCGGTTCTTAACCTTTATTGAAATCTAACCCATCTTTAACAATCAGATAAGAAATGTAATCTCCTACCCCTAAAAAAGCACTTACGTATACACAAAATTTGGCTAGCAATTTCAGGGATTTCTGAACTTTCCATTAGCTCAGATTATGAAGGAAAGGATCTAGAAAGAAAGAACTCCCTAAAAGACCTAAATTAGATTTATCTTCAGAGAAAGCCTCTAAAATAAGTCCATTATTTTCAATTTCCAATTACCCTACTTTGCAGATGAATCAAATTCCTCTAAGACTCGGTGGCATATTTTTTTTTCTTTTTTGAGTCAGGTTTCCTGAGGTAAGTTTACATATGGTAAAATTTGCCCTTTTTAGCAAATAGGTCTGTGAGTTCGAATTTTGACAAATGCATAAAGTCTCATAACCGTCACTGTAATCAAGATACAGAACAATTCTGTCACCCTCCAAAACTCACTCATGCTACTTGGTAGTCACCCCAGTCCTAGCATAAGGAAAATTTTTTTTAACTTCTATTTTTTATTTATTTATATAGGTAAACTCATGTCACAGAGTTTGTTGTACAGATTATTTCATCACCCAGGTACTAAGCCTAGTACCCAATAGTTATTTTTAAAACTCACTGTTGAAGAAACACATTGACATTTTCTCACACTAGAAAGTAATATGTAAACCAACAACTGCCTTAGCTCATTAAGTCAGATGTTGGCCACTATACTAAACTGTAGATTATAACAAAAAAAAGTGCTATTCTACCCACAACTAACCACCATTCTCGAAGTTCTAGGAAGGTAGGGACTACACTTTATCATTACATCATTAAAATTTAGCATTGTGCCTACCCTTTATTAGGTACTCTAAAACAATTATTGAACTGAATTAAGGTTATGGATGAAATTCAGAATCTGAGCTATTCAGTTTTGTTTTAGAGTTGACCCTAATTCCCTACATATTTATTTACCATTTTTAAAGTTTGGTCAATAGTGTACTGGTTCATGTGCTCATTTTGTTCATTCTATTCAACCAGTTTCCCATTTTACCTTCCCTTTCTTTTTTTTGAGACAGAATCTTGCTCTGTCACCCAGGCTGGAGTGCAGTGGTCACTGCAACCTCTGCTTCCTGGTTTCAAATGACTCAGCCTCTCAAGTAGCTAGGACTACAGGCAAGCGCCACCATGCCTGGCTAATTTTTTGTATTTTAGTAGAGACAGGATTTCACCATGTTGGCCAGGCTGGTCTTGAACTCCTGACCTCAGGTGATCCGCCCGCCTCAGCCTCCCAAAGTGCTGGGATTACAGGCATGAGCCACCGTGCCCAGCCACCACTTTACCCTTCTTTACCTATTCCAAATGCTCTGTTCTGAAGCAAGATCTTGTAAGGGAGCTGGACATATTAAGTACTGATAATTAAAATTTAAGACAAAAATTGCCACAAAGAGATAGCTCTGGAGAGGAAATCTGAGGAGTATCAGGAATAAAATGTTGCAAGGGGATGATCTGGGCAGAATCTAAAGAGAATAAGAGACTTCCTAGAAAACAACTGGCTAGCCATATGTAGAAAGCTGAAACTGGATCCCTTCCTTACACCTTATACAAAAATTAATTCAAGATGGATTAAAGACTTAAATGTTAGACCTAAAACCATAAAAACCCTAGAAGAAAACCTAGGCAATACCATTCAGGACATAGGCATGGGCAAGGACTTTATGACTAAAACACCAAAAGCAATGGCAACAAAAGCCAAAATTGACAAATGGGATCTAATTAAACTAAAGAGCTTCTGCACAGCAAAAGAAACTACCATCAGAGTGAACAGGCAACCTACAAAATGGGAGAAAAGTTTTGCAACCTACTCATCTGACAAAGGGCTAATATCCAGAATCTACAACGAACTCAAACAAATTTACAAGAAAAAAACAAACAACCCCATCAAAAAGTGGGCAAAGGATATGAACAGACACTTCTCAAAAGAAGACACTTATGCAGCCAAAAAACACATGAAAAAATGCTCATCATCACTGGCCATCAGAGAAATGCAAATCAAAACCACAATGAGATACCATCTCACACCAGTTAGAATGGCAATCATTAAAAAGTCAGGAAACAACAGGTGCTGGAGAGGATGTGGAGAAATAGGAACACTTTTACACTGTTGGTGGGACTGTAAACTAGTTCAGCCATTGTGGAAGTCGGTGTGGTGATTCCTCAGGGATCTAGAACTAGAAATACCATTTGACCCAGCCATCCCATTACTGGGTATATACCCAAAGGATTATAAATCATGCTGCTATAAAGACACATGCACACATATGTTTATTGAAGCACTATTCACAATAGCAAAGACTTGGAACCAACCCAAATGTCCAACAATGATAGACTGGATTAAGAAAATGTGGCGCATATACACCATGGAATACTATGCAGCCATAAAAAGGATGAGTTCATGTCCTTTGTAGGGACGTGGATGAAGCTGGAAATCATCATTCTCAGCAAACTATCACAAGGACAAAAAACCAAACACCGCATGTTCTCACTCATAGGTGGGAATTGAACAATGAGAACACATGGACACAGGAAGGGGAACATCACACACTGGGGCCTGTTGTGGGGTGGGGGGAGCGGGGAGGGATAGCATTAGGAGATATACCTAATGCTAAATGACGAATTAATGGGTGCAGCACACCAACATGGCACATGTATACATATGTAACTAACCTGTACGTTCTGCACATGTACCCTAAAACTTAAAGTATAATTAAAAAAAAAAAAAAAGAGAGAGACATCCTACAAAACAAGGGAGGACAGCATTGCTTGCAGGACCATTCTCAGATTTTAAGCAGGAGTCAGTGATTGGATGAGATTTGCATATAAGAAAGATCACTAATGCTGCACTGTAGATGGTGGAATGGTGGGTGGGGCAGGGGAGAGGAAGGCCCAGTTAGGAGGGCCTGAGTTAACAGAAAGAGAGGAGAAGATGGAATTGAAGGATTCTTAAGGAGAATGACAGACAAGACTTGGTGACAGACTAAATATGAGAAGTAAAGAATGAAAAGCCTTCTAGTTTGATTTCCAAGTTCTCAGTTGGGTGACATGTAAGACAATTAGCAGAGATTTCTAAAAAAAAAAGTGAGAACAAAGACTTTCTCTTGCCTTTTTAAGGCTAGAGGAAAGAAAGATTTGGTTTACCTGTTGGCTTATTCCCTCTTTCTAAAGAGGACTTGAGAATTCTTACAGAAATACATGCCTATAACAATACTTTAAATAGATAAATAAAGGAAATAAGAAATAAGGAGATAAAGTAACAGCCAGAAATGGCTATTGTTATGGAGTGCCTACATGAAGTTAGGCACTGTCCTAAGTAAGTCCTTTACATGTAGTACAATGAACTTCTGCAAAGAAGTTTGAGCTGGAGAGAGAGATCTGAGTGCTAGCTGCAGCAATCAGAATGGATGAGGTCAGCTAGGGAGAGTCCTAAGGAGAGAAAAGAAGGAAGCCTAAGGAACAATGCCTAAGGTGTTTACAGAAAAAAAAAAGGGCTAAAAAGAACACAAAGAAGGAGCAATCAGAAAAGGTAGAAGTGAGCCAGGAAAGAATAATATCAGAGAGGTTATGGTAGAATAAAAATTTAGGAAGGCAATAGTCAACATTATAAATTACTGCCAGGATTCAAGGTAAAAGATGAAGTGACTAAGGAATTTAGTAATTAGGAAGTTTACAGGGCCCTTTGCCAGAAAAAATTCACTGGATTGGGGGGTGGGGCAGAATTTCTATTTCAATATGTTGAACAATGAATAGAAGGCCAGGAAATGGATAAAGTGAAATTGGAAGACTGTTTCAAGACTAACAGTGAAGGGAAGAGTGAGACATGGTAACCCTAGAGAGCAGTGCAGGGTCAAAGGTGAATCCTATTACGACAGGAAAAATAAACAACTGTCAAGGACAAATAAAATCATTGTGCAGGTGTATTTTTGTAATAGATAGAGCTAAACTTGCAGTTTTGCTTCCCAATGTTTATGAATTTTGTATGCTAAGTGTTCTATTAAACACTGTCAGTTTCATTATAAAGAAATTTAGTTCTCAAAGGATTCTTGAGCTATTACTATATTTTATTTACACGTCAATGATTAATGAGCCATTTTCAGCACAAGTGCGCAAGGACTGTGAATCATACTCTAGTTCCCTTTATCAGGTTAGAAGACTAGATTTCCTTAGAAAAAATAAGTTTAAAAGCTAGGTCAGTATACTATCCAGTATTATTTAAGAGACTCTGAGGAAGAGGAAGAAAAATCACTGTTTAAAGAAGAATCAGAAACAAGCCTTCAGGTAATTGCTGTCAGCCAATTCCATTTTTAAAAATACTTCTTAAAATAGAAATATGCCTGCCCAAGGCTCTGGAACTCTCCCAAAGATAAGCTTCTTATATTCAGCAACCTCAGCCAACCCTGGACAGCCAGATGACCCATAAGACAACCTCTCATTTGGTTCTCAAATCAAAAATAAAAACAAAAAAACCCTATTTCCCATCTAGATTTCAGAGAGGCTAGCAAGTTTTCAATTTGCTTCACTTTCAGAAGTGATATTTCCCTATACAAAGACTCATTTCCTAGAAGTTCTACTTTCCCTTCAAATAAATATCAAGAGATTCTAACCATTGTGCTTATATTGCCAAGCTCATGGTATACAAATATCCAGTGAAGACTGACCCCTTGGACACATTTTCTTGGAGGTGTAGAAGAGCAAGCATGGGCCTCAAAGTCCAAAATACCTCGTTTTGAATTCTGGCTTTTCATTACAAATTCTGTGACTGTGGACAGATTCCTTAACCTAGCTGAGCCTCAATGCATTCTCTTACGTGAATTAAGAAAAGAATATTACTTATCTGACAAAGTTACAAAGATTAAATGCATCTAGCAGGGTACTTGGCTTATAGTAAGTTTTCAAAAACATTAATTCTCTTACAGCATTTAAACCTTTCATATACTTAAAGGCCAACTCAATCTCCTCTGGCTCCACGAAGCCCCTTCTGACTACTCCATCCTATACCATTCATCTTCTCTGAACTCTTAATATACCTACCTAAACACAATTTTGCTCTCAAGGACATATTATTCCTTAATATACACTCATGCCTTACTATGTGTACATTTGATGTCTTGGATCATGAGAGCACTTGGGCATGTCCCTTTTTTATCATACAGTTTTTAACACAATATTGAGCACACAACTAAGGCAGTCACTGATGACTTAGAATGCTATTATTTTATAATCTAATATTCCCTATAGATCTCCTAACTCCACCAATTAGCTGAGTAAGAAACTGAACAAGAGAAGTTAAATGGCTTGCCTGAGAAGGCATAAATTGTGGGCTTAGCTGGAGAGTAAACTAGGTATCCTCTCTTGCAATCCAGGGAGCTTTATACCTTGTACCTGTCGCTCTTGTGTGAAGAAGTGCCAGGGTGAAAGTGCACAAAGGGCCTTCATGTGCCAAAAAAAATCTGCATTCCCTATATTAAAACACTTAAATGGAATGGGATAGAAAGGCTCATCTGCGAACTCATCCAAACACAAAACGGTCTTTGCTAGCTTCACACTCAAGTAGATCAATAGACGTTCTTCTGCTGCCATCTTATGGGCATAGAAGATCACTACACATGGGCTTATTTTCATTTGAGAAATAATTTTATTCAATAAACATTTACCCATCATCTACTATGTATTAGGCTCTGTGAAGAAAACCCAATTAAAAGCACCCTAAAGAAGCTCAGAATGTAGTAATGAAAAGCAACAACATACCATTTAATTAATTAGTAAACCAATCCTAAGACAGTGTTACAAAAAAAGAACACTGAAGACAGAATACTAGTTTTAGCCTGGGGCTCAGGTGTAGCAGGGTAGTCAGTAGTGGGTTTTAATTTGCAGGAGTTCTTACAGTATGAATACAATTTTGTTAAGCAAAGAAGGTGAGAAAAAACTATTCTAGAAAGAAGGTCACGCATGGACAAAGGAAGAGGGTCATGAAAGTAAAATGTACAGGAAATAGGCCTAATCTTTCTACCTGAGTAAAGTGACGCAATTACCAGGAAGAAGAGTTGAGAGAAAGGGATAAGAAAAATAGAGAGAAAAGTATAGTCCTGGGTAGGCTGAATTCAGAGTTTGGTGAGTGCTCTCTCTACAGAACTAAAATGACTAACGATCAGCAGGATTTTCTATATTGCCTGATTCAGCATGTGTTTGTATTCTGTCCAGAAATTGGTCCTCTGAACAAGATCAACTAGGAAACTTCTCATCTTATACACATGGAAAAACATTAACTTCCATTAATATTCAATCTGATTGTAGAGTGTGTAGTAAGTAAATAACTTTTACCCATACCTGATTGAACTAGTCTCTTCATTTTATAATTTCAAAGGCCAACTCAAGTTGCAATCTGCCCCTTCACCTATGTAAATGAGCTTCTTTCTGTAATTGCCCTAAATATCCAACAATACTTTTTTCTGTTTTACTTATTTAAAACATATATAATATTTAAGGCAAACAAAAAAGATATAAAGAATAATAAACCATCACCTGTGTCTTACTATCCAACTTAAGAATAACAGTGCCAATTCCAGTTTCTTCTTTAAAAGAGAAGCATGTTTCTACTTCTTGAAACTCTTAATTGTCCTCTGCTACCCTAATCTTTTGGGTCTGATGTTTATAAGTCAGTGCACATGTTTAAATTCATTAGTAATGTGAAGAAACACTAGAGAAGTTCCAAACTGGTTATATCTTATTCTTACCACTTGCCTTCTCCCACTTCCCCAACCATACCACCAAATCAAAGTATGCAACCAAGCCAGTTTCCCAAAGAAACATGCATCTAGGACATTAAAGCTATCAAACAAAGAAATTTTACCTGCTGCTTCTGACATTCCAGGCCCAGCACTTGCTGATGTCTCAACTCAGCACACTGGAGTTAGCATCCAAACACAGAGTACTAACAAACTATGGCAGAGGCTTGTCTCAATTCCCCAGAACACCCAGATCAACTTCCTGTGCCTCTGATTTCCATAAAACCAGGAATGGCAAGGAACTCTATTGCCAGATCAAATCATTCCAGGTGAAAGCAGGTCAAGCTATCTCAGACACACCTTGCCACACACTTGTGCAGCAACTTTCCCAGAAGCCCAATTTTCAACAAACAGGTGGCCACTCCTCTGACTGTCCTTCTCTAAACACTGGAGCCCATTTTATGAGATTGTACCAGCAACTGTCCTTTTCTAACATGGGAAAATCAACTGATAAAAAACAAGGGAGGGTTGAATGAGGGCTGAAAATTTTGGTCCCTCCTACATGTCACCAATATTCACAGCTCTGAAAAATGAACCACTTTATCAGAAGGAGATTAACCGCAAAAACATGGCTGATAAGGGCTTTTAGTAGCAGGTGTTGGGTGACTGTCTTCACTCTGAAGTGGCTGGGAACTGGGATAGAACTATCAGAGGTTCTGCTACATAAGGAAATGGATTCTTGTCCTTTCTTCTAAATGCACGTGTCCTGAGGGGGAGGGGGAAACACTTTAAGCTTCCACTCCTGAACTGTTAAGTGGTGGGCTGAGAAACGCATGACAAATGCCCTTATCTCTGGAAAATGAAGTGAGATGGTGTTGGCAACAGCCGTGTTTAGCAACAGAAATACGGAAAAAAGAAAATAGACTCTTTTATTCAAGGCTCTAAATCTCATTGCTTTAACTCTTAGTAGACACCATCTAGGCCTCCCTTCCCAGAACTGTTTGGTGGAGATTAACAGTACTAATGTTATTTTTAAACAGCTTTATTGAGACATAATTCACATGCCCATTAGGTGTACCATTTAAAGATTTTTAGTATATTCAGATTTATGCAATCGTCACTATAACCGATTTTAAAACATGCTCACCTTAGTATCAAAAATATCCACTACTGCATAGTATTGAGTGTACTTGTTTGCAAAACAACAGAAATTGACCTCACTTAGGCAGGAAAGGAATCTGTGGGAGGGAATTACTAATATTTTTAGCATAAAGAATATCACTGGGATAGGAGGCCCAGGCTCAAACTTTCCTGCAAGGGTCAACTGCTACCATTATCACATTCAGCTCACTAGCTCTTGCCTCATATAAATGTTCAAATGCTTAGATTCCTGGACACTGCTTGGTGAGGGGAGAAAAGGCATAAGAAGGTACCTGTGTATGGCTGCCACTTACTTTGTCACCACAATGGAGATTTTCCCTTAGGGCTGCAGAAAATAATGTATAACATTATAAATAATTGGTAAGGACATCAGAGGCAGGACAAGTGAGCTTAAATTTAAAAATTAAGTCTCCTAAACTTGAGATATGGAATCCCTATAGCATGTAGGGTTTAAAAATTAAACATCCCTAAAATCTAAAATGGTATTAATATTTAGCATTTTAGGGTGGATCTTATTTCCAAATGTATTAGCTCTGGAAAAGCTAGGAATGGATCTTAATGAAAGTCAAAAAAGCATTTCACTGGTAATGACATAAATAATTGTCATATATATCTCTAAATTGTTTTGTAGTTTGCAAAACACTTTCACATAGTCTGTCTCATTTGATCCTCACAATAGCTCCATGAGATAGATTTGGGAAAATCTAGGTTACTCGTAAATTATTTCTAATCCTCAAATACATGCAAACAAGGTAAGCATTATCCCTTTTTTACATATGAGGAAAGAGTCAGAAACGGAACTTGATTTATTTAACCAAAATCACACATATAAAAGGCCGAACTGGACTATTCTTTTTTTTTTTTTTTTAAAGAGATGGGGATCTCACTATATTGCCCAGGCTGGTCTTGAGCTCCTGGCATCAAGTGATCCTTCTGCCTCAGCCTCTCAAGTAGCTGGGATTACAGGTGTCAGCCACCATGCCCCATTTGAACTGGAACTCTTAAATCAATCCTGTGCATTTCCCACTAAGTCTAGCCATTCACAGTTATCTAGGGGTAGCCTCATCTCTCAGGCAGCAACATATCATCACTATTATTTCAAAGAGACATATTCTGAAAAAAAATTACATAGAGGTGCCATATGACACTGAAAGCAGTTTGTTTGTAAGGCATATTCAGCCTGGTGAAGCCTCTTGTCATTTTGCTACCTAAGGATTAGGGCCAAAGCACTAAAAGAATCACCTTTTTTCTTTCTATTCCAGAATTGTTCAGAGTCCCACAGCATAATCCTAATTCTATAAGCAATCCAGAGACCTCCAGAATTGTAATATAGTAGAAAATGTACCCACTGCTACATATGTTTCACTCTCTTCTTGTTCAATATTCATACTTAGGAAGAGAGAGCTTATTTCTATCAGTAGAGAAAAAACTTGGTAATGGCAGCATGGCCGCAGACTTTTAGATAACTAATCACTTTAGAACAAAACTGGAGAAAGATTGGAGTCGTTTGTGGAACCTCTTTGAGTACCTTTTTGAATTGACAACTGCCAGTCTTTAGCTTGGACACAGGGGAACAAATCAAATGACTTTTAAAAACCATAACTCAGAGTTTAAATTCTTGGTTTAAATTTTGAACATTCCAAAGATGATGCCAAATTAATCTGCTGACAGCTTCACATTAGTAGGTATAACTACCTAGCTTATAAAGACCCCAAGGGACTGAAGAAGGTCCATAAGTGTGGTATATATGACTCAGCCAGTACTCACTGTATCTTGACCAAGCAAAGCAGAGTCATATGTAATGTGAGCTATTTGGGAAAGACAATTTTAGCTTATTGTGGAGAAAAACTATTTTTAACCATTTCTACAAAGAAAAGAAAGAGCACAATTAAAAAAGAGGTAAAATTCAGGGTTGGGTGAGAGAGAAAAAGCTAAAGGAAAAACAAAAGAATCAAAGTCAGACACTATTAGACTCTAATATTAGCAATGGGAATTGTTTACATTTTGTTGCTAAGGAAAACTTGGAGCTTTGGAAAATGAACCCAACCACTACCCTATTGTGACAGCTGCTGCCTGGCCCTGGTATTTCTGCAGAGCTATCTGCCAACAGCTTGCCACTTGCCATTTCTGTCCTGTCAAATCAGTCCCTTTATAATCAGATGACCTTGTTGGTTTCTATAGTTCTCACAAGCAATCCAAAGACTGAATGGCAGTTATCAGAAAGCCCTAAAGATAGAGACTGTTGCATTCTGAGCTGTGGACTGGCCCCTGAGTCAAAACCTTTATTCTGAATGGATAATACTTAAATTCAATAGAAGAAATGGTCAGTAAATTCAATGAGGAGGAAAAGAAGGCCTAGGTGATGGTCTCTACTGTGCCTCTGACTCAGAGTGTCATATTAAGCAAATGACTCTATGCTCTTAGGGCCTCAGCATTCCCATTTGTAAAATAGGGAGCATATTGTTCTATTCCTTTCCATCTTATAAAGAGAATACATTCAAGCACACTTGAGCTTTTCAGGGGGGAAAAAAAGGAACTTCACAAATCCAAGATTATGCCCTTCTCAAAAAGGAATAAACTGTTTTACAAGTTCTGTACTGTGTATGCAAAACCATAAATTATCTAGAATCCTGCAAACCTTGAATCTCTATTATATTTACTCTTCAACGATCACAGCCTTCTTCACAGACTTACATTATAAGAAAGACTGTTGTCCCTATAATTAATATTCCTTCATGCCCTCCTGCTCCCTCTGCCCCATAATAACAGTAATCCTTTATCATTCTGGAACTTTGGAAAATACAGAAAAAATAAAAATAAAAAGTATCCATAATACACCCAAAAATCCAATATTAACATTTCCATGTTTATTACTATTTGGCATCATAATGTATTCTTTTATATCTAGCTTTGCTCATTTAGCAACATATCTGTAGTTAAACTGAGTAAAGAACTGTTAGCACAAGGGTGTAAAGCTGAGACTGATCATTGGCCAATTGGTATGCACATACCCACTTATCCCCTCTTAAGATAAAACATTCTCAGAAAAGGAGAGCCAGCTGTGCAATTTAATGGTAAAACCCACTCCCCAACTGAAGTGCTTTAATTACACTGCAAATGGAGATTATTTCTGAGAGAGAACCTTCTACTACTTTGGTCTTGCTGTGGCCAGTTTTAAAGCCCCATTTATCCCAATGCTCACTAATTGTTTGAAATTGGACCTGTGAACACAGGCTTCAGGCTTTTATCAAGGTTTCCCAGTAGGAGTCAAAATGCTTCCACAATGAGCTGATTACAGAGAAAGCTGCAGCTTCAAGAGTAGAATTAGCATCCAGCATGCTCTTTCAGAAGGAAAATTTAGCTGTTTTCAAAACATCTGATTTTTTTTTCTTTCAGTTTATGCTTGTCTAGCCAGAGAAACTAAATGGCTTTAATTCTGTAAAGGCTTAAATGATATGTTTTATTTGATCAAGTCATTCCCCTGCTGGAAATCCCTCAATTGTATTCCATAGCTTTGAGACTAGAAATTCAAATTTCTTAGCATAGTACAGACAAAAATCTACATGATTTGGTTCCTGCCTACCTCTCTAGCTTGACAATTTCCAAAGTTTCTCCAGTGGAATACCAGTCTTGGGTTTCTTTGAAAAACAAAACAAAACTACTAGATGGACTCAGAAATTTGGAAAATGCTGCAAATTCCCTAACCACTCCCACGTCCCACTCTCCCCATTCCCCAGAGAGGAATGACCCTAAGAAAGCTTTTGAGTGATCCTATTTATTCCCTCAATTGTATTCCATAGCTTTGAGACTAGAAATTCAAATTTCTTAGCATAGTACAGACAAAAATCTACATGATTTGGTTCCTGCCTACCTCTCTAGCTTGACAATTTCCAAAGTTTCTCCAGTGGAATACCAGTCTTGGGTTTCTTTGAAAAACAAAACTACTAGATGGACTCAGAAATTTGGAAAATGCTGCAAATTCCCTAACCACTCCCATGTCCCACTCTCCCCATTCCCCAGAGAGGAATGACCCTAAGAAGGCTTTTGAGTGATCCTATTTAATTTTGTTTAATCCATTGTTCCCAAATTCATTTAGCCACAGAATACTTTTTTTTTTTTCCTTCATCTAAATCTGTTTCCACAAAAGACACTTTCAGATATGCTAGCCTGGCCTCACCTTCTCCCAGCTTCAGGCATTCTGAACTTGTTTGTTTCTTGAATTTCTCATGTTTCCTCTCAAATACCATCCTCCTATTACTACTTATAGTTAACTTAAAGTTGCCTTTCAAAATTCAACTCCAGTTACCTCCTCTGGTAGGCCTTCCTTGTCACCCTATTCAATCTAATTTAGATTCCCCTCCTCTATGCTCTCATAGCAATCTATACATATCTTTACCACAGCACTTAACAATTATACAATAATATTTGATGTACTTATTTGACTTCCCATAATAGTTATATCCTCAAGGGTAGAAAAAATGTTTTCTTTCTTTCTTTTTTTTTTTTTTTGAGATGGAGTCTCGCTCTGTCTCCCAGGCTGGAGAGCAATGGCGCAATCTCAGCTCACTGCAACCTCTGCGTCCCAGGTTCAAGTGATTCTCCTGCCTCGGCCTCCTTAGTAGCTGGGATTACAGGCACGTGCCACCATGCCCAGCTAATTTTTTGTATTTTTTTAGTAGAGATGGCGTGTCGCCATGTTGGTCAGGCTGGTCTTGAACTCCAGACCTCAAGCAGTCCACCCGCCTCGGCCTCCCAAAGTGCTGGGATTACAGGTGTGAGCTACTGGACCCAGCCAAAAAAATGTTTTCTTTGGTCTCGTATCCTTAATGTCTCTGTGCCTGGCACATGGCAGTCTCTCAATAAATGGTTGTTAGGTGCTTTATATATGTGGGTTCCCATTTAAACAAGATTCTATATAGATAATACTATTTTGCAAAATCTTATACTTTAAAAACCATTCCTGATTCATTTACCAAACTGTTCCTATACGTGTGTCTATCTTCAATACAGCTGGTCAACTGTAATTCTTGTTACCTATTCCAATAATAGTTTGAGGTTTCTTTCTGCATTTAAAACTTTTATTACATGTTAGTCTGCATCTATGAGTTTGTCATAGAACTCTTCCCTCATGGTGACCTTCAGTGTTTATGTTTTATGTGAATTCATCTTTGGTTGAAACTGTTTTTACAGTTTACAGTCTTTTACTCTGGATTGCAGATGTGTTCCTTCAAGGTGGTTTTGAATTTACTTGTGCCAGGGCCCCAGAGTTTCAAGAGTACAGACACAGTTTCTGTATTAAATCCTTGACTTTTGGGATTTCTAAACTATACGAATAGTGAAAATTTCTCACAAGTGAGTCATCTGCCCTACCCTGACGCTTGTATAGATTTCCTTCCTTGCCACTCCTTTGAGCTATGGGCAAAGTACCCTTTTCATGAACCCTTTGAGATTTCTAGCTTGATATAGTTTCTTAGTTACAACTTGCAGCCTTAGTAGGTCCACAGCCATGCGTTCTACACACACGGCATTAAAATCTGAGTGTCCAGACCTTATGGTCTACATATAGGTCTGACACCAACCCTGGGTCACTCAAACTACTCTGGCTTTTGAGTACTCTTCACTTTTGTCATCTGAGAGTTCCCTATTATTCTTCTGAATTCAACTATGAATTTCTGTTTATAATGGGCAAGGGAGCCTTATAAGTTCCATCTACCATGTCGGAATTATCCTCCTAAACGTATTTTCAAACCATTCACATTTCTTTCTTTCTTTCTTTCTTTCTTTTTTTTTTTTGAGACGGATTCTTGCTCTGTCGCCCAGGCTGGAGTGCACTGGTACAATCTCGGCTCACTGCAACCTCCATTTCCCAGGCTCAAGCGATTCTACTGCCTCAGCCTCCTGAGTAGCTGGGATTACAGGCGTGCATCACCACTCCTGGCTAATTTTTGTATTTTTATTAGAGACGGGATTTCACTGTGTTGGCCAGGCTGGTCTAGAACTCCTGACATCAAGTGATCCAACCCCCTCAGCCTCCCAAAGTGCTGGGATTACAGACATGAGTCACCGTGCCTGGCCAAGATCATTCACTTTTCTCTATCTCTTCTACCATTATCTCAGTGCAAGCCACTGTTCTCTCTCATGAGCCTTTCTTCTGCAGTGGTTTCCTTACTGGTCATCTCACACCCATTCTTGTGTATTTTTCCTCATCCAATTCATATGTAAAACTGCAGCCAGAGTTTAAAAGTCAGAACTTTAAAAACTATAGGTCACGTCATGGTACTTTTTGCTTAAAATCTTCTAGTGGCATATGACCCAGAAATTCTACTCCTAGGTATATAATCAAGAGAAATCAAACCAGATGTCCACACGAAAACTTCTACACAAATGCTTGTGGTAACATTATTCATAATAACTAAAAGGTGGAAACAACTCAAGTGTCCATTGACTTATGAATGGACAAACAAAATGTGGCATTATCTATATGATGGAATATTATTCACCCATGTAAAGGAATAAAGTACTGATACATGCTATCATATGGATGAACCTTGAAAACATTATATTAAGTAAAAGAAGTCAGGCACAAAAGATTGTATTTTTATTCCATTTATATAAAATGTCCAAAATAAGCAAATCTATAGACAAAAAGTAGATCAGTGGTTGCTTAGGCCTAGGGGGAATAAGGAGATTGTGGGGGATAGCTACAGGGTACAGGATTTCTCTCTAAGATGATGAAAATGTTCTGTAATTTACTGTGATGATGGCTCCACATATCTGTGAATATACTAAAAACCACTGCATTGTACACCTTAAATGAGTGAATTGTATGGTATGTGAATTCTCTCTCTCTCTCTCTATATATATATATGTATATAGCTCCTACCTACTCCTCAAGCTTCATCCTAGACCTCTCTCCCTCATTCTTTACTCTTAGTCACAATGCCTTCTCTGTTTCTCCAAAAGATCAAGTACCTTTCCACCTCAGTATCTTTTCAATTGCCAGATCTTTTGTTTGCAATGCCCACTCCCTTCTCTTCACTTAGCTGTTACTTAACCAGCAGATCTCAGGTTGAGCAGTATCACACCCTCATGAGAGCCTTCTTTCATCCTCCAGGAGAAGGGAAATCTTTTTTTTTTTTAGAGACAGGGTTGTGCTCTGTGGTCGAGGATAGAGTACAGTGGTGTTATAATAGTTCATGGTAGCCTCAAACTCCGGGGCTCAAGAGCTCTTCCCATCTCAGGCTCTCAAGCAGCTGGAAGCATGTGCCACCACCCAGTTAATTTTATTTTTGTAGACATGGGGTCTTGCTGTGTTGCCCAGGCTGGTCTTGAGCTCCTGGTCTCAAGTGATCCTCCCAACTTGGCCTCCCAAAGTGCCAAGATTACAGGTGTGAGCTACCATACCTGGCCAAGAAGGGAAGTCTTCTGTCAGCAGATTTTCGGTATGACACTGTTATAACAACTCATACTACTTCTTTATATTACACAAATATAATTATTTACATTTTTCTTTTTCACTAGCATATTTGTTTCACAAGGGCTCACATCATATTTGTCTGGTTCACTGATGTATCACCTGGGCTTCTCATAGCACCTGGCAACAGGTACTTTAAAATATTCAGTAAGTATTTTGAAGATGAATGAATGCTAGAACATATCCAGTGAATGAGTCCAACCAGTCTACATCTAACATCTCCCTACTTACTTATCTTGTGCCATTCCTAAAATGCACTTATTTTGACCTGTACTTGATGTACCACATTCAACTCATAATTCACTAATATTTTGATTTAACCCTTTGATTCATATATCTGGTCTCTGTTACAGGTACTATCTTATTGATTGTAGGTTACAACATTTCCAGAAGGCAGTAAAACTAAGTTTCTCCAAATAACAGTTCATGCAACAAGGTATTTAATAATGCAGTTTTATAAACTACCTGATTTCCCCCATCCTTTCTGGGATCATGCTCTTAATGATGAATTTAACTCATTTTACTTCTTTCAGCTCAGAAAGATTTTTTAAAGAGAGTTTTTGTCAGCTAGAGATTACTTTTGCATTTAGTTTCTAGGTGAAACTAATAGTATCTAAATTACATTTGAGCTATTAAGTATAGAAGCATTTACTATTCAACATTGATTTATTACTATTTCCTTGGCTGGAGACCAATTTTGAAAAGACAGTTATTGGCTCTGAAACCTGTTAGCCCAGAAATTAGTTTCCTTCCATTTTATGTAAAGAAATGAAAAAAAGAAAAAAGAAAGGACAGGAAAGAAAAGAAGAAGAAAAACACTATTTTCCAACTCAACATCTCCCTTCCTTCTCAAAATGTGTCTTTATAAAAAAAAAAAAAAGTGTCTTTATAATAGACATATTAGACCTGTCCTTACAATAAGCAAACATAAAAAGTTCGATTTGTATTGTATCTTGCATCTTGTTTAATTTGTATTGTATCTTTTATACTTACTACACATACATACATACTCACGTGGGACCTGATGGCTTCACTGCTGAATTTTACCAAACACCTAAAGAAGAATTAATACCAATCTTACTCAAACTATTCTGAAAAACAGAAAAGGAAGGAATACTTCCAAACTTATCTGATGAGGCCAACATTACCTTGATACCAAATCAGACAAAGACACATCAAAAAAAGAAAACTACAGGCCAATACTAGCAAACCAAGTTCAACAACACATTAAAAAGATAATTCATCATGACCAAGTGGGATTTATCCCAGGGATGCAAGGATGGTTCAAAGATACACAAGTCAATCAATGTGATATATCATATTGACAGAATGAAAGATAAAAACACTATGATCATTTCAATTGATGCTGAAATAGCATTTGATAAAATTCAACATCCTTTCATGATAAAAACCCTCAAAAAACTGGGTACAGAAGGAACATACTTCAACACACTAAAAGCCATATATGACAAACCCACAGCTATTATCATACTGAATGGCGAAAAACTGAAAGCCTTTCCTCTAAGATCTGAAACAAGACAAGGATGTCCACTTTCAACCACTGTTATTCAATATAGTGCTGGAAGTCCTACCTAGAGCAATCGGACAAGAGAAAGCAATAGGCCAGGCACAGTGGCTCACGCCTGTAATCTTAGCATTTCGGAAGGCAGAGGTGGGAAAATGGCTTGACCCCAGGAGTTTGAGACCAGCTTGGACAACACAGTGAGACCCCATCTCTATTTAAAAAAAAAAAAAGAGAGAGAGAGAGAAAGTAATACATGACATACAAATTGGAAAGGAAGAAGTTTGCAGATAGATAATCTTATATTTGGAAAAACCTAAAGACTCCACCAAAAAAACTATTAGAACTGAAAAATTCAATAAAGTTGCAGAATTCAAAATCAACATACAAAAGTCACTAGCACTTTTATTTGCCAACAGTGAACAATCTGAAAAAGAAATCAAGAAAGTAAACCCCCTTCTCCCTCTCCCTCTCCCCCTCCCCCTCCTCCTCTCCCGTCTCCCCACGGTCTCCCTCTCCCTCTTTAAACGGTCTCCCTCTGATGCCAAGCCGAAGCTGGACTGTACTGCTGCCATCTCGGCTCACTGCAACCTCCCTGCCTGATTCTCCTGCCTCAGCCTGCCAAGTGCCTGTGATTGCAGGCGCACGCCGCCACGCCTGACTGGTTTTCGTATTTTTTTGGTGGAGACGGGGTTTCGCTGTGTTGGCCAGGCTGGTCTCCAGCTCCTAACCGCGAGTGATCCGCCAGCCTTGGCCTCCCGAGGTGCCGGGATTGCAGATGGAGTCTCGTTCACTCAGTGCTCAATGGTGCCCAGGCTGGAGTGCAGTGGCGTGATCTCGGCTCGCTACAACCTCCACCTCCCAGCTGCCTGCCTTGGCCTCCCAAAGTGCCGAGATTGCAGCCTCTGCCCGGCCGCCACCCCGTCTGGAAAGTGAGGAGCGTCTCTGCCCAGCTGCCCATCGTCTGAGATGTGGGGAGCGCCTCTGCCCCGCCGCCCCGTCTGGGATGTGAGGAGCGCCTCTGCCCGGCCGCGACCCCATCTGGTAGGTGAGGAGCGTCTCTGCCCGGCCGCCCTGTCTGAGAAGTGAGGAGCCCCTCCGCCCAGCAGCCGCCCCGTCTGAGAAGTGAGGAGCCCCTCCACCCGGCAGCCACCCCGTCTGGGAAGTGAGGAGCGTCTCCACCCAGCAGCCACCCCGTCCGGAAGGGAGGTGGGGGTCAGCCCCCACCAGGCCAGCTGCCCCGTCCGGGAGGGAGGTGGGGGGTCAGCCCCCACCCTGCCAGCCGCCCCGTCCGGGAGGTCGGGGGCACCTCTGCCCGGCCGCCCCTACTGGGAAGTGAGGAGCCCCTCTGCCCGGCCACCACCCCGTCTGGGAGGTGTACCCAACAGCTCACTGAGAACGGGCCATGATGACAATGGCGGTTTTGTGGAATAGAAAAGGGGGAAAGGTGGGGAAAAGATTGAGAAATCGGATGGTTGCCGTGTCTGTGTAGAAAGAAGTAGACATGGGAGACTTTTCATTTTGTTCTGTACTAAGAAAAATTCTTCTGCCTTGGGATCCTGTTGATCTATGACCTTACCCCCAACCCTGTGCTCTCTGAAACATGTGCTGTGTCCACTCAGGGTTAAATGGATTAAGGGCGGTGCAAGATGTGCTTTGTTAAACAGATGCTTGAAGGCAGCATGCTCGTTAAGAGTCATCACCACTCCCTAATCTCAAGTACGCAGGGACACAAACACTGTGGAAGGCTGCAGGGTCCTCTGCCTAGGAAAACCAGAGACCTTTGTTCACTTGTTTATCTGCTGACCTTCCCTCCACTATTGTCCTATGACCCTGCCAAATCCCCCTCTGCGAGGAACACCCAAGAATGATCAATAAAAAATAAATAAATAAAAAATAAAAAATAAATAAATCATACTACTATTAAAAAAAAAAGTAAACCCATTTACAGTAGTTACAAATAAAATAAAATACCTAGGAATTAATCAAATAACTAAAAGATCTTTACAATGAAAACTATAAAACACTGGTGTAAGAAATTAAACAGCACACAAATAAAGGAAAGATATTCCATATTCATGGACTGGAAGAATCAATATTGTTAAAACGTCCATACTACCCAAAGCAATCTACAGATTCAATACAATCCCTATCAAAATACCAATGCTATTCTTGACAGAAATAGAAAAAATAATCCTAAAATTCATATGGAACTACAAAAGACCCAGAATAGCAAAGCCACCCTAAGCAAAAAGAACAAAACTGGAATAACATTACCTGACTTCAGATGATACCACAAAGCTATTATAACCAAAATAGCATAGTGCTGACATAAAAACAGACATATAGACCAGTGGAACAGAGTAGAGAACTCAGAAATAAATCCATACATCTACAGTGAACTCATTTTTGACAAAGGTGCCAAGAACATACATTGGAGAAAAGACAATCTCTTAATACACACAAATATAAAAGCTCCTTCCTTTGGATATTCAAAATAATATGAAGTCAAACTGAAATCTAAATTTTGATAAGATTTCACCTGGTCTAATCTTAACAAGGGATAATTATAGCCTTAGTCTTTAAGTACATTTGAAACTCCCAAATGCAGTACATTCTATTTTTAATACTTCCTCAAGTAGGAGAAAATGACCCATTCTTGCTCGGTCACATTTTCTAATGTTTCTCTTAATGCTGGCAATCAAAAAGTTTTTCTTAGCTTCTACCTTAAATCTCTTCTATGTCAATTCACAATATTCTCTCATAACTTCTCTCTAAAGAAATTACAGAATATCTAGTCACTATTCTTCTACCATATCATCACATATTATTCATTTCTTTTTCTGGTATTCTTCTCAAATTAATCAAAAGTTTATATCCTAGTTCTATTTCTTTGAGCCTTGTGTCATACTGTTTCCTTTCTTTGCTGCCAGAGAAGTCAACGTAGACTATCCATAACAAAACAAAAGATCCTTCTCTGTGCTTCACAGGTTCTCCATTACAAAATGGTGAAATAATGCCTAACAATTGTCTCTATCACAAGACAAACAGAAAAAAGATATGCTTAAATCCATAACGACAGCCGGGAGCGGTGGCTCACGCCTGTAATCCCAGCACTTTGGGAGGCCGAGGCGGGCGGATCACGAGGTCAGGACATCGAGACCATCCTGGCTAACATGGTGAAACCCCGTCTCTACTAAAAATATAAAAGATTAGCCGGGCATGGTGGCAGGTAGCTGTAGTCCCAGCTACTCAGGAGGCTGAGGAAGGAGAATGGCATGAACCCGGGAGGCAGAGCCTGCAGTGAGCTGAGATCGCGCCACTGCACTCCAGCCTGGGCGACAGAGCAAGACTCCGTCTCAAAAAAATAAAAAAAATAAATCCATAACGGCGTTAAGTGTCTATGCTAAATAATCATAAATAATTGAGTCACCAAAAACTGACTGCTCAGAGACAAAATACAGAACAATAATATAAAGATATATTTTCAGGCTGGGCGCAGTGGCTCAGGCCTGTAATCCCAGCACTTTGAGAGGCCGAGGTGGATAGATCATGAGGTCAGGAGATCGAGACCATCCTGGCTAACATGGTGAAACCCCGTCTCTACTAAAAATACAAAAAAATTAGCCGGGTGGGGTGACACACGCCTGCAGTCCCAGCTACTTGGGAGGCTGAGGCAGGAGAATCGTTTGAACCCGGGAGGAGGAGGTTGCAGTGAGCCAAGATGGCGCCACTGCACTCCAGCCTGGGCGACAGAGTGAGGCTCTGTCTCAAAAAAAAAAAAAGACATATTTTCATAAACGTATTTGAAATTGGGAAAAACACTTTATGCCCATTCCTTTATCGTCTACCTCAAAGCAGAGCCCCACAAATGAAATCAGTAACTCAACATACCTCCTCTTCTCCCTGGCTTCCACAGAGGAATCTGTTCCAGTAATGGAGAGCACAGGAGTAGCTGTAACCCCATTGGCAGTGCTAGGAAGAGGGCGATTGGTGATCACACAGAGCGGGGTGCTAGAAGAGACATTGTCTGCTGTTTTCTCTGCTGTTGTGTCGGCCTGGGATTTGTGAGGAGTCCTGAAATTTAAAAAGATACAAGCAGAAAGGAAATGGTTAGGCATGCTATACAACAAAGCACTGGCACAGAGACAGAAGGATTAAAGAGTGGTTCATCTAGGAAATCTCGCTCTGATTTTGTTTGTTGGTTTCTTAATTTTGAGCTCTTACAGCTTGGAATAGTATAATTACATGTTTAGTCTGACATCCTTTGCCTGAGGAGTCACATTTTATGAGACTTGTATGTGTATGTGTGTGCCTGAGATTTTGTTTTAACAAAAATCATTAGCTATGGCACAAGGCAAGATAGTGACATATGCAAGAGTGTTTTAAATGACACCCCAGTAGCACCTGGTCTCTGCACATGCACACGGAGACATGGCCTCTCTACACAAGAAAAAGACATTAAAGTCACTTACAATATTAGTCTCCACCTGTTCCTTAATTCTTGGCAGTGGGAGTCTTTGTGGTAGTCCTCAGCCTAGATTTGATGACCATCTTCTTGGATTATCCAGAGACAACTGATACTCTACAGTCTCAGTATGCTTAGTTCTCCCTCACCTAATTCAGCAACTGCTCTCTCTTCCCATTTAACCAAATGCCTAATTGTCTATATTCATAACTGCAAAAGTGAGAAATTGAAACAAAAACCAAACCGGATTCTATAAGTATCCTTAACCACAGACTTTTCAACAGCAAGCTGTATAATTAAACTCATTTACATGAAAACAAGACCTTTGTTTCTTATCGAAGAGTTGGGAGCAACCATTGGCTCTCCACCCAAAAAGCTATCATTTGTGATGTCACAGCTGTTGCTGGGGTAACAGAGGTCCAAAACTGATACAGAGATGGAGAAAGCAATGAAAAGCACAAATATTAAAAATCTATTTTTTTCACCTACTCACAATTATTAGCAGAAATGTTCACGGGTAGCTCTAAGCTTACTTCCAAATAATCAAATTACAAGCTTGAAAAAAAATAATAAAAACATAAAAATATAAATATGGTACCTAGATACAAACATAAAGGCAGAATATTTTAAAAGATACATGTAATATCTAAAAAAACACATGCTACTTCTCCAGAAGCAATTAATGACTAAGAAAAAAGGTGAAATTTTATAGTCTTTTTTAACAAAAAAAGAAAAGGCAAAAAATTCCTCAGACTTACAAGATACGAATCTATAGGAAGTACTAATAAAATTAGCTAGACACACAGCTATAAAAAATTACACTTAACCAAACCTTACCTGAAGTTCTTTTTAGGTTACTAACATGTTTTGGTCTCACTGTAATTTCTTATGCTTTTGAAATGCCAAGGATTTTATTTTATTAAATTACATAATAGGACTTTTACTATTATTTTGAAATGCAGTGTAATTTTACAAGTAGATTGTTAGAATAAGAACAGCCCTAGAGCAGAGATCAGAGGATATGCAATGGAGTAGGATAAATATGGGCTTTGGAAACACAACATTTGCTTAAATGTAGACTCTCTGATCTCTTCTTCATTGATAAAATAGAGATAGTGGCACCTTAAAATACAGGGTTCTTCTAATGATTAAATAAAATAATGTCTGCAGGACACCTAAAATAGTACCCAGAATAAAATATAAACTCAGCAGATACAAACAGTGACAAAATAGGTAAGAGCTTTGAAATGTACAAATCTGAGTTCAAATCCTATCTCAGGCCCTCACTAGCTGTGTGACCTTGGGCAGATGATTAACCATTTGGTCTGAGTTTCCTCGTCTATAAAATAATACTTCATATAATAGGGGGCTCATTATAAGAGAATAGATGATATATGTATGCATGAGACAGCTAGTTGTCTAACCCATATCCATTGTCCCTTTCTTCTTTATGAACTGAATCCCTATATCATTGAGGGCAGCAATATACCTAGTTAAAAGTCCACACTTCTCAAAGTCTCCTGGCCACTAGAGGTATCCAATGAGACATATGCAGACAACTAGTACTTCTGGGAAAATTCTCAGTTCAGAAGCATTTTTTCTTTGTCTGCTTCCTTCTTTCCTCTTCCTTCTTCCCTAGAGTACAGCCATGATAGCTATAGCTTCAGCAGTTATTCTGGACCATCAGGCAACCCATGGAAATGGCAGCCATGATGCAAGAACTGTGGAGCGAAAGAACCTGGATCCTTTAATGACTGTGGAGCTACTAAGCCAGCTCTGCATATTTCTGGACTTTCTTAAGTGCAAGAAAAAAAAAAAAACCTTTACCTTATTTAAGCCACTACTATTTAGATTTATCGTTACATATGAGCAAACTAAATCCCAGTATAATAGCCAACCAAATGCCTGTCACATAATGGGGTCCAACAAATGGCAGCTGTAATTATTTTCTCTCAGTTGCAGCTCTTAATAGTTATAGTAATAGCAATATAGTATTATTATATAATATATAATATTATATATGTAAAATATAGTAATACGGCCGGGTGCAGTGGCTCTCGCCTGTAATCTTAGCACTTTGGGAGGCCGAAGTGGGCGGATCATGAGGTCAGGAGATAGAGATCATCCTCATCCTGGATAACACGGTGAAACCCCGTCTCTACTAAAAATACAAAAAATTAGCCGGGTATGGTGGCATGCGCCTGTAGTCCCAGCTACTCGGGAGGCTGAGGCAGAAGAATTGCTCGAGCCCGGGAGGTGAAGGTTGCAGTCAGCCAAGACTGCACCACTGCACTCCAGCCTGGGTGACAGAGCGATATTCCATCTCAAAAAAAAAAAAAAATATATATATATATATATATAGAGAGAGAGAGAGAGAGAGAGAGTAATATAATATAGTAATAATAACCTCTCTATGTTTGTTTCTTCAGCTATGGTGATAATAGTTAACATGTCTATGCAACTGGATTATTATAAGGACCTAATAAATTTACCTATAATTATACAGTATTATTATTAATAATCCATCATAAACCCTTCCCTCCTGGCTGAATTAATGATTACCGCTTATTTTAGGGAAAGAAATCTAGTAAACTGACAAATATCAATCAAGCACCATCACTGGTGTTCCTGCAACAACACTATCATTAAGATTTTTTTCATTTTCTTTATCAGTTGTAGACACAGACCCAAAAAAAAGAGACCCTTTGCCAGCACACATAAAGGATTAAAAGCCACAGTTAAAACTACAGCTAAAGTCCTAATGTACTTTCACAGTAACATTCTACCATGCTATCCCTTAGATGAACTAGAAACCAAGAAGATACTGCCCCCACAACACAGTTTAGACAAACACAAATCTGTCCCTTCTCACAATGTTTCCAGCAAAATACTCTCATTGGCTGGGAGTTTTCAGAAGGTTATCATAGGCTTTTGGAAAATGAGTTAGCTTTCTTTCTGATTTGGGTTTGCATGTCATTTAAAAGACTAAATACAAGAGATTCCTATTATAATTACTGGAAAATTAATAGAAGTAAAATATGAAAATGTTTTCAATATTTAATTTACCACAATAGTATGATCCTTAAATTGTAATCACAACTGGTTAGGTTGTTGAGGGATGAAATCAGTCACATTAAGCTGATGTCCAAACACCAAGTACAATTATACATACCCTTTGATTATTCAATATGCAACTGTTGACTGGTTAATACAAGTCAAAGCAAAAGCATCTTCATTAAATTCAGACATTTTCTCAGGAGTTCTAACTTGTTTTTATAGTGATAAAGTCTCTTTGGTTCAAATTTCATATGTGTTTTCAGAGCCATTAACTTTGATGAATGCAACTCAAATGGCTTCAAGAAGCCTTACCTGCCATGATGTACAGATGCAGTAGTGTTTGCACTGATTGGTGCAGGGCAAGAAGAGGCAGGTTGCCACTGGCTGCCCCGAGAGGTAGATGAACCAATGGTAATGGGTGAGGTAGCAGGAGATGAATTGCGATTGGCTGAAATGTAGGGACTTGTGGGGTCACTACTTCTACCAAATGAAGCACTGCAAAACAGCACACAGTCACTTTCTTCAGGACATGCTGCTCACCCACCATTTCCCAGCACCACCTTCCCACCCAGATTGTGCACTTGAAATGAATATAGACCAAAGAAAGGGTATGACAACTGGGAAGTGAAGTGATCAACTCCAGCTAGAGCTGAGTCACTGGCAGCAAGCAGGCAATCATCCAAAAGAATGAAGGAATCATCACTCTTTGAAGGATGGTCTTTTTGGTCAATCATCCAAAAGAGTGAAGGAACGTGGAGGAAGAGAGATGATACTGAATGAGGGAAAGCAGGAAAGTAGAATATATGATAAGAGGAGAGGCTAAGAAAGGGAATAATAGGAAAAAGGATAATTTTATTAGAAAAAAGTAATTCCCAACAAACCCAAGGCAAATAATCATGCAACCCCAAATGTCTACCTGATACAGAATTAGCACTGCAAAAGCAAAAGTAAGACCAGAGAATTTGGAGAGGTTGTGGAGCAGAGATTTAAAATTTAAAAGTGGAAAGAGTAAAGAAGCTCTGTGAAAAAAAATGACTTTGAGAACTGCAGTTATTCAGCCTAAAGCAAAATTGTCTCTGGGAGGATTTAGTTTTAAGTCTAGAAAGTAATACTGTATGAGCAATAAAGGGCAACTTGTATTTGTTTTGATTGAAGACAGGTAAGAACCATCTCAATTGCAGGAAAAAATTATTTGGGTTCAAATTTCAAAAATACTTCTTGACTATAATAGAAATGAGACACTTGAGCAGATAACCAAAAAAAGCTATAAAGCCTTCCTTGGAAAAGAGGTATTTTAATATGGGCCATATGAAAGGAATTTCTGCCTATACACAAGAGATGAACTCTCATTCTCATTTTCAAAGATGAAAATGGAATGTATATGAAGGTTTGGCATAGCTGGGAAATGACAAATTTCTCCTTACACTTGCTCTTTTAAATGGTGATGGCATATGATTCTTTCCTTTTAAAAAGACCATAAGAGGTTTTTATAAAATCAAAAAATGCTTTAGGGTTACAGGAGAAAAGCTTTGGAAATCCAAGATATGAAGCAAGTTGTACATCTTTTCCTCAAAAAGTGCTCATATCATTAAGCATGCTTTTGATCCTAAATAGAGGCAGCCTGTCCCTTCACTGTTCACCGTAACTTTGCCAAACTACATCTATCAAACCAAATGCCTCTCAACCCATTTGCTGATTATTTGGATCACAAAAATCAACAACCTCGCCACAGAATAACTCCATGCCTGGAAATTAAATGGCAGCTTTCTCCCTTCCCTTGATCTAGAACATTGTTTTCTTAGAAAAGTTTTCTTGATCTTGGATTCAACTATAATGAATAATAATGCATCCAGGAAGACCAAGGCCTTAGCCATTAAGACAAATAGGTGATAGCCTCATAAAGCAAGAAACACCTCTTTTGTGTAATAAAGCATCAGTGAGATCATCAAACTTTCATACTTCCAAAGTTGAGCCCTTTCTTATAGAATGTATCTACAGAACTGAAGAACATTAAAAGGCAACAGTGACTGTTTGTTTTCTAGCTATTTCCCATGTTTCAACAATAACTAGTTGACAAGTCTTTCTGTCAAGTGGAAATAAGTGTTGATTCCAAAGAGTTAATGTGTTCATCTAGTCTAGGCCAGGGCCTGTTTCTAAGGTAGCCAACCAATCATCTAAAAAACCTAATGATGAAGGCTATGGTGTGAGAAGACAGTGGAAGTGAAGAAAGAATTCAAAGTAAGCAATAAAAAACAGATTCTTCCACATTAGCAGCAGAGTTCAAATTAAAATATTAAGTATTTTTGTAGCTTAATGGCTCTGGCAAAGGTGCCTGGTTTGCTGGCTAGTATGTGGCAAAGAAAATAATTGCAGAAAAGGGAATACAGATGAGAAAAGAAGGAAACCCATGTACCTTCTCTGCACCAAACTTGCGAGTTTCACATCTTGATGGATCTGAGGGCCATTAAAGTCATAAGAAAAAAAACAACTCAAGTCCCTAAATTAACAGGCTTCAGTATGAAACTTCTTTAATGCAATAGAAAACTGTCCCCATTTCCCACCCCCCACCACTTTATAGTGTCCCTCCCTTCCTCCCCCCAAAAATAGCACATGGGATGAGAACTACTCTGTTTCAGATAAGGAGAACCAGCTACTGGACAAGGATAACTTAAATTCAGTCTTGCCCAGAGATTACTGAAAGCCACTTCTGATTGAAAGTTTTAATAGGATGGAGAGGATAAAGTATAAAGCCAGATCTGTAGTGAGAATCTGAAATTAGCTTACTTTAATTCAATTATTAAGATAATAAATTTTAAATTATTCAAGATGTTAATTCTAAGAAACCTGAAAGTAATTCATTTTGATTCATTTCTGCGGTGTTAATTGGACATAAAAAGGCATACAATCATTACCCATTTCCCATGGCTAGAGTGAAAGAAACATCTCCCACCCCCTTTGAGCCTGGTACCTTTTCAAGTAAGTTGATACATAGGTGGAGGGAGCAATTGTCTGTGGGATTTCATTTCCTTTTGCTTCATCCCTCCATAGCTGCCGGGTATAGGAGCCACTCCTCACTAGATTAACAGCTGATTCTCTGTAGAAGCATGAAAGGAAAACAAAACACTGATTCCTACCACCAGTTTTTGTCCATGATACAATGCAGAGAGAGAAGAGCCAGACAGGCAAACTATAACATGGCTAATAGACACATTCTTCAGGTTATTCTGTTTTATATACCAGTTTTCTGTACAGAAGAGAAGTATTACTGCCTGCTTTCTTTTATCAACTTTGAACCAATTAATTTCAACAGGTACCAAATTCCTCATGTCAAAGGTCTCTAACCCTTTTGTAATAAGAAGTCACTTTTGATCCTCACTTAAAAAGTGCTTTGCAGCTGGGCATAGTGACTCACATCTATAATTCCAGCACTTTGGGAGGCTGAGGCAGGCAGACCACTTGAGGTCAGGAGTTCAAGACCAGCCTGGCCAACATGGTGAAACCCCATCTCTACTAAAAATACAAAAAAATTAGCCAGGCATGGTGGCACATGCCTGTACTCGGGAGGCTGAGGCACGAGAATCGCTTGAACCCAGGAGGCAGAGGCTGCAATGAGCCAAGATCATGCCACTGCACTCCAGCCTGGGCGACAGAGTGAGACTTTGTCTCAAAAAAAAAAATAAAGAAAAAAGTGTGTTGCAATCAGTCTTAGTAGCACGTGGCTTTTAAGTTAAGCAGATAAGGAAATGATGGGGGAAGATGAAGAAGTCTGTTACCGAGAAAAAAAGTTACTACAGAAGGGGAAAGGGAAAGAAGTCTTGCTGGAAGCCTCTTTAGCATTATAAATGAAAAGGTATCCAGGAAAGTGCTGTACTAGGATTTTTGATCCACAATTGATAACTCAGGGTCTTTGTTGCAAAACCTATGGGTTTCCATGCTTCACAAGGTTCTCTAGAACAATCCTTCTCAAACTTTAATGTGTATTAATATTTGAATCACCTAGGGAATTTCGTTAGAATGCAGATTCTAATTCAGTAGATCTGGAGTAGGGCCTGAGATTCTGGAGTCCTAACATGCACCCAGGCCAGGAGCAGTGGCTCACACCTACAATCCCAGCACTTTGGGAGGGCAAGTCAGGAGGACCACTCGAGGTCTGGAGTTTGAGACCATCCTGGGAAACATAGCAAAACCCTGCTTCTATTAAAGAAAATTATTTTTAATAAAAATAAAATGTACCCGGGTGATGCCAATACCGCTGGCTAAGGTTTGAGATCACATTTGCCCTGAGATGCAGCAATACTTCAAAATCCCTATATTTATTTTAACTAATTAGGAAGACTTTAATTTTACCTTCTGACAAATTAGAAGTTGGTCAATTTAATTAAATAACATTATTTTAGTGTTTACTATGTGTTAGGCACTGTGCTAGGAACTAGGGGTCCTTAAGAAACCAGACAGACTCAGACCCTACCTTTACAGAGCCTGCTGGTAGAATAAAACTAATGCATGTGTGGAAAAATCAGGGAAGACTTCCTAAAGAAGGTAATGTCTAACCTGGAGTTAGAATTTGAAAAATAAAGAACCAGCAAAGCAAGGATATAAGAGTTGAGAGGTGTTCTAAGCAGAAGGAATAAACAATTCATAATGTGGTAAGGACACCTGAGGGAAAAATGCAGAAGAGTAATGCCCAGGAGATGACTATGTCCAGTAGACCTAAGAGGATGAGGACCATCTTTTGGCTGGTTTTAGGATTACCTGTTCTCCTTTTCTTCAATATCACTTGTGCTGTTGAGCTTCCGGGGTGCTAGTGAACTAATATAGCTTTTGTTTTCTCTCTCCTGTAAAATAAAAACAAGTAAAGCACAAGAAAGGTACAATACTGGCACAGCATAAAACATTTTGAGTAAAAAAGCAGAACTTAATATACCTATATCATCTTATTTCTGGATCCAACACTAATTCTATTTTGAGTGGTATTTACAAAAGGTTAGCTTTCAAAAGCTTATTCCTAACTTTCTTCCATTAAAAAACAGTATGAAGGGAAATAATTCTCATGGGAAAGTCAGGATGAGTAAATAAAGAAAACAGCAGCACAAATTATGCAAAGCAGCACCTCTGTCAAGAGAGGAGGAAAGCCTTTGAAGACACAAACAGAAAGCTCCACTCTAATATTCTTGATGAAATAAGATTTATGTAGTCCCCAATAGTCCCCAGTACATCTTTTCCTTGAAATACAGCTTCCTTAGGAATATGTACAATAGTATGCTGCAGAGTTAATTCAACCAATATGCCTCATCTCTTTCAGTAGTCTCCAGAGATATAAAGCAAGAGGACTGTGATTACAAGGAAGATGTGACCCCAGAGAAAAGCACAAAGAGAGTCCTATAAAATCTGGAACTAAAAAGTGAAGAAAATAAAAATTTACTAATCTTGAATGAATACACAAACTATGTGTGAAGTTAGCCTAACCACATTTTCCATATTAATGAAAGAATGACAAGTTAAAAATTTTTTTTTTCTAAGTACTAATTTGCCTGAGCTTAATTTGGACTCAAAGCCCAGAGAACCTCTTAGGCCATACTGAATTTTTTTTTTTTTTTGCAGGGTAGGAGGCTTTATTACACTGTGGCAGGAAGTGAGCCTAGACAGTGTGGGGCAAGCAGGGCAGGAGGGGCTGTCCCCAAACCTGTTGAGGAGAAACTGAGGCTGGCCCCAGTGGAGACCTAGCCCAGCAGGAGAAGGGGAGTGGGGAGGAAAGTGGGTCTGAAGGAATGAGGTCCCCCTCACTCTGCGCATTCCTCCTAGAGGGCCTCAGTCCCTCCTGCTGGCTGGGCTGCACAACCCCCAGTCCTTGCTGCCTCCAACTTGGAGAAGGGGGCCGGACCAGGAAGGGCAGTGGACAGGGAGCCTGGGGGAGTTATGGAGCACAGGGCAGGGTCCATGGTGTACAGAGGGGGTGGCGGCCACCTGGGTGGTCAGTTCCTGGCAGGAGTGACCACAGAGAGCGCCACACCCCCCAAGGCAACAGCAGTCGCCCCAAACAGCCACTTCCATGGGCTGGACCAGGCACCCTTGCCGGGGCACTTGGCGGGCAGCCAGCTGGGGTCGCCCAGCATTTTCCAGTACAGGGCGGTCTCCGTGCTCCGCTGTGCCGCGTGCTTCTTCACCAGCTTCAAGAGTTCTGCGTGGATCGTCTTGTTGGAAGGTTCCAGCTTCAGGGCTGCCCTCAGGATGGAGATGGCCTCACTGTACTCACCCTGCTGGGCCAGTATCTTGCCTCTGTGGAGGACAGCCTTGATATTGTCTGGATGGTGCTCCAACGAGGCTGCAGGAGCACAGGGCTGCGCAGTAGTGGTCGAGCTTCAGCTGCGAGGCCGCCAGGTTGTTCAGACACTTCACCTTCAACTACAGGAGCTGCTCCTCCTCCTCGAACGTCATGTCCACTTTGGCGCTGGAGGTGATGGTCTTGATGGCAAGGTCATAGGAGTTGGCGGCCAGGATGAAGTCCGCCCACTGGTAGTGGGCACTGCCGCACTCCTGCTTCCGGTTGGCCAGGGCCATGCGCTCCTGCCCTGTGAGCATCTCCAGGTCAGGCCAGTCCACGGCCGTCTTCGGGGTCACCTCCAGGCACAGGGCCGCGTGCGGTGGATGTATGGGCTCCTGCCCTGGGGGCTATAGCAGTAGATGGAGTCAGCAGTGACCATGGCCGTCTCCCCCACGTCCGTGAGTTAGACACTAAGATCCAGGGCCTGGATGACGTCACAGTTGTTCAAGGTGAACACCAGCTCCCACATGCTGTTCTCTCACGACGTCTGCAAAATGCACGGTAACCACCTGGCCCTTGACTGGGCGGCTTGAACCCGGCGGCCCTGGGACAAGCGTCTTCTTCCTCAACAGCTGCTTCCGGGGCCAGGGACGGGGCGGGCTCAGGCTCCATGGCAGCGAGGAACTCTAGGGCCAATGTCCCAGGCTGTTCAGCCTCTTCCACCGGGGGCTGTCCCATGCCCAGCGGGGGCAGCTCTTTCAGGTCATCTTCCTCCTCGCCCTCTGCATCCTCCACCCCATCCAGCACCTTGAAGTCCTCAAGCGGTGGGACCCTGGCAGGAGGCGGGGGCAGAGGGCTTAGAGGGTTCAGCACACGAAGCCATGCCGCTGGGGGGACGGGAATTGGCCCTCTGGATCCAGGACCCCTACCTGGGGTCCTGTGCCCCCCTCCGCCATACTGAAATTTTTATGTTGCTGATCCATTTTTTGCTTTAGGTAAGGGGGCAAGGAAGATTGAACAAACCAAAAGGAAAAGCTATTTTTAAAGCTTTTTTATTTTCTTTTTTGGTCAAGCAAACAATAGCAAGCAAATAGCTACTTGAATAAACTATCAGTGTGCCTCTCTCTCTTTAAAGACTTTGCATTTCCAAAATCAACTTAAGGACTAGAAAATATTTTCATTTGTTCCTAAGATTGAATTTTCATGGAAAAAAAAAACTGCCTTGGAATTCCCCCATACCCTCCCAAACTGCACCTTATCTTTGTTGTCCAGTAGAGCAGAAATCCGAGGGCTTGAAGAGGAGCGATAGATGGAAGAGCCTCGGTCCCTTATAGGTTCCCTGGAATTGGCCACCTCACTCAGCATGTTGTGGCTGCCAGTTTTTCTCAGTCCCAATCTCCATGAAGAAGGAGATTCATCTTTGGGCTCTTCTGGCTTGTTAAAAAGGCCAGAAGAGAACTATGAGAGAAGCAAATAAAAGAAATGAAAAATAAAGGCTCTGATGATTCTTTCTCAGCCTATTTGCCTTTTCCACACTTAACTAAGTTCAGCGAGGCAACATAAGGTAGCTAAGAAGAACAAATACATGGCAGTCTTTCTGCCCATGTTCCCTCCCTCACCCAGCAAAAGCTAATAACCTCTCCAGGCTCTTTCTTCCTAAGCCAAAAATAGCCTCGGATTCTTCACACAGTGCTCCTACCTGACAGGGTTGTTCTGAGAAATTTGCTATCTCTGTGCAATTAATAATGACCTGGAACACCAGGAGATTGTATTCTAGTAATATACCTTCTTCTAACTCACCGTGGAACTGAATATAAGATACTTTACTTCTCTAGGTCTCAACATGCTCACCTGTAAAATGACGGTAATGAGCTTAATCCCTCCTTATAATATGTGGAGACTGGAAAAAATGAGACCAGCTAATTTATCTTTTATTTTTATTTTTTTGAAGTAGGGTCTCACTCTTATCACCGAGGCTGGAGTGCAGTGGCCTAATCAGAGTTCACTGCATCCTTGACCTCCTGCGCCCAAGCAATCCTCCCCCTCAGCCCACCGAGTAGCTGGGACTATCAGCATGTACCACCATGCCCAGTTAATTTTCTCTAAATTTTAGTAGAGACAAGGTCTCCCTATGTTGCCCAGGCTGGTCTCAAAGTCCTAAACTCGAGCAATCCTCGCATCTCAGCCTCCCAAAGTGCTGTGATTACAGGCATGAACCCATGCCCTGCCAGGAATGAGCTAATTTATAAACACATTTTAAGGTACTATGATACAGTGATTTAACACTGATAAAAATTCTAGACGCCACTCCACTCAAATTCTAACTGCTAATTTCAAGAAAATTTATTTGATCTAGAGTAGCAGTTTAGAGAGCTTTAGATTTCACTGACCAGCAAAAACAACAACAACAAAAAAAAACAAAAAAAAAACTAGAGGTCAAAGGGTTGCTATCTTTTTATCTTTTAAATATAATTTTGACAAAAGAAAACAACATTCTGAAAGATGTTTTCTTTTTGAACAACTCATCATTACCACAATTTTGTTAAAAATGAAATTTTAATATCAGAAAAGAAAGCTTTATGGAAAGCTTACATTGTCCTTAATTATCTCATTTTGCCATAAACTAGGGAAACATCATAGACCAGCATTAGGCCAAGGACCAGTTTGGGGTACAGCTAGTCTCTGGAACACAAGCCAACAGACCCTTCCTGAGGTCCAGGACCTTTTCAAGAAGATTTAAGCCTTTCTTCCAATATCAGGCTACCTTTACTGCCTGATACAGCGAAAATAAATAAAAATATTAAATCACTCATCTCCAACTCACATATAGATTTTCTCTTTTCATCAGTCATCTGAATGTACACATTTACGTACCCCTTCCAGCTTTAGGGGTTCAATAATGTCAGCTTTTTACAAGCTACTCTGATTCTAAGGGGGAAAATGCCTTCCCCAGCATCATTTTAGCAAAGTAGAATGTGTGTGTGTTGTTGTTGTTGTTGTTGTTGTTGTTTTTGAGACACGGTCTCACTCTGTTGCCCAGGCTGGAGTGCAATGGTGCAATCACAGCTCACTACAGCCTTGACCTCCTGGGCTCAAGTGATCCTCCCACCTCGGCCTCCCAGTCCCAAGTCACTGGGACTACAGGTGTGTGCCACCATGCCTGGCTAATGTTTTTATTGTTTGTAAAGATGGGGTTTTCCGATGTTGCCCAAGCTAGTCTCAAACTCCTGGGCTCAAGTGATTTGCCCACCTTGGCCTCCCAAAGTGCTGAGATTATAGGTGTGAGCCACTGCACCCTGTCTAATTTAGTATTTTTCTATTGAAAAAAGTAGGAAGTCTAGGCATCCTTAGAAGCAGTGGCAGTATATGAGGTACACCTAAATGACTGAATATGAGTGAGAATTACATTTATTCAAAGCCTCTTTAATTATTCACGATGATGCTTCTAGGGATAAATAAGTAGCCAGGCCTTTGTTCTCTCATTTCCACAAGAATACCACAAGCCCATCTTTCCAATTCATGAAGTGCTAAGAAGATCATTAAGTTCATACCTATATAACCACAGAGCTTTTTCAACAGCTTCATTCCAAAGAACTCAAATCAATTCTTAACCTCAAAATGACTTTTATACTTTGTAGAGCAGGGTCATCATTCAACTCACTCTCACTGACTAGAAGCCTACAGATTCTCAGAGGCCTGCACAAAGTTACAGAAGGAGGGGCCTCTGGTATTTCAACAAGTTATTTCTACCTCTGCCCTTTACTCATCATAAGATATAAAGACTTTACTCATGAAAGTCTTAAAGGAGAAATAGAAAAAGGAGAATAATCACCAAAACAATGAATGCTGGATGCTAGATATCTTCTAGCCCAGTCCACACTTTACATGTAGGCATCTTAACTTCAGATACAAAGAAAATAGGCAAATGACAAAATCTCTTTGGTCTCAGACTACTCTATCTTATGTTATCTTAACACATGGTAGCCAAATTTGTTTGGTAATAATCTTATAGATTTTGGGGGGCAATGTTATGGGTTGAATGTTTGTGTCCTCCAAAAATTCATATATTGAAGCACTAATTCCCAATGTGACTATATTTGGAGATAAGGGTCTGTGAGGAGTGATGAAGCTTAAATGAGGTTAATAGGGTGGGGCCCTAATCTGATAGGGCTGGTTACCTTATAAGAAGAGAAAGAGACACCAGAGCTCCTTCTCTCTGCCATGTTAGGACATGGCGAGAAGGTGGTTATATTCACGTCAAGAAAGAGGGCCCTCACCAGGAACTGAACTGGCTGGTACCTTGATCTGAGACTTCCCAGCCTCCAGAACTGTGAGAAATAAATGTCTGTTGTTTAAGCCACCCAGCCTGTGTTTTTTGTTATGGGAGCAGATTATGACAGGAAAAATGTATTTTTATTATTTTGCAAGAATGTACCTTTAAGGCCTTTCTAGATGTGTGCTACTGCAGTAGGGTGAAATCTAATTCCCAAATTAAGTAAAAAGTACTCACCCTCCTAGCAGAAGAGGCAGAGAAGGTATTTTGAGCTGGTGCTGGTATCTGCTCTGTGATACTACTCTTGCTTTCAGAGTTGGAATGATTGACAAAGGCTTCTGGCTTTTTATCTGTTATTTAAGACAAGAGAATTAACAAGTACTAGTATAAAAATCTTATCTTTGTGTCTATGTCCTTTTCTGCTAATAGAAAAGATTTGCCCATTATCAAAACAGATTATTAAGGCCCTGTAATGCTTGGATATAAACTAACAACTTGTAAACTCTTGCAACTGTTGGCAGAAAAAAATAAACTCAATGTTATTCCCATCTTGGTAGGCTCCAACTCCAACTTTCAGATAAAAACTGAAAACTATCTCCACATTATTATATCATATATAAAATCCATCTATAATCTGTCCTTTGGGGATCTCATCCTTTTCTACAGTTTTACCTTTCACTTCTTATGCAGATAATTTCCACTGGGTCCCTACTACTACTCTGGGGAGTCCCAGATCAAAGTCCAGATCTTAGGCACACCACTTGCCAGCTATGAAACCTAATTCACCTAACCTCCTACAGTGTCAATTTCCCATTCTAAAAAGTAGTGATAATAATACATACCTCAGAGTATGGTTGTGAGGATTAAAGAAAAATGTTTAAGTGTGGTGCAAAGTAAAAAGCACTATACAAATGTAAAGTTTTATTGTAATTCCCTGAACTAGATACAGTGTGTCTTACTAGTGAATCCTATTGACTACACTTATATCTCTCATGTGACATGTAGTTTATTCATGTATACACCTTTCTATTCCCTGACTGGATATATTCAACAAAAAACATTTAATGAATGTGAATGCCTGTTATGTACCAGGCATTGAGCTGAGACCTGGGAGTTCAATAATAAACCCAGAGTTCCCAGCCAAAATGATGAGTGCTACAGCAGAGTTAAGTAGGCAGTGCTAGAGGGACATAAACAGAGAACAGTCGTGGGGTAGAAGAACAGTGAGGTGGCCCATTTCCTTTCAGCTTCCTATATTAGAAAAACCTAAAGAAAGACTTTTTCAACCTGCTAGATCCTATAGTTTTCTACAGAAATCACTCAATGAGCATTGATGGCCTGAAATGAATTTCGGCTTAAATGGTACAAATGTTCAGAAGCAGGAAAGCTCAGGGCAGGTTTGAGGAAATTAAGCAGTCCAGTTTGGCCAAAATATGTCCTTATCTATGTACAGCATTGGAAAGGTCAGCTAGAGCTAGATTATGAAAAGTCCTGAAGGCCAGACTATGGAGCTTGGGGTTTATTTACTCTGTAGGCAAAGATAGAGTGAGGGAGGTGGTCATAGGTTTAAACAGAGGTGTAGCATAATCAAAAGGGTACTGTGGGTGTTTATGCCAATAGCAATGTGAAGACCTGGCTACAGAGAACAAGAGATCTGACGCAAGGGTACAAATCACAAAGCAATGACCATAGTTCAGGCAGATCCCTCCAATTTTTCTCATACCTTGGCAACTAACAAAAGTGATCTAGAATAGAGCAAGTTCAGATACTTGTTGCAAATATTTGAAGCCTAGAACATGTAAGTACTCAATAAATAATCAAATATCAAAAAGATGAACATTTATAAATTCTGACAGGTACTACAATACCATTTCCGGAGCATACTGTGCATGATTAATAATAGAAGTTCAAGTCTCAATGAATAAAAGGTCATCTCCTATACTGTAAACTTAGCTGGTGCCTTTCTTCTCTATAGAACTGATGGTTCTCTAACTTCCTTTTGGTGACTGACATTCAGTGAGCCTCAGAGACTGAGACATGAAGAAGGGTAGTATTCTCCCATCATGGAGAGAAATCATATCAGCAAAGCCAGACCTCATCAGGAGCTGGTGGCCAGACAACAGAGTAAGTTAAATATCTTCATTATAGGTAGGCCAGCCATGGCAGAGTTCAGAGGAAAACACAGACTCCATTGTAAACTTAATGTGTGACCCTTTCCCCTCTAGCAGAAACATTTCATCTCATCATGGACTCCAGTTTGGAGGGATAATATGGCAGTGAAAATGGGGCTTAGGTACACTATTCTTTTCTCAGTGTTTGCCTGACTATAAATCAAAACCTGTGGATTATTTTATAGCTTGTTGGTCTGACCATGTTCAACATCTCACTCTCACTGTTGGGGTTCCTGTCTTGTCAAACAATAAACTTAAGAAGCTCTAGGGCCAGGTGCAGTGGCTCATGCCTGTAATCCTAGCACTTAGGGAGGCCAAGGCAGGTGGATCACTTGAGGTCGGGAGTTTGAGACCAGCTGGCCAACACAGTGAAACCCTGTCTCTACTAAAAATACTAAAATTAGCTGGGCATGATGGTGCACACCTGTAGTCCCAGCTACTGAGAGGCTGAGGCATGAGAATCACTTGAGCCTGGGAGGCGGAGGTTGCAGTAAGCTGAGATCACACCACTGCACTCCAGCCTGGGCAACAGAGCGAGACTCTGTCTCAAAAAAAAAAAAGAAGCCCTATATGAGGTATATATTATCAATAATAGCCATAAAGGTAAATATGATTTTGTTCCTTCCTTACTCCCCAACTCACACGAGAGGGAAAAAAAAAGATTTTAGGATTCTGTTTAGGAAATCAGACAAACCTGAGAATTAAATGCAAGTATTCACCAGTTGGTTTGACCCTAAGAGCTTCTGCAAGATCTCATCTTCTCTGCCTCTCAGCATACCGACATTTTGGAATTTGGTCTCTATGCCATTTACCAACCTGGAGTAAGGAGAGTTGGATTCCTCACATAAGAATTATTACCTTTTCTTTTTAAATTTTTTTGTAGAGACAGGGTCTTGCTATGTTGCCCAAGCTGTCTTGAACTTAAAGCAAGCCACCGCACTTGGCCTCCCAAAGTGCTAAGGCACCGTACCCAGCATTCACCTAAGAATTCTTTGTGCACCTTATCATATGGCTACACAGGAATTGGTAGATATAGTCTAACATAGCTCACAGTTTTTATATCAGGTGGTCACTGGCAATTTGATATCTTATCCTTGAAAACTAAACTTCAAGCTCTTTTTGGAGTCCTGTGAGGCCTGGCTAGCTCTCTGACAAGGAGTAATCTTCTTACACTATGGAGATAGAGGATCTTCACTATGAACATCTTTGCATTACCTGCCTCCTTCTCAGTTTCTGACTCAGAAGCTTCATCTTCACCTTCCTCCTCCTCTGAGCTGGAGCTACTAGATTCTTTATTTTCTTCCTCCATTTCTTGGGACTTAGGTGTCTCCTCCTCATAGAGCATCTTCTCTTTGCTAAATTAAAGATGACAACTTGAGTATAATTCAGAAATGATAATCAGGTATAATAAAGGGAACAAGTCTATAAACCTATATGTGGAAGCAATAACAGAAACATATTCAAATTCTTCTTTACATCTGTGTGTTCTTCCAAACCCTTCATTTTTGCAGACTAAGATTTAGTATTTGACGACAGAGTATGGCTCAAGGAAATCTGGCCTGCTTAACACACAGAAAAAAGAAGAACTATGAATTTTGATGACAGTGGGTAAATATTCAAAAAAATCATTTAACAAATGTTTACTGAGTACTTATTACATGCCAGGAATCATGCTAGGCACTGGTATAGTCATAAACAAAATAGACATTGTCTCTGAGTTCATGAAACTTACAGTAAGTAGAGGCAAAAGTTGAGACTAAGAGCGCCTAAGCCAGGATTTTAAAATGCTGCACACAGTCTCAATTAATTCTGAAGTTTAAAACACAGTCAACCATCCTTAGTGTCTCCCTCACATATCAATGCCACTCTCTTGTCCCACAAAGTTTCCCACAAGTTTCCCACAAGTTTATAGATCACTCGGCTAAATACAAACACAGAGTTTCTTCACTTTATAAATTCTGAAGTTAAGTATGTCACTGACACAGAGCAAAGCTCATCCCATTACTCAAGCCTAAATGTCTTACTTCTTAAAGAACCCACTCTGAATCTTGCTGTTCAGATCTGACTCAATGAGTTTATTCCGTGTCTCCTTTTCACTTCGAAGCTGGAAATGGAGAAAACAGAGAGAAAAGGGAAGAAGTTGACTATTGGTGAAAAATCAGCAGTATTGAGAACCAAAATGGTACTGTCATTCTGAAGAAAATAGGACCAACACCAAAGAGGTAGTGGGGAACCCGAGAAAAAGAGAAACATATCAGTTGGGTCTCCTTAGATGACAGAATTCATCCAAGGTAGAAGAGAAAAGCCATGGTGTTAAGAACTTCAATAAAACTGCTCCTATCAAATATCCAAACCCAATCTTCAAAAAAAAAAGTCTAGATTCTGAAGGATAAAAAGCCAAAAGGAACCTGAAAGAATTCTTTATGATTCATATACTGAAATAAGTTGGCAATATTTCTAAAGAAAACACAGGTACCGAATGGGAAATAAGCCCTTAGGGAAAATGGTCTGCTATTTAGATGCATGCTCTAGACAAAATGTATTCATATTCCTGGAACTCAAAGTTATGCAGAGGGCAAAGATAAGTACTATTCCCACTGGTGTAGAAATATTATTTCATGAATAATACTATTGATGTTCAAAAACCTTACCATGCTAGGTACAGAATACACAGGAACTCTCTATTTTTGCAACTTCCATGTGAGTCTAAACTTATTTCAGTAAAAGTTTTTAAAATTAAAAGAACCTAACTCTGCAAAGTATACAACTTATAATCAGGAAGGCTGTTGCTGCTAAATAACAGCATTGACACTGCATTTGAAAATCCTAGTTTCAGTGATCCTGACTGCTCAACAAAGAGAACAAAATGAACTTTAAGTTGTGTTTGTATGAGTTTTATGTATGTGACTTTTCCACTGAGCCTTAAAATAACCAGAATCTTCACTTTACCATACCAGACATAATGCTGAACACAACAGAGATTAGGTATGGTTGATCTGTCCCATCATTGAGCTATATAGTTCTTTGATTCAGAACTGCTGTTTTCCACATTTGTCCTAAACTTTAGTTTACATTACCTGAGTGACAGCACGTGCAAAAGAAACAAAAACAAAAAAAGTCATTGATTTTTTTGGCCCCTAATGTCCCACCCTAATGTCATTAATCTTTATTCTCCCCACTCAAATTATTCATCTGCTTTATGAGTAAAAAATATGGCTTATTCACTCTTCATCTGTATATGGGGTGGGTTTTCCATTCTGCAGTCTGAACAAAAATACCGTACTTATGTAGTTCTCCTGTATAGCACTAATTAAGCCAAAGACATGCATGACCAAACAATAAAAGATTCAAAATGAGGAGCAGAGAAAGGAGGACTGAATTCTAGATGTTTCATAAAACTGGAGTAAGTATGAATCACTGACCAAATACTCTCCTATATGAAATGACAGTTTTAGTATTATGTGTATTTACTTATTTTTTAAGAAATATATTCTTCTCTGTAATAAATGTGCTTAAATAAAGATAGTCTTTTAGTCAATAAGAAAAAGAAAAGCTATGAGGTATCCTCCACTCTGGTACTTTCTATTTGGAAAAACATCTGATTTGAACATATCACATTCATTTTCTAGAACTCAAGGGTAATTATTAGTTTTTTGTGGCTGTTTTTAACTTTCAGCTTCTTGAAGGCTATCTTATAATGAGCAAAAAACCTGAACAATAATGGTTTCTGGGATATATTCTTCTAACAGACTGTTTATAGTTCCTGAAGTGAACAATTAACATCTCTGGAATGCAGATATGTCCATTTCAACTCTCAGCAGACACAACTGAAACAAGTGATTGAGATACTTGGTGTGAACTGCAAACTATTAGAAAACTTTTGAAAGCACCAATCAGAAACTCACCACATTCTGCTTCTTCTGGAGCAACTCCAAATGCTCCACGAGACCCTCATCAGCCACATCAAATGGTGTCTGGCCCTGGCAGAGAAAAGGAGCACCATGACTGATAGAAAACAGAAGCAGCAATTACGTGACTTTATTAGTAGGGAACTATTCAAAAGTCACTTTTTGCCTTTGACTCCAATAATAGCTGCTTTTCAAACTAATCTACCATACATTATGATAACACCTTCATCTATCACACAGGACACATAACAAGAAACACCAAATCCTTTAAATATAGAGTTTGTACAACAGTACTGCAGAAATCACACCATTTCTAATCCTTACTGCCACCTGGCAAATAATCAAGTGAAATCCCTACTTGTATCTGTTCTAAAATGGTCTTAATTGCTATGATAAATTCCATAAAGGGCTCTTCAAAACTTCAGAGGGAGGTTCAGGGCACATGTTTAATAAAGATTAAATCACAGGAATCATCTTCCTTTAAGTGAGGGGAGGACTGACAAGAAAGTTAATTCTTTTAGGAAGCATCAGCATAATTAAGAACCCTGACCCACAGTCTGAGAATGAAACCTGGGTTCAGGAGAGATGTGACACAGATAAGAATATCTACTAATTAAAAGGCCATATCTCTGCACTACTAGAAAATCAGTACATATATGGGCTGGGCACAGTGGCTCACACCTGTAATCCCAACAATTTGGGATTACTCAGTATTATTCAATATTCACTTTTTGCCTTTAATTCCAATAATAACTGCTTCCCTAACTAGTCTACCATACATTATGATAATACCTTCATCTATCACAGAGGACACATAACGAGAAACACCAAATCCTTTAAACACAGAGTTTGGGATTACAAGTGGCAAGGCTGGGAATCACTTGAGCCCAGGAGCTTGAGACCAGCTGGGAAACCAGTGAGACCCCCCATCTCTACCATTAAAAAAAAAAAAAAATTAGTTTAATTAAAATAAAATCAGCTGGGCATGGTGGCTCATGCCTGTAATCCCAGCGTTTTGGGAGGCTGAGGCAGGCGGATCACGAGGTCAGGAGATCGAGACAATCCTGGCTAACACAGTGAAACCCCATCTCTACTAATAAAAAAAATACAAAAAATTAGCCAGGCGTGGCGGCGTGTGCCTGTAGTCCCAGCTACTCAGGAGGCTGAGGCAGGAGAATGGCGTGAACTTGAGAGGTGGAGCCTGCAGTGAGCTGAGGTCGCACCACTGCACTCCAGCCTGGGCAACAGAGCGAGACTCTGTCTCAAAAATAATAATAATAAAATAAAATCAGTAGACATAGGGATAGGAGTTCCAGAGCTTCTAAGTTGTTTGAAGTGAGACCGAATAACACTATTTTCAGCCAAACTCAAGGATCTTTGTCATTATAACATTTTAATGACTCACATGAATACAGCAACAATAAAATCTTTCATACCTCACCACAGACAATAACATTAGGCTCCTCAAAGCTCATTTTTTGCCAAGAACAAATATATTTTTTTCCTGTTTTAGAGGCTTGAACATAAATACAATCAGAAGGTCCACGGAGTTTTATTTTAAATAACAAACATAACTCTGTGTTAATAGGGCCAGAGGCAGGGTGGTGGAGGGTAACATTATAGCTACCAGTGATGTATATTTCACAACAGTCAGACTGCCATTGAAAAGAGATGTTAAGCCTTTTATTCTAGAGACCCAGCCACCAATCTCGTTGTTCTTTTAGAGGTTCAGGCTCACTAACCAGTTTATTTCGAATATCCATGTCACAAAGTGCTTCTGCCAGGATGGAGCAAGCCTCCTTCACTCCCCAGTGTGCAGCAGCATGGAGGGGAGTCCAGCCATCATAATCCTGAACATTGAGTTCATAGCCAGCCTGAATTAAAAGTCTAAAAAGAAAACCCAAAACAAGACATATATCTTCTGTATATTACAATTTTCTGGCAAATACACTATTACCTAATTGATATTTCAGATTTTGGCCCTGAACCACAGGGGTCTTATGATTACTTCTGCCCTCTAAGGCACAGTTTGGGTTTCATAGTTAACTACTTTGCGTACCAATCATAGATGACCTTTACCAATCCTCTCAAAAAAGTCATAAGATATTTCCTAGGCATATCCATTTTACACCATACAAGGGGAGTATACGGAAACGTATGTACCTAAGATTAACCAAAGCATAATTCAATTAGCCAAATCACATAACTCTGTTAAAGGTACATTTTCCATTTTCCAGTGCAGGGAAGAAGTAACATATAAAATGAAGACTCTAATAGGCTGTGGTCATTCTCTCTATCTGTAATAGTGTCAACAATAAAGATAAAGTTTAAAAAAATAAAATAAAATGAAGACTCAATTCTCTTCAGGGTATTTTCCCAACTAGCCTTCTGGTTGGTCTTTCTAGGACACTATATTTACCATATACCCACATATCTCCAATTTTTTGCTAACTATAAAGCTATAATTTAACTTGTATGCATGGAAGAGAAAAGATTTGACTCCTGAAGACCCAAACCACATTGGGGCCCTTATGGATAGCGCTATCAGGCAGAAATGGAGCACCAAAACACTGCTATACCTATTAAAAACCCTGCATTAGGTGAAATATGAAATACTGGAAGAGTCCAGTTAACAACTGCACATATAATGCCTTTGGCAACCCATGTATTTGGGAAAGCCTGTGAACATTAAGTACCAAGAGCTACAAGAAGCATGTATGGATGTAAGGAAAAATGGAACAGACAGAGTAGTAGAGTCCAAATCCCTCATATAAGTTTGGCTATCCTGTGCCAGCTGGACATCGCATACTCAAGATCTATATAATTAATCTAATGACACAAAAGAAATTATATAAGTCAAAACGGAACAAATGATCACAAGTATTACAGGTCACAAGAAGAGGTCGTTGCAGGGATATTAATGACAAATCAGAGAACTGGAAGAAGTCCCCTCCTAGGACCATGTACCTCAACTCTGTTTCACATCATACATGTTAGTGAGAAGCTAGAGGAATGGTAGGAGGGAGGGAGACAATCCATGGATGAATACCAGCAAAATGTGAGAAAAGACTGCACAATCAGAGAGGAAACCAACAAAAAAGGAAACACGTCATAGCGGAAAATCTAATTCAGCCTCTGCTTCCAAAACCTATTCCATCTTCTCCCAGTGAACCACTCCTGATTGATGTAAATGGACAATACCTGAGGACTTCAGAGTAGCCCTTGGCAGCAGCCACATGAAGGGCTGTAGCCCCTGAGCGAGCCTGCCTCACATCCTCTATTTTCCCACTGTTGAGCCACTGGCGGGCATCCTGCAACATCTGCTGCTCTTCTTCTTTTCTTGACTGCTCTAGATCAACTCCTACAGAAACCAGATACCAGACAGCCAGGATTACTAAAGCTCCACTTAAGTTTGACAGGATATTTTCCTTAGATTAAAGCACATCATAAACATAAATACAAATAACAATTTAGCCATCAAGTTGGGTAATTATCAAATTTAGAAGATCAATGGCATTTGTACACATATTAATGGTCTTACCAGGATTAAATCATCAGGTTAAATATTATGTGATACAGATCCATTAAGGGAATGCACCTAAAATTGTTTTCAACAGAACATAAAGACAAAGGGGACATTATTTTTACATTATAATATTTGTACAAAGCTATAAACTTCCAAGTCTTTTTACATGTTATATGACTTTAGTTTCCCAACAATCCTTCAAGGTAAATATAATAGATATTACAATCTTCATTTAACAGATGAGGAAATAAAAATAGAAAGGTTAGGAATCTTGCTCAAAGCCACAAAACACATTAGTGACAGAACTTGCCGCTAGAACTCCGATATCCTGGGTCCCTCTCTGTCATTCCTCTTCTGGGTCCCTATCCACTCACTATACCATAGGATGAGTATCCAAAATCTTGGTTTCAGGTATTGATATACTTTAAAAATTGAACTATCTCTAAAGTTCATTTCCATATACAGGTAAATACACTGACTTGAAGATATATAATCTAGGACAGATTAGTAGGTGATCTGCAGTTTAAAAACCTGTCTGCTTTCAAGGGAATGCAGATTTTGTTTTCCTTAAAAACATTATGAAAGAACTCCAAGAGTTCCTCCCTTTAGCCAATAACTCTCCAATATCTGTGCCAGTGAAAAGGGGTTAGGGTGAGGCATACCCCATTATACAAAATAATAAAATGTCCCAAATACAAACATACCCATTCAAAAAGTTTTACACTCATTAGCAGTCTTTGTGCTTGGTCTACTCCCTTTCAGCTCTTAAAAGAGAAACTGCTGGGTGCGGTGTCTCATGCCTGTAATCCCAGCACTTTGGAAAGCCTAGGTGGGTGGATCACCTGAGATCAGAGTTCGAGACAAGCCTGATCAACATGGTGAAACCCTGTCTCTACCAAAAATACAAAAATGAGCTGGGCATAGTGGTGGGCGCCTGTAATCCCAGCTACTTGGGAGGCTGAGTCATGAGAATTGCTTGAACCTGGGAGGCGGAGGTTGCAATGAGCTGGGATTGCGCCACTGCACTCCAGCCTGGGAGACACAGTGAGACTCTGTCTCAAAAAAAAAAAAAAAGAGAGAACCTGTCAACTACCTAAGTATTATCTGTGTGATTTTGGGAGATGGATGGGGTGAAGAGGTAACCAATTTAAATCAGATCAGTACTCCAAACACAAAGAAGTGTTAGCAGTGCTGGAAAGTTAAACATATATATGAATACCCCTTTCAACAGAGTATGTTCCCTCATTGAAGAGTCAGCAATCAAAACAGAAAAAGTGGTTGCTCCAATCTAAACTATTTTTTAAAACTGATTTTTTTAAAGTTGTTTGTACATTTTAAAGCAAATCTTAGGAGATAAAACTGATTGAGGCTGGAGGTTAAGCTAAGCATAAAATTCTTCAATTCAATAGCGCACAAAGCCAGGCGCTATAGCTCACACCTTTAATCCCGGCACTTTGGGAGGCCGAGGCTGGTGGATCACTTGGGGTCAGGAGTTTAAGAACAGCCTGGCCAACATGGTGAAACCCTGTCTCTACCAAAAAATACAAAAATTAGCCAGGCATGGTGGTGCACACCTGTAGTCCCAGCTACTCAGGAGGCTGCGGCAGGACAATCACTTGAACCTGAAAGGCAGAGGTTGCAATGAGCTGAGACGGCACCACTGCACTCCAGCCTGGGCAACAGAGTGAGACCCTGTCTCAAAAACAAAAAACAAACAAACAAACAAAATAGGACAGAAAAACTATACATGAAAGGCAGCAAAAGCAAGTAGTTACTGACCTAGAACATCACTATATTAAGGTAGGATCAGCATACTTTCTCCAAAGGGCCAATATGTATTTTCAGGTTTGTGGTTCATCCAATCTATCACTACTACTCAACTCTGCTGTTGTGGCACAAAAGCAGTTTTGGATAATATGTAAACAATGCGCATAGCAAGAATTGGCCCTGACTGTTCTAAAAGTTCATATTGGGAAAGACCACTGGAGCTAAATCCTCTGGGATGAACTGCAAGATTGTGAGTAAGGTAGTTTAGCAGAAGGACTAAAAAAAAAAATCACTACAAATCTTGTCCGCAGAGTTTTGTGGTGGAAAAAGAACCCAGGGACTTCCAGGTTGAAAAATTCCATCCTATTCTGTGAAATCGATTCTCCTAAAACTATAAAATAAGAATAAGCATTTTTAGAATATATTATTCTAAGTTAGCTTCCTCACCTTAACAAATTATCATACTAATTCTCATGATTAGTTACAATAAATATCTTTATCAGCACCACTTTTAGCTCTCAACAAGGGAAAAGATGCAAAGTCACAAACTCAGTTTAGCCAATTCTCAAATTTACACTGTATCCCAATACCATGCATACACACAGTACTGTGCATACACACAGTCCTCATCAGGTCACTCTTAATTGTATGATGGGTATGCAACCTCTGAATGGCAAAAACAAGGAATGATTGGTCATCCTTTTGACATCTGGCCTATTCTTGTCTGAGTTATTATGAGGATACATGATGCTGGATTAATGATTAATGCAGTGCAGACAGATCAAATCCTCTCCTGTCATGTGATAGTGAAATGCTCTGCACAGCAAATGGATTATTTTCTGTAAATGGCAGTGTTTGAGAATCTTTCCTGGCCCCCTCCAATCCATGAGGTTACCTTGCTTCTTTACTTGCTCCAGAAGAAGATCCTTCATGGCTGGCTCTTCTGCAAGGTCAGAGGGAACTTCACCTTCACTATTGACAATACCTACACTGGCTCCGTGATTAATGAAATACCTGCGTAGACAAGATCCAGGATCAATATTATCTGTCAATCTAATATAAATTTTACCCATGCATCTGGCATTCAATACACAGCGAAGTCTCTATTTTGAGTTTAAAATATGGTCTCAGTTAAGATATTCCATTATTAATTTCTATGTGCCTTAAACTTCAATAATTAAGACTGAAGGCTTCCCCATTTCCTGACTAGAGCAATGCCAACAAACAGGATTTCTTTCACACTCATATTACTAACTCCCATCCTCTCACTCCCAGTGGATGGCAAGAGAATTTCTAAGTAACATAAAGAAGGCATGCAGCCTTAAACTTTCCCAGTGCCACACTGGAGCTTATTAAGTAGTGCTGTGGGTGTGAAAATAGAAGAATAAAGTGTGCATTAAAATTTGCATAAATCTGCCTAAATTATGCCTCCATAAAACTCTCCTATCAACCAGACATCCACATGAAATCTTCCTGTGCTGTAAGACGAAACTAAATTACTTAAGAAGAAATATTAAAATGTTAAATAATTAAATTCTAAATCCAAATAGAATACTTGATTCTGAAGAAGAAAGGTCTGATAATTCAATACCTTACATAGATCCTTTTTGATTTTCAGAGTGCTTTCACATAAAATTATATCATAAGTCTTAGGCAACATTATGAAGTAGGCAATGTGGGTATTATTACCATGACTTTAAGAAATTGAGGTTCATACATATTAAGTAATTTTCTCAAAACCACATAGCGGGTAAATGGCAGAGGGTACAGCCCCAGTCTTGACTTCAAATCTAGTTCATCTTTTCTTTAGATCAAGTCACTTTTGGGCCAGTGAGAACTCTAATAACGCTAGGAGCTCTATCAAATACTCAGAAGTGTTTAAAGGAAAAAGAAAAATGATTCAAATTAGACTTCAATCCATTCAACAATTCAATAAACATTTACTGGACCCCTACTATATTGAAGAAACCCCTTTTTTTTTTGTTTTTTTTTTTGAGACAGAGTCTTGGTCTGTCACTCAGGCTGGAGTGCAATGGTGCGATCTCGGCTCACTGCAACCTCCACGTTCCAGGTTCAAGCAATTCCCCTGCCTCAGCCTCCTGATTAGCTGGGATTACAGGAATGTGACACCACGCCCAGCTAATTTTTTGTATTTTTTTAGTAGAGATGGTGTGTTGCCATGTTGGTCAGGCTGGTCTTGAACTCCAGACCTCAAGTAGTCCGCCCGCCTCGGCCTCCCAAAGTGCTGGGATTACAGGTGTGAGCTACTGCGCCTGGCCATGGGAACCACATTTTAGACACTGTAGGAGATTTAAAAAAAAAAAAAAAAAAAGAGAGAGATAATATATGGCCACTGGCCACTGCATTCAAAGAACTGGCAGATGGAGCCAAACGCAGTGGCTCACCCCTATAATCCTTTGGGAGGCTGAGGTGGGCAGATCACTTGAGGCCAGGAGTTTGAGACAAGCCTGACCAACATGGTGAAACCCATCTCTACTAAAAACACAAAACTTAGCCGGGCATGGTGGCAGGCACCTGTAGTCCCAGCTACTCAGGAGGCTGAGGCACAAGAATCATTTGAACCCAGGTGGCGGAGGTTGCAGTGAGCCAACATCAGCCTGGGTGACAGAGCAAGACTCTATCTCAAAAAAAAAAAAAAAAAAAAAGTTGGCAGAGGGAAAAGAATCAATAGAGATTAGATTAAGACCATGTTTTTGCTTTCTCAGTGCCTAGTACCTGGTATAATAGGGCCTCAACAAATGTTTGTTAATTTATAGATCAATTCTACATGTATAAAGCTCAAAAGCCTTCACAATTCACCTTTTAACCATCTCCTTCTTTCCCTTATAGTCTCAGAGGAAGACAGACCTTATTCAATTCCAAAACGAACTCCCTCTATTTGTATTCTTAATTCTATCAAGTCCTAGTATTCCGTTCATAAATTACCCTTCATTTCCACATATTCAACAGCTCCTCTCTTCTGATTCCTCTCCCTTAAGCAAAAGGAATATTCAGCTACACCTCCCCAACCCTGAAATATCAAAATGCAAATAATACACATAGTAAGCACTCAACAAATGTTTCCTGGATTGAAGTGTGCCCTATACTCTATAATCAAACTAAACCACTTACTGTTCCCAAACACATCAACTCTCACCCAGCTCTCTTCCACAGCTTGTTTCTTCCAACTAGGTGGAACACTCTCCCTTCTATTTTCCCTTGTAGAAACCTTTCACTTCTTTCAAAGTTCATTTAAAATGCTTTTGCCTTCATGAAACCTTTGCCTGTTCTCACAAACTGAATTCCCTCTTTCCTTCCTTTAACCCCATACTCCCTCTTCTCCTCCCCAACAAACACTAATTCTAGACCTCAGTCATGACTTACACTGTACCTCGATGCAACCATTCCATCAGACTGAAAGCTACTTGAAGGCAATGTGAAAGGAAAATAAAAACTTGGGACCCTAATTTCACTATTCCAAAAGAAAAAAAATTAAGCTGAAAGCTGAGTCATGCAAGAAGCTGCCTTACCTTTTGTTCCTAAGCAGATAGCTATAGATAAAAAGTTAAATATCTCCACAGGTTCTATGTTTACCTCTATGTTCACATTATCTTATGTAAAGTGAGATTTACTGAGCGTGAGATGAACATTTAATTGACTATTCCCCTACTTGCTCCTTTTCTCTGGCAACATGTGAATTCAGGAATGTGACCATGCTGCTTTTCCCTTTTAAGTATTGATCTCAACTTGATCTCTGGGGAAAGGCACAGATCTGTTTCCTGGGTGCGCATCTTTAACCTTGGTAAAATAAACTTTTAAATTGATTGAGACCTGCCTCAGATAGTTTTTGGTTAATAGCAACAACTGGGTCTTCCTCATTACTATCATCGCCATGACATCTGACACTTGCTTTTTCCTCTTGGTATTCCATAAATATTGCTTGAATTACATGAAATATCTTAACCACTCTACTCTGACATCTATTCCATCCCTACTGGATCAGGCATAATGTCACTTGGGTATACAGGACCCTGCTTTTCCCATGTTCTACAATCAAGAAGACGAATTTTTAGAAAGTAATTTGGCTCTCTGTTTTTCCATTTTCTCCAGTTCTAGGAAAAAAAAAAGTTAAAAACCTCTTTAGTTTTACTTTTACCTGGACAAGAATAAATATCAACCTATGAAGTAATTTCTACTTTATCTCTGAGAATCCTTACAGTTGCCCAAAGGCTCACAAACAGCCACTAGCTCAATAAATATGCCCCTAGAAAATAAGGCCTTCTTGTCCTTCCTAACTCAACACCAATACAAGGTCTTTATGCTACTATCCTAAGGGAGGAAGAAAGAAAATGAAATACGTTCAAAAACTGAGAATAAATTAGCAACTCAATAAACTATAAAGCCAAATGATGTATGTTTGGGTCAATCTGCTGCTTCTAAGTGAAACATTTATTCATAAAAAAAATGTAAAAACACCCAGCTAACTAGCATTGAGCCTGAACTCATTTTAAAATGAGGAAAAAAGCCTCTGAAGCTCCCTGCTTTTGATGCAACATACTGAGACAAAAAGATCACCATGAAACATGAAATAGAATGTACTTGGATTCTTCCTAGAAAGCCAGTTTGCCTTTACTCATTTCTACTCCCTTGAAATTTAGAGTTCCTAGTGATTCTGGGAATAAGAGCATAAAGTCTAAGATCTTTAAGATACAAAAATAAAAATGACGAGATCATCACGGACTGATCTTATTTACAACATTCTCCATTGGCCCTGAGGTAAAGCAACCGAAATGAACAGTACAAACAATGTTTTTTTTTCCATTGCATATTAAAAAAAATGCTACATACTGCAAATAAATAGATGACAGTAAAGTCAAAACCTGTCTAATAATGATATGTATAGTGAAAAATAAAATAAAGAAGGCCATCTCACCGCCACCCCACCTCTGCAATGGATTCTGGTCTAGATCACCTCTCTACTGGTCAGACTTCCAAGTTTAATTTATAATAGTCTGTCTTAGGAAACAGTAGCTCTCACAGATTTATTTCATTCAAGGTAATATTTGTTTGAGCTAGAGATTGTTATATTGTGAACTTACTTCCAGAAGAATTATATTTGTTCATAAAGACGAATTAAAGAAATCACTGTAAAAAAAAAAAAGCAATTATAATCATTCTCTGTATTTAGCTTCACACACAGGAGGATAATGCCAGCACAAGTGATCCTAATTCTAAGCATGAGCTCTCCTTAGAAAAGTGAAAGAAAAAACTTAGGAAAAAATTGAATCCTTGAATGTAATGAGATTTGGTAGCTCAAATATCATAAGCATGCCACCTGAACAAATAGCAATTGAAAGGCCAACATGTTCTATAAATGTTTCTTAAATAAATGTTTTAAGTAAAATCACCTCAACTCTTAGGCATCAGAATTCTGATGTTACTGGATAAGACTAAGAATAAGAGCCCTCCTTCCTGTTAGACTCTGAAAATAGGCAGCCTAGGGGATGAAGAGGTTACTGACTTTTACTAAATTGGAACAGAGGGAGGAATCAAGAGTGAAGAAAACTGCATTGTTTATTTCTGTTGGCTTTGGGGCCAACCCAGTCATCCACTTTTTAGAACAAGCAGCCCAGTCAAACACCAGTGCTGCTGCCTAAAGTTTCTCTGGCTCTGACTCTCCCTTTGTTTAACTTCTCCCACTGAGCATCCCTGGGTCAGCAGCAAACCTAGCAACTCAGGCTCTCCCTTAGGAAACCTGGGCAAATCAGATTCTGTGGGAAGTCATTCTCAGGCCTCTACACAGCTGCCAACAAAATTCTCCCTGCTGTTTCCTGGACAGGAGAAATGTAATGGAGCTCTAATCATATTATTGAAAAGGGCCTTCACACAAGCAATCTGATTTTCAAAGGAGCATAGAATATCATGATTTTATTTAGGAAATTTACCTTAACAATATAAATTTACCCTCATCTAGGATACACTCAACTGCCTCATTTTAAAGATGTTTCGACTGCCATTTCAAAGATGTTTCCTTGTTTAAAAATAAACTCCCCAATCATTCCTTCACACAACAGATATTTATTCAGTGCCTCTTATATCTCAGGTACCACATGGTCAGGATTCTTCTGCCCACGGGAGGGGCAACTAGTTGTCCTGGAGATTAGTAGCTCCTAATGTATCTTATTAAATATTCCCATTCAACTAATGTGGAGAACACATGCCAGTGCCCACCTTTCCTTTGTTCCACATGTTTAGGCTCATTCTTCTGCGATTAACTACACGAGTGCTGTGACTGGTATGCTAGGCATTTTTTATCTTCATTTGTACTAAGCACTGATTTTTTTAAAAAAACAGTGAAATAGGTTTACAAAGAATCCAGAAAAACATCTCCAGGCCTGCCTGTATACGTGCCCAGCTACAGTTGTTCAGAAAGTGAACCCAGACAGTGGAACAGCCACCTCTGCATATCCCAGCAAATATAAATTACCTGAAAATAGAAGCAAACAAAAAGAGTTTCAACTAAAAAACTATGGATTTAGCAACTTTACAAAACATTGTATTAGTTATGGCTTAAAGATAATTCAACTTTCTGCTTTTGTAATCTGTAATAAAGAGAGATTATAACTATTTATAAAATTCAAATTCCTAAGAATAGAGGAGAAATGAAGGCTATTCCTACAAATACTACAAAGCCACACACACAGAGACTCACTCACTCTGCTATGTTGAGATAGCCACAGGAAGCTGCTGCATGAAGGGGTGTCCAGCCCTCGTTGTCTTGCTGGTTTACATTGGCTCTGTTCTCCACCAGAAACTTCACCATGTCCAAATTTTCATCAATACATGCCTGAAAAGAAAAGTCCATTCATTCATTCAACAAGTATTCATTGAGTTCCACTATGTGCCAGACACTGCTCTGGGCACTGACAATGCCCAGCAGTTCTAATAATACATTAATTTCTATTTCTTCCATACTGTGTCCAGAGCATGACTTCTAGGCTTTGTGATCTTATGCAAGCGCTTAAATGTCTCCATGCCTTAATATCTAAACTGTGAAACACAGTTTCATGTATAATCATACTTAATCTTTTTTTTTTTTTTTTTTTTTAGACAGAGTTTCACTCTTTTTGCCCAGGCTGGAGTGCAATGGCATGATCTCAGCTCACCGCAACCTCTGCCTCCCAGGTTCAAGCGATTCTCCTGCCTCAGCCTCCCTAGTAGCTGGGATTACAGGAATGTGCCACCACACCTGGCTCATTTTGTATTTTTAGTAGAGATGGGGTTTCTCCATGTTGGTCAGGCTTGTCTCGAACTCCCGACCTCAGGTCATCCACCCACCTCAGCCTCCCAAAGTGCTGGGATTACAGGCGTGAGCCACCGCACCCGGCTTATGACACTTAAATCTTATTTATAGTATTATTAGGATTAATTGTGAAAGCGATTTCTAAAGTGCTACAAATGAATAAGCTGTTTCATCATTATATTATAAAAAGGAAAGTATGTTACAAAACACTGATTTGTATATGAATTTTATTTTATTTCACTGCCACCTATTTGTCGCAGATGCTTATTAATTTTAAAAGAAAATAATCAGAGGATCGCCTGAAGCCAGGAGTTTGAGACCAGCCTGGGTAACATAGTGAGACCCTGTCTCTATTATTAAAAAAATTCATTCCTTCATTCATTTAAAAAAGAAAAAATCACACAGGATCAAATACAGTTTTTCTCAGTGGGAAGTTGTAGTTTACGACTCTAGAATTGCTAAACAAACACTGCTTTGGTGAGAAAGGGTAGGGTGATCATTTCAAACAGAAAAAATGTATTTTCATGTATTTTCTGAATGGCTTCAAACACTATGGCAAAGTATGCTTGCAGTTATGGATGGTTAGGGAGTCTCATCTGCTCATTTCATGGCAGCAATTAGGAGAAAGCAGAAGCTTTCTGAATAAAGGCTTTAGGCTTACCATAAGACAAACAGAAACAGTCACAAACAGCAATGAGATCTAAAAAAACCAAAAGATCTTGACATAGCTACAGAATAAAAATGTGGTAGAAGGCCCACATGTGAAAATGATAACCATTACCAAGGCTTGGATGGTTACAAAACCATTGGGATAATTCAGGACCAAGAAACAAATGAGACTCCCTTTTTAAAACTTGCCTTTTAATCCCCTCCTTTAAAAAACAAGGCTAAAACTTCAGCTCAGGAAGAATTATCCAAATCAAAGGATTTTCATAATAATATTAAGATATTACTTGCATTTTCATTGTATTGACATTTACACTAATGATGCAAAAGCAATGGTGAGTAAAACCGCTGGTGCCTTAACATGAAGCAAGACAATGGCATCAAAAACTACCAGCAGGCACTATATTCTTCCTCACCACATACAGTTAAAAAAATAAAAAAGAAAGCCAGTTTCACTTAAGAATAACCTTGAAGAAGTAGTAGAAATGTTTTTTTTAATATTCTGTGTGAGAAAATGGAAAGTATACATAAAGCACTTCTGCTGCATTTTGAGGTATGATGGTTGATTCTAGGAAAAAGCACCTCGGGCCAGGCATGGTAACTTATGCCTGTAATCCCAACACTTTGAGAGGCTGAGGTGGTAGGATTGCTTGAGCCCAGGAGTTCAAGACCAGCCTGAGCAACACAGACCCCATCTCTGCAAAAAAATTAAAAATTAGCTAGGCATGGTGGCACGCACGTGTAGTCCCAGCTACTTGGGAGGCTAAGGTGGGAGGATGGCTTAAGCCTGGGAGGTCGAGGCTGCAGTGAGCTGTGATCACTGCTCTCCAGCCTGAGTGACAGGGCAAGACCATGTCTCGAAAACAAAAACAAAAATAAAAATAAAAACACACCACTTGTGCATCTGCTTCAGGTGTGAGATGAACTAGCCACTTTTTAAAATCAAAATAACACCACTTTTATTCAAAAGAATAACCAACAAATTATGATTATTCGGACTTGAAAATGAACAAAGTAAGCCTGTCACTCAGAGAAAATAATCAGTATGTGTTGCAATAAAATGTGACCATCCAAGTGAAAATAAGAATTCTGGAAACAGCTACCACCATGAGCTTGACAGCATCCCAGTATTCACTTTTCTGATAAGATCTGTTTGACTATCAACAAATCTGATTTGTTGATATTATATAATGAAATGTATTTAGATTTGTAAGATCTCTGTAACTCAATCAACCTATATTTTCCAAATAAACAAATGCATAGTGTTAGAAAATCACACATGAAGTAAAAGATTCATTCAAAGTACAAGTTAGACTAATGCGTTTTAATGTAACAGAGTAAGAAAAGTCCATTGACATGGTTTCAGTTTCCACACTGCATGAACATTTAAGAAACTCATGTCTTAAACTACCATTTCTAAAACTTACATTTAAGAAACTATCAGGTCGGGTATGGTGGCTCATGCCTGTAATCCCAGCACTTTGGGAGGCCAAGGCAGGTGGATCACCTGAGGTCAGGAGTTTGAGACCAGCCTAGCCAACATGGTGAAACCTCATCTCTACTAAAAATACAAAAACTAGGCAGGTATGGTGGTGCACACCTGTAATCTCAGGTACTCAGGAGGCTGAGGAACAAGAATCGCTTGAACCCAGGAGGCAGACGTTGCAGTGAGCCAGGATGGCACCACTGCACTCCAGCCTGGGCCACAGAGACTGTGTCTCAAAAAAAAAAGGAAACGAACCATCACTTGTTGGAGTTTGGTATAATATCCAAGAAAAACATCTACAATTGTCTGAACAGACTATTAAAATGCTCCTCCCTTTTCCAAATATATACCTTTGAGAGGCCAGATTTTATATACTTTCATCAAAATAATATATCACAGCAGATTGAATACAGACATTAAAATAAATTTGTAAAAATGTAAAACAATATCACTATTTTTAATTAAAATATGTAATTTATATTAACATGTAAGCAGGGTCATTGTTGCTTTAAATGACTTAATAAGTACATATTTAATAACTACATATTTTAAAAATTTCTTAGTAACGTATAATAATCAATACAAACAAAGTCCTGGTTAAATTTTGGGAGTCCTAAATGATTTCTTAAGTATAAAGGAATCCTGAGATCAGTTTGATAACCACTGTTTTAATCAAGCATACCAAAAGATATTTCATGGTTATAATGAACAACTATTTAAATGGCAAAAGATTACTGTGGAAAGAATTAAAGTTAGAACTCTAGAGGGCCCTTGTAACTACAGGACTTAAGTAGTACATATCACACCAAGAGAACTTACAGGAATTCCCTTCAGAGATAAACCTCATATCAATCCTGCCTAGAAGGGGATGAATGAAAAAAGGGTGATTTCATTTAGACGAAAATTTAACTAGATAACTTGGTTACAAACAGCATCTTTGTTATTTTTTCCCAAAATATTTGATACTTCTTTTACAGTTACTGAGATTAGCTAAAACTGTCAATCTAGGTTTGATTTGATGCTATATAATATATTCCTCCAATCTGACCTTCTGGCCAATCTGACTTTTATAGCCAGTATTCATAATGGTCTAGTTTTCAACAGCAGCTCCAGAAATTATATTTCTTCTATGATGTTTTCTTAGGTTTATCAACTTCCACAAGTATATCCCATTCTTTACCATGTAAAATGTTTCATAATTATTCATCATATTTACAAATAGTTCATAAGTATGCTTATCACTAAATTGGTCATATATTGTATGTCTGCCCATTTGCAATCCCATATGGCAAGGTCTAGCCAACTTATCACAGAGTATCTCACTAAAAACTGTAAATCAACATTTTTATTTTATTTATTTTTCTTTTTTGTAAATAAACGTTTTTAAGTAAAAAAATGGAAGGGGACACTTTCAAAAAGGTACTGAAGTCCAATAAGAAAAAAGAATTTTAAAGGTTGTGCTAAAAACACTCTTTGCCCTTAGTAATACTCCTATATCAAGAAGGTCAAATGTGCCGTCTAAACCTGTGTAGGCCAGGACAGCTGGGTCAATTGCTTCTTCCTGAGTTGCAAAATTTCTTTGGCTCTGAAAGAACAATCTAAAAACTTAGCTCTAATGTCCACACTACTATCAAGCAGACTTTTAGAAGCCAATGTTTTCAAGATCATTCTTTGGCCTTTAAAGACAACAGCAGCCACATTCCAGAGGCCCTAAAATAAGCCCAGCTAGTCCAGGTATCAAACGGGAGAAAACTTGTCTTTTCTCTTTCCTCCCCTCTTACTTCTCCTCTCCTTTTCTTAATCTCCTTCACCTCATCACTACTTCAGTTCTCTTCTTTTAAATTTTGTGATATTGTGTCTTATAAATCCCAAATCCTTGATATAAAAAACATTTTTGAGACAGGGTCTTGCTCTGTTGCCAGGGCTGGTCATTAACTCTTGGGCTCAAAAAGCCTCTGTCTCAGCCTTCCAAGTAGCTGGGACTACAGCTACATGCCACTACAGCCAGTTTGATACAAAATTTTACGGGAATGACACTGTAAGGAAGTTTGACAGAACAACAAGAACAACAAAACTAGCCTAATCTAAAAATGTAATTTGGCGATCATCAATCTGTGAAGAACCATCTTACAGAAAATAAAGGAGGCCAACTGTCTAAATCATTCCCCATACCCTCCACAAAGTGAAGGATGGTATGTTGTTTAAAACAGTTTTGGCTAGGCATGGTGGCTCACACCTGTAGTCCCAGCACTTTGAGAGGCCGAGGTGGGAGGATCGCTTGAGTACAGGAGAACCTGTGCAACACAGTGAGACCCCATCTCTATTTGTAAAATAAATAAAAGCACCAGCTTTGGAGTCAGACAGACCAGGGCTTGCAAACCAGCTCTGCTGATGTGTACAACCTAGAGTGGGGTATCTAACTTAACTATAAGCATATGTACTCATCTATAGCATTGGGAGTACCACCTACCTCATAAGGTTTTGTAAAGATTAAAGGAGATAAGCCCTTGGAATTGTTCCTGACTTTGTTGTTGTTAAGGCAACAGTGTAACACACAGCAACTGCCTCAAGGGGAAAAAAAAAAAACAAAAAGTACTTAGTCCTCAATGATCACAGCCCTCCCCTCCCACCCCCAGTACCTTATAGGAGGAAAGAAGTTTGGTTAAAAATGTCTTTGAACTAGCAAGATTCTGGAGCTTGTTTGTAAGTCTAACTGCAGAAAATTCCCTCTCTAATGTTCAGAATTCCATGGATTCTTAAATTCAGGAGCTATATGAATAAAATAGTATGCACCCAGTTAAGGTGGAAGAGAATCATTCTTGTAGGTAAGACCAATCAACAGAGTTGTAGGACACTCTCATGAAGCACCTTGGAGTGACTGTTTTCTTGCTTTTTTTTTTTTTTTTTTGCCTCCAGAAGAAGGAATATGACTAAAGCATGGATGAGAGACTAAAGCATGGATGAGAGACATATAGTCCCTGAAAATCTTCTCAAGTGAATAACGACTAAATTTAGATGCCCTTCTGCCCACTCCATCGGCAGCTGTGCTGCTGACTCATTCACGACTGAAGCATGGTAGATGAGCAGATTCGCCCACTTATAAAACTGTTTCCAGGGACATGAACTTCAACACCATACCTCTACACAGAGCTATGCTAAACCTTCCAGAGAGATAGGTCTTTCCTTTTCTTGGGAAGCAGGCTAAACAAGCTTTTGATGTCACTCATGATAATGGGGAAATTCTTTGCATTTGGCCCAGATTCCTTCTGATGCAGTTTAAGTCCATTTCCTCCTATTTTGCATTCCTGAAGACACATCGAATTTTACTAAAGTAACAACGTGTTCTAAGCTCCTTAAGAAATAGAGATATAACTTAATTACTAGTATGAAGGAACTATTTAGAAAAACTGCCAGGTAATAAATTAAAGTTTCCCAACATCAGCATGTCACATTTGTCTGGCAATGATAATCTCCAAGGAAAAATACTTGATTTTACCAATAATCTGGGGAAAGAGCACTGTGATCTCACTACTGTACCTGATACTGCTCTCTCCATATCAAAGGCAAAAGTGGCTGATATCAATCAGTGCCAGGGTTAAATCTGGCAGTGCAGAGAAGGCCTCATAAAACAAAGCCTCCTCGGTTCCCAAAATAGCCTGCAACTGTTGCCACCAGCAAGTGCCAGCTTTCAGAGCTGACCTTGCTGTTGTGTCTCAGAATATCACTAATACTACCTGCCTTGGCCTCAGAACAACTCTCTTCCCCATAAAACCCAGCTCCAGGTGTCTGGGCATATGTTAGAAGCTGGGCTTAGTGCAGCCTAACACCTACTTGTTTGGATTTTTCAGCCCACGCTTTCCTTGATTTCAACAAATCATGTGGACAAAATTGTTGAGAGTATATCAAGAAACACTACCAAAAGAGTAAAAAGGCAGTCCATAGAGTGGGAGAAAATACTTGCAAATCAATGCTTACTTCAGCAGTACATATACTAAAATTGGAACAATACAGAGATTGGCATGGCCCCTACATAAGGATGACAAGCAAATTCATGAAGCATTCCATATTTTTTATAAGCAAAAATATATGTACATAATAAAGTTTTTAAATTTGCACATCATATATCTGTATGGGATTAATATCCAGAGTATATCGAGAACTCCTAAAACTCAACAACAAAAAATAAACAACCTGATTCAAAAATGGGCAAAAAAGATTTGAATGGACATGTATCCAAAGATATACAAATGGCCAATAAGCATATGAAAAAATGCTCAATGTCACTAATCATTAGGGAAATGAAAATCAAAACTACAATGAGATAGCACCTCATACCTATTAGGATGACTATTATCAAAAAAACAAAATAGGCCTGTAGTCCCAGTTATTTGGGAGGCTGAGGAGGGAGGATCGCTTGAGCCCAGGTGATCAAGGCTGCAGTGAGCTATGATAGCACCACTGCCCTCAAGCGTGGGCAACACACAAGACCCATCTCTAAAAATAAATAATGAAATATAAAAATAAAATTTTAGCATGCAAGGAAATATTTTAAAAGTGTTGGCTGGGCGTTGTGGGTCACACCTGTAATCTCAGCACTTTGGGAGGCTGAGGTGGGTGGATCACGAGATCAGGAGATTGAGACCATCCTGGCCAACATGGTGAAACCCTGTCTCTACTAAAATACAAAAAATTAGCTGGGCGTGGTGGCGCGTGCCTGTAGTCCCAGCTACTTGGGAGGCTGAGGCAGGGGAATTGCTTGAACCCAGGAGGTGGAGGTTGCAGTGAGCCGAGATCATGCCACTGCTCTCCAGCCTGGTGACAGAGCAAGACTCCATCTCAAAAAAAAAAAAAAGTGTTGGCAAGGAATTAAAATCCTTGTGCACTGCTCAGGGGAATGTAAAATGGTATAGCCTCTATGGAAAACAGTATGGAAGTTCCTCAAAAAATTAAAAATAGAATTACCATTTCTATTTTCTATTCAAAAATAGGATTTTGAATATATATCCAGAAGAATTCTGGGTATAAACTCAAAATAATTGATGCTGGTCGTAATGGCTCATGCCTGTAATTCTAGCACTTTGGTAGGCTGAGGCGAGTGAACTGCCTGAGCTCAGGAGTTCAAGACCAGCCTGGGCAACATGGCGAAACCTTGTCTCTACTAAAAATACAAAAAATTAGCTGGGTGTGGTGGCATGCGCCTGTAATCCCAGCTACTTAGGAGGCTGAGGCATAAGAATTGCTTGAGCCTGGGAGGTGGAGGTTCCAGTGAGCAGAGACTGTAGTCCAGCCTGGGGGACAGAATGAAACCCTGTCTCAAAAAAAAAAAAAAAAAAAAGAAAGAAATAATAATAATTGAAAGCAGGGTCTCTCAAAGAGATATGTGTACACCCATGTTCACAGCAGCCTTATGCACAATAGCTACAATGTGGAAGCAATTGAAGAGCCCATTGATGGCTGAATGGATAAGTAAAATATGGTATATACATGCAATGTATATATACCAGAGGGAGTGTGATCCTGATAACACCTTGATTTTAAACTTCTGGACTCCAGAACTGTGGGAGAATGATTGAATAATTTTGTTTTAGGCCACCAAGTTTGTGTTAATTTGTTACAGAAGCCACAGGAAACTAATAAACTTGCCATAGAATAGCGAATCAGAATCAGAACCTAGAGAGTCTGCCATATCCTCAATCCTTACTAGTAACTGAAAATCACAGCTGTAACTGATCCCTTCTTTGACAGATGAAAAGTGATCAATAAATTTATAATATGACTTTTTAAAAGACAACTACATTAAATAGAAAGTTTTAGAAACTGTTTAACTAATCTCTGGCTCAAATAGCAAAACCCTGAAAGAACTAATCATGGTTCTCACATGAGGCATTTTACTGAAGGTATTCTGGCTGAGGACTGAAACTGGGATAGAAATACTAATTGATGAGGTCCCTGTGAAACCCAACATTTCTAAGCTCAAAGTCCCCTTGCCCCAACTAGACGGCCAAGAAATCATATGCCAAGAAATTATACAGCTGTCCCTCAGTATCCATGGGGAACTGGTTGCAAGACCCCCTGCAGATACCAAAATCCACTGAGGGTCAAGTTCCTTAAATAAAATGGTATAATATTTGCATATAACCTATGCACATCCTTCCAGATACTTTAAATCATCTCTAGATTATTTAAAATGCCTAAAACAATGTAAATACTATGTAAATAGTCATTATTCTATACTGTTTTTATTTGTATTATTTTTATTAATATTAAATTTTTATTTTTTATTTTTCCCAAATATTTTCAATCTGCAGTTGGTTGACTCCATGGATGCAGAACCCATGGATATGGAGAGCCAGTAGTACAAATAAATTAAAGGTGATAAAGGACTCAGTAAATCTGGCAATCTCCACCATCAGGAGATCGTCACTACAGGAAGGCTTTAACCTATCAGTAGTTAAGATTGACTGATCCAGAGCTTGAGTCAATCCTTCCAAGTAGCTGTCTCTTCACTCCAATCATGATATAGTATAACTACTGCTTAAGTGGAAATCATCACAGCAGTCTGCTCCAACATGACAGGTGACACCAGCAACTGTCTGCCCTGTGTGAAAGACTCATAACCCCACTGGCAGAGACAGTTTGGCTCTCAGATGGTGAGAACTATATCTGATTATGTACTCAGTGGTCAGGCAGGCTCTGGACACAGATCTGTACCCTTTCAAGAGAGACAGCCGAGAGAGCAGAAGTAAAGAATTTTCCATGAAGTGTCATACTGATTAAGATTTTGTTCTCAGTAAACTGGCATATTACCTCAAGACTGCAAATGTTTACAGGCTGGGACCAGAGAACATCTCCCTTCAATTAAGAGCAAGTATCATATTGCCTAAGGGTTAACAGTACTTAAATTTCAAAAATGTGTTCAATTTGGATTCTAATAAGCCCTTCGCTTCAAATAATGTTTCCCTCAATCTTCTCTATTCCCCATGCTTTTATTCACCTAAAAGAAGAAAAACTCATTCAGCTGTCTTACAACTTGGCAACTTTTGCACTATGGTTATACACGTCTGATCTCTTATCATCAAATCATGTTTTTTGAAAGTTGAGGAGAAAGAAGATGAAGAGCTCAGAAAATGAAATCTGCATTTTCTCAAAGCTCATGAGTCATCTTCAAACAGAAGTTGTATGTTCCAGTCTCCAAATCTCTACTTTGTTACTCACTGATAATTCTAATTTTGAGGAACAATAAATGTGGCCTACTAATTGTGATAAAAATCCCAAGTATGACTTTCTTTCAGCTCAAAGGTGAGATAGCTGAGTAACTCTGACACTTGAATATAAGAAAGTCCTATTGAAATTGGCTTCTTACAAATTCTGTACATAAGAGCTGAGACACACTAAGTAATGGAATGATACACCTTTACAGACTTGATCAAAGACATTCCTTAGAAAAAGTCTATTATAACAAAACAGTAAAGGAAAAAAAGAATACGGAAACTAGAGTGATAAGCATTAGGACTTTCCATGTTACAGATGAAGAAACTCAGCCTTGGAAAAGTTAAATGATTCTTATTTAAGGTCATATATTCAGTCACAGAACCACCTAAATGCTTTCTACCTACCACTTTAGAGGTGTCCGAAATAGAGTTCATGGCCAGGGTCAAGAAACTACTTGGTTCATGGAACATTTTCAATGCTTAATACCATCTCCCTAAAAATAGCTTTATTTTAGTATATACAGTGTAAACTGATATTAGTCTACTCCAATAATTTTATATAAGGAATGTGGCCAATTGGTCAATTTGAGTTGGTTACTCCTAACTAGACTAAATGCAAAACACAAAGATCTCATTAAAGTGCTTTGGTTACCACTCTGTTTATTAGCATGAGTCTGGATTAGAAACCTCCTTCCTCTCTTGGCTACCTGTCTTAATCACAGCCCCCCAGTGGTCTACCCTGCTGCCAAGTTGGCATGTAGAGTAAATTGTTGTCCCATGGAGAGGGATTTTTCTATTTAACTCCAGATCACTCTGTGCCCATAAACAAGTGTTTCACAAGACACAAGAGCACAGCCTGAAAGCTATGGCATGGGCAATGCTTCATAGCTGTCAAGTAAGCCTGGGGAAAAGAAGGAAGACAATCCTGGGATCTGAGTTGAGTAAGGAGTGAATGCCACAAAGAAATTACAGGCAGTTTAAATCTGCAGAAAGTATAAATCAGCACACCAAATATTATCCGTAAAAGGAGATATTAAATAAAAGGTTATTATTTTCCCAGCATATTTTCATCAAGCGTTTTATATAGTCAAAGCTAATAATATATTATTAGTCCATAACACTTATTGTCATGTCCTCCCACAGGTAGAGTACTACATGGTAGAAGACACGAGAGAAAGCAGTTATATAACCCTAAGCAGTACAGCATACAGTTAAGAGCACAGACTATGAAATAAGACTTCCTGAGTTCAAATCCCAGGTCTACTGGTTAAGTAGTTTTGTGTTCTTGGGACGAGTTATTTCTGTCTGCTTCAGGTTCCTCATCTGTTAAATTATCATACCAATCATAAGAACTACTTCATGGAGTTACAATTAGGATTAAATGAGCTAATGTACATAAAAACACTTCAAGCCTGGCACACAGTTAAATGTTACGTGTTAGCTGCTATTATTATATTACCCTTGTATTATCTCCAGAGTTAACAAGGGACCCTCCTTTCTACACAAGAGCAAAAATGATATACTTAAACATAAATATAGTTCTATATAAGTAATGTTATACTTAAATATGAATATAAGCTCTATGTAAGTTCCTGTACATGTAAACAGATCACAGTCAGGTTTCATTCATAAGAGATAAAAGTTAATTTAAGTTAGGATTAGAGGAAAGGAAAAACAATGGGCCAGGGCTCCTATAGCTGACTTCTATAGCTGGTAAAGGAAGTTGAGGGGCTTTAGACTGCGTTTTACCATAACAGAGTCACGGGCTGCTGAGGGTCCATCAAGTCTAATTGTTAGCACAAGCAGAAAATCTAAGAAGATAAAGTTCTGATCTGACACTGACTCACATTACCAAAGAACAGGTTAAGAATTTGTCTCAGTAATCAGTGTTCCCTGACTGTAATGTGCATTTCCATTTATTCATGTAACAAATATTACTAAGGCCTGTACTATACCAGACATGGTCCTCAGGTGGAGATGTAGTAATAAAAAATGATTAAGACTTTATCATTTAGTGGTGGAAAGAGACATGTAAATGATACAATGCAACAGAAATAATCTCTAATATAAAATGAGAGCTAAGTACAAAGTGTTATAGTGCAGAGTAAGAAGTTGCTAACTTGGTCGAGGGGCTACAGGAAAAACCTCCCAGTATAAACATTATTTGGGCTGGGTGCGGTGGCTCACGCCTGTAATCCCAGCACTCCGGGAGGCCAAGGTGGGCGGATCATGAGGTCAGGAGATCAAGACCATCCTGGCTAACACAGTGAAACCCCGTCTCTACTAAAAAAATACAAAAAATTAGCCAGGCGTGGTGGCACACGCCTGCAGTCCCAGCTACTCAGGAGGCTGAGGCAGGAGAACCGCTTGAAGCTGGAAGGTGGAGCTGCAGTGAGCCAAGACACGCCACTGCACTCCAGCCTGGGCAATAGAGTGAGACTCCATCTCAAAAAAATTATAATAAAAATTTAAAAAATAAAAATAAAAAATTATTTACCTGAGTTATAAAGAAGAAAGAGAACACTGAAACAGCAGCGATGAAGAGAATCTGAAGCAAAGAGAATAACATAGGCAAAGGTCTGGAGGAAACAGAAAATGTCCATTTTTTGGAATAGTGAGAATTCTATGCATGCATAGACTAAAAAGGGGGTGGGGGCATGCATAGAAATTTAAGTAGGGCTTCATTTGCCATACTGAGAAATTGGAACTTTACCCTACAGGCTAGTGGAAAATAGAAGGAATTGTGGCTGGTAGGATACGTTGACAGCCATGAAGGTCCCTATATTCCATCCATGATAAAGAGTCTCACCTTTATCCTGAAGACAACAGGGAGGTATTGAGGTTTTTAAACCAGAGAGTGATACTAACAGAATTGTATCTTAGAATGATAATTGCAGTAGGAATATGAAGATTGAACCACTGGGAGGGAAAAACTCATGAGAGACACCAGTGAGGAAATTGTAATCTAGGCAAGAGAGGATGAGGTCTTGAAGTAAGGTACTGGCAGCTAAGACACTGGGGAGGACATGGATTTGAGAAGTACCCCTGAGGTAAAATGAACAGAAAGGGTCACTTATTAGAATGTCAGTGGTGAGAAAGGATAACATGGAGATTGTTAAGAGCTTAGGACCATGGGTGATTTGTGACACCACTTAGACAAAACAGGGAATATAAGGAAGTCTTAGAAGTCTTTTCTGTTTCTGATTCCCAACTAGTGCTAATTTCTCTTAAAGCCTAAGTGACTTACACTCAGGAACTATATTTGAGCAGCAAACTAACAAGTACTGTTGCCCTTTCCATATTAAATAATCCAAAAGTGAGCCTAGAGAAATCAGTGCCAACCAGCCCAGCCTCACAGCTGTTCCCTGCCCCACAGCAAAGTCCTGGTTGGGTCAGTGTCATGAATACCATGGCATGGGCCTGGCAAGGCATTATTGTACAGCAGCCCACACAACAGGGGAATTGAGGTTACAGTATAAGGTCTCAGCTACAGCTGAAATCTCTTTAAAGGCACGTGTTAGTGATAACAATGGTAACTTTACAACTCAAGAGGACACCCCCAATTTCTTCTCGAAAATTTTAATCTTTGGAATAGAAAATGAGTTGGTAAATTAAAAATATACTGTTTGGCCCATATGGTATTTTAAAATTAAAGATTTTTTGCACACAAAAATTCTATATTTGAAACTCCTTTTTAAAAATTAGATTACAACACTGGGGCCAGATTCCCACAAAGTAACAACTGGTTGGAGTTGAGTGGCAGCTGCCTTCTTTAGGCAGAACATGCGTTTCTCAGTGCCCCAGGCCCCATCTCTCTCTACTGTGTTACACCAAGCCTTCTTTATTAATTTGTATTACCTGCCCATCCCCTTTACTTTCTTATTTTCCCAAAAATTTTTATGAAGATGTTCAAACACAGAAAAGTTGAAAGAAGTTCACAGTGACCCCCCCATATACCCACACAAGCTATCGTCCACTATTAATGTTGTATTTGCTTTGTCATGTATCCATCCCTTCATCCATTCATCCCATTTCAGACATTAGTAATAATTTCTCCAAATACTTAACTATAAACTAGAGTTAAATACCTCTTTACAGTATTATTTTTCTTTTGAAGTAAAATTTACATACAGTGAAAAGCACGAATCTTAGGTATACATTCACTAAGTTTTGACAAATGTCTGTATATGTTACCCCTCACTGTAGGTGTTTGAGTTGCATCTCTCAGGCATCTGACCCCTTGGACAGAAAATTGTTTTTCTACATTGCTCTGACCTCAGCACTGTCCGAGGCCAAGGAAATGCTGGCTATGAGCAGAAACATAGTTGACCTCTCTTAAAGCTGCGTCTTGTTTCTGCTAGGCCTTAACAGTCCAAATCTGGGTATAATCAATTTTGTATATCTGATAATATAAATTCACTATTGAGGCTGAAAACAGAACACACACTAGAGATTAAGACTTGAGAAATCTGAACAACTTGGTTTTTTCCTGAAAGCATCAAGCATAATGATACAACAAAACATAGCCTGTAGTCCAAACTTCAGACTGCTATGTCCTAGAAGAAGGGAAGTAGAATGAAAAATACAAACCAATGAATAACACAAACATCCCTTGAGATCACAAATAGAAGAGTTAGATTCCACTCTCCCCGACTAGCTTACTGGTAGTACCAAGGTAACAAGAAAAGCTTCCGTGATTTGTTGGTAAGAGAAGTCATTCCTAAGTCCAGGAAAAGATCAGGAATAGCAAAAAGGTAGAAACCTCATGTTCCAAAAGTAGAATATGGACAGGTAAAAACCTGAAAGAGGACTCAAGATTCACTGTTAAGGCAAAGACTTTCCACATAGCCTGGCAAAGCAATGGCATCCCTTTATGGAAATGAAAATGAGAAACGCCCCCTGTCTCCTTTGATGGTAAGTGCTTACTTATCTGCAGTCAAATCCCAGCCTCCCAGAGCACTTCACTAGCAGGGTGCTCAGAATTAGGTGAAGCTTGCCAAGACAGAAAATTTCAGATGCTGTTGCAGAGGCACTGAAGGTTAAGGAAAGAGTGTGTGTTACCTTGCTTTCAATCTGTCTCAACTGTCTCATTTATAGAGTGTCCTCAAGCCCAAACTCTGAACAACTGTTATGTAGGACAGAGGTAGAGGAGAAATTTCAGAACAGAATGGAGGATGTTGTAAGATGCTGTATAGGCAAAAGAGTCTGACTTTAATGTCACAGCCCATCCTAATCTTTCCACAGCTAAGTTTCTTAGCTATACAAGAAAAACACCAAATTTAACCTTCTTTTTATTTCAGGGTTGATGTGAGGACACAAGACAACAAATATGAAAACAGATTTTTAAAAAGATAACTAGTACATAAGTCCAAGTATTGCTATTAACGTATGCTATTCTTTGTGTTAATTAATAAAACAAAATATACTGTGAGGCAGTATAGTGCATTGATTTAGAGCAAACTTTCTCTGTAAAGAGCCAAATAGAAAGTACTTTATTTGGGAGACCAAGGTGAATGAATTGCTTGAGGGCAGGAGTTCAAGACCAGCCTGGGCAATGTGGCAAGAATCTATCTCTACAAAAAAAAAAAAAAAAAAAAAAAAAAAAATTAAATTAGCCAGCCATGGTGGTGGACAACTGTAGTCCTAGCTACTCGGGAGGCTGAGATGAATAACTTGCTTAAACCCAGGAGGTCAAAACTGCAGTGAGGTATGACTGTGCCATTATACTCCAGCGTAGGTGCCAGAGCCTGACCCTGTCTCTAAAAAAAAAAGAGAAAAAAGAGAAAAAAGAAAGAAGTACTTTACACTTTGCAGATCATAGTCTCTTGCAAACATTCAACTCTGTCATTATAATGTAAAAGCAGCTATAGACAATACTAAACCAACGACTATAGCTGGGTTCCAGTAAAATTTTATGGACACTAAAAATCTGAATTTCACATAAGTTGCACATATCACAAAATATTTTACTTCTTTTTCAGCTAATTAAAAGTGCAAAACTATTTTTAGCTTATAGGTTGTACAAAAACAGGCAGTGGGCTGGATTTGGCCCATGAGCTATAGTTTGCTGACCCCTGATTTAGTGCATTGGCCAGAAAGTTTGAATTCAAATGTCAGCTGTGGAACTTAATAGCTATAAGACCTTGTATAAGTTACTTAACTTCTTTCTGCCTCAGTTACCCCATCTATAAAATGGGAATAACAGTACTATTTCTTTCTTAGTATTATTATGAAGATTACATATCTTTATATGGACACAGCAGTTGGAACAGTGTCTGGCACAACTTAACTGCTCATGCATATTGCTGTTAGCTATTATAAACCATTTCCATAACAATCTCTAACAATTCTGCAAGTGTGCCACACTTTCACATGCCCTCATATATTTACACATGCTGTTTCCTCTGCCTGGGATGCATTTTCCTGCTTAGAGCTTCTACATGGTCTGAAAGACTTAGTTTAAACATTACCTTCACTATGAAGCCTGCCTTGACTATTCTTCTCATCCTAGCAGATACTAGCCACTACCACCAGTTTCCCATTACCTATTGTAGTATATTGGATTTTATTGTAGTTATCTTTGATAGGTCAAATTCTCAGCAAGACTCCTTGTATGCAGAGTCTATGACTTACTAATTGTATCCCCAGGGCCCAGAATAGTGCTCTACACACACAAAGCATGTATTTGCTTAATGATATTAACAATACAGAAAGCAAGCTAATACATTAATAACGAGGATAGAAATCTCCTAGTTATGTGCCATAAAAAGGAACAAAATCATGTGCTTTCCAGTAACATGGATGCAGCTGGAGGCCATTATCCTAAGTAAATTAACACAGGAACAGAAAACAAATTCTGCATGTTCTCACTTATAAGTGTGAGCTAAACACTGGGTATTCATGGACATAAAGATGGCAACAGTAGACACTGGGGACTACTAGAGCAGAGAGGGAGGGAGAGAGAAAGGGAGAGGGGCTAGGGATGAAAAACTAACTATTGGGTACTACACTTGCTAACTGGGTGATGGGATCAATCATACCCCAAACTTCAGCATCACACGATATACCCATTAACAAACTTGTACATGTACCCCCTGAATCTAAAAGTTGAAATTATAAAAAATAAATGAAATAAGATCTTTTAAATCCATCATCAAGGAAAAACAAATATCGGCCAGGCGCAGTGGCTCATGCCTGTAATCCCAGCACTTTGGGAGGCTGAGGCAAGCAAATCACGAGGTCAGGAGATCGAGACCATCCTGGTTAACACGGTGAAACCCCATCTCTACTAAAAACACAAAAAATTAGCCAAGCATGGCGGTGGGTACCTGTAGTCCCAGCTACTCAGGAGGCTGAGGCAGGAGAATGGCTTGAACCCAGGAGGTGGAGCTTGCAGTGAGCCAAGATTGCGCCATTGCACTCCAGCCTGGGCGACAGAGCAAGACTCCATTTCAAAAAAAAAAAAAGGTGCGGTGGCTCACACCTGTAATCCCAGCATTTTAGGAAGGTAAGGAGGGAGGATTGTTTGAGACCAGCTTGGACAACAAAATGAGCCCTCATCTCTACAAAAAATTAAAAAATTCACTGAGCATGCTAACACATGCCTGTGGTCCCAGCTACATAGGAGGCTAAGGCAGGGGGATCGCTTAGGCCCAGGAAAATGAGGCTGCAGTAAGCCATGTACGCACCACTACACTGCAGCCCTAGGTGACAGAGCGAGACCCTGTCAAAAGAAAGAAATCTCCTAGTTATATGACAAATATGAATATAATTAAATATGAAAATAATTTCTAATATCCTATTTTGAGTAAAATTTACCATGTTAATATTCCATCCCCAGGCATATCCAGTAAGCATCCAGAGGTTGTCTTGGTGCTGTTATTAGTTGGTAGCAGATATCTTAGAATCCACACATTGATAATCACAACACTAGGTTTTAGAGATTCAAAAGCTCATCTCCCTCAATTTACAAAAAATATATATATATGTTTAGTAGTGAGGGGAAAAGGAAATAAAATAATGAAATGTGAAATTTCCACCAATATAACAATGTACATAGCAAAAACCAAGAAGTTAACAGAATGAAAGCCCTTTTTTGAGCCTTCTCTTAAACTCTTAAGGAAATAGTCAATCATCAAAAGGCTTCACCAAAGCCATTGAGAGAAGTATGCTTTTTCAGCTAGTCAGGATTCTAACTAAAACAGAGTTACTTGGGCAACATAAGACATTACCCTTGCCACTCTCAACTTGCCAAGAGTGTTGTGCCCCTTTGCTTAGACTTCTGCCAGGCAAGCTATGATACTGTGCCCAAATGATCCTGTGCCAGACACAACAATCCCTCTGACAGAAGGTTCCTTGTGTCTACTAATTCTAGGCTAACCAGCATGCCTGGCACACTGTCTCTTAAAAAAACCAAAGCTGTTTTGGGAGAACAGGTTAAAGGAGGAAGGGACTCCAACAACTAAATAGTGAATATTTTCCAAAAGGCAATTTAATATCATCAAAATCAATGAATGCTATAATAACGAAGAGAGTTCAGTGAAGATTCAGATCACAGCCCCCAGGTGACACTAACATGACAGTGAGGATGAAGTAGGAGCTTTACATTTTCTAAGTTTTCTAAGTTAATGTCACATATGTAAAAATCCCAGCTGTTTGCTGTGGAAATAATGACATCAGAATCACTTTGTCCTTGGGTTTTCGTTTTTGCTTCTTTTGTTTCTAATGTGTGTATGCATGTGCGTGTAATGCACTAGCTGAGAACTATCCATTTTTCCAGTGGTCTATTTCCCTCTTTCAGAGCATGAGATCATATACTATGAGAATCTGCCAAATTTAAGGAATTTGGCATACTGTCTCCTAAAAAAATCAAACATATAGAAAATACTTTTTAGCTGGGCACAGGGGCGCACACCTGTAGTCCAGCTACTCGGGAGGCTGAGGTGGGAGAATCACTTGAGTCCAGGAGGTGGAGGTTGCAGTGAGCTGAGATTGCACCACTGCACTCCAGCCTGGGCGACAGGGCAAGACTCCATCTCAAAAGTAAAAAAGAAAATATTTATGTTAGGACTATGCTGTATTCTTGCCAGTGCCATTGTTATTACTACTACCATTGCTATCATGATTTTCTTCAGTGCCAGAAAATAGCTACATGCATAGTATTTAATTATTGCTGAATTTGGACATTCTCATAATTGCTAACTCAAGGGATAGTAACTTTAGACACACTATTATCAACAACTTTTTTTCTTCCAATATGTTATTTTAATATATCTGACTAAAAGGATTGGGTTTTCTTATATTTTAGATCTAGATTAATTTCAATGGAATAATGTAAGTTATAATGCCATCCTTTCTTCCAAAAAACTCAAATTTTAAATATATCCCCATGTGTCTTCCCAAAAGTCCTCTAAGGAAGGGAAAGGTTGAGGAATATCATAATACTGGTGATAGCAGCCAATATTTTTTCTGGTCTATTTGAAGCTGGGCATGTGGACAAGACCTGGCAAGAGAGTAGTGTGAAAAGACAACCTACCACAAAGCTATGAGAAATTCTAGCATTTAAAAACCATGTAGGAAAGGATGAGTGAGTAAAGGTGGTATAACCAGAGAAGAGAAAAGAAAAACAAATTTAGCATGGAAGTCATAGGATGAAAGTGTTTCAAGAAAGAGTGGTTGATGCTGCTAACAGTCAAGTAAGCTGAAGAAAGGACATGTCAGAATTAGCAATGTAAAGGTCACGGAGGACCTGAGCTTGAAATGTTTCAGTGCAGTAATCGGGAAAGAGCAAGATTAAGAATGGAATGAAGAGTGAAAGGAAATGAGAGCATTGATAAGTCTTGAAAAATATGGCTAAGAAAGGGAGGAAAGAGACAGAGTGATAGATGGAAGCCAGGAAGGGGCCATAAAATGTTGTTATTGTAAAATGAAAGAGACTTGAGCATCTTTAATTATATTTAGAAGCATTCACATAAAAAGAAAAGGTTGGCGAATAAGGTTGGATAGCGTGAGATTAAAGAGAAAGGCTCCAAAATAAAGACAGAAGGATTAGCCTTAAATGGGAAAAACTCTCCACTGCAATAGGAGGGAAGGAAAAGAGAATGCCTCAGACATAGGTAGAGTGGTTTAGAGATAAAAATTGAGCCTGGGCAACATGGTGAAACCCCATCTCTACAAAAAATACAAAAATTAGCCACGCATGATGGCACGCACCTATAGTCCCAGCTACTTGGGAGGCTGAGGTGGGAGGATCACTTGAGCCCCAAAGGCATTGCTTGCAGTGAGCCAAGCCTTGCAGTGCGACACTGCACTTCAGTCTGAGTGACAAAGAGGGACTTTGTCTCAAAAAAGTAATAACAAATAAGAAATTCCCATCTAATTTCTCTGTTTTATCTGTGAAGTAGTAGTAATCACAGTAGTAACAGAGGTAGTGGTAGGAGCAATAATATCAGTTAACATTTATTAAGGGCTTACTATACATGGGTGAAACACTGCCCCATATATTGAATATTAATGAATTAATATTCATTAAACACTGCCCCACATAATGAATGTCAGTGAATTAATATTCATTAAATCCTCCTGGCAAGCTAATAAGATAAATATTACTATTATTATCATCATCATCATTTTTAGAAGATTAAGTAACATGCCCAAGGTCACATGGCTAAAAACTAAGGAGCCAGCATTCAAATCCAATCAGTCTGGCTCCAGAGCATAATTCTGAACCATTTTATTATACCAACTCTAAATGTAACAACCTATAGGGCACTAGAGACTTTCACAAGTCTCATGTTAAAGCACTTGTTAAAAGGGTTTTTTTGGTGCAGTGATAAACACAAAAGCCAGATCAGAGTGGTTGTGGAGTAGGAAGCAAAGCAGTAGGAGGTGGTATCGACTGTTCAGAAAAAGGGAGGAAGTAGAATGCTCAGAAGGGTGAGGAGCATACAGAAGTATGAAATGATCATTCCAGAGAAATGAGTGAGTTGGCCAGGGACATACGACTGGGTTTCCAGACAATGGAAAGGATCTATTTGAATTTGGGGACCATGAATGTAAAGTGATAAAAACGTATACTATTTGGTGATTTTCATCCACTTAGGTGTAACCACAGAGAAATCAGAGTTAGGTTCATCCAGTTAGGACGTTGCCAGATAAGTTCAAAAATTTCAGAGAGGTAACGAGTTTAGGGTTTAGGGAAAGTGTTATTAAAGTAAACAGAATCTAAGCAAGAGAAGAAGGAAAGCTGATGAATTATAAAGAAGTAAATGGGAAAAAGAATTGGAAGTCCCAATTAGAACTGGTTATAATAGCAGTGATTGAACTAGCAATTCCACATTATGGCCAAAAAGCCAGATGCATTAGAGGAGGAGCAGATATAGGTGACATTTGTGTCGTGGGTATAACTGTGGAAATGGGTGACAGAGCAAGGTGGAGGGAAAAATCACCCAAAATGAGAAACATTTTCAGGAACAGTCACCCAAGTGAATGTTGGATGATTTGATAGCAAAATGAGATGGAGAGTAAGTTGTGAGCTAAGTCTTTGATGAATGAGGGAGTTAAAAGGTGGCATGAGAATCAAGGGAGCGGCGGTATTTTATTTTTATAAGACAGTATAAGAAATAATGCTCAGGAAGTGACAATGGGGAACAACATGGTCCTAATACTGCTTCCTAACACCGAGTTATGTGAGACAAATGAAACCTGAACAACTTGAGAGGGCTTAAGTCTATGACAATAGCAGAACTAATGCTGTGGGTTCCTAACTTCCAAACCAAAGCTCCATCCAATATCAGGTATACTATAGCTTTTTTCTTCAAATTGATTTTCTTTCTTTTTTTTTTTTTTTTTTTTGAGAGAGTCTCACTTTGTTGCCCAGGCTGGAGCGCAGTGGCATCATCTCAACTCAATACAACCTCTGCCTCCCAGGTCTAAGCAATTCTCATGCCTCAGCCTCCCAAGTAGCTGGGATTACAGCGCCCACTACCACATCCAGCTAATTTTTGTATTTTTAGTAGAGACAGGGTTTCACCATGTTGGCCAGGCTGGTCTTGAATTCCTGACCTCAGGTGATCTGCCCAGTCTCCCAAAGTGCTGGGATTGTAGGCGTAAACCACCAGGTCCAGCCCAAATTGATTTTCTTTTCTTTTCTCTTCTCTTTTATTTCTTTTTTCTCCTTTCTCTTTTCTTTCCCCTTCCTTCCTTTTTTTTTCTGAGACAGAGTTTCACTCTTGCTGCCCAGGCTAGAGTGCAATGGTGCAATTTCGGCTCACCGCAACGTCCGCCTCATGGGTTCAAGTGATTTTCCTGCCTCAGCCTCCTGAGCAGCTAGGATTACAGGCATGCGCCACCATGCCCGGCTAATTTTGTATTTTTAGTAGAGATGGGGTTTCTCCATGTTGGTCAGGCTGGTCTTGAACTCCCAACCTCAGGTGATCCGCTCGCCTTGGCCTCCCAAAGTGCTTGGATTACAGGCGTGAGCCACTGTGCCCGGCCCCAAATTGATTTTCTTAAAGTAATCTAGTAACACAGAGTATATTTTTATTGTTAAGAGAAAAAAAATTAAAATCTAACTACAATATATCCTGCTAAAATACTGTCCAGATACTTATGTGCTTACATGTACTTTTCATATATCTTTCAGAATTTTTTTTTTCTTTTTTTGAGATGGAGTCTCGCTGTGTCGCCCAGACTGGAGCGCAGTGGTATGATCTCAGCTGCGATCTTGGCTGGCGCGATCTCAGCAGTGGTGCGATCTCACTGCCACCATGCCCGGCTAATTTTTTGTATTTTTAGTAGAGATGGGGTTTCGCCATGTTAGCCAGGATGGTCTCGATCTCCTGACCTCGTGATCTGCCTGCCTCAGCCTCCCAAAGTGGTGGGATTACAGGCGTGAGCCACCACACCCGGCCATCTTCCAGAATTTTTAAAAGCGTAAATGGGGACATATTATATGTACTTCAGTGAGTTTTTCTTTCTACTTACAATATTCTTATAGAATGTTCTTGCATAGTGTTAGTACAGGTTTATGTAGGTCTACCTCTTTTGTTTTTTATTTATTTATTTATTTTTTAGAGACAGGGTCTTGCTATGTTTCCCAGACTGGTCTCAAACTCCTGGCCTTAAGCAATCCTCCTGCCTTGGCCTCCCAAAGTGTTGGGATTACAGGAGTGAGCCATCATGCCCAGACCTGGGTCTACTTCTTTTGTTCATAGCAGCAAAAGATTTCCATACTGTGAATATCTAACCATTCCCCCATTTATATAAATTTAGGTTTTTCCTTAATTTTTTACTATAAACAAGGAATAAAAGAACATTTTTGTACATACATCTTTCTGTACATATGCTAGAATAAGGAAAGAAATAAAACTTAGGAGCCAAATGATCTGCATATATTTTTATAAATTCTGCCAAACTGCCTTCTGAAAAGGCTTTGCCCATTTACAAGACAGTTAAGTGCACCCATTTCCCCAATTCCATATCAATATCCATGCTTGAAAGAACTAATTCTTTTGGTTCAAGGAAAAAAAAAAGAACTAATTTTTAAATTTCTGTTAAAGAACTGAAAAAAAAAAACACTGTTTCGATTTGCGTTTTGCTAATTAACAATGAAATCTGAGAAGTTTCTCATGTGTTTTAAATTTTTTTTAATGTTAAAACAGCTATACTGAGATATAATTCACATACCATACAATTGGTCCATTTAAAGTATATAATTTCAGGCTGGACACAGTGGCTCACTCTTGTAATCCCAGCGCTTTGGGAGATCAAGGTAGGTAGATCACTTGAGGTCAGGAGTTTGAGACCACCCTGGCCAACATGGCAAAACCCTGTCTCTACTAAAAATACAAAAAAATTGGCCAGGCTTGGTGGTGTGTGCCTGTAGTCCCAGCCCCTGAGGAGGCTGAGGCACGAGAATCCCTTTAACCCAAAAGATGCAGGTTGCAGTGAGTTGAGATCGCACCAGTGCACTCCAGCCTGGGCAATAGAGAGAGATCCTGTCTTTGGAAAAATAAATTAATTAAATTTAAAAGTATATAATTTCAAAGGTACTTTTTTTAAAAATTATAGTCATAGATAAGTGAAACCATCACCACAGTCAATTTTAGAAAATTTCCATCATCTCAAAAAGAAGCCCTGGGTTCAGGCACGGTGGCTCATGCCTGTAATCCCAGCACTTATGGGAGGCTTAGGCAGGTGGATCACTTGAGCTCAGGAGTTTGAGACCAGCCTGAGAAGCATGGTGAAACCCTGTCTCTAGCAAAAATACAAAAAATTAGAAATTAGCCAGGTGTGGTGTGGGCCTGTAGTCCCAGCTACTTGGGAGTCTGGGGTGGGAGCATCACTTAAGCCCAGGAGGCAGAGGTTGCAGTGAGACAAGATTGCGCCACTGCACTCCAGCCTGGGTGACAGAGTGAGACACTGTCTCAAAAAAAAAAAGAAAAAAAAAAGAAGTCCTGTATCCTCTAGCTATTGCTCCTCAACCTCTTACCCTCCCTCCTCCTATCCCTAAGCAACCACCAACCTACTTTCCCACTCCAGAGATTTCCCTATTCTGGACTTTCAAATAAATAGAATCATATAATACGTAGACTTCTGTGACTGACTTCTCTTAGCATCTGTTTTCAAGGCTCATCCAAACTGTAGCATGAATCAGTATTTCATTCCTTTTTATGGCTAAATAATATTCCATTGTATGGATACACATTTTGATTATCCATAAGCTGATGAACATTTGGGTTGTGTTCACCTTTGGTTATTATGAATAATGCTGCCATTAACATTTTTGTGTAAGTGTTGTATGGACACATGTTTTCATTTATCTTCAGTACACCTGAAGATAATTCATTTATCTTCAGTACACCTGAAGATAATTCATTTATCTTCAGTACACCTGAAGATAATTCATTTATCTTCAGTACACCTGAAGATAATTCATTTATCTTCAGTACACCTGAAGATAATTCATTTATCTTCAGTACACCTGAAGATAATTCATTTATCTTCAGTACACCTGAAGATAATTCATTTATCTTCAGTACACCTGAAGATAATTCATTTATCTTCAGTACACCTGAAGATAATTCATTTATCTTCAGTACACCTGAAGATAATTCATTTATCTTCAGTACACCTGAAGATAATTCATTTATCTTCAGTACACCTGAAGATAATTCATTTATCTTCAGTACACCTGAAGATAATTCATTTATCTTCAGTACACCTGAAGATAATTCATTTATCTTCAGTACACCTGAAGATAATTCATTTATCTTCAGTACACCTGAAGATAATTCATTTATCTTCAGTACACCTGAAGATAATTCATTTATCTTCAGTACACCTGAAGATAATTCATTTATCTTCAGTACACCTGAAGATAATTCATTTATCTTCAATACACCTGAGTAGAATTGCTGGTATGGACATATGTTTTCATTTATGGGAGTAGAATTGCTGGATCATATGGTAACTCTATGCTTAATTGTTTGAGGAACTGCCAGACTGTTTTTCAGCGGCTGCCCCATCTTACATTTTTACCAGCAGTATATGAGAGCTCCAATTTCACCACACCCTCACCAATACTTGTCATTATTTGACTTTTTGGTTCTAGTCATCCTAGTGGGTACAAAGTGGTATCTCATTACGGTTTTCATTGCATTTCCCTGATGACAATTGATGTTGAATATCTTTTCAGGTGCTTATTGGTCATTTGTGTATCTTCCTTAGAGGCATGTCTATTTAGATTATTTGTCCATTTTTTAATTGAGATATTTTTTCTTATTATTAAGTTATTTATTTATTATTAAAGTTCTTTATATATTCTAGATACAAGTCACTTACAAGATATATAATTTGCAAATATCTCTCACTCTGTGGGTTGTCTTATCACTTTCTTTTTTTGGGGGACAAGGTCTTACTCTGTTACCCAGCCTGCAGTGCGGTGGCACGATCTCAGCTCACTGCAAGCGATGCTTCCAGGTCCAAATGATCCTCCCACCTGAACCTCTCCAGCAGCTGGGACTACAGGTGTGTGCCACTATGCCTGGCTAATTTTTCAAATTGTTTGTAGAGATGTTGTCCTGCTATAGTGCCCCAAGCTGGTCTTGAACTCCAGGACTCAAGTGATCTACCTGCTTTCTCGATAGTGTCAAGTATTTTAAGCTTTTAGGCCAGGAGTGGTGGTGGCTCATGCCCATAATCCCAACACTTTGGGAGGCTGAGGTGGGAGGATCAGTTGAGGCCAAGATGTTGAGACCAGCCTGGGCTCCATAGCAAAACCCATATGAAAAAAAAAAAAAAAAAGCTGGATGTGATGTCACACACCTGCAGTCCTTGTTACTTGGGAGGTTAAGGTTGGAAGATCACTAGAGCCCAGGAGTTTGAGGTTACAGTGGGCCATGATCGCACCACTGCACTCCAGCCTGGGCAACAGAGTGAGACCCTTCCTCTTAAAAATAAATAAATAAAGCTTTTAATTTTTATGAATTCAAATTATTTTTTCTTTTGTTGCTCATGCTATGGTGACATATCTAAGAACCTTTTGCTAAATCCGAGGTCATGGATCCAATTTGATAGCTCATCATTAAATTCAATCAATTAATCAATCCGAGGTCATGGAAAACATTACTGCTATGTTTTCATCTAAGAGATTTATAGCTTTAGCTTTTACATTTAGGTCTTTGATCTATTTTAACTTTTGTATGGTGTGAGGTAAGACTCCAACTTCATTCTTTTGCATGTTATCCAGCTGCCCCCTGTACCATTTGTTGAAAACACTATTCCTTCCCCAGTGAATGGTCTTACCTTTGTCATATATCAGTTGACCATAGTTGCACGGATTTCTACAATCTCAATTCTATTCCATTGATGTACTTGTCTACCTTTGTGCTGATACCACACTGTCTTGGTTACCATTGCTTTGTAGTAAGTTTTAAAATCAGGAAGTGTGAGTCTTCCTACTTTGTTCTTCTTTTCAGGATTGTCTTGGCTATTCTGGGTCCCTTGCAATTCCATGTGGATTTTTTTTTTTTTTTTTTTTGAGACAGAGTCCCGCTCTGTCGCCCAGACTGGAGTGCAGTGGAGCGATCTTGGCTCACTGCAACCTCCGCCTCCCAGGCTCAAGCAATTCTCCTGCCTCAGCCTCCCGAGTAGCTGGGACTGCAAGCGTGCACCACCATGCCCAGCTAATTTTTGTATTTTTAGTAGAGACAGGGTTTCACTATGTTGGCCAGGCTGGTCTCGAACTCCTGACCTCGTGATTTCCCGCCTTGGCCTCCCAAAGTGCTGGGATTAGCCACCTCGCCCGGCCTTCCATGTGGATATTATCTCATATGTTTATTACTTAACTACTTCCCATTGTGCAGTGGCACAATCTCGGCTCACTGCAAGCTCCACCTCCCGGGTTCACGCAGTTCTGCCTCAGCCTCCCGAGTAGCTGGGACCACAGGCGCCTGCCACCACACCCGGCTAATTTTTTGTATTTTTAGTAGAGACGGGGTTTCACCGTGTTAGCCAGGATGGTCTCGATCTCCTGACCTTGTGATCCACCCGCCTCAGCCTCCCAAAGTGCTGGGATTACAGGCATGAGCCACCGCGCCCGGCCGGTTAAATTTTTTAAATTGTTTATATAAAGAGTTCATTACTCTGGATATTAATCCTTGATCACAAAATCTTTTTCCTGGTCTGTCATTTGTTTTTCAACTTTTTTTAGGATGTTTTTTGTCATAGAAAAGTTCTGAGTTTCATTTTACTCAGGAAGTCTTCTCCCTCCCACCTCTTCCTTGCTTCCTAGTTATAAAAATATTCACCTATATTTCCTTCTAAAAATTATATTAACTATTTGATTCCTTGGAACTTACTTTTCAGATGGTGAGAGTTAGGGGGTATAATTTTTTTCCCCAAGTAGAGAGCCAACTTTCCTAACACAATTTTTACCCCATTAATTTGAAATGTCACCATTATCAAAATTAAATTCCTATCTGTAATTGAGTCTGTTTCTGGAGTCTCTATTTCTTTCATTTATCTGTTTATCTATTCCTCTATCAATACTATAGCATTTTAATTACTTAACTATATTTTGACATCTGGTAGGTCAAGACTCACCTCATTGAATTTTGAGGGATTTACTTGACTATTTCTGCATATTAATTCTTTCAGATGAAATTCAGGATGAGCTTGCCAAATTTTTCCATGGAAATTTTGACTAGAGTTACATGGATTTTATAATAAAAACAATAATAGCAAACACTATGGAGCCTACTAAGTGTCAGAAACTGTTTTAAGATCTTTCATATATTAATTCTAACAATTCTATGAGGTAGTTACTATTGTAGTACTACTAGATCAATATTAAGAAAGAGAGATGATACAATACTATTTCTATCAGTAGCTCCACTTATTTAGGCCTTCTTTCATGTTCTTTATAATAAAGTATTATATTTTCTTCCTACAAGTTTTATAGGCTGGGCGTGGTGGCTCACACCTGTAATCCCAGCACTTTGGGAGGCCAAGGTGGGTGGATCACTTGAGGTCAGGAGTTCAAGACCAGCCTGGCCAACATGGTGAAACCTCATCTCTACTAAAAATACAAAAATTAGCCTCGTCTCTACTAAAATACAAAAATTAGTGGTGGCGTGCGCCTGCAGTCCCAGCTACTCAGGAGGCTGAGGCAGAAGAATCGCTTGAACTCAGGAGGCAGAGCTTGCAGTGAGCCAAGATTGTGCCACTGCCCTTCAGCCTCGGTGACAGAGTGAGACTCCAGCTCAAAAAAAGAAAAGTCTTATATATTTCTTCCTGGGCAATTATTCCTAAGGATTTTGTGATTTTTTCTCTTTTTTTTTTTTTTTGCTGCTTCTATGAACAGGATCCTCTTTCCCATTACATTCTTAAATGTATACCTATTATATTCCAAATGATGGTTTGAAAAACTATTTTGTATTGATTCAAATTAAATTTATATAATTTTTTTTCTGAAATTTCATTTACCTTAGAATTATTCTGCTTTTAAACAATGGCTAGTCTATCCCATAACTATGTGTTAATCCCACAACTAATTTGCATATATTCTTACTGTGTGACACAGGGCAATTCAAAGACTTGCTTTAAAGGTAAAGTGACAACACTCCTATCTTCCCAAATCTGCTATTCAGAATTACCCTACGACACTAGATTAAACTTCTAGTGCATCTATTATAGAAAACTGCCTTCTCACCCAGTAGAATGTGACCTAGAAGATCACAACAGTCAAATCTGAAGGGATAGGCAGAAACGGATCAAATAGGGAGTTTGTTTTTGAACAGTCTAATGACTGGCCTTTTAATAAATCATTAAATAATCCTTTTCTACCTTACCGGAATCAGGAAAAAAAAAAATCTTGTACCATCGAAACATTAAAATGAAGCCAAGTTTAAGGAGTAGCCAAATAGCTAGCCGGCACATTTAAGTTGTCTTTTTGGAGTTACAGCTATCTAGTTAACAACCTCAGAGATTAATTCAAATGAACCTGAAATAGCAGTATACCAACAGAGACCTCACTCCTTAGGCTTTCAGGGTGCCAAAGTCTTCACTTAATTAAGACTAAGCAGAGATGATCCCCATATCTTTTTGAGACTAAGTTTCACCTTTCTTGCTCTGAAATTTTAGAACTCAATGAAACCTTCTACATAACTGGTAGTAGCCCAGCCTATTTTCTGGAGCAGTTAGTCTTGTTAATATGCCACACTGACGTTGTTGACAGAGTATGCCAACTTAAGGCTGAATGGCAAAAACTCAAAGGCTTAAAATAATGTTAATACTTTGTTTTCAAAGGCTATAGTAAAGGCCAAGAGCAAAGTCATTCTTCCAGCTTAACAGCATTGGAAAGACCACAGCAAGTACCAGAAGGCTTTCTGACACAAAATCAATAACTGCATGCAAATATAAACATCAATAGTTGCATCTTCTTAGTCACTAGACTAAGTTAGGACTAGCAATGAACAAAAGCTCTTCTAAAATGTTCTTATCACCTAACTTATTTTTATTTCACTTCTCCATTCCTCTCTGTAAAAGAATAGGATGCCATGAAAAGTTGTGTAATTCCATTATTTTAATTGCAGTTTGGCAAAGTCCTTAGGCGAAAATATACCTAAATATATTCTCATGAAAATGGCCTTCATGAAGACTAGCATATTATAAAAATCAAACAACAGTAGGATAAATATACTACCCACGGGAGAAAAAAAAAACAACAAAACCTCTGTCAAAGTGTTAAATACAATAGTACTTCAGCTCTTTCACTATTATTTAGTGCCTTAAATTTGCCAAATGTCAAAGAAAGTCAACAGAACATATTAAATACACAGAAACCCAGGCCAGGCGCCGTGGCTCACGCCTGTAATCCCAGCACTTTGGGAGGCCGAGGCAGGTGGATCACGAGGTCAGGAGATCGAGACCCCGGTGAAACACCGTCTCTACTAAAAATACAAAAAATTAGCTGGGCACAGTGGCGGGCACCTGTAGTCCCAGCTACTTGGGAGGCTGAGGCAGGAGAATAGTGTGAACCCAGAAGGCGGAGGCTGCAGTGAGCCAAGATTGCGCCACTGCACTCTAGCCTGGGTGACAGAGCAAGACTTCGTCTCAAAAAATAAATAAATAAAAATAAACAAATAAATACACAGAAACCCATCATAAGTATTCAAATTTACATTTACATTCTGAAGTTAGCCATGTATTTTTTACTATAGAAAAATAGCTCTTGAGTGGCTGGGTGCGGTGGCTCACGCCTGTAATCCCAGTACTTTGGGAGGTCGGGTGGATCATGAGGTCAGGAGATTGAGACTATCCTGGCTAACACGGTGAAACCCCGTCTCTACCGAAAACACAAAAAATTAGCCGGGCATGGTGGCGGGCGCCTGTAGTCCCAGCTACTAGGGAGGCTGAGGCAGGAGAATGGTGTGAACCCGGGAGGTGGAGCTTGCAGTGAGCCAAGATCGTGCCACTGCACTCCAGCCTGGGTGACAGAGCAAGACTCCGTCTCAAAAAAAAAAAAGAAAAAAGAAAAATAGCTCTTGAGGCACTTGCAAATCTTATGGTTACAGCAGTCTCCTTATTATAATTGTCCCTTCATCCCTTGCAGTAAACCTTTTGAATAAAATCCTTACTAAAAAAGCAAAACAAAACAAAACACAAAAACACAAAAAAACCCTCTTGGACTAAACATTTAATCCATAATAATATGACAAAGGAAAATGTGACAGTTATTGTATGATTGAAATAGATTTAGCTGTGAGCCCTTGCACAACTCACTTCACCTTCCTGAACCTCAGGTTTTTTGATCTGTAAAAATGAGAGGGTTGAGCTCTATGATCACTAGGGTAGCTTCCAGCTGTATTATTCTATACTGATCTCAGCCCCCAAAGACTCTAGGACAATTTCCAATAGATTTTAATACCCTAAAAAACTCGAGAAACAACTAAAATGAATGTTTTTATTTTAGTAATGAGTTTATGTCAAGATTTTTATGGTGTTTGCTGGTGCTATTTGAATGAGCTTCTTTTTTCCAGATGTTGAATCTGAAGTTGAATTTAGATATTTCTTTTTAAAACATCTAGTACAGAACACAACACTTCCTCAACTAAGAAGAAGCCACTGGGAAAAAAGAACTGCTGCATGAAGAAGAAACTACTGAGAGGGATGGTAAAAGATGTAAACAGTCTAAATAATATGCAAACTGAACAGTCTAAGCATAAATTGTTCAGATGTAATTTTCTGAGATGCTAAGGAAGATTTTCTGTAACAGATCTGCCCAATCTTTCCCTGATTTTCATAAACCTTATATGAAGTTGGTCATGCACAAACCCCAAATATAAACCAATACATCACTTGGGCCTTGATATTTTGCAGCTCATCACCAGGAAATCCAAGCAGCAATAATCAAGAGCCATTTGCAAATAGCATCACACTCTTGGCATTGTTTGAGAATAATCAATTAAAGAATTATTATCAGTTTTAATCTGAGAAATTAGTGATATAAAAATATGACAACAGCAATTGTAAGTGGAAATGTAGAGCTTTCCTACACAGTTGGAGGAAGTGTACACTGGCATAGCCAGTCACTTTGAACATCACTTACCCAGTGAAGATGCACAAATGTTTAATCTTTCACATAAACCCTAGGAAAATTCTAACACATTTACACATGAAACCATGTACAAGAATGCTCACAGTAGCACTATAAATTTTTTAATTGTCTTTTATAACATCTTCATTGAGATGTAATCAACATACCATAAAATTCACCTTCTGAAAGTGTACAATTCAATGGTTTTTAATACATTCATAGAATTGTGCAACCATCATCCTATGCAATTTCAGGACATTTTCATCTCTCCAAAGAGAAACCCTGTTCCATTAGCAATCACTTTCCACTCACCCCTTCCCCCAAGCCCTTAGCAACTATTAATTTACTTTCTATTTCTGTGGATTTGTCTTTTCTAGACAGTTCATATAAGTGAAATCATATAATATGTAGCCTATTGTGTCTGACTTCTTTCACTTCGCGTAATGTTTTCATGGTCTATCCAAGTTGTAGCATATATCAGTACTTCAATTCCTTTTTATGGCTGAATAATATTTCATTTTATAGCTATACTACATTTTGCATATTCGTTCATCAGTTGATGGACATTTGGGCTGCTTCCACCTTTTGGTTATTGTGAATAATGCTGCCGTGAACAATGATGTACAAGTTGTTATGTGGGCATATGTTTTTAATTATTTTGAATATATACCTGGGAGCAGAACTCATGGGTCAAATGTTAATTCTTATGCTTAACATTTTGAAGAACTGCTAGACTGTGTACCAAAGTGGTTGTACCATTTTACAATCCCATCAGCAATGTATGAGGCTCCAATTTTTTCATGCCCTCACCAATATTTGTTATTGTCCGTCTTTTTATTAAAGCCATCCTAGTGGGTGTGAAGTAATATCACTTTGTGGTTTGGATTTTTATTTCAACATTATGTATCAAAGGCAAACAAAAGAAAAGCAAACAAGCAACAACATCCTAGAAACAACTTACATGTCCATCAGTAAGAAAAGAAATAAATTTTGGTATAATCATACACTGGGCTACCACACAACAATGTAAAAAATAAATTATTGTTATATGTATCAATGTGAAGATAAATGAATAGGTGCTGTGTATATCAAAAGAGATACATCTTAACAAATATAATTTAGATTATATCTTTTTCTTTTTTTTTGAGACACAGTCTTATTCTGTTGCCCAGGCTGGAGTGCAAGGGTGGGATCTTGGCTCACTGCAACCTCCACCTCCTGGGTTCAAGCAATCCTTGTGCCTCAGCCTCCCGAATAGCTGTGATTACAGGCGTGTGCCCCCACACCCAGTTAATTTTTGTATTTTTAATAGAGACAGAGTTTAGCCATGTTGGCCAGGCTGGTCTTTAACTCCTGATCTCAAGTGATCTCCCTGCCTCAGCCTCCCAAAGCGCTGGGATTACAAGCATGAGCCACCAAACCTGGCCATATGGGAAATTTTAAAAAGCACATAGCAAAAGGATACATAGAATATGATGTCATTTATAGATCATAAAAATGTAAGACAATATTATAAAATATTTAGGGATACATTCCTATGAAGTAAAAAATATGAAGATATATTCAACTGTATTGCTAATGGTCTATCTCTTAAGCTGACTTTCATAAACCTTATATGAAGTTGGTCAGCTGGGCACAGTTAAACAATATCTCATAAGACTTCTTAATTTAATAAGATGGGATTGTAAAAAGCATTAGGGCTTCCTCATATCAAAATTCCAAACCCTAAGGCAGTTAGACTATGCAGTTCTTAAAACATGAACAATTGCAAACTTAATTGACTTGAAATTTTTTAGTTACTTGTCCTGGATGAAGAGAATATGATGACAATTTCTTTTTGTTCTATAACTATCTCTACATAATGAAACCAGTCTAAAAAATTTGATGGATCAACAAGATTTAAACTTTATTGATATCACTATTAAATAATAATATTACAAAGTACTCTTGGATTTTATATACACATCTCACAGTCAACCTTTTTTTTTTTTTTGAGACAGAGTCTTACTCTGTCCCCCAGGCTGGAGGGCAGTGCCACAGTCTTGGCTCACTGTAACCTCTGGCTCCAGGGTTCAAGATATTCTCCTGCCTCAGCCTCCCGAGCAGCTAGGATTACAGGTGCATGCCACCAGCCTGGCTAATTTTTTTATTTTTAGTAGAGACAGGGTTTTGCCATGTTGCCCAGGCTGGTCTTGAACTCCTGGCTTCAAATGATCCACCCCCCTCAGCCTCCCAAAGTGCTGGGATTACAAGCGTGAGCCACCATGCCCAGCCACAGTCAATTTTTTTAAAGCTCTCAAAGAAATTCATTTCCTCTAACTTAAGGTGCTTTGTTTTCCAAACTTTCCAAGTTGGAGATTTGTTTCTTTTTTTTTTTTGCCTTTTTATTTTTATTTTTTAAATAAAGTGGGTTTTTTTCTTTTTCTTTTATATATATATTTTTTTTATTATACTTTAAGTTCTAGGGTACATGTGCACAACGTGCAGGTTTGTTACATATGTATACATGTGCCATGTTGGCGTACTGCACCCATTAACTCATCATTTCCATTAGGTATATCTCCTAATGCTATCCCTCCCCCCTCCCCCCACTCCACAACAGGCCCCAGTGTGTGATGTCCCCCTTCCAGTGTCCAAGTGTTCTCATTGTTCAATTCCCACCTATGAGGGAGAACATGCGATGTTTGGTTTTTTGTCCTTGCCACAGTTTGCTCAGAATGATGGTTTCCAGCTTCATCCATGTCCCTACAAAGGACATGAACTCATCATTTTTTATGGCTGCATAGTATTCCATGGTGTATATGTGCCACATTTTCTTAATCCAGTCTATCATTGTTGGACATTTGGGTTGGTTCCACGTCTTTGCTATTGTGAATAGTGCTGCAATAAACATACGCGTGCATGTGTCTTTACAGCAGCATGATTTATAATCCTTTGGGTATACACCCACTAATGGAATGGTTGGGTCAATTGTTCTACAATTGTTGGTTTACAGATCCTTCCAGCCCTTTGTTTCTCTTACTAACTTACTGTTGCCCTAATAATTCTGGACTTTATGCTACTCACTAGTCCATGAGAAGGTTAGGAGAAAGGACAAAGGTAAAATTCTAATATTAACATGCTACGTATTAACAGATACCATAAAGGAAGGATTTGGAATTATTTGTAGATATCCTTTCCTTAGGCCATTCCCAGAAGCCATGGAAAATGCAATACTGACTTTCCTTCTTGGACAGTCTTCAAGCTGGTCTAAAAGCTCTTAGAGTTGAATATGCCAGTAGCTAGATGTGGGTCCCTATTAGCTTAGGAAAAACACTGATGGAAATTTTCCTATGTCATAATTGAAAGCCAGGATGAGCAGTTACCTGTCTAGAAAGGACTGCTCCATGAGTAGTCTTGGCCTAGGCTGGAGGAGGCAGTTGAGGGATGATACACACACACACACACACACACACACACACACACACACACCCCAAAGCTCATCAAAACCACTCCCACGCTCATCAATACAAAGGAAAAATACTCAGATATCTAGATCAGGTCAAACCAAAAGGTCCTTTTTTTTCTTTCCCTTTTCTTCCTTTTTCTCTAAGGGTAAGATAGATAATCACTAGGGACTCTTGCCCCCACTGAAATTCAGAGAAGAAATAGAGTTATTGTTCTTACACTGAATAATTCCAAATAACCTTGAGGTCCTTTGGGGATTTCAATAATCTGAAAAGTACGTATGTATGTACACATATGTATGTATGGAATGTGTGTGTGCAAGGGAATACAGACACATTTATATGAGAAATGTATATGTATAAAAATCCCGGAATGCTATTGAGATACAATTTATGTACACGTCAATAAGAGAGAGCATCTATGAATAAGAAAGAGAACGTGGGTAGTCATTAGTAAAGGAAGTAATTGCTTTATAAATTCTAGCACTATCAGTGCAATCCAATTAATTACCCTAACAACCGCATGAACACTTGATCAAAAGACAGTGACTTTCAAAGACTACACTATAGATACTTGAGATTTTAATACTTCAAGTGTTAGAACAGAGCATGACTCAAATATGAAGAATTCAAAAGGCATATACACAATCATTTGTTTGGTACAAGCACAGGAGATCTTCAAAGGGATACACTCAAGTTCAGAGTAATAATTTACCAGAAAAGTCAGGAAAAGCTCTGGAATCTGTAACCAAAGCAGGCAACAGCGAAGAAGAGAGAAGGTATCTATTGACACTGAGAAGACAGAGCCAAGGAATGGGGGGGGTGTTGAGAATATAAAGCTTCAGGGCTCTACTCTCAGGGGAAGAGGTGGGTATACAGCTTGAACATTCACTCTAAAATGGATAAGAAACAAATACAATAACCCAAAGTTCAAATCATGTTCACAGAAATTGTTTCAAACACATTTTCTTCTTTACTCACAGGTCATATCAAAACCATTTTATAAAACTCTCCACTAGGGCAACAGCAGCCCTGGGCTGGAAACTCTAGGTAAATAATGAAACTCCTTCACCTCCTGAGTCTTCTGCCTGCCACAGAACAACTTGTTGTTTGTGTAAGATAATATCACCTGTGGTTTGCTAAACCAGCAACAACGTATCATGAGAACAAGAAGGAAGGATGAATAAATCCTGACAGGGTAGAACTTCACAGAGGAGGTGACACCTGAGCCAAGCCTTGAAGTGATTAGGAGGGTTTTACGAGGCATAGAAGGGGAGCAGGAGCAGTTAAGCAAAGAGAACGGTATGAACAAAAAGTTCATGGAGTGCTCAGGAGATGGCAAATAACAAATGAGAAGGTATGTGAATGAGGTTGAGGAATGGTAGGGAAAAAAACTGGTAAGACAGGTTGAAAGCATTTTATATGCGTTTTTACTCTGCATGTGAATGGCTTCAAAATGCAAAATTGCATCAGAATCTCTGGGATACCTGGTAAAAATACAGATTCCTGTGCTGTACTCCAGATCTACTAAATTGAAATTTCCAGAGTTGGGGCTCAGGCATCTGTATTTTTCTTTAATTGTCCTCATTCTTAAACAGACAGAATCTGCATTTAATGAGTATTCTGATGTATAACCAAGCTCGAAAGCCAATGATGGATTGTTTTTTAAAGAAAAGTTATATCATTAGATTGGTATTTTAAAAATAACAAGGTACTATTAGAAATAGACTGTAAAGATGTGAAATTAGGGGAAAAAATAGACCTATGGCAGACTATGGCAATCATGCATTCATTTATTCAACAAGAATTTTAAAAATACCTACTATGTACCTACAAGTTCCCATAAAGATGACAGTCTCAACTAGAATACTAGCAGTGTAAATGGAGACAAGAAGACAGAGTTATGAGACATTACACAGATAGAACTGACAAGTCCTGGTAACTCAGTAGACGGTGGAGATGGGGACGGAGGGAGCAAATCAGTTTTCATCAGTGATTTCCAAACTTGGATAAGCATCAGAATAAAAGATTCCTGGGTCCTACCATAGACCTAATGAATCAGGCTCTTTGGAGGATACAGTTCAGCAGCCTCTATTGTTAACATGTGCCCCCAGGTGATTCTCATGCAGTCAATTGGGAATCAATGACTTAAATGACTGAGTGGCTGATGATATTTCTTTTCAAGAAGAGAAAACAGGAGGAGCAACAAATTTTGTGATAGGATGAGAACAATTTTGCTCTGGAAATACTGAGACCGAGAGAAACCTGTAAGACATCTACATCAAGATGTCTAATGGGCAGCTGGAAATGCATATCTTGAGTCCAGGAAAAAAGTCAAGTCTAAACAGGTCAGGGTCAGACAGATCTCGACATCATTAGTACATAATGAGGGATGAGGCCATGGGAGTGGGTAAGGTTACAAAGACGAAAGAATATAGAGAAAGTGGGTTGGGGTAGAAATCTGGGCAAAGAGTGGGCAATGGAAGAGGAATCGTGAGCAGAAGAGTGATTCAGGAGGTAAGAAGAGGATCTGAGGGGAAAAAAAGCATTGTTTTGGAAGCCAAAGAATAAGCGTTTTAATTCATATGGAGATCAAGTAGATAAAACGTTATAAAATGCTCCAAAAGGATAAGAACTAGAAAAATGGCCGGGCGCGATGGCTCATGCCTATAATCCCAGCACTTTGGGAAGCCGAGGTGGGCGGATCACCAGGTCAGGAGTTGGAGACCAGCCTGGCCAACATGGTGAAACCCCATCTCTACTAAAAATACAAAAATTAGCCGGGCGTGGTGGCACATGCCTGTAATCCCAGCTACTCAGGAGGCTGAGGCAGGAGAATCGCTTGAACTTGAGAGGCAGAGGTTGCAGTAAGCTGAGAACGCACCATTGCACTCCAACCTAGGTGACAGAGCAAGACTCTGTCCCAAAACAACAACAAAAAAAGAATTAGAAGGATGATAAGGCGTGGCATTTAGGAAGTCTGCGATGACCTTTGAGAAAGCAGTTTCAGCATAATGGAGCAAAGTAGCAGAGTGGGTTTACACTACTCCTTAAGGAGAATTTGAAGAGAAAGGAAAGAGATGGGTCAGTGGTTTGCAAGACAGGTAAGACTGAAAGAAAGTTCTTTTGGTGGCCATTTTTAAGAATAAAGACCAAAAAAAAAAAAAAAAAAAAAGAATGAAGACAACTTGAGGCATTTTAAGGAAAAGAAGAAGAGAGCACAGAACGGATGCTTAATAAATATTTGTGAAATATCAGTATTCTCAAAATCTTAAAACTGTCTTTGGCTGGGCGCGGTGGCTCACGCCTGTAATCCCAGTACTTTGGGAGGCTGAGGCGGGCGGATCACGAGGTCAGGAGATCGAGATCATCCTGGCTAACACGGTGAAACCCCGTCTCTACTAAAAATACAAAAAATTAGCCGGGCGAGGTGGCGGGCGCCTGTAGTCCCAGCTACTCGGGAGGCTGAGGCAGGAGAATGGCGTGAACCCGGGGGCGGAGCCTGCAGTGAGCCGAGATCGCGCCACTGCACTCCAGCCTGGGCAACAGCGAGACTCCGTCTCAAAAAAAAAAAAAAAAAAAAAAAAAAACACCTGTCTTTGACCTTTCTTTCTCCTGCTCCCCATAATCAGTAAGTCTCAACATCCTTTATTTTTCTTAAATGCCTATTCACATCTTACTTTACTGTTCTCTTAGATGCCTTTCACTATTGCCCTAGAGGCTAATAAGCTACTGTACATCTTAACTCATCCCTCCTTCCTCCAATCAATCCATCCAACACAGTCTTATCAAATTAATCACTTAAAATACTACCCTTCTCGCCGGGCACGGTGGCTCACGCCTGTAATCCCAGCACTTTGGGAGGCCGAGGCGGGCGGATCATGGTGTCGGGAGATCGAGACCATCCTGGCTAACACGGTGAAACCCCGTCTCTACTAACAAAATACAAAAAATTAGCCGGGCGTGGTGGCGGGCGCTTGTAGTCCCAGCTGCTAGGGAGGCTGAGGCAGGAGAATGGCATGAACCCGGGAGGCGGAGCTTGCAGTGAGTCGAGATCACGCCACTGAACTCCAGCCTGGGCGACAGAGCGAAAAAAAAAAAAAGATACTACCCTTCTCACATTACTACTCCAAAATATTCAACCCGTTTATTTAATAAGCAGTTACGAGATACCCAACCTGCCAGGAACCATGCCTTTCCCAATTGAAAGTAACCTCTATCTTCTCAGAACATCTACACTAATTAGCCAGTGTATTCATTCCATAATTATCCCGCCTTAAACAGCTAGTTGTTACTGTTTTCATGACACCATGTCTTAGCTCACCAAATGGTGTTAACAGGGGTATCCAATCTTTTGGCTTCCTTGGGCCACATTGGAAGAATCGTCCTGGGCTACACATAAAACACACTAATACTAATGATGGCTGATGAGCACAAACAAAACAAAAAAGCCAAAAAAATCTCATAATGTTTTAAGAAAGTTTATGAATTTGTGTTGGGTCACATTCAAAGCTGTCCTGGGCCGCACGTGGCCTCAGGGGCCATAGGTTGGACAAGCTTGGTGTAAAAGATTCACCTCCCAGCATTCAAAAAGAATAAAAAGGTATAAGGTTGAAAAAAATTGTCTCTGATGAACTCTGGTTAGTGCACTATCCTATTATTTAATATTTATATTATATTGAAAAAACTTTAATAATCCTTCCCATATTCCTTTACTACAAATAACAACTTCCAGGGTAATTTTTACATCAAATAAATGATTAAGACTAATTTTATTTAATCCACATACAACTTATAAAAGGATGCAATCTTTATATATAAGATTGTATTTTCATACCAATCCCTAAACTGTTTTTAAAATTTAGTTTGTTTTATTCTTACTACCACTCACGTTTCTATCCATCCATTCAATTTATACTTTCAGTTTGCTTCCAGCTGATTCAATACCTATGACACAGCAAATTGTCTAAATTTTGCAAGAACTTTCAACATCCAAGGCACTTATTCCTAACAGTTGCACTCCTCACATTGATACACTCCCTGAAGGTCAAGGATCTAAATTCTGTAATATTTTTAGCATCTAAAATCCTGGTTTATGCTCTCCTTCTAGTTCTCTTGGTCTTTAAAAGATGTAAGAACATGCTATCAAATTCCTAATTCCCTGTTAAGCCCTAACCAACCAAAGTTTAACTAATAAAAAAAAACCTAAAACAAGAATTATTAAGAAAGAAAATCAAATATTTTTAAGCAAAGGAAGTTATAAGGTTTGAAATACAAATTCTGATTATTCCAACTCTGATTATTCTTATTAAATTATCAACTGGAACACCTCACTGCTCTTTTCTTGCCACCACCCCCTTCCTCTGCTCAGTTCATTCATTGAACAAATCTTTATTCCCAATGCCTAAGACTTAATAGATACTGCCATAGATGCAATTAACATAACAGTGAATAAGTTAGGCACACTCCCTCCCTTCCCAGAGCCTAAAGTGTATTGACCATAAGAATATATGACAAATTAAACTATAAGACTATATGACAAGTGTTATGACAGGTAAGCTATAAGAAACAAAGTGGGGGCGGGATGCCATGGCTCATGCCAGCATTTTGGGAGTCTGAGGGGGAGGACTGCTTGAGGCCAGGCATTTGAGACCAGCCTGGGCAATACCGTGAGACCTTGTCTCTACAAAATAAAGATTAAAAAATTACTCGAGCATGGTGGCACACACCTGTAGACCTATCTACTTGGGAGGATCCCTTGAGCCCAGCAGTTTGAAGTTACAGTGAGCTATGATTACACCACTGCACAACATAGTGAGAACCCTATCTCTTAAAAACACAAGGAAAAGATATAAAGGGAAAACACAGTATAGGTTATGCCATGGGAGGCTCCTTAGAGGCACTGATGTTGAACCTGAGACCTGTAAAATTGGTAGTCAAAGAAGAGAGACAATAAGGATTGTGGAAGTAGGAGAAGGAAATGTATTAAGACTAGGAGATGAGAAAATGACATAATTGAGAAAGTGAAAAATGATCAGTGTGGCTGAAGCATAGAATTCAAAAACGGGAACAACAAGAAGTGAGACTAGAGAACAGGGCAATGACAACCACTGAAAGATTTTAAGAAAGGTGTGAAATATTCAGGTTTTCCTGGCTGAAGCATAGAAAATAGTTTGAGAGGCCAGATGCAGTGGCTCACGCCTGTAATCCTAGCACTTTGGGAGGCCGAGGCAGGCAGATCACTTGAGGTCAGGAGTTTGAAATCAGCCTGACCAACATGGTGAAAGCCCATCTCTACTAAAAATACAAAAAATTAGCCGGGCGTGGTGGCACATGCCTGTAATCCCAGCTACTCGGGAGGCTGAGGCATGAGAATCGCTTGAACCCAGGAGGCGAAGGTTGCAGTGAGCTGAGATCGCACCATCTCACTTCGGCCTGGGCGACAGAACGAGCCTCTGTCTAAAGAAAAAAAGAAAAGAAGAAAATAGTTGGAGAAAGAAGAATAGAAGCATGGAAATCATTCAGCAGACTGTTTCTGTAACCCAGGTGAGAGACAATGACTTGGACTAAAGTGGATGAGGCAGGGCACGGTGGCTCACGCCTGTAATCCTAGCACTTTGGGAGGCGGAGGCAGAGGCGGGCGGATTGCCTGAGCTCAGGAGTTCGAGACCAGGCGGGCAGACTGCCTGAGATTAGGAGTTCGAGGCCAGCCTGGGCAACATGGTGAAACCCTGTCTCTACTAAAACTACAAAAAAATTAGCTGGGCGTGGCGGCATGCACCTGTAGCCCCAGCTACTCAGGAGGCTGAGGCAGGAGAATTGCTTGAACCTGGGAGGCGGAGGTTGCAAGTGAGCCGAGATTGCGCCACTGCACTCCAGCCTGGGTGACAGAGTGAGACTCCGTCTCAAAAAAAAAAAAAAAAAAAAAAGAGAGAGACAAATGAAAGCAGATGGATTTGATTAACATATAGGAGGTATGATCCACAGGATTTGGTGACTACAACCTCATGAGAGGACCAGCATGAGAGGTCCATGTCTCTTTTATTCCCTACTATATTCACAGTGCTAGGTATCTAGCACATAGTTAACTGCTGTATAAACATTATTGAACAAATAAGAAAAACAAGGAATCACAGATGTTACCTAGGTTTCTGGCATAATGACTGGGTAAAGGGAGGTGCCCTTTACTGAGATAGTAAACAGAGGAGAAGCAGTTCATATAAAATATGTTGAGTCTGAGGTACCTAAAAGCCTTCAAGGAAAGATAATGAGAATCCAGTTGGATATATAGTTATAAAGCTCAGGAGAAAATGTAAAATAATGGCAGCCTCAGTGCCTCAGTTAAAGCTACAGCTGATAACTGTCACTTTTAAAGCATACTATGTGAGACATCATCCCAATAATCCTTTTAAATTTCCCAGGGTTATTAACGGTTTTATAATCAAGGGTATCAAAAAATTAATATACCTTCTTGACCATTAGAAATAATATTTTATTTCTTGACCATTAGAAATAATATTTTATTTCTTGACCAAGGTGGTGGTAACTCAAACCTCTGCTTTACAAAAATCTATTAAGTTATACATTTGTGTTTTATGTACACTTTTCTGTGTGTTAAATTTTGCAATAAAAAGGGGATTTTTTTAAACCTTCATAAACTAGAAATAAGAAAATTCCTTAATCAAAGAAGCTACTGGAAACTAAACATCATATTTCTAGTAGAAACACTAGTGACATTCTCGTTAAAGGAAAAAAAAAACAAAGATATCTTCTGTCACAATTATTAATAGTGTTCTAAATGTTCTGGTTAAAAATGAAGACCTGACAATAAAAAAAGGAAGGCATAAGGGTCTTTTCAACAATGGTGCTGGGACAACTGGATATCCACATGCAAAAGAATAAAGATGGACCCCCCTAGCTCACACCATATATAAAAATTAACTCAAAATGTATCAAAGACCCAAGTGTAAGAGCTAAAACTACACAACTCTAAGAGAAAACATAGGTGTAAATCTTTGTGACTTGGGAAGAGGCAATAGTTTCTTAGATACAACACTAAAAGTAGAAGCAACAAAATTCTCAAATTTTTCTCTGAAAAATTAGAGAAATTAGACACCATCAAAATTAAAAACTTTATAGTGTCAAAGATTTAAACCTTTGGGGCAAAACCAAAAAGAAATTATCAGTGGCCAGGTGCGGTGGCTCACACCTGTAATCCCAGCACTTTGGGAGGCTGAGGAGGGAGGATCACTTGAGGTCAGGAGTTCAAGACCAGCCTGGCCAACATGGTGAAACCCCATCTCTACCAAAAATACAAAAAATTAGCCAGGCGTGGTGGTGTGCGCCTGTAGTCCCAGCTACTCAGGAGGCTGAGGCATGAGAATCACTTGAACCAGGGAGGCGAAGGTTGCTGCGAGCCAAGATAGTGCCAGTGTACTCCAGCCTGGGTGACAGAGCAAGACTCCATCTTACAAAAAAAAAAGAAATTATCATCAGGATTAACAGATGCTAATATATAACTGAAAAATCCAGAATTTGAGAAAGCCAACAACATAGTTCAGTAAGAAAATCAAATAAATACTACTACTACTTTTTAAAAACTGCTTTTCTTTTTTCTTTTATTTTTTACTTTTTTATTTTTTTTTATTTTGAGACAGAGTCTCACTCTGTTGCCCAGGCTGAAGTGCAGCAGCACAATCACAGTTCACTATAGACCTGAATTCCCAGGCCCAAGTGGTCCTCCTACCTCAGCCTCCCAAGTAGCTGGGACCACAGGCATATGCCACCATGCCCAGCTATTTTTTTGTTTGTTTTTTTGTAGAGATGGGGTTTCTCTATGTTGCCCAGCCTCCCAAAGTGCTGAGATTACAGGTGTGAGCCACCTTGTCCAGGCAAAATTGCTTTATTTATTTTTTTTTTTTGAGACAGGGTCTCACTCTGTCACCCAGGCTGAAGTTTAGTGTTGATCTCAGCTCACTGCAGCCTCTGCCTCACAGGCTCAAGCCATCTTCCCTCCTCGGACTCCTGAGTAGCTGGAACTATCCGCACGCACCACCATACCTGGCTAATTTTTGTATTTTTTCTAGAGATGGGGTCTTGCTTTGTTGCCCAGGCTGGTCTTGAACTCCTGGATTCAAGCAATCCACCCACTTCAGCTTCCCAAAGTGCTAAGATTACAGATAAGAGCCACTGGAACCGGCCAAAAATTACTTTTATAATATAAGAAAAACTGATTGGAAAATATAATGAAGGGGCTGGGCGCAGTGGCTCACGCCTATAATCCCAACACTTTGGGAGGCCGAGGTGGGTAGATCACCTGAGGTCAGGAGTTCAAGACCAGCCTGGCCAACATGGTGAAATCCAGTCTCTACAAAAATACAAAAATTAGCCAGATGTGGTGGCACGTGCCTGTAATCCCAGCTACTCGGGAGGCTGAGGCAGGAGAATCACTTGAACCTGGGAGGCAGAGGTTGCAGTGAGCTGAGATCATGCCGCTGCACTCCAGCAGAGTGCAGAGGGCAACAGAGCGATACTCCGTCTCCAAAAAAAAAAAAAAAAAAAAAAGAAACTATAATGAAGGAAATGGCATCCAGAATATCAACATAACAACAAAAAAACTTCTTTTGAATAACGCACCATGTTTATGTAAAATGTTAACATTCAGGAAAGCTGGGTGAAGGGTATACAAATACTCTCTCTCTAAACTATCTTTGCAACTTTTTTGTAAATCTTAAATCACTTCTAAATAAAAAGTTTATTCAAAACAAAACAAGAACGTAAAGAAACAAGGCATAGACCAGGGTAAAATATCTATAATATATTTATCTGACCAAGGACTTATATCCAGAAAACATCAAGAATGCCTACAAATCAATAATAAAAAACAAAAAGCAAATTTAATGTACAAAAGACTGAAATCAGACACACACACACACACACACTCCAAATAATGAATAAATATGCGAAAAGGTGCTGAACATCACTAGTCATTGCAGAAGTGTAAATTAAAACCAAAATGAAATAACACTATACAAACAATGGCTAATATTAAAAAGAAAAGGAAAAAAATGCACTGACAATATTAAATATCAACAAAGATGTAGGCTGGGCACAGTGGCTCACGCCTGTAATCCCAGCACTTTGGGAGGCTAAAGTAGGAGGATCGCTTGAGCCCAGGAGTTTGAGACCAGCCTGAGCAACATAGCAGGACTCTGTCTCTACAAAAAAAAAAAAAAAAAAAATAGCTGGGTGTGGTGGTGCACACCTGTAGTCCCAGCTATTTGGAAGGCTGAGGTGGCAGAAAGGCATGAGCCTGGAAGATTGAGGCTGCAGTGAGCCGTGATCAAGCCAATGCACTCCAGCCTGAGTGGCAGAGTGAGACAGAGAGAGACTCTATCTCAAAAAAAAAAAAAAAAAAAAAAGATGTGGAGCAAATGGAACTCGTGTTCAAAAAAAATGACAATATCAGATATCAACAAAGATGTGGAGCAAACAGAATTCTAATTCATTGCTAGGGGTAGTATAAAATGGTACAACCACATCAGAAAACAGCAAGTTGCTAATAAAGCTAAGATTTTACATTCTCAGCCGGGCACGATGGCTGATGCCTGTAATCCCAGCACTTTAGGAGGCTGAGGCAGGTGGATCACCTGAGGTCAGTAGTTCGAGACCAGCCTGGCCAACATAGTGAAACCTTGCCTCTACTAAAAGTACAAAAAATTAGTTGGGTGTGGTGGCAGGCGCCTGTAATCCCAGCTACTAGGGAGGCTGAGGCAGGAGAATCGCTTGAACCCGGGAGGCGGAGGTTGCAGTGAGCTGAGATCGTGCCACTGCACTCCAGCCTAGTGACAGAGTAAGACTCCATCTCAAAAAAAAAAAATTATATACTCTATAACCCAGCAATTTCATTCTCAGGTATTTACCCAAGAGAAATAAAAACAATATGTCTACAAAAAGATTTGTAGACTACTCACAGCATCTTTATCATCTTTATTCATAATAGCAAAAAAAAGGAAATAACTCAAATGTCAATAATCAGAAGAATAAACTAATTTTGGAATACTCACACAATGGAATACTACTCAGCCATAAAAAACAATAAACTATGGATACGTGAAAAATGAATAAATCTCAAAAACATTATGTTCAGTTGAAGAAACCAAACTTTAAAAGGTACATATTCTATATTCCTTTTAAAACAGCTAAAACTGAAAGAGTGGGATGTCCGGCTTCTGAACAGGAAGTTCGTAGTACCAGTGATGAGAGACAGAATTAAATATGGGTGATGTTGAGAAAGGCAAGAAGAGTTTTGTTCAGAAGTGTGCCCAAGGCCGGGCATGGTAGTTTACGCCTGTAGTCCCAGTACTTTGGGAGGTGAGGTGGGCAGATTACTTGGGCCCAGCAGTTCATGACTAGCCTGGACAACATGGTGAAACCCCATCTTGATAAAAAATACAAAAATTAGCCGGGTATGGTGGTGCATGCCTGTAGCCCCAGCTACTCGGGTGGCTGAGGTGGGAGGATGGCTTGAGCCCAGGAGGCAGAGGTTGCAGTGAGCCAAGATCGTGCCACTGCACTCCAGCCTGGATGATGGAGCCAGAACTTGTCTTAAAAAAAAAAAAAGTGTGCCCAATGCCACACCATGGTAAAGCGAGGCAAGTACAAGAGTGAGCCAAATCTCCATGGTCTATTTATGCAGAAGACAGGTCAGGCCACTGAATTCTCTCACAGACGCCAATGAGAACAAAGGCATCACCTGAGGAGAGGAGACACTGATGGAGTATTTGCAGAATCCCAAGAAGTACATCCCTGGAACAAAAATGACCATTGTCAGCACTAAGAAGAAGGCAGAAAGGGCAGACTTGATAGCTTATCTCAGAAAAGCTAATAATCAGTAATAATTGACCACATGACTTTTTTATGTGTACATAATTTAATAGCTCTCTAATATACATCAGAATTCAAATCATGAATAACTCACAGAATATTTTTGTTGAGCAGTCCTGATTTAATTAAGACTCGCTTGTGGTTAAATGAATACATTTGGGTTTTTTAAAATTTTAACAGTAATTCTGATTCAGTAAATGGTATCACTGTTTCCCCCTTCTAAAACTATGATTGGACTTAATTCGTAGTGTTCAACTTTTCACAAAGATGGTGAATGCCATCTTAAAACCTATTAGAGATTGGCTTTATATTTAGATTTATATAACTAGCTATATGAATATATTTAAATACTGGGGAAATGTCTTCACTGTCTCAGAACCAAGCAAGACCCACCTGTGTTCTGCGTTCACGTGCCTCTTAAAGGCAAAGACTAAAGATAAGGTAACAATGTCTACTTTATATTTCTGGTCTTAACTATGTCAATTTAATTAGAATTCTCTGTGTCTAAAATGGTTCCTTGGCTGGGCATAGTGGCTCATGCCTGTAATCACAATACTTTTTTGGGGCTGAAGTGGGAGGATTGCTTGAGGCCACAAGTTGGACCACATAGAGAGACCTCATCTGTACAAAAATTAAAAATAGCCAGGCATGGTGGTGCATTCCTGTAGTCGTAGCTACTCAGGAGGCTGAGGTGGAAGGATGGCTTGGGCCCAGGAGTCAAGGTTGCAGTGAGCCATGATCCTGCCATTGCAACCCATCCTGTGTGACACAGTAAGACCCCATCTCAAAATAAAATGGTTCTTTTAACTTATTAAAAGGCATTTTATATGGCTTATATATATCAAATAAAGAATAGTTAATATTTCTTGAAAAAAAAAAAGAAAAATACAGCCAACACTAATTCTAGAATGATAGAAATTATAACAGTGGTAGCCTGGGGGAGGATGAAGGGGTGGTGGGTAGAACTTTCAAAGGAGGCAAAAATGTCCTATTTCTTGATTTGGGTGATGGTTACCATATTAGGCTATTCTTGTGTTGCTATAAAGAAATACCTGAGGCTGACTAGTTTATTAAAAAAAGAGATTTAATTGTTTCACAATTCTGCAGGCTGCACAAGCATGGCACTGACATCTGCTTGGCTCCTGGGGAGGCCTCAGGGAGCTTTTACTCACAGTGGAGGGCGAAGCGGAGCAAGCACATCACAGGGCGAGAATGGGAGCAAGGTTGCGGGGGGCAGTGCCAGACACTTTTAAATGACCAGATCTTGGCCGGGCGCAGTGGCTCACACCTGTAATCCCAGCACTTTGGGAGGCCGAGGGAGGCAGATCACCTGAGGTCAGGAGTTCAACATCAGCCTGGCCAACATGGTGAAACCCTGTTTCTACTAAAAATACAAAAAATTAGCCGGGTGTGGTGGCAGGCGCCTATAATCCCAGCTACTCGGGAAACTGAGGCAGGAGAATCGCTTGAACCTGGGAGGCGGAGGTTGCAGTGAGCTGAGATCACACCACTGCACTCCAGCTTGGGCAACAAGAGCAAAACTCCGTCTCTAAAAACAAAAAAACAAAAAAAAAACAGATCTCCTGAGACTGCACTCACTATCTTGAGAACAGCACCAAACCATGAGGGACCCTCCCGTATGACCCACACACTTCCCACCAGGTCCCACCTCCAACATTGCAGATTACATCTCAACATGAGATTTGCGGGGGACAGATATCCAAACCATATTGGTTACATGGTTGTATACGTTGTCAAAACCCATCAAACTGTAGATTTAAGTTCTATGCATTTTACTATATGTAAAATTTACCTCAATTTAAAAAAATGAGAAGGTGAGGAAAGTTCATCTGAAATTTTTAGATATCATGGCCTGGAAGTGCTTCACTACAAAGGTGACATTTGCAAGCCATGTGTGTAGCTGATGGAATAGCATTCCAGGCAGAAGGAAAAACAGATGTGAGGCCCTTAAGCATCTATTCCTAGCAACTGGAGTTTTTGAGAAACAAGGAGGACACTAATGTGACTGGAATGGGTTGAACAAGGGAAAGACAAGTACTGAGAGCTAATGGGGGATCAGATGATACAGTGTCTGGTAGGTCACGGTAAGACTCACTAAAGATTTTTATCCTCATCTTAGTCTAAAAGAAAATCACCTAAATGCCTACTAAGAATAAGGCACTGTGCACAGACAGCTTACATAAAGCTTATGTAAGTAGCAAAACCAGGATTAGAAACCAACTATGTCTGATTCCAAAGCTCATAATCTTAACCACTTTGCTTTACTAACTAAACATAACAATACTCAATATTTACTGAATGCTTACTATCAATACGTTAGAGCTAAAAGGCTTTATATCAGATCTTCCCAATCATTTATTGTTCTAAAATGGCTTATAAGTAGTGTAATGTAAAGATCTTCTGAATAAAATTTTGTATTGTATTAAAAATGTTTTGCAACCAACTAAAAATTCAGGATGGGTAAAGTTATATTTAATTCATATAGTTCTCTACATAAACTTCCTAATTATAATTTTGGTACAGAAAACTATGCACATGACTTCACTATATGGAACCACTTAAGTACCATAGTTTTGGTACATAAAACTATGCACATGGCACAGTACAGTGACTCCATGAAATAGCCCCTTCTCTTGATCTTCCTGTTGAATCATTTTAGTCTATATTTTTATTTTAGTCTACATTGTTTAACAATCAGTGAGGTTCTACGTTTTGCACCCATATGTAAATGAAGTTTTCTATTTAATTTGCTCTAATAGCACCACAATTTCTAAATGTATGTTTGTCATCAAAAGCATTATAATCAACATCATCATTATTAATACATCTGGTATTATTAGGTGTTCCTAAATAAAACATAATTTTGTAGTTTCTTAGTCTATTTATTTAATATTCATACATTTTTATTCTGTTGCTCAATGTCTGATTTTTAATGTATTTTGTTATCATTACTGTATTAAGAAAACACAACTGATTTTTTTTTTTTTTTTTTTTTTTTGAGATGGAGTCTCGCTCTGTCTCCCAGGCTGGAGTGCAGTGGTGCGTTCTTGGCTCACTGCAACCTCCGCCTCCCAGTTCAAGCAATTCTCCTGCCTCAGCCTCCCGAGTAGCTGGGATTACAGGCATGTGCCACCATGCTTGGCTAATTTTTGTATTTTTAGTAGAGACGGAGCTTCGCCATGTTGGCCAAGCTGGTCTCGGACTCCTGACCTCAAGTGATCTGCCCGCCTCAGCCTCCCAAAGTGCTGGGATTACAGGCATGAGCCACCACACCCAGCAACAATGAATTTTTATACCAAATTTGCAAATATTCTCTAGTTTACCAGGGGTCTTACACAAATGTCGTCTTCTGTGTATACCATGACATGAAGGAGGTAGGAAAACAATGCTTTAGCTATTACTTCACACTGAGTAGGTGCAGAATTCTGATAATATAAAAATCTCAGTAGTAATGGAATGCTAAAAGAATCCTATCTCTATAAAACTATGTCTCTAAGAGGTTTTTTTGTGGGGGGGCGGGAGTGGAGGGACAGGGTCTTGCTCGGTCACCCAGGCTGGAGTGCAGCGGTGCAATCATAGTTCATTGCAGCCCGAAACTCCCAGGCTCAGGTAATCCTCCCGCCTTAGCCTCCTGAGTAGCTGGGACTACAGAGGTATGCCACCATGCCCAGCTAATTTTTGTATTTTTGTAGAGATGGGGTTTTGCTATGTTGCCCAGGCTAAGATCAAGCAATCCGCCCACCTCAGCCTCCCAAAGTGCTGTCATTACAGGTGCTAAGAGGCTTTTAAAAAAATAAAGAGGTCTAAATGGAGAGGTGAGCCAGGATTTCAGAAAACCAGCACAACCTAGGTAGAAGACTAAAAGCTTCTGAGTCAGACAGATGTGAATTTAAATACCAGCATGACGTGTGATCCCTAGGTTAGGACAAATTACCTTCTTTGATTCTTCTTCCTCATCATTAAGTGGAATAAACCACCTATTTGGTAGAGCTGTTGATGTAAAGATAATTTTTAAAAAGCAAAATGCATAGCAACACTTGGTATAAAGCAGCACTCAGTAAAAATTACTTTTTTTTTTTCTTTTTTAGAGACTGTCTCACTCTGTTGCCTAGTCTGGAATGCAGTGGTGTAATCTTGGCTCAACCACCCTGGCACAAGCAATCTTCCTGCCTCAGCCTCCTGAGTAGCCACAACTGCAGGCGACCACAATTGGCTTTTTTTTTTAGACTTAGGATTTCCCTGTCTCTAAAAATGCCCAGGCTGGTCTCAAACTCCTGGCCTCAAGTGATCCTCTCGCCTTGGCATCCCAAGGTGCTGGAATTACAAGCATGAGCCACTAAAGCTGGCCACAGTACTTATGGTAATTTTAACATACCATGAGTTCAACTATGTTAAAATATTTGCAAAAGCTAAGACAGCCTGAGGAAGAACAAAGGAAAAAAAACCAATTAATATGTTAGGGTGGTATTTGTACTAATTGTTTTTTGTTTTAAAAAATTTTGCTGGCTGGGTGCGGTAGCTCATGCCTGCAATCCCAGCACTTTGGGAGGCTGAGGTGGAAGGACTGCTTGAGCCCAGGAGTTCAAGACCTGCCTGGGCAACACAGTGAGACCACATCTCTACAAAAAATTTTAAAATGAGGCCGGGCGCCGTGGCTCACGCCTGTAATCCCAGCACTTTGGGAGGCCGAGGCGGGCCCATCACGAGGTCAGGAGATCGAGATCATCCTGGCTAACACAGTGAAACCCCGTCTCTACTAAAAATACAAAAACTTAGCCGAGCATGGTGGCGGGCGCCTGTAGTCCCAGCTACTCGGGAGGCTGAAACAGGAGAATGGCGTGAACCCAGGAGGCGGAGCTTGCAGTGAGCCGAGATCATGCCACTGCACTCCAGCCTGGGTGACAGAGCAAGACTCCGTCTCAAAAAAAATAAATAAATAAAAATAAATAAATTAATTAAAAAATTAAAAAATGAGGCAGGAGGAATGCTTGAGCCCAGGAAGTCAAGGCTGTAGTGAGCCATGATTGAGCCGCTGCTCTCTTACCTGGGTGACAGAGTAAGACCTTGCAATGTTATCATGTTGCTTAGTAGTAGATACATATAGAGATGAATAAGTCAAATGTAAAACCAATTCTTAATAGAATCCTTAGATTAGTTATCTTGGAACATGAATAATGACCCCTGATGTTTCTATTACTTTGAAGTTTTTGAAAGAGGAATACAACTATAAGGTATCATCCTTCTTCAAAAGTTCTTCAAAAGAATTTAGAGCACATTTTGCTTCTTCTCAAAGTACTAATAATTTGCAAATAACTACATTTCCATAGACAGAAAAGAATATCAAGCAGAAGTTTGATAAATAGAACATTTCATTATATCTTATTTCTGTACCATGCTTAAGGTATTCCTTTAGCTTTTTTCTAGGCCTCATATTTCTCATTTGTATTAATAAAATGGGCCAGGCATGGTGGCTCACACCTGTAATCCCAGCACTTTGGGAGGCCAAGGCAGGCATATCACTTGATGACAGGAGTTCGAGACCAGCCTGGCCAATATGGTGAAACCCGTCTCTACTAAAAATACAAAAATTAGCTGGGCATGGTGGCGTGTGCCTGTAGTCCCAGCTACTTGGGAGGCTGAGGCAGGAGAATCACTTGAACCCTAAGGCAGAGGCTGCAGTGAGCCAAGATCGCACCACTGCACTCCAGCCTGGGCAACAAACAGGAGACTCTGTCTCTAAATAAATAAATAGAATAAAATAAAATGGCACAGGTGGGTCAAATGGTGTCCTCTAATGTTCTTTTTGCTATAATATCCTGGAACTTCATAATCTTCTAATAAAACAAACGCATATCTGACAGTCCTGCAACTCTGTACTTTCAAGTGGTCCTATAATAGTCTTTCACCCTAGTGGTGGTCCCCAGAGCTGAAGACATTACAGTCTCTTCTCACAGAGCCAGGGGACCCAAAGGGAACTAGAAATTCCCAGGAGAGATAGACAAAACGATTAATGATTTGGAAACTAAATTAAAGAATGCACATGTTTATCCTTATTAGAGAAGGCTAATGACAAGGTCTTGATTATCTTAAAACATACAAAGGTAAATGTGTAGATAATGATCAATACCCTTTTCTCCACTTTTACTATGAACAGATTAATAGGAAATGGAATCAACATGAAGTACAAGCAATATAGACCAGAATAGATCTTTAAAATTATGAGTTTGTCAGTAACTGTGGGATGCCTGAGAGCAAGACACAGTTGTATGCCATGTTTGTATCCCAGTATACAACAGCATCTGGCATCCAGGAAGTGCTCAATACAAATGTGCCCCCCAAAATTAATAACAGATCATTTGACTGTTTAAAGATTCAAACTACAGGCTGGATATGGTGGCTCATGCCTGCAATCCCAGCACTTTGGGAGGCCAAGATGGGTGGATCACTTGAGTCCAGGAGTTCCAGACCAGCCTGATCAACATGGCGAAACCCCATCTCCAATAACAATACAATAATCAGCTGGGCATGATGGTGCATGCCTGTAGTCCCAGCTACTCAGGGGGCTGAGGCACAAGAATCACCTGAGCCCAGTAGGCAGAAGTTGCAGTGAGCCAAGATCGTGCCATTGCACTCCAGCCTGGGCAACAGAGGGAAACTCTGTCTCAAACATAAATAAATAAATAAATAAATAAACATTCAAACTACAGAAGTGCATTATAGAGACAGGACAGAACATTTATCTTGATATTAAGAAAAATGAAGATAATCTTCTTGCAATAATTTAGGTAATGAGCAGAAAAATTAAATTTATAATTTTAATTTTTCAAAGTTATTTCCTTATTACAAAAAAAAAAAACAAAAACCCTGGGCCTTGCTGATTCTGTCATGAACTGGCTATAGCACACACAGAGCTGAAGCAAGGCAGTCTCCACTCTCAACTGAAAACTGGTGCCAATGATAAAGATGTTGCCTGCTTTAAAAAATACCTGTTAAGCACTTAGAGTTCTAGCAGTCAAATTCTCCTAATACTAGCCCTGTACGGCAATTGTGAAGTTGGAATGGATGCGGCTCACCACTAGAGTCCTTGTGCTGTAGGAACTCTTCAACAGGTGAAATGATTCTTAACAGATGGAAGGAATCCTGGTCATCCTTCAGAATCACTTTCCATTACCCCTAGTGATTTATAATGAGGTGAGTTATTCTTTTGACCTCATTTTTCATGCTATCTACTGTCAAGGAGGAACAATTTAAACATGGGGAGGAAAATCAATACAAGAGGAATAATTACAAAACAGTGAAGCTGCATCCACAGGACCCAAACACAATCTGTTTTGGCATTTTAACGTCACATTTCATCGCTAGACCAACCAACTTTAAAAAAAATAAAAATCACTAACTAAAAAAAGAAACCTGGCAAAAATGTTGCCAAGAAGCAGGAAAAAAAAAAAAAGTAATCTGCCTCCCCTGAAATGCCCGCATATAAATAAAACAGTTCATAAAACCATACATCCCACTGTGAAATTCACATTCAATTAGAAGGGCCAATTTCTCTTAGGCCTCAAAGAGCACAACAAAAGCCAGCCAATCAACCCAATCTCCATATGAATGCCCCAATGTCACTTCCATTTTCTAAGACAAGCACATCATTTGCCCACAGTTGACTGCCCAAAACTGATGTAGCTAGAATGGACACTCTTCCTATCTCTTATAAAGCAGGTCTCTTTCTTCTCCTTGCACCGCCAAGTTACTATTTTTTTTTTAGTTTTCTTTGGAGCGTTCCCTTTGAAGTTTTCTTTCATAATGGACCTCAAGGGCTGGCAGTTGACTTAGGGAATAAGAAACCATATTACTGAACTGGAATTCTGAACAATATTTCAAAATAAGGGGAATGATATGGTTTGGATATTTGTGCCCTCCAAATTTCATGTTGAAATGTGATCCCCAATTTTGGAAGTGGGGCCTGGTGGGAAATGTGTGGATTACAAGGGCAGCTCCCTCATAAATGGCATGGTGTCCTTTCCATGGCAATGAGTGAGTTCTTCTCTTCACAGGAGATCTGATTGTTTAAAAGAGTATGGTACCTCCCACCTCTCTCTCTTTCTCCTGCTCTATGTGATGCACCTGCTTCCCCTTTGCCTTTTGCATGACTGTAAGCTTCCCGAGGCCCTCACCATGAGCAGATGCTGGCCTCATGCTTCCTGTATAGCCTGCAGTACTGTGAGCCAATTAAACCTCTTTTCTTTATAAATTACCTAGTCTCACGTATTCCTTTATAGCAACAAAAACAGACTAATATAGGGAACTTCAGTTAAGAGTTAATGGAGGCCGGGAGCGGTAGCTCACAACTGTAATCCCAACACTTTGGGAGGCCGAGGCGGGCGGATCACAAGGTCAGGAGATCGAGACCATTCTGGCTAACACGGTGAAACCTCGTCTCTACTAAAAAAATACAAAAAAATTAGCCAGGTGTGGTGGCGGGCACCTGTAGTCCCAGCTACTCAGGAGGCTGAGGCAGGAGAATGGCATGAACCCAGAAGGTGGAGCTTGCAGTGAGCCGAGATCGCGCCACTGTCTTCTAGCCTGGGTGACAGAGCAAGACTCCGTCTCAAAAAAAAAAAAAAAAGAGCTAATGGTAAAGATATGAAATGACAGTAGAAAAAGTTTACTCCACTGCCAATCACGGAAAATATTTACATACGAAGGGTACTACTAATCTCAACATTAGGCACCTTGTCAAGCCTTGCAACAGTCAATACACTAAACCTATGTTAACTATTTTATTCACAATTTACTTTTTTTTTTTTTTGAGACGGAGTTTCACTCTTGTTGCCCAGGCTGGAGTGCAATGGTGCAATCTCGGCTCACTGCAACCTCTACCTCCCAGGTACAAGCGATTCTCCTGCCTCAGCCTCCCAAGTAGCTGGGATTACAGGTGTCCACCACCAGCCCCAGCTAAATTTTTTATTTTTGGTAGAAACAGGGTTTCACCATGTTTGGCAGGCTGGTCTCGAACACCTGACCTCAGGTGATCCTCCCACCTCGGCCTCCCAAAGTGCTGTGATTACAGGTGTAAGCCACTGCACCCGGCCAATTTACATTTTTTAAGCTGATCACTGGTAACCCAATTAGAAGCGCAATACAAGGAGCTTCTTGTGATGTGATGATAATTAGAATAATTCACTAATTAATGGAATTCAGGTCTAGTCAAGACTGGCTTGAAACTTCAAAATTTTTGCAGGCCATCAATGGCCACTAAATCACAAAGAGAGATAACCTGACATTATTTGCCTTCTCATGGAAGTACATACCACCACTTATGATGTACTCTTACCAAAAAATTGGAATCTGAATCAGACCTAATCTCTAATTACTAGTTTATAGAAAACACGTGGGACAAAAGAACACCTTAACACCACAAGCAAGCAGTCAGAAAAATCTAGGTTGTAGAGAAACTCTAAAGTACAAACAACCCAGGTTTTCAACAAATAAGGTAAGAGAAAAAAAATGAGGAGGAAACCATAGATTAAAATACGTATCAATCAAAACAGACCTTATTTGAATCATGACTTGAATAAACCAACTGTTAAAACACACACACACACACCTGTGAACAATCAGGGAAACTTAAACACTACTAAAATATAATTTTAAGAAACAAGATTTTGACTTTTAGGTGTGCCAATGAAATTTGTTTTTGTTTTTGTTTTTGTTTGAGACAGAGTCTCACTCTGTCACCCAGGCTGGAGTGCAGTGGCGAGATCTCAGCTCACTGCAAGCTCCGCCTCCCGGATTCAAGTGATTCTCCTGCCTTAGCACCGCCCCCCACCCCCACCCCCCACCGCCAGTAGCTGGGATTACAGACACACGCCACCACGCCTGGCTAATTTTTCGTATTTTTAGTGGAGACAGGGTTTCACCATGTTGGCTAGGCTGGTCTCAAACTCCTGACCTCCGGTGATTCACCTGCCTTGGCCTCCCAGTGCTAGGATTATAGGCATGAGCCACCACGCCCAGCTGATTTTTTTTTAATTTAAATTTCTACGTTCTAGAGATATATATCGAAATATTTACAAATAAAATATAAGCTGGGCACGGTGGCTCATGACTGTAATCCCAAAACTTTGGGAGGCTGAGGCAGGTGGATCACCTGAGGTCAGGAGTTCATTTGAGACCAGCCTGGCCAACATGTGAAATCCTGTCTCTACTAAAAATACAAAATTAGCCGGGCGTGGGGGCACATGCCTCTAATCCCAGCTACTTGGGAGGCTGAGACACCCTGGGAGGTGGAGGTTGCAGTGGGCCAAGATCGCACCACTGCACTCCAGCCTGGGCAACAAGAGTGAAATTCCATCTCAAAAGAAAAAAAAAAATTATGTGATATCTAGGATTGGCTATAAAATAATCCAGTATACTGGAGATGAGGATCTATAAATGAAACAAGATTGGCCATAAGTTGATCACTTTTGAGAATTCATTATACCATTCTCTCTACTTTTGTATCTTCTATTTTGAAATATTCCATAATAAAATGCTTAAAAGAGAGTCACTAGACCAATAATTAATACAGAAAAACCAGATACATATATCATGCCAGATATATCATGAATATTTAGAGCATGGCACCATAAAATATTCCCCAAATTTGCATTAGATTAATATTCTAACAGATTATCACTGTGTCATAACATTTAAGTATACTAAATATAAAATCATCTCTAAATTTTTGTATAAACCTATTCCATAACTATAATGAAGTAGAATATTTCATTAAAAACCACATGCAAGTCAATTTCCAATACTGAAAACTCAAGTTTCAGTTTTTTTTTTTTTTTTTGAGACGGAGTCTCGCTCTGTCACCCAGGCTGGAGTGCAGTGGTGCCACCTTGGCTCACTGCAACCTCCACCTCCCGGGTTCAAGTGATTCTCCTGCCTCAGTCTCCCGAGTAGCTGGGACAACAGGCGCGTGCGACCACGCCCGGCTAATTTTTTGTATATTTAGTAGAGACAGGGTTTCACCGTGTTAGCCAGGATGGTCTCAATCTCCTGACCTCGTGATCTGCCTGCCTTGGCCTCCCAAAGTGCTGGGATTACAGGCGTGAGCCACCGCGCCTGGGCAAAGCTTCAGTTTTTCAATTGAATTGCCTCATGAAACAAACATAAACTCTGCATGCCTGATAAAACTTTAAGCCCCCAAATTTTACTCAAACTGGTTACAATCTAAGATCAGAAGAAACAATTTTTTTAAATGACACTTCAAAAGCAGGAAAAACCCCAACATATTCACAGACAAAAACAACATCAACAAATTGGGCAAGCACTCAATTAGCAATCCAAATGAGGCTTCAATTCCTTGTCCTATATGACATTCTGGGCCAAGGTCTTAATCTGGATTTATTATTACTATGTTGAACCATTAAAGATTTATTAGACATCCCAAACCTCCATATTTCACCATCTTAGAGAAGATATATATGTAATTCTCCTCCATAAGCATAAAATAGTCTCAAATACTGATAAATATAGTACTCCCCTGACACTCCTCAAGAGCCAGAATGCTAGAACAGAAATCGGTTATGTAGCCAATTTCCTATTATAAGTTATAATAGTAACCAACTATTCTGGAGACCAATCCCAAAATTCAAGTTAGTTTCTAAATTGTATCTACTGCTAAGTAAAAGTAACAAGCAGCACAGAATCAGATACACAGTAGACACTCAAGAAATAAATGTAAGAGAATGGCAGAAAAAACTGTTTATTGGTACTAACCTCCCTATCACTGTTCCCCCAAGGCTGCCTTCCAGTGGAAGTGCTAATGAGTGGGAAATGGGCCAAACTAGACTGAGAAGTAAAATAAACTAGATAAGCAGCCATCAGTAATAGGGACATAACTTTCTTGCCCCTATTATCAGGTTTAATATCCTAAAATATTCTTAACTGATGAATAATGAAACCACCTGAACTAGCCAGAATTCAGCTTTTAAAGTGTCTTGCCACATATTTTGGGCCCTCATTTAAATTACAATTATATTGATGGAAAATCTATATTTTTTCTCCCAAAAGTCAACAGAAAGACAAGTTATCCTTAATGCAAAAAAAAACTTCATATAACCTCCACAAAAGTCTTCAAAAATATCTCTACTGAAAGTGCTCTTTCAAAGTTTAAATGACCAAATCCAACAGTCTTTTTACAGGCCTTCTCCTCAATTTCCTTTTACATTATTTACCATCCATTCCTTGAAATACCTCAATATCACTGTTTGTCGGTTCTTCTCTGTATTAGTTTCCTATTGCTGCTATAACAAATTACCATAAACTTAGTTGCTTAAAACAACACAAATTTATTATCATAGCATTCTGGAGGTCAGAAGTCTGAATCATGGCCAGATGCAGTGGCTCACAACTGTAATCCCCAGTGGCTCACACCTGTAATCCTTGGGAGGCCAAGGCGGGTGGATCACCTGAAGTCAGGAGTTTGAGACCAGCCTGGCCAACAAGGCAAAACCACGTCTCTACTAAAAATACAAAAATTAGCTGGTTGTGGTGGTGGGCGCCTGTAATCCCAGCTAATAAGGAGGCTGAGGCAGGAGAATCGCTTGATCCCGGGCAGCGGAGGTTGTAGTGAGCCAAGATTGTGCCACTGCACTCCAGCCTAGGGGTCAAGAGCAAAATTCAGTCTCAAAAAAAAAAAAAAAAAGTCTGAAATCAGTCTCATTGGGCTGAGTTGTCAAATTGCTGGCAGGGCTGGTTCCTTATGTGGAGGCTCTGAGAGAAGAATCCACTTCCTTGCCTTTTTCAGCTTCTAGGGTCCACCTGCATTCCTTGGCTCACAGAACCTTCCTGGAATCCCTGCAATCTCTTGCTTCCTTCATCACATCTCCTATTCTGATTCTGCTCTCTTGCCTGTCTTATATGGATGCTTGTGATTATATTGGGCTCACCTGGATAATCCAGGCTAATCTCCTTATCTCAAGATCCTTAAATTAATCATATCCCCAAAGTCTCTTTTACCCTGTAAGGTAACATATTTACATGTTCTGGGGATTAGGACTTAGACATTTTTGGGGCACCATTAGTCAGCCTACCACATCTTCCAACAGCTCTAACTTGAATTTCTGCATTCTCTGCCTACCAGCTGCTTGTGTTTTCTGCTCTTCTCTGTATGTTTTCTCCCTTTCCTCTTTCACACTCATTACTTCAACTCTCACCTTTATGCTAAAATCAAGTCTCTTGTCTCAAATATGAGAAAACTGGAGCATAGATAGGAAAGTGACTAGCCTTGAGTCACATAGATACCTACAGGATATTTACTTACTTACTTACTTATTTATTTGAGACACAGTCTTGCTCTGCTCTGTCACCCAGGCTGGAGTGCAGTGGTGTGAACACAGCTCACTGCAGCTTCAACCTCCTGGGCTCAAGTGATCCTTCCACCTCAGCCTCCTATGTAACTGGGACCACATGTTTGCACCACCATACCTGGCTAATTTTTTTTTGGGTGGGGAGGGGGTTGGAGAGATAGGGTCTCACCACATTGCTCAGGCTGGTCTCAAACTCCTGGTCTCCAGCAATCCTCCCGCCTTGGCCTCCCAAAGTGCTGGGATTACAGATATGGGCCACCATGCTAAACACCTATAGGAGATTTCTATTTGTACGTCTTCAGAGTACCTCAGTCTAATCGTTGACTGAATACTATTTCTACCTGAATAACACAATTCTTTCAGACTCACAAGCTAGAATTGTACTACACTTTTTTCTCATCTCCATTCACTCAGCTGGTTCTCTCAACTCTGTCTCTCCATTCATTCAGAAATCCAAGTGCTGCTTCAGAATCCTAAAATACTGCTTTGGTTGGGTAACGACCCTGCTCAAACCCACAAAAATTCTCTACTAAGGAGTCCATCAAGCCACCTTGGCCTGATGTTTGATGTTCAAAGCCCTCTAGGATGTCACCCTGACTCTCTCTCATCTCTAACCCTTCAAACACATCCATTAGGATTTCCTAGCATCCTCTGCCTACACACCACACCCATTCCTATTTATTCGCCCATGCTGCTCTACCATCCTGGACTGCCTTCGTTTGTCCTTCCACTTAGGAATACATCCTTTCCAGGGTATCATAGAATTTGGAACTCTAAAAGGAATCTTTTTTTTATTTATCTGTTTCCAAACCTGACTGTTAGTTCCTTGAGGGCAGAAATTATACCACATATATACTCTAGTACAGACTTACAATCTACCATTTAGACATTCAATATTAGTTGTTAATTAAGAATCTAAGAAAACCTCTAAAGAGAAAAATATAGTGGAACACGGCCAGGCATGGTGGCTCACGCCTATAATCCCAGCACTTTGGGAGGCTGAGGCGGGTGGATTACCTGAGGTCAAGAGTTCAAGACCAGCCTGGCCAACATGGTGAAACCCCGTCTCTACTAAAAATACAAAAATTAGCTAGGATGGTCTCGATCTCCTGACCTCGTGATCCACCCGCCCAAAACCCCGTCTCTACTAAAAATACAAAAAAAATTAGCTGCGCATGGTGGCAGGCACCTGCGGTCCCAGCTACTCGGGAGGCTGAGGCAGGAGAATGGCGTGAACCCGGGAGGCAGAGCTTGCAGTGAGCTGAGATCACACCACTGCACTCCAGCCTGGGCGACGGAGCAAGACTCCGTCTCAAAAAAAAAAACAACAACAAAAAAAACAATTAGCCAGGCGTGGTGTCACCCCCCTGTAATCCCAGCTACTCAGGAGGCTACGGCAGGAGAATTGCTTGAGCCCGGGACGCAGAGGTTGCAGTGAGTCGAGATCGTGCACTGCACTCCAGCCTGGCTGACAGAGCGAGACTCTGTCTCAAAAAAAAAAAAGAATGGGACACATGTAATTAATGGCATATTATTCAAATATCAAAAACTTTACTCTAGGCCAGGCATGGTGGCTCTTGTTTGTTTATAGACACAGGGTGTCACTCTGTCATCCAGGCTGGAATGCAGTGGCACGATCATGGCTCACTGCAACTCCAGTTCCTGGACTCAAGCTATCCTCCCGCCTCAGCCTCCCAAGTAGCTGCAACTACAGACATGCACCAACATGCCTGGCTAATTTTATTTTTTTGTAAAGACAAGGTTTTGCTATGTTGCCCACGCTGGTCTCAAACTCCTGAGCTCAAGTGATCCTCCTGCCTCAGCCTCCATCTATTGTGATTATTGGGACAAAATAACTGATGAATGACTGTCATGGGCTGAGGGTGGGAGGAGCTGTCTACCAAGGAGCACAAAAAATCTTGAGGGTAACGTTCTACATCTTGATTACAGTGGTGGTTCCACAACTGTACGCATTTGTCAAAACTCATACGATGCTACACTACAAAGAGTGAATTTTATTGTATATAAAGTATATCTTAGTTTTAAAATATTTTAAAAGAAAAAAATAAACTACTTAGTTTTATGTTAACAACAAGACTGGTCCAACTCCTTACCTTTGGCAGAATTGTGCTTAATCCATATATATTGACAGGTTGCCTATTTCAAAATACTCACAGAGTAGAAGATTCTAAAAGCCCAAATGGTGATATACAGTTATTCAGCAGGAGTTGAAGAATTGGGGAGAGGCCAGGCATAGTGGCTCCTACTTGTAATCCGAGCACTTTGGGAGGCCGAGGGGGGAGGATTGTTTTAGCCCAGGAGTTCAAGATCAGCCCTGGCAACATAGTGAGACCCCCTTGTCTACAAAAAATTTTAAAAATTAGCTGGGTATGATGGGGTGTGCCTGTAGTCCCAGTTACTAAGGAGGCTGAGGTGGGGAGGATCACTTGAGCCTGAGAGGTTGCAGCTGCAGTGATCCATGGTCACACCACCACACTCCAGTCTGGGTAACAGGGCAAGACCCTGTCACACACACACACACACACACACACACACACACACACACACACAAAGAAGAAGAATAGGGAAGAAATTCTGCGGAACAAATGAAAGTCATTTTTATTTATACTTTCAAAAAAAAAAACCACACAGACAAAAAGCTGAATTTCCCAATATGGCTTTGAGGTCCAACATAGTCTGATGCAACATATTAAGCAATTTGAAGAGGTAAGCTACTAAAATGGCTCAGGATAGATGACTATTCTAGATGCACAATAATAAAGGAGCAAACAGGATTTTTCTGAATCCTATGTTGCCATGGGTCCTGACACTAAGCAGAATTCATCAATATTCAGGGTAAGGCAAAAGTAACTTCGCAGGTGGAACCAGGAGAGGAATGAGTAATAAATGTAGAATAAAAGAGAAAAGGTTAAAAGCACAAGTTTTATTTTACCATATGAGTTAGCACACAAAATATACTATTTTATATTGAACTGAACACACATTCATCTTACTCATCTTCTGTCTCTGTCTGAATATAAATTGCTCAGCCTATCCTCCTCCCCTCACTTGTTCCTATCTCCATCTCTCTTCCTGAGAAATACGTGATTTTAGCCTCCCTAAGTCTACAGCGTCAGACTGAGGCAACTCTAGAATGACAAAGGCTTATTCAACTACAAACTGAATTCCAGTCTGGTGTGACCTTGAGGGTCCAAATTTGGACCCTGCACATTACAAAGACAGTCTGAATTTCTTTTTTCTTTTTTTTTTGAAACGGAGTCTCACTCTTTTACCCAGGCTGGAGTGCAGTGGTGTGATCTCAGCTCACTGTAACCTCCACCTCCTGGGTTCAAGCGATTCTCCTGCCTCAGCCTCCCCGAGTAACTGGGACTACAGGTGTGCACCACCACACCAGGCTAATTTTTGTATTTTTAGTAGAGACGGGATTTTGCAATGTTGACCAGGCTGGTCTCGAACTCCTGACCTCGTGATCCACCTGCCTCAGCCTCCCAAAGTGGTGGGATTACAAGCGTGAGCCACCACCCCCGGCCGCCAGTGTGAATTTCTGAGTCAAGTATGGAATTATTCTAATCTCCTTGGTAGCCCTCCAGATGAAGACTGATCAGACCGTGCTAAGAGACAAGACCTATGGTGACTGAAATCCAGCATCCCTCACCACACTCAGCACAGATTTAAGAGTCAACATAATACATGCTGAAGTAAGTAAGCATTCATTTTAATAAATCCTAGAAAAATCTCTTTTCTGAAAGTAGGCACTTGCCTCTTCCCACAGCAATAATTTGGTAGATATCATGTATCTAGGCCTAGAGTACCTAAGATTATAATGCTAAGGATATCAAGATAGGTGCTAACAGTCAAACTTAATAAATAAATAAAAGAAAAAATTTAAAGTACTATTCCACATAGAATTATTAACAAATATTCCTGGCCTTACAATGTGTATACGCAAATGAAACAGAAATTCCTTTGTGAGCAAACAAGTGCTTTCAAGGGTTCTATAATCAGATTAATACCTTGTTAAGGACTCTAGGACAACACATGCATACACACCAAATCTTAATTTAGTCACTGAAATTTAGTCTGCATCAGTTTCCAAGGCTTTCATCAGAGTTGGTCTAACCTTTGAGATACTTCTTATCCCAGTCTAACTCAAGTATTATTAATAGGCCCCCTGGAGCTTGTTATCTTTGACTCAAGCACCTCGTGGTCTCAGCAAAGGCTGCCAAGAAAGAAGGTCTCTAAGTCCAAAAGAAGCATCAAGGCACCACAAGCTGCAGTGCAAATCATCTACTGTGACGTTGTAGGAGGAGAAAAATTGTCCCCCAGTATTATCTGGGGGCTTCTAACATGCCAAGACAATAATCCACAGTTGGTCAAGTGGCCATGGCCAAAAGAGAGAAAAGAAGCAATTATCCAGATAATTTATATCGTGCTTGTATAACAAATGGACATTTTAAATAAATAATTCAGATAATTGTACCACTCACTCTCCATTTCACAGAAGGTGAATCCATTGTAAAGTAGGTGGTTCAGCTACCAACAGCTCCAGTCTCCCATTTGAAAATAGTCTTTTATGTACCTTAGGAGTTCTCCAGGTCGGCCATGCGCGGTGGCTCATGCCTGTAATCCCAGCACTTTGGGAGGCCGAGGCAGGCAGATCATTTGAGGCCAAGAGTTTGAGACCAGCCTGGCCAACATGGCGAAACCCCATCCCTACTAAAAATACAAAAATTAGCTGGGCATGGTGGTGGGCACCTATAGTTCCAGCTACTTGGGAGGCTGATGCATGAGAATAGCTTGAACTTGGGAGACGGAGGTTGCATGCAGTGAGCTGAGACTGCACCACTGTACTCCAGCCTGGGAGATACAGTGAGACACTGTTTTTTTTTTTTTTAAACAACAACAACAACAACAACAACAACAAAAACTTCTCCAAGTCATGGAGACACACATTGTAACTCTTCGGAAACTGACTTGTAATGTTCTGAAGCCAATAAAGGCCCGTTGTCTTGATTCAAAGATACAGTTTCTCAACAGACCTCAAATCTTTAAGCAGCTTAATTTTTAGCTGAATTTGTCTAGAATCGAGTATACTTGTTCAGTTCAACTCCTTGTCAGCCCTATAAATGGAAAGGAATGCTTATATTGCATTTATAGATGTTAAAAAAAAATCCATAGCTGTCATCCCCTTCTTCTCTTATTTCAATAGATTACTAGGCCAGGCACAGCGGCTCATGCCTATAATCCCAGCAGTTTGGGAGGCCAAGGAGGGTGGATCTCCTGAGGTCAGGAGTTTGAGACCAGCCTGGTCATCATGGTGAAAGCCCATCTCTACTAAAAATACAAATATTATCTAGGCGTGGTGGCAGGCGCCTGTAATCCCAGCTACTCGGGAGGCTGAGGCAGGAGAATCGCTTGAAACCAAGAGGCAGAGGTTGCAGTGAGCCAAGATCTCGCCATTGCACTCCAGCCTGGGCAACAGAGCGAGACTCTGAATCAAAAAAAAAAAAAGAAAAAGAAAAAGAAAAACAAGAATTCACCTTCCCAAAGAGTTCAGAAATTTAAAGTTTAGAATTTAATGTGGTTCTCTTAGCTTTTATCTCATTTTACATTCAGCTCCTTATTAAGTGAGATAGAGATCTCTGTGACATAAGTCTGAAAAATCCATGCCTATGGGCCACTTCTTTACTTTCTAACTTTGCACAAATAATTTTCCTGAGCTTCAGTTTCCTCATCTGTAAAATGAGAATAACAACACTACCTGCCACACCTACTTCAAAGGATCACTGCTGAAACTCACATGGGGTAAGACATATGAAATCAAACAGCAAAGCACTCTACAAATATTGGTTACTACCTCAGGTGGGGAAATATTATCAGCAGGAAAAAAAAATGGGTACAAAATAGGGTGAAAGAGTTTCTTCTACCTGAAATAGAAGGGTTGCAAACATAGTGAGAAGTAACTTTTTAAGCTATTGGCTAAATATATTTAGGGAAGTGGTCTGATATAAAGTTGAGTTATTATTTAGAAGTAGATTCTCATGCCAATACATTCACTTTGCACAGACGGCAGAAGAAGAAAAATACAAAAGATTAAGAGTGGGTGTCCGGCTCTCAGCTCACCAAAATAACTGATGAAGTTCCATTTGAGGAGAGAGGGGTAGTTAGTCATGGCAGTCAGTAGACAGAGAATATTGCTGCATTAGGTGACAGAAGTAAAGGTGTCGTTACCAAGCACAGATTATCCACAATCCATATAGTATAGCTATACATGGGGCATGGGATTTCTATAGAGCACTTTAGAAAAAAAAATAGAAAAATAGAAAAGCTATTCCATAAGTATCAAACAGAGGTAATTCAGTAACTTAGTTCTCCATAGGAAGCTCTCAGGGAGGTAGCACTGCTGAGAAGGAAGTTAAGATACCTAAAACAACGAGGTCCAGCGTGTTCTAGGAGCTGTAGCCTAGAGGCAACACAAACTGTTTTGAAGTACTACAAATCAACAAAACAAGAGGTGTGGTTTCAGACCTGCTTGTCTTTACCCAGTAAAGGGCTTTACTCTTTAAGTGATATAAGATATTCTATAACGGGGACACACAACAACTGAATTTTCTGAAAGGGCATCAAACAAATGACACTGTGCCTATGAGTGACGCGGTGTGCAGGCACGCCAACCAGACATAAGTGAAGATAACTAATCTACAGGGATAAGACCAGGGACAAAAATCACCAGTAACCATGACAACACAAGTAGGTGGAGGGAAATACAAACACTGACCAAGCAGCGGGGTGACGCTATTCCTAAGACCCTGGGGTCAGAAAAAGACTTGATTAGTGGAGGAAGCTGGCCAAGAATGAAACCGATTAGCCCAAAAGGGCAGTGTCCATGCAGAAGGAGTCGGCGGCAACACTGATACTCCCCATGGGGTGGCTCGCAGGGTCAAAGGCTCATCTGTAGGAGACTGGACGCCTCTAAGACCAAGAAAGGAGTTACCTGGTGCAGGGCTGTCAAGCCGTCCACGTTGACCGTGTTGATATCAGCACCTCTTGCCAGAAGCTTTCTCACCTCGTCGGTGTCCCCGCTAGAGCAGGCGGCCAGAAAGACAGCACCGTCCTCGAAGCGGACCCTGGGGCTCCCGCGCCTGGTCAGCGGCTGCCGCCCCGCGCCTCGTCGCTCCGCAGGCTCCTGCTCTGTCAGCGAGCCCCGCCAGCGCCGAAGCTGCTCTGCCCGCCGCATTCGCGCCGACTCTGCCCGCTTCCCTCCTAGGTGCTCCAGTTCCGCCATTGCTCCGGCCTCGGCAGCTGCTGCCAAAACTACCAACACTAAATTACTGTTGGGGCTCGAGTTGCCGCTGCCGCCTCTCTCAGAGCGCTTCAGCCCGGAGCAGAGGGCGGAGACCCTCGCGCCGCCATCTTTACTCCTCCCGCCAGTAGTACCGCCCGCACGCTCCCTCGGCTTCAATACGCAGGCGCTGCCCGGCCTCGGGTCATCACGGGACTCGTAGTAAGAGGCCTGCCCTAAGTGCACTTGGTGGCCGTAAGGGAACTACAAATCCCTGGATGCATCAGAAAAAAGGCGAGGACCGGCGGCTCTCTCTTTCGCCACGGGACCCAGTGGGGTCACCTTTGCCCTAAAGCTGGAACTGTCTCCTGGACTGGCGTCAGCCTCTTCCTCTGGGCATTTTGGGAGTTGTAGTTTATTCTTGTTATGACTAGTAACTAATCTTATCTCCCTAATTATCACATCAATTCTTTGGAGTGGAAAAAAGGCGGTAATTATTCCTGTTTTCTGGAGGAGAGAACTAAACATTAAGTACCTAAACGACTGGATTCTATATCCTAGTTCTAAGTCTAGGGTTTTATTAACATGTGTATTAATCACGGTAAATGTGAATGAGCGTGGGGAAGAGGAGCATACATACAGATACAGTATTACATGTTTTACATAAATACTGTCAACTTACTCCAGGCCCAGAAAAGATCTTGAAAATGATGCATTCAGATGTAGTGAAAAGAGTTTAAGCTGTGAATTTAAATTGAATTCACAGCCGCAGACAAATTACTTGACTTCTCTTAGCCAGTTTTCTTATGTGTAAAATGGGAATAACATCTCACAGGGTAGTCATGTGGATCAAATGAAATAATACATGCAAGGATGCCTAATACTATCTTTGGCACATATTGGATCCCAATAAATAATTTCTCTTCCTTCTCCCTCCTCCTCCTCCTCTACTCTTTTCATATACCTTAAATTTTTACAAGACAGAATAGATGTCTTCCATGATTTTTATTTCTTTTCTTTTGAGACAGAGTCTCACTCTGTCACCCAGGCTGAGTGCAATGGCGCAATCACGGCTCACTGCAGACTCAACCTCCTGGGCTCAAGCGATCCTCCCACCTCAGTCTCCCCAGTAGCTAGGACTACAGGTGCCCACCACCACACCCACTATTTTTTTATTTTTTTGTAGAGACAAGGTCTCACCATGTTGCCCAGGCTGGTCTGGAACTCTTAGACACAAGCGATCCTCCTGCCTCAGCCTCCCAAAGTGTTGGTATTACAGCCCTGAGCCACTGTACCTGTCCCATGATTTTTTTTTTCAAAGCTAGAGAAAGATACTATCAAGCATACTAAATCATACTAAATTCCTAAGGTAGCAAATAGAACATTTTTATATTCACCAAGACTGGGTTATAAAACATGTATCTGTCCGATTGTTTTGTTTTGTTTTGTTTTGTTTGAGACAGGGTCTCGCTCTGTCACCCAGGCTGGAGGGCAGTGGCATGGTCGTGGATCACTGTAGCCTCAACCTCCCAGGCTGAAGCGATCCTCCCACCTCAGCCCCCCAAGTAGCTGGGACTACAGGCCTGTGTCACTATGCCTGGCTAACTTTTGTATTTTTTGTAGAGACAGGGTTTTGCCATGTTGCTCAGGCTAGTCTTGAGCTCCTGGGCTCAAGTGTTCCACCCACCTCAGTCTCCCAAAGTGTTGGTATTACAGGCATGAGCCACCGCATCCGGCCAGTCCGATTGATTTAATAAGTATAACCTCCAGTGCTCTAGCCCTGAACAAAATACAATTAAATGTGTTACCCATAATGAAAGAGTACATATGCAAATGTTAGATTCTTTAAACGTTTCTGTATGTTTAAAATTTTTCATTTAAAAAATGTTGCAAAATGATTGGGGTATTGTAAAGGGAAACTTTATTATATTCTGTCATGTGAAAATTTGCCTGTTCCTCAATTTCCCCTGAAATGAAGTGGAAATCATACATTAAGGAAACAATTAATTATTGAATTGAAAGCCTCAAATGAAAAGTGACATATAAATGTAAAAAATATTATGTTTAATAATACTGTGTCTAAACACCATATGCTTTAGTAGGATATTCTTAAATACATTATAAATACTAATTAAACCTCATGTCAAATCTGTGTACTATCAATAACAATGTACATAAGGAAAATCAAGGTATAATAATGTATACATTATGTAACCTCATTTTCCTTGCTACATGCATTTATTTATGGCCACCATAGAACTTGTCATGTCTCATCATTTATTGCAATTAAAAATTCTTGGCCAGACGCGATGGCTCACGCTTGTAATCCCAGCATTTTGGAAGGCCAAGGCGGGCAGATCACTTAAGGTCAGGAGTTCGAGACCACCCTAACATGGTGAAACCCCATCTCTATTAAAAATACAAAAATTAGCCAGGCACAGTGGCAGGTGCCTGTAATCCCAACTACTCAGGAGGCTGAGGCAGGAAAATCGCTTAAGCCTGGGAGGCAGAGGTTGCAGTGAGCCGAGATTATGCCACTGTACTCCAGCCTGGGTGACAGAGCAAGATTTTCTCAAAAAAAAAAAAAAAAATTATTCATGAGATTTACTTTGTAACATATCACAGTGGGACCTCCTCTTATTCCAATTCAGCCTCTTGCTGATAATTACTATTGCCCACAAGCTCCCAAATAGAACTCTCCCTAAAGGATAAAAGAAAAATTGATATTAAATCAAATAGGTAAGAATACTCAGCTAGAAGCCTAATCCTATTTACAGTCCTCATGCATCATTTCAATATTATGTTCCTCGTATATGATAGCTGCTCCTATATATATATATATATATATATAACTTTATGTTTTACTGGCATACTGGTCTTCTAATAAGGATTTTTAAACTGGAGTAAATTTTTCAGGGATCAATAATGATGCTTCTTTTGGCTGCATTATTTTTGTATTCCGAATTAGGAAGCAAAAAATATCTGGTTCCAGTTGTTTAAATAAGCTAAAATTGACCCACTCCAGGTTAAATCCTTACTTTCCCAAGAGATATGAACTTAAATTTCTTTCTTTCTTTTTTGGAGACAGAGTTACCCAGGGTAGAGTGCAATGGTGCCAACATAACTCACTGCAGGCTCAAACTCCTGGGCTCAAGCAATTCTCCTCCCTCTACCTCCTGAGTAGCTGGGACTATAGGCACATAAAATTATTTTATTTTATTTTATTTTTAAGTAGAGACGGGTCTTGCTATTTTGCCCAGGCTGGTCTTGAACTCCTGGCCTCAAGCAGTCCTCCCACCTCAGCCTCCCAAAGTACTGAGATTTTAGGTGTGAGCCACCATGCCCAGCCTGAGCTTAAATTTCAACACAAATTCAGTCTCTTTTTCTTTTTTTTTGAAACGGAGTCTCCAGGCTGGAGTGCAGTGGTGCGATCTCAGCTCACTGCAACCTCTGCCTCCTGGGTTCAAGCAATTCTCCTTGAGAAGCTGGGACTATAGGCACCCACCACCACGCCCGGCTAATTTTTGTATTTTTAGTAGAGATAGGGCTTCACCATATTGGCCAGGTTGGTCTCGAACTCCTGACCTTGTGATCAACCCACCTTGGCCTCCCAAAGTGCTGGGATTACAGGCGTGATCCACCGCGCCCAGCCAAGAATTCAGTCTCAATATAAGGAAGTTCCAGGAAGCCAGAAGTACTTCCTTACCATACCTATTTTATTTGCTTCTTTTCTTTTTTTTCCTGTGGAAGTAAGAGTGTAATACCTTCTTTGGAGATTTTACAGAAAAGTGTAAGTAGTTAAATTCCTTGGATCATTTAAGTGCATATCTACTTGGAGATAGAGGAATATACCTTCTGGCTATATGATTATTGAAAGTAGTAATAATTATTATAATCTAATTAATTTTACAGGCTCAGCCAAAAAAAATGCCATGAAAACATTCATCTACCTCTAATGACTTGAAAAGTTTTTTCAAATTGAAATCCTATTTTTTCTAAAACATGTTTCCCAACTAGGGCTTTCTGAGAATAACTTACACAATCAGCTCATTAAACAAGTATGGTAATTTAAATTTCCTAAATAAGTACTCCATTCCTTTATTATTTATTTATTATTTATTTTTGAGACAGGATCTCACTTTAGATTTGCAGTGGTGCAATCACAGCTCACTGCAGCCTTAACCTCCTGGGCTCAAGTGATCCTCTTACCTCAGCCTCCCAAGTAGCTGGGACTACAGGCATGCACCACCATGCCTGGGTAATTTTTGTATTTTTTGGTAGAGATGAGGTTTTGCCATGTTACCCAGGCTGGTCTCAAAGTCCTGGGCTCAAGCGATCTGCCCACCTAGGCCTCCCCAGATGTTGGGATTACAGGCATGACCCACTGCACCTGGCTATAAGTATGCTATTCTAAAGAAAATATAAGCCTGGCCAACATGGTGAAACCCCGTCTCTACTATAAATACAAAAATTAGCCGGGCATGGTGGTGGGCGCCGGAAGTCCCAGCTACTAGGCAGGCTGAGGCAGGAGAAGCGCTTGAACCCAGGAGGCGGAGGTTGCAGTGAGCGACAGAGTGACACCCTGTCTCAAAAAAATAAAAAATAAAAAATAAAAATAAATAAGATATATTTTCATATACTAGTGAGTAAATCCTGACAAATACTACTGTATAAAAATAAAATACAATTTTTATACTTTTATAAGTACTAAGTGAGCCTGCTATGATGTGTTGTAAAGTGAAGAAACCTTCATAAAATAATAATTTTCATAGCTATAATTTAAAAATAAATTATAACATTAGAATGCTCCATTTTTAAAAACAATGACACCTGTAAAAAGTTTATGAAAATCTTTTAGCCTGGCCTCTATTCCCACCAGTTAACATACCCCCTCTGGTGGACAAATGGAAACTGTACATTTAGTGTATGGGGTTCTTTTTTTTCTTTCTCTTTGTTTTCTTCCTCCCTCTCTACCTCCTTTTCTTCCTTCCTCTTTTGTCTTCTATCCTTTTTTCTTTCCTCTCTGTTGCCAAAATTATAGGGATTTACTTATTTTATCAAACCATCTCTCTTTTCCACCGGACTCAATACAGTTCTTGCTTTTTTAAGAGACATTTTTAAGACCTATTTCTCAGAGAACCACCCAAGGAAGTAATCAATTTCAGTTCTGAAGACAGAACTGTAATTGAGATACAATTACAATTGGGGCAGGAAGAAAATAAAGACAGGTATTGAAAGGACTAAAACAAAACATCAGTAGTAAAATAAGCAGGAACTCAATTATGACAGAAAACACTTCACTAAATGCTGAGTAAATGCTAACAATAAATGCAAACCCCCAACAGCAAACTGGAATTAGACTGGACAAGAATGGGATTCCTTATGTTTGTTTCACAACTTTATAATAATTAATAAACTACTGTAGTTGGTTTATTCCTACAACTAAGGTGAGGAACCCCAGGGGAGCATCACAGAGTCCTAGTGAACATGTGGTGCCCTTGAGAGAAAACACCCCACACAATGGCTATGGGGAACCATTTGCCACTTAACACCAGTTTTGACTAGATGTAGACATCACTGCAGTGGCCAAAATTATACTGATTTACAAGTTTAGAAAGAGACTGATTATTACTCTGTTACCAATAATAGTAATAAATAGTATAATAGTAATAAATAATAGTAATAATAATAAATTACTATTAGTATTACCATCGTTGTTCCAAAGCTACACAGTGAGCTGAGAGCAGTCAGATGAGGGTTGGCTTTTTGCTTGTTTTGTTTTTCCACCCACAGCATTTCCAAAGGCTAGTCAAGTTCCAGCCATGTGCTTTAGATTAAGTCAGGTCTGTGCCATCTTTCAGCGCTCATGAAGCATTGGCCTCTGGCAGAGGCAGCTCTGAGAAGTTAAGGTTGGCTTAACTATAAACAGGTTCTTCCTTGTTCAGAAAGTACCATGCATCTAGCGTTGGAAGATGGTTTAAAAGTCATCTATTCCAGCTGGGCACAGTGGCTCACGCCTGTAATCCCAGCACTTTGGGAGGCTGAGAAGGATGGATCACCTGAGGTCAGGAGTTCAAGACCAGCCTGGCCAACACGGTGAAACCCCGTCTCTACTAAAAATACAAAAATTAGCTGGGCGTGGTGGCGCTTGCCTGTAATCCCAGCTATTCGGGAGGCTGAGGCAGGAGAACTGCTTGAACCCGGGAGGCAGAGGTTGCAGTGAGCCGAGATTGCACCATTGCACTCCAGCCTGGGTGACAGAGCGAGACTCCGTCTCAAAAAAAAAAAAAAAAAAAAAAAGTCATCTATTCCAAACTGCCACCCAGTGCAAGGATCCTTTCTGCACTATCCCTAACAAGTGATGACCTAACTTCCACTTGAACATTTCCAGTGATGAAGGAATTCACTACCCTACCTACTTTGTTCTTCAGAGTTCTAATTGATAGAATGCTTTATTGAACTAAGTTCTGCATCTCTTAGACTTTCATCCGTTGTCCTTAAATGTGTCCTCTGAATAAACGTGTCCTCTGAAGTAGTAAAATCTCCCATGTGAAAAAAAATAAAGGAAGACAGCTATCACGTATTCTCTTTTCCAGATTAAATATTTCTGGTTTCTTTCATTGTTCTTGCTAAGAAACGATTTCCAGCTCCTTCCTTGGTCTGGCAGAGCCGACTTTGTAACCGAATTTGGACTGCCGGATGACGTCTCAGGGTTCAGCCGCAGGGTGTAGGAAGCTGAATGGCTGCGCCCAGCGCGCGCTCTCATTTGAATGCGTGAGCGTTCAGAGCACTGGCCAATAGAGAGGAGCGGTGGCTGCGCTTCTTTCCCGGTGGATTACTGTGGGCCAATCACAATCTTCCCCAGACAGGGGGCGGAGCCACGCCAACAGTCAGAGGTCGCGCAGGCGCTGGTACCCCGTTGGTCCGCGCGTTGCTGCGTTGTGAGGGGTGTCAGCTCAGGTAAGCAAGGAGAGTATTCCGGTTCCCCATCTGAAAGAAGGTACACTGGAGAAGGTCACTGAGTCTTGGGGGGAAGGAGTCCTGTTTCCGCCTAATATGGGAGTTTTCGTCTCCTCTGAAAGGAGAGCCTTAGAAAAGCCACTGTTGAGCGGAGGGTCTCACCGTATCTTTGCATGAAATCGTGGTCAGAGCTCCCCCGAGCCGTCCTCCTGCCACAGCAGGGAGAAATTTGCCACTAGAAGGGACATAACAGCCCAGTACTTGCTGCGGGTTGTGCACTGGCTGTTCTTTTTTTTTTTTTTTTTTTTTTTTTTTTTGAGACGGAGTCTCGCTCTGTCGCCCAGGCTGGAGTGCAGTGGCGGGATCTCGGCTCACTGCAAGCTCCGCCTCCCGGGTTCACGCCATTCTCCTGCCTCAGCCTCCCAAGTAGCTGGGACTACAGGCGCCCGCCACTACGCCCGGCTAATTTTTTGTATTTTCAGTAGAGACGGGGTTTCACCGTTTTAGCCGGGATGGTCTCGATCTCCTGACCTCGTGATCCGCCCGCCTCGGCCTCCCAAAGTGCTGGGATTACAGGCGTGAGCCACCGCGCCCGGCCTGTTCTTTTGTCTTCTTCAACATCTGGTCCAAACCCACGTTTCGTTCATTAATTATCCAAATTTACTGCAGACTTGATACAAAAAAAGACTAGGGACCTGCTGTCAAGGAATTCCTCCTAAGGAGAAGAAACTGTCAGGTGAATTAGAACACGATGCAAATAGATGTAGACGCACAGAGGGTGACGTTGGAAAGGTGTGAGTGGTGGGGAGGCATTACTGGAGAAGGAGTTGTGATTTAATATGTAACCTTTAATATCTAAAGGTGTGAAAGAATAAAACTTTTATGGGCAGCAGGAATAGTGCAGTGTGGCTGAAGCATGAGTTTGTGGAGAGTAGATACTGGATATAAGGCGGGATATAAGGGTTAGATTGTAAAGAACCTTTATACCCTGAAAAATAGGCAGTTATTCATGGCATTTGAGCCAAAGAATGGCATATGCCAATTTTGGTTAACATAGTGAGGCTGGAGTCTGGTTGCTTCCTTGGGAGAAATTGTCTTGCTTGTTCTAATCCTTTTACCATGGCTTTCCACTGTTCTCATTTTATATAAAGGTATACTTTATACTTGTGATACTTTTACTGTACAGTCAACCCTCTGTATCCATGAGGGATGGTTCCAGGACATCCTGCAGATCCCAAATCCACCAAAGGTCAAGTCCCAGATATAAAATGGTGTAGTATTTGCATATAACCTATGCATGTCCTCCCATATACTTTATATTTAAGAGATGGGGATATCCTTTGTTGCACAGGCTGGTTCTTTTTTTCTTTTTTTTTTTTTTAAGAAAGGGTCTCGCTCTGCCACCCAGGCTGGAGTGCAGTGGCGCGATCTTGGCTCACTGCAACCTCCGCCTTCCTGGTTGAAGCCATTCTCCTGCCTCAGCCTTCCAAGTAGCTGGGATTACAGGCGTGCACCACCACACTTTGCTAATTTTTGTATTTTTAATAGAGATGGGGTTTCCTCATGTTGGCCAGGCTGGTCTCAAACTCCTGACCTCAAATGACCCACCCACCTTGGCCTACCAAAGTGCTGGGATTACAGGTGTGAGCCACCATGCCTGGCCAGTTTTGTTTTGTTTTGTTTTTGAGACAGAGTCTTGCTCTGTCGCCCAGGCTGGAGTACAGTGGCGCGATCTCAGCCCACTGTAACCTCCACCTTCTGAGTTCAAGCCTTTCTCCTGCCTCAGCCTCCTGAGTAGCTGGGATTACAGGCCTCCACCCCCGCAGCTGGCTAATTTTTATATTTTTAGTAGAGAGGGGATTTCCCCATGTTGGCCAGGCTGGTCTGGAACTCCCGATCTCAAGTGATCCACCTGCCTCAGCCTCCCAAAGTGCTGGGATTACAGGCGTGAGCCACTGTGCCAGGCCTCACAAGCTGGTCTTGAACCTCTGCATGTCCTCCCATATACTTTATTTATTTTAGAGATGGGGTTCTCCTTTGTTGCACAGGCTGGTCTTGAACCCCTGGCCTCAAGTGATCCTTCTGCCTTGATCTCCCAAAGTGCTGCAATTACAGGTGTGAGCCACCGTGCCCAGCCCCACCCCCATATACTTTGAATTATTTCTTGATTACTTATAATACCTAATAAAATGCTAAGTAAATTGTTGTTACACTGTATTGTTTAGGGAATAATGACAAGAAAAAATGTATAGTACGTGTTTGGACGAAGATGTTTTTTTTTTTTTTTTTTTTTTTGAGACAGAGTCCTAATCTATCGCCCAGGCTGGGGTGCAGTGGCGTGATCTTGAAGTACAAAACACTTCCAGCAAAAAATCTTTATTTTTAAGAAAAAAGTATTTTTTCTCATTTTCTATTTTTGTCATAAATTTTTATTCTTTCCAGTGGAACCAAAACTTGAACTTCCTTTTGGTTGATACATGCCCAGCAAGACTGATCAAAGAAAAGATGGCACAGATAAACAGTGTTAGAAATGAAAATGGAAACATAACCATAGATAACTACAGATTAAAAAGATAAAACATTATACAAATAAATTGAAAATTGCATGTAATAGATAAATTTGTGGAAAAATTTAACTTGCCAAAATTGATGCAAGAATAAATAACTTGAATAAGATTCAAGTAAATTGGATTTGTAGGTTAAAATTTTCTCAAAATGAAAACACCAGGATCAGATGGAGTTATTCCAGACAACCTAGTAACAAATTATCTCTTGGACTAATCCACAATATGTTAAAAAAAAAAAAAAAAAAAAAAAGGAGGCAATACTCCCTAACTCATTTTAGGAGGCTAGCATAACCTTGATAGCTAATAAAGACAAAATTAGAAAGGACAGTTATAGGCCAGTCTTACTGATTAGCATAGTGTTAAAAGCTTTCCCTTTAAGGTTAGAAATCTGACAAGAATGCCAACTATCAGCTTTTCTTTCTTTCTTTTTTCTTTTTTTTTTTTGGCTGTTGTTTAGACAGGGTCTCACTCTGCCTCCCAGGCTGGAGTGCAGTGGCACAATCATGGCTCACTACAGCCTCAGTCTCCCCGGGCTCAGGTCATCCTCCCACCTTAGCCTCCTGAGTAGCTGGGATTACAGGCTCATGCCAGCATGCTTGGCCCAGCTATCAGCTTTTTCATTTAACATTGTACTAGAAGTTACTGTCAGAATAGAAGGCAGGAAAAGAATTAGAAGGGAAGAAATAAACTTGATTATATGTGGATGACATGATTGGCAGTGTGGAATTACCATTCCCAGACTGCTCCCCACCCCAAATAGATTCATCATTAGCATTACTAAGGCTTTGGTTAAAAATCAGTTAGATTGGCTGGGCGAGGTGGCTCATGCCTGTAATCCCAGCACTTTGAGAGGCTGAGATGGGTGGATTACCTGAGGTCCGTGGTTCGAGACCAGCCTCACTAACATGGAGAAACCCTGTCTTTACTAAAAAAATACAATATTACCTGGGCCTAATGGTGCATGCCTGTAACGCCAGCTACTCAGGAGGCTGAGACAGGAGAATCGCTTGAACCCAGGAGGTGGAGATTGCGGTGAGCCAAGAGCACACCATTGCACTCCAGCCTGGGCAACAAGAGCAAAACTCCATCTCAAAAAAATAAAAAAAAATCAATTAGATTTACATGTATCAGTAAGAAATGGGTAGAAAATAGTGTTTTTGAAAAGATAGCAAAAATATAAATACTTAGAAATCAGTCTAACAAAAATTAGATAAAGCTTTATAGAGAAAATTATAAAACCTTTGGAAAGCATCAAAAAAAAGACTGAAACAGCGTGTTCATGGATCTTAGGATTCAATATCATAAAGATATCAGTTATCTCCAAATTGATCTATAGCATCAATAAAATTACAATCCAAACCACAGAACCCTGTTATGATTTGGATTATAATTTCAGATATACATATTTATGTATATATTTATGGACTTATGAACTGATTCTCAAATTTATATGGAAGAGCAAAGAGTCAAGAATAATCAAGTCATTCCTGAAGAAAAAGACCAGGTGGATAAGCTATAGTAAAACATCACATTGTACACCTTAAATATATACAATTTGTATTTGCCAGTTATACCTCAGTAAAGCTGGGAAAAAATTTAAATAATAAAAAATGAATAAGCTATAGTAATTCAAACAGTGGAGTATTGTCTCAGAAATAATCCACTTGACCAGTGGAACAAATTCAAGAGTCCCAAAACAAATCCACACATATAGAAATTTAATTTATAGTAATATCAGCAGGGAAAGGATGGACTGATTCAGTAAATGATGTTAGAACAATTGACTATTCATATGGGGAAAAACTTTAAATTGGACCCCCACCTCACTCACTATACATAAAATTCAATTCCTAGTGGATTCAATATTTAAATTTGAATAGCAAAATTATAAAATATTTGAAGGCTATGTAGGAATATCTCTACATTTGGGGGTAAGGAAAAATTTAATACACAAAGTATAAATGTAAAGAAAGAGATTTTAAGATTGATTATGTTAAGAGTATGTGTTTATTGAAAGACACCATGTACAACATGGAAAGATAAGCACAAACTGGGGGATATTTGTAACACATTAAAGGATTGGTGTTGGCTGGGCGCGGTGGCTCACGCCTGTAATCCTAGCACTTTGGGAGGCTGAGGTGGGTGGATCACGAGGTCAGGAGTTCAAGACCAGCCTGGCCAAGATGGTGAAACCCCATCTCTACTAAAAATACAAAAAGTAGCCGGGCGTGGTGGCGGGCGTCTGTAATGCCAGCTGCTCGGGAGGCTGAGGCAGAGAATTGCTTGAACCCGGAAGGCTGAGGTTGCAGTGAGCCGAGATCGCACCACTGCACTCCAGCCTGGGCAACAGACCGAGACTCCGTCTAAAAAACAAAAGGGATTAGTGTCCTTTGCTTGGTTAGTAAAGAGAGAACTAGAGTTGAGAAGAGTGTTGGGTGAATATGTGTGTAGGTGTTGGTTTTAGGTGAGAGAGACTTTGAGCATATTTGAACATTGAGGGTAAGAAAGATGGAATAATTGATGGAATGGTATCCCTGAAGATTGGGAGAAGGTGGAATCCATAGCACATGGAGAGAAACTCGGACATTTAACATTTGTTTGTACCTGAGAATGTTGACTATCTCTACCATTCTTGCTCTCACAAAGCATATGTAGACTTCCTCACAACAGCAAATATTTGTCAAATCCCTTACTATGACAGGCATGCTAAGGCTACAATAGTAAGCAAAATCAGACCCAGGCCTGGCCTCATGAGTTTATAATTTATCAGTGGAAACACCCATTATTTAAAACCTTTAGTGTTTTTATTTTTTGTAGAACTTTTTGCATTTTTAGTTCTTTATTTTAAAAATATATTTGCTTGTATAGATAAACGTTCACAAGAAGGGAGTGGAAAAACTCAGATTCCCTTGTCAGAATAGAGATTAATAAGAGGAATCTTGGACTGGCGTGGTGGCACACACCTGTACTTCCAGCTACATAGGCGGCTGAGATGGGAGGATCACTTAAGCCCAGCAGGTGGAGATTGCAGTGAGCTGAGATTGTGCCACTGCACTCCAGCCTGGGTGACAGAGCAAGACCCTGCCTCTAAAAAAAAAAAAAAAAAAAAAAAAAAAAGCTGGGTGCATTGGCTCACGCCTGTAATCCCAGCACTTTGGGAGGCCAAGGCAGGCGGATCACCTGAGGTCAGGCATTTGAGACCAGCCTGGCCAACATGGCGAAACCCTGTCTCTACTAAAAATACTAAAATGAGCTGGGCATGGTGGTGCACGCCTGTAATCCCAGCTACTCTGGAGGCTGAGGCATGAGAATTGCTCAAACCCAGAAGGTGGAAATTGCAGTGAGCTGAGATGGTGTCACTGCCCTCCAGTCTGGGTGACAGAGTGAAACTGTGTCTCAAAACAAAAAAGAGGACTCTGTCCCCCACCCTCACTACATTGAAGCTGTTTGCTGAAAACTTCATAGTCATTATTGCTGATGATTTTATGGTCACCTCTTTTCTCCTCCAGTGCATCCCAGGCAGCTCTTAGTGTGGAGCAGTGAACTGTGTGTGGTTCCTTCTACTTGGGGATCATGCAGAGAGCTTCACGTCTGAAGAGAGAGCTGCACATGTTAGCCACAGAGCCACCCCCAGGCATCACATGTTGGCAAGATAAAGACCAAATGGATGACCTGCGAGCTCGTAGGTATCAAATCATGTATATGATGAAAGTCATGACCCTATTGAAGATTGTGCTGAAATAAAACATTTTGTGTATTCTTCTAAAGTAAGGAGCAGTTATAAGGTCAGAGTGCCCTACCATCTTTCTACCCAAATTTGTTTACATTTATAAAAGGTTTGCTTGACATTTCTTGCTTCTTTGACTTTTTATTATACCTTATGCTGATTTATAGCCAAGATTTAAAGCAGTGAAGCAGTGTTTAGATCAAAGATAACCATCTCAAATATCTGTGAGGCCAGATGGGAAACATACATGATTAGAATACTGCGGTCCAAACAAAACAAATCTATAGGTTGTATTTGGTCTTGTGGCCAGCATTTTGCAACTTCTGCTTTAGATTTTCTATATGTCCTTTGTTTGACACCATTAACTTTTTGAGTACATTAGCATTGTGGTGTGTTGCATGAGGACTTGTTAAAGTCCTGGCAGAGAATTATTGTCCTAGGCCTAGTTTCTCTATTAGGACCATAGACCTCATTAGCTCCATATGGTAGTAATTCAAATGATCTGATTCCCTTTTAACTTTTTCTTTCTTTTTTCTTTTAAGAAATATTAGGTGGAGCCAACACACCTTATGAGAAAGGTGTTTTTAAGCTAGAAGTTATCATTCCTGAGAGGTTAGTATGAATCAGCTTCTCAACCTACATGGTGAAGTGCATTTATAAATTGGGAGACAGAGCAATGTAGTAGATAGAGCATAAAGGACTAGGTTTTAATCCTGGCCTTATCATGACTTAAGGTGACCTCGACCAAGTTATTTTCTCTCTCTGGAGTTCAGTTTCCTTCTCCAGAACAATGGGCGAGATCACATCAAAGACCCCCTCACTTTCTAAATTGTGATAAAATATACATAACATAAAGTTGACCATTTTTAAGTGTACAGTTCAGTGGTATTAAATACATTCACATTGTTATGCAACCATCACCAACATTTATCTCCAGAACTTTTCATCCTCCTACACTGAAACTTCATAGCCATTAAACTCTAACTCCCCATTTCTCCCCGCTCTCAGCCCCTGGCAACCACTATTGTGCTTTCTTAACATTAAGCTCCCCCCGGCTTTTTCTTTTAACATTTATTTTAGGTTCCGGGGTACATGTGCAAGTTTGTTATATAGGTAAACTCATGATATCACGGGGATTTGTTGTACAGATTATTTTGTCACCCAGGTACTAAGCCTAGTATCCAGTAGTTTTGCCCTTCTCTGTCCTCCCACCCTCCACCCTCAGGTAGGCCCCAGTGTCTGTCGTTCCCCTCTTTGTGTCCATATGTTCTCATCATTTAGCTCCCACTTATAAATGAGAGCATGTGGTATTTGGCTTTCTGTTCCTGCAAAGACCATGATCTCGTTCTTTTTATGGTTAAGGCCCCTTTTAATTCAAGTCTCCTTTAAGGCTCTCATCAGGTGAGTTACAGTTGTAGTTTTGTACAGAACGGGGAAGGGAAGAAATGACTATCTGACAGTTGAAACATAGACATCTAATCACTAGGTCAGATCCTGGCCAAACTTGTTAAAGTCTTGGGAGAACAGCTTAATAATCATGTGGTGCATCAGTTCTAAAAATAGACTGGGAACTTTGCAAGGTCGGTGTCTCACTAAAGATACATAATAACCAAATGCAACGTATGAATTGTAATTGGGTCCTGTTTTGAAAAACCCAGCAATAAAAAAAAAAAACTGGGGAGAACAACTGAAATCTGAACAGTAAATGATATTAGGGAATTAGTTCTTAAATTTTTCAAAGGGGTAATAGTATTGCATTTATATGGGAGAATGTTCTTATTCTTAGAAGATATGCTGGAGTATTTAGAGGTAAAGTGGCTTGAATCCAGGTGGTAGATATATGGATGTTTTCAATACTGTTATTTCAAACTGATTTATTTTAAATTTTCATAGTGAAAATTTAGGAAGAGAGAAAGTTTGCCTCCCAAAGGCAGTCTCCCTGACATTTCTATAATACCAAAATTATTGTGACCAAGAAACTATTTAAATGTATTTAGAAGCAAAATTATGTAATGAAAATTATCTGTTGTCTTATTCTTTCATAGGTACCCATTTGAACCTCCTCAGATCCGATTTCTCACTCCAATTTATCATCCAAACATTGATTCTGCTGGAAGGATTTGTCTGGATGTTCTCAAATTGCCACCAAAAGTGAGTTGTGGGTAAATGGTTGACTCTACAGCATTCTGTTTTCTTCATCTATTAAACTTGAATTAGAGGATCACATTCTAATATAAAAGCAACTGTTCATCTGTTTGTATATAGGGTGCTTGGAGACCATCCCTCAACATCGCAACTGTGTTGACCTCTATTCAGCTGCTCATGTCAGAACCCAACCCTGATGACCCGCTCATGGCTGACATAGTAAATATCCCCATTTTCCTCTGCAACACATATCCTACCTTGTCTATACCGCTAACTCTCCCTGTGTGAGGATAGCTGCAGCAGCTCTAACCACTGCAAATCATGTTTTTCTCCATTAACTCTTTTCTTTGATTTCATCTCAGTCCTCAGAATTTAAATATAATAAGCCAGCCTTCCTCAAGAATGCCAGACAGTGGACAGAGAAGCATGCAAGACAGAAACAAAAGGTATAATGTTTGCTACTATTGTCAGTTAATTAAGTATATATAGTATAAAGTATATATGTATAAATAATGTTTTTTTTTTTTTTTTTTTTTTTTTTTTTTTTTGAGACGGAGTCTCGCTCTGTCGCCCAGGCTGGAGTGCAGTGGCGGGATCTCGGCTCACTGCAAGCTCCGCCTCCCGGGTTCACGCCATTCTCCTGCCTCAGCCTCCCAAGTAGCTGGGACTACAGGCGCCCGCCACTACGCCCGGCTAATTTTTTGTATTTTTAGTAGAGACGGGGTTTCACCGTTTTAGCCGGGATGGTCTCGATCTCCTGACCTCGTGATCCGCCCGCCTCGGCCTCCCAAAGTGCTGGGATTACAGGCGTGAGCCACCGCGCCCGGCCTAAATAATGTTTTTTAGATTTGCCAAATTTGTACTGAACTCTAGAATGACTAGTTAATCTTTTTCTCCTATTGCAACCTTCTAAATAATCATTCAGCAAAATAGCCTAATAGCTCAACTAACAGTAGATGTTTCATAACAGTTGTCACCTATTGGGCAACACTAGACGGCAGGCAGCATCTGGTTAATTTTTTTTATATTGCAGGTAGCAGGGATAGTGGAGTGGTGTCTCAGATTCTTTTTTTCTAAGTTGTCCTTTTAACACTGAGAAGAATCTATATTTGCAGGGACTAGTTGCAGAGATGGGGGAAACTTTTCTTAGGGGACCATTCATGGAAGAAAGTTAAAGGAAAAACTTCAGGTTGATAGAATTTCCTCATTTAGCAAAATTCAAATTACAGGAACATGGAAAGTAGCACATCATAGTTCTTGCTGAGTTATGCCATCTTTCAGATTGAGTTAAATAGCAGTGGTGTTACTTGTAAAAAGAAATAAAAATTAAAACAAAAAAATTGAGGAAGATGTCTTTGAGAGAATATCGTATGCATAATACTGTATTTAAATCTTGCAACAAAGAAGTACATGGAAATAATATTACAGAGCTTCATTTTTCTCCATCCTGGCATTTGTGTGAACCTTACTGTGTTTCACCCTGTCTCCTCTTTAGGCTGATGAGGAAGAGATGCTTGATAATCTACCAGAGGCTGGTGACTCCAGAGTACACAACTCAACACAGAAAAGGAAGGCCAGTCAGCTAGTAGGCATAGAAAAGAAATTTCATCCTGATGTTTAGGGGACTTGTCCTGGTTCATCTTAGTTAATGTGTTCTTTGCCAAGGTGATCTAAGTTGCCTACCTTGAATTTTTTTTTAAATATATTTGATGACATAATTTTTGTGTAGTTTATTTATCTTGTACATATGTATTTTGAAATCTTTTAAACCTGAAAAATAAATAGTCATTTAATGTTGAGTATGTGTTTATCCTGAATGTGTGTCTGGGAGTAAACTGGCCAGAGAGCTATATAATCAGAATGTTAAAATATTTGGAATTGTTGTCCTTTAGTTTGCCAACTTACCAGCATCACTAGGGATATTGAATGTTTGACACAGATGTAAAATAGCTGTAGAAACAATTCAATTACCCTTACACTTTCAGGGGTGATAGCTTTTCTGAGGTCTTAAAATAATGTGGGAAGAAGATAATAGATCCTTTTGCAAATTTGTTTTTTTGCAGCTTTCACTTCTTGTGATTTACATAGCTGACCAGAATTCTGTGATAAAACTTTCATTTGTTCAACAAATACTTACTGAACACCTACTATGTGCCAAGTATTATGCTGGTGTTTGAGAATGAAATGATGAGAAAATCAGATGTGAGATTAACCAAATACTCATACAAATTTAAGTAGGGATTTCCTCTCTCCAGCATCATTTTATGGCAAGTACCATTCTGGACAATTCGGTGCCAAACTTGAATTCCCTACTCATGATTTTGTAATATACTTGACTTATCTTTATAATTCTATTTAAATGACAGAGATAACAGATTTGAGCAGAAATCAGCTGAAGTAGGAAGAGGTCACCCAGGCCAAGCGAAGACTTTGAGGAATGTATTGTAGATATTGGACCTGCCTAGGCAGATGACTAAAGACTGTAATGCCCTTGTCCATATCACAGTGTAGCAATGATGATTTTTTACCTAGGCTAGGCACCATGCATGTAAAATGCATCTCTGAATAGGCACCTTTCATTCATCTACCTATGAATTACCTCGTACTCTTTACTGAGCAGCAGCCTGCCGTACTGCTTATGTGGTGTTTGGACTCATGCAAAGACAACAAGAAGTATGAATTTATGTAATCCATTAATGACAGGTCATGGCAGAAGCTAAAAATACAAATTTCTAATTCTACAGAATTTTTGAACCCACTTTTCAAAATCAGTTACTGTCTTTTTTTAAAGCCCAGGAATTAATTCTATTCCAGGCTTGTTTCCTATGCTTATGCATACTTAAGTCAGGTTTGGAGTTCCTAGATACCGTTAGTATATAAATTAGGATACTTAGAGTTGTGAGTGAAATTCAACTCACACTGGCGATAATGAAAGAAGTTCATTGCCTTACTAAATAGAAAGTCCAGGGGTTGAGTGAACATCTGGGTTGGTAAATTCAAAGGCTCAACAATATCATCAAGATCTTGGTCTCTCCATCTGCCATCCATAGTATCAGCTTTCTCTTAGGCTGTTTCTTCCTTAAGTTTCTTCCCCTCCTAGGATGACTACCAGCAGCAGTTGGGGTTATGTACTTTCTATCCAGCCAGGCCGGGAGGCTCTACTTTCCATGAAACAAAAGTCCCTGTGGACTGCCCTGAAAGCAGTCACTGTGGCCAGGGAAATGCCATGTGCTGATTGCTCTGGGCTAAACCCAGATATGAAGTGAGAGATGGACTTAGGGAGTAGTTGTAGGAAAAGAGCACCTCCTATAGGACAAAACCCCTTACACTTCTATCACCATGTCTAGTCAGCTCTACCAGCTACTTTTCCCTACCTCTACTTAAAACACTAGTTCAGCTGCCATCATCTCTCACCTGCACTTTAGCCATAGCCTTCTATCTTGTTTCCTTCCCCATTCTTGACCTTTGACACTCCATGCTCTTCACAGCAGCAAGAATAATCTTTGACAATGTGAGTCAGATTTGGCTTCATTCCTCCAAGTGGCTTCATCTTGCAATTAAAAGCCTAGTCTCCTTCCCTGACCCATAAGACCCCGCATGATCTGGCCCCTGCTTGCCTCATCTATCCATCCTCATTGCATACCCTCAACCCCTTATACCTTACGCTCTTCCAGCCACACAGTGCTTTCAATCTCTTGAACACAGCTAGCTCATCCCTACTTCAGGGATTTCACATATGCTATAACCTCTGCTTCCTACATACCCCAGGATAGTCTCAGCTTGAATGTAGCTGCCTCAGAAAGTCCTTTTCTATCCCATCTAAAGGAGCCCTAGATCCTCAGGTACTCTCTGGTCCATAGCCTATTACCCTAATTAATTTTCTTTATAGCACTTGTACCTATCTGGAAATGTGTTCATTTTTTAATGTGTATATTGTCTCACTCTAAGCATTGGGGATATAGTGGCTACAAGGAACTTTTCTCTCTAATCACAAGAAACACCAGAGCCAAAAGCTATTAGAAGTCATCCAACCATTTCTCTGCCTGAAGTACCGAGGACTGGGCTAGAGAACAGAAGTGACATGCCTGAGGATTTAAAAGCCCAGCTCCTTATTTCCAGCTCAGGGAAGGATGGGAAAAGGCTAAAAGCATGGACTTAGGTCAAGGAGACCCTGTTTCAGCTCTGGCAGTGCTGCTTGCAAGTTGTGTGCCCTTAGCTTTCTACTCAGTCCTCCTGTTTTTTCAGGTTTTGCGTCTGTAAAAGTGATGATGATGCTTAAGACTCATGAGGTTGTTGTGAGGATTGAATGAGATGATGCATGTAAAGCATCCAATACAGGGCCTGGCACGGTGCTGACATTTACTGAGTGCTTAGCAAGGGCACTGGGGGGATGAAGACAGCGATCCAACCACAGGTGGGTCTTAAGGAGCTGCCCTGCCCACTGCCAACTTGCCAATCTGCTCTGTTCCTAGGATAAGCAAGCTGAGCTGTTTTCTCAACTCCAAACCCCTGATTAAAGAGAGATGACATCCACGACTGATCATATAAACATTGCAGATTCCAAGTTCCCCTCTCCTGCTGCCCCCAACCCCCCTCTCCACCTCTCCCCAAAAGCTATCTAAATAAGAACAGATTTTACCACCCACCTTGTGGGCAGACTCAGCTGAGGCTGGAACTAGCTATTTATCCTTCGGCTGCTGCGGGAATTCAACACATACAAATAAAGCTCCTTTTCCAGCCAAGTGTGTATTTTTCCATCAGCGTGTGGCCCCCCTGCCCAGGTTGTCTTGTTTAGGTTGGGGCAACCCAAGGGAGGGAAGGACAAGGAAGAGGTGTGGGGCTATGATTTCAGAACCTGCTCCCCGGGATGGCTGGCTGCAAGACATCTTACAGTCCTGGACCACACTGGGCTGCCAGCAAAGCCCAGGAGAGGTTGGGGTGATGGACACGGACATGCTACACACAGCAACAACACATTCCACTTTTTCCTTGCTTCTTGGCAAGTCACCCCTGTCTCCTGCCATGGCCCCCAGAGAGCATCCATCCCTCTCACCATCTCTTAGTTTATATCAGGGATGACAGTTTATCCAGAATGTCACGCTCATCCTACCTGCCCTCCCACCCCAATACAGGGTTTTTCCCTTTCATGTGCTTGTTTTCCTTGCTCACCTTTTCCCCTGATCCCACATCCCAATAGAGTGTGTCCCCTTCCTTCCACTGTCTTCCTCCTTTAACCAGGGCCCTGAAACTCTGTGCTTCAAAAAAAGGGTCTGCTCTGACAGTTCCTCCCCTCAAACCTTCCATCAGAGGCAACTTTTCTAGGGGGTGAGTTCTTAGTCTCTACGTTGTCTCTAGGCCTGGGAGTTATTGCCATGCGCTAAGCTAAACCCTTCACATGAAAAAAAAAAATCTTTTTTTTCGAGATAGAGTCTTGCTCTGTCACCCAGGCTAGAGTGTAGTGGCATGATCTTGGCTCACTGCAACCTCTGCCTCCTGGGTTCAAGCAATTCTCCTGTCTCAGCCTCCCAAGTAGCTGGGATTACAGGTGCATGTCACCATACCCGGCTAATTTTTGTATTTTTAGTAGAGATGGGGTTTCACTATGTTGGCCAGGCTGGTCTCGAACTCCTGACCTCAGGTGATCCACTCGCCTTGGTCTCCCAAAGTGTTGGGATTACAGACATGAGCCACCGTGCCTGGCCTCATGAAAAATCTTTTTAAATTTTTTCAATAACCTTCAGAGTTTAGATACTATGATTATCCCCATTTTACGATGAAACTGAGATTCAGAGAGGTTAACCTAAGGACAACTGGCTGTTAATGCTAAGTCTGGGATTCAAATCCAGGCATGTATGACTCCAGAATCATATTTGTCAGCTGTATGGATTCTGTTCTTTTTTTTTTTTTTTTTTTTTGAGATGGCGTTTCACTCTCGTCACCCACACTGGAGTGCAATGATGTGATCTCGGCTCACTGCAACCTCCGCCTCCCAGGTTCAAGCAATTCTCCTGCCTCAGCCTCCCGAGTAGCTGGGATTACAGGCACCTGCCACCACACCCAGCTAATTTTTCTATTTTTAGTAGAGATGGGGTTTCATCATGTTGGACAGGCTGGTCTCGAACGCCTGAACTCAGGTGATCCGCCCACCTTGGCCTCCCAAAGTGCTGGGATTACAGGCGTGAGCCACCACTCCTGGCCCTGTTCTAATAATTTTACGTCTGCCTCCACAGAGTAGCTATGGGATAATGGGCAAGTTTCTCCCCTTCCATTTTCTCCTCTATAAAATGCAGGCATGGCTTGAATGCTCTCTGAGATTTCTCCCAAAGCTGACACTCGACAGCTCTGCAATTCCGAAACTTCCTGTGTAATCCAGGGGCTCAGGGGAGAGCCTGTGGATCTCCGGTTTAGTGATGAAGTAAATTAGGTTGGTCTGTTCCTTCTCATCTTCCCTTTTCATTATCTTTACTTCTTCAGCATTCTCTTGCCGTAGGTTCCCTGCTAACCTGCTAAGGATCTTCCACCCAGGCCCACAGTCTCTACCTGTTAACTCATCCTGACAGTACTTCTGTCTTATCACATACTTTTGCTCATTGAAATTCCTATTCAGGCCATGCATGGTGGCTCTTGTCTGTAATCCCAGGACTCCAGGAGGCCGAAACGGAAGGATTGCTTGCGTTCAGGAGTTTGAGAGCAGCCTAGGTAACATCGTGAGACCCCCGTCTCTACTAAAAATTAAAAAATTAGCTGAGTTTCATGGTGTATGCCTGTAGTCCCAGCTACTCAAGAGGCTGAGGTGGGAGGATTGCTTGAGCCCGGGGGGTCAAGGCTGCAGGGAGCCATGATTGTGCCACTGCACTCCATCTTGGGCAACAAAGCAAGACCTTGTCTTACTTTTTTTTTTTAATTTCATTCAGTAACTGCCCTCTTCCACACTATAGTTGAAAAGAGGTCAGTGGGTTTACTCCTGGGCCGTAGGTAGAGAGCAATGCAGAGGGAGAAGCCTATCTGGCTTCTTTTCCATGAGGGTGACAGAAATCTAACAATCTCACTTGAGCAAACAAAAGGTATTGGTTCACAATCTGAGAAGCCCAAATGTGCTTTCAGGCATGGCTAGGTACAGATGCTCAAATAATGCCATCAGGATTCATTTCACTCCAAGTGGCAAGATAGACACCAGCAGCTTTCTTCCTACCAGTCCAGCAACTCCAGTGAAAGAGTACTTCTTTCCTATCAGCACCAGCAAAGTTCTCAAGTTGGGTCTCATTAGAAGGATTTGAGATGTAAGCCCATCCTTGGACCAATCACTATGGCCAGGGATTAGAATAAGCTGATAGGGTCTGGGTTATATTCCCACCTCTGGAACCTGGCCTTGAGTCAACCCCACCTGAAAGGTATGCAGTAGAGAGCAGTGGAGGTAGTTGCCTGAAGAAGGTCAAATTGATGTTACCAGAAGAAAGGAAGTGGCCACTTCCTTTCTTCTAAAGGAACAGATACCCTGGGCAAAGGGCTATGGGCTATTCCTAACCTGAAGGAATAAGGAACAATGATGGTGGCATTTCAACCTCTGTGGTAGCCAGGGAAGAAGCTGTTATAAAGTAGAGGCTCCGGGAACTTGGTAGCCTTCAAATCTCACCATATAAATATCTGCCCATTCTCGGATCACGAGGTCAGGAGATCGAGACTATCCTGGCGAACACAGTGCAACCCCGTCTCTGCTAAAAATACAAAAAAAAATTAGCCGGGCGTGGTGGCGGGCACCTGTAGTCCCAGCTACTCTGGAGGCTGAGGCAGGAGAAAGGCGTGAACCCAGGGGGTGGAGCTTGCAGTGAGCCGAGATCGCGCCACTGCACTCCAGCCTGGGAGACAGCGAGACTCCGTCTCAAAAAATAATAATAATAATAAATAAATAAATAAATAAATAAATATCTGCCCATTCTGCGTTATACATCTTCTGGCCAGATGGCCCCTTTGGGTTGAAAAACAGAATCCTAATGGATGTACTTGGATATATTAATTTCTTTTCTTTTTTCTGTTTTTTTTTTTTTTTTTTTTTTTTGAGACAGGGTCTGGCTCTTGCCCAGGCTGGAGTGCAGTGGCATGATCTCGGCTTACTGCAACCTCCCAGGCCTCCCACTTCAGCCTCCTCAGTAGCTGAGACTACAGGTGCACGCCACCATGCCCAGCTAATTTTTGTATTTTTTTTTTTTAAGAAATGCGGTTTCACCATGTTGCCCAGGCTGGTCTTGAATTCCCAAGCTCAAGCAATCTGCCCACCTTGGCCTTCCAAACTGCTGGGATTACTGGCGTGAGCCACCATGCCCGGCCTATTAATTTCTTAATACTTTTTTCAAAAGAAATTAATTGAGCACCTTTTTTTTTTTGTGCTAGACCTCATGAAAAGGATTGAGGTTACAACAGTGAATGAGACCAGCATGATCTCTGCTCTCATGGAACTTTCCTGCTGTGCCTACTATCCATTCTGAGAAAAGTAGCCCTGCCCACAGCCCTTGCACAAGGGAAGCCCTGAGCAGTTATGTTTTGTCCAATATAACCCCACACAAACATACCCATTCACACACTACAATTTAGTGAACCAGGACAGGTTCCTGGCCTAAGAGTGATCAACCCACCTGTTGGCCATTAACCTATGATTTGGCCTATCGTAGAAAAGGAAATTTGGCTAGTTCGGTTCTTTCTCAATCTTTCAGGATATTACCCTTGGAAACTTAAAAAGGAAAGCAACAAGGAAATTACCCCAGGAACTGAAAGCTGAAAGGATGCATCCAGAGACCTTGAGGAAGGACAGGGATCATAGTGAGGTACACATAAGCAGAAGTTACCCATAAACACAGGCTATGAGCCAAAGGAAACAATTCATTTATGCAATAAATAATCATACCTTTTCTTTACCCCATTGCTAGGCCAAAAGAATTATTCTGCCTCCCTTATTGCTTCACATGTATCCTCTGAAAAATTATTCTTTTGACCCAGCAATTCCACTTCTAGGAATTTATCTTACAGATATATTTACTTACACAGGTGCTGAATTGCATTCATGCAAGGTTACTTTTTAAAGTATTGTTTATAAGAGCAAAAGAGTAAGCAACCCAAATGTCCATCAGAAGGGGAATAAGATGAAATCATGATACATCTACATAATGGGCTATATAACCTGCTTCAAAAATGTTAGAATGCTTTCTTTACTGATGTGGAAACGTCTTTGAGCTATATTACAGGTTAAAAAAGCAGAAGCAGAACTGTGGTGTGCTACTTTGGGTAAAAAGGAAAAATAAGCATATATATGCATCTTGCTGGTATATATATTTTCAAAACTCTGGGAGGATATATAAGAAACTAATAACAGTGGTAACCAATGAGGGCTTGGGAAGCGAGCCAGTAGGGACAGAGATGGGAGGGAAGCTTGTTAAGAACGTGTTATTTGAACCACGTGAATGTATTATTCAAAGATTAAATTTATGAAAAGCTTTTTAAACAAAAGGGGTGGGTGGGAGCAGCTGATTGTGGTTGAGAAGCAGATAGCTATAAAAACAGGCCTCCAGAGAGCAGCTGAACCGGCTAATTGTGGGCACCACAGGGAATAATCACAGACTAAATTCAGAATGGCCTCTAGTTTCAGGTACCACAAGGCCCAGTCTTACTGTTCTTTTTGGCCTTGGATCTATTTGCTGAGATTCTGCCTCTCTTATTGCTTCACATGGATCCTCTCAAGAAACACGTACTTACTTGAGTTAACTCCTGAGTTTCTGTCTCTTAATCCAGTCTAAGAAGAACAGCTGAAGAAATGGTCTTCCCTGTAGTTGAGCCAGAAAGATGGAGGGTTTGAAATACTCTGTTTTCAAGAGTGGAGGGCAGGTACTCATGAAGGCACCAGTTTTCCACTCAGAAGGGAGTCAGGCATTAGATCAGTAAAGCCCTAATACCATTCTGGGGCTAGCACCTTGGCCCCATGATTGCAAGTTTTGTTGAACTCCATCTTCCCTCCCCTGAGAAGGGGCTACCTGGTTGTCTTGAGGGCATCATCCCACTCTGAAGCAAGGCTGGGCCAGGGACAGGGGGGTAAAGATTCCCAAGGCAGAGAGTGAGTGAGAGAGTGCACTCAAGGCCAGGAAAGCAAGCTGATTCTTTGGGGTTCACATTATCAGGAAACCCCAGCATTAAGGGTTGGGTCTGAGAAGGTGTTCAGGGTCTGAATAATGAAGGCCCAACCTGCTCACTGCTTTATTTATTTTTATTTTTATTTTATTTTTATTTTTTTAAATTTATTTTTTTGAGACAGAGTCTCGCTCTGTTGCCCAGGCTGGGGTGCAGTGGCGCAATCTCGGCTCACTGCAAGCTCCACCTCCCAGGCTCACGCCATTCTCCTGCCTCAGCCTCCCGAGTAGCCAGGACTACAGGTGCCTGCCACGATGCCTGGCTAATTTTTTTTAATATTTTTAGTAGAGACAGGGTTTCACCGTGTTAGCCAGGATGGTCTCGATCTCCTGACCTCGTGATCCGCCCGCCTCGGCCTCCCAAAGTGCTGGGATTACAGGCGTGAGCCACCGCGCCCAGCCCACTGCTTTCTTTAGATTTTTCTATGTCTAATCCACTGGCAAGCACACAAAGGGCACTTTGATATAGGTGAGTGGAATGGATTCTGATGCCTCCAAACTTCAACTCTGAGCCTCCTTGGCTGTGCCCTAGGTGCCCCAGAACTCAGAAGACAGGTTAAGGAAGAGCCTTGCCACTGATCACTCCTCTCTCAAATACCTCTGGCCACTTCCATGGCTCCACCAGAGGCAGCAGAAAGGAGTTGAGGGACACACATCGTACTTCACTTGTGCTTTATTATACAGAAGAATCCAAATATTTACATCTTGACAATCCTTATACTTCAAGCAACTGGAGAGAGCATGGAACTGAAACCCAGAAGTGATGTGGGGGGCGGGGTGCGAGGTGGGGGGTGGTGGGTGGTGGGTGGGTGGGGGTTGGGAGAGCTTGCTATAAAGCAGAGCAGAGGTAGTTAGATGGTACCAGACGGGATCAAGGGTTCTAGCTACTGTAGTTCTGATGTTGGTTTATGAAATAAGAAATAAAAAAATAAAAAATAAATAAAAATGCTTAAAAAAGGTAAAAAAATTTAAAGAAAACATAGAAGAACAAACAAAAAAGCATTCTAGCAACTTCCCGTTATTGTCACTCAGGCCTATTTATTGTCAGCTCTTCCTTTTTCCTTTCCCCTACTCTTTAGACCTTTTATTCTTCCTGGAAAGGGAAACTAGAAAGATATTGGAGGCTAGAGGAGGAGAGAGGAAAGCAAGGAGAAGTCCCAGCTAGGGGCTCTGTTCATCCATAGTCTTCAAATCTCAGCTCTGCGTTTTTTGGATTTCACCATTGGTATGTTCAAAGTTGCTTATAAAAACCATTTCTGCCATAAGAGGTTCTCTTCCACAAATCGGTCTGAGATGAGATTGTGGTTGGCACCAGTTGCCAATGCACTGCACACAGAGCACAGGGCAACACACACCCAGTCAGCAGTTCTCAGCGTTGCCACCACTACAGCCCTCTTGGACAGATTCTTCCCCATGGATACCATTCTGGAAGATTTTGCCAACCCAACAAAATGCATTTGCATGCAATGAATAATTTGTTTTTTGATTTTGTGATCAAAGACATACATAATCTTCTGTGGATCATAATGAAGATAACCAAAGGAATAACATACTGACTTGCTAGAAATTCAGTCAAAATAACATACTGACTTGCTAGAAATTCAGTCAAAATCAAAAAACAAAGAAACTGTACTGCTCAGCTTTATTTCGGGTAAGTGTACATCGACCAGACTTTCTGAATAATGAAAATAGTTCATGGCAAACACCTCCACTCCCTTCCTCCACACCTTTCCTCTAATGAGAAGGTTCAGCAGATGCTCCTCTGGCCAGCAGACGTCTGGATCTTTAGAAGCAGGTGATAAGGTGACAGTGGTGCTACCCTTCAGCTTGCAGCCAAAAATCATCGGTCCCCTTTTCATAGAAGAGGCCACCTGTAGGGAGCAGTTCCTGTAACTCCTAAACCTCTAACACATGGTCACTGTGCTCCACCTCAACACAGACTCCCTAACTCCAAGGGGAACAATGATCACATGGCGTGGGCAAGAAGTGAGAAGGGATCTGGGGTGACTTTTTACAAGTCAAGGCTCCCAAAAATTGTACAAGTTTTGTCATCCCTGAAGCAAAGAACTCCTTTCCCTGATAAGAGTCACCAATTCTCAGTATCCAAAGTAGAGCAAACTCCTTCCTTTAAGGGCTCTTGATCAGCCCTGGGGAAATTGGGAGAGCAGGGTTCTCAAATAAACAACTGATAAATACACCTGCCATCATTAGCGAGTACCTACAGCGAGGCTGGCCTCATGGTAGGACCCTAAGATTCTTCTGGGATTACAAGGTCAGCGCATTCTGCTTCAGAGCCTATAAGAGACCAGGCAATTAGTCAGATAAGATTTAGAAATGTAGCAAGTTTCACCCATGGAGCTACCCTACCTACCTCAGCCTAGGCAGCCTTTTTGTCCTGTGTCAGAATTTCCACTAGGCATTGGGGACAGCAGGGAGATAGCAGAGAAGCTAAGCTGCAGAAACTTGAACTACAAAATTAGAAGAAGGGTTTTCCTCAGGTTTGTTGTTTTAATAGTGGAGCCCCTGGGGATAGGGCCTGGCTGAGGACCTGCCAGAATTCAGGAAGAAGATTGTTTTCCATCTGGTCTCAGAATTCTAGACTCCTGTCTTGTAGATGTGACTGATGTTGGGGTACTCTAGAGCAAGTCTTGCCCTTTGCTGAGTCTTGGATTCTCTTTTTATGTCTCCAAGAATTACCTTTAATGTCTGGAAGGATGCCCCAGCTCTTACCGCCTCACTCTCAGATTGAATATGTGTGTGTTTGGGGCTGGGTGAGGGGGGCATTCTGGAAATGCTCAGAGACACGTGGTAAACCACAGGTAGAAAGGTCATGAGGGGAGAGGCAGAAGGGTCAGCGGCCTATCTGAGACACCCAGGGTCCCAGAAAACTACAATTTCCTAAAATGCAATATCTACAATTCAAATCTCTCCTGTTTTCTGGCTAAGGCCTCCTTGTCCCAAAGAGTAGGCAGGACCTGGCTTGTGACAGGAGGTGGCAGGGGCATCTGGTGGAGAAGCATAAGAAGGCAACAAAGAGCCAGAGGGAATCCAGACAGCCCTGCCAGGACCCAGGAACCCTACTATCCCTCTTGCAGCAGACAAACTTTCACTGGTGCTTGGGCTTGCTGGGGTTGATGGCAGGGTGGTGAGAGAACACACAGGGATCCCTTTCTCCCTGCCCCAACTCAGGGGTCTGAGTCTGGAACCACAACGGCAGGCTTCTCCTCATCCTTCCCAGCATAGGATAAGAGAGGTGGGAGGTAAAGTGCTGAGTGTCTCTACTGGTGGATGGAGTCATCAATTACCTCTGGCAGTTCATTCTAGGATCGGGGCTTTCAGGAAGTGGTGGCATTTTGTGATGTCACTCGGTAGCACTAGGTGGTACAGAGATGAGCTCCCTGGGAGAGAACAGTGCTAAGTTCTGTCATGTTAATAGATATTCCAGGAAAACCAAATAAGCAGACAAAAACCTGTTACCAAATAATTCAGGGAACTGGGTAAACAAAGTTCAATAGATTTTACTACTGTAGGACTTATCTCTTTATTACACTAACATGCACTGTGAATCTCTAAGAAAAAGACATCATGTGTAATCTCTTCCAAAGCTTATTTTAATAGGAAGTCTTTATGCATGGCATATGTCAAGATTAATGGTACATGGAACACATTTTGTATCCTATCCATGAGTCACACGGGAAATCACCTTCCAGGCCTTTCTCTGTGAGGTCTCCCTGTCCACTGTGCCCTGATCAACCCTCCACCCCTTCACTGTCTTTACTTCCCTCATTTCCCTTAAGCAGACAAAAGTCCAGGTCTCTGGTCCACAGCTTCAGACATGACAAGGAAGAGGCCCAGTATCAAGGTGAAGCTGAGGAAGGCCAAGGGAAAGCCAGGCCAAGAGGCACCCGTTGGTGATGGTCACAGGAGAGAGGTGATCAGTGGAGCCAGGGACTGGGCCATCCTGCTATAGATCACACTGCTGAGTTTTGGTTGTATTTGTTTTAGAAGCAGCCATCATTCACCGAGGGGGAGAGAGGAAAGGGAAGAGAGGGGAAGAGAAGAATGGGGAGGGATATTTACACGTGTGAAGCAAAGGCCAAGCCAGAGGGCTGAAAGCCGCCACCCCCTGACAAGCCTCCACCTGCTGGCGTAGATCCCTCTGCCCTCAGCAGCAGTTCTCCATCCATGGAGGGTTGGGGGTTCCCAAAGTGGTTCCCCTCTGGCTCTACACAATGGCTGCCCTCCAGCCTGGGGGCCCCTGGCTGCTGACAGGAGATGAGGGTCACTGAGGGGAAGCCATAGGTCTCCAGCCCAGGGGGCCGCCCAGCTTCAGAAGCTTCCAGAATGAGATCCACATCAGAGAAGGCTACCAGGGCCTGGGTAGAATCACAGGAGCTCTTCTCCAGCTCCCCGGCCGCAGCATAGGCTAGGGGCCCTGAGTCCCCTGCGCGGGGCCGAAGCCGCCGAAGGTCATCCCGGAAGTGGGGGTTGAAGAGCAGGTACAGCAGTGGGTTGAGGCAGGCAGGCAGGGGCAGCACCACCAGCAGGACAGACTTGACGGCCTCGGGCGTGACAGGGAAGAGGCCCAGCATGGAGGCAAAGCTGAGGAAGGCCACGGGACAGTAGAGGAGCCCGTCTGCGAAGATGAGCCAGGCCACGTGCCTCACCATGGCGCAGTCCCACACGGCCTCAAAGTCGCCCCGCGGCAGGTCACAGTACAGTTTGATGTAGGCACCGGCCACGACCAGGAAACAGAAGGAGTTCATCATCACCAGGGCCACGGTGAAGCCCAGGGCTGCTGGCTGACCCTCAGGTGGCGCGTAGGGCAGGCAGAGTGGGGAGGCCCCGTATTCTCCCACTGAGGCCAGGGGCAGCGCGGCGGCCAGCCCTGCCAGTGCCAGGCAGCCTAGGACCCCTGCTCGAACGCTGCCCAGGGAGGGGGACTTCCCATAGGCCCGGACACAGGAGACGGAGACGCTGCACTGCACTGCGGCCAGAGTGAGCAGCAGCACCGATGCCTCCGACCCAAGTACTGCCAGGAAGCCAGTGGCCCGGCAGCCTAGCCCCGTCTCCCAGCGGGCTCCGTACTCAGAGAACTGACCAAAGGTCAGGGCATCGACTGAGGCTAGAAGGCCACAGGAAATGCCAGTCAAGGTGTTGGCGCCTGCAATCGCACCTACCACAAACTTGACCGGGGGCAGGGGGACAGGCCCGCCAGCGAACACGGTCAGCAGCACCAGTCCATTGCAGAGCACGGAGAGCAACACGATGGCCCACACGGCCAGGCGGATGCCCCAGCTTTCAAAGAGGTACTCACAGGGCTTGAAGGGGCCTGTAGGAGAGATCAGACATTAACCCTGGGCCAGAGGATGGTGGGACCAGGTCTTCAGGACCAAGGTCAGCCTCTGTATTCAGAGAATTTCCAATCAAAAGGAGATGAACATGGCCCTTGCCCTCGGAAAACTCCCAGTCTAAGGGAGGCTGACCCTGTTTCTGGCCCCAGAGAACTCCAAGTTGGAGGTTCTCTCACCTTAGAGAACTCCCAGCTGTGGGACATACACGACTCTTCTTCCGAAGAGCTGCAAGTGGGGTGAACCCTAACCCTCCTCTCAATACACCAGAACATAGAACGCATATAGGCCAGGCATGGTGGCTCACGACTATAATTCCAGCACTTCCGGAGGCTGAGGCGGATGGATTGTCTGAGGTCAGGAGTTTGAGACCAGCCTGGCCAACAAAGCAAAACCCCATCTCTACTACAAATACAAAAAATTAGCTGGGTGTGGTGGCACGCACATGTAGTCCCAACTACTTGGGAGGCTGAGGCAGAAGAATCACTTGAACCCGGGGGACGGAGGTTGCAGTGAGCTAAGATTGCTCTACTGCACTCCAGCCTGGGCAACAGAGCAAGACTCTCTCTCTCCCCAAAAAAACAAAAAAAAAACAAAAAAACACACACATGGTACAAATTAATACAGTACAAACCCAGATATTGAGGAAATGTTAAGTGAAGGACAGCACTGGAAAGAAAGGAAGGACAGGCTGCCATCAAGGAGTGGAGAGGGTATCAGAATTGGGAGCTATGGTGGGTAGGGACAGAGGCATGAGGGACTGCCCAGACAGTAACCAGTCTATGCCTGAGGCTCTGTTTCTCTCAGTCAGTCCCCAGTGATCCACTAAGTCCTCCACTGTGGGAGAGTCCTGACCAAATATTATACCAGGCTGGCTCTCCCTTGCTCTGTGAGAGGGGTACAGACCACATTGAATACTTGTCAGTCAATCAGTATTTCGGAGGTAAATTGCCTCAAGTACAGTAAATCAAAATACAGATGACTTCTGGGGTTTTCCAACCTAGGTCCACACGAGATGCGTGAGATCCTGGTGTTTTCCATCCCTCTCTCCAAAGTCTGTTCCTAAATCACCTTGTAACTTTGGAAATATTATTTCTTCATTTTCTTTGGCTTTCCACTCTTGTTCTTCAATGTGTTTCTTGGTAGCTTGGGAATTTGAGAGGCTTTTGTGGGAGCTATTTTTAAACCTTTTCTTTCTTATTACCAAATATAATAGGTGATAACTGTAGAAAATTTGAAAATATAACATGAAAACATTAAAATGACATGAGACTTCACCTCTCAGAGATAACTCATTATTTTGGTATGCTTCCGTCCAGTCTTTAAAAAATACATACATACATATAGGTTTTCAAGCTAAATTAAGATTTTACTGTTGTTATCATTTGGATATGGTTTGTCTGCACCAAAACTCATGCTGAAATGGAATCCCCCAATGTGGGAATGTTGGAGGTGGGGCCTAGTGGGAGGTGTCTGGGTCATGGGGACAGATCCCTCAGGAACAGATTAATGTCCTTCTGTGAGGGTGAGTGAGTTCTCAATCAATCCAGGGAATGGATTAGTTCCCTAGGAGTGGGTTGTTAAAGGGAGTCTGGCTTCTCTTTCACCCTGTGATCTATTTGCACATACCCACTCCCCTTCTGCTTTCCATCACAAGTTGAAGCAGCCTGAGGCCCTCATCACATGCAGCTGTCCAATCTTGAACCTCCCAGCCACCAGAATTGTGAGTCAAACAAAACTCTTTCCTTTATAAATTACCTAGCCTTAGGTATTCTGTTATAGCAACACGAAGCGGACTAAGACAACTGTATATGCGTTTCTCGTTCTCTTTAAGTCACATTTTTATCAAGCAGACTTTCCCAAATTTTTTCCCAGAGAAATATTTTTATATTACTCAAAACATATTTTATGTACCATAAAATGTACCATAATTATTTGACCATTTGGTGTGAGTTATTTTAGAAGCAAGCTCGAGTTGGACTTTGTCTTTTGGAACTTCCTCTTTTACCTCATCCCTGCTGATTACTGGTTTTCAGAGGTGAAATTTCCATGGCATTGTGAATGCAGCATGTGTGTTTTTCCAAGTCAGAAGCAGCACCTGCTTCCTCCAGGTTGGGTTAGTGCTCTGGCCCCAAGCTGGCACTAGAGGGCGTGCTGTTGTCACCAAGCACTGAAAACTCGGGCTGGGCAAGGCCAGGCAATCACTCTATAGGCTTTAGAGAGGGTAAAGGGAGAAGGCAAGGGTCCTGGGCCAGAGAAAGCTGGAAAACTGGAAAACGGAGGTGGAACGAAATAGAAGAAGCAAACTGTTCATCACTTCTGTTCATTCTGAAGAATCCCATCCTTGCCTAAGTAGCATGCTGCTTGCCACCTTCTGTGGCCTGTTAGCATTTTATATGCAAGCGAAGGGACTTCCTCACTCTAAATGTCTCAAGTTGAATTGCACCAAAGAGAAAGAGAATTTTCTTTTTTGCTTTCTTTATAGCAGGATGGATTTAGGTTAGATGCTAAAGGAGGCTTCCGCAACTATAAGCGTTAGATGGTGCTGTAAGGACTTACCCAGGGATACTATGGAGTTTTTCCACTGTGCAGAGTTTTAACAGAGACTGTAATCTTCCTGGGATGGAGCAGGGAGGGATGGAGAAGGTGACCTGTTGGAGTCCCACCTGGCTCTAGGATTCTGTGGTATGGGTCTTAGACTGAGGGATTACTCAAAAGCAGTCCCACGTGCCACCCTGAGCAATGGGGTCAAGGCATTCTTTCCTGCTTCTCTCCTGTGTAACAGTAGTTTTATCCTGGATGCATAAATGCTAATTGGCTGATTGCTTGACTTCGCCTCCATTCATGCTACTCCCCTCAAGCAGCCACCCAAGGGAAAGAACTCCAGTTCCTTCCCCAGGAATTACGAAAGGAGGGCCCTCTTGCAGCAGGCTGGGAGTCAGGCAAAGAATGTGGCTGCAGACATGCCAGGCTGAACTAATACCTCAACTAGGTGGTTGGGTGCCCTTTCTCCATTCCCCCTCGTCCCCATTCCCCAGACACCACCTCACCTGGAGTAGGGCTACACTGGACACTGGGGTGTGGCTTTGAGTCCTCCATCTCCAGCTGGAGCTCATCCAGGTCCTGGTCATCTGAAAGGAGAGACAAAGTGATGCAGGGTCCTGGGTCTTGGTGTCAGTCAAGCCCTACCTTTCTCCAAATGCCCCCTCCTTTAAGATGTCCCTTACTAACTCTGCTCAGCACTGTTCATTCTAGCAACCCGGCACATCCATTTCTACCCTTGGGGGTAAAGATTTGGTCAGCTTCCTATTATCCACATGTGGATTATCTGCACTGAAGAGTGCACAGCAAACATTTCACCTAGACCTTCTCTTTCTATTAGTCAGGGCTCTATGTCCTCTCCAGTCAGCCTTACCCACAAGTGCTGCTTCGAGTTGGAGTGGAAGCTGTTTCAATAATGTATGCTAGTGATCACACATTCTCTACTCTGGCTGGGCTGTCACTGTAATTTTGTGTCCAGTTGTGAAAACTACACATTAAGAAAAACATCAGTGAGCTGCAGTGTGTTTAGACGTGAACGAGTGAACTAGGGGGTGGGAGAGCAGAAGCCATTTGTGAGAGAAACAGTCAAAGCAACTGGGCGGTGTTTAACTTGGAGGAGGTAAGAGTAAGTGGGGGTATCATGGCCGTCCTCAAAGGGCTGAAGGACTGTTAGGGGTAAAGGAATTTGACTTCTACATGCTGTTTTGCCCCAGAGGGTAGAACCAGGATCAATGGATGGACTGTAGAACGAGGCAAATTATGATTCGAATGGAGACACTCTACTACTTCCTAACAAGAGTAAGTTCCCACAATTAGAGCTGTCCAGCAAAGGAACACCCCACCTTCAACAGGTGCAGAGTAGGTCCACATCTGCTGAGTGCAATTCTGGCACTGGGCAAATGCAGAAGAATTTCAGGGATGAATAAGAGATGGACCTGCTCTCAAAGAGCTTGTGGAGACTAATAAGGAAACAAATTGTCATGCTACAATGAGTGCCATCAACTAACAGATTTATTTACTAGCTAGAAGGGAATAATTTGAATGTTCCTAGCATAAAGAAAAGACAAATTTTTAAGGCAAAGGATATCCCGATTACTCTGATTTGATCTTTATATACATTATATGAATGTATTAAATAATCACATGTGCCCCCCATACATACATTTATTATGTATCAATTAGAAAAAAATTTTCAGCTAATAGATTCACTGAACAATAAGGGTTAACATTTCTTGAGTTCTTATTCGGCACCAGGTACTGTGCCCAGTCAGTCCTCATCTTCATGGTCCCATTAACCTTCACAACATCCATGTGAGGCAGGTGACAGATAAGGAGACTGAGGCTCATTGAAGTTAAGTGGCTTGCCTGCAGCCTCACAGCAATAGACTAGAATTCAGATGCAGGTTTGTCTGACTACAGAGCCCAGATGTTTAACCATCATGCTTTCCCAGGCAAGGGACTGATTACTTTGGGGGGTCAGGGGGTGGGGAGGGTTCAGGAGATTTACAGATGCATGAGCTGAACATAATTTGTCACTGATGATACTAAACAGAAAGTCCCCAATGGGAGAGAAAGCACTTCTACCTGAGTCAGAGGCTGGACTAGATCATCTTTAATGTTCTTTTCAATTCTAAGTCCAGGCTTTACACTTTTTTTTTTTTTTTGAGATGGAGTCTCGCTCTGTTGCCCAGGCTGGAGTGCAGTGGCATGATCTCGGCTCACTGCAAGCTCTGCCTCCTGGGTTCACGCCATTCTCCTGCCTCAGCCTCCTGAGCAGCTGGGACTACAGGCGCCCGCCACCACGCCTGGCTAATTTTTTGTATTTTTTTAGAGATGGGGTTTCATGGTGTTAGCCAGGATGGTCTGGATCTCCTGACCTTGTGATCCGCCTGCCTCGGCCTCCCAAAGTGCTGGGATTACAGGCGTGAGCCACCGTGCCCGGCCTTACACTTTTTTTTTCTTATTCACTTTTGCAGTGTTTCTCAAACTAGGGCCTGTGAACTCTAGGGGGTTGCAGACATGCTGGAGGTCCACAAATTCTATACGAATTTTGAAATGAGAATCTAGAACATTTTATAATCTATAAAGACAAAACATTTTTTGCAGTGATAATCCATCACTGAAAGGCTTTTTAAAGAATAAGACAAGTTTCTCAGGTCAGACTGGAAATGTGTCTGAAGACCCAAGTTGGGGAAAGAATGGCTTGTCTTCAAAAGGTAACTGTACAATCTTCAGGTTTAAGAGACAGCATCCTGTGGGCTCTTCCTCCATCATACAGGGCAATGGATAGGTGACTCTGTTTGTTGCACTTGTTCCATCTTTGGTTCACAAAGTCTGTTTCCTGTGTGGATCCTTCCTCCTCACTTAAAGGGTAAACACCATCAGTTGGGAGCTTTCCCAGGAGGCAGGAAGACTGTGAAGCTGCTCCTGGCCCAGACACCATCAGGGCAGGTCGGAGGCTGAGTCGTGCCCACAGAGTCCTGGCATTTCCTCCTCTCTACCTTTCACTCCCTGCCCACCCCTGCTCTCCAGAAAGAAGTTCAGCAATTCTTTGAAATCAAAATGCATGAATGAAACACAAGGGGTGAAACCCGTGGACTCTGTCTGAGGCTGGGAAAATCACAGCCAAGGTGTTAAGTAACCACTCTTCAAACGAGGAGGAAATCGAATCTGGCTGGAGCAGCAGCTCCTGGCTTTCCTTCTCGAGGCTCATTAGCTCCCACAGGAAGTGGGGGGCCCTGCCCTAGCTCCCGTTACAGGCGGCAGGCAGCCCACGATCTTGACGCCCTGTGGTTCTCCAAGACCTAAGCTCGGTGGAAAGTTTCACCTTGAGGAAGGAAAGTTTCCATTCTTCCTTCCAGCCCCCTGAGGGAGTGTACAGCAGACATCCGGGAATGTCCCCCGGGGACAGCTGTCTGCTGGCCCAGAGCCAGCCAGGCTGCTGGGCTGCTCCTCATCGGGTCCTCATACCCTCCCTAGGGAGGTGTGTTAATACATTGGGAAGAAGGCTCTCAGAGACCCCCAGGTTGCCTGCCCACCATTTGCCCTCCATACACTGTGCCCCGGACTCCACAGTTGCACTCTCCCTATACATGTACACCAGAAGGCACCAGTCCTCAGTAGTAGCGATGAGCATACTTCATCATTTATGGAATCTTTTAGTCTTCCCCAACAGCCTATGAGCTATCCATTATCTTTCTCATTTACTTATTTATTTATTTAGTTTTTTGAGACAGAATCTCACTCTGTCACCCAGGCTGGAGTTTGCAGTGGTGCGATCTCAGCTCACTATAACCTCCGCCTCCTGGGCTTAAGCCATTCTCCTGTCTCAGCCTCCCAAGTAGCTGGGACTACAGGCGCATGCCACCATGACTGGCTAATTTTTGTATTTTTGGTAGAGAAGGGGTTTCACCATGTTGGCCAGGCTGGTCTCGAACTCCTGACCTAAAGTGATCCACCCGCCTTGGCCTCCCAAAGTGCTGGAATTATAGGCTTGAGCCACCGCGCCCAGCCAATTATCTTTCTCATTTAAAGATAAGGAAAGTGAGGCTCAGTATGGTTACATGACTGGTCCAATGCAATCCAACTGGTGAATGTTGTAGTTGGGATTGGACCTCAGTTTTGTCTACGCTGTAATGAGATGTTTTTCTTACATGTTTATATTTGATTTTTCGTTTGTTTATTTTCTCCATTGAAATATTGTGGAGAGTTAGAGATGGAAAAAGAATACCCCAAAGCAGAGGACCCCTACTCTCTCCCTCCTAATTCTGCTTGTGTTCTGTAATACGGGCAGGGGGAGAGGGAAGCCCTTTTATCTGCCCTTGGTATCTAAGATACCACTTAGTAAATGATCCCTCAGAACCCCCTTGGCTGCCTGCCTCCAACATGTGCCTTTTACCCTAACTCTTCCAGAAACACAGATGGCCCAAGACAGCCTGCACTGGAATGGCCCTTCTCAGTGAAGGTCTCTTGCACCTGGCGGCCACGGAAGTCTCACTTTCAGACTCATGGGGCAGACTGGAGGTGCAGGATGGACTTGGACAGCAATAACCCTACACTGTTCCTTTTGGTTCTAGGACATATTATGAGGGGATTCTTTTTTTCTGGAAGTAGGTTTAATTCAATTGATTTAATTAAATCCTATTGGCTCAGATTGATAAAATAAGGGGTCTGTCTTCTCTGAGAATACCCTGAGGTTGAAGGAGAAGAAACATGTGGACCACAAGGGGAGGGTTAAGTGAGATGGTGTGTGAGAGGCACTTTGTGAACTGCAAAGGGCTAGGCAGATGAGACATTGCCACAGCCATTGTTACCATCATTACTTTGTCCCAAGCACCTCTGGGTGTAGTCTTGGAGAGACAAAGTGCAAACAGAGGTAGAGTTTCCTCCCAGGTCACAGGCAGCTCCTCCCACCTCTGTAGGGCTTCCCTCTGCAGCTGCTGTCAGATTCCCTCTCAGGTCCCCCAAGCATCCCCTCTAACTTCCTCTCCACAGCCCACTACCCTCCCCAACCCAGGGCCCCTGGTCACTCACAGTGGTTCTCTGCTTGTCTGGCAAGGAGGCCCAGGGGCCTTTTTGAAGACTCCTCATCATCAAGGTGAAGGTCTTCAGCCTCCCACTGCCCAGAGGCCTTGAAGAAGCTGGCACACATCCCATAGGGACAGCACTGGTAGGCATAAGGCACCTCCAGGATCCTGGTGGGGGAGAGGCAGGCTGATTGGCTGCCTCAGCATCTTTGGGGTCTAAGACCTAAGTCTGATTTAAGAGATCTGCAACCCAGGGGCTGGGCACTCAGTGTCTGTCCTTCAACTCCCAAGTTCCCTGTTCACTGTGCTGGCAGTCTCCTAGGCATTCTTTGTAAGGGCCTTGCAGCCTGACTCCTGATCTGAAGGGCTCTGGAGGCATTTCTGTCTTTCTTTGTTCATCTTGGCAAGTGAGATGGGGAAAGAAACATTCTGCCCATTGTTTAAGGAGTCCTCTCTGCTGGCTCAGAGCGGGCAGAGGCTTCCCCAAGCTCACACAGCACTGCCAGTGCTCTGCTTCTTCTCCCAGGCAACACCTCCTCTTTTATATTTAAGGCCACATGGATTCTTCTGGTGATTCTTCACTCTGGCCCTCAGTGAGACCTGCACCCTATCCCTCCCCCACCTCTGGGCATATTGGAGCTGGATTTGGTGCCCTCTGAGGGTAAGTGCAGAGGCCCTAAGGGCATCTCATTAGTGTGCAGCAGACAAGGCTTGGGCCATGCAGGCTGCACCACTGCTGCTGCATGGAAGAGGCCTGGATGTCATTAGCACCACGGCCTGGCTGCGCAGCTTGTTTTCCACCCATCAGTGTCCTGGGCTCTGCCCTGATTCCAGGGGCTCAGATGCTGCCCAAGTGAGGACAGATAATCTGGACATGTGGAACCAGATGGGGTGCAAGGAGGGCTAGGGGGTCTTCACATCATCTTACTTCTATCACTCTCAGGTCCCAGTGCTCACTAGCGTTGGAGCTTGGGACAGGGGAAAATGCCACCAAGGAGATAAGGAGGAAGGGGAGGCATGAACCAGGCCCCTCTTGGTCTGTAGGTGGTCAGGTGAGCCCTTCCACTAAATCTTGGTCAAACCCTAAGCCTCTAGGCTCTTCTCAGGGTGGGGCCATCTGGCTTTCTCTCTGTCCCTCCAGGGTCTCCAGCTGGCCTACCCAGGTGTTGGGGAAAGCCAGTCCCTCACCTCAGTTTTGGGAAACTGTCCTTGGAGAAGGCCTGGGAGAGAGCAAGGTTCCCTTTGAGCTTCAGATGCATCAAGCCCCCAAGTCCAGCCAGGGGCAGTGTGGTCAGCTGGTTGTCTGTCAGGTCCCTAGGACAGTGGATGGTCAGGGTTATTGGCAGTCAGTGGGATTGCTGAGGGGGCAGGGCTGTGCTGAGAATGTGGCCAGTGTGCCTGGGATGGAAGCAAGAGGAGAGGAGCAAAGGACAGGAGAGAAGCTTAGAAGAGAGCATTGAATGCCGAGGGAGGAGGGCAGCCAAGAGTTGCTAGAGGCACCATCTGCAGGTTGTTCATTCTTTTATTTGCTCATTCATTCAATACATAACGGTGCCAACTATATACCAGGGACTGTTCTAACTTAATGCCAAGCTGTCCCAATTTGTAGGTAACAGAGCTCCCTCAACCACAGTTCCTGTGCCCAGTTCTAAGTGCCATCCAGGAAGCCCTGCCCACCCGCTTGGGGAACCTTCCTGTTGTCGTTTATCCCCATCCCCCTGCCTTTCCTCCTACTTTTCTGATGATATAAGAGGGCTGAGTCTGGGACTGGACAGAGCTGGTCATCTGGCTACAAGCAGGGATTGGGTCATCCATTCCATCTTGTAGGGACTGCTTTGTAGCCAGAGGCGAGGACATGCATTTTCTTCTACTGGAGGCGCATTAGAGGAAGCCCAGGGTTCCAAACCAAACGCTAAGACCACAGACTGTGCGTCGTGGAAACAGCCCTGGACTGGAAGGCAGGAAACCTGGCACTGTCACCAACTCGCTGTGTAACCAAGGGGAGCCACAAATCTGCCTGAGCTTCAGTGTCCTCATCTTTCAAAGGGATAAAAATATCCACCCTACCTATCTGGCAGGACTAGAGCAAACAGGAGAGGGAAGACGGAGGTGAGAGTTTTGCAAAGCCACGGCCCCAGCCTGAGGAGGAATGTGTGTGCCTGCTGGGAGTCCTGGCCCTTGGCTTTGAGTAAACTTCTCCTCCTGGGCCTTGGAGGCCTCACCTGTGAAGTGAAGCGGGTGGGGCTGGATGGTCTCTGAGGCCAGGGCTGGAGCTAGCCCAAAAGAAGTCTTTGTGTTAACCAGAAAAGGGCCCAGTCTAGGTAGATGTGCTTTTAGGAGTCCAGCTTGGCAAGGAGGTGGCAGGATGTCAGCTCCCTCTTGGGCAGGAGTGCTTGCGCAGTGAATAACCTGCCCCACAGTACATGGCAGCTGCAGCAGAGGCCCCTTCCAGCCCTGACATAATGACCATGTAGCCAACACTGCTCACTCTCTGTTTACATCCTATGTAATTTAAAGGACCTGAGGTCCCCTGCTGCCTCACAGAATGGCAGTCCTCTACAGCAATGCTCAAGCAGGGAACCCCTGAGCTCTCTGAGACCCTGGCTCCCACATCTACTTCCACCCTCCTATGTGTGAAGGGATTCCAGGCCCAATATATCCTCTTTGTTGGTGGATAGAGAGGATGGGGATGGGACCGAGGCAGGGGGGATGAGGAGGGCTGAGGCTGCCAAAATACTGCAGAACATTAGCAGATGATGTTCCAGAGCTTACAAGAGGCAGGATCTCTGTTTATCAGGCCCCACACTCTGTCAAACGGATTGTCAGAATGATTGATTAGGCTGAGGCCCATCTCCCTGGGATATGCATGTTCCTGCTCTGGGGTGGCCCTTCTGCCTCCATTGGCCAGCCCATAGTCCCGACTGGCCCCCAGCATCCTGGAGGAGAATGCAGCAGGCACTTACAGCTTGACCAGGGAGTGCAGGGTGGAGAAGGCCTCGGGGTGGATGGACCGGATGGCGTTCCAGCTAAGATCCCTGCAGGCAGAGAGGGTGTGACAGGAGGGGACAGTAACATGTGGAGGACTCACTGTTCCCATCATGGGCTCCCCCTCACATACCCCCATCTGACCTGCCCCCAGTAACAGTAACCTTTGCCTTTTGGGGAAGGTACCTGCTGCTGCCCAGCTCCTGAGCTGGCTGTGGCCCCAGGAACAGGGACATGACAGCTTGGCTCCAGAGCCTCAAGACCTCCTGGGTGCCAGCTAGAGAAGTGTGTGTGTGTGCTGGGGGTGGGGGCTGTGGAGCTGGGAGGCGATGTGCATGTCACATTTGCTTAAATTGTACACATGTGCTATGACAATGAGCATGCCTAGCAGAGGGACACGGTGGCTCCTCCATGGCCCACCCCTGGATGTGGGTACTCACAGGGCTTGCAGGGAGCTCAGCTGGCTGAAGGTGTCAGCTCCAATTTCCCAGATGCGGTTGTGTTGGAGGCCGCTAGGGCAGCAAGAGAGGCTGGATGAGCCGGCAGGCTCAGACCCTGGCTCCGCTCCATGCCCCCCGAGCACTGGGAGGAAGAAAGTAGAGCCCCCCACTTCTCCTGGCACAGGAAGAAAGGGCCCAGCCCGAGGAAGTCACCAGAATTAAAGGGAGCACAAGGGGATCCGGTTGCCTTGGGTAAGTGGGTCAGGAGACAAAGCCACAAAACCATCCCTGTGGCCCAAAAGGGAGTCAGCTTCCAGTGTTCCCACTGGGCCTGGCTCCCAGCCCAGCCAAACTGGCCCCCACACCTCCCATCACCATGGGTCCTCCAGACCCTAGCCCAGAAGCAGAGCACCGCCCAACCCAAGTGACTGGCCGGAACTGGGAAGCAGAGCTCAGTAGACTGGTTGAATGGGAGATGGACCCTGGGCCTCAGCCATGCAGAAGACCCTCCTTCCCTTGGCACCTAGACAAACAGGAGACCCTCATATCTGTACCCTGCCCCAGCCCCAAAATGCATGGTCCTGCCTAGAAGCAGGGTACAGACACAGGGAAGCTCAAGAGGCCATGCTGGCTTGAGAAAACAGGAGCTGGGTTAATACAGCTTAGAGAATTTTTCAAGTGATATTTTCTTTGTGACCTTTGAATCCCAGGCTTGTTCTTCCACATATGATTATGTATGTCTGTGTGTAATATGCAAACACATACACACATATGCATGTGCGTGTTTAGAGGTATGGAAAAGGAGAGAACATGCTCCAAAATGCAGGGTGCTTCCAACTCCTTAAAGCCTTCTCCGGTCCATCCCACTGGGCCCTGATGTGACCCTGTCCCTCCACTGGTTCTAATCACTACTGCATTTCTGTGTTGCTACTGATTTATAAGGAGCCACCTTGAGACTCCTTTTGGGCACCAGCTCCTGGGTCGGTCTTCTGCTGTGAGTCCTAGGGCCATTGTGCAGGCCTCTGCCAAGCTCTCAGCCCTAAACTCTGGGTTAAACAAACTCAGAAAAGAGAAGGAAGAAATGTCAAAGTGTGCATTGGCCCTTACTGATGCCCCCCATCACACCTCCCTACAGGACTTGCTCAGGGTCTGGCTGGCGTGCTTTTGCCTCTTCCCTACCCCAGACTCACATTTCCTCCAATTTCTGACACCTGTGCAGGCTGGGCAGCTCCTCAATTTGATTGTGAGACAGTTCCCTGGGGAAAAGAGAAAGGCCAGGGCTGGGGTGAAATGGTGGCTATCTGAGGGCTGCTCGGGGACGGGGGGCTCTAGCCAGGACTGTGCTTTCCTGTCAATTAGCTGAAGGCTGTGGGGACCCCACAGGGACATGGCTGTTGAGGCATCTCACACCAGGGCACCAGTCTCCTCAATTCACTTTCTCTGCATTTCCTCCTACTAAGTCCCACTCCTCATTGGGCCTAGATGGGACTACCCAGGAAGTGAGAGGGGCGTGGTGAAGAGGAAACAGGCAAAGAGTCAGGGAGAGGGGCACTGAGCCAGCCAGCAGAGAACACATTGGACCTCACTGAGCAATGCCAACCCAAGCACCTGCAGTCACCATTTATGGAGCTGGCAGGAAAGATCAGAGCTGGAGGCCCTTAGGGATCATCTGGCCCAACTCTTTCACTCAGCAGATGAGAAACCTGAGGCCCACAGAGGGGACAGGACCTACTAAAGGACACACCACCAGTCAGTGGCAAGGCTGAGTCTGGAGCCTGTGTCTCCGGACCCCCAGCCTAGGGCTCTTTCCACACACTATGCGTTGGTCCACCCATCTTGAGCTGAGGGGCTATGGTCCCTGATGAGGAGCCTCAGATTCAAGTTGGAGTCCAAGGAGAGAGGAAAACTCCCCTTGACTTCAGAGGCCACTTAAGTACCTCCACAGTCCCAAGATCCCAAGAGGGGACTAATTTTCTTGTGTAAAATTACAGTAATTATGTCATTTATTGGTATTATGCACTAGGTGCTTTACATATTTTTTCCAACCCTTACAAATTGACTCCCATGTTATAGACGAGGATATCGAAGCTCAGAGACTTTAAAGAGTGAGTCCAAATCAATACAGCTAGTAAGTGGCAGAGCTGTGCCTCAAACCCGGTCCTTCTGGGGTAGGCTCTCAGCAGGAGCCTATGCTGCTCCATTCTCCAGGAAGGGAAATGACCAAGTGGGACAGAAGCAGGAGAGGCCTTTTGTGGGACATGGGGGTAGGGGCACAATGCCAAGACTGTAGAATTCTTGTGAGCACTCACAGGACTCGGAGCCTGGGCAGCTGTTGGCACATCCCCGATGGGAGCAGCCGGATGCCTGCGCGGGTCAGGGTCCTGCAGGGAGAACAGAGACAGAGCTGGCACCAGGCCCAGGGCCCTGCCATTCCCAGCCACCCCGCTCCAGCTCTGGACCTGATACTGTCGTGGGATGACGGAGCTAACAAAAGAGAGAAATGGAGGGAGAGACAGGGCAGGGGGTGGGGCTGTGGGGACAAAAACGAGCAGACACTGGCATCTGAGCACCAAGCTCCCTTGGGCCTAGAGGAGCTGGGGGAGGGGAGTGGAGAGAGAGGGCCACAGCCCAGGGCTCTGCTCCAGCCATCCCCATCCCATCCCCACCCCATGTCTCATAATGGTCTCAAGCAGCACTGGGCCTGTAGGACAGGGACACAAATCTTCTCTGCTGTAGGGACCTTAGAGGAGGGGATGTCCATGGGCAAGTGTAGACAGAAAAACACCGTAGTGGGACCATGGGACACAGGCACAGAGTTTGGTCCCTGTGCCTCGGAGGAGGGAGAAGAGATGGGATAGAAGGGAAGAACCAGGAGCTGGGCTGGAGAGGGCTGTGGGGGCAGGTTGGAGAGCAGGCTTGGCTTCGGGCAGGGTGTCCCAGGAAGGACCCAAGGCCAAGGTCATCTTTGGGGAATAACTACTTCCCTCATGGAAAATTTTCCACATGCCAGTGAATCTAGCGGGGAGACAACGGAGGCACAGAGGAGAGCCCCAGTCCCAGTGGTGCCATGAATGAACTTTGTGGTGTGGGGCAGGGCAGCCGACTTCCTGACACTCATTCTGGGTGTTTGCTCGATTGTTTCATTTCATTCATTTAAATGTATTGAGGGCCTACTATGCGTCGGCACTCCTGCCCTCTATGCCACAGGAGATAATAATAGAAAATACAAGAACGTCTTTGTTGGAATCAAGCTTCAGAAAGGCAAAGACGGGTTTTCACAACCCTCCTCTCCATCACTTCAACCCTCAGTGTACCTGTGGCTTGGGGTTAGGAGCTCTAAATTAATACCTGAAAACTCCAAGCATGGTAAAGAGAGAAAGACCAGCCTCCTCACTGCCATCCCATCTGCCACCTGCTGACCTTGCCTGTGGGCAGTGCCACATCAGGAGGAAGGGGATGGAGCCAGTAGTAGAGACAGGCTGGATAAAAGGGAAGCAAGGAACCTAGACAGCCTTCCAGGGGCAGGGAGTGGAAGAGCTCTTGGGAATGAAGCTGGGGCGATAGATAAGGTAGGGAGAGAGAAGCCACTCACAGGATCTCCAGGCTGGTGGTGCCTTTGAGATCTGGAAACTCCTGGATGTCCATGGCACCATTCAGAGATCTGGAAATAGAGACAATGAGCTCTGAGGGGTGGGGTCAGAGCATCTCAACATCAAGACTCTCAATTCTCCATTTTGTCTCCCCTCCGGGACTCCTCCTTTGGGGGCAATGTCATGCTTCCCTGCAATCTTCCTCAAGTCAGCCACGCAGGCCCTCGTGGAGGCTGAGCCATACTTAGCAGGGTCCAACCAGCCATTTGCTTAAGTTTGCTCAGCACACCCTCGCCCAGACAGAGCTGGGTAACCTCAGCATTCACGCTTCAGCTTGCAAAAACCCCACATGCAAGCAACATGGGAATGGCCTCTGGTTAATAGACAACAGCTTGGGTGCTTCTGGAGAAGCCCTTGGCTGCTGGGTTTTGCTTATTAGAACCTGAGATAGGGTCACCCCTAAATTGTCATCTGCTGGAACTTTATTAGAACTATCAGTTCTCAGCCGGGTGTGGTGGCTCACACCTGTAATCCCAGCACTTTGGGAGGCCGAGGCGGGCGGATCACCTGAGGTCAGGAGTTCGAGACCAGCCTGGCCAACATGGTGAAACCCCATCTCTACTAAAAATACAAAAAGCAGTCGGGCGTGGTGGCGGGCGCCTGTAATCTCAGCTACTCGGGAGGCTGAGGCAGGAGAATCGCTTGAACCCAGGAGGCGGAGGTTGCAGTGAGCTGAGACTGCGCTATTGCACTCCAGCCTGAGCAACAGAGTGAGATCCTGTCTAAAAAAGAAAAAAGAAAAAAGAGAACTATCAGTTCTCTTAAACTGCTTTAGACTGGTGGTTTTCCTCCTTCCCACCATCTCCTATTTTATTGAGGACACGGACCCACATGGGGCCTGCATGCAACAGCAGCGCAGAAAATTGAGTGTTGTGAAAAGCCCTGAGGAGGCAGCGTGGGGTCCAGAAATGAGCCCAGAATCTGAAATTAAAGGGTTCTGGGTTCATGCCCAACAGGGCCTGAGTACCTCATGTTCCACCTGTAAATCGGACCAATAACACCTACCTCACAGGGTTACGATGAAGATGAAATGCCGTAATGAACGTGAAAGTTAAGTATGTGCTTTGGAGATGTCGGCTATGTTACTGTGACGCCACAGTAGGCTGACAGCAATCCATGGAAGCTTTTTCTTTTCTGAGACTGAGTCTTGGCTCACTGCAACCTCAGCCTCCCAGGTTCAAGCAATTCTCCTGCCTCAGTCTCCCAAGTAGCTTAGCTGGGACTACAGGCATGCACCACCACGTCCGGCTAATTTTTGTATTTTTATTTTGAGACGGAGTTTCATTCTTGTTGCCCAGGCTGGAGTGCAATGGCGCGATCTCGGCTCACTGTAACCTCCGCCTCCCGGGTTCAAGCGAGTCCTCTGCCTCAGTCTCCTGAGTAGCTGGGATTACAGGTGCCCACCACCACGCCCGGCTACTTTTTTTGTATTTTTAGTAGAGATGGGGTTTTACCATGTTGGCCAGGCTGGTCTCAAACTCCTGACCTCAAGTGATCCACCCGCCTCAGCCTCCCAAAGTGGTGGGATTACAGGAGTGAGCCTCTGTGCCTGGCCCCATGGAAGCTTTTTGAAGAAGTGGGACTTGGGCTGGAAATTAGAGAATAAGAGAGGGGAAATAGAGAGCACCTTCAGGCCAAGGGTGATAACGATGGCACAGCAAAGTGCCCAGGGATCTGGGCTCCAAGGCCACAGGAGAACCAGCCTTGAGAACCCACCATATTCAAAACTCCCAATTATTTCTGGAAAAGCTACCGTGAACAGGATAAAACCCAAGAGGCCAGATGAAAGTCCTTGACTATGGAGATGGACCTTCCTTGTCCCTTTGAGACCTGGGAAGAAGCCACAGTTCAGGGAGGTGGAGGGAGGCTATTAAATTTAGAAAGAGGTGGGAACGGGTCTGAGCAAAGCAGAGGCCTGCAGCCTTGAAGACCACGCTTTGCAGTGGACTTGTGCCTTGCAAGGGAGAGATCCGCAGGCGATAGGCAGGAGAGAGCAAGAAGGAGTGAGGAAAGGGGGAAGTTCAGGCTGCAGCAGCCTTCAGGAGCCAACTTACAGTGTGTGGAGTTTAGGCAGGTACTGGAATGCCGATCTTCCCACAAACTGGATTGGGTTATCATAAAAGTGTCTGGAAGAAGAAGGTCCAAACACCTAATTGGGTTTTTCAGGCCTTTCTGCTGGGATTAAGGCCAATCTCTGCTTTCTTCTCCTATCAATGTAGACCCAGGAAAGAACATGCAGGGAAAGGCAACCCCTCCCATACTTCTGCCTCCCTGGTGCTTCCTAGGGAAGTCCCTCCTGCCTTCCCATCCTCTGTCCTCCTCCCTGAAACACTGTTCGGCATTAAGAGACCAGAGAAAGTAGTACTCACATCGTCTGTAGCAGAGGGTTCCCCATGAAGGCCTTTTCTGGGATGGCCTTGATGTTGTTGTTATGGAACCCCCTGGAAGACAACACCAGGAACCAGTGAGGATTTGGAGAAAGGTATAGAGAGGGAGAGGCATGGAATTCCACAGGGCTTTTGGACAGCAAGCTAGACAGTCCATAAGACAAAAGAGGCATTGGCCTGGAGATTCCAGGTTCAGATTCAAATACTGCCTGTGATTTTTCTTTCTTTCTTTTTTTTTTTTTTTTCTGAGACAGGGTCTCTGTTACCCAGGCTGGAGTGCAATGATGCGATCTTGGCTCACCGCAGTGCAGCCTCGACTTCCTGGGCTCAAGCGATTCTCCTGCCTCAGCCTCCTACATAGCTGGGACTACAGGCATGTGCCACTGCACCTCGCTAATTTTTTGATTTTTTTGTAGAGACAAGATCTCACTTTGTTGCCCAGGCTAGTCTAGAACTCCTGGGCTAAAGTGATCCTCCTGTCTCAGCCTCCCAAAGTGTTGGGATTACAGGTGTGAGCCACTGCACCCAGCTGATTTTTCTTCCTGTTCAATTACACACCCTCTTTTCCCTAACAAGTGTAAAAAGAGTGAGGGGTGGAGACATGGCTGCAGGCCTCAGGAAGCCTGTGGGAGCAACTCAAGAGCAAGAGGCTGAGTTCAGACCCCAGGAAGGGAATCCTCTCCTTAGTCATTTGTCGTGAGAGCCCTGGTGGGTCCCCACAGAGGAAGCCAAGGGTGTGTGAGAGGAAAAGGAAGATACAGAAAAGACACAGCTTCCAGGGGATCCCAAGTGAGGGATGTTCCTCAAATGGAGGCTGGCTTGGCCTCAAGGCCCTAAAATAAAGAAACAGAAGTGTCAACAGCACGCAGCCAGGGGGATAAGGTGCGGAATGGGCCGCTGAATGACTGTGGATGGCACTATGGGAAAATGAGGACTGAGGCACCCAGCTGAGAGTCTGGGAGTCTGGAAGCCAGAATTATGTGTTTGGTTAGTTGGGAAAAACATTTCAAAATAAATAACATGTTGGACTGAAAAGTACATAACCTGTGCGGAGCAGGCTCCTTTCCTTCCCTCTCTTTTTCTTTGGAAGTTTCTGGCTTCTCTGTCCCCCTGGACTCTGCTCACCTCTGTCTTCCTCCTGCCATCCCCATCGTGACTTCCACCTTCATGCTGTCTCACTCACAGCTTCACGCTCAGACACCTCCAGCCAGTGCCACCCACCCAGGCCTGTTTGTTCATTAATTTATTCCTCTCATCTGCTCATTATGTTTTTCTTAAACACCATCTTTGTGTCTAATGTTGGGCCAAGCTCTGAGGGATTTAGAAGTTTCTAAGACAGGGGCCCTGTCCTCAAGCAGCTTTCTCTCAATAGATGAGAGAGAGAGAGATGGAGATAGACAGGTACACCCCCTCCCATATATTTTTGTCCCTGCTAACTTAGGTCTCCTCGCTCTTCCCTAATGTTTTATTATTTCCCGGCTCAATGCTTTTGCACATCCTGCTCCCTCCATGCCCTCTTGATAGATCAAATCTCATGCTTCTCTCATGCCCCAGATCAAAGGAAAAAAGTTAGACCTTGGTGACTCTGGCAATGGAGAAATTCCAATAGTTTCTCACTCAGACTTTTTTTTTTTTTTTTTTTTGAGACAGAGTCTCACTTTGTCACCCAGGCTGGAGTACAGTGGTACAATCTCCGCTCATTGCAATCTCTGCCACCTGGGTACAAGTAATTCTCATGCCTCAGCTTCCCAAGTAGCTAGGACTACAGGTGTGCACTACTACGCTGGGCTGATTTTTGTGTTTTTAGTAGAGATGGGGTTTCACCATGTTGTCCAGGTTGGTCTCGAACTTCTGACCTCAAGTGATCTGCCCACCTCGGCCTCCCAAAGTGCTGGGATTATAGGCATGAACCACCACGCCCGGCCAGACTATTTCCTCTAGGTGGTCCAGTTGTCCCCTATGTGCTGCCTACATCTGGCATTCACACCTTCAAACTTCTGGATGAGGCAAGGGAGGTGGCATGGGGCTAGTACTATAGGTCTCAGGTGGTGGGGGTGGTTTGAGCTATAAAGATACTAAGCTGGCCGGGCGCAGTGGCTCACACCTGTAATCCCAGCACTTTTGGGAGGCTAAGGCAGGCCGATCACGAAGTCAAGAGATAGAGACCATCCTGGCCAACATGGTGAAACCCCGTCTCTACTAAGAATACAAAAATTACCTGGGCATGGTGGTGCGTGCCTGTAGTCCCAGCAACTCGGGAGGCTGAGGCAGGAGAATCGCTTGAACCTGTGAGGTGGAGGTTGCAGTGAGCCGAGATCGTGCCACTGCACTCCAGCATGGCGACAGAGTGAGACTCCGTCTCAAAAAAAAAAAAAATAGATACTAAGCTGCCTGAAAATTTGGGGCTCTGTTTATGAGTCTCCAGGACTCTTAATCTGGTCCCACTCTAGCTGTACGATAGAGCTCTTATTGTTTCCTGAGAGCTTCCCTCCAGTAAAGCTGCTTCCCACCTGTGCTCATCCCTCTGCCAGCTCAACTTCCTACCTGGGTCTTTACCTACAATTTCTTCCTCTGAAATGCCTCTCCCCTTCCCCACCACTGTCGCCTCAATCCCGGTCATCCCTTAAGGCTCATCTCAGGATTTGTCCACAATGATCTTTCCACATTACTCTGGACTCCCACCGCTGTTTTAGCTAATACTCTGCAAGTTATGGTTGGAGTTATATACCATTTTGTCCTGCTCCCTGTTTTACCTATGTTACTTTGTGTCTTCAATGAGGCTGAAGGATGCTTGGGGAGGGCCATGTCAATCTGACCCTTTGTTTGTGTTTATCACTAAACACAGTGCAGGGTACATTGGGTGCTCAGCGAATGCTGAAATAAAATAATAAATGGTGGCTTTGGGGAACCAGAGACAACTTCTCAGTACCCCTGGGGACAAGGTGCTGAGGAGTGATCCTATAAACCAGTTCTCAGTTCCTTTCCTCATTCTTCTCTGGACACATCCCAACCAAGGCAAGGGCAGTGCCAGGCCCAGGCTAATAGTAGGTGGCTTGTGCCATGGGTTTTCCCAGGCTGGAAGGCCCCAGGGCCATTTCTGCTATTGACACACCCCCAGGAAGTGCCCGAAACCAAGCTAATGAGGCCTGGGACTACTTAGAGCTGCATTGGGGCTTGGGGAGCCGGGGCGGGAGGGTGGGGGACAGCTACATCTTTTATAAGGACCATGGGAGGTGAGGAGGTAAGAGCATGAGGCAGCTCAGGCTGGCTTCAGCCCCTGCCCTTGGGACAGAAGGACACCCACAGAAACCAAAAGAGGCGCTTACAGTTCCTGCAGTCTGCCCAGGGTCCGGATGGCCACAGGGAACTCCTGCAGCTTGTTATAATTCAGGTCTCTGGAACAGAAAGCAGAGCAGTCATTAGGGCAAAGGCTTAATGGGGCATGTCAGGGTCCCTGAGAAATGGAAACTTGGCTCTGGGCTTGGCCAGGGAGATGGGTTTTCCAATCTGTTGGATCCAGCGGCCAATGTCTGGAAACACATTTTGGAATGTTCATGCTCCAATCCTATTCCACAAATCCTCAGGCGTGGAATCTTCCTGGCTGCAGAACTGTTCTGAGGGGGGAGACATACTTCAGGGGTGCAGATACCTGGAACCATCTCCCTCAGAATAGACCCTGCCAACTGAAGAAAGCATCTCAAGCCTTTGGAGACATCAGAGGAGTGGAGGAAGGGGGGAAGTGGGTGATCGTTAACATCTTATAACCAGCACTAGGGATTCCAGAAGGTTCCTCAGGTGACCACTGTGGTCTCCATCCGTGGTCTTTGCTGTTATCCTCTATAGAAATGGGGAGTGTTTCTTCTCTTGGGGTGAAGGCACAACAGCTATTTTCTCTTACACTTTTCTGTACTTTCCAATTTTTTTTTTTGCAATGAGCATATATCACATGTATAATCAGAAAATTATAAAGGTAATTTTTAAAAGGGGTAGCAACCCAAGTTGGCAAGAATGTGGGAAAACAAGCATCCTGATAAATTATTAGTGGGAATTTAAATGTGTACAACCCTTTAGAAACTATTTGATAACATCTTTTCAAATTAAAAGATTCATACCCAGGCACTCCAAGTCTAGGAATGTGTAAGGATAAGCATAAGGATGCTCAGAACAGCACTGCTTAGGCACCAGGGGCAAAATATTGACCCATAAGTGACCACAGCTTCACTCCATCAACTCTTTTAAGGAAACTTCTGTGTCCGTGCCTTTTGTGGAGATGACAGGGCAAGAGAAGCAAGAGAAATGGAAGAGGCCGAGGGCAACTTTTATTTTCATCAGAAAAGATTTAGAATTGCCTGTGACAAATAGAAAAGAGCCCCAAAGGCAGGGGAGCCCCGGGGAAAGAGGTGAGCATTGGAGTTTTGAGGGAGATAGTACAGAGTGACTGGGAAGTAGAGAGTAAGAACTACAGGGTACTTCTAGAAAGTTGTACTCCCTGTTACGTAATGAGATCGCCTATCATCGAAGAGCTTCCAAAATTTTAAAGTTGGCTTTCATTTTACTCAGTAGTCAACGACTTAGCCTCATGTGGAAATGTGACTGATTTGGGGGTGTCTTAATGCCTCTTGGATCCTGTTTCTGGGGTCCTGGGGTTTGGCAATAGGTTGGGGGAAGACTTAGTTACAGCATCCCTCCCTAGCCTCCCAGGATGACCCCAGCCCACCTTCTCAGCCTTTTAAAGCCACCCCTGCCCTGACAACCTTCATGGTTGTCCATCCAAGCCAGGGCAGGGGGACCACATGGAGGCCCTTCAATTACAGAGTGACTTGGCAGGGTTTTGTGGATAAATACCATGTTAACATGGAGATAATGACAGGCTCCTCTGCGTGACAGGGTCATTACACTTAATAGTCCACAGGTAGAGCCAGGAACCCAGCCCAAGGGCCAGAGGGGCAGTGACAAGCATCTGGCAGCCAGTGAGCCAGATAATTGTCACACACACACACACACACACACACACACACACACACACACACACTAATTACCCAATTACCCTCAGACTGCCCTGGTGATCTTGGGTAATTACAGTAGAAAATCCCTTCTGCTTTGCTTCTCTCTGCTCCGTTCTCTAGTGAGTCAGATACCTTTGCCTCTCATGCGTCAAACCTTGTTGATTTGCTCACAGAGAGGCTCCCACAGGCTGTGTGAAGGATGTGGTCAGGCGGAGGCCAGGATGTGTGCAAAGCACTTTGACTAAAACCAGAGGTACTGGAGTTGGAAACAGGGAGGAATTTTCAAACTGTGGAGTTCCTGGAGTTCTACCAGGGGCTACAGAAAATGCCTAGAAAACCAGACTGGGAGAATTGAGGATGGCAGCAGGGATGAAAGCAATGGCCTCTCTTTTTGGTCTTAAATTGTATACATGATTCATTCTCATATCTCAGGTTCCAAAAGCAGGTGTTCCCCTTCATCTTGGCTCAGCTCAATCAGGAATTCTCCATTGTTGCAAGAGAACTAGATTTCCCATAAATGACATGGAAGTATCTTTATTGAAAAGTCTTTTTTTTTTTTTTTTTTTTTTGAGATGGAGTCTTGCTCTGTCGCCTGGGCTGGAGTGCAGTGGCGTGATCTCGGCTCACTGCAACCTCTGCCTCCCAGGTTCGAGCGATTCTCCTGCCTCAGCCTCCTGAGTAGCTGGGATTACAGGCGTGTGCCACCACAGTGGACTAATATTTGTATTTTTAGTAGAGATGGGGTTTCACCATGTTGCTCAGGCTGGTCTCAAACTCCTGACCTCAGGTGATCTGCCCACCTCGGCCACCCAAAGTGCTGGGATTACAGGCATGAGCCACCGTGCCCAGCTGAAAAGTCTTAATATTGCATTATTATCTCAAACGCAAAGTATTGCATTGATCTGGCTTCAGAGACTTTGCTTGCTATTCCATAGGCCTAGCATGCTCTTCCCCAAATACTTCTATGGTTTACTCACTTCATTCAGGTCTCTGCCCAAATTATACCTCATCAGAGAGCCCTTCTCTGACTACTCTATCTAAAATAGCATATCCTCTCATTTGCTATTCCCTTATCCAGTGTGGTAGATTAAAAGTGATCACAAATCCTTTGCAGCTTCTCCTCTCAAGATGTGACATCTACCTTGGGCTGGGATGGCCTTGTGACTGGCATGGTCCAACAGAATGAAATGGAAGTGATATAGTGTGACTTGGTCCCTAATCACATGAGGCCTCACAGCCTCTGCCTTTGCTTTCTTGGAATGCTCCCACCACTATGTAAGAAATTCCAGACTAGACTCTTGAATGATGAGGGCCATGTGGATACAGAAGACCAGCCGACAACCAATACCAAGGGCCCAGACATATGAGTGGCCTCCCTAGACCTCCTAGACCTAGTTGAGCGTCCAGATGACTACAACCTCATGAATGAGCCCAGGGGATGGCTCCAGCAGAAGAACCAACCTGATGAGCCAGGAAAGCCATAATTCATGAAGAATAATAAAGTGATATTTTAAGCCACTAAATTTTGGGGTGATTTGTTATGTAGCAATATAGAATGAGACAGCTTCCGTTCTTTCTTCACAGAACTTAGTCACCTGACATATATTTGTTTATTTTCTTCTCACCCAATTAGAATGAAAGCTTCTTGAAAATAGAAACATTGTTTCATATTCTAAACACCAGAACAATCCTGGCGCATAGCAGGAGCTCAACAAATACTTGATAGATGAAGCAATGAAGACATCTAAATAAATTGATTAATGAAAACACTAATGGACTCTTAAGAGAATCTACAGTATTTGGGGGAACGTCCTTAAGATTTTGAGGTTGATGTTGCAAAAGGCACAAGATAGTCCTGAGTGGCTTGCCTGGGGCCACAGAGACCATGGGATGGTTTCATGTGACTTTGCTATCATTGAGTCCTTATACAGTTCATTGGACCCATGTCCAGGCAATCCATTGAGTAGTTCCAGCCCTCCTTGGCAGTTTCTGGTCAGGAATTTTGCAGGAGTGGCCTAACAGACAGTAGCAAAAGACATATGGTAAAAGGCATGTGAACTACAAGTCTATTTTTGTCGAGAAATGGGAAAGAATAAAAACTGTGCAAAGGTCAAAGAGAATGCTGCAAACTCCATGCCAATGAGGTGGCCGGAGTTTTCCCATTTGGACGTCTACACAGATTTTATGACCTGGGAAATTGCCAAAGTCCTGCTTCATATAGTACCATGTAGATGTAATCTGTGGCTCTAATTGTCCAGGGAACATGTCTTTGCAACTCTCTCCGCTCCTGATGGATTCAACTCAGTGCAATGAACATTTGTTGCCTCCTTGCAATACACAAAGAATTCTGCTGGGTAAAGTGGAAGGTAGAGAGATGGGTTTAAAAAAAAAAACCCACTCCTATCTAGACAAATGCACAAGATAATGAAAGAGCATCTTTGACATGACTGTGGAGAGCACACGAAGCATCAGGACCTTCACAGACTGCAGTGATCACACAGAGCTGGAAAGACCATGAGGGCTTCATGGAAATGTGACATGTGTCATAGAACAGCAAGATTTCAATATGAAGGGATGAATGGATCAAGAAGAGAGAGCATGACTTAGAGGAAGTGAGTGCTGTGGAGTCGTGTTTGGAAAAGAGCAAGCAATATCGCTTGGTTGGAGCAAAGGGCAATACTTGGAGGTAATTCTAGGGGGCTGTCTCCTCTGGACTGCTATACACTTCTTATCTGCTGTCCCTGCCTCCAAGTCATCCATATGATAACATTGGTTGAGCACTGTCTGTGTGCCAGCCACTAAGTGTTTTGACTGAATAATCTCTTAATCCTCCCAACAGCCTCAAGAGGCAGTTACTGCTATTATACCCATTTGACAGTTGAGGAAAGCGAGGCACAGAGAGATTAAATTAGTCACTCATATCACACAACTGATACCTGGCTGTGGCAGAGTCTACTGTCTGTAAGTAAAAATCTACTCTCTCTTTTCTCCATAGCTGCACTGACCAATACAATAGCCACTAGGCATGTGTGGCTATTTAAATTAACTACAAATAAATAAAATGTAAGATTTGGCTCTCAGTTTCACTAGCCACACTTCAAGTGCTCAGTAGCAACATGTGGCAAGCAACTATCATATAAGAACAGATGCAGAACATTTCCGTCAACCCAGAAAGTTCTACTGGGCAGTGCTGGCTTATCATAATAGGAAGAATGCCAGGAATGGAGCAAGAGTGGACTTCTCAGCCTCCTTCACAGTAGGTGTGTCAGAAGTGGTGCATACTGTATCTAGTCCAGGATTTATAAAATAGACAACTTGTCTCCTCACTGGTCTCTCTACCCTTCCACCAGCTACAGGCCAAAAACAATGAGGCCCTGGAGGTGGCAAGCTCCCAAGAAGCCAGATCCCTGAGTCATCACATGGATGAGGCCACCTGCCAAGAAGACACACTCTCCTTAGACTGTTACATGATCCAGAAATAAACTTCTATTGTGTTTGTGCCATTATACATGTTTCAGTCTATATGTCACAGCCATTTAGCCTACCTGAACTAATTCGGTGTCACAGCCAGGATTTGAACCCTGGCAGTGTGAGTCTGAAGCCCACACTCTTAGCTACTACACATCTGCCGGAAAGATCTTTTTAAAATGCAAAACTGAGTCTGTCACTCTCCTGTTGAAAAATCTGGAAAGGCTTCCAGAACAAGGGCTTACAGACAAAATCCAAATCCCTTAATGGGCTCCGATGCCCTTAACTAATCCCTCAGTTTCATCTGCCATTTCAGCCCTTAATGGGTTGTGCCATTTTCACACCCTTGTGTAGTTACTTGCGCCCCTCATGCCCTCAGCCTGAAATACCCTTTCCCCACATCCTCAGCTGTTAAAATCCTAGTCATCCTTTGAAGTCCGGTCCAACTATACCTTTCTCCCTCAATCCAACCCAATCCCTGTAGTCAGAATGATTCACTCACTCTCTTGGAACTTTTCTGGGATTTTCGTCCTCTGCATGCATAGCATTACAATGGTAATAATAGAGGATAATAGTAATTACTATGTAATAGTCATGGTTCTAGTGATTTGCATATATTAATTCATTTAATTGCCATGCCAACCCTTTGAGGTAGGTACCATAATGGCCTCCATTTTGGAGATGAGAAACTGAGGCACAGAGGGAGATAATCACTTGACCACAGTTCCACAGCTAGTATTAGAAGGGCGGGGATTGAAGTCCAGGCAATCTGAGTCCAGAGTTGGGTTTTCTGCATGCATATTGTCTCCCCAATGAGACAGGAAGCTTGCTGAGGTTGGGAAGCATATGGGTTCACTTTTGGATCTCCCACAGCACAGGCACAAGGCCACATATGTGAATGTTCATTGTTGTAGATGATCATTTGAGTCCACTGTGCAGGGTCTCAAGATGGGGGCTCCTTTGGCCTTGGTAGCTGGCTGCTTCATGGCAGTGTCTTGGCCTTTGGGATTAGACTCTAACATGCAGACCAGGCTCAGTGTGTATCTTTCATTGCAGGATGGCTTATGATGCCCTAAACTTCAGCAGGAAAACTCATCCATGGCTTAATAGACTATTATCTTTAACAGCCCACAATCAGCCAGAAGCCCAGGAAGAGTTCATTGTTCTGTCTCCTGCTCCCGGGAGCTAGAAGCAGAGGGGGAAGGACTGAAGTTAAAGAGAAACCACTTCCAACTCCAGCCAGAGCTCAGTCTGGAAGCTGCAGCTGTCCATAGCTAAGACACCCCTTCATCTGCTCAACTGTTTCTAGCCAAATCTAATCAAAACAAATGGCAAATCCATGCAATCGGTAAAAGTAGCTGAGAAGGCAACCCCAGCCCTAAGCTGTTCAAGGACCCACATGCCTAATTTTCTCTTTTCCATCAGGCTGTGCAGAAATGGCCAACTTCAGAGATCTCTGAGGAGCCTCCCTGTAGATTCAGCTGTAGATTCAGACAACAGAGCTGGCAGGATTTTACAGTCATCCTGTCCAGTCCCTTCTTTTGCTTTTTATTTTTTATTTTTTGAGACAGAGTTTTGCTCCTGTTGCCCAGGCTGGAGGGCAATGGCGCGATCTCAGCTCACTACAACCTCCACCTCCTGGGTTCAAGTGATTCTCCTGCCTCAGCCTCCCAAGCAGCTGGGATTACAGGCATGCACCACCACACCCTTGTATTTTTAGTAGAGATGGGGTTTCTCCATGTTGGTCAGGCTGGTCTTGAACTCCTGACCTCAGGCGATCCGCCCACCTCAGCCTCCCAAAGTGCTGGGATTACAGGCGTGAGCCACCGCGCCTGGCCCCCCTTTTTTTTATTGATGAGGAAATGAGCTTGGAGAGAGGAGGTAAATTGCTGCAAGTCCCAGAGCCAGGACTCAAACTCAGGCCTCTTGGCTCCTGGTTTAAAACACTTTCCTATATTCTACACAGAGTTGGATCCTGGCTAGGCTCTAAATAGCAGGGCTAACAAAAAAATTTTAGGGAGAGAGGATAAATGGACGTGGAGGATTGGGCTTCTGCAGGAGTTTCTTTTGATGCTTATAAGCATGTCAAAGCCAAATAATTATGATTTGGAAGTTAGATGTCTTTTTGTATGTTATCTGTGTTAGAGAGAGTTCTTGCCTTCTGTGCACCAACAGGATCATCTTGAACAAATCTCTTAATTTTCTTAGCTCATTTCTTCACCTGTAAATGGGACATACCCATTGCATAAGATTGCTCTGTTCACCTGGTCCAGAGACTAGCACAGAGTAGATGTTCAAATAATGCCAATTCCTTTGACCTCTTCCTTTTACTAGACATAAGCTACTAGAACAGACACTTTCATTCTTTAGATACTACAAAAGTCAGCATGCAAGTTGGCCCATCCCCTTTTCATAGCAATTAAGAAAGATGAATATCATTAATTGGGTTTCCACTTACATTTTTATTCTCAAGGCTAACATTTGTGTTTATTACTGGATCACAGATAAGGGTACATGAGGGAATATGGGTGAGCCTAGCTCCCCAGTGTGAAATGCAAAACACAGAAATTTTGGAGAGATTGTAAACTCTGAATTGCCTTTTATCTCCCAAAGGCCTGGAACAAAGGCAAGCTAGCACAATGAATACATGTCTTAATTGCTTTTCTCATACTGCAGACAGAGCCTCTGTCCTAAATATGACTCCACGTGCTTGGGGCAGATGACTGGGTGAGCCAGGAACCAACCAAAACTTTAAAACTAATAGTATTGTTTTACCTTCTAAACAATCTACATAAAAGGCCACCCATTAATAAATGCAGCAATGAGTAAAGCTGTCATTAGCTTCCATTGAGAGACACAGATACAACCTCCCTCCTTCCACCTACGTTCTCTTTCTTGCCAGAGAGAAAATTCAGAATCTACCTGAAGCAATAGCAGTGCTGATTTTAATGAAAATGACTGATCTCTGAGATTGAGATTACTTGTTGCCCTGCCCTAATGAAGCACCTGGAACCACAGAAACCTAGAATTAGAAGGGTGGTAAAAAGTAATAGTCCAACCTGCCCCCAAAGAGGAATCATCTCTGAGATTCCGGCCCAATTGGGGATCCAGTTTGTACTAGAACTATCTAAAGGGCAAGGCACTCACTGACATGCTGGGTGTCTGGTGCTGTCACTGTTGGGCCACTCTGCAGATTACGTAATCCTTCCTTACTGTCAGCTGGAGTGCCCGTCTTCACTTCCCTGCTTGGCCCTCATCCTGTCAGCTGGAAGAGCATAAAATGTAATCTGCCTTCCAAAGATGATCATTGTACTCTATCCAAGGCTTGTCTTCAGTTCTTTGAATCACATTTTGTGACACTTCATACTCTCACCACCCTCCCCAGGAGAGCCTTTGCCACGCTTAAGATATGGCACCCAGAACAGGATCCATCAGACCTCTGGATGCAATCAGACCTCTGGATGCAATCAGACCTCTGTAGGCAACATCCCTCTCACCTGGATGTTTGGGGCCCGTTAATGCAGGCGACCTGAAGGCTCTGAGGTGTTCCTGACCACAGCAGAATGTGGCCCGATAATCTTTCCCAGAGACTTGGACCTGTTGGTCAAAAGCTGGGGTCTTGCAGTTCTGAACAACTGGCTTATGGGAAGGTGACCTGGACCAAAGGGAGGGCCAAGGGACCATCCTCGTGGGTTCAGTCCATATCCAGGCCATTTCTCCAAGACAGCATGGGACACCTGTGCCAGCTCCTGGGCTGTGATAGGACTGACTAGAGGACACTTACATCTAGGGCGCAGAGGAGAGGTCTGGGCTAGAGACTGCATATCTCGGAGTATAGATGTGACTGCAGCTGGGAACAACCTTAGATGTTAGACGGTCCAATGCCTCCCAGTACAGATGGGGAAACTGAAGCCCAGAGAGGATAAAGATTTGCCAGGAGCCATAAATCTATTTGTTGAAATATTTGTTCACCAAACATTTATTGAGTACCTTCCCTGTGCCTGGCACTGGGTCAAGTGCTGCAAAGACAAAAGTGAACAAAACTCATGGAGCGGTAAGGGGCAGGCAATTAAGTGAGTAAATACATTATTAGGATATCAGATTGCGGTGCATGCTATGGAAAAAAATTAAGTAGAAAATGGAGAGTGCTGGGAATGGAGGTTGCAAAGTGGTGACCAGGGAGGATACTTAAAAGGTGACATTTGAGCAAAGTCCTGGAGGAGGTGAGGAAGTAAACCATGTGGATAATGGTGGAAAGAACATTCCAGACAAAAGGAAAAGGCTTGATGCAGGAACAAAAGTAGTATATTCAAGGAGGCCATCGTGCCTGGACTAGATTGAGGAGGGGGTGACACCAGAGAGGCGGCAAGGGGCCACAGCATCTGAGGCCTTGTAGACCAGTACAGAATGTTGGCTTTTTTTTTTCTGGAGTATGATGAGGAATCACTGGAGGGTTTGGAACAGAAAAGTAACATGACCTGATTTGTATATTAAAATAGTCATTCTGGTTGTTGTGTTGAAAACAGATTGTAGGATGACAAGAATGAAAGCAGAGTGACCAGATAGAAGGCCACTGCAATAACCCAGGTGAGAGAAGGATGGCGGCTTGGAGCATCGTGGTAGCAGTGGAAGGGGTGAGACGTGGTCAGATTCTTAATATAGTTGGAAGATGGGGCCAATGGAGTTTGCTGACAGCTTGGATGTGGGATGTGAGAGAAAGAGAGTTGTTTTGGATGACTCCAAGGTTTGGGCCTGAGTAACTGCAGGAGTAAAGCTGCCATCACTGAGCTGGGGAAGACTTCTGGTGGGATGGGTTCAGGGAAAGACTCCGGGGTTTAGTCTGGAAGTCTGGATATTTGTTAGATATCCAGTGAGCATGTTAAGAAGGCCTTTGAATATTTAAGTCTGGAGTTCAGGAGATAGGTCTGGGCTGGAGTAATCAGCAAACATACAAGACCAGATGAGAACATGGAGGGAGAGAAGCGTAAACAGAACTTGAGCCTTGGGAGAACTTGAGCCTTGGGACATGCCAAGGTTAAGGGGTTAGGGTGATGAGGTCAGAAATGCTGGTAACAGTGCATTCATGTTAAGTTTAAAAGAACTCAGGACTTCTGATCTAGAACCCTTTAGTCTCTGTGATAGCAGGGACTACACTTTGTTGTTCATAAATGTTTTACCAGTGCCTATAATGGTGGCCTGGCATATACTAAAAACTTAATAAATATTTATGGAATGAGTGAATATAAAGAAACAGAAGAAAAGAGAGTGGTAATCTTTAATTCTTACCAGCTCCTCCTTCCTACAGATATGGGAGGGCCAGACCTGAACTTTGTTTCCTCTCCATTACATCTACTACGGAACCTGTGGGCCAAGCTTCCCACCCCCCTTAACCTCTCTTCCTCTCCATTCCAGACCAGCTGGCTGGGGTGCCTGGAGCAGTCGGCAGAGGGGGTAGAGTTCACAGTGGAAGTTTTGTCCCCATTGCCAGCAGGGGAGGGAGAGGCAGCAATGACAGGAGCAGTGACCTTGGCTACCCCCCACACCAGGGCAATGGGAAAAGGAATGTTGTGCTGGGAAGAACTATTAATAACTCGTCACGGTCACAGAACGCAACACAAACTCATTGGGCAGCTCAATTTTCTGCCTGTTTAAAGTGATTAGTGGTTCTGCGGGGGAAGCCAGAAAAAAAAATTTTTATATGGAGCAATAAATTCCTCTATAAGCCACAAAACCCTACAAATTTGCAGCTAATAAACCCACAAATGTAAGATGATTAAGAACTGGCAAGGAAAGAGAGTTCCTTGATTCTTAGCCTCAAGAGGCAGTGTGGTCTGATGGGCTGACGCTGGGCCAAAGGCAGAGAAACCCAAATTAAAATCCTGGCTCTTAATTAGCTGGGTGTCCTTGGGCAAGTCATCCACCTTCTGTCTCAGTTTCCCCATCTGTAACATGAGGATACACAATTCCTGCCTTGTCTTTCTCAACAAGTGATTGGGGGATAAATAAGATATGAGACAAGACAGCCTTTCAGAAAAAAAATATTTCTAATTCTCTTAACTGCAGGGAATTATTTGCCCAGTGACTAGTGGGATGATCAGCACTTACCTTGAGATATGAAGGCAAATTTGCGAGATTCATCTGGACCCCTGCCCCAACCTATCAGCCTATCCCCAGAGGGCTCTGTCATGGAGCCCGCCAGGATAGCTGTAGAGTGGGTTGAATTATATGTAGCCCCCAAAAGATATGTCCAAACCTGGTACCTGTGAATGTGAGCTTATTTGGAAAGAGGGCCTCTGCAGAAGGAATTAAAAATCTCAAGATGAGATCATCCTTGGTTAACAGGGTGGGCCCCAAATCCAATGGCAAATGTTCTTACAAGAAGAGGAGACACACAGAGGAGAGACACAGAAGAAAACAAAAAAGGCAACGTGAAGATAGAGTAAGAGATTGGAGTGATGGGTCTACAAGTCAAGGATTGCCACCAGACACCAGAAGTGAGGTGAGAGGCATGGAATAGATTCCGCCTCAAACCCTCCAGAAGGCACCATCCCTGCTAACACCTTGATTTTGGACTTCTGACCTCTAGAACTGTGAGAGAATAAGTTGCTGTTTTTTTAAGCCACTAAATTTGTGATAATTTGTTATGGCAGCCACAGGAAATTAACACAGTAGTCATGCCTTGACTGCCTGGAAATTCCCATCCATCCTACAGAGGAGATGAGACACAGCATGGACCACTGTGAAATGACACTTCTGGGTAACATCCTCCCGGCCACCTTAGGACACATTCCATCCAACATTAAATGGGAGGACAGGAAAGGAAGCCGACATAAATCAAGCACCTATAATGTTCCAGGCATCACGTGAAGTCATCTCATTTAATGCGATCCTTGCCAACAATCTTCTCAATTGAAAACTATTATCCCCATTTTCTATCTGTGGAAATCGAGGCTCTTGAGAAGTCAGGTGACTTGCACCTGTCACATGCTGGTGGCAAAGCCAGGATTTGAATCTAAGTCTGCTAAGTCAAGATGAATCCTCATTCTACCCTGGGAAGAACCCTGAGCCCTGGGAGGACCTCGATGGAAGTCCACCTGGTTTCCTGTCCCTGGCCAAAGGCTGACATCAGGGCCAGGAGTAAGGGGTGGCCAGATACTCTCAGAACCAAGTCAGAGCCAGTTTCCTGTTGGCATTAATGGTTTCAAAGACACACACAGAGAGGAACATTTTCTAGCTACAGTTGCTGTTGAAGTAAAAATGTTCTGTGGAAACAGATCACCAGAGCATCCATCACCAGAGGAGATTTGATGTGGAAGGTACAATTTTGTATTATAAGGCAGAATTCAATACATTTCTTCTTTGCCCTCTTCCTGTCCCAGGCCCCTGTTGAATGCTGGTCCTGATTTAGAGAGAGAGCTGGGGCCAGAAGATTTCTGTTCTCACTATGGCCCCAGGCTCTCCTCCAAAGGGAAGTGTCCAGCCAGCACAGGGCTCCAGTTGGGCCTGATTTGTTTAGTGAGGTTATAACAAGGCCCAAGGAGCATCACCCAGGCCCAAGAGAGGTGAGACACTATTGTCCCCGGGGTCCATCCTGGGCCCTGTCCCCTCCTGGGTTCTAGCTGAGATTCAGCCATCAAGTTCCCAGATCTAGAGCATGAGGGTGGGCCCTTTAGGATGCAATTGTGTTTGCTCGACCTTTTTTTTTCTTGCGAAGATTTTCAAAGATCATTAGCTGTCAGGCTAGACTAGCTCGTCATGGCCTCCAGGCACACATTTCCAAACACTGACCTAGGGTTTCAGGTCCTGAGACCTCCTGGGAAAACCTTCCTAGAAATGTTCTTCACCATGCTCTCTTATCTCTCAGCCTAGATACCTGGGAAGTCCTATGATTGATCTGACCTTGACGGAGCTAGTGCTAAGTGAAGCAACGTATTACAAAGCAAGAGGTATGGTTTCTAGTGGTTTACCGTCACTTGCAAATTACAGTGACATGGGCAACTCACCCCCAAATACCTACATTTGGTCTGATCTGGTTAAGTGGAAATACTACTTCACAGTCTGGGGACTAGACCACCTCTGATTCTCAATTTCCCAGCAAGTTCGGGTCATCCTCATTGTGGAAGTAGAAAGGAGTTGTGGATGCAGGATGGAGCATGACCTGTCTGCTTCTGGCTGAGGTTTCTTGGCAAAGTCTGGAATGATGATGACTACATCAGGAGAAATGTCCTGGGAGCTTCCTTCCTACGAGGTCAGACTTTCCCAGAGGGCAACAAGGTTTCTGTAGGAAGGGGGTGGGGCGGGTGGAGTTGGCACGATTTGTTCTGCTAAACAAGAGAGGTCTTAACAGTGCCCATCCCCTGAACCCTGCCCAAATGACTTGGATTTGCTGGCTCTTTTGGAGTAAAAGAGAGCATGGTGTATGTCTCTCACACTTTCTCCCCATCTCTGAGGTAGCCCATTGTGCAGATGAAGGAAGTGAGGCTCACAGAGGTGAAGTTACTTCCTCTGGCTGACCCAGCTTGCAGGGGCAAAGCCAGGGTTGGAAGCCAAACAGCCTGGTCTCCAGAGCTGAGGGCATAACAGAGGGTGTGTTGCTGCAGGTGCATTTGTGATGGGCATTTCTGTGCTGTGCTGGGTTGTGGGGTGGGGCTGCCTACGTGGAGTGAGGGTCATGTAGGGCTTGAAACATGTGGCACGTGTGCTGCACGTGCACATGATTGGCTGTGCAGTTCCAGATGCCTGTGTGACCACGTGTGTGCATGCCCGCACCTGGCCCCTCCTCCCCAGGTGGTATGGCTGGGGGCCGCTTTCCCCACTTAGAGGAGTCTGCAGAGGAGCCAAACCACAGCTCCAGCCAAACCGCAGCTTGGGCCGCAGGGGTTTGATCTTCCCTCTGCTGCCGGAGATGAGAGAAGTCTAAGTGGCAGAGATTTATGGGGCCTGAGGGAGAAATACCCTTCCAGTGAGAAGCTCACATGAAAAGCTCCAGAGACTGCAAAGCGTGCCAATTATGCAACAATTAAAAGGTTTGACTATCATTTCTTTCTCCTTTTATTCTCCCATCTACTCCTCCCCCTGCCACATCTGGCTGCCCCTGCAGGCTCCCCAGCAAATGCTCTGGGGAACAGAGGATAAAGAACACACTTTTCCCCTTTTTAATTGGAGATCAAAAGTTGGAAGAAGAACTCACCCCTCAAGGGCAGGAAGAAGGGGGTATTGTTGAGATGGAGGCCCTCAGAGGAGGAGATGGGAAAGGAGAAAGGAGTGTAGGGCAGGCTCCTATACAGCTTGTCAGGGTTTGTAAGAATTTTACACACATCATCTCACTTAATCCACAGGCCAACCCTGTAAGATTAGTTAACTATTACTGGCATTATGTTTCAGATTAGAAAACGGAGACTCACAGAGGCAAATGATTTTACCAAGGTCACACAGCTGGTAGAAGTGGCACTGTACCCCAGGCTGTCTGATGCCAAGGGCTTTGCCACCAGGCTCCTAGCCTTGGCTTTCCCATTGGTAAAGTGGGTGCAGGCCCTGGGCTTTGTGTGATGGAATCAAGTGCTCCTGTAGATGAAAGGTACAGTGGGCGCTTAGCGGCAGGATTGCTCTGTAATTCAGCCAGCATCAGCTGAGCCAAATGCCCTGCGCGGCAATCCAGTGGCTAATTGAGAAAGAATTAGGCAGTGTGCCCCAAAAGTGAAGAAACAGCTGCTAGTTGGTTTTTTAGAGGCGCCAACACATAGTCAGTGTATGTACCCCCTCCCCACCTGATTTCCCAGCAAAGCTAACAGCGCCCACACTCCAGGGTTCATGGCATTGGACTCCCTCCTGCCCTGCTCATCCATGGCAACTCCAAACACTGCCCTAAAAGCTCTTATATCTCCTGAGGGAAGGTGGCTGTGGGCACACAGGCTTTTGCAGGGTAATGAGCACCATCTCTTACATCTAGGATTCCCCCAAACAGCTGGCACATAGCAGGCTCACACAGTTCACATTTGACCCAGACAAAAGAGGACAGCAGGCTCTCCCCCAGGGACTTTCATGTATGTTTTCTCATTAATGCACCCTAGATCTGCTCTGTCTCTAACTGAGGGAGTAACTCTGGGCAGGCCATGACACCTCCCCGGACATCAATTTTCTCAGATGTTGATTGAGTGGGCTAGACTGTCCAGAGTTAACTGCCCAGCTGTCTATGACAGCTAGAGAGGGAGGAACATGTAGCCCAAGTCACGCACAGTGGCAGGAAGAGGTTCCAATTTTCCTGCCTCCAGGCTGGGGCATGTCCCCCACACCTCAGTCCTCAGTCTTCCGGAGGGTGAGCATGCCGGCAAAGCTGGGCTGGCTCTGCCATTTCTCCCGCTTCAGGCTAAGCCCAAGAAAGCAGCCACACTTCTGGGTCTTGTGCCCACAGGAAAAAAGAGTGGAGCTTGGGTCTCAGCCTCCCTATTACTTTTCCCTGCACCACCACAAATGCCATTAGCCCAGGCCTCCTGGGATAAGTTTTCCCAAATGGTTTTCCCCAGTACATTGCTTCCCAGATCACAGCTTGACTCAGCATTTTCTCCTCTGCTGCTTCGGATTCTTGAAAACCCCTCACCTCAGGATTGATGTCCTGGGGTATATGTGGGAGGGGGTGGAGAATAAGGGGGGTTGGTTATGGAGGGCAAGGTGGAGCAAGTGGGGGGTAAGAGAAACTGTGAGCATCCCCCTGACACCATGAGCTCTACCCCAACCTCAGTGGCTCATACTTGGTGACCTGGGGGTCCTTCTCTCCCCATCGACCCTCTCCGAGGCCTGTACCAGGTGGCCATGGCAGCCAGCTCCCTCATGGATGCTGAGGGACCCCAGCTGGCAGAAACGGCCACACTTGGAGAGCCCAGCCAGTTGTTTGCTCAAGTGGGGCCCACTCAGCCCACTGTGTGGGGACTGGCAGGACTCCACAGGAAATGATGGGAGGGTTTGGGTGTATTCTGACCTTAACTGAATTCCAGGATGATGATGTGTGAATAATATGGCTTTTTGAGAGTCAACAGCTTGGGTGCTTCTTATAGTAAGGCTAGAGTGCTCAATGGGCCATCTCCCCATTAATCATTTAGCTAGTTCGATCAATTGGCAAACAGTCCCAGCATTACTCTGCAGTATTACTCTTCCTTCTGTCAGCAGCCACCCTTACACAGATGTCAAAACTGCCATCAAGTCAGCCCCAGCCCCACCCCCATGCCTTCTATTCCCCGGGCTTCATATTTTAATTCCTTGAGCTTCTTGCAGTTCCCATTTCTGTCCAGAATTTTCATTATTTTGGTGGTCTCTGCCCACAGGGAGATCCCAGGTTCCTACTCCCTGGGCCATTCTGAACTCCCAGAGGGCACATTCTGACCACCTGAAGGAGGAAGAAATTCATTCTCAGTGATATTCCAGAGAAAGTGCCAGGGAGGGGCATGTGGGTAAACAAGCCCGGGGCCAGACCCCAGCATCCCAGGACTGCTGGCTCTTCCCTCTGTGTGCTCCCTCCACTCCAAGACTCCAGGCTTTCATCACCAGGCAGGACAGAGTTTGACCAAGACCTCAAAACTCACAGTGTCTCCAGATTGTGCAGCCCCTCGAAGCTGTGGGTCCCCAGATGCTGGATGCGGTTGTTATGCAAATGCCTGCACGGGAAGGAAAGACGCATCAGAATGGGTGCCCACGGCACTGGGGCCAGGGGATGGAAGAGCACATGGTGGCATGGGGAAAGTGTAGGCAGAAGCATGGACAGAATGACCCTAATGGTCCATCCGTTTGTTTCCAGGAACAAACTGACTGGCCAAGACTGACTTCTGAAGCCACAATCTCCAAGGCTGGATTGACCACAGGCTACCCCATATTGATTTCCTATTAAAGGAAAAAGGGAGAGGAGAGCCTCAGGCCAAGGCTAAAGCAAGTTCCCCCTAAGCTCTAGAAGACAGGTCTGATGTCAGAGGGGCTCAAGTCTGAGGCTTCTTCTATGGCTGGGCTCCCCAGGACCCAGTCTGCCTGACTCAGTGGCCAGACGTACTTATGGGAGCCAACAGCAAACCACTGCAGTCAACATATAATTAAAGGCGAAGCTTTCTGTTACAACTGGAGAGAGCTACAGACACACTCAGAGAACAGGCAGATTGGTGAGGCCAGAGGAATCGAGGCAGGCTTTATAGAGGTGGTGATCCAGAGCAGGGCCTTGAAGGACAGGTGAACTGAACAAGCAGAAGGAAGGGCATTCCAGGCAAAGGGGGACCCGAAGTGATGCAGCTTGAACAACTGGACAGAGCTATCCAAGCATAAGCCGGAAAAAAACAACATTACATGGAAATTATGAAAACATACAACAGGGAAACAGAAAGCCAGAAGAAAGAGGATGCAAAAGACAGGCAAAGTTTTAAGCCTAGAAGAAAAGATGACTAATGAACCAGGAACACAAGGAAATTTATCACAGTAGCCTTCTGCTACAAAACAATCCAATAAAACAACATTTCAAAGATGAATGTTCTTAAGTGAAAGGAAAAATGACACAGTAGATTAAGGAAATAAGTTGAGGACCAACACTACATCACTTGAAAAAATGAGTCAATAAATTTAAAACAAGGGACAGTGCAGACACTGCTAAAAATTGAATTGGTGTCGGAGAGAAAACCTGAGATAATCATGGTGACTATGGTTGAATGAGACAAAAATGTTAAAACAAAAACTAAATGCTGAAGACATAAAGGTGATTTAACACAAACATAATTGATGTTTCTGGAGCAGAGAATCCAAAAATGAGACTGAAGATGTATTCAAAGACATAACACAAAAGAAATCTCTAAGATGATGAAAGAATGGAAGCTGCAGCTCAAAAGCATACATTGTTCCAGGATAATTAGATGCTGACTATTCCATACTGTGACATATCCTAGTTAAACTATTAAATTCAAGAATTTAAAAACATCTTCAGGCAGAAGAAGGAAATCACTGACAAGGGGAAGAAAATCAGGCTGGCCTCCAAGATGTTGTTCAAATATAAAGGCAATGGGCAGGCCTCACCCAACATAGATGGGTAAGGACGGGACTCCTGCGAGCCTGGGGATTTAAAGCTTCTGTCTGTCTTCCCCATCCTTACCCACCTGCTCCATGAAGTTCCGTTTCAGGAGACAGACTCCTGTCCCCAGGGAGCTTCTGATCCAAAGGGGAAAACACTGCCTTCTGGGAGTGATCTCCCCTTACTGAGGAGTTTTAATTTTTCCCATTTCCTTCACACCTATAAACCAATTGTCATCAAACTCTATCATTCCTCTTACCTGCTGTTGAACTCCTGTCTCCATTTTCCACCCCCTTCTGCCTCCCCCAGTATCTCAGGTCCAGGCCATCTCAGCTAAACATCCAGCTCCAGGCCTCCAATTCCCTCCCCTAAACCACTCATTCAACCCTGGTGTCTTGGGCACCCCAAATGGTCCAGTCTGGGAGAGGTGTTGAGGTATATAGTCCAGATAAAGAGACAAGATTACACACATGACACCACTGCTGTCCAGCTACGTGCTACCTAAGGGTCCTGTTGGTGCCAGAGCAGTGGTGAGGGAGATTCCACATGTGGCAGAGCAGCCCGATGATGAAAGCTCAGGGTTGGGGTTGAAGAGAAGCCCCTTCTCCTCCACCCTGCTTGCCTGCTCACACCTCCAGCCAGGCCCCTGTACAACCCTTGATTTTAACCAAATATCTTTTTTGCTTCCCATCATATCCAGTCTTCCTTACCTTCCTCTTGGGCCTTCCTACAGCTCATCCTGTAGTCCCTGGACAGCATTCCCCAGCCTCCTGTCCACTTCACAGGTCACCTCCTGCTAGAAGCCTCTCTCCTCCATCCCATGAGTTGGAGGCAGGTGAGGGATGAAGGGGTAATGTTTCTAACCTCTCCCCATGCAAAGGGACCAGTTTTTCTCTATCAGCTTTGCTCCCGCACCAGTAGGTTTTCTTTCCTTAGTCCCTTGTCCCTCCTTGTCCTCAGTGGGCCTTCCCCTCAATCTCTCCTAGATCTATAACAGGCCTGACTTATAGGCCAATTCCTTGGCTCCCACCCAAACCTTGGAGTCACCCATGACTCCCCTTCTTCTTGGTCTTCTACCCTCTGAAAATCTCTCAATCAGGTCAATTCTTCCTTCAAAACAGCCCTCACAGTCATGCCTTCCCTTCCATCCCTTCTGCCACCTCCTTAAACTACTGGACTTTGATACCAAGAACCTCTGAACTGACCTTCCTGTCTCCAGTCTGCCTCGGTTCCAATCCAGCCTTCAAATTAATCTTCCTAAAATACTCCCTTTTAACCCTTGCCTGAAAACCTTCAAGCTTCCCTCCCACACGAGCAGAGAGAAGCCAAGCTCTCTGTTCTGACGTTGAAAGTCCCGACATGCACCTTTCCAGCTTCTTCTCCTGAGCTCTGCATGGGGACCCTCTGCTCCAGCCACACTGGCCTGGTCACTGGCAGCCAAACACGCTTACTCTCCCCTCCATGTCTTTATTGCTATCTGCTTGGAATGTCCCCATTCTCTTCATTTCATCATCTTTCCAGGCCCAGGTCCCACCCCACCTCCCCCAGGAAGCCTCCTTCCCCTCCACCTCAGCCTTCCCACCATATCTATGCTGCTATGAGTCTGAATTTATCATCTGGCTGTGTTAGCATAAGTTTCACTACATCATTTGTTATTTTTTTCCCATATTTATTCTGCTCTTTCAATTGGACTGAAAGCCCCTCAAGGGCAGTGGCTATATCTCACAGTTTTTTGAGTTTTCAGTACACCACATGGGGGCTCAATAAATGCCTGCTCCTTCTTATCCACCTGGGGCCAACCATGAAGTTCTTATTTCTCCAGTAATCTTATCCCTCACAGAGGCCTGACCCCACCCTCTCACAATGTCACGGGGATGTCACCAAAGTTAGAACCAATCACCTTGTTCTGTTTACCCTCTCTAAATACCCCCCCACCCTGCCCCGTGACTCCCAGAAGAAGGGAGGGTATGGCACCCTGACAGAAGAATATAGTCCACAAGGATATTGACCTTGGTTCTCCAGCTTCCCAGGACAGAGAATTAGACAAACAAATTGGTGCCTGCCTTTTCATCTCTCAAATGGAACTAGGTATCATCCATTCCCTGGTTTAGAAAATCACGCCAGATCTTCAAAAGCGGGGGGCGTGGGGGCAATGTTACCATCCAGTAGAGTCACTAACATGCATGTTCCTAAGCCATGTTCCTGCAGCAATTAGTGTGTAACCCAAAGCAATTATACATGACCTCCAAGCCCTTTTAGTAATTACCCTATGAACTTACCAATCATTCATAGCAATTAGCTGGGAGCTAATTTGCCCTCTAAAGTTCCCACTGGGGAGGCAGAGTTAACCCCAGTCCCCAATTCCTGCCAGGGATGCTATCTCCCAGGTAATTACAGTGATGGGGCTTTGCTGTCTAATTATAAGTGATGACTTTTCTCTGCTTCTTAAGGCCTGGGAAATGAGATGAATTTATCCCATCCCTGTGCCAAAGCATATGACTGCATCATCTAATTGTCAAATATGGTAGAAATTACTTAAGAAATTCTTGATTTATATTCCAGTTATCAAGGTATAGTTATTATATGTGCATGGCAAGAAAATAATGGCTTAATTCCTATTTTCTGATTATAGTACCCTGGCCCTTTAGTGACTCTCAGAGCACTTTTCAAGCTCTCATGTCATTTGACCTCATGATAACCCTATGGGATCAACAGGGAATGGTCATCCTCATGCTTTTCCAAAGGGAGGCCAGAAGGTTTAGCAACATGCAAAGAAGAGCAAAGCTAGCCAGGCTCCAATCCAACTCAAGTAAACATGCAGCCCCCAGCCCCCAGCAGGACCCCACTGGGGATGGGGAACAGAGCAGCACTCACAGCACCACAAGGCTGGTGAGATTCTGGAACGCGTAGTCGGGGATGTGGCTGATGCGGTTGAGGGCCAGGGTCATGGCCTGCAGGGCAGGGAGGTTGTTGAGGGCCCTGACAGGGATCTCCGTGAGTGCATTGTCGTCCAGCCAGAGGTGGCGGAGGGAGGACAGCCCCTCAAAGCTCCTCTCCGGGACCAGGGAGATGAGGTTGGCATCTAGGCGCCTGGTGGAAGAGAGGATGGAGAGGGGTCAATCCAGGGCAAGATGCAGACCAAGCTTTGGGGCTAGACTGGGCCAGCCAGGCCCTCAACAGGGCCTTTGAGGCTCCCTGGGACTAAAGTTGTGACTTGGCCACCATGTATCCTGTATCCCGCCTCTTCGAGTTCCCATATTTGGCTCCATTCCAACCCATAGTTCTTTTTTTGTTGTTGTTGGGAGACAGAGTCTCGCTCTGTTGCCCAGGCTGAAGTGCAGTGGCACAATCTTGGCTCACTGCAACCTCCACCTCCCACCAACCCACAGTTCTTGATCCTTCTTGATCCTCTACACCATATGTTTCTATGAATGACCCCACCTCTTCCTCTCAGACCCAAGGCTGAACCCATAGCCTGTTTGTGGATAGCCAGTATTTCCCTTCACATCCATACTCCCGGGCTTCCAAATCTATGCCATATTACCCTTGCTCTCTGAGTGTGACCTCGACCTTGCTAACTGTTCTATGATAGTCCAAGACCATATAATGGAGATGTTCTCAGCATTGGCAGAGGGAAATGTCCTCCCTCTGAACCGAACCAAAGAAAAATGCCTCCCCAAAAGGGTAAGCCCTTCCCTGTCACCCATCCCTAGCACCACCTGTTCCTTGTCCCTTCAAGGGCCCAGGGGGCAAGGGGCTCCTGCTAAAGTCCTGGGGCTTCTTGCTCAGTTGATGACCTCTAGGAGGCCCCTGCATGCCACAGTTGAAGTTCTTGATTAGCTGCCTCTCAGAACAGGTGAACAGATGGTGGGTGATCCTGCTTGTGCATAACCAGAGATTCTAGGGTGATATGAGGATTACTTATGGGAGCCCTAGAAGATCTTAGCAGCCCAGCAAAACAAGGAGATTTTTCAACCTTAGCTTTTTACACATGTGCCCAGGCCACGACAGCCTTTATCAACATGCTACTGTCTCTGAGCCCCAGGTTGGGACTTGGGCTGAACCCCTATTGCCCTAAGCAGATGGTCTCACAGGGACCAGACAAACTGACCTGTACCATGGATCTATTGCTGGACTTTCCTATCTTGAAGCGAGGCTTAGCCCTGAGCCATGGTCCTCCCACATAGCCATATGGCATTTAAGCCATGGAAACCCCAGCCTTACCCACAAAGGCCCTACAGCTCCATAATCCTGAACCCAAAGGAGAAGTGATATGATCAGTAGGGTGGGATGGGGTGATATTCTTTCATCCCAACAGCACAAGCCCCCTTGTAGAAGGTCCAGCAGTGCTTCTGTCTTTTCCCTGAGCATCTCATCAGTGCTCTCTCTGTGAAGACCTCAAGCACCACTGGGAAACACTCCCTAGTTCACCAGCAAGGGGGCCATGGGTGGATAGGCCAACACTGAAGTCTTGGGTGTGAAAGCACATTCACCAGGACACTCTTCAAAAGCTGTAGTTAGGAAAGACTTCCCACCCACATCAAACTTGACATGATGGGACCAAAAGCCCTTCAGTGAGTGCCCTCTGCTGGCAAGGCTTGTCACCTTGGACATGGTTCTCCAGTGGTGGCCGTCACACCCTTGATGGTCTGTGGCTGAACCACCCTGGGGAGCTTTGTGTTAATGTGGACTCCCATGGACCATCAGCCCCAGCATCACCTGGAAGCTTGTTAGAAATGCAGAATCTTAGGCCCCACCCCAGACTTACTAAATCAGAACCTGGATTTTAACCTGACTCCCAGGTGATTCATTGATTCATCAGCACGTTAATGTTTTTAAAGCACTGAGCTAGGTTTTCCAGATCTGATGCTCCAATCTAACAACCTTGGATTGCTGGAGAAGAGAGGAAGACTGAATGAGGATGTAGAAAGCCATTTCCTGCTGTGGTTAGTGCTCAGCTGGTCCTGGGAGCCCTCGTTCTTAGATTTGATCATAAATTACTCCAAGAGATGAGGGCTCTACCTCAACCTCCTGCATATATGACCAGAGCAGGCACTACATTCAGCTGTGAACTCGCAGCACCCAGCGCAATGCCTAGTTTGCAGATGGCACTCAATGTTTTTAAATAAATGGGCAATAAATAAATGAGTGAATACATGCCCTCTGAATCCTCTGCTTCCAAGCCTCAAACTGATGGCCTGACCAAGCACACCAGTAAGCTAGAGGAGACCTGGACAGCCCCCCTTACCAGGGATGGTCGAGGATCCTGGCTGTCCTGCTTTGACACCCCATTCTATTGTGGTGAGGGCTCTCACCTCCCGCTTTCCCCCGTCTGCAGATGCCCACCCAGCAGATGCCCAGACTCTCCTCCTAACCCTGGAAAGGCCCTTTCCATGGGAGCAGCATCTTAGTCCCAGATTTTCCAGAGACCACAGACAGATACCTAAGCCCTGAGTCCTGCTTAGGACCACACGGAAGAAGTCACATTTGAGATGGCCTTCTTAAGGTAGGATAGGATTTCAACAAGGAGAGATGGAAAGGGGTGTCATGAATGAGGGCCTTGAGGGAAGAGAATGCAGGTCCAGTGTGGATGGGGGAAGGGAACAGAGATTTTGGATATCCTTAAGAGGTCAAATTGATGACCGGGCACGGTAGCTCACGCCTGTAATCCCAGCATTTTGGGAGGCTGAGGTGGGCGGATCACCTGATGTCGGAGTTCGAGACCAGCCTGACCAACATAGCGAAACCCCGTCTCTACTAAAAATACAAAATTAGCCGGGCATGGTTGCACACGCCTGTAATCCCAGCTACTCGGGAGGCTGAGGCAGGAGAGTTGCTTGAACCTGGGAGGCGGAGGGTGTGGTGAGCCGAGATCACACCATTGCACTCCAGCCTGGGCGACAAGAGCGAAACTCCATCTCAAAAAAAAAAAAACAAAAAAAAACAGGTCACATTGATAAGGCCCAGCAACCCACTGGATGTGGGGCCAGGGAGGGGCCTGACACATCTCGCAGATCTGGGCCTTGCTCTCTGCTACTGCCTTCCTAATGGGTAAATTAACAGACCCAGGAAGCCTGACTCCCTAAGAGGGGCAGTACCTCCTTCTCTGAAGCTCAGGGCAGAGAACATCCCTACAGTGACAACCATGACACCAATAATAATCACTGTCTCCATTTATTGAGTCCTTGTCATATGCCAGGTATACAATACCAGGTACCGTGTCCTGTATCTTCTCAAAAATGCCATTGAGGTAGCTCTGATTAGCCCCATTTTACAGAGAGATTAAGCCCCCCAAGGCCCCACAACTAGTAAGCTGCAGGGCTTAAATCTGAACCCAAGTTGTCTAACGTCAAAATTCATGTGCCTCACCATTGTGTTGTGTTGGCACTGAGGTGCATGATGGGAGGTTAAGAACCTGCTCACCTGTTCACCTAGGTGTCCTGCCCAGGTGGGACACCAGGGCAGAGATTGTGGCTGAGCTGAGAAGATGGCCATGTACCATAAGGAGGTGCTAGGAGGCAGGCAGGAAGTGGGTCAGGGCAGGGCAAGGGGAAAACTTATTCTGTGAGCTCAGGGGGCACTTGGAAGTGGCCTTTGCTATGTATGTGCGTATGTGTGAGTACACACGTTTGCTGGCCACATGCATGTGCACGCTCACACATGTAACCTACAGTCCTGGTTAGTCCATCTCCTGCATTTTGTGTAACCCATAGGCAGGAGAGCTTGGGAAGGGCCCTTTTGCCAGGCTGGGCCGAGCATGGCACTGGCTTAAAACAGGGCCTTACTTTCTCAGCCTCTTAGGGAAGGGCTGGATGGGCTGAGCCTCCAGGCCTCTTTCCGCTCTGTCAGAGAGAAACTATCTTCTGTCCTGGCTCATGATATCCTAAGTGGCATGGTAGAGCAGCTGAGGGCTGGAGAGGGGAGGTGTTTGCTGCCCTGCTCCTGGTACTTGGGAACTGGGACACACCAAAGGAGAAAAGGAAGAAAACTGGCAAATGAAGAAGGTGGAATGAGCACATGGAAGAAATCGGCCAGGACTGTGTTTGTGTTTGGGATGAGCAGAGAGACGGGGCGTTTACACTCAGGCCAGGTGGGCTTGGGGGTGGGGCATGGACCCAGGGTAGCACTGCCAGATATAGCAAATAAAACAACATGCTACCCATTTAAATTTGAATTTCAGATAAATAATAATTTTAGCATAAATATGTCCTGTGTAATATTTGGGACAATGCCCAGTTAAATCTGAATTTCAGATAAGCAAGTATAAGTTTGAATAAGTCCCATGCAACATTTGTATTTTATCTGGCAGCTCTGACCCAGGGGGCTCCTGTGATGTGGAAGGTGTGGGCTTTGCCATCACACAGATGTAGCCACAAATACCCTCCTTTAACCTTTTGTGTTGCTTTCCTCAGCTGTATGGTTTGATGACTTGCCCACCCCAGAGACAGTGAGGACAAACACCCCCTTAGAGGGAGACTCCACGAAGCACAGAGGGGAGTGGAGGAGGCAGCAGGAGACAGGCGCAGTATTGGCTTCTATTAAACTTTCTCCTCTCTCCCCTCTCTCTTTTTTTTTTTTTTTTTTTTTGAGACAGAGTTTCACTCTTATTGCCCAGGCTGGAGTGCCATGGTGCAATCCCAGCTCACTGAAACCTCTGCCTCCCGGGTTCAAGCGATTCTTCTCCCTCAGCCTCTGGAGTAGCTGGGATTGCAGGCACCTGCCACCAAGCCCGGCTAATTTTTTTGTATTTTCGTAGAGACAGGGTTTCACCATGTTGGCCAGGCTGGTCTCGAACTCCTGACCTCAGGTGATCCACCCGCCTCAGCCTCCCAAAGTGCTGGGATTACAGGTGTGAGCCACCGCGCCCAGCCTCCCCTGTATTTTCTGGTTGGACACCTGCTCCCTGCCCCCAGGAACCTCTGACTCTTGGGAACACCTAAGGGTCGACACCTGGCTATAGAGCAACCCCTCTTACTATCTCCCCACCCAGCTCCCGGTAGGATAAGGTGCTCTCTGGAGAATTCCCCCACCCTTTCAAGTCAGGGTTCAGGCTCCCCTGGGATCTCTAGTCCTCTAGGGTAGGGGGGTCCTAGGCTCCCCTGCCATCTGGCAGCCAGGAAAGGGGTATTGGATTGCTGAAGGAGTCTCCGAGCCGCCAGCAGAATCCTCCACTTGGGACTAAAAGACCTTTTTAAGCAGCTCCCCGTAGAGGGTGGGAGAGCCAATCCTGATGGACTCTGGCTTGGCAGGCTGAAGAGAGCAATTATACCAATTAAGCTCTGGAACAGAATCAACAACCCCCAGCAGCGCCTCTCGTTCTCCCACGTGGACCTGGCCCCTCAAGTGATTTCTGATTATAATTCTTACCTGCAGTAATGGGGCAGATTAGCAGGGACCTCACAGGCCAGTTCGGGCTTGCTTAGGCTCTGGGGAAACAGCTTAACCTGTCGAGGGCCAAACTGCTTCTCATACTCCCCCAGCTAAGGGCTGAGGCTGAAGCAGGGAGGGAAGGAAGGGGACCCTTCCCTCCAAGTCCCAAGGGGCATGTGGTGTGAAAGTCGCCAGGTCATAGGACATCCCAGGGAGATGGGGACATAGGGTCCTGGTCTGAATTGACTGAAATGAGATGAGGACCTAACAGGGAGCAAGCGTAGCAGAAGAGCTTTAGGTTAGACAGCAAGAAGTGACCCACTGACAGCGACCCAGGACAATAGCGTACACTAAGAATCACACTGTGTCAGAGCCTGAAGGAGCCTTCCAGCCTCACTCGTCTCATATGAGGAGCCTGAAGCCCACAGAGATAAAGAGAAATGCCCAAAGGCAGTGGTAGGGCTGGGACTCAAACTCAGAGCTTCGCAGGGTGTGGTGGCTCACGCCTGTAATCCCAGCACTTTGGGAGGCTGAGGTGGGCAGATCACCTGAGTTCGGGAGTTCAAGACCATCCTGACCAACATGGGGAAACCCCATCTCTACTAAAAATACAAAATTAGACGGGCGTGGTGGCACACGCCTATAATCCCAGCTACTTGGGAGGCTGCGGTAGGAGAATCACTTGAACCCTGGTTGCGGAGGTTGCAGTGAGCCGAGATCGCGCCATTGCACTCCAGCCTGGGCAACGAGAGCAAAACTCTGTCTCAAAAAAAAAAAACAAAAGCAAAAACAAAAACAAAACAAAACAACTCAGAGCTTCTTTTCACTCTACCAGTCTAGTTCCCCAAAAGCGAAGGAATGACAGAGAGACTCACAGTTCTTTGTGTAAGATATGGATATGCAAGAAGCATATCTCTATTTGGAAACCAGGGGCCCTTACAGCCCACAGAGGACTAAATCAATCTAGTGGACCCTTTCTGGGATTTATTTCTCTAATCCATCTTATATCCTACCAGATCTTAGTCAAATACAAGATAAAGGGGACAGATTCAGGGGTCTGAGTGGGCCTCTAGCTGACCCATGGATGTCATCAAATATTCATTTAAAAGCAATCACTCGTGCAAAGCTCCATGCTCAGGGCTTTGCCATAGTACCCGCTCCCTGAGTGCAGGCTGACTTTAAATTCAAAGGTCAGTGTGCCCTAAGGGAGGCGAGGAAAGCAAGGGAAAGAGGGCAGGTGTCCTCCTCTTCTGTTCCATTCAGGTCAGCCACGACTTGGGTCCCCTCCCTAGCTCTGAGCCACATTACATGAGAAGACATGGCAATGGTAGGACAGAGGGCTTTAGGAGCAGAGAGAGACTGAAACCCAGAATTCATGAGGAAAGGTGGGCCTGAATGAAGTAGGCTCCACAGGGCTGGGGCACATCCAGAGAGGAATTCCACTTCTCATCCAAGAAGAGGAAGATGATGCCTCCAGAGTCTCTTCCATGACATGGTCTCATCCTAAGAAAGTATCTCCAGCCAGTCCTAGTACCTGAAGTATCCCTTTCCCTCCCCAGCCTATCAGGGTTTTGCAGAGTAGGAAAGGAGGGCAAAGGTTCTGTTTCAGATGCTGAAAGCTCAGAGAAGGGGAGCCCCTAGCCAGCTTTCTTCCAGTGACTTACAAACTCAGGTTGCTGAATTTAGTGGGCTTCTCTGCCCAAACTCCCACACCAGCCTGGTTGCCTCCCTCTCTCCTTGAAGCTGCCCATCACTAAGACCCTCCTGAATAGGAGTGGCTACATAATGGGGATGAAAAGCCTGTGTTTACCAAGAATCTCAGCTGGGCACAGTGGCTCATGTCTATAATCCCAGCACTTTGGGAGGCTCAGGCGGGAGGATTGCTTGAGCTCAGGAGTTTGAGACCAGCCTGGACAAAATAGCAAGACACCCTCTCTAGAAAAAAATTTAAAAGTTAGCCAGGCATGGTGGCACGCTCCAGTAGTCCCAGCTACTCAGGAGGCTGCGGCAGGAGGATCTTTTGATCCCAGAAGTCGAGGCTGCAGTGAGCTGTGTTCACACCACTTCACTCCAGCCTGGGCAACAAAGTGAGACCCTATTTCCAAAACAAACAAACAAAAAACTTCAAGATGGCAATAGAACACTAAACCAGGTACAGGCCCCTTCTGCTATCAGGGCCCTGGCAACCACACAGGTCGCAGGCCCATGAGGTCGGCTCTGCTCCCAAACTAAAAAATCCTCAAAAGCTGTGGGCTAGGCCTGCTCCTGTTCTCATTTCCTAACTCTGCGTTTGAGAGGAAGAAAGAGGCTGGGAGGTGAGATACCTTGAGGACAAAGACAGTTCATTTGACACAGGATTACTGATTGTTTGCTCCTGGCCGACCCCAGGGCTGGTTTTCATCTCTGAACCCCCCACCCCTACTTGGCTACATAGCTGACTTTCAGTTGAACACAGGAAGGGAGAGAATAGAGAAAAGATGTGGGTGGGGAGGGGGACATCTCAGTCTCTGGTTGGAGTACAGAATGGAGGGTGGAAGGGGGAGGATATTAAAAGTTAAAAAAAAAAAAAGCAGCCACTATGGAAATGGTTATTCTGTGGGGAAAATATTCCACGTGGGAGCCGTTGATTGCCTGGAGGGACCAACGGCCCTGACCGAGAGCCTGCCTGGGAAGGCAAGGATTCCAGCAGGGAGCAGGCTGGCACCTGCCGAGCAGTGAGGAGATGCCCTTGGGCCTTCCATAGGCGGCAGGGCCCAGCCTCCCACACCAGCACCAGCCGCCAGTGCCAGGTGCCAGCTTCTGCACGGAGGGCCACGGGGCTCCAATGGGGTTGTGGGGTCCCCTGCCCATGGCATGTCCTGGCCCTGCTTGGCAGGAGGGCTTGCTCGACTGGGGAACACACAGAATCTGTACCCACAGACTCCACCAACTCAGGCACGGATGCTCATGAGCTTCTGCCTTCCCGCGGACTGACACCCCTCCCAGCCTCTCTCCTGGAGAACACAGCCTGCATTCTGTGAAGGCCCTTTATGGTCTCATGAAGGCTTCCATAAAGCCCTACTGCCCCCACATCCCTCCCTCACTACCTATCAGACTGCCTGAAATGCCTCTCATTACAGATGGTATCATTCCCTTTGTCTTCAATTCAATAGGATTGGATTAAATATAATAAACATTCATTGAGTGCCTACTATTATGCCAGCCTTGTGCTTAGTTCTAGGGTTCAAACTTGAATAACACATAGTCTCTTTCCAGAGAAGCTCTTAGACTATATACTTTGCTGTTTGATAAAACAATATAAAAACCTTAGCTTTTATATTGAGAAGGAGCTAATTGCCAGGTGTGCTCAGCATTTACATATATTATCATATTTAATCTTCATGCTAGCCCTGTGGAGTAGGAACCTTATGCTTCCCATCTTGCATGCAGAAAAGGAGGCTCAGAGGAATGAAGCCATTGGTCTGACTCCAAAGCTACCACTCAATTCAGGCTTATTGATAAGGCTTCTCCTTATCAAGATTTGAACATCAGAGCTTGTCCTGAAAGGCCTGTCCCATTTAATGAAAAGAAACCTTCTCAGTTAAAGAGTACACTCCTAGCCGAGGCCCTTAGGGGGCTGAAAACTGGGGCTGTAGCCAAAGGGACTAAACAGTGTGTCTGCACTAGAAGTAGTCACCAAGCCCAGAATCCATATGACTGGACTCCAGACCCAGTTACAGGGAGCTCCCCTTCAAGCAGGTGCCAGGCATTGACCTACATATAATCTGGGAAGCTAAGGACTCCCCAGATCCATCATCCCTCCATCTTGGGTGTTGTATGCCTCTGGTATCCTCTAAGACAACACTGTTCAATAGAGCTTTCTGCAGAGACATATTCATTATCCGCCCTGTGGCTATTGAGCTCTTGAAGTGTGGCCAGCATGACTGAGGAACCGCATTTTAAATTTTATTTTAACTGACACATGCCATACTGGATGGCACAGTTCTAAGAAATTAGCCAGGCGTTCCACACAAGACATGAAGGATACAGAGATGAATGAATTTGGTTCCTGCCCTCAAGGAACTCATAGTCTAGCAACGAAGATTAACAAATAATCAATTGTGATTGTGTGTGTGTGTGTGCGCGCGTTAGAGAGAGAGGAAAAGAGAGGCTGTGTCTGAAAATGGTGTGCACCAAGAGTTGAGGGAATGAATTAAAGGGTGTGGAACCTTCAGCCACGGAGGTAGGACAAACTTCCTAGAAGGAGTAAAGAGGGGACATTCATGTGAGTCTTGAGGAATAACTGAATTTTCACCAAGTGGATGAGGGTAATGAGCATTTCTGGCAAAGAAGGGTGTGTGCAGAGGTACTGACCAAAGAACAACATGGGAGAGGAGAACAACTCATCTGTGCTGAGCAGAGGGTCCTGGGTGACGCAGGGAGTGAGGGCTTGGGTCAGATGCGAAAGGTAGTAGGGAAAAGAACGTGCGGGTCCTTGGGGGCTTTATGGATCTGAACTTTAAATTGTAGGCATTGGGAAGTCTGGGTTGAGAAAGACCACTCTGGTGGGGTGGGGGTGGGGATGTGAAGGCTGGCAAAGGTCTTGTTCTTGCTGATACACAGGGCGCTATGACTTCAGACGAGTCCCTTTCCTCTCTCCAGGATCAGTGTCTTCACCTGCTCAAGGAGGGGTTCGCTTCAAGAGTCCCTGTGGCTCTGTCCGTCCGAGAGCCTATACATTCTTTGGACAAATTCTTCTGTGCTATGTCCCTGTGTCCCCAGGCAGGGCAACTTACAAGCACATGGTGTTGTGCAGAGGCACAGAGTAGCCAACCCCCACTCCCCCACCTCCAGGCATCTCAAGATGACCAAATTCTACCATTTGGATAATATTCTTTTTTTAGAGTGTAGAAGCTGCCTGTTATTTTTTTTTTTTTTTTAATCTGGAAAGTATTATTAGGTAGCCTTTTAGTGGAGAACAGCTTTTTGAGAGAAGCTTCTAAAAATGAGACACAGACTTGGAACACAGGGAGCTTTGGACCAGAGAGATGAGGAGCTGGGAAAGATGGTCGATAGAGGTGGGAGATAGTAAAAGGCCAACTTCAGAGCTTTGAACAACTTTACCCAAGTGCCCACTTTGGTCACTTTTCTCCCCCATTACATGGGAAGACCCCTGAAGACGCGGGCTATGTCCCCTCTTTCCCTGAAACTTGCCCACCATGGATATTCAGTCTGTGTTTTTTATTGATCCAGTTATGGGCACTTTCAGCATTGTTCAGATGATTGCTTGATGGGGAGATCACAGCAGTGGAAGTGACAGCTAACAGGGACCCCACTTAACCAGGGAGGAAAGGGGACTCTGAGGGACTGAGTGATTTGTCCAAGGTCACAGAGTAAAGAGATGGCAAAGCCAGAGAAGGCATTGGTTTTGAGTCCGGTGTTCTTTGAGTTCACTGTTCACCTCTCTCCTGCCCTTGTCCTCTTGGGAGAAGAAGAAGGTGTTCACCGATTCCTGCCCACCCCCACATACAGTGCAATGGGGGGCCCCCAGAGACACTTCCCAGGTCACTGGTTGAGGAACTATGAAGACCCTGGTCTCTGAGAACCATTCCTTGGCAGCATCCAACACTTGGGGCTCATCCCTTGCATCCCAGCAGTGCCTCTCCCCATCTGGAACCCATCACCAGGCCCTCACAGAGCACACAAGCCCTGAAGAGCCCAAAAGTGACAACTCTGGGGAGTCGGAGCCTGAGTACTCCTGGTGGGACAGTCCCATGGTGACAGAGAGCATGGGGAGCAGAGGAGGTCAACTGAGCCACCAGAAGCTGGAGTGAGAACTCCACTTCCCTGCAGAGGTGGGGTGGGGGTGATGGTGCATGGAGCCTTGAATTAACCTTTCCATACCCACTTACAATTGAGGAGAGAGGGGAGGTGGGAGCTAGAGCAGCACTTTTCTCTCTCTCCTCACCCAGGGGAAAAGCTTGTTGGAGGAAAGTGATTTCATCAGCTTTGATTTATGCCATCTAATAAGATCCTTCCCCTCACTGTCAGCCTCTCAATAGATCAAAGGTGGGATATTAAAACGAAGGCAATTCCAACTGGTTCTCCTGGCTATGCTAATGCCTCAACTCTCCTTTCCTTCCATCTGTCAGGAGCATTGATGGGTGTGCAAGAACCCCTGGGGTGGTGGCGGGGGCGGGCAGAGAAAGTGCTTCCTTTGTATACATCAAAGGATGATACCTGAGCATTCCTCCAAGCTATTCCTTGTATTTTATTCAGCAGCAATATATAAAAATAATTACCCACCCTCCAGGAGGGAGACAGGGAAGTGCCTCTGTGTGTAGCCTTTAGGAGCTTCCCCCAAAGACACAGACCTACAGATCTGGGCAGAAGGCCACCTTTGTGGGTGACAATCCCGGAATCCTGGGGTGGGAACTACAAAAAGCCATCTCATCCATCCCCCAGCCTCCAGCCATTGAATTGCAGACATCAGGCTGGTTTCTGGCGACCTTCGTGGGCTGTCTGAGATGTGCTTGGGAGCCGGGTCCTGTGGTTGCTTGAGGCCTGGCTGCCTGCCCTGGCAAAGGGTGGCTGTGGTTGGTAGAGGAAGAGGCCGATGGAGATCTTCCCGACTTGCTTCTCCAGAAAGGGGGCAGTGATGTCAGAGGCTTAGGGAATAGAAGTGATATCCCAGAGTTTTAAAGATACTTAAAAGCTGTCCTAGCAGACTTTGTAGTAATAGGCACCAGGGAAAATTCAGGCACATATTAACACTTCTAAAAGTACCATAGGAGAAGGGAGAGAAGAAATGGGAAAAGTCCATATCAACCATGGCTTCCCACAGGGTTCCAGTCCTTCCCACAATCTATTTTCTCCCTCATTCCCAAGAGCTCCCAGGCTCTCTGTGACCAGTATGAGAACTGGAGAGGTTATACCTGTATAGTTTCAACCCTCCCCTCCCCAGCCTCCCTATTTCCTGGCCCCACATCCCTCCATCCATCAATTTCTCCATTCATCCATCCGTCCATCCACTCACACAGACTACACAATCATCCCCACGGTTGGAATCTTGTTTTTCTCTTGCTCAGAATTATCTATGGCTTCTAGTCAACCCCAAACTCTTTGGCTTGGGCTTCAAGATCCCTTCCCTGAAATGACTGTCTTACCAGCATAATTTCTCAGAAGATCTCCCCCAGTTCTCTATTTCATATGCAAATGTGCCTCTTGCCTTACCTCTTTGTCCCACAGTACATAGTTTATTCATCTTTGGATCTTTGTATAGGTTGATGCCCCTCTTTGAAAGATGTTTCTCCATCCTCTCTTCAAAGCTCTGCTTAAAACTCCTCTTTCTAGAGCCTTCTGACCTAACCTCACATGGTGCTGTTCCCTCCTATACTCAGCATCTTCCAAGTCCTTACTGATTGGTCCACAAGTACCCACCACACCCACACCCCCGTGCTGAAGCCATAATCCCTCTCCTCTAGCCTAGGGAGGAAATGAAGGAACAAATCAAACACACTCAAGTTGTTTCCAGTTAAAATGGAGGAAAACTTAGCTACCTTCTCACTAAAACACCTATGAAGATATATAGAGAAAAAACAAACAAACAAAAAGATGTATGCTGGCCGGGCGCGGTGGCTCATGTGGGTAATCCCAGCATTTTGGGAGGCTGAGGCAGGAGGATCACCTGAGGTCAGGAGTTCGAGACCAGCCTGGCCAACATGGTGAAACCCCCGTCTCTACTAAAAATACAAAATTTAGCTGGGCATTGGGGTATGAGCCTGTAGTCCCAGCTACTCAGCAGGCTGAGGCAGGAGAATTGCTTGAACCCGGGAGGCGGAGGTTGCAGTGCGCCAAGATCGTACAACTGCACTCCAGCCTGGGCAACAGAGTGAGACCCTGTCTCAGAAAAGAAAAAAAGATGATCATAACTCTGAAAATAATTTATTGAGGGTGTAGTAGAAGTTATTTGACACCCTCAGTAAGGTACAAGAAATCATGACCTCTCTGAAACAGGAACAAAAATCCATGAAAAGAAAAAAAGCTAAGACAGAAGAACAACAGCATAAAATAAAATAAAATAAAATAAAATAAAATAAAATAAAATAAAAGGCAAGTTTCAAAGACAAATTGAAGTGTAAATGGAACTAGGTGAGATATGGGAAGACTGCAGGGGAAGTAAATTAAAAAAGCAAAATTCAAATTTGCATTGTAGGTGATAATGAGTAGACCTGGCCCAGCAAAAAACTGAATTAGCAATGGGGAGAATAAACATGAGACACTCTCCTTGAAGTCAGAATAAAAGGACAAAGGGGCGAAGATTATGGAAATAAATATGAGATAGATAGAAACGAGAACTGAATTTGAATTTGAGAATCATAGGTATTCCAGAGGATTAAACCCAGAGTGAATGGAGCAGAAGCACATGATAGCTGTAACTGAAAGAAAACATTACATACGGAACCAAAAAAGAGCCCGCATTGCCAAGTCAATCCTAAGCCAAAAGAACAAAGCTGGAGGCATCATGCTACCTGACTTCAAACTATACTACAAGGCTACAGTAACCAAAACAGCATGGTACTGGTACCAAAACAGAGATATAGATCAATGGAACAGAACAGAGCCCTCAGAAATAATGCCACATATCTACAACTATCTGATCTTTGACAAACCTGAGAAAAACAAGCAATGGGGAAAGGATTCTCTATTTAATAAATGATGCTGGGAAAACATATGGGCTAGCCATATGTAGAAAGCTGAAACTGGATCCCTTCCTTACACCTTATACAAAAATTAATTCAAGATGGATTAAAGACTTAAATGTTAGACCTAAAACCATAAAAACCCTAGAAGAAAACCTAGGCATTACCATTCAGGACATAGGCATGGGCAAGGACTTCATGTCTAAAACACCAAAAGCAATGGCAACAAAAGCCAAAATTGACAAACGGGATCTAATTAAACTAAAGAGCTTCTGCACAGCAAAAGAAACTACCATCAGAGTGAACAGGCAACCTACATAATGGGAGAAAATTTTCGCAACCTACTCACCTGACAAAGGGCTAATATCCAGAATTTACAATGAACTCAAACAAATTTACAAGAAAAAAACAAACAACCCCATCAAAAAGTAGGCAAAGGATATGAACAGACACTTCTCAAAAGAAGACATTTATGCAGCCAAAAGACACATGAAAAAATGCTCATCATCACTGGCCATCAGAGAAATGCAAATCAAAACCACAATGAGATACTATCTCACACCAGTTAGAATGGCAATCATTAAAAAGTCAGGAAACAACAGGTGTTGGAGAGGATGTGGAGAAAGAGGAATACTTTTACACTGTTGGTGGGACTGTAAACTAGTTCAACCATTGTGGAAGTCAGTGTGGTGATTCCTCAGGGATCTAGAACTAGAAATACCATTTGACCCAGCCATCCCGTTACTGGGTATATACCCAAAGGACTATAAATCATGCTGTTATAAAGACACATGCACACGTATGTTTATTGCGGCACTATTCACAATAGCACAGACTTGGAACCAACCCAAATGTCCAACAATGATAGACTGGATTAAGAAAATGTGGCACATACACGCCATGGAATACTATGCAGCCATAAAAAATGATGAGTTCATGTCCTTTGTAGGGACATGGATGAAATTGGAAATCATCATTCTCAGTAAACTATCACAAGGACAAAAAACCAAACACCACATGTTCTTACTCATGGATGGGAATTGAACACTGAGAACACATGGACACAGGAAGGGGAACATCACACTCTGGGGACTGTTGTGGGGTGGGGGGAGGGGGGAGAGTTAGCATTAGGAGATATACCTAATGCTAAATGACAAGTTAATGGGTGTAGCACACCAGCATGGCACATGTATACATATGTAACTAAGCTGCACATTGTGCACATGTACCCTAAAACTTAAAGTATAATAATAATAATAATAATAAAAAGAAAACATTAGAGCTGAAAGAATAGTGTAGATTTAAGATGTTTATTGTATCCCAAGCAAACTAAGTGGAAAGAATACCTCAACACATTCTGGCAAACATTTCAGTTGTAAGGATAAAGAAAAAAAATCTTGTAAGCATTCATAAAGAAAAAATATGCTCTCCTTGAAAGAATAAAATGATAAGGCTGACCTCAGAATTTCCTGGCACACTGCATGTCAGGGGGAAATGGAGCCTTATCTACAGGATTCTGAGAAAAATAGATTGTGATCCAATAATTTTATATTGGCCACAAAAAAATATATTAGTTAGTTGGCCACAAAAAAATATATTCTCAACTATATAAAAGATCAGAAATACAGTTGCCATCTGTTGTTCTTGGGGGAAAAACTACTTGAAAATATACTACAGGCAATCAAGAGAGATAATTTTTAAATGAAGAACTCAAGAATGGGGAATTTGGCAGAGCACGGTGGCTCATTCCCGACACTTTGGGAAGCCAAGACAGGCGGATGTCAGGAGTTCGAGACCAGCCTGGCCAACATGGTGAAACCCTTTCTCTACTAAAAATACAAAAATTAGCTGGGCATGGAGACACATGCCTGTAGTCCTAGCTACTTGGGAGGCTGAGGCAGGAAAATCACTTGAGCCCGGGAGGCAGAGGCTGCAGGGAGCCAAGATTGTGCCACTGCACTACAGCCTGGGCGACAGAGCGAGACTCTGTCTGAAAAAATAAAATAGTCCAGGAGCGGTGGCTCACACCTGTAATCCTAACACTTTGGTAGGCTGAGACGGGCGGATCACCTGAGGTTAGGAGTTCGAAATCAGTCTGGCCAACATGACAAAACCCCATCTCTACTAAAAATACAAAAATTAACTGGGCGTGGTGACACATGCCTGTAATTCCAGCTACTCGGGAGGCTGAGGCAGGAGAATCACTTGAACCCAGGAGGCTGAGGCCGAAATCAAGACACTACACTCCAGCCGGGACGACAGAGTGAGACTCCGTCTCAGAAAACCATAATAATAATAAAATAAAATGAGATAATGGGGAATTCTTCTTGGCTTTTACTTCCAGGCAGGATTGGAGTAGCAGTTGTTTTTGCCTCAAACAAGTGAAAAGCAACAGGTTTGAGGCATTGGACAACAGGCAGCGCAGGACCGTGATTGCTGACAGCCGGGAGGCACATTCTGTGAGCCTTATGATTGGCCAGGCTTTTGCCTGGAGAGGGTGTCCAGGCTGCAGGACAAAGAGAGGGAACTCAGGCAGAACTTGTGTTCACTCTAAGTTGAGGAGATAGCGTGCAGAGTTCAGGGAAGCCAGGGTGGCTAAAATTTGAGGGATAGAGTACCTAAAAGAGAGAGGGAGGGAAAGGGGGAAAGAGAGATGGGAGGAAGGAGGAGGAGAAGGCAAGAAGGAGAACAATGGAAACATCAATTAAGCCTTTAAAAAGTATAAAACATGATAGACGTGAGACAAAGCATCATTTACATCTTTCCAGGATACAACTCATTTTCTTAAAATAATTTAATATATTAGCACAGATGGAAAAGATTTTGATGAAATGGATAGTTTTCAGGAAAAGATAATGCTCAAAACTATCTAAGAAGTAGAAAACCAAAGAGATCAAACACTAAAGAAGAAATTAGAAATGTTATCAAAGAATTTGCTCTTCAAACACAGGTTCTGGGGCCAGGAAATTTGTCAGTAAATTTTTCCAAACTTTCAAGTAAAAAATAATTTTCATGCTCTATAAATTGTTCCAGGGATAGAAAAAACTGGAATGATACTCAATTCATTCTTGGAACTCAGTTTAAACCAATAACAAAAGTGATCAAAGAGAGCACAGAAAACAAGCTATAGCCCATTCTCATTTATGAATATTTTATTAGGATGTACATATTGTAATTACAATACTGGCAATAAAACACAGTAAGAATAGTCTACCACCATCAAGATGGGATTATCCAAAGAATACTGTGATGTTAAAATAATAAATTCTATTATAGTATAATGGGTTTAGTATATATAACCATAATATATACTAAAAAAACCACTCAGCAACATTTAAAACTTCTAATTTAAAAAAATGTAAAATATTGACACAGAGAAATACTTTCTCAACATGGTAAAGTCTATTATCTCAAAGGATATCCAGTATCAGACTTAATGAGAAAATACTAGAGATCTTCCTCTTAAAATCCAGAACAAGATAAATATGTTCATTGTCATAATTGCTAATAGTCATTGTTCTGAAAGCTCTAACGCATAAGACAGGAAACAGAAATAAGAGGTATAATTATTACTTACAAATAATATTAGATATCTATAAATTCCAAGAGAATCAATGATAAAGCCTTAAGATTAATAAGAGAATTTAATAAAGTGATCAAATACAAGATGAATGTATACACCTCAATATTTTCCTAAATTCCAACAATAAATAAAAGAGACAATGATGAAAATACCCCCTTTACATTAGCAATAGCCACCAAAGAAAGCTCATAAACAAACACAACCCAATAAATATCATGGAGTAATTCTAACAAGAAATGAGTCATTAATGAAAAAAAACAAAAACTATAAAAATATTACTGAGATACATAAAAGATGTTTTGAATTAAGAGAAATAATAAATCTTGTAGGAGAAGACTATATTTTTTAATTATGTAAAGCCTCTACAAATCAACTTATAGACAATGTAATTCCAATTAAGATCCCAGTGGGACATTTTTGGCAGGAAGTGACGGCACCTTCATAAAATAAAACTAAAGTTCATGTCATATAATAAATAGATGAGCAAAATATAAGAGAAAAATGAACAGGGACTGCTCCTATTAAACATTAGAAACTTAATAAAAATCCGCAAAGAAATTATTATATCTAGTAAATGAGTACAGCAAAGCTGCAAGATATAAGATCAATATATATAAATCAATTGGATTTCTGTACACTTGCAATGAGTATTCCAAAAAAAGAAATTAAGAAAACAATTCCACTTAAAATAGCATCAATAAGAACAAAATACTTAGGAATAAATTTAACAAAAACAGTGCAAAACCTATACTCTCAAAATGACAAAACATTGTTGAAAGAAATTTAAAAACACCTAAATAAATCGGAAAATATCCCATATTCATGGATTGGAAGACAATATTGTTAAGATGGCAATACTCAACAAATTGATCTACAGATTCAATGCTACCACTATCACAGTCCTAGTGGTCTTTTTTCAGAAGTTGACAAGCTGATTCTAAAATTTATATGGAAATGCAAGGGAGCAAGAATAGTCAAACCTTGAAAATAACAAAGTAGGAAGACTCACCCTTCCCAATTTCAAAACTTATTACAAAGCTACAGTAATGCAGACCATATAGCCCTATATGGTAAGGATAGATATGTAGATCAATTGAATAGAATTCAGAGTCCAGAAATAAATTCTTACATTTATGGGCAATTGATGATCAAGAACAGTGCTAAGACAATTCAATAGGAGAAAACAGCATTTTTAAAGAATAGCATTTGGGATGACAAAAATGTTGTGCTGGAACATGTGGATATCTACATGCAAAAGAATGTAGCTGGACCTCTAGCTACATTGTGTATGTATGAACCATATTCAAAAATTAAAATGGTTTAAAGACCTAAAACTGTTAAATCCTTATAAGACAACATAGGCATATATCTTTCTGACCTCGGATTAGGTAATGGTTTTTTAGATATAACACCAAAAGTACAACAAACAAACCAAAAAATAGACTAATTGGACTTCATTGAAATTAAAAACTTTTGTGCTTCAAAGGATATGATAAAGAAAGTGAAAAAGACAAAAGACAGAATGGGAGAAAAACATTTTCAAACCATATATCTGATAAGGGACTTATGTCAAAGGATATGATAAAGAAAGTGAAAAAGACAAAAGACAGAATGGGAGAAAAACATTTTCAAACCATATATCTGATAAGGGACTTATGTCTTTAATATATAAAGAATTGTGACAACTCAACAATGAAAAGACAACCCAGTCAGGAAATAGGCAAGGGATCTAAATAGACATTTCTCCAAACAAGATATACAAATGGCCAATAAGTACACAAAAAGATCCTTAACATCATTAATCATCAGGGAAATGCAAATCAGAACCACAACGAGATACCACTTCACACCCACTAGGATGGCTATAATCAAAAAGACATAACAAGTGTTGGCAAGGATGTGGAGAAATTGAAATGCCCATACAATACTGGCAGAAATATAAAATGGTGCAGTCACTTTGGAAAAGAGTTTGACAGTGTTTCAAAAAGTTTTACATAGAGTTTCTATATGACCCAGCAATTCCATTTCTAGTTAGATACCCAGGATAACTGACAACATATGTGTACATAAAAACTTACACACAAATGTTTTTAGCAGCATTATTCATAATAACCAAAACGTGGAAACAGCCCAAGTATCCATCAACTGATACAGAGGTAAAATAAAATGTGGTATATCTATACCAAGGAATATAATTCAGCTATAAAAAGGAATAAGGTGGTCAGGCGCGGTGGCTCACGCCTGTAATCCTAGTACTTTGGGAGGCCGAGGCAGGCAGATCACCTGAGGTCACGAGTTCAAGACCAGCCTGGCCAACATGGTGAAACCCCGTCTCTACTAAAATACAAAAATTAGCCAGGCATGGTGGCATGCACCTGTAATCCCAGCTACTTGGGAGGCTGAGGCGGGAGAATCGCTTGAACCCGGGAGACAGTGGTTGCAGTGAGCCAAGATCGCACCACTGCACTCCAGCCTGGGTGGCTGAGCGAGACTCTATCTCAAAAATAAAAAAATTAAAAAAAATAAAAAAGGAATAAAGTGCTGTTACATGCATAAATATACACATGGATGAACCTTGAAAACATTATGCTAAGTAAAAAAAGCCAGATATTAAAAGCTATATATTGTATTATTCCATTTATATAAAATGTCCAGAACAGGCAAATCCAAAGAGACAGAAAGCAGATTACTGGTTGTCAGGGGCTGGGGGAAGATGAGATAGAGAGTGACTGCTAATGAGTAAGGATTTTCTTTCTTGGGTGACAAAAAATGTTCTAGACTTATTGGTGATAGTTGCACAACTTGGTAAATATGCTAATAATCACCGAATTGCATATTTTAAAAGAGAGAACTTTATGCTGTGTAAATTATATCTCAATTGTTAAATATTTAAAGCTAAAAGTCTTACACTAGTGATGTACTCGCACAATTTTAAAGAGACAATAAACCAGATGCTGACATAATATGTAAAGATTTAATGTATCACAAAGGAAGCATGTGTGTTTGTAAGAGTATGTGTGCTCATAGAGAAATACACAGAAATGTTAACAAGCATTGTGTCTGGGTGGTAGAATTGTGGGTGATTTTTATTTTCTTCTTTTTATTTTTTGTATTTTCTAAATTTTCTACAATGAGTCAGAGCAAAAATAAACATGTTTTTAAAAACAAAGTACGTCAGTGTATAATTAACTCCCAGGCTGTTGGAGAGCTGAGCTAAGGGGGGCCGGCAAGGGAGTGCTCCACGGACTCTGCAGCCTGAGCGGGGAAGGGCGCTGGGGAGGGAGAGACGAGGAGCAGGCAGTGGAAAGGGATTTATTTGCTTCATTTCACCTGCTCTGTGTCCCACCTTTGCCTGGATTTCCTATACAATCAGTCACCAGGTCCTGGTAATGGAATCTCAAGGCCATGCCCGCTCCTCCTGACCCCAAGGCCACTGCTGTGGTCCAGGACCCCTCCTGAAGTGATCTCCTAACTGGCCTCACTTGTGGCCCATGGCAGAAGCTCTGGGGTCCACTATGGACAGCTAGGTCCAAGTGCTTTTCTGGGACACACATCTGTCTCCACGAAAACCCTGTGGTGAACCTCCCTTGCCTGTGAGGCAGTCCTTAGCTGGTCATCAAAAGTCACGGCCCTCTCTGCAGATTTATCTCCTACACACAGGTCTTCCTTCAAGTGGGCAGGCAGACAGTGCTACAAGCACAGGAAGCTGTGTCTGCACCAAACCAAGCTGCCATTCTCTAAAGCAATGTCACACCCCATCCCCGCGCCCCCAATTCGCTGCCTTCACACTTCACTCAGGCTTTTCCCTCCTAGCAAAAACTGTCTTTTCAACTCTTTTCTCTTTCCTTTTTTTTTTTTTTTTGTAGAGACAGAGTCTCAACTATTGTTACAGCCCCAGCTGATCTTCAACTCCTGAGTTCAAGAGATCCTCCCGCCTCAGCCTCCCAAAATACTATCACAGGCATGAGCCACCTCATTCAGCGTCCACCAGTTCAACTCCTATTCTACCTTCAAAACTGGCACAGTGCTGGCACACTCACCCAGCAAACACTTGCTCCTCCCCTTCCCACAGCATTCTGGACTTTGCATATGCACCAGCTATATTTATTCTAGCATGTACTATTTGTGAACATGTCTCACAGCCCTTATTTGGTAACAAACTCACTGAAGGCAGGCACATCAGCACCTGGCATGGGGAAGTGTACAACACAGATCTGCAGAATGCAAACATAATGGAAGGAATGACCCACATTCACTCATGGCAGGGGCAACTCACCACCAGACGGACCATTCCTGAGGTCAGGGGTGGAGGAAGTATCTTTCCCTTCCTGGATAAACTAGTTTTGCAGCAAAGCCTGACCAGAGGTGAGGAACCCCTCCAGTCTATCCTACTCCAGCTCCTCACAGCCAGAGTTTCCCTGAGCTGCACAAAGCATCCTGCCTCAGGCTCCCACCCTGGTGGAAAATGATGATGTGGTAGGAGCCAGTTCTGGAGATTAGTCTAATAAGAACAGTAGGCTGGGTGCAGTGGCTCATGCCTGTAATCCCAGCACTCCGGGAGGCTGAGGCAGGTGGATCACTAGGCCAGGAGATGGAGACCATCCTGGCTAACACGGTGAAACCCCGTTTCTACTAAAAATACAAAAAATTAGCCAGAGGCCGGGCGCGGTGGCTCACGCCTGTAATCCCAGCACTTTGGGAGGCCGAGGCGGGCGGATCACGAGGTCAGGAGATCGAGACCATCCCGGCTAAAACGGTGAAACCCCGTCTCTACTAAAAATACAAAAAATTAGCCGGGCGTAGTGGCGGGTGCCTGTAGTCCCAGCTACTTGGGAGGCTGAGGCAGGAGAATGGCGTGAACCCGGGAGGCGGAGCTTGCAGTGAGCCGAGATCCCGCCACTGCACTCCAGCCTGGGCGACAGAGCGAGACTCCGTCTCAAAAAAAAAAAAAAAAAAAAAAAAAAAATTAGCCAGGCGTGGTGGCATATGCCTGTAGTCCCAGCTACTCGGGAGGCTGAGGCAGGAGAATCGCTTGAACCCAGGAGGCGGAGGTTGCAGTGAGCTGAGATTGGGCCACTGCACTCCAGCCTGGGCGACAGAGTGAGACTTCGTCTCAAAAAAAAAAAAAAAAAAAAAAAAAAGAATAGTAGGACCATCTTGGCCAGGCGCGGTGGCTCACGCCTGTAGTCCCAGCACTTTGGGAGGCCGAGGCAGGCGGATCACGAGGTCATGAGTTCGAGACCAGCCTGACCAACATGGTGAAACCCCCGCTTCTACTAAAAATACAAAAAATTAGCCAGGCATGGTGGTGGGCACCTGTGATCCCAGCTACTTGGGAGGCTGAGGCAGGAGAGTAGCTTGAACCCAGGAGGCGGAGATTGCAGTGAGCCGAGATCGCGCCACTGCCCTCCAGCCTAGGCAATAGAGCAAGACTCCATCTTAAAAAAAAAAAAAGAGTATTAGGACCATCAGTTATCATGCACTCAGGATGTACCTGGCATTGTGCTAAGTCTTCCTATACGTCATCTCATGAGTCTTCAAAACAACCACTTTGTTATTCCTAGTTTATAGATCACAAAACTGAGGCTCAGAATGTTCAGACAATTTGGTTATGATACTTTATCTAGAAATGGCAGAGCTGGTTTTCACAGAAAAGCAGCACTATTTTCAGAGACCCTAAAATCAAACATCACCCTTCCAGCTAAAAGTAGACAGATTATTTGGGCTGCCACAGTCTGGAGTCCCCAGACTGAGCCATGACTCGAGAGTGTCAGAATGTCTTCCTGCTGGGTGCGTTGAAGCCCTCAATTAAGGAGTGTGGTGAGAGTGCCCATGCATGTGCCTGACACAATGCTTGGCACCTAGCAAATGCTCCCTAAGGCTTACTTTCCTTCTTCCCTCTGACTTTCAAGTCTCAAAGCAGTCTGGACACAGTCAGATTCAGGACTCTTGTCAGGGAGAGAAAGGAGACAGGAAGCATACCCATCTGCCATGGGCTGGGCATGGAGCCCTTTCCAAACTTTTCACACCTGCCAAAAGGCTACCATTTAGTGTCCCAATCCCACAAGTCCGAAACCAGATTTCTGGGCAGTACCTAAAGGCTATGTATTGTCAGTGCCCTGTTCCTTTCCACAACCTGAATTCTTGTCAGGTTCTTCTCCATGCCCCTGGCAGCAGGTAGTTGCTGGCAGACTCTGGTCCAGCAGGGCATTTGGCTCAGCTGGTGGCAATCCTGCCACTAATCACCCATGGTACCTTTCACGTACAGGAGCCCAGGGGCTGCACCCACTTTACAGATGGGAAAGCCAAGGCTAAGAGACAAGAAATAATTATAAAGAGTGAGGATGCCTGGCTCTGGTATTTAGTGTTCCCCAGCAGGCCCAGAGTCAGATGGAATTATTCTAGGGGGGCTTCCTGGAGGAGGAGAGGGCTGTATTGATGCAGGCAGTATAGTCAAGGCTTGGCAGAAAGGAAAAGGAAAGACTTCCTAGTCTGAGAAACAGCTTAAGCCAATGCATGGAGGTAGAAGGACAAGTTTGGGGAGGTAGGGGGAAGAAAGGGAAGTGGCTTCGCTGGAGTAGAGAGCAGGGTATAGGGACACAAAGGTGAAAACAGGTATAATTTAGGGGAAGATTTGCCCCAGCTGGTCAGTGGTCTGTGGGCGGTTTCTGATCAGAGGAGTGAGATGACGTAAGTGGTGTCATTTGATGACTTGGAGGAGCCCTGGGCACCCCCTTCACCACACCCCCTCCAACCCATTTCACCTCAACAAAAGGCAGAACTAAGAATCCGGGGACTATTTGTTTGCCTCCAATCTCCCCCTCATCCCCTCAGTCTGGCCCCTCCCTCAACAGTCCTCCTTCTCCCTCCTCTTCTCTCTCTTTCCCCTTTCCCTCTCCACTTTCCCATCTCCTCTCCCTTCCAGGTGGGCTCCCCTCCAGCCCCCCACACTCCAGATGTTCTGAGGGGGGTTTTACTCTAAGGCCCTTCAGGCCCCCAGTTAGCAGATGTGCAGCTGAGAGGCAGGCTAGTGGGGGCCAGGGGAGGATGCTGGCCTGGGGCTGGGGGCAGAGGCAGCTGCATTGGCCCCAAAGGCCTGGTGGCTCCCCGAGGAGCCCAGCAGCCTCATTCCTGTCAGCTGCAGCTGACAGCAGGAAGGAAAGGGGAAATGGCTGGGGGAGTCCTGCCTGGGGAATAGAGCCTCCTGGCTTCCCGGGTGGGAGGGATCTGAGGCTTCCTCTTCTTCCCTCTCCTGCCCCCCATACCCCAACCTGGAGCTCTGGAAATGGTGAATGCCCCTATGTAGTCTTCAATGCTGTACCTGTAGCTCCTGCCTCTCCATTCCCTATGAAGGCTCAGGGGCTGCAGGGACATAGATCATCCTCATATAGCAGGTAATTCTAAATTATGTTATTGTTGGCTGCAGAAGACACTGTATCGCTTTTTTAAAATAACGAGTTTCTTTTCTCATTCCTGTTTTATTTAGGGTGATCCACATACGAGCGTGCAGGCTCTGACAACACACTATCAGACAGTGGAGGCCTGCAGCCTCCTCATACACCTTCTCTCTGTGAATTCACAGCACAGAGAGCCAGTGCTTGCAACTGGAAGCCAACAGCATTGCCTATATCAGGCCGTCATCTGTGATCGTCTCGTTTTAAACCCCTTGGGTAGCTTTCCTGCTTTTACTCCCCCTCTCAGCTCTGTCTGCTATGCCACCTCCCCGAAACACGACAGCAGAGAGCGGGCAGGGCCCTTCTCCCCCAGGTCCATCCTTCCTCAGAACTTCTTGGGTGTTCTGAGGAAGAATGTAGAGGAAGGGGGAACCAGGGAGTTATGGCAGAAAAAGCATGGACTCAGGAATCAGACATACTTGAGTTTAAATTCAAGCTCCAGATCTTACAGATTGTGTGTTACTGAGCAAATTACTTAACCTCTCTGGTCCTCTTTCCCCATTCATTAAAATGTACAATTATAAGCAAAGATCACTCAGTGCCTACTATGTGCCACATATTGTACTAGCAATGGGGAATCCTGAATTTTAAAAAAGGACATCCAGTCTGGGTGTGGTGGCTCACTTCTGTAATCCCAGCACTGTAGGAGGCGAGGTGGGCAGATCACCTGAGTCAGGAGTTTGAGACCAGCCTGACCAACATGATGAAACCCCATCTCTACTAAAAATACAAAAATTAGCTGGGTGTGGTGGTGGGCCCCTGTAATCTTAGCTACTCAGGAGGCTGAGGCAGGAGAATCGCTTGAACCTTGAAAGCAGAGGTTGCGGTGAGCCAAGACTGCACCACTGCACTCCAGCCTCGGTGACAGAGTGAGACTCTGTCTCAAAAAATAATAATAATAATAATAAATAATAAAAATAAAAAATAAATTAAAAAATAAAAAAGGACACTCAGTCTCCAACCTTGTAGAACTCAGAGTATAGAGGGAAACAGGATGAAATAAGAGAATAACAGTAGGATTGCAGGCTGTTCTGGGAGTGCAGCACAGAGGCAGCTGAATGAATCAGAAAAGGCCTCCTTCAGGAGGAGACATTCAAGGTAAGACCTAAAGGATGAGTAGGAGGTGGGAAGGATGAATTAGGATGGTGAGAAGGAGAACTAGGAGCAAGTATATCAGGCAGAGGGAACAGCAAAGCACAGGAGCACAGGCTGCACGCCCAAGAGAACTGCAAGTTACTCAGTCTGGCTACAGCATAGAGTGGGAGGGGAAGTGGTGAGAGATGGGCAGGAGCCAGGTTGTGGGTTGCCTTGTACATTAGCCAAGGAGTTTGGGCTTTGTCTTCAGGATAATTGGGAGCCAACTGAGAATTTTAAGCAGGGGAGTGACATGATCACATTCGTGTCTTAAGATCCATCTGGCTGCAATGTGGGGAAAAGACTGGGGTAAGTCCAGAGTAGAAGCTGGGGGCCTGTAAGGAGGCTGTTACAGCAGCCCAGGCAAGTGATGATGGCGGGCAGACAATGGTGGCCACCAGGAAGTAAGGAAAAGAGGACCTACTCCAGAGCGAACAGGATGTACAGTCACTGGGACTTGATTGATTGGATGCAGTGGTGAAAGAGTTAAGGATGACACCCAAGTCTCCGAATTAGGGAACTAAATGATGTTATTTCTCGAAACAGAGGATGTGGAGAAGGAATATGCATAGGAGATGATGGGTTTACTTTGAGAAATGTTCAGTTTGAAGCCCCGTGAGTCATGCAAGTGGAGATTCCAATAGGCCGTTCATTGTACCAATCTAAGCTAAAGCTAAGACTTGAGAACCATCAGTACACAGGTAGTTACTGAGTCCATGGGCAGATGAGAAACCTCCCAGGGAGAAACTGAAGCAGAGATAGGGCAGAGCTCCCAAAGAATTCTGCCATTTATAGGATGGGCAGGGGAAGAGGAGCTTCCAAGGAGAATCGAGGAGTGACTAGAGAGGAGAGATCTAGGAGAATGGGGTCTCCTTACAGAAGGCACAGGAAGAAAGGACTTTAAGGAAAGAGGAGGCAACATTATCACATGCTCCTATGCAATCAAATAAGATAAGGGCTGGAAAGCACCTTATCAGAAGGGTAAGAATGCTTCGCCTGTAGATGAAGAACTGATGGACACCACTGGTGTGGACTGTGAAGGGGAGGAGAGAGCGAAGTCAGGAGTCGGCTGCAGTGGAGCCTCGGTGAGTGGTACTGGTGGCCCTGCTGCTGAATGGAGATCAGCCTGAGGAAGGTACCTGGTATCTATCACGCAGGAGATGCTCAAAGAAAGTTTCTTTCCTCTTTCCCTTCATTCCAACTCCTGCCTTCTCTCCTCTTTCCCAACTGTGGTGCCTCGGCTCCCAGGATAGGGAGGGGGCCAGGGTCACCTGTGCTGATGGTCCTCTGTGGCCTCCAGCCCCAGAAAGGTGCTGCACTCCCCACTCACCAGGCAATAAAGGCAGGACACCTTCTGGAGAAAAAGTGGAATTCTTCTAGGAAACATGGGGAGGGCAGAGAGAGCTGGACTTGTCCTTTTTCCTTGGGGAAGAGATTGCTTTGCGAGGGGACAGCAATGATGTCCTCTCTGTGGGCTGCCAGGGCCCTGAAGGCACTGCAACCTTTCAGTGACTGCCACGCCACGGCAGCACATCCCCCCAAACACCATGGGCCTCGCTCCTCCCTCTCCATAGTCCAGACCCCTCCCAGGACCCTCAAAGTCCTCCAGACCAGGCCTTGCTAGAGTCGTTTAAGGGAGGGCAAAGGAAGGAGCTGGCTCCAAGTCTCAAAACAGGTGTCAGGGTGGTGAGGGGAGGGAAGCGACTTTGGCGAGAGTCCCCCGGATGGGGTCACATTCCAGAACAACTGCTCTTAGAGCCATCTGGTTGCAGTGGTCACAGAGGCTCATAAATAGATCATCCCCTTCCAGAGCCAAAAAAGCATCTGCAGGCCTGGTCTGGGTTCCAGCTAGCTGCAGCGCTGCCACTGATTCACTGGGCGACACTGGGAAGTAACTTCCTCTTTCAACTGCTTGGTTTCCTCACCTGTAAAAGAGTCAGTTGGACTTAGTGACCTCCATGACGCCTTCCAGCCCCAGTATTCTAAGGTCCTGTGGTCTTAGGAGGGCAGCCTCCACCCACGCAGCCTCAGCCGGTGGCCAGGGAAGGAGCCTGGTGTGCTTGCCGCCTTTTCCGGTTGCTGTGTGGATTTTCACCCTCCAGCGAGTGGCTGGCAGACACCTGGGCTCCAACAGCTCATAAACAGATGGAAAATTACTCACACGCTCTCGAAAAAGATCACACTTTCCCAGCCCCCGACCCTTCTTCTCTCATCAGGATGGCTGAGGCGCTGGGGAGGAGGAGGGGGCAGGCAAAGGCTCCAGGGGTGTGGCCAGTGGAAGGCTGCTGCAGGCCACAGGTGCTGGCTCCACTCTTCCTGGCTGCAGCCTGAGCCTTCTCTTACCTCTCTGGGATTCTCTGAGGATACTCCCAGAAAACGTCATGATGGGATCAGAGTGAGATCGTCATACACTTTCTCCTGCCCCCAGGCCAGGTGAGGAGAGTGTGACTCTAATGTACCTTCCCAAGAAGATACTCTAGCCTTTTCCCCTTTGTGTGGTATAGACAGCTAGGATGTTCTTCCCAAAGTCTAACCTTTATCTGCCCAACTGCATCGCCCAAAAGGTTATCTAGTACCTTTCACTGCCTCCAAGTGGGTCCACAACCAAACCAGTCTAAACCTTAACATTTACATCCCATGTGTACAAGTGACTGCGGGGGTACAAAAAAGCGGTTCTAAGGGTTGGAGACTTTCTGCAGAAAGTCCTTAGGGCCTAGGGGACAGACCTATGGACAGCTGATAATGATTGCTGTCCATCTCAGCTGAGGTTGGGAGAGGGCGCAGAATGTCCCAGAAGCTCCTGAACAAAAGAACAGTGATTCCCAATTTTGAATTGCATACTAATCCCCTGGGGGGTGGAGGGATGGGTCCTGTTAAAATGCAGAATCTGCGTGAGCAGGTCTGCACTTATACTCCCAAGTGACGCCGATGCTGCTGACCAATGAAGCTCACTTTGAGTGGCGAGGATTGGAGCAGTGGCTCCCAAACCTAGCTGTGCATCAGAATCACCTGGGAAGATTTTTTAAAAATCCAGATTCTTGGGCCCCAGCCCTGAAGATTCCAGTTCACTAAGTCTGAGAAGGGGCCTGGGGATCTGCACTTTATAGTTTCCCTAGTGCTGTGAGGTAGACAGCCTTGGGAACTAGACCTCAAGGGTCCCTCACAGCTGCCCTTCTGCACAGTCTAAAGTCATGGCTAACAGCATGCATGAACTTTGTATGCAGATGAACCATTTTACCAACTGATCAATTCCCTACATCCTCACTTCCTCATCTGTAAAAAAAGGATCACAGGACCTCCTTTAGAGGCTTGTTGCAAGGAATGAGGTAGTCTGCCAAGGATTAGCCTAGAGCCTGGTAACATAGTAAGCACTCACCAAACATTAACTACCAATATGATTTTTATTACACACACTGGGCTTCACCCGGTTTTCATCATTTTAGTCAATTCTCTTTTAGCTTTTATATACATATTTTACATCATGTTTGCTTGCACTGACTTTTCTGTCACAGAATTTTAAGTGCACAGAATGGGAGAATGTATGGGAAGGGAAGGATGAAGATGGGGTCTTGGTGTATCTAATATTCCTACATCAGACCAAGAGCTGCTGAAAAGGCAGGGCCCTTGTTTTATTATTTATCTCAGTATCTCTTGTGTTAGGCATTTCAAGCACTCGTCAAAGTTTACAAAAACAAACAGATGGACAGACAGATGGGGGGATGGATGCATGGAGGGATGGATGGAGGGACAGGGGATGGATGAATGGATAGATGAAGGGAGGGAGGGAGGGATGGATGGAGGGAGGGGGGATGGAAGGAGAGAGGGAGGGAGGGATGGGGGATGGATGAATGGATGGATGGATGGATGGGTGGAGGGATGGAGGGATGGGGGAGGGAGGGAGGGAGGGATGGATGGATGGAGGGATGGGGGATGGAAGGAGAGAGGGAGGGAGGGATGGGGGATGGATGAATGGATGGATGGATGGATGGGTGGAGGGATGGAGGGATGGGGGAGGGAGGGATGGGGATGGAGGAATGGATATATGGATGGAAAGAGGGACAGAGGGAGGGAGGGAGGGATGGGGGATGGATGAATGGATAGATGAAGGGAGGGAGGGATGGATGAATGGATGGATGGAGGGAGGGAGGGAGGGACAGAGGGAAGGAGGGATGGGGGATGGATGAATGGATAGATGAAGGGAGGGAGGGATGGATGAATGGATGGATGGATGGATGGATGCATGGATGGATGCAAGGATGAATGGATGGATGGACAGAGACACACCAATAGTTCGGTCTCCTCTTCCCTCCTGACAGACCCAGAACTCAGGCCAGGGCTCTGCACTGGCATCAGCTGCTCAGGAAGGGGCAATAATACAAGAGGAAGGAGAGCTGAGGAGAAAGCCTGCCTCTGTCCTCTCCCCATGGGGGAGGGATCACCCACCTCCTGGTCCCGACTGGGGGCTTAATTGCACCTACACCAAATCTGAGCTATCAGTTCGCAACACCCGGGGTACTCTTGCCTCAGGCCTCTCAGGCCTTGGCCTGCTTGAGCTCTGTGGGGCGCAGAGGGCAGGAGTGGCCCAGTCAGAGGAGAACATTCTGGCCCAAGAAAGCCCTAGCACCATAGCCAGAGAGGGCTAGCAGGAAGGCTGAGGAGCCCCACAAGTCTGAGCTGAGGTGTTCCCGCACTGCTCCTGGGTGGCCCGACTTGGGCCAACTCTGTCCCAGACCGGCATTTACGGCTGAAAGAATCACCCCTGATCCCCTGGCCCAGCCCACCACGAACACTCTCCTAGCATCTCTCAGGAGCCAAATTACCCATGTTCAGACCCTTGAGGGCTGCAGGGGGCTGCCTACCCGCCCACCCACCCACCTCAGAGCAGCCTCTGCCCCAAACGTATGTGGTAATCAACTCCCGGAACCTTGGGAAGATCCAAATACAGTAGCATATAATCACGGAGCCCAAAATAGCCATGCCAGGGAGGCCATCTGCCACCTCGTGCGTCCCTGGGGACCCCTCGGCTGGGCCCTACAGCACAGCTGGGCCTTAGGGCCCTCTGGCTGGCAGGCAGGATGGGTGGTGCCAACAGGGTTCACTAGATCACCTGCACAGCTTGCAGGCAGATTTTGGCGGGGAGGCTTTTCCACAGCAGACGGCACCTTCAGGACAAGGCCTTAGATGAGAGCACCCCAGACCTCTGGCCTTGTTGCCCCTGTTGCTCCCTTCTCCAACCAGCTGTGGGCCTCACTTGGCCAGATGCCCCCATGGTGGGCACAGCCGGCTCGTGACTACTGCCCACTCTAACCCTCCTGTTTTTCTTCCTGACTCTAGCCTCAGCTTCTTACCCCCAAGTGCTCTCTCACAGGGTCCAGGCCCACTTTCCCTCCTCGCCTTGTAGTGGGTGAAATGGAGGCCCCAGAAGATATACAACTTCCAGAACCTGTAAATGGGACATTATTTAGAAAAGGGGCCTTTGCAAATGTATTAAGGATCTTGGGGTGAGATGGTCAGGATGATCCAGGTGGGCCCTAAATCCAATGATAAGTATCCTTATCAGAGACCACAGAGAGACACAGAGAGAAAGAGGAGAAAGCTACGTGAAGGCAGAAGGCAGAGACTGGAGTGATGCAGCCACAAGGAACGCCAGCAGCTGCCGGAAGCTGGAAGAGGCAAAGAAGCACCCACCCCAGCACCCTCAGAGGTAGCGCAGCTCTGCTGACACCTTGGTTTAGAACTTCTGGCCTCAGAACTATGAGTGAATGCATTTCAGTTGTTTTAAGCCGCCCAGTTTTTGATGTTTTGTTAAGGCAGCCCTAGCATACCGATACCACATCCTTTTCTTCTGTAACAGTGGTCCTTAATTTTCAGTGTGTGTCAGAATCACCTGGAGGGCTTGTTAAGACACAGGTGATTAGGCTGGGCGTGGTGGCTCAAGCCTGTAATCCCAGCACTTTGGGAGGCCAAGGCAGGCGAATTACGAGGTCAGGAGTTCGAGACCAGCCTGGCCACCATGGTGAAACCCCATCTCTACTAAAAATACAAAAAATTAGCTGGGCATGGTGGAACGCACCTATAGTCCCAGCTACTTGGGAGGCTGAGGCAGGAGAATTGCTTGAACCCGGCAGGTGGAAGGTTGCAATGAGCTGAGATTGCACCACTGCACTCCAGCCTGGGTGACAGAGCGAGACTCCATCTCAAAAACAACAACAACAACAACAACAACAACAAAAAGACTTTGTTTTTTATTCTTATCTTTAGTCCTTCACCCAAGGACAATTTCCTTGTCGCCGCCTGCCCCTACCACCAACCCCATGATGTCTTCCTCCTTTCCTCAGTGCTCAGGAGACCCAAGAAAATGACTCCTTGAGAAAAATCTCCAAATTCATGCACAACTGGCTCCTTCTCTTGGAATCACCCAGGGCTCCCACTTGGGCCCTCTTGAAGATTTGCTTCCGGGAGGCTGTGAGTGGTAAGGTCAGTCATGGCTGGACCCTTCTCCTGTCACCACAAGATCCTCCTCAGCTCCATCCCGGCTTCATCTCTAACCCACTGGGGAATCCCAGGCAAGTCACCTCCTGCTCTACACCTCCCCTGCAGGTCTGTCTGTAAATTGGGGCTATAATTGCATTGCTACTCCTCACAAGGGAAGATAAAGAGCCATTTCTGGTGAAAAGCTCCTAGAAATGTCTTAATGCTCTTCATAAGAAGATGGTTATTAGGCATGACCAGCCTCAGAAGCTCTCTTGTGGACTCTCTGGGGGTGCTGATCAAGGCCAAGGGTCTCCAGGGCTCAATGCTGATACCACAGTGTTCACATCCCCTACCTCCCCAGGCAGCCAGAACCATCCCCTCAACCCAGGCTCCCCTTAACTCTAGAATACCTAGGGTAATGACAGAAATAGGGCAATCCAGGAGCCCCAGGCACGCCCCAGCTGAGCTCACAACCCAAGGTCAGCTCTGGGAGCAGGTACCCTGGAAATACGATGGTTCCTGAGCCCCACTGATGGGCCACTTCCCAAGGCTTGTCATCTCATTCAGCCCTCTCAGAATTGCTCTTGAGAGGCAGCCCAGCACCCTGGTTAAATGCGTGGACTCTGGGCCAGACTGCCTGACTTCTGACCCAGGCTCTGCTATAAGTCACTTTATGGCTCTGTGCCTCAGTTTGCTCGTCTATAAAATGGGGATTACAAGACATCTAGCAGTAGCCATCCCAGAAGAGTACTGTGAGGGTTAAGTGAGAGAATAAGTGCAATGACTTGCACATGGAAAGTGCTAGCCAAGTGTTGGTTCCTGTTGTTCGCCTGCCCTTGGGCATTAGTCTGGGGGTACAATAGTCCTTTGGAGGGCGATCAGAGGCATGAGATGAGGGGGGCTTGTCCAGAGGTCCCTTGCTTTTGGTTCTCCCTGGGAACACTGCCAATCCCTCCTAAGACCTCCAATGCTGGACAAAATGGTTCAGCCATTTTCTCCTGGAGCAGCTCAGGTCTTTCCTCCTCATCTCAACTCACAGCATTCCCAGGAGACTGGAAGGGTTCAAAAAAGATACTTTCCATTGCACAGTAAGGCAAACTGAGACCCAGAGAAGGCAAGCACCCAGTAAGCATAAACAATTCAAGAGCAGAGCCAGTAACCCCATTAGGAAGTTCCTGTACCTCTATGCATGATATTCACTCGGGACATCTGTCTGCCAATCATCCCACTGGACTCTCTCATTTTAGAGACAGAGAACCTTGGGCTCAGAGAGAGGAAGTGACTTGCCATGGCCTCGTAGCTAGTGATAGAGCTAGGACTTGAACCCAAGTCTCTGGATCCTAAAGATTATAGTTTTAGGGGATGTACTAAAGGATAGGGGTTAAGAACCTGGTACTTTGGAGTTGGAGCTAAACTAAAGTCCCAGCTCTGTTACATCCTAGCTGTGTGACCTCAGGCAAGTTGCTTAACTCCTCTGGGTTTTAGTTGCCTCATCTATAACATGGGAATAACAGACACTATTTTACAGGGCTTTGGGGATTAAATGAGATATATGAATGTGCTTAGCATATTGAAATGTGCTAAGAGGGAGCCACTCCTCCTTCCCACGTCACCTGAGCCCAGCTGCCTTCCCCGGCCCACGAGCACACCAGCACATCATCTATCCACCCTGGCTTCTCCACCTTTTTCCTCTCAGCAGGCAACCAATCTGTTTTGGATTGGCTGGCTTGGGCTGAGAGGGTTGGGGTAGTTCTGCCTTGGGTTTCAGTTTGGAGTCTGGTACTGCTCTTGATTCATTTCCCCGGCTCTAGACAATGTTTGCTAGTTTCATGTGGCTGTCCTTCGCATTATGCATTTCCCCCCTAGAGTATCCAGGTTTGGGCTGTTTGGCTGTTTTCTCCCCTTTAGTCTTGCCACTGTGCTTTTCCAACTCTTCTCCTGGGACCAGCCCACCGGAGCTCCCCAGGACCCAGACCAGCGCAGCCCCCACTTCTTCTGCTTTGCCATGCTGTTTCCCCCTTGCCCTGCCTCACCCCCACCCAGTTTCTATTTTCCCCCAGGCTCTGCTGGCTTCCTGTGGTTTCTCTTGGCCTTGGCTCAAGCCTGGCATGACATGTCTGGCATGGCCATTCTCCCCCCTCCCAAACTGGTCAGGGAGGAAGCAAGTGTATCCAAGGAGGAGGGTGTTGTGGAGCTGGGTGCTGCCTGCCCAGGTGCCAAGCCAAACAGTTTGTGTACCACATTCAGCTGGGTCCCTGGGCCTAGAATGCCTGGCTGGCCCCCATTCCCTAGCCCTAGCCCCACTCCTCACTCACACAAACCTACCTCTTACTGTGCCCCCATCTGGTTCTAGCTGGTAGAAAGTGGACCACAAGACTGAACCTTCCCTGAGGCTCCAGGAATGTCCACAAGAGTTTGCTCAGGTTCCTAAGTGGCTTGGTCTGCTCTGGGAACACATCACCCCAGGAGGGGCATGGGCAGGGGGTGCATCCTCTACATACTTCCCTGATCCGTTGATTTCCAACAGGAAAGACATTTCCATTTGCTGGTACGCCTTGGGAAGCAGGGAGGGTCACCCAGTGAAAGCCATCAAAAGGCGGCTTCCCTTGTAGCCTTTGGAGTCCAACAACTGGGTGTAGGCCTGCCATGCCCACTCACCAGCTCTGACCTTGGAAGAGGCCCTGAACTTGTCTGCCCCTATTTCTTCATCTGATAACAGAGACGGTGATTATTAGAGAGGGGTTTCTGTGAGGAATAATCAGACAATATACGTAGAACATCTCATGTAGCTTTAGGGGAGCTTTAGCCTGGCCTTGGGCATTAGTCTGGGGGCACAATAGTCCCTTGGAGGAAGGTCAGAGGTATGGAATGATGGGTCCCTGCTGGCACACAGGGAAGTCCAAAAAATTGTCATTTTTCCCCACTGTCTCCTTTCAGCCTAGCCACCTGGGCCTGCTTTTACTGTCACTATCTAAGACAGAAGGACCTGAATAAGATAGAGTAGCACCTTGCTGTGGGGCCTGAAGCGGTCTCTCCCTGAATCTCCCAATTTCCAAACACTTAGAACATAACACCTACATACAGAATCTTTGAGATGGATTACAGACCTCCCCTCTTCCCACCAACACACACACACACTGATGTCCTGCAGGTCAACTGACCAACTTCCCAGGTTCTCTAGGATACTTGGTTATCCTGCCTGCAGGCACCACAAACTCAACATGTCCCAGAGGGGCCTCAGCACATCCCCTTTCCCTGCACCCTCCCCAGAGCACTCACCTTGTGCTGTTCATTCGTTCTTTCATGTCGTTTTTTTTTTTTTTTCTGAGATGGAGTCTTGCTCTGTTGCCCAGACTGGAGTACAGTGGTGCAATCTCAACTCACTGCAACCTCTGCCTCCCAGGTTCAAGCAATTTTCGTGCCTCAGCCTCTCAAGTAGCTGGGATTACAGGCACCCACCACCACACCTGGCTAATTTTTTGAATTTTTAGTAGAGACGGGGTTTTGCCATGTTTGCCAGGCTGGTCTTGAACTCCTGAGCTCAGGTGATCCACCTGCCTCAGCCTCCCAAAGGGCTGGGATTACAGGCGTGAGCCACTGCGCCCAGCCTGCATGTTCTTAATAAGCTCTTACCACGTGCCAGACTCTTGCTGACGGTATACCCTGATGTCAAAGCCCAAGAACTGGGTGTCAGCTCAACTTCTCCTCTCCCTCAGCTCCCACATCCAGTCAGCATTACTACTACTAATGATCATTGTAGAAGTAGCAACAAAAGGTGCTGTTCTAATTCTTTTATGTATATTAAATCATTTCATTCTATGCTGTTGAGATACACAGATACTATTATCGCTTCCATTTTACTGATAAAGAAATGGAAACGCAGAGGGTAAGTAGTCTGCCCAGGATCTTATAGGCAGTAAGTGAGTAAGTGAAGAAGCTGAGAGGTGAACCCAAACAATCCGACTCCAGAGTCTCACTGGCATGACTTCTAGATATTTCTAGTTTGTCTGCTTCTCCTTTCACCAATGCCCCCGTCTGTCTTTCCTTTGGCCACTAACATGCTGCCTTGGTTTAGGAGCCTCTTCACTGACTTCCCCACCTTCAGACTGCCCCCTATAACTGCTGCCAAAGTAACTTTTCAAAGACACAAACCCTATCACCTTGCTTTCCTGCTAAAAGCCCTCCCGTGGCTCCCCGCTGTCTTAAGAATAAAGTCCAAATCCTTAGCAAGGTCCTCCCTACTTTTCAGGTATGACCACGTCTAACTCCAGATCTTTCCCCACTACTGCCCTTCCCACCAGTCCCCCAACACACCACACACACACACACACACACACACACACACACACACACACCACACACACACAAGTTCAGCCAGCCAAACTCACTTCCTTCCAAATTCTTCAGAATTTACTTGGTTCTGAAAGATTGTCCCCGGGGCCTGAAAGCTTGAAGGGATGAGTAACCCCTCCCTTCTCAGGCCCAGTCGCCAGGCGCAGGGCTACTTGCGTACGCCAGCAAGACAGCAGAAGCAGGAAAAGAGCCGGCCGGAAGACACCTACCCTGGTTGGAAGACACCTACCCCTGAAGATGGAGAAAGAGGCCATCCGGGTACCGCGTAGCAGTTACGTCAGACCGAGACGCCCCCTGTTTATAGGAGACAATAAAACCCCTGCCCCGTCCTCACTTGGGGCTGACGCCATTTTGGGGGCTGACGCCATTTTACGCCTCAGCCCGCCGGCACCCAGGCTCTTGTTAAAACGCACCGCTTCGTGTTAGCTGTTGGGGAGCTCTCGGGATTCCAACCGATACAAGAACCTTTCAGGTTCCTTCTTAACTTTGTGCCTTTGCAGCGTGTGCTGTTCCCTCTGTCTGAAACGTTATTCCCCGCCTCTTCACCTGATTCATACTAGTCTTTCAAGGCTCAACTCTGGTTCTGCCACCTCAAAAAATTTTGTTTAAAAAAAAAAAAAATAGAGCTGGGCCCCATGGCTCACGCCTGTAATCCCAGCACTTTGGGAGGCCGACGCAGGTGAATCACGAGGTCAGGAGTTCGAGACCAGCCTGGCCAATATGGTGAAACCCCCGTCTCTACTGAAAATATAAAAATTAGACGGGCGTGGTAGCCCACGCCTGTAGTCCCAGCTACTTGGGAGGCTGAGGCAGGAGAATCTCTTGAACCCAGGAGGCGGAGGTTGCAGTGAGCTGAGATCGCACCACTGCACTCCAGCCTGGGCGACAGAGCAAAAAAACTCTGTCTTAAAAAAAAAAAAAAAAAAAAAAAAAAGGATCAGGCTGGGCACAGTGGCTTACTCCTGTAATCCCAGAACTGTGGGAGGGGAGACCAAGGTAGGTGGATTGCTTTGGCTCAGGAGTTCGAGACCAGCCTGGACAACATGGCAAAACCAAAACCCCATCTCTACAAAAAAATACAAAAATTAGTTGGCGTGGTAGTGCACACCTATAGTCCCAGCTACTCAGGAGGCTAAGGTGAGGGGTGGCTTGAGCCTAGGAGGTGGAGGTTGCAGTGAGTTGCGATCAGGTCACTGCACTCCAGCCTGGGTGACAGAGCCAGACCCTTTCTCAAAAAACAAAAACAAAAACAAAAACAAAACAAAACAAAAAAACGGCGGAGGATCAATGACTGGTTAGATGAACGATCTCACAATAACATCATCATACATTATAGCTGTGTGAAGTCTTTTTTTTTTTTTTTGCAAATCCCCCTCACATTGACTATATATTTGATCTTCCCAACACCCTGTGAGGCAGGGAAGATAATTATCCCCACCTTGAAGATAGAGAAACTGAGGTGCAGAGAGGGCAAATGACACAGTAGTCACGATCAGAGCCAGGACTTGAAGCCACATTTTCTGTCACACAGGCCAGTGCTCTTCTTGCAGGATTGCAAAAAGCAAAATCTTCTCATCTGCCTTATAACTGGGGGAGTGGGGGACTTGACCTCTGTCCCCTGCCCTGTTATACCCAGGCAAAGGAGAATAATGGGGCTGAAAGTGGAAGCTAATGGTCTGGTTCTCCCAGCCACAAGGGCTGCCCACTTCCCAGAAAGTGTAGGGAAAATTGTCTGCATTGCCCAAAAGCTCCATGCCTAGTCCGAAAGCAAGACCTTTAGAAGCCCCAAGAACTCAGAATATGTGATTCACGATTTTTTTTAAAAAAGTAAACTTAATTAACAACCTTAAAAGTGTGAAGAAGTCCAGTGAAAGTCTAATTTTTTTCCCCTATGAAGTCCTCTTTGAGGCTGTGGATGAAATGTCAAATTCTCCTCACTCCTCCTCCCTTATTTTTGGCTGTCCCTGCTGCGCTGGTGCCCTAGGCAAATGTTTAGTCTGCCCCTGCGGGTGGGGAGCAAGCACAGGCTTGCCTGGCCTCTGGTCTTCCGACGTTGGCCTCTAGGGGCACACTGGGTTGCCTGGCCCTGTCCAGGGGTGAGGCTGGATGGAGGGAGAGGAGAGGGCTGGGGCCAGACGCCCAGCACTCATTGGGAAGGGGGGGCAGAAGCTGAGAGAGTGCAGGGAGGCAGGTTCTGCCACTGGGGCCGATCGATCGAGCAGCTGAGGGGTGCCAGGGACCAGACACAGAGGCAGGAGGGTAGAGGGCACCCAGGGAAGGAGTAGGAGAGGAAAGCCCTCACCACGGGGGGTGTGGCACAGCTGCTAGCCAGGACCCCCACAGCTGGCCCTCTGTGTAAGGTGGAATGGGGCCTAAATATCAGTCATGAGAAGGAAAGTCACCTTTTCCCACCTCATTTCTCCTTCCACCCAAGGAGAAGTCAGAAGTTGTCTGACTTCCACATCCACAGACTGAACAGCGCCAAAGTCTGAGAATATGAGAGGCCTTTGTTCGGACACACTGCATGCCCACTATGACTCAGTTTCCCCCACTAGCTAACTGCTGTGCCCCAATCTTGCCCCCCAACTTTGACTTCTCCCAAAATATCTGTTCACTCTCCCATCGGATGAAGTTGTACCTGATAATTAAGTTAGGTTCATCAAGCATGTATGAGGCACCTACTGTGTTCCAGGCCTTGGGCTGTGCATTATGTGGATGAAGCCCAGCGGCTCCCACTGGGCTGGGTTACATCACCCTGGAGCACCTGCTCCCGCTTCCACCCTCAGGCTGGGTCTGGCTTCCACGATGCCCCTGCTGGACAAGAAGGGAACTACAGGGCTCCTTGGAGGGAGGGATCTGTTATGGGTGGCCTGTGAGTCCCTGTGGACAGTCCCACCCCCAAGTAGAGAAAATGAGTATCTGAGCCTAGCCTCCTTCCCACCCACAGCAGAGCCCAGGGGCAAGAGCAGGCTAGGTAGAGGAGACAACCCCTTCCTGATGCTTCTTTTGGGCGGCAGTCTCCACCCCTAAACCCAGGCTCCAATGGCAGAACACCAGTCGCCCCAGGACCGCTGGCCTGGTGGCCTCACCTAGGGAGGTCCCATTCCCACAGTCCCCCAGTGGGGCGTGGGAGCACTCTTTTCCTGAAATATGCATAGGAGTGTACACAGCCACACACTGATGACAACAGAAAACCCCGGAGAAACCAAAGCCAGGAGCGGCATGCTGTCTGGAACGTGGACTGGGAGAGGGGGCGCCTGCAGAGGGAAGGGAAAGCTGAGGCAGGGGGCCCTGGGCTGTGACTCAGGCCCCAGGAAGCTGGTGACTCCCAGACCAGCCCTCTAATGACTCACAGCGACTGCAGGCTCGGCAGCTCCCACAGCGCCTCTGCGGGGATTCCTCCCAGCTGATTGTTCTGCAGCATCCTACGGGAGAAGAGAAAGGGCTTTAAGGACGCACATGGTATGCAGAGCTGGCTGGAGGGTGCTGACTCCTCCCTTGAACCCCCAGTCCCAAGCCAGACCCCTCCTTCTCACCCCAGCCTCAGAGCCCCAGAGAGAGTCTGGTCCAGCTCCCCTGCTTTGTTAGTGCAGATTCAGAGGCTGCTGAGGTCCCTGGGGTGTTGTACATGGGGCAGGGAGGCCCAGTGTTCAGGGAGAGCATCTCAGAAGGGACCCTAGGAGGAGGCAGGGGTGAAGAAGACCATGGAGAGGAAGGAGAGAAGACATTCTGAAGTCAAGAGTACTTGGGATTTTGTTAAAGTTTGGTCAGGAAGGATGTGGGAAAATGTAGGTTGTCAGTTTCCGTGTCTATTCATCTGAAAGGCTAAAGGTTTCTTTATGGAAGGGGAGGATGTGGATGAGGATAAGGCTGCCCTTAGGGTGTCAGTGCCCCAGGCAAATACATTTTTTTCAGCCTTTGTCTGTAGGAACAATTCGAAGTACTCCAGAGGAGTGTATCTGCACTATTCTCATGGCCCAATCTCACCTAATCCCTCAAAGAAGTGCTGTGCCAGCCAATGAAAACGATCTGCTCACTAGCTGTCCTCTGGGGACCAGGACCTAAGTCCCAAAACCCCACGATGACTCCATAGGCAGGAGTCCTGGAGCTCCTCAGGGCACCTGGGAACCCCATGTGTAGGGTAGAGGGTCAGAGAGCATGTACAAGGGGAGAAACAGGGCCTGGGGCGCCACTCCAGGTGGCACTGCTGACTCTAGCCAACCCCAGGCATCAGAGGGGACTTAGAAAGTTTTGAGGATAGCACTCGAAAGCGCAGGGAGTCCCCTGAGGCACAGAGCCCTGAGCAAGAGAAGGAACTGGGTAAAGACATAGGAGGAAAACCCTCCAGGCCTTTAGATCCAGAAATGAGAAGGAGAGCACACAGGGAGTTCATGGAAGAGCTGGGGAAGCAAGAAGGGAGGAAGTTGCTGACTGCCCTGGGCACAGTGAGTGAGCCCTACCCTAGGAGACTCAATTACCCCTTTATGGTGTATCCATCCATCTTTCAGAGGGGGAAGCCTTGGTGCACAATCATTAAGGTAATTCCACGCTTCAGGAAGAGTAGCCCAATTTCTGGTCCTTTAGTTTAATAATAGGAATGGCTAATGTGCCAGGTCCTGGTCTTAGAACTTGTATTAATTCAAACTCACCCTTGTTACAACTCCAACAGATAGGGATTATTATCATCCTCATGCTGAGGGTGCACACAACTGCTAACTGACAGAGCTAGGCTTTGAACCTAGAGAGTTTGGGTCCACAGTCTAGACACTTAACCATTACACCACAGCATCTATCATAGTGGTGGGATACAGCAGTGGCCAGAAAATGCTGAGCAGTAAGATGATGAGCCTGAGTTGTTTTCCATGCCTCCTATGTGACGTCCTGGTCAGAGTCACATGTCATCTCTCTTAAACTCCTCTTACGGGTATGTGAAAATCTCAAATATGAACCCAACCTCAGCATCACAAGAACAAAAGAATGCTGATCTCACTGTGGGAATGGGTGGGGATAGGAGGAGCCCTTCATAGAGGCAAGGCTACAGAAGGGAGAACAAAGAACAAAGACAGACTTTGGGGACCCCTGGGATTAGGTTCCTCTTTGCCACCCCAAGGGGTGGGGAAGGGGCAAGGGCCATACAAGGGAAGGGCCTGGCTGCAGGAAGGGGCAGAGCCCAGGGCTGTGAGCAGCTGGAGGGCTCAGCCCCTTTCCATGCAAACTCTGTGTTCCTGAAGGTCTGTTGGCCTCCAGTGTCCCCTTCAATCCAGGCTCCACCCAATGCCAGAGGGGCCTTTCCAGTTACAGAGTTTTGCTTCAGGGTTGGAATTTAAACCTGTGTCTCTTGGGCTTCCTTACAGTATAGTTGTCACAGATGCAGACTCTGAAGTCAGACAGCCCTGATCCACATCCTAGCTCTGTTGCTTTCCAGCTGTGGGGTAGTGTGCAAGCTACTTAAGAACCGCGGGCCTTAGTTTTCTCTTTTCTTATCTATAAGTTGGGGATGATACTGACCTCATTCACTGATTGTGTGGATCAAATAAAATCACCGCTGTAAAGCCCTCAATGGCAGTGTCTCACACAGAGGACAAGTTCAATAGCACATTCACTGATACTATCAATTATCATTATTAGTATCTCGTTTCAGTATTACCACTTACTGGATGACTTGAGTAAGTCACTTCCTCTCCCCTCTCTGGACCTTGATTCCTTCATCTTTCAAAGGAAGAGGCTGCCAGAAGGTGCATAAAGCCTCACTCAGTGGTAACATTCCATCCAGGACATTTCCTGCCCTCTGCCCTGCTTAGTGTTTCTACCCTCCCAGCCATCCTGACTTCTTTCATCTAAAGGGTGGGCCTTCGCTTCCCATCTCAGAGGCCTGCCTTGATTCTCATGCAGAAGCCTGAGGGTGCTTGGAGCAAGGATACAAGAGAAACGATGGCTGAGAAAACAGGGGGTCGCAGGCTGCTCATGCCTCTTCACAGGCCCCACCCCTCCAGGGGCCCAGGAGGCTACATCTGGTCACTGCACAAGTGAGTCCCGAGCTCCAAGGGGCCCCTCAATGCATCTTTACCTACATCACCTCCTAAGATTCCTCCATCCTTTCCTTTGTCAAATCCCAGAGAGATAACTAGAAAGATCTTTAAGGTTTCTGAATTGTACCTCCTCCCAATACAGACACTGTAACATCTTCTCACAGCACTTAATTTTCCTTCTAGTGTCAGGGAACTCATTGTCTCCCCGAGACAACTCATCCTATGCCAGACAGCCTGATTATCAGAAAGTCCTTTTATTCATGGAATCAACACCCATCAAGCTGGAGGTCAGCATGGCAGTCGGCTTTGGCCCTGACCCATTTCCCTTGATGTCCCTGTTCTCATTTCCTAGCCATCATTCTTTTATTGAACTACAACTGGGTTATAAAGGTTGGAAGGAAACAGCCCTTTGTTTTCCAAGATGAGGAGGTGAAGGCTCAGAGAGGGAAGGTAACTTGCCCTAAGTTACAAAGCAAATGAATGGCAGAATCAGGACTAGGACTCAAGTCCTGTCTCTCGGGCCAATGCTTTTGTGACGATGTTTTCCTACTTCTTTTTCTAGCCCTGGTTCTATATGGAGAGGCAGTCTATCTAATCCAGCGGTTCTTAGCCCTGGTTATACATCAGAATCAACAGACAAGGTTTTAACATTTTTTTGTAGAGATGGTGTCTTGATTTGTTGCCCAAGCTGGTCTCAAACTCCTGGGTTCAAGCAATCCTCCTGCCTCAGCCCTCCACAGCCCTGGGATTACAGGCATGAACCACTGCACCTGACCTCTGGGATGATTTTTAAAATCCCAATGCCCAGGTCACACTGAAGCCCAGTTAAATCTCTGGGGCAAAGTCTCTGGGGAAGGAATATGAGGCAGCAGTAGTTTTGCAAGCTCCCAGCTGACTCTAACATGCAGCCGTTGGTCCAGTAGAAGTCTAGTCCTCAACACTCCTCCCCTCACACATGTGAAGCATCTCTCTGGCCAGAGAGGCATTTGGGGGCAGGAACCATGAGTGTCACATCACATCCAAAAAGTATAAAAGAGGTGATCCACCTGTGGTTTCCAAAGGCTCCTTTAGTTCTGTAGAAGTGCTTGGGGGTTATGGGGTGGGTAGGTAAGATGCAGCCTGGAGTGTACCACCCTCTTCACTCACTTTAACCAGAGACCTCATTCATCTGTTTTATGTATTGGGAGGTCTGCACAAAATGCTTTTTTTTTTTTTTGAGACGGCGTTTTGCTCTTGTTGTCCAGGCTGGAGTGCAATGGCGCAACTCTCAAGGAGGTTGCTCACTGCAACCTCCACCTCCCGGGCTCAAGTGATTCTCCTGCCTCAGCCTCCTAAGTAGCTGGGATTACAGGTGTGCGCCACCACGCCCTGCTAATTTTGTATTTTTAGTGGAGATGGGCTTTCACCAAGTTGGCCAGACTGGTCTCGAACTTCTGACCTCAGGTTATCCACCTGCCTTGGCCTCCCAGAGTGCTGGGATTACAGGCATGAGCCACCGCACCCAGCCCACAAAATGCTTTTGATTTTAAGTTTCCTTTAAAAAAAAAATTTCATGTAGAGGGGTAATGTGCTGATGTCGTAACAAGGTCCAAGGGTGGCACATCACACGTATGAGTGTGAACACCGATCATCATGTGTATGAACTACAAAGAATCTGTTTTAAGTTTCCATAGCTAAAAATGTTGGAAATTTTATTCTGACTCCTCCACTTTAAAAGGTGAGAAAACGGAGGCTCAGAGAGAGGAAATCTGAGATCCTCCTTAACATCTGTTCTGGGGTCTGGTGAGGCTCTGAGTCTGACCTCAAGGCTTCTGACTGCACATGAGATCCACAGAGCTAGATCCACTCCCTGTCATCCCATCACTTGAAAGGATGAGGGCAGCAGGCCTTGCCTCATGTACAGGGGTGACTCAGAGAGGGCAGCCTTCTCCCCCGAGCCAGGTTGGTGAGGCTCGGACAGAGCCCAGCACTCCCAAATGACCAGCATTTCCCTTCGTGGGTCAGTTCAATTCAGTTCATCGACACTAATGGAGCCCAGGCTCAGCCAGGCATGGTCACTGCCTAGCCAGGCACAGAGTAAACACAGCTAATGTCAACTGAAGATGGCTCCATACAGGGTGAAAAGGGCTACACTAGAGGTTGGCTCAGGGAGATTTCCTCCGGGATGGGTCCCGGAGATGCTAACTCCCAGCCACTCCTCTGTGGCCTGGAGCCAGGGTTTCATATGGGATGGGCCGCAGCTCAGGAAGCAGGAGCTGCCTTCTAAGAGCCTTAGTCTTTATCAAGATGGCATGGGCTAAGAATCCACAGTCACAGACTTACAAGGATTTGGGACTCAATCCAGGAGCAAGGCACCTGGGAAAATCTCCTGCCCAGTCTCTTGAGGGCAGGACGGGAGGCAGGTCCTCAGACTGTTACCCCAGTTTCCCAGATCTGGGCCTGGTAAGAAGCAACTGAAGCCCAGCAGGAGTCTTTCTAGATGCCAGACCATCTTATGTCAGGCCAATCTGGCATAAGGAGGGAGGAGATGGTCTGCAGATGTGAGAAGATGACCAAGCCTCAGGCCTCACCCAGCTCTCTGGGAGGCCAGCTCTGGGGAAAGAAACCTGTGATGGAGACGAGACAGGAAACTTTTGAGATAAAGACTGGAGAAGCCTGACACACACACGCACACATGCATCCCCACACCCTTAGTCCACGGGTCAAGATGCAGGAGCTCTGGCCAAAGCTGCCCCTGTGTAAAAACAGGCAGGACAGGAGCCCTCAGAGGCTCGGGCATTTTCCCACATGCCTAGGGCAGAGGGAGCCATGGCTTCCCTTAGCACAGCTCCAGTGCTGAGCCGGGATGGTGAGACTAGTGATGGTTAAGACTAGCGTCTGGGCCTTGCCAGCTCTACAGGACAGAGATAGCGATGTGAGACTGAAAGTTCCCTGCAGTAGCTGACTCCCTTGATCTGAGCCTGGCCAGAGCCTGTGGGTTGAAGACTTAGAGAACTCTCAGAAGAAGAAGATCTTAAGAGTAATATCTCCAGATCGGGCAGGGATGGGTGGGGGTGTGGGGGGGTGTGGGAAAGACATGAGAGAGGGCTTCTGCCATAGTCATTTAAGAAAGAATCAGAGAGGGAATCCTCTTTATTTAATCCTTTGCCTCGGGAGAGAAGGACCAAGGCAGAGTGTCCCACAGGGAGAGCCCAGCCTCTGAAATAAGAAGAGGCCACTCAGATAAGGGTCCCAGGCCCAGAGAAGACTGGGGAGTAGCTAAGGTGACTGTCTCCTGGTACAAAAATAGGTTGTCATTATCATGGTGCTACTGCTCTATTTTTCTTGCAGCTCTGAAAAGCAAGCAATGGAAGGAAATACGAGGGAAATTGACATCAGACATCAGAAAGTAATTCGTGCCTAGGATGCAGGTGGAATCTTCTGCTTTGAAGCATGTAAGAGGATAATTCCCCAAGACCACCCAACCCATCCCTAAGGTAGAGAAGTTCTGTAGGCCAAGGACTGACACAAAGGCTTTGGGGGACCAGGTGATCTTTGAGGATGGGGCAAAATGAGGCTCAATGGCAAAGTGGGGAGCAGACAGCCTGGCTGTCCTCAGCTCCCACTCAACTTCTGCCCACAACCTCCCCCTGCTGCCCTACTCACTGAGCCAAGGGTGCCATTTGCAGAAAGGGGGGCGGGAGGCCTGTGGTTTCTCTGAAGCTTTGATTTATTGCCTAATGCAGGCAAAGAAGAAAGAGGAGGCTCATCTCTAAGCCGGAGTCTTAGGAATGGGACGTGAGTCTTACATCTTCTGAAGGCCCAGTAAACAGAGCCCTGCTCTCTAATCCGGGCTGCAGGTCTGAGCCTGCCACTGGGCACAGACACACCACCAAGTAGGCCGCCTGCACTGTGTGTCTGTTTCAGAATGCCTCCCCTGCTCCCCAGGGCAGAGAAGTTTATGGGGAGAGAGACACAGAGAGGAGACAGGAAGAAGCAGAACTGAGAGGCAGGGAATAGTGGGGCAGGGAGAAGGAGAAGGGGGAGACAAGGTGACAACAGGAGAGACCCAAGGACAGAGCAGAGAGTAAGGGAAAGATAGAGACCAGAGAGCCCTGGGAGTTAGAGATTCACAGGCAGAGGGGCCAGAGACGAACAACACAGGGAAAGGAGAAAGTGCTTAGATGTGGAGTGTTGAACTTGACCAGCTGGAAGCCTGGAACTCATGGGCCAAGGCGGGCAGGACCACCACTAGCCCATCAGCACCTCTGAGTACATTTTTAAAAGATATCGCTTTCTGGGTGAATGCAGCCCCAAGCCAGGGCACAGGACGGGATTCAGCCCCTTCTCACTTCCTTAACCAGATGCTCTGGTGCAATGAACAACCTGCTCAACTGTACAAAGGAGACCTGCAAGTCAGGGGTAAGGGAGTAGCAGAGTTGGGAATGACTCACCACTTTAGGGAAGCCCCAAATGCTCATTCTGTTGCTCCAGCATCAGTCCCTAATATCCTCCTTTTCTTCCCAAACCAGACCCTGTGGCAACGCGACCTCCCTGGGAACCTCTCCTATCTACCTTCAGTCCCTATGCATCCGCTTCCTCCCAATTCCTCTTGCCCTCACTCATCATAAGCATATGAGGAGGCTTTGGGAGGACAGTCTTAGTTGGAACAAGGTGAGTCATGAGTTGAGGAGATTGTGTCTCAGCCTTCCTTTCTCTGAAATGGGCCATCAGTTTGATGGTAAGTGGAAGCTAGGTGGAATAACAAAAGGTCCTCTCCAACTCTCACTTTCCTTTTGCTTCAAAGGGAATAGGTAAAGGAGGAGCAGGGAGGAAGCAACATGAAGACCGAAGGAGGGAATATGTTTATAGCCAGAATGGAAACTCAGTACTGCAGCCACAGAGACAAAGGTTGGGTTGCAAGGGGAAGAAAAGCCAAAGAAAAGCCACCTGTATTTCCCCTCTCCAGAAACAGTCTTATCCGTCTCTTGGGCTAGAGGTCATGGGGAGAGACCTGTGGGTCTGTAACTGAACTCAGTCCCACAAAGACCTATGTCGATGGTCATTATACACTTTAATTTTTTTAAATGTTTCACTTCCTTTTAGTGTGGCTGAATGTAGCAGGTACAATTAAATGTTTATTTACAAATCATAAAGTTTGTTACAGACAAGGTGAAGCAAAGAAATGGAAATAACAATTGAAACTGAAAGTGAAGATAAGGAAATAATAAGCAAGTCAGTGGTAAACCAAGACTTGGGTTCTAAAACTTTGATTTGCTCACCATTCTCAGTGCTGCAGCTCTATGTAAAATGAGGTGTACCTATACTTACAGGATTTTCAGGCTGTAGAGACCAGAGAATGCTTGTCCTGGGATGTGTGAGAGATGGTTCCCAGAGAGACGCCTGGAAATCAGAGACAAGGGTCAGCGATGTTGGCAGGTAACCCAAGGAGGTGGTGACCTCCATAAGAAAGTGTCTTGAGATACGGGAAGGGAGGGCGGTGGTAAAAACTACTATTTATTGAAATCTACGATGCGTTTAATACTTCACATGCATTGCCTCAGTTCTCACAATAATCCTGTAAAGTGCCTATTATTTTCCCCAAATTTCAGATGAGGAAACTGAGGCTAGGAGAAGTCAACCACGTCCCCTAGGGGTCACAGAACCAGTCCATGGCAGAGCCTGGTGTTCTCACCCAGACCTGACTAATTTGAAGGCTCACGGCCACAGTTTCCCCACATCCTCTCCTGTGCTAACCTGGATTACCCACCGCCTGCTCTCAACTGCTGGACTGCATCATATGGTGTCATCAGTAGAGGGAGGAGTACCAGGGGGTGTGTCTGTGTCTCTCCAGGCCCTAAACTACACAGCTAACCCTCACTAATCCAAGAGGGTTAAGGAAATGGGGTGGTGTAATTCATCTAACATTCTGGTCTAATTAAGCGTTTCCATGTTTATCGGGGCAATCACCAATTCTAAAAGGAGCAAATGCAACGAAATACACTCAATGCTGAAACCTGACTGAGCAGAATTTAATGGTGGATGATTCAGAAGTCACTGCCTGATCTCCAAAGTCCCCAGGGACATTATTTTGTGCATCAGTTCCTACCAAGAGGCTTGTAGATGTGGAGATTGTGCTGGCATACCTCAGACACTATTTTTAAAACATATATCTCTAATAAAAGTCCCTTTATTTGACATTTATTGTTTAAAAAAAAACTATGTGGAAAGGCATCGTGACATCTGAGGTCTCCTAGCTTGGGTTCTGTAGGTGGGTATTTGCCGTGGAAAGGTCCTTTAGGTGGAGCCTCTAAAATGGGTCCAGACCTCTCAGGTCGTGGGAGACGGAAAGTCAGCCTGAAGTTCTCAGGTCGTGTCCAATGTCACCTGCCTGAGCTCCTTGGCCTTTGCTCTTGCTTTGCATTCCCATCTAAGCTGGGTCATCTCCCCTTCAAAAGGCCCCTCCACTGCCTCTTACCCTGTCCGTCTCCTTTGAAAACTGGTTTAATCTTCTTCCTCCAGGAAGGCTTTCCTGCCTACTGGCCAGGCCAACCCTGACCACTCCCTTACACAGAATGCCCTGGGTGCCTGAGCCAACAGCTGCCACACTCCCCTGCTGACTTGCTGGCCACACTACTCTTCAGCCTCACCTGGACATTCCCTGGGGGTGGCAGGAAGGCTTTTATCTTGTTTTCTCCCAGAGCACCTTGAGCTTGCCTGTCTACCAGAGGGGGTTCAACAAGTACTTGGTCTGGATACCAAGCCATGGCCCTGGGGGTCAAAACTCCAACAGGGGCAGGTTGACCGCATCCCTGGGGAGCACTGTCTAGGGTCACGGTGGCAAGGTCTGTTAGGGGAGTAGTGGGGCCAGGGTAGAGGTGAAATTGTGAATGCTTTCGGGGCCAGGAACTCACAGTTTGCGAAGTTTCTTTGTTTATTATTTTTTATTTAAATTCTAAAAGAGCTAGACAAATTCTAAAAGAGCTGTAACACTCAGTTTGAGAAGTTTAAGCAAAATTTCTAGAGCCGCAAGGATCTATGTGGTGTGAAAATTAGAAAAAACAGGGCTGGGAGGTGTTGGAAATACAGAGCTAGGATGAAAGCAAGGATTGGGACAGAATGACCTGGCTCCCCAGAGCAGGCAGTCCAGTCACTCTAATCCAGGAGATGATTTACTTTTGAGCACCCCTAGCATATAAGGCCAGATTGAAGAATCCCAACCTGAGAGTGACCACTGTGGGCAGGGATTCACCAGGGAGTACTTTGTGGAGGAAATGGGCCTTAACTGTAAGGGAGGGTCTAAGAAATGGATCCTTTAGGCCATGGGGAATTACAGAAGGCTTTTGAGCTGGTGAGATGCATCCTGAAGGTGTGCAGAGTAATTTAGAATGGAAGGAGGGCATCTGTCAGTTAGGAGGCTGGTTCAACCCCTAGATGTGAGGGGACATCTGGGGCAGTAGCAGTGGGACTAGAGAAGCGGGGTGGAGGTGAGAGACATCCCAGAGAAGAACCACCAGGACTTGGGGAGGGGCTGGTGGCTGGACACAGGGGATGACAGCAGGTCAAAGATGACTCCCAGGGAGAAGTTAGGAGGGAATGCTGCAAAGAGGAGCTGGTTTCAAAGAGGAATGAAAGCTAGATCCTAGACTTCCCATGCCATGTGGCCCAGCATGTCAATTCACACCTGGGGCAGGTGTCAGCTGAAGAACACCCTGCTGTCAAGAACTGTCTTAGCTTCCCAAGCCCCTTTCTCTTCTCTCCACCCCACCTCCTGGGGAGCTCTGGTTCCAGAGATATTAGACAGAGCCCATGCTTGCCTCCCACCCTGCAAAGCATCTACTCACAGCTCCTCCAAGAAGCGCAGGTGGTGGAAGAGGCCAGGCTGAAGCTCTGTGAGGTTGTTCATGCTGAGGTCCCTGGTGGAGAGAAGATGGAAAAAGGAGCTGTGAACTCCCCACTTGGGCCATCTGGCACTGTCCAGGTGCCAACCCCCCTCGAGGGACCTCCGAGGCTCCCACAGTACCCCCCACCAGGCCATTCTGACTCCAAAGCCAGTCTGACAACAGCAGCTGCGTTCTCTCTAAGAGCAAGAACTGAGCTGGGAGTCAGGCCTCCCGGGTCATTTGGTGATTCTCTCTATATGGTCTCCCACTTTCCCCTCTGCCTTTCACCTGTCCTTTGTGAGACTCCCCTGGGACTGGCTGTGATTGGGATTATGAAGGAAACTGGCCTCCCTATAAAGCGAGGAACTAGAGTAAAATTCATAGAATTTCAGAGCAGGAAGGGAAGGATCGCCAAATACAAATAATATCTCACCCACTCTTTTTACTAGTGGGGAAACTGAGGCCCAGAGATCACTGCTATTTCAATCTATGGAGCAGGCTCATTCAGTATTCATGAACTGGTACGACTGTCCCTGGGCTCCCCTTGGGGGACCAACCTCTGATTCAATCCCAGAGCTAGTGGCATTTCACTGCCCTTTGAGGTGTCTACCAGGCTCTACCTGTTTGCTTCCCTTAGTCCAGGGGTCCCCAACCCGGGGGCAGCAGACCAAAACCAGGCGGAACATAGAGAGGGAGGTGAGCAGGCTGGTGAGCACTCCCGCCTGAGCTCCACCTCCTGTCAGATCAGCCGAGGCAGCAAAAGATTCTCATAGGAGTGTGAACCCTACTGTGAACTGCGCATGCGAGGGGTCTAGGTTGCATGCTCCTTATGAGACTCTAACTAATGCCTGATGATCTGAGGTGGAACAGTTTCATCCCGAAACCATCCCCCACACTCCACCCCTGTCCGTGGAAAAAAATTATCTTCCATGAAACTGGTCCCTGGTGCCAAATAGGTTAGGGACCACTGTCTTAGTCCACCTGGAAGACATGACACCTTGGCACATCACAGAACTGGCACACCACTAGATTCCCAGGTGGGGTAAGGATCCCAGTCCCTCTGCGGATCCACAGCCTCAATCATCTTAAGCTCATATTATCTGACAGACCCTGTGGGTGGTTTCAGTGTCACTGTCCTCTTAGAGGCCCCGCACACAAAATAATCACAATAATTACCCTGGCATTTACTGCAGGTCCACTCTGTGTCAGACACCGGCTAATCTTTACCCAAACAACCTCCTTCCATTCTCACAATAACCCCAAATTAGCTTCCATCATTATCTCCATTTTACACTCAAGAAAACAGAGAGAAAGGAGCACTGAGCTTCGAAGTCAAAAGGCCCTGAGGTCACATCTCTCCTCTGCAGTTACCTATCAGACGTTGGGCCCTTGACCTCTGGGCCCCTAGTTGACCTCATCTATAAAAATAGGGCAGCACCAAGCTGGTAGGGTGCTTGTAAAGATTAAGTGAGCTAATGCTTACAGACTGCCTAATAAATAGTATGGACAAGGTACATATTTGCTTTTCTCCTCTTGCCTTTCCCTCGGGGTCCTGTGGGCAAGTGTCCCAGCCCCACAGGCCGGTGGGAGAGGGGCTGGTGCCTTTTCACAGGCCTGTGGGGCTGGGACACTTGCCCACAGGACACTGAGGGAAAGATGGAAGGAGGAAAGTAGTAGAGAGGAGTTGGTACCTTCCTCTGTGGGTCCTACCCTGTGTTGGCATCTTCTTCACAGTTTGTGCCTGGATGAGCAACAGTGTGTGAGACTGTGTGTGTGTGCCTGACACATTTGCATTCCATCCTACTTCAAACTCCTAATGCCTGATTCTCGTCTCTGCCTGCCCCTTCCCTGAGGGGGTACAGAGGTGGGCTCAGACCAGACCACCACAAGCTGGGCACTGCCCCCAAGCCTTCTTGAGGCTTTCTCCTTTCCCTAGACATGCACTGTTGCCCTCAAACCTCAGTGTCTGCATTTCCCCCCAAGAAATGCGTGTGCTTTCTGTGTGCCCAGAAAGGCAGGCTGGGAACAGCCTGGAGAGCGTGTGCTTGGGAGTCCTGTTCCAATCTATAAAAAGACTGTTTAGTCTCAAATGTTTTATCTTTGATAAAGCCTGGGCTCTGGACTCCATGTCCTCCAAGGAAGGAAGACATTCCGTGCAGGGTAGAACCAAGGAACTGGCATGCTGCACCCAGCGCTGCTTCTCATCTACCATTCCCTCCCTGCTCCCCTGCAGAACACCTCTGGGCTTGCCGGTCTAGAAATGGGATCCGCAGAAGCTGTAGGTGGTGTGCTGTGGCCATAGTTTCAGGTGGGAGAGAGGCAGAACCCAGAGAGTTTGTTGATGGATTTTTTTTTCCCCAGAGTTTCACTGTTGTCACCCAGGCTGGAGTACAGTGGTGTGATCTCGGCTCACTGCAACCTTCGCCTCCGGGGCTCAAGTGATTCTCCTGCCTCAGCCTCCTGAGTAGCTGGGATTATGGGCACCTGCCACCACGCCTGGCTATTTTTGTATTTTTAGTAGAAATGGGGTTCATGATGTTGGCCAGGCTGGTCTCGAACTCCTGACCTCAAGTGATCCTCCTGCCTTGGCCTCCCAAAGTGCTGGGATTACAGGAGAGAGCCACTGCGCCCAGCCTGTGGATGGATTTTAAGCCAGGGTTTGGTCCTCAGGATGTTTTCAGGCCCCACTAGTCTTGGATTGTGGCTGAAATGCGAAGGTGCAGGAGCACACTGGACAGTGTCAGGGGAACGTAGGGTGGCACCCACAGAAACCCAAGCGCAGAAGCTGGGCCAGATCGGACTCCTCCCCCTGGTGTCCCACCCCTGGCTCATTCTCAGTGAGGCAGGAGGCTCGAGGTGCCGAAAAAAAATGATTACCTCTAAATATTTACCCTGTGCATTTCTGGATGTGTCTCGACAGGAACGCAGCGGGAGTTCAAGGAGCACTCAGGGCGTGTGACTCAGGCCTCATCACTCAGCTGTCCCCCCAGGGGCCGGGCCGCAGAGCCTCTGATGTCCCTCCATGGCCCCCACCCCACCCACTCCCTCTGCCCCACCACCCTGACTAGCGGCCTCATTGTTCTCCCCTGCGGAGGAGGGGGCCTGAACCCCTCCACCCGCCCCCACATCCTGCCCCAAAACAACACAAAGCCCAGCTGCAGTGCTCAGTAAAGGGGGTGGGGTGGGGCAAGGAGGGTGAATTTCAACTGTTCAGGGGTGGAGGGAGCCCCATTCAGGGCTGGCTCTCTCACAAAAGGAAAAGGGGTAAGGCTGGTGCCAGGGGAAGGGGAAGGAAGAGGAGCGTGCAGAGCTGGAAGAGGGAGGTGAAGTGGGGATTTCAAGGCCGAGAGCCACCAAGCCAATGCCACCAGCCCTGGGAATGGCTAAGAGCCCTGGCAAGAGGCACTGGGCCCTGCTGTGGGGAGGCTGTGCCTGCACAATGACAGGGAAGGAACTGACACACAGAAACTCCAAACACAGAGGTTGCTCTGTCATGTTGGTATGTTGGTGGTTCCTACTGACATATGACTGTCCTGGGAGGTTGGTTGTGCAGCTGGTTTTTTGTGCAACTCAGAGGGCACAGCTCAAACATTCAGGCCCTGCCTGGACCCAGGGGAAATAAGAGGACACCTTGATCCTTGGGTGCTTGGGGTTTGGTTGTGGCTACATCCACTTGGCTGCATGAACTTGTAGACATGTACAAGAAGTGGGGGTCATGGGATGGGATAGCTGGGCTCTTGGATGTACTTGTTTTGAGGGTGCTGGGCATGTGTGTGTCATGTGTGAGGGCACATGTGTTTATCTGTACCTATGCATGTACAGCAAGGGGATTGAGATGATGGGTTGTAACTCCATCCTGAAGCCTTCTTCCTGGGAGCCCTTGGGATACCCAGAAGGGCTATGAGTCCTCTCAACTGGACACAGCCATGATGGGATGGGAATGGGAAATGTCTCAGGGAGAGACGTGCAGGAGGGGAATGGAGAGGAGAGAAGAGAGGGGCAGTTGTGGGCATGGGACGTGGAAGTTTCTGGCTGCACATGAGGAAAATGTTCTCAGAGTTTCACCCTGTGAGGCAACCAGACCACCCAAGGAAACTGGGTAAGGTGGTGTCACCATGGAGACAGGGAACAGGTTTGATAAGAGGGAGGATGCTGGGGGATGGAGGGGTCAGAGAGCAGCTGAAAGGGGCTGGGGTCATAGAAGACCCTCCGCCGAGGCAATCTGGCTCATATCCCAGGGCCCGAGGGGATTGGGTCTGTTTGAATTTTTCCTATGGGAAGAAGAAACAGTGAAAAACAAGCCCCTGGGTCCCCTGGGGTGGACCTGGGGGAACTGTGCCCACCTGCCCCGCTGGAGAAAAGACTGGAGGGGCAGAAACCCCTTTTCCACTGCCCCACTGTGGACTCAGGTTGCCCATCTCTGCAGCCAGGAAAAGGCCAGTTATTTTATTTATGTATAGATTTAAGGCATATGACTTGATGATCTAATCTCTGTATACATTGTGAGATAATCAGCACAATCAAACTAATTAAGATAGTCATCACCTCACATAGTGTGTGTGTGTGTGAATGTGTGTGAGTGTATGTGTTTGTGTGTGTGTGTGTGTCTGATAGGAGCATTTAAGATCTGCTTTCAGGAAAAGGCCAGCTACAGTGGCCAGGAGCCGAGCCCCTGGGGTTGGCTATGCCCCACAGTCCCCTCCTTTGTGAGGTGCTCCCAGAACCCCGTCCCCACAGTATTTTGCATATGATCACTCAACAGTGCTTACTGAGCACTTACCATGCATGTAGCACAGCACCTGCCGTTGTTATCCCCCCAGGACAACACTCACTAGCTGTGTGACCCTGGTCATGTCACTTCCCATCTCTAAGTCTCCATTTTCTCACCTGTGATATTGAAATAATGACACTAGCTACCTCACAAGAATTGTAGTGTGGGCCGGGCGTGGTGACTCACGCCTGTAATCCCAGCACTTTGGGAGGCTGAGGCGGGTGGACCACCTGAGGTCAGGAGTTCAAGACCAGTCTGGCCAACATGGTGAAATCGCGTCTCTACTAAAAATACAAAAATTAGCCGGGCCTGGTGACAGGTGCCTGTAATCCCAGTTACTTGAGAGGCTGAGGCAGGGAGAATCACTTGAACTCAGGAGGCGGAGGTTGCAGGGAGCCAAGATCATGCCACTGCACTCCGAACGGGACGACAGAATGAGATTCTGTCTCAAAAAAAAAAATTGTAGTGTGAAGTATATGAGTAAATAAATATAAAACACAGTGCTGGCCGGGCGCGGTGGCTCATGCCTGTAATCCCAGCACGTTGAGAGGCCAAGGTGGGTGGATCACCTGAGGTCAGGAGTTCGAGACCAGCCTGGCCAAAATGGCGAAACCCTGTCTCTACTAAAAATACAAAAAAATAGCCAGGTGTGGTGAAGGTCACCTGTAATTCCAGCTACTTGGGAGGCTGAGGCAGGAGAATTGCTTGAACCTGGGAGGATGAAGAGGTTGCAGTGAGTCAAGATCATGCCACTGTACCCCAGCCTGGGCAACAAGAATGAAACTGTCTCAAAAAAAATAAATAAAATAAATAAATAAATAAAACCCAGTGCTCAATAACTATGCCTTATTATTAATATTCTACTCATCTAACTGAATTATAATTATTAGTATAGAATGACACAGATGACTATGTGTTTCTTCAAGGCAAGGACTTAACCTTAGTCATCTGTGTATCCTCCAGTCCTATCAGGGTGCCTGGCAAATGGGGTGCTCAATAAATATCCAAATGAGTGCATTACTCTCATACACAGGTGATGTTCCTGTGGCTGAGCCTTTACTCTAGGGAAGTTCTTCTACTGCCTAGTGTCAATGTCTCCCCCAGCTGCTACAATGGCCTAACCTCTATAAAGAAGCTACCCCATGCTTAGTTCCAAGCCGGCACCCAATCAATGAAGGCTGTTGCTCACAGCGCTCCCTGTTCTCTTAATTAGGCATCCTCTAGAGAAGTTAAAGTGAGGTCCTCCTCCAAATAATCCTTTGGCTCCTGCAGTGGACCAGCAGCTTTCTCCAGAGCCTTCTCCTCTCAGTCTCTGACTAGGGCTTAACGGGCTGCCCAGACAACCTTCAGCAGCAACCCCTCCCCATGAGGGCCAGGCTGAGCCGGGCACATATCCTGCCATGGCAGGAGACAGCTCGTGGTTTGGCAAGGAGCAGGACAGGCCACTGTTGAGAGTCCAAAGGTGGGGTTCTCTCCCACTGAAAAAAGCCAGGAAACAGGCTGGCCGCCACGGAGACCATTTGGTGCTCAGAGAACACTTGCTGAATTTTTCTGTCAACAAGAGAAGCAGGTGATGGGGTAGAGAGGAAAGAACACAGAATCTGGAATCAGAGGACCTGGTTCCATTAGACGAATGCTAAGTTCCCGGCCAGCCCTGAAGGTCATGAAGTTGTTTTCCCATGGGCTTCTGTGCACTGAGCTCAGTGCTGTGTGAGATGGAGACAAAGCCCAGGACAAGGTCTGGGCCATCAAGGAGTTGACAATGTTGCTGGGGAAGGACTTTTTACTCACAAAGGGACGGCAAACCTCCATATATGTACTCCGCTTTGTAGTTTACAAACTGCTCTGCAGCCCTCCCAATTAGGTTCTAGACCATGTGCCCAGACTGGAGAGTACAACAGACACTCAGGAGAGAGGGTCAGCAGAGAAGGCTTCCCGGGCAGAATGAGTTGGGGCATGGATGAGACGTGAGCAACCCACAGAACTGAGTTCAGAGAGGAAAGCACCAGAGAGCACCTCATGTTACTTGTGGGGGCTCCGTTGGCATTGTGGATGAGCAGTTCTTTACTGGGCGGGACTGTCCCACTCGCTGCAGAGCTTTTTGCTTCCCTGGCCTTGCTCATAAGTGTTTGGAGCATCTCCCTATTATTGTGACCATCAAAAACACCCCATGAGCCTGGACAACATTGCGAGACCTCATCCCTATACAAAATTAAAAACTAGCCAGACCCGGTGGCACACACCTAGGGTCCCAGCTACTTGGAAGGCTGAGGCAGGAGAATCCCCTGAGCTTGGGAGTTTGAAGCTGCAGTGAGCTAGGGTAGTACCACTACACTCCAGGCTGGACAACAGACTGAGACTTTCTCTCTTAAAAGAAAATTTTAAATGAAGAAAAACACCCCATGCATTTCCAAACACCCCCTGAATAGCAGGCGCTTTCCTCTACCTACACTCCTTCAATTTGCTAGTGCAGGAACAGACTCAGAGGAACAAAGTTACCTAAGGACACATGGCAAGTTCATGGCAGAGTGGGTGTTACAAGTAGGTCTCCTAAAATCCTGGGGGATGCTCTTTCCACCCACCAGATTGATCTTAGTTTCTAGCACAGCCTCCCCACTTTAGATGGCACCTTCTTACCAGAGATGACTTGAATACTAGCTATCATCTTTGAGATTCCAAACACACAAGATGACACAAAGTTGTCTCAGATTTTTTGCAATTTTCACAAATATCCAAACAAGGGAGTGTACTTCCATCAGGAAAAAGTGTGTCTATCTTCACACACACATAAGAGCACAACCTGTTCTCTCTGGCTTTGCACAGAGTCCTGCGTGAGAACAATGCTGTATTTTTAAATAAAAGGGCTACTGCTTTATTTTGCCCTTTCTTGGCTCCCTTGTTGGTAAAAGGAATGTCTCCCAGACTGCCTGGAGTGGCAGGAGGGCTTGTGATGGAGAGGACAGGATGTGGGGGAAGATAGTAAAAGAGAAGCTGGAGGGGTGCCTGGAGTGGGGGGTTATTTGTGAGGGGAGAGAGAGTCCCTGGCAGTTGCTAAGCAAAGGCAAACCTTGTGCAGGTCAGACTGAGCCAGGGAGATGCTGGGCACCCACAGTGTCGCCCGAAGGTGACCCAATTCATTCAGGTGGGGCTGGGAGGGATAAAGGCAGGGGAAGACATTCCTAAAAGTCAGGGGAGAGAAACAAAAAGGTGGGGTTTTTTGTTTTTTGTTTTGTTTTGTTTGCCCTGAGTTAAAAGACCATGGAAGTCAGAAGTCAGAGACTGTCCACTGCATCGTGGTGTTTCATCGATGTGGTGTGGGGCTCCTAAAACCCTGATGGCAGAGAAAGGTCAGGGAGGGACGAGACCCAGGAGAGGTTCCTCTCTCTCAAAAATGCTAGATTTGGGAAATCATGGTTTGGCACCACCACAGGAACCAACTTCAGGTTAAATCGTATTGCTCTGACCTCTTCTTACTGAAAGGGGTTAATCTGACAGCAACAGCATGCCAAGGGTGTGGGCCCCTGGGCAGAGTGAGGAGATGGAGACAGTTCTGGGGCCGGTCCCCACCCTCAGCACTGCAGGGGAATCCTCCTGGGAGGGACTTAGGCCCATCGCAGGCTGAGGGGACATCTCTAGCTCTCCCCGGCACAGCTGTGAAGCTGGAGTGGCCCACACAAGTTCCTGAATCCCAGTCAGAAGTGTTACATCAGGTCAGGTGCAAAAGGTCACTCCTGCCCCCATGCAATTAGTTGTGGCTCTCAGAGAGCCTGGGGAGGTGTTCCCCTGCCTGTGCCCAGAGCCAGGAGAAGCTTCTCAAGAGCAAAGCGTGGCACTGGGATTGCATAATGTGTGTGTGTGCTTCTCCTTCAATGGCTCCTTCCTCCTTGCCAAGCCATGCCACCCACAGGCAGAGAAGTTAAAGGGACCCAGGCCTCCCAGGCCCAGCCGGAGCCACAGTGTGACCTGAGAACAGCCCAGGAGTATGACAGAGCAGAGCCTCTGGAGAGGAATGAAAATATGGGGGACTGCTTCTGGGCCCCCTCTGCTCTCTACTACCTCTCTGAGAGACAACGCAAGACCTACACTGTCCAGCGCAGTGGCCACTAGCCGCTTGTGACTATATTTAAGTTCATTAAAATTAAATTTAAAATGCAGTTCCTTAGCTGCACTAGCCACATTTCAAGGCTCAATAGCCACATAAAGATAGTGGCTCCTGTATTGGACAGCACAGTTCTAGAACACATCCATCATCGCAGGGCATTCTATTGGGCAGCAATGGTACAGCCTCTGTTGTCAGACTGACTTGTGTTTGATTTCCAGCTCTGCCACTTACTGGCTTCTGCGATTTTGGATAATTACTTCACCTGTCTTTGTCTTAATTTCCTCCCTGGTAAAGTGCTTAGGCAGTGCCTAGCACATGGTAAGTAACCAACAAATGTTACCTTTGAGCATCACCACCCAACTCAACCATTTACTGAAGCCCAGTTCAAGTACCTCCTCCTGCAAGAAGCCTCCAACTTTCAACCATTCATTTAGTCATGCAGCCATTTGTCTATTCAACATTTATTGAGCACCTAGTATACATCAGGCACTATGCTAGGTGACGAAGCGGCAAAGTCCAATCACAGATGCTCCCTGTCCTCAAAGAGCCAAGTAAGTGGGGACAATGACAACAGAGTGGACAATTACAAGCCTGAGTGACAAGTGCTGGGACTGGGACTTAAGTGTCACAGGGCTTCCTCAGACTAATCCCTTTGGCCTTTTGACTCTGATCTCTGCAGGTTCAGTCACAAAGTGAGGCCACACGATCCTGTGCTCGATTAAAACTGTCATCTCCTAATCTCAGACTGCTCATTCATGTAGCTGGTCTCCCCAGACAGGCTGGGAGCTCCTCCACAGCTCCCAGTTGTCTGTCCTTGTCACATACACACGCAGCTTCAAGGCTCATTTTCTACAGCTTCCGAGGGGTGGGCATCCCACCTGCGGGTCCTGGACAAGGGATTGAAGAGGGACGGAAGACAGATTCTGAGGCAGGAGGGAAATGGAATGAATCCTGCACATGAAAACGGCAGTGGCTGTGCATTAGAGGACTTGGCCACTCAATCCTGCTAAGCCTGGTCTCCCCTGACTCACCAGCATCTCTTCTAGCCCTCATTCTGATCTCCAGCTCCATCTAGGAGGGCACTGTTTCTGTGTGTGGAGGTATGTGGGCGTGAATTCTGTTCACCCTATCAGACTGGAAGCCCCTTAGAAAGAAGGACTGAGATATCCTATTAGATCAGACCTCTCCATGGGTAAAAACTGCACTTCCCTCCTCGCATGGAAATCCCTGAGCTCCCAGCCAGGGCCACCAGAAGAGGAACTGGGTGGAGCTGATGCAGGTGGGAAGAACTAGGGTGCACAAGGATTGGGGAGGTGAAGTCAGACCACATCTCTGAGCCTTGTTTGTTTAGCTGAAGCTCCTTGTCCTGCTGCCTTTATTTCATGGATAAACAGGCAGGGTGTGTCTGGGGGTGGAAAACTGGAGAAAGCCCTCTATTCAGAGTCCCACCCTCACCACCCCCACCACCCTCACTAACCCCATCCCAGATGGGAGCTTTTCTTTTACATCAGAGCACCCTCCTTCCCAACCCAGCAACTCAACTCACCAACGCGCGCGCGCGCACACACACACACACACACACACACACACACCCAGGTGCACCCAAACACCATTTACCCCTACCCTAGCCAGAGGGTTTTCTAAATTGGACAGGATCCCAGACTCAATTTGAATCTAGGAGAAAAGAGCAGAAGATAAAGTTCAGAGCATATAATAAAAAGAGCTACGTTTGCTGGATCACACACTGTGCTAAAGATTTCACTGACCCATTTTACAGATGAGGTTCAGCAAAATTAAGAGGTTTCGCCACCTTTCCGCCTCTCCAGACCCCCACTCCACGTCTTTGCAGTTTATAGAGCTCTTGAACATCCTTGGTTTCATTTAATTTGATCCTTTTTAATAGGTCAGGGAACGAAGCATTATTTATTCCCATTTTAAATGAAGAAACGGAGATTCGGAAATATCAAGTTACTTCCCACTGTGCCACAAAGTTAAGAATTGGCAGCGCGAACCCACGCCAGGTGGTTCAGTGGAGCCCCTAGCTGCACGCACGTACCCGGGAGCTAAGCGGCGGCCCCGGGGGCGGGGACCAGCCTCGCGCGCGCGCCCCTGCCCACCCCAGCCCGCCTGGCCGTGCCCCTGCCCGCCCCTGCCCGCGCCGCCCGCTCCATGGCTGAAAGGGTCCGGAAGTGGGGAGGCGGCCTCGGCTCCCAGAACAATGGAAGGGGATTAGGGCCGGCCCGGGTAGCGCCCCACCCGTCGCGTCGGTTTCTGGGTCCTGCTCCCCAGGGCTGCGGAGGACCTGTGGAACTTTCCGGAGCTCGGCACCCTTCCCCCAAGCCTACCTGGGCGCACCGCGCCGTGCACTCCCAGCCCGGGAGAGGTTCTGTCCCGCCCTCGCTGAGCGGCCCTCTCCCTCCAAGCGCATTCCGGCCCCTGGGACCTCGAGTGCCAGTTCTGCGGTCCAGTGCCCGCCACCCTCCGCGCTGATCCTCTCTCGTTCTGCCGCTTCTCTCGTATGCCCTTCCCTCTGGATAGCGCCCCACCCATCTGCCCTCTTCCCTAACTCCCGAACTATTTGGTTCATCAGAGCTATAGAAAGACTAGATCCAAGATCTGGATCTAAAATACCTGCCCAACAAGAAGTCCTTCCTGATACCTAGCCTCACTCCCTCATGCTGCAGTTGGACTGAATAGAGTTCTCTGCCTGCCCTTATAATGTAATCCTCAGTGGCTCTGGGGTCAGACTGCCAGAGTTTGTATCTTGGCCCTAACACTTAGCAGTTGTTTGATATTGGACTAGTTCCTTTCCTCTCTGTGCCTCAGTTTCTGCATCTATAAAATAGTATCTAATATTCCCCATAAGATAATGTTGTGAGGTTTAAATGGGAGAACCCATGGGTGTAGCATGAATGTCAGTGGACATCCCTCTCCTCACCTGCATGTAACCAACAGAGCCCCTCCTGGTGGAGAAGCAGGGCTATAAAGTTAGGAAAGATAGGCTGGGGAGGCTGTGGGTAGAGGAGGGCGTTCTGGGTCAGCCCTGCCCTTAGGAGGCAGCAGCTGCCGCTTCTCTCTGGTGCCTCCAAGTGAGTGCCACCTGCCTCGCCCCTGATCTTCTCATCCTTTGATCTTCTGATCTCTGGCCAGGGTCTCCCAGCCAAAGGCATTCCTGTCTCCCTTGCCTTCTCCAAGGAAAGGCAAAGGGCTGGACTCCCTCCCTTTGCCCCAAGCTCCTTCCTCCCTCCCCTGTGTTGTGTGTGTAACTAAGACTACCAGTCAGGCCCTGGGACGAAGTAACAGCCAGGACCCCTAAGGTGGCAGTGTCTAGGGGGAGAAGAGGACATGGGGAAGTGTTGGACATCGGGGCTGTTACTGGGCATGATGCCCTGGCTGGACCAGACACTGCTGGAAAGGTGACTTCAGCCCAAGTTCCTTATTGCCAGAACCAGTTTATGCAGAGCCCTGGATGAGCACTGGAGAAAGTGTGTGTGCCCCTGTGAACAGTGTGTGTTCCCTGCCCTCAGGAAACTTCGGTCTGAGGAGAGATTCAGACCCACAGATACTGCTGGACAGAGCCTTATACATTAGTGCTGGAGGAATCTCAAGTACCTGTGGGTCAGGGAGGGCTTCCTGGAGGAAGCTTGGCCTGAGCTGGCCAAGAGAGACATGATTTGCCATCAGAAAGTGGCCTGCCTCAGAGCTGTGCAAAGGGGGGAAATGAGCTGGGGGTGTTAGCATGGGAGTGAGGGAAAGTGTGGTGGATGAATGGTGGCCTCCCTAAAGGTGTGTCTACCTCATAATCCCTGGAACCTGTGAATATGATCTTACTTGAAAAAACGGCCTTTGCAGATGTAGCTAAGTAAGAGATCTTGAGATGAGGAGATCCTCCTGGATTATCTGAGTGGGCTCTAAATCCAATGTCAATTGCCCTTGTGTAGACACGCAGAGCTCACACACAGAGAAGAAGGTGAGGTGAAGACAGAGGCAGAGATTGGAGTGATGTGGTAACCACGAGAAGCTGGAAGAGGCACGCAGTGGGTTCTCCCCTAGAGCCATTGACAGGAATGTGGCCCTGCTGACATCTTGATATTGGGTTTCTGGCCTCCAGAACTGTGAAAGAATAAACTTCTGTTGTTTTAGGCCACCCAGTTTGCGGTACTTTGTCACGGCAGCCACTGGAAACTAACCCAGGTAAGCGGGGAACAATCAGCAGAGCCTCAGTGTGCTGCTGGTCCTCAAGCCCCTCTTCCCACTGTGGCTTCCTCCTGTCCTTCCCTCTGCTCGCCCTCCATCACTGGCCCAAGCCAGTGACCCATCCCACACTTCTCCACCTAGGAAAGTCATTCTCACCCCCTTGAGACTCCCTTGGATCTACTCTGATCCAGCAATTCCATTGCTGGGGACTTAACCAACAGACACACATCCATATGCTCACTAGACAACCGTACGAAACTGCTCATAGCGGTGGTAGCCATGATACTCCCAACTAGAACATGTCTGGTTGCCCATCGACAGTGGAATGCGTAAACTGGGTTGTATTCACCCATAGTAAGTACCATGCCACAATGAGGATGAACGAACTATGACCACCAGCAACAACATGGGTGAATCCTCAAACATGGTGAGGAAAAGAAGCCAGATGCAAAATAATGCCCCATTTATGATAAGGTTCAAAACACAGGCACAGCCTACCTATGTTGTTAGAAATCACGATCGTTGCTATCTTTGTGGGGGTGGGTAGTGACCAGCAGAGGGCATGGGGGTGGAGGGCTTCTGGAAAGCTGATGATGTTCTCTTTCTTGGTCCAGGTGCTGGTTACACAAGTGTATTTGCTTATGGAAATGTACCAAGCTATACACTTATGATATGTACGCTTTTCTATTATGTATATTATATTTAGTTTAAAAAAACAAACTCTGGGCCAGGCGCAGTGGCTCACGCCTGTAATCCCAGCACTTTGGGAGGCCAAGGCAGGCGGATCACTGGAGGCCAGGAGTTTGAGACCAGCCTGGCCAACATGGTGAAACCCCATCTCTACAAAAATATAAAAATTAGCCGGGTGTGGTGGCACATGCCTGTAATCCCAGCTACTTGGGAGGCTGAGTCAGGAGAATTGCTTGAACCTGGGGGGCTGGGAGGCAGAGGTTGCAGTGAACCAAGATCACACCACTGCACTCCAGCCTCGGTAACAGAGTGAGACTCTGTCTCAAAAAAACAAACTCTGAAAGTCTTCGTGAACCTCAGGCTTTCTGAGGGCTCCCCTCTAGGTTCCCATGGCATCTCATGAATAATTCTCAGTTTTTATGTCATTAAATGAAATTGGATGTTTATTTCTGTATATTGTTTCATCATACTCATCTGTGTATCCCCAGCACTTTCCCCAGGCTCTGGCACATAGTAGATGCTCAATAAACACTTGAGATTTGCTGGCATGGCCATGGGCTTTGGTGTTGCCAGGCTTCTCTCCCAGGGTTAACTGGCCATTGGCCCCAGTTCCCTGGATCTTCACAGGATTCCACAATGAGACACATTCCTTCCCACTGCTGCCCCATCCTACCCACCTTCTAAGTCCCCCCACAACCAGCCTATGCTTGTCTCCTGCCTCATGCTTAACGCACACAATGGTAATTTTCTGACCCAATTGTAATCTCTGTTAATGCAAAATTCAAGTCTTACTTATCTGGGATCTTCAGAGCCTAGGCAAGTGTCGGGCACACTGTGGAGATTCAAGAACCCACAGCCTCAAGTTGCTAGAGTCCTCTATCCAAGCCTAGGGGCAGGCACATACCTTTGTTCGTCCTAGCTTGTTTGGAATTGGATGGAAATTTTCAAAAGAAGTTTTCTTTAAAAAAAATCAAGAGAATGAATAGGAAAGGCAAAAGCTTCTAAGTGGAAGGGTTTATAGAACAGATGTCTCACTCTAATGAAACCCAAGCCTGGCCACGAGCTGACTGGCTGGCAGCTTAAGAGGCTCCCCAGTGCGGCTCCATCCTCACCGCAGCCGTCTGGGTTGGAAGCCACACCTCGGGCTCCTGCCTGTGGTGGAGCCAGGTTAGTGCTACTACCAGGTCTGAAGAGGGCTGCCCTCCCTCCCTCTCTCTCAAATAGGTCCATCTGCTCCAGCCTAGGGTTTTTGTTTTTTTTTTTTTTTCTGCTCTGTACCTCCCAGCCTCTGGCCAGTCATTTGTTCATTCATTCATTCACTCATTCATCTCTTTACTCATTCCACCAATATTTTTGAGCATCCATGTGCAGAGGGCTTGGGCCAGCACTGAGGATACCAGGAGAGCAATGGTGGCCAGGCCCCTGCTTTCTTGGGGGTCCCAGCCTGGTCTGAGAAACAGACAAGTAACCAGGAATCTGAACCCAAGGGAATGAGCCTTGCGGCAGGGCAGGCACACAGAGGGGAGGCCTCCCCCAGAGTTGAGGGATTAGGGAAGGTTTCCCAGAGGAAGAGACATCTCAGTCAGCCCCTTACATCCTAAATGAAGCTGATGCTTCCTTGCCTCTTCCAAATACCCCACCAGAGCAGCAGGCTTCTGGTCTGAACCCATTTCTTCACCACATCCTTGCAGTAAATCAACCGTGATGTCCATAGGGCTGTTTCTTATAGACCTGGATATAAACCAATGGTGCATCACCTAAGTACAAACTAGGTAAAAGCATTTCTGTAGGAGATGGAGTAGAGAGTGGCTGTCCAGCAGCTCCACTGATGATCTGACTTATTCCATGAATAAGCTTGAGGCAGTGCTTGGCAAACCCTAAAATGAAGATTCTGGCTCAGTAGGTCAGGGTTGAGGCCTGAGCTTCTGCATTCCTCACACACTCACAGATGATGCCGATGCTATGCTGCTGGGCTGTGAACCATACTTCGAGTGAAAGGCTTTAGGATATCCAAGGGAATCCATAGAATAAACCTCCTTTAAGCAATCTTTTATAAATATGTTTTAAATCACTTTTTTTAACTAAGTATTGACCAGGCTGACTCATAGAAATATGCCACTGTGGCCTGGTCTAGACAAAGGTGTCTGGCCAAGGGGCCAACCAGAGGACAAAATCTGCTCCTGCCCCACTCATCAACTCTGCCCGCTCCCCACGTGGTAGGGCCACTGGGGCAAGGGGCACCCTTTTCTATTTCTCACAAAGATGTTGCCTGGACTAGCTGCAGCCCAGAACACTGTGGGGCGGGCAGGCTGAGTGGATGTGTGGATTTCTGAGGAGGAGCAGGGAGAGGCCTCTGACCTCCTCAGCAGCAGGCAGCCCCTCCAGGATCCCTGGGGATGGCAGGTGTGGCGTCTCCAAGGTTGCCTTTATAGGCCAGGATCCCTTCCTCATGGAGAAAGTGAAATGAAACCCAGGTCACCCCACCATTGCCTATGGGGCTAACAAAGAAGGGGTTAGCTTTGGGCTCTCTCCCCTCTGGCCAAAATAGGAGGGAAACTTGGGGACACTATGATAGGAAGGAGGAGGGACTCTAGGAAGAACTTCCCAGTGATCACATTCCCAGGGGGTCAAACACTAAGCAAATGGTGGGGTGTAATGACTTGATCTGCCCATCTGGAGGTCCCAGCCGAGGTTAGGGGTAAGGGGCTGGAGTAAGGTGTCAGAAGGGCTCCCCAGGCCAAGTTTCTGAGCTTCCAAGCCTTCCCCTCTTACTACACTCTTTACCCCTATGGCTCTAGGGCCATTTGCTCATTGGCACTGGGCATGCTAGGGTTCCAGGGGTTAGCCCAGGTATTTCCTGACCCCAAGCCCCACCCCCAGCAGGTGCCCTGGGCCCCGCAACATGGTGCCTTTGCGCCCCCATGCCAATCTAGACAGTGAAGCTAATGCTTTCTGGCAGGTGGAGGCAGGGCAGGCAGAGGGGGAGGTGGCACCCTGGGCTTCTGCATTCAGAGTAGGGGAGTGGGCAACGAGGCGAGGGCTGGCGTGGCGTCGGCTGGCGGGGGGGTAGGCATTCCTCTTTCCACTGGCTGCACATAGTTAATGGGGGGCCTTGTTCTGGGTAGGCACACAGCCCTCGAGGTGCTGATGATGGCCATGTCCTATCCCGGCCCCTGGGATCTCAAGTCTCACGGAGTGAACACTGCAAATCTCAGGGGACCCTGGCACCTCCCTCACATCACAGTCTCCTCTTCATTGGCTCACTCATGCCCCTTCTCTCTCTCTCTCCCCCCTCCTTCTCCTCTCTCTCTCCCCTCTTTGTATCTTTCTTTATACACCATCATTTGTCTCTGTAATATCCTGGGGTCAGGAACTCTCACCCCACAGGAAACAGACCCAAAGGCATCAGAGGACTTGTCCAAAGGCACTCAGCATGTTGGCGGCAAAGACAGCGTCCTAGCCCAGGGTCTCCTGATCCCACTTCCACCAGAGAACAAACCTAAAGTTCCAGTTGCTGGAGTCAGGAGGGTTGCGACGAAATTGGAGGAGGGAAACTTTGGAAGCACCTCCTTCCTCCAGAGGACTCATGCAACTCCTCACTCCACAGGACAGAGAAAAACTGCAGCAGGAGGGTGGGAGATTGGAGGGAGAGGCTGAGCCAGCAGGGCTCTGCAGGTCAGTGGTAGGATTTCCCAAGTCCAGGCGCTCACTTGGGGCGTTACTAAGAATTTATCTCCACAGCTGGACCAGGGACTCTGTTTTTTGCAGTGAAAGTTAGTGTCAGCACCTAGCACAGCTGTGCCTACTACTAAGTGTATACTTAATACATATTCACAGGTTGAATAAATGAAAAATAATAGCTAACATCCATTGAATGGTTACTGTGTGCCAGACGCCGTTCTAGGCACTTTGCATATATTAACTCATTTAACAAGGGCATCGTTGTCATCCCTCTATTACAGGTGAGGAAACTAAAGCACAAAGAGGGTAAATCTTTCCCCAAGGATTGGTAAAAGGCAGAGCCAGAATCTGAACTTAGGTGGAGTGGCTCTGGGGTTTGTGCACTTACCCACTCTGCTAGATTTATAAGAAACTGGGAAGGAGGCCAACACACACAGGATCTGACATCTGTGGGATGGGCCCTCTGCCCTCCCTTTCAAGCAGAATCCCTGCCTGCCAGAGCCTGACAACTGCCTCATTCCCAGAAACACTGAGACTCTGGTGTGCCCCCTGTGCCCACTCTAGCACAATGCACCCCATAGTCCCTGGCCCCTGCAGATGCCACGCTCAGGCCAAGAAGCACCTCCAACCCAAGGTTGCTCAGTCTCCCCTCTAGTCCTGGGGCCACCTCCTGCCCATCTGGACAAAGGCTGCCTCATCTCCCCTGTGGCATCCCTGAGAGGGAGACCCCTTCCTCTCATCCCCTCCTGCCCTAGCCCCTAGGTTAAGGGGAGAAAGGGCTCCATAATTTGCAGGACCGGCCGGGCACAGTGGCTCACACCTGTAATCCCAGCACTTTGGGAGGTCAAGGTGGGTGGATCACCTGAGGTCAGGAGTTCGAGACCAGCCTGGCCACATGGCGAAAACCCGTCTCTACTAAAAATACAAAAATTAGCTGGGCATGGTGGCAGGAGCCTATAATCCCAGCTACTTGAGAGGCTGAGGCAGAAGAATCGCTTGAACCCGAGAGGCGGAGGTTGCAGTGAGCCAAGATAGCGCCATTGCACTCCAGCCTGGGTGACAGAGCGAGACTCTGTCTCAATAAATAAATAAATAAATAAATAAATAAATAAATAAATAAATAAAATAATTTGCAGCACCCAGTGCAAAATAAAAATGTGGGGCCCCTTGTAATAAAATTATTAAAAATTTACACAGCTCTCTCGCCTGTAATCCCAGCAAGTTCAAGACCAGCCTGGGCAATATAGTGAGATCCCATTATAAGTTTTAAGTTTTTTAATTTTAAAAAAACTTAAAAATTAGCTGGTTGTGGTGGTGTGCACCTGTAGTCTCGGCTACTCAGGAGGCTGAAGTGGGAGGATCACTTGAGCCCAGGGAGTTGAGGCTGCAGTGAGCGGAGATCGTACCATTGCACTCCAGCCGGGGTGACAGTGCAAGATCCTGTCTCGAAAAAATAAAATAAAATAACACACACACACAACCGAAAAAAATAACATGGCAACAGCAGAGCAATGGCCCAAGCACAGGGCCCTGTGTGACTGTGTGGGTGGCATGTCTGTGAAGGGATCCTGGCCACCCAGTCACACATGCTGAAGCAGGTAACTGCGCTGGGGGGCCGGGTCCATGGTGGCCTGAGACGTGATCTGGTTCCCGGCTCTGACTCCTTTGGGTCCTGAGCTCTCATCGGCCCCAGGTAAGTGAGGGTGGGAGCCCAGGTCCTGTCGCAATGCTCATTCTCTCTTGCTTTTGTCCTAGACAATGGTTCCCTTCCTTTCTCGTCTCCTCCCAGTCTCCTAATCTGCTCTGTCCACCACAAAGGCAGCGGATTAGTTTACAGCCCCTAACTGCCTCAACTCTCACAATTCCTGGACACTTGATCCAGTGTCCTCCATCCTCAAACACTCCCAACCCTGGGTTGCCCCAGATCTGGAGCTGAGAGGAAGGGAGAAAAAATGAAATGCATACACTGGAACTGTTTACAGTCCTGTCCTGAGCGCCCCCTGCAGGCGGAGACCCATACTAGGGGTGTGTGTGTGTGTGTGTGTTGTGTGTCTGTGTGTGTGTGTGTTCTTGAAGGATGTGTGTGTATGTTTGAAGGAGGTGTGTGTGTGTGTTAGGTGTGTGTGTGTTTGAAGGACGGGTGTGTGTTTGAAGGAGGTGTGTGTTTGAAGGAGGTGTGTGTGTTGGGGTGTGTGTGTATGAAGGAGGTGTGTATGTTTGAAGGAGGTGTGCGTATGTGTTTGGAGGTGTGTGTGTGTATTTGAAGGAGGTGTGTGTGTGTGTTTGAAGAAGGTGTGTGTGTTAGGGGTGTGTGTGTATGTTTGAAGGAGGTGTGTGTGTATGTTTGAGGGAGGTGTGCGTGTGTGTGTGTGTTTGAAGGAGGTGTATGTGTATGTGTGAAGGAGGTGTGTGTGTATGTTTGAAGGAGGGTGTGTATGTGTATGTTTGAAGGAGGTGTGCATATGTGTTTGGAGGTGTGTGTGTGTGCTTGAAGGAGGGTGTGTGTGTTTGAAGCAGGGTGTGTGTGTGTTTGAAGGAGGTGTGTGTGTGTTTGGAGGTGTGTGTGTGTTTGAAGGAGGTGTGTGTTAGGTGTGTGTGTGTTTGGAGGTGTGTGTGTTTGAAGGAGGTGTGTGAGGTGTGTGTGTTTGGAGGTGTGTGTGTGTTTGAAGGAGGTGTGTTAGGTGTGTGTGTGTTTGGAGGTGCGTGTGTGTGCTTGAAGGAGGTGTGTGTTAGGTGTGTGTGTGTGTTTGGAGGTGTGTGTGTGTGTTTGAAGGAGGTGTGTGTGTTTGGAGGGTGTGTGTGTGTTTGAAGGACATGTGTTTCGAGGGTGTGTGTTTGAAGGAAGTGTGTGTTAGGTGTGTGTGGAGGTGTGTGTGTGTTTGAAGGAGGTGTGTTAGGTGTGTGTTTGTTTGGAGGTACGTGTGTGTGTGTGGAGGAGGTGTGTGTTAGGTGTGTGTGTGTTTGGAGGTGTGTGTGTTTGAAGGAGGTGTGTGAGGTGTGTGTGTTTGGAGGTGTGTGTGTGTTTGAAGGAGGTGTGTTAGGTGTGTGTGTGTTTGGAGGTGCGTGTGTGTGCTTGAAGGAGGTGTGTGTTAGGTGTGTGTGTGTGTTTGGAGGTGTGTGTGTGTGTTTGAAGGAGGTGTGTGTGTTTGGAGGGTGTGTGTGTGTTTGAAGGACATGTGTTTCGAGGGTGTGTGTTTGAAGGAAGTGTGTGTTAGGTGTGTGTGGAGGTGTGTGTGTGTGTTTGAAGGAGGGGTGTGTGTGTGTGTTTGGAGGTGTGTGTGTGTTTGAAGGAGGTGTGTGTTAGGTGTGTGTGTGTGTTTGGGGGTGTGTGTGTGTTTGGAGGCGTGTGTGTGTTTGGAGGTGTGTGTGTGTTTGGAGGTGTGTGTGTTTGAAGGAGGTGTGTGTTTGGAGGTGTGTGTGTTTGAAGGAGGTGTGTGTTAGGTGTGTTTGTGTTTGGAGGTGTGTGTGTGTTTGAAGGAGGTGTGTGTGTTTGGAGGTGTGTGTGTGTTTGGAGGTGTGTGTGTGGAGGTGTGTTTGGAGGTGTGTGTGTGGAGGTGTGTGTGTGTGGAGGTGTGTGTGTGTGTTTGGAGGTGTGTGTGTGGTGTGTGTTTGGAGGTGTGTGTGTGGAGGTGTGTGTGTGGAGGTGTGTGTGTGTGGAGGTGTGTGTGTGTGGAGGTGTGTGTGTTAGGAGGAGGTGTGTGTTGGGTGTGTGTGTGTTTGCAGGTGTGTGTGTTTGGAGGTGTGTGTGTGTTTGGAGGTTGTGTGTGGAGGTGTGTGTGTGTGTGGAGGTGTGTGTGTGTGCTTGAAGGAGGTGTCTGTGATGTGATCCCAAGAAAAGGAACCACGAGCACAGATCCTGCCTTCAGGAAGCTCCCAGACTGAAGGAGGAGGCATGGCCCCTGCCCTAAAAGAGTTCCCCTCTCCTGATGCAAAGAAACACAGCTCCTGTCCACAAGGAACCCTGAATCTGATGAAGTAGAGCATCACAATCAGACAAACATACAGACAGATGGGGACACACACACCCTACAAAGACATAGTGAACATAATACTACCTGGTATTTTCACAGGAAATAAAATCGCACCCCCTCTGTGCTAAACACCCCCCAAGGAGGATCTTGCTTCATGCAACAACTCACCGGGCAGAGATGATTATTGACACTTGACAAACAAGTGTCAACCTTGGTCTTCCCATTCCTTGGCCTGTGGGTTTTCCTTTGCACCACAACCGCCTTTCAGGGGCTTCCGCATTAGGAGCATCAGTTAGACACAAGCGTTCCCTCCTCTGTGCCCCGCCTGCTACGCAGTATCTGGCCCTGCCTGGGTGTATTTCTCACTTCCTACAACAGGTCACAGTTATTTGCGCTTGTCTTATCTCTCTCTCCAAGGCTCCAGGGGAGAGGAAAGAGGGCAAGCATTCAATCCACATTTGTCACATGAACAAATGAGTGATTGAATGAATGAATGAATGAATGCTTGCTCCTCACAACAGCCTGGGAGTTCAAGTGGCACTATCATTGGTTATTAACAAGGGGCATGAGGGGCACCGCAGCACCAGTGGGGATGACAGGTATTGCCAGAATCCACACAGTGTGCTGATGGCAACCGGGGCTTACATACACTCTACCGAACTGCGCTGTTCTTCTTCGTGCAAAGGAACATGGAGCATGTTGGGAGAGGTCCAGAGACCTGGAGAAAAGAATCCTCACACTGGATTCACTGGGAAGGCTTCCTTCCTATAGGAGGTGCTAAAAGCTTCTTAGTGGGGGCTGCCTTTGGCCTGTTTCTCAGGAGCCAATAATAACTCAGGTAGGGGGGCAATTCTAACTTGCCAATCACACAGGGAGTTGGAATAAACCTCCATGTACTAGGCTCCCATTTTCCTGGTTCACCCACATATTCCCCTATACAAAGAAGCACTTCATCTGCCCTGCAAGAACCCCAGCAATGCACTGAGCTGGGGGTGCTACATGGAGAGAGTGACTCCGCACTGCTCCTCTGCTCCTCCCCCTCCATGAGTCCATCTGCCTTGGCTTTGGGCCTGGGGACCACATCCAAGTCCCTGACACTGGTGCAATGGAAGACACTCAGCACCTTTCTGCCACCTTATGCAGTCTGGACACTCTCGGGGACACTCCCACCTCCTCCAGCACCTCCAAGGGCAAAGGGGAAAGGATGGTGGCAGAAGCAGAGGGTGAGAGGAATTGTGTCCTAGGACCGACCCTCTGGGTCTCATTCTCGGCAAGCTCTAGGCAGGCAGAGTCAAATAGGTGAAATGAAGGGCCACTGCAGGCCTGCCTCCACCGCTCCTCCCAAGTGCCTCCTCTCAAGGGGAGACTAGATAGATAATAACCATAGCTCCCATAGATTGGGCATTTGCTATGTGCCAAGCACTGTGTCTAATTATAAACATCTTTCCGTATGCCCATTTTGAAAGCAAGAAAACAGAAGCTGAGAGAGGTGAAGAAACATATAGCCATAGCTGGTTAGAGCTGGAACTTAGCCTCGAACCCATGTCTGCTTGGCTGCAAACATGCACTCTTTCTTCTATAGCAGCGCTTCCAGGTGTGTGCCCAGATGGGGTCTCCTATCCCTTGGGATGGCTGGATGCTGCCCAGGGTTGACTGGGTGCCTTTCGCCTGAGAGGCCTTGTTGGTTTAACCCAGGACACTGAATACCTTGGATTGCGTTTGTGTGTTTGTGTATGTGTGTGTCTGTGTTTTTAAAATGTGTGCCCTGAGGGAAAAAGGGCAGAAAACCCTGCTCTAGAACATGCTGCCCCAGGGAGTGGGACAGAACAGGTCGTGGAGATGAAGTACAAAAGCCCCAATGTGGTTCCTCATTCTAACCTGGGCTCATGGCTTCCCCTTCTCCTGGCCCTGAGTTAAGTCCTTCTGGTCTTCAGGACTCAAGCCTCTTCTCTCTCCCCTGGGCCTTCCCTGGCCACCTCGGTCCTCTTTCTCCCTTGAATGCCTGTGGACCTCACCTCTGGTCCTCCCTGGATGCTCCCAGGATTATCTGATACAGTGAGTTCACTTCTCACGTGCACCTGGCTGGTCTCTCACTGACAGTCATCACCCTGACTGCCTCCCAGAGGATCCAGCAGACAGTAGGTCCTCAACATCAACGCTGATGATAATCTCCACACTCAAGGATTCCGTCTTACCCTCCCCAGAGTCCCCAATTTCTGTGCTGAGCCCCAATACCTTCCCCTCCAAGTAGCCCCCATAGATGGGCTCCCAGAAACCACTGCTGGTGGATGGGAGGGAAATGGGGCAAACCACTGATCCTTCCCCCAGAAAGACAGGAACTGTAACTAGGCTTTGAGAGGGTGCTTGGCCTGAGATTTTGACGCAGCCAGAGTCCTGCTCATTCCCTTGGAGTTTGGAAACCCCTCAGCTGTGGGCCTCTGAGAGGCAGTAGATAAAGTGGGTAGGAGGGAGGCTGCCTGGGCTGAAATCCCCCCACCAGCAACTAGTGGCAGGTTGTCTTAGGCAAGCTCCTTAGCACTGAAAAGCCTTGGTTTCCTCATTGGTAAGTGGGGATAACACTAGCACCTCTCTCATGGGGTTTATGTGAGATGATGCAGATAAAGTGCTTGAGCGCACTTCCTGCCACATGCCAATCATTCAATAAACGCTGGTTATTACTATTATTGGTAAAGGAAGAGACATCAGGGTGATGGTGGATTCCTATGTATGTCTCTCTGAACCTATGGGGGGCCATCAAGACTGGGTCCCAAGAATGAACGTTCCTGATGAGCTAGTGTCTTTCTGGAAGAAGATCACAGTTCAGGGAATGAAAATATCAACCAGGAAGGTATCCTCACCGTGCTGGAGCAGACAGGAGAGGCAGAGAGCTGGGCGCAAGATGCTTCCCTGGTCCCAGCCTCAAATTCACATCTCACAGTTAATCAGAGAGGGCCCTGATCTCCCAGGGATGGGGAGAATTGAAGACACAGAGCATAGGCATCCCCTGATGGTTTCTGGAGGAGACAAAAGATTGTAGCAGAGAAGCGGGGGCTGGGGATGGGACACAAAGGAAACTTCAGTTCTGGAGGTGCCTTAAGTAGCCGGGCCCAGCTCCCCTCCAACCCGCCAGCCGCCGGCCTGCCCATGGCCTGCTCTGGCATGGCTCCGGGGGGCACAGTGCCAACCCCTGAGCTCTCCCCCCACCATGTCCTTTTGCTGATTCCAAAATAACTCTCTGCTCACTGCCCAAGTTTGGCCTCTCGGGTGTTTTTCTCCTCCTGGGACCTGTTCTCCCATGTCTGAAGGGCGGGAGGAGAGACCTGAATTGTCATTAGGGACTGGAGATCACTCCATTTTTGCCAATGGACTAGTTAGTACAAAGGGGACCCCACGATTCTCAGAAGCCCCCAGGTCAGTGAGTTCATTTCGGTTTGGCTAAAAGAAGTTGCCATTTCCAACATGGGGAAGGGAGATTGGCATTTTCTCCGCCACTCCATCTCCTGCACCTTCCCAAGGTGTCTGAAGCCCCAGCAGGCTCCTTGATCTTGGCCCTGCTCCCAATAGTGACTCACTAGCCTAAGGTCACATAGCCCATTAAGAATGAGCTCAGAGGAGGATCCTCACGGCCCCTCAGGGCATGTCTGCCCCCAACCCCCACAACAACACTCCCAATCCCAAATGACCCATTCACCCCTGCTTTTCCTTGGGCTATAGCAGAGAAACTCTAATTTCAAGGAACTCTGATTTCTGGGGAGAAGCTGTACTCTCCAGACAGTGCTAACCTAGAAGCCCAGATTCTTCCTCTTTGGAGAGTCTCCCACCAGGCGGCAGGCTTAGCCCCAGCTCCTCCGGGCATCCCCTGGGAGAAGGATCACTTCCTCCACCATCCCGGCCCAGGAGCCCAAGAGCAGAACTGGCTGCTTGAAAGGCCTGTTTCCCTGAAAGTCAGTGGGACGGGCTTTGTTAGTAAAGGAGGAGGGTGGGAGGGAAGGAAGGGTGATCTGATGGGGCTCCAGAAGATGAGACTCTGCCATCCTAACTCCCCGTCCTGTCACCAGTAGCTCTGCTGGGCCCTTTTCACAGTAGTTTATTTGTAGCTGAAGGCAATAAGAAAAACAATATTAATAGTAAACATTTTGTAAGCCCTTATAGCATAAAAAACCCTTTGCTTTCTTTGTCTCATTTGCTTCTCCTCACAACCCTTTGAGGTAGATACTATTAGTGTTTCCATTTTAAAGACTGAGAGACTGGAGCTTTGGGGAGGTTAAGTGATTTGCCCAAAGACACAGCTCATCAACAGTGGAGCTGAGACTCAAGCCTGCGCCCAGCAGGGCCTCCCCATTGGGATACCTTCTGTGCCCTGTGTGTCTCTCCCCCGGGGGGCGTGGGTCAGTGCAGGAAGCAGGCTGCAGCGCATGTGGGGCCATCAGGGTTGAGAGCCCATGGAATGGGGGGAAGGCGGGGTGGAGTGGGGGTGGGCTGGGGGCCAACTCTGCTCTGAGCCAGGCTTTCTTCTCCTCCGCCAGCCGCCCCACCCGGCCGCGCCCCATGCCCGCTGCTGCCAGAGCCGAGAGGTTTCCTTTTTCTTTTGCCTAGGGCTGTTTCCTGCCTTTCCTTTGAACTGGGGTGTTGGCTCCCCCACACATTCACCCACCTCCGGCGACCCCCCGGGTCTGCCTTCTGATGGGCCCACCCTACTAGGCTCCACTTTGGAGCAAGGCTGGCACAGGAGAGCCCCAGGGGACCCCACTTCCTGGAGTCACTGTACCCCTCCTTCACCCTTCTCTTCCCCACCCTGGTCTGGGTGCTGCCTGGGTCCTCCCCTTCCCTCCTTCCCTTCCCTCACTGCCTGCAGCTGAGCAGCTCTCCCGGGGAGCTTTCTCTGTCCCACACCAGGAGCAGGAGATTCAAAGTGGATTGCTCCCTGCCTCTCCCACTTTCTAGTTTTTCATCCAAAACATGGCTTCTCTGGACATTGAGGTCCAGAGAAGTTTTGGGACTTGCACAGGGTCTCATAGCAACTGAGAGACTGAAGATTAGAACTCACAAACCCCAAGTTTCCGGAAGGAGGAGTCAAACTTTTAGAATCTATTAGAAAGGGCAACTAAGACTGGGCCAGGGAAGGGTGGCCTTGGAAGTGAGAAATGAGACCTGGCACGTTGGCACCCCCACCCCCAACTCACAACACATCCTCTCCAAGGCTGGCTCTCCCCTGTTAAGGCTGCCTGTTTCTCTGCTTCCTCATCTGTAGCCCCTGCAGGGGCCCGTCTAGACCATGTAAGGGAGCATGCTGGCGTCTTCCATCAGGTGCTCCCCTCCCCTCCCTGGATTTTCAGACTGTACTCTTAAAAAAAAAAAAAAAAAAAAAAAAAAAACCTAAAATTACTCTGGTTCCCAGTAGAACTCACTCCATCTTCTTGGCAGCTTCTTGCAGCTCTCACAGCCCCCAACTACACACACACCTATCCTATGCCTTTCATAGAACAGGACTGCTTCCCTCCCTCCCATGCTAGCTCCAGGACTTCCTCCTCCAGGAAGACTTCCATGACTGACATTTCTTGGCCCTGGTCACCCTAATAACAACACTGGCTAACATTTATCGAGCTCTTCCCATGGACCAGACATTATGCCAAACCCTTTGCAAACATCATCTAAGTGAATCCACACAACAACCCTATGAGGTAGATCTTAACCCTGTTTACAGGTGAGGAAACTAAGTCACAGAAGGGCTAATCAACTGGCTGGGGGTTACATAGTTAGTAAGTGATAGCTTGAACTCTGCTTTGTTGTGGCAAATGCCACAACCTCTTACTCTCTGCCTCCAGCATCCTGCCTCCATCATTTTGGCTGTAGACATCCCCTGCAAATTACCCTGTATCTACACACACACACAGACACACACAGACACATATGCACACACCATCTAACCTGTCAAACAAGTCCAGTGGTTATCAGTTATCACAGGCAATCTTAAAGGGAGTGAATTCGTAAGAAAGCAATCAGCAGTCTGAATGGGGGTTGCTTGGTGTAGCGGCCCCTCCCTCAGCCCTGGTGGCAGTGGGCGATGAAAATGGGTGCTTAGGTGTGACTGCAAGTGCATGAGCCTGAGGTCTTTTACAACTAGCTGCGTGAGACACCTTTTCTGGCACCATCTGTTTACTGACACTGCTCAGCCTTGCGGGCCCAGAGTAACTACCCAGATCTTTCTGCTCAGCAACAACTCCGGGGATTGTCTGCCCAACAAGTTATGTGCTGTCTGTGTATTCCTGTCTCTGCATCATGTGCACATGCAATGGAATAGAACAAGAGGTGATACTTTTGTAGTTAAGAAGTGTGACAATTGGGTTTTCGTGCTCACATGTGAGAAGTGCCTCCCTCAAACCTTGTTATGAAGTCAGCACATTACTGGTCTTCTTTTTTTTTTTTTAAGAAGAAAGAAAAAAGAATAGAACAAGAGGCATCATGCCTTCTCGTCACCATCAGATTGGATGTCCCAGAGCCAGGGGCTCCATCTCCCTCTTGGTCTATTTCCAGAACAGGCCCTAACCAGGGAGAATGTCAAAACCCCGGTGAGTGTCAATGAGCCTCGCTGAGACTATAGTTTAAGAGGAAACTGTTGCAAAAAAGAGAGACATATGGAGGATTGTGAGTATCTGAAGTCCGTCTTCCCAACCTTGATCAAACAGGGCTGGCATTGAGCCCAAAAGTGGTAATAGTTTTTGGACATGTGTGTCAAGGCAAAGAATACCAGTTGGCTATAAAGACGCCTTTCTGGTCTTCCCTAGAACCAAGATGGAGAGGTGGAAGCACCTACCTCATGAAAGGTATTGGCTAGAAGGAGAAAATCTCACAGCCGTGGAGTGGGGGAAGAGATGTGATGTCATTTTTATTGAGACCAGGTCAAGGAATGTGCAAGAGGACTTGCGGGTACCTTCTGGAGCCCATAGCTCCTGGGCGCCTCCTATAGTTCTGTCTATGGCTTCTTCTAAGGATCTTCGAGTCTTCTCTGGCCTGCTACTTCCTGCATGTCCAAGTGTTTTAACATTTTTCATTTTAACTCTGTGTCAGGAGGACCTAAGTCCCCACTCTCCCTCCCGATCCCCAACCCCCAATTTTCACCAACTGGTTGGGCTCCAAGTCCCCAGAACCAGCCAAGTATTGATCAAGAGTTGCCCTGACAGTCACCTCCCCAGCACACAGCTCTCTTCCTCCAGCCACAAACCATTCCCTTGAATTCTACACTCACCCACTAGGCTCAATTTTCTTCTGGTGTGGAGAGGCCTGGTAGTTTACCTCCACCTCCATGGAGCACCCATAGGAGGCATGATAATACTAGCCACCATTTCAGAGTTACCCTCGGGTGTCAGGCACTCTGGGGACTTTCATTGAACATATTATCTCATTTAATCCACTCAGCAACCTGCTTCCTCATCTCCATGTACACATGAAGAACCTGAGGCTTAGAGGTGTTCAGTGAGTGATTCTCAGTAGGTGGCAGAGCTAGGAAGGAACCAAAGTTTGAGTGGCTCAGAGAGAGGCACTGCTGATTATATCATCAGATGCGAATCTGTGCTCTCCTCAGCAAGGGCTGGGATACATGGGGCAGGGCCAAGCTGGACATCTCCTAACATCGCTGAAAAGAGAAAGGAGCCCCAAGACTTCCCCACCCTGGCTCTTCTGCATGCCAGCTCTCAACCCCACCTTCAGGTGCCTTTCTGGTAGAGCTGTTCTCCAGAGAGGGCAAAGAAAGAAAATTCCTCCTCTGAGACACCCTCAGGACAACTGTAGGAATCCTTCATGCACCATCCAGATGGGACCCCTCCCCAGCCCAGGGCAGGGGACACGGTCCTCTGCCACCTCCTTCCAATATTCCAGACCCCACTGCTAAATTCCCCATATTGCCTCAGGACCCATCATACTCTTTATAGCTCCCACTCCCTCTCTTCTCTCCACAACTCTCAGAAGCATCCCCTGAGTCTTGAGAGAGAGGGGCTTTCTCAATCCCCAGGAAGACACAGACCAGCTCAGAAAACCCCACCTCCACTGAACCCAAATGCAGACTTCACAGCTCCGAGGGAATTGTGGCAAGCTAGTGGGAAAAACTTCTGCCAGCATGGATGGTAGGATGCTTGAATTCCAAAGGTGACAGTGTACCTCCTTCCCCAAGTCCTTCTAGAAAAAGGGTCATTAACCAGTCTAGGAAGACTTAATGCTGGGAAAGGAAGCTCTGGAAGGCCTTATCTCCCCTGCCCCTTCAACCCAGGCAAGGGACCTTCCTTCAGCTCACCCAGAGAAAGGCTCCACAGAAGTCACATCTAAACTCTTTAGCCACAGGACCCTGTCTTCAAATGAACCAATGTCACATACTCCCAGGATAGAAAACTGCTGAAAGAGGGGCTGGCCTGTGTGTAGGGTGGGGCCGGAGCCTGCCCTGCTTTGCCAGATGCTGAGCGCCCAGGCTCTGTGCAGTTGGTACCTTTATTCCCATGATTGCCTCTGCCGTCACCTACTGCACTGTGAAGGATTCCATTTGTCCTTCTAGATGGACATTATTTTTCTCTTCCCACTCCCTTACCTGGCCCACAGCCTGTGCCTTTTGGAGTGGAGGGGGACATCCCAACCTGGGGACAGGGACATTTGGAGAGGAGCCCCATGAAGAGTTGCCCTCTGGGACCCTCTACCTCCCACCAGGACACTCCCAACACTGAGCATCTTTAGTTCCACAAATTCTTGCTAGGCCCCTATAAAGATTCACCCAGCCTCCTCTTCCTCTAAGCTCCCATGTGCTGGAACCCCAAAGCCATAAGGAGCCTCTCTCAGGCCAGAAGGAACTCTGGGATCCTAGCCCTCAGCAGAAGGCCCCACCAGGCTTTCCCACCTGCTCCCAGCTCCTCTGAGGAAGTTGATAGAGCCTGCAGAGCTGGGCTGGAGGAGGTTTCCTTGCCCCAGAGCGGGGCTGGGGGTGCAGGTGGGTGGCCTGGAATGTGCTCTCTCACCCTCCTCCTGCCCAGGTGGTGAGCAGCCAGAGCCCCCAGCCCTCCAGCTCTGAGGGGAAGCTCCCATGAGCCAGACAGACAGGACAGCTGCCCCCAGTAGGGTCCCCTTCACGCGCCATCTCACCCCAACTCAGACGCTAAAAATGGTTCTCTGGTTTTCAGCCTCGGCGCCTGCCCACAAATTAGTGTCTCCAACACAGCCTCTTGGGACATGACTTTAGGGAGGCCCCTGGGGGAGCCAGGAGGCCCCAGTGAAGGGAGATGGTGCTGGCAGAGTCCCTTTCTGAGGAGACAAGAGTGGATAAGGCCCCCCTCCCAGCTTCTAGGAAACCCGCCCCCCCCGCCCCCACGAAGGCCACCCAGCCTCAGTGTGACAGCCCTGTTGTCCTCACCATGGCAGAAGAACAGACATTATTTCCACCCTACTGGGGCACGCTCCCCTCACCTCCACCTCCAGTTCTGTCAGCTTTACCCTCAGCCACCATCCCGGGCACTGCTCTGCTAGAAGAGAATGCAGCAACAGGAGATGGAGCAGCCAGCCCCGCGCCCTCCCGCTCAGGGTCCAGAACCCACCTCGCCAAGCCTGGGCTCCCATAGTCAGCCCACAAGCACGGAGGCCAATGGGGAAGCCAAGTCAGGGAAGCCCGGTCTCCCTGCTCGCCTGGTATTTAGTCTCAGACTCTTCTCCCCTCCCCAGTCCCGCAACGGTCAACTTGGAAGGGGGCAAACCCTCTCCGGGATGCCCATGCCCCAGGGCACCAAGCAAGCAGGTGCCCTGCTGAGGCCGGGACTGGGCGCTAGCCAGCAGCCCGCAGGACCAGGCGGGGACAGGCGGGCAGTACTCACAGGTAAGCCGTCAGGGGGTCCAGGTCCCCCGGAACGGCGGACAGCCCGAGCTCAGAGCAGTCGGCAGACAGCATGATGCCGTCCTCCTGGCAGTGGCAGGGGGCCGGGCAGGCGGTGGGCCCCGGGCCGGGCTGGGGGGCGCCGCCGGCCCTCCGGGAAGCGCACAGCGCGGCGCAAAGCCATAGCGCCCGGAGCCCCGGCGGGCTGGGCATCTCGGCGGTCGGGCTACTGGGGCACCTGGCGGCCGGGCGCGGACGCACGGCGCGATGGCCGCAGCTGCTTCCTCCCGGTCCCGGCGGGCTGCACCGTCGGTGGGGACCGCCCCAGGGGCTCTATTGGGCGGCGGCGGCGGCGGTGGGAGCGCCGGGACGGTGCAGTCAGAGAGGGGCAGGCATTGTTGAGTGATCTTCGTTATTCAGTTTCACAGGCTGGGCTTGGCAAGGGAGGGAGACCCAGCCGGAGGAGGAGTCAAGGAAACTTTCTACACTGCGGCTCGCTCCTCTTCCCTCCTTCCTTCGGAGCTGGCAGGAATTTCATCCAGGAAAGAAAAAAAAAAAAGGAAGAAAGCAAAGAAACCCAAGCGAGCAAAGCTCAGCCCGTCAGAGACCTGCATTTGTTTGGATAGGGTGTCCCAGGGCCTTGGCCGCAGGGCTGGGGACCCTCTTGCCTTTGGGGACAGCCACGAGGTCACATGGGACCCAGAGGAGGTCTCTGAAAGAGGCCTTGGGGCTCCCATTGCCCCTCATGCCTCCACCACGTTTCACACTGCAGGAAACTGAGACCCAAGAGGCAAAATGATTTGTTCAAGGTGACACAGCTGATGGGACATCCCCAGAGCTGGAACTCGTCCACCCTCCCTGGCCTGTCTGCTAGGACAGGAGAGAGGGGAGTGAGGGGCTACCCTGGAAGAGGCCAGGCTGCGGAGGGTTCCACTGCAGGCTGGGATGACCCGACGGTGGGCAACCAGGAGCAGTCTCCTCACTGAGAGGCCGGGCCTTGACTCCAAAGAAACGGGTGTGGAGTTACACCCGCTGAGTGCACCCTGGGTGGAAATGCACTCCTGCAGCCTCTGTCAGGTTTACGGCCTGGGGACCACCTTGATCCCTGCTCCCAGGACCTCGGGAGTCTGAGGGACTGTGGGCAGCTCAGCTGGTTGTCAGAGCCCACCTCAAAGTAAGCGGATTGGTGCCACCTGGAGGCCGGGTGCTGCACCTGCAGCTCAGCCACCCTGAGGCTGGAATCCCACCAAGTGGCTGACCTGGGCCGGCCCCAGAGCCCTGGAGAGCAAAGGGCATGGTGGTTAAAACTGAGGTCAATCCCTGTTCTCTCCTTAGACCATAGTGAGCTGGCTGTGCTTCCTTCATGCAGCCTCTTGCTCTCTCTGGTCTCTCCCATGCTGAGCCAAGCCCCCGCGCAGAGCTAGAGCAGGCTGTGGGCCCCCCTCCTTCCTTTTTTTGCCCTATCTCCCCATGGTCCAGCCAGAGGGTATACTAGAAACCTGGGACCTCAGAGGCATCCAGGATTTCTTCCACCCTGTCTTTCCACATGCCAGGATCCTCTCATCAACACCTCTCCACTCTCCCAATAACCTCCCAGGGCTAGAGGGGCTGCATAGCTGGACCAAGAAATGAGCAGACCTTGACCCTAGGCCTCCAGTTGGTGCCATGGCGCTGAAAGTAGAAGACGAGCCTCCGCTCTCGCTCTCCCTCTCCCTCTCCCCTCTTTCCACGGTCTCCCTCTGATGCCGAGCCGAAGCTGGACTGTACTGCTGCCATCTCGGCTCACTGCAACCTCCCTGCCTGATTCTCCTGCCTCAGCCTGCCGAGTGCCTGCAATTGCAGGCGCATGCCGCCACGCCTGACTGGTTTTCGTATTTTTTGGGTGGAGACGGGGTTTCGCTGTGTTGGCCAGGCTGGTCTCCAGCTCCTAACTGCGAGTGATCCGCCAGCCTCGGCCTCCCGAGGTGCCGGGATTGCAGACGGAGTCTCCTTCACTCAGTGCTCAATGGTGCCCAGGCTGGAGTGCAGTGGCGTGATCTCGGCTCGCTACAACATCCACCTCCCAGCAGCCTGCCTTGGCCTCCCAAAGTGCCGAGATTGCAGCCTCTGCCCGGCCGCCACCCCGTCTGGGAAGTGAGGAGCGTCTCTGCCTGGCCGCCCATCGTCTGGGATGTGAGGAGCCCCTCTGCCTGGCTGCCCAGTCTGGAAAGTGAGGAGCGTCTCTGCCCAGCCGCCATCCCATCTAGGAAGTGAGGAGCACCTCTTCCCGGCCGCCATCCCATCTAGGAAGTGAGGAGCGTCTCTGCCCGGCTGCCCATCGTCTGAGATGTGGGGAGCGCCTCTGCCCTGTCGCCCCGTCCGGGATGTGAAGAGCGTCTCTCCCCGGCCGCCCCGTCTGAGAAGTGAGGAGACCCTCTGCCTGGCAACCGCCCTGTCTGAGAAGTGAGGAGCCCCTCCGCCCAGCAGCCGCCCCGTCTGAGAAGTGAGGAGCCCCTCCGCCCGGCAGCCACCCCGTCTGGGAAGTGAGGAGCGTCTCCGCCCGGCAGCCACCCCGTCCGGGAGGGAGATGGGGGGGTCAGCTCCCCGCCTGGCCAGCCGCCCCGTCCGGAAGGGAGGTGGGGGAATCAGCCCCCCGCCCGGCCAGCCGCTCGGGAGGTGAGGGGCGCCTCTGCCCGGCCGCCCCTACTGGGAAGTGAGGAGCCCCTCTGCCCGGCCAGCCGCCCCATCCGGGAGGGAGGTGGGGGGGTCAGCCCCCCGCCTGGCCAGCCGCCCCGTCCGGGAGGTGAGGGGCGCCTCTGCCCGGCCGCCCCTACTGGAAAGTGAGGAGCCCCTCTGCCCGGCCAGCCGCCCCGTCCGGGAGGTGTGCCCAACAGCTCATTGAGAACGGGCCAGGATGACAATGGCGGCTATGTGGAATAGAAAGGCGGGAAAGGTGGGGAAAAGATTGAGAAATCGGATGGTTGCCGTGTCTGTGTAGAAAGAGGTAGACATGGGAGACTTTTCATTTTGTTCTGTACTAAGAAAAATTCTTCTGCCTTGGGATCCTGTTGATCTGTGACCTTACCCCCAACCCTGTGCTCTCTGAAACATGTGCTGTGTCCACTCAGGGTTAAATGGATTAAGGGCGGTGCAAGATGTGCTTTGTTAAACAGAGGCTTGAAGGCAGCATGCTCGTTAAGAGTCATCACCACTCCCTAATCTCAAGTACCCAGGGACACAAACACTGCGGAAGGCCGCAGGGTCCTCTGCCTAGGAAAACCAGAGACCTTTGTTCACTTGTTTATCTGCTGACCTTCCCTCCACTATTGTCCTGTGACCCTGCCAAATCCCCCTCTGCGAGAAACACCCAAGAATGATCAATTAAAAAAAAATAATAAATAAATAAATAAATAAAAGAAGACGAGCCTCCTAGGAAGGCCAGAGGATGGGCCTACATGACCAGAAAGACCCACAGATAGAGCCACCTCTGCCCTATGGAAGAAAGCTACCGCAGGCCAGCCTGCACTTCCTTCACTCAACCATAGCCTCGGCTCCATCTCATTTGCAGCTCCTGCTGCTCCAATGTGAGATCTTCCCAGAGTGGAAAAGCCATGGTTGAGCCCTGTTTCAACCTCAGCAGCAGCTGCTTGAGACAGACTTGGGCAGCTCAGAGCAGAGCCTCCAGCCTGCTTTTATGAGGGTCATTAGGGGGCCCACCCTCAGCTCCTGATAAACATGGCATATGGAGGACACTGACATTTAGTCCTCCTGGGAGGGCACCAGTGCTTTAGTCTCATTCTGGGAAAGCTCCCGGCTGAGCAGCCAGCACGACCTCTGTACCCTTCTTCAACCAGCCCTGAGAAGGACCCTCCACTGACTTCTGACCCGTTGCACCTTAGTAGGAACTCAGGTTGGCCAAAGAGCTCTCCCCTCTTCCCCTTGGGGAGACCCAACTCCACTTCAGGGACTCTTGCTCTGATCTGTCCAGGTTTTCTCTGTGTCCTCCCAGGGCCTTCCACCAGGGGCAGTTAAGGTCCAGCATCAGGCACTGCACCTGGAAACTCCCAGCCTGACCAGGGAGGGAGGCAGGAGCTCATGTGGCCACCAGCAATCACGCACATGGTATGCAGTGCAGTCCTAGAGTGTGTGGGACAGACAGCTGCCTCCCCGCCCTCTTTTCTGGTCTCTGCTGCTCCTCCTGGTTTTTCCTTTCTCCATATGCCCTCCCTGCTTTCTCCTCCACCTCCTCCTATGTGGAGGGGAGGAAGGAGGAGAGAGCAAAGGAGCAGGGAAAACTTGGCACCTCCGCCTGAGGGGTGCCTCCAGCGCCTGCCTTCTGAGTAACAGGGTAGCTCTGGCACCTCCATCCTGGTGGGGGCTGAGGGTGGCCCCTGGGGGCTCTGGCAGGTAGAGAAGGCTGGGGATGGCAGGAGAAGGGAAGTGGGAAACAGGATAAACCCTACTGCATACAGCGTGGTGCGTACAGGGTGGTGGGGCAGAGGACGAACAATTTGGAGCTGTGATTCTGAATCCAGGGCTTAGCACCACAGGAAACTAGACGTGGAGAGACCAAAGTCTGAGGATATTTAGAAACTGAAGGATTAGCAGGGAGAGGATTGCTTCAGGGGAAAAACCAACACCATAGGGGCCATAGGTCACCTAGTTCAACCAGACTCCAGGTCCTAGCTTCCATCCCGGCTCCACGTTTGCCCACAAGACCCACACACGGGGCCCAGGTCTGAGGACGGACAGACAGAACACACTGAGCTTCACGCTTGGCCACAGGTCTTTATTCCAAGACCCTTTACCTTTGCAGCACAGGGCCCAGTGGAGGCCGCCCTTCTGGGGAGCCCAGGCCCACGTGGATGTGTCAGGAATGCTGTCCCCATCCCACAGGGCACAAACCTCTCCTGCACAGTGACCAGTGCCGACTCAGGGGCAGCCCGTCTGCCAGTGCGCTGTTCAGACAATTGTAGAGGTAGATATACTGCTTCTGGAGATGGACATAGGGTTAGGAGGCTCGCCCCGCCTGCCCCAATCTAACAGAAAAGGGCTCCCTTGTGTGTCCCAACCCCTAGGGCTCCATCTGGGAGAATGCACAGAGGTCCACAGCGCCACCTGGTGGCTACCCGGGTGGTGCTGCCTAGAGGCCTGGGCAGAAGCTCCCTCACCTCCCACCCCTTCCCACAGCTGAGCCCCCACGCCCCCACCCCAGCCCCATCGCCTCTCACCAGCGTTGGGGTCATAAGGTCACAGGCCTGAGACTGCTGCAGGGCCACGTTAAAGACATCCACGGTGCACTCAGACCCTGCCTGCTGCAGCAGCTGCTCCATGGCCAGGAAGGTGCCCAGCTGGGTCGCACCCTTGCTGCAACTGACCTAGAGTTGGATGAGGTACCTAAAGGGGGTGTGGCAGGGGTGTCCGGGGATGTGGCGGGGGTGTCCGGGGATCTGCAAAAATCCAACCTGGGTGCAGGGACTGAGAAGGGACACCGAACACTTGGTCAGCCAGCCAGCCAGCCTGGGCCCAGGGAGGGAGGCGGTAAATTCCCACCATATTCCTGAGGACAGGGTAGGGTGTGGGGAAGACAGGGGCATTGTGAGACTGTGTCCTTTTGGCCCATAACCCAAGCAGGGCCCAGGGAGATCTGAGGCTATGCCAGAGGGGCAGGGAGGGGCTTCCAGTGTCCACTCCCCCAAGACCATTGTCCAGCAACACCTGGAGTGGCTGAGCAGTGTGCCCGGCTTCTTGCTGTTGCCCCGAGAGCAGCACTGGCCCACAGCAGCCAGGAAGGGCAGCAGGGTGGTGGCGGGCAGCTCATGCCCAGGCTCCAGGTATGGAAACTGCAGTCTCTGCACCTCCCTTTCCTTCCTACTCTCCCCCTCGGGCAAAGACATGATCGGCATTGGTGCTGGAGAGGGCAGAGGGAGCCCACACAGGACTCTTCTCCCACACACCACCCCATGCCCTGTGGCCCCAACACCTACATGTGTGACCCTGAAGAGGGCACAGAGCCAGCCCACTGTGCTGCTCTCGGCCACCCAGTGCACTGTCACCATGTCTGTGACTATGGGCTGCATCTCCATTGGCCAGAATTCCTGTGGCTGGGACCAAGTTAGGGCTGCTCAGGCAACTTCCTGAGATCTCTGCCCCTGCCCTGGTTAGACAGCACCACAAACTACCCGCCTCCAACCTCAGCCCTAACTCCTGAGCCTCCCTTCCTCTGTCCTCTGCACTCTCACCTTCTCCATGGCATCGAGTGGGCACAGAGAGACAAGCACATGAGCCCCGTGCTGCCACACCAGCTCCCAGAGCTCCTCTGGCCCTGCGAGGCCAGTCAGCACCATATGATCACAGCCAGAGGGCCCACCCTGCAGAGCACAGCTCATTGGCTTCCAGAGACTGAGGGTGTCCCCTGCCCAGCCCACAACTCTGGGAGCCCCCAGCAGCCCCAGCCCGGGAAGTACAGGTGGTCAGAGAGGGCAGGAAACAGTGGCAAAACCAGCATCATCTCACAGGGAAGAGCCAGGCTTCAGGCATGTCGTCAGGGGTGCTCTCCTACACTGGAGAAAACTGCCCCTGAGAACAGTCATCTGAGGGAAGACAGTGAGGGTGAAGCTGCCAGAGGCCCCCAGCCCATGCTGGCCCCCTGCCCCTCCACAGGGTCCACAGTGAGACTCACAGGAGATGGGGCTGTCCTGCTCATAGCCAGGCAGGGGTGCGTAAGAGCCAGCCTCGTCCTTGATGGCCTGCAGCAAGAGCTGGGAAGGAGATGGGTACCCTGAGGCTGGGAGGTCCCACTGCAGGGCTGGCTCAGCAGGGGAAGGCTGCCCTTGGCTGTCACCCACTTCCTGGCCTGAAGTGTACCTCGTACTCCTTCAAGAAGCCAGCGTTGGCATTGGCTGCCCTCTTGGCACACGCCTGTGCGAAGTTCATCACAGAGATGGGCCAAGACCTGGTGGGGGGGTTGGAGAGGGAGAAGGCACTCAAGGTTCCCCAGCTCCCTGTTCTAGTCTGCTCGGCTCTGCCCATGAACAGGAGCAGGGAGCCTGCCTGTGGGAGGCACAGGGAAGCTGGGACTTACTCAGAGATGTTGAAGGGCCCTTCCAGAATCTTGTTCAGTAGGCAGCTGTGCAGGAAGACGTACTGGCTCTGCCAGGGGGAAGGGCATCAGGCTGCTCAGCGAGGAGCGAGGAGCGAGGAGCGAGGAGCGAGGGGGGCCTGCAGGGAGATTTTCCAGGCCCTGACCAGCAAGGCAGGGATCGGGTAGGAGGGGAGAGGGAGCCACTGAGAAACCTTCCCTCCACCGCTCTATGGTGTCAAAGCTGACAGGGTCCTGTCCCACCTCCCCTTTCACAGAATAGGGAGCACAGCCCAGATAGGATGGTGTTGTGTTTGAAACCCTCTCCCCAGGGTCTTCTGTATGCCCCATGAGCTCTCTTTCCTGGTCCCTCTTGTAGCCCTGTGGCCACCCACCTCCCTCCCACTCCTTCAGGGTCCCAGCTGCCCAGCCCAGCCTGCGAGGCCCTCACCAGGGTCTGGATCATGAGGGGCCCGTGCATCCAGAATGCAAACACAGCATGGAACACATCTACCATCTGCTCCTCCTCCAGCTGCTGCAGCAGCCTCAACAGGGCCACGAAGGTGCCCGTCTGGCCCATGCCCACACTGCGGGGACAGCCCCTGAGGAACTGAATGGGTGAAGAGGCTGCCCATGTCCCCAGCTCTCCCCACAGTCCGAGAGCCCCCGACACCTCCAGGCCAGGCAGGGGGCTCTCCACCCTATGCACTCACCTGCCCTCCTGCAGTGCACCAGGATGGGTCCCATGCCCTGGGTGGCCCTTGCCTGTTCCTGTACCAGCTCCATAAAGGTAAGCAGGGAGCTGGGGGCCTTGAGGATGCTGTGGTCAGGTCAGGTGGTGAATTGCAGTTACTCCACCCTCCGCTGCTGTTGCTGGACAACCTGAGAAGGGGGTGGGAAGGGGGCAAGGGGGCAAGGGGGCAAGGGGGCAAGGGGGCAGAGGGGCCCTGCTGCTGCTCCTTATCTTCCTAACTCTAGGCTCCCATGGCCCAGACCTCACACTTTCTTCCCCAGCTGCCTAAGGGCAGGGATGATGCAGACCAACTGTTCCTTGAGCGTGGCAGCTATGTCTCTCTCATCAGGATGCTTCCTGAGCCCTCGGGTCCTTCTCTAGCCTCCTGGGTAATCTCTGCATATAGAGTGCCCAAGCAGAGGAGTGATTCGGGTCCCTTGCTTTCCTGTCCCAGGAGTGCACAACCTGGGAAGGCAGTTGGGCACAGGGGGCATGGGGTGAGGCAGGAGCCCGGAGCTGGCATGGGGGAGGTCAGGAACCATCATGTCTCTCGTGCTCTTCCTTTCCCTCACTGTGCAGCCTCAGATAAGCCCTTAACCTTCTCTGTACCTCCCTACCCCTTCCCTAACACACACTTCCCTGGGTGGTGGCTGAGTACTTGTGGTCCTCCGAAAGAGAGGGCTCCAGGGACCCAGGAAGTGAGGCAACCTTCTCAGGGGTCTCAGCTCTAATGCCTGTCCCACCCCCTCATCCTTGGGGCACGCATGTGCTGCAGCTGGAATTCCCGCTTGGTCCACTCATCGTCAGCCTCCTCGGCTAGGAGGTGGATGGTGATGTGATCATGGGTGACCGGGGTAGAGTCGGTCAGCCAGTAATGCTCACACAGCACCTGGGACCAGAAGGTTGGAGAGGGGAAGGGTGGCTGTGAGCCCAGCCCTATCACTGCTGCCCCCTGCTTTACCCAGTCCCACCCCTCCCTGCCCACCTTTCTGGTCCCTGACACCCTGCTGGGATTCTGCTCTCTGTAATGACCCAGCTCCAAGGCTCCCTCCTCCAGGAGCTGCTCTCCCTTGCCTGGGCTCCGGCACCCTTGCCCTCAGACCTCTCATGACCCTCAGGATTCTGAGTCAGCCACCAGCTTGCTGTGCCAAACAGAACAGCCCTTATTCCGCGGCCAGCAGCCCTGGGCTCACTGCTCCAGCAAGAGGACAGACTCGGCAGCCTCTCTGCGTGTCCCAGGGCCCTGCATCTGCCAGGCTTATCGAAAGGAAGGATCCATGATGGTACCTTTGACACCGGCCCTGGGCAGTCCCTACCCCTTGGTGCCTTCTCTGCCCAGGGCAAGAAGCCCGTAGAAACTAAGCCAAGCTGGAGCTTACATACCTGGTTCCTCCCACTGCCTCCCCATCCCAGGGACCACCCCATCCTGGGTCTGGGTGGGAGGTGGTTCCACCACCCTCCAGGCCTGATTGGCCTCACTCCAGTCTGCCCCGCCTTCCCTGCGGGAAGATGCCAACGGGGCCATTCCCACAAGGAGAACGTGCGCCACCTGGTGGCCTTTCCAGGAGCCTGTAAGGCGCATCACCCTCCTGTTCTCCATGCCGACGGTCAGCATGATGATGATGCGGACCTGCTACTCCCGCACCAGCCGCCAGAAGTTCTCCAGCGTTTTCTTGAGAGGCGCCTGAGAGGCAATGAATTCCTGTGGGTGGGTGGGTGGGTGTAGCCCTGGGGTGTAGGGGGCAGAGGTCAGGAACATGTTAATGGGCGATGTTTGGTGTCAAACACACAGCAGATTTCCAATATTTGACCTCCAGGAGTGAGGATGCTGTGCACACACCTACATGTGTGCAAACACACGAACACGTGTACACCCAGAATGCAAACCAGGAGGGCTGACTTCAGAGACACCACCCCCGTCCCTGTCCCACCCCAAAGGGACAAGAAAAACCCCGATGAAAACAACAAGCTACTGACATGAGTTAAATAGCCCACCTAGACCACCCTCTTCACCCACCCAGAGTCACCTTCCTAAAACCAAACTGTGTTTCTTCCATGCTCAAAAATCTTCTGTGGCTCCCCATTGCCCACCAAATAGAGTCCAAAGTCCTCAGCCTAACAATCAACCCCTCCTTCATTCAGCCCCAGGCTATCTTTCCCATTACATCTCCCACCACCCAGCACCTCCCCACTCCCTCACCCCTACGCACCCCCCACCACACACACACACACACACACACACACACACACACACACACACACACACACTGCCTGAACGTTACTGCTTGGCTGTTCTCTGGCTGCTCCTTCCAGTCAATAGAATGTCCTTCCCTCTTTCATCACTTATCAAAATGTTACTCATCCTTCAATAAACCAAATGTCCCCTCTGGGAAGCCTTTCTTAATTCCTCAGGTGGATGAAATTTCTCCTTCCTCCATGTGCCCTGAGTACAGTGTTTTTTCCTCTATTACAGCCCTTGTCACAGTGTGTGGTGAATGTCACACACATGCCCACATGCTCCTTTGAAGGTGGGGAATGTGGCTAACTCAGCTCTGCCTCCTGCAGGCCCAGCACAGAGCCCAGCACACAGTAGACCCTTGCTAGACACCTGCTGGATTGAGCTCATGAAGCCCAAGCTGGTGATCTCCTAGAGAGCTGTTACAGCTAACAAAGGCCAGTGTGGCCTGCAAACCAGCCCATCTCCCGAGCAGATCCCAGATCCCATGGACAGCCTCACTGGTGGCCCTTACTGGGATGAAGTTGGCATTGATGTAGTCAGAATGAGGCTCTCCCTCCAGCTGGGTCAGCCTGACCCTGGAGTGGTCGTCTGCAGAGAGTGAAAGCTGTGCATTCAGGGCTGGGCACATGAAACCCCCTGCCCCCATGCCAAGCCCTAGCCCTCTGCCATGCCTCCTCTCCTGCCCCCAGCACTCACAGGGAAGCACATGTGGGTAATGGTTCTTGGTGGTGTTGGCAGCGTACTCAGCCTCCAGTCTGGGCTGCTCCTTGCCCACCTCCTTCAGCTCCTGCAGGGATCAAGGGCAGGCACTGGTTGCTGAAGTAGACCCATCTCACCCCATGCCAGGTGAGGGGCAGTGGGGGCAAGTGTGCAACTGGGAGTTCCCTCCAGACCTTCAGACAGGTCCCAGTCTTCCCTCCTCTGAGCCCAAGGGTGGTAAAGGCCTTACCTCGAATTGCAAAAAGAAAGCCTGGTGTGCGTGAGCACTCTTGGCCTCATAGCTCTGCCTGAAGCTGTGGATAGGGATGGGCCGGTGGGTCTACCTGGTGGGAGGTGGAGAGGGTAGCCCCCACAGCCTTAGGTTTGCAGAGTCCTGCCCTGCCCTCCCCTGGGTGACGGGTACAAAGCAGGGGACCTCAGAGTCCTGGCAGCACAACCTGATCACCTGGGGGCCTGTTGGAAACGCAGATCCTGAATTCCACCCTGGGTGTGGAGCAGCGTGCATTTCCAGCAAGCTCCTCCAACGCCCAGCCTGGGCTGCAAACCACCAATGTGGAAGAACAGAGAAGGGACAGGGGACATGTACGCATGTGCACACACACGCGTGAGTCTCACAGTCTCCCTCCCTAGGTCCTGAGGAGGGCTCCTGTGCACAGCCAGTGCTCAGTTAATGTCAGCCCCACAGGAGGTTGACATGAGGAAAAGAGCTATGGCCTGATACCGTCTACGAGGTTGGTCAGGGAGAAGGTGGGAACTGGAGAAGGTGGGAACTGGAGAAGGTGGGAACTGGAGAAGGCATGCATGATGGTTAATATGGTGTCAACTGGGTTGAGTCACAGTGCCCAGAAAGTTGGTCAAACATTATTCTGGATGTTTCCATGAAGGTGTTTTTTGTATGAGATTAACATTTAAAGTGGTTCACTGAGTAAACTCTAATGTGGCTGGGCCTCATTTAATCAGTCGAAGGCTTTCATAGAACAAAGACTGACCTTCTCTGAGCAAGAAGGAATCCTATTAGCAGGCTGCCTCCAGACGCTTCCCAGAGCCTTTGGCCTGCTGGTCTACCCCAGATTCCTGGACTCACCAAGCCTCCACAATCACATGAGCCAATTCCTCAACATCTGTCTCTTCCCCCTCTCTCCCTTTCCTCTCCTCTCATCTCCCCCACCTTCCTGTCCTCTCTTTCCCTGCTCTCCTTCCTCCTCTCTCCCTGCTCTCCTCTCTCCTCTCTCCACATACACCCTGTTTGTTCTGTTTCTCTGGAAAGCCCTGACTTATGTATGAGTGCATTTGGAGGAGGAAGAGGCCACATGGGCAGAGAGGAGTGGGGAGCGAGAGGTCCAGGCATTGAAAAGGCATTTGGGGAGGTGTGGTGGCTGAGGAAGAATGGGGGTCTGGCAGAGCCTTGCAACCCCCTGACTGGGACACAGTCACAGCAGAATGGGGGCCAGAGGAGCTTCAGCAATGCCACCATGGCCCCCACAAGGCAGGGAGGTGCAGGAAAATGCACTCACCGCAGGTTGTAAGCTGTCAGCTCTTGGGAAAATGGATTCTTCCCTGCCCTGCAAAGGGTGAGGGGGCACGTGGGAGGCAGCCCCAGGGGCAGGGAGCTGGCCCACTCTGGTCATGAAGTTCTCCCCAGCCCCCAGCCTTCCCTCCCACTCACCTCTGCCCCTTCACCCGCCTCCAGCACAGCAGGCCCAGCACAGCACAGATGGTGAGGACACAGCCCACCACGAGGCCCTCCATTACCGGCAGGGGCACTGATGCCAGGGAGACACCGGCCCAGGGCTCTGTGGAGAGAAGGGAAGAGTGGAACACAGCAGCCTTGTCCCACAAACCCTGCGAGGTCATGCCAAGCTCTGCTAGACCTGGGACCCTCTGGGTGAAGGGTACAGTGACAAACCCCATCTACACTAGTAGTCCCAGATATCAAACTGAGGCCAGAGATGGCTGCCTGGGGGGAACATCTGGATGGGAACTGGGAACACCCAGCAACCCCTCCCTGCACCCAGCTCCTCAGGATGCCCCAAAGACCCCACCTCCCTTCCCTGACACCATCAAAAGAAAAGAAAGAGGGCAGAGGCCTGGTTTCCTGGACTTTCTAGAACCGCACTGTCCTATACGGCAGCTACCGAACATTTGAAATGTGGCAATTCCAACTTATGATTTGCTGTAAGTGTAAAATACACACCAGATTTCAAAGACATAGTAAGAAAGAAAAGAATGTAAAATATCTCATTAGAAGTGTTTTTGGCCAGCTGCAGTTTCTCACACCTGTAATGCCAACACTTTGAGAGGCCAAGGCAGGTGAATCACTTGAGGTCAGGAATTCAAGACCAGCCTGGCCAACACGGTGAAACCCTGTCTCTACTAAAAAATACAAAAATTAGCCTGTAATTCCAGCTACTCAGGAGGCTGAGGCAGGAGAATCACTTGAACCTGGGAGGCAGAGGTTGCAGTGAACCGAGATCATGCCACTGCATTCCAGCCTGGGCAACAGAGAAAGACTCTGTCTCAAAAAAATAAAAACATTAAAAAAAAGTGTTTTTAATGGGTCACCTGTTGATATTTTAGATATTTTGGTTTAAATAAAAAGTCACTAAAATTAATTTCACCTGTTTCTTTTGACCTTTTCAATGTAGTTTTTAAAAGACATTTTAAATTACTTATGTGGCTTGCCTTACATTTCTATTGGTCAGAGCTGTTCTAGAGCCCGGATGGCCTGGGAGCATCCGGGTATAGAGGGGCAGCGTGAGTGTGGACAGCAGCAGACCACCGCAATGCCTCAGACTCTCCTGCCTGCACTCTCAGTTCGCCCAGGCCGAGTCTGGTGCCAAGAGCACCTTCGTCGCTGGCTCTGGGTCTCCCCACTCTGCTCGGCAGGACTTGTTATCCCAGTAGTCTAAGCTCAGTCCCTCCTGCTACTGGTTGGTGATGAGCCACACAAGAGGGTTCCCAGCTCTCCTCCCCATCTCCAGGGCCCAGCTGGAGCCCTTGCCCAGTGCCCACCCTACCCGAGAAGGCTGAGAAGGAGTTAATGGTCTCAGGAGGGCTGTACCTGGTAAAGGCTGCAACGCTGAACCTGGGCAGAGAAACAGGACCTTTTGTTGGGGAAGGGCAGGCAAATAAGGTGAAGTCCCTCCCAGCAATCTGGGTCGCGAGCAATAGACACTCAGATAGCAAGCGCTCCCTGGCAGGGGTGTCCGGGGGAGAGAAGAGGCAGTCATGGGTTCTTAGTTTCCATTTCTGGTTGGGCCAGTAAAGCCCCTTCCTCATCCCTCGTCTGCTTATTACTAGAGACAGAAGCTAAAAAGCACAGCCACAGGTTGCTAAAAGCCTAAAACAAAACAGAACAGAACCATAACAAAATAAGGCAGGCTGGGCAAGCTTGGCAGAGGTTACGTGTCATGCTATCTGCCATCTCACAGCAAGCCCCATCTTCTGTGCCTGACAGTAAGAGGAAGCTCTAGAAATAGGTACCTGAGCCTGGCACAGTGGCTCACCCCTGTAATCCCAGCACTTTGAGAAGCCGAGGCAGGCGGATCACCTGAGGTCAGGAGTTGGAGACCAGCCTGGCCAACATGGTGAAACCCTGTCTCTATTAAAAATACAAAAATTAGCTGGGCATGTTGACCTGTGTCTGTGGTCTCAGCTAGTCGGGAGGCCGAGGCAGGAGAATCGCTTGAACCTGAGAGGCAGAGGTTGCAGTGAGCCGAGATCAGCCACTGCGCTCCAGCCTGGGTGACAGAATAAGACTGCCTCAAAAACAAAAAAAAGAAAAGGAAAGGAGAATAAAAAAAGAAAAAGAAAAAAATAAGTACCTGGATATCCTGGGAACTGCCCTGGCAAGCTGAAACAACACACTCCACTTTCCTTTTTGAAAAAAGAACCGTGTAACAGATGGGTGTTCAGGTTTTTGCCTTGTCTGCCAGGAAGCTCAGTCAAAATGACTTAATGGACCATCACATGCATTCTGTTTATAAGTCAGTCCAGATCTCTTGTTTCTTTACGAACCACAAATGAAACTTGTAAGTTTCATCACTCCCTTCAGCCTTAGTGCTCGCCTATACTGGGAACCTAGCTTGAGCTGCCCGTTGCATATCTCTTTGGTGTGGCCACAGTCCTCTGTACCCACAGGCACTGTCCAGGATCTCGGCACAGCCCAGGGATCCGGGTAGAAGGGGTTGGGGAGCAGGATGGCCAGGTAGGAGTCATGTCCTCTGTAGTAGTGGTCATGCCACATGTGGTTGATGGCTTCCCAGGAAGGCTGAGGCACTGAGAGGAGTGGGGAACGGGAAGAGCAGGGTGGGCAGTGGGGCCGAGGCCTCTCTTCCTGCCACAGAGGGGCTACCCTATCTCTCTATCGTGTACCCACCATTCATATTAGCACTCTCCTCCAGAACGTTCTGGTCCCCCTTTCTGCTCCGAGACTGACACCAGCCTCACATATTTCATCTTACCAGTCTCAGTCCCCATCTTAACCCCCATCATCACCTACTCCATGCCACGGCTAGGGTCTCCCCATCCCCTCCTAGGCCCAGGACTCATGTGACATGTTGGTGGTGGCAATGATGCCGTACCACTGGATCTGCCCATCATCCTTGCCAAACATACCCCGCGGGATCATCACTCCCATTTCTGTCCCAGGCTCCAGCTCAGGGGCCGGGGCTAACGCTGGGGGATGCCAGGCTGGGGATGGAGAGGAGAGTGAGGACCTGACTGGGTGCCTAGCAACCCATCTTCAAGGGCAGGGACCATGCCTTCATAGCCCCAGTGCCTGGGGCTAACGAACCAAGGCTGGGTGCAGTGGCTCACGCCTGTAATCCCAACACTTTGGGCTAATGGATATAATTAAATAAGGACTAGAAGGTTCCTGGGCTAGGGTACCAGGACACAAGGCTCAAAACTATGGTATCAAACTAGCAAGATCAGGGCCAGAGGAAAGGGCTGGGCCCTGGGGAACAGAGAAAAACCCAGGCAGCCAGGACTAGAGGAGTGACATCCCCAGGAAGACACGGAACTGAGGGGGCCTCAGAGGCAGCAGAAGCTGCCTACCCTCGGCAGATGTGGAACATGCCAGAGTGACCACCCGACTCCACAGACCGTTCCTGCCCAGCACAGCGAGGCTGAGGTGATAGGAAGTGACAGGCACCAGGTTGGGCAACAGGACTGCATTTTTGGAGGTGTCGGCCTGGAACACAAGGTGAGCATTCCCTCCTGCCACCAGCTGCTCTGCCACCACCAGACAGGTGCCCACATCCCTGGCGGGCACTGTCCAGTTCAGGGCCAGGAAGGTGGCCTCAGGCTGGCACTGCACATCTTCCACAGGGCCAGGCTCTGTGGGAATCAAAAGGCTCTGCATTGGGTGGGGGTCAGTGCACCCCCATGAGCAGGGCTTCTGGGTGAAGGGCTCTCGAAATCCGCAGGCATAGAGGGACTGGACATTTATGCCCATGGAAAGGGATATCAGCCAGGCGGAAAAACATCTCCTTTGGACATGACTGCCCACCTGGAGAAGCGTAAGGGGCATAACCCCGAGCAGAGTGGGTGCAGCATCCATCTGGAGAGAGCAGTGGCTCAGAGTCGAGCGGGCAGTGCTGCCCACCTGAATCAGACCTGCATCTCAGGGCACCTTCGTCCTCCCCGCCGCTGACGTCAGCATACCAACAAGCAGTACCACGCGCTGAGTGGACGCCTGCAGCGGCCCTGCCTGGCACAGCACTGACAGGGAGAGGTTGCATCCAGGTGTGAGGCCCCTCAGGATGAGGTGGGCTTGGCCTGGCACCAGAGGGTGCTCCCAGGAGAGGTGCCCCGCCTCTGAGAGTTGGGTGTAGCACATCCCCTGCCCCAAGGGGCTGCTGGCCCAGGCCAGGTTGACCACAGCGGTGCTCGCATGCATGGACACCAACTCACTGGGTGTGTGCAGGGCTACAGAAGGAGGGAAGGAGGGAGGAAGAACAATCAGCCAGGCCGCCAGCCCCAGTCCTCAGAGCCCCATGCTTGATGCCAGGGCCTGCTGACCCCTGCAGGGCCCTGGGGTGTGGAGATGGAAAATGGGCTAAAGGGGGCACCACTGAGGGAAGACCCGGGGCTCTCTGAGGCAGCCTTGCTCACCTCTCCTGCATCGCTGCCTTCCCCATGCCTCATGGGTCCAGCCAGAGGTGTTGGCTGCTGCAATGTGGTGGGGCCCAGCCTGCGTGACAACCTCCACCTTGTACTTCGTGCCTGGAGTCAGACTTGAAAAGCTTGTGCTGGCCACCTTGGCTCCGACGGCGCTGGTGCCTGCCCGGTACAGGGTCACCGGGTAGCTGTCTCGGCCCCTGGGGGCATGGACCCAGGATGCCCAGAGCTGGGTGGGACCTTCACTCGTCACATTTACCAGAGGAGGGGCAAGCGGGCCTGCGAGGAGAGCAAGATGTGGAGGGTGTGGAGAAAAGGGAGAAACGATCTACACTAAATCTCTGGCTCCCCCCTCTCCAAAAGAACCCCAATTTCTCCCTCCATCCTTGGCCCTATCAAGAAACACCCAGGAGCTAGAGACACCATTTCAGGGCATCCTGTGAGCCCAGGATTCCACTGGAAAGCAGGGCCTGCCACTGACCCCAGGCAGCAGAGTCCAGGCTAAGCCTGAGTTGAACAGATGAACTAATCACTTACTCTCGCCACATCCCACCCCTCTCAAGGCAGAGCTAGGCTGGGCAGCATGAGTGTTAAACTGTGTCCCTTCTCCCAGCCCCTGCACAAAGGAGCTTTTAAAGACCCTTATGGCCGGGTGCGGTGGCTCATGCCTGTAATCCCAGCACTTTGGGAGGCCGAGGCGGGTGGATCACCTGAGGTCAGGAGTTCAAGACCAGCCTGGCCAATATGGTGAAACCCTGTCTCTACTGAAAATACAAAAATTAGCTGGGCATGGTGGTGGGCACCTGTAATCCCAATTACTCAGGAGGCTGAGGCAGAAGAATTGCTTGAACCCGGAGGCAGAGGTTGCAGTGAGCCAAGATCGCGCCACTGCACTCCAGCCTGGGCAACAGAGTGACACTCCAGCTCAAAAAAAAAAAAAAAAAAAAAAGACCCTTATGTGCAGCCACGTGTGGTGGCTCATGCCTGTAATCCGAGCACTTTGGGAGGCTGAGGTGGGTGGATCACTTGAGGTCAGGAGTTCGAGACCAGCCTGGCCAACATGGCGAAACCCCAACTCTACTAAAAATACAAAAATTAGCCGCACGTGGTGGCAGGTGCCTGTAATTCTAGTTACTCCAGAGGCTGAGGCAGGAAAATGACTTGAACCTGGGAGGCAGAGGTTGCAGTGAGTTAAGATCATGCCACTGCACTCCAGCCTGGGAGACAGAGGGAGACTCTGTCTCAAAAAAAAAAAAAAAAAAAAAAAGGCCCTTATGTGGATGGACAGGCAGGTATCTGGGGGCCCAGGCAGCACCCCTCCACCCTCAGAGCTTGAACTCACTTGAACTCAGGAGCCACATGAGCCTGGCCCAAAAGTCAACACTTCTTTATAAATGGGGACACTGAGGCTCAAAGAGGGCCAAGGTTTGCTCTAGGGGCTGAGCCCCAGCTAGAACCCAGGTCTCCTGACTTCCAGGGTGACCTCCTTCCAGCTCCCTCCCAGCCTGTACTCCAGGCAAGATCCAGACAACAGTGACAGGGGCAGGAGGAGGCTGGGAGGGGAGGCCCAGGGTAGGGGTAGAAGGAGCCACCACATTGGAGAGGGATGCGCTCAGGGTGGGGAGGCCCATCTATCCCTCAGCTCCACCAAGGGCTCCGCAGGCAGAAAGAGCAGGAAGACTCAGGCCTCATGAGAGGGGCTTCCCAAACCAACTCTACAGGCCCCCAGGGCTTCCGGGTAGGAGAAAACCTCACTGTGTGTCCTGCACTTGAGTAAAGGCAAGGAGCATGGAGCTGGTCACACTGCCTGCTTCAATCCCAACTCCCCACTGTGCTGAGGAACCTGGCGCAAGTTATTTTCTGTCTCTCTGCCTCAGTCTCCTCATCTGTGAAACAGAGAAAACCATAGTAACTACGTCCTAGGCTTGGTGTTATGAGACTTAATGAGAGCACACAGGTAGAAGACCTGGCTGAGTGCCCAGTAAACGCTAGCTATTGCTGTTATGATTTTTTTTTCTTTGAGAGGGGGTCTCACTCTGTCACCCAGGCTGGAGTGCAATGGTGCAATCTCAGCTCTGCAACCTCTACCTCAAGCTAATTTTTGTATTTTTAGTAGAGATGGGGTTTCACCATGTTGGCCAGGCTAGTCTCAAACTCCTGATCTCAAGTGATCCACCCGCCTCTGCCTTCCAAAGTGCTGGGATTACAGGCGTGAGCCACTGCGCCCAGCCTTGCTATTGTTATGATTAACCACTTGTGGCCCACTACCACCCACCTCCCTACTGCCAGCCATGAGAGAGCATGAGGAATATCATGCCCAGTGCCGCCGTACAAGTGAGCAAACGCCTTCTAAGAAGGATCTGCCCACCTTCTAGAAGGCCTAAAGGGCCAGGGCCCTGGGGGAGTCCCAGTGAGGGGAGTGGGGTTACCTAGTGCCTAGGGACCGAGGGAACAACCCTAAGCTGATACATGCCCCACCATCAGCCCAGCTGCCTGCCTGAAGACCACAGAGGCCAAGGGGACATGCAGCCCCCTGGGAATCCAAGGAGCAAGGTAGGGGAGGGCCATCAGAAGGCACTCATGTGTCCAGCCTGTGGCGTTGGTGCTGCTGCTCTGATCCAGCCCCCGCAGGGTGGTCAGCTGCACCAGGAACTCAGTGCCCGGTGACAGCTAGGCCCAGGAGAAGTTCTGGACCTCTGCGGCCAGAGTGTCCGCCCTTTCCAGAGTCAGAGGCCTCAGGCTATAAAGCTGCACCTGGAAGCCATCCCTCCCCCACTGGTGGGGGACTCCAGGAAGCCTTCAGGGCAGGAGGCTGGGTGGCAAGGTTCAGGCTCAAGTTGGCAGGAGGAGCAGGGACTGGGGGAAGGACAAGGAAGAAACAGATGTGGAGTCACCTGAATTCCCTGCCTCTCCTCCCCATGAGCTACACCCATCTCCTCAGTCTCCAGGCAAGCTCCCAGCCCTCCCCACCTAAAACCCCCACTTCCACAGGGCTCAAAGGCCACCCTCCTTTCCTTCCCAGGAAACCCTCTTAAACAGATGCTTGCCCAGACACCTGCTGCCCCGCTTCCTCCCTGACTGTCCGCCCCTTGAGGGCATGGCGCCAACCCTGTCACACCTCTTAGGGCCCCGGTCTCCAGCTCACCTGCTGACGTTCAGTTCCCGTCCAGTCTGTCTCTGGCCTGAGGACCTTGGTGCACACTTAGCCTCCTGCTAAGGTCCTCTCCACCCATCCTCCCCAGCCCCAGCAGATGACCCTGGGCAGGACCCCACCCTGCCCCCCACCAGCCTGCTCTCACTCAGCTCACTCTTCTCCGGGAAACCTCCTCTGACTTTTTAAGCAGGTGTCCCTTCTGTGAGTCCTAGAAGATTAGACTGAACCACATAAAATTCCTGAGATTCAGCCATTTTAACCAATAGGAATGGAGTTTCATATGGTTCAAGCTAATACATTATGCACATTCCAATTAGTGCATTAACAGGTATTATGATATATAAAATCATATATACACACACACACACACACACACACACACATATGCCATCTGTTTACTTGTCTTCCTGAGGCACTGAGGACTATTCATCATTTTTGGCCTCAGCAACTGGTTTCATGCCAAGAAAATGGGAGTCATTCATTAAATAATTGTGGGATGGATGGATGGATGGTGGATGGATAGATGGATGGATGGACAGTGGATAGATGGTGGGTATATAGCTAACCAGATGGAAGGAGGTAGAAATTGCTTGCAAATAGATTCATGAAAGGCCTCATCTTGTACTCATGGCCTTCTGAGTCAAGAATATGGCACACAAGGCCGGGCACGATGGCTCACGCCTGTAATCCCAGCACTTTGGGAGGCTGAAGTGGGCAGATCATGAGGTCAGGAATTCGAGACCAGCTTGGCCAACATGGTGAAACCCCATCTCTACTAAAAATACAAAAATTAGCCATGTGTGGTAGCAGGCACCTGTAACCCCAGCTACTCGGGAGGCTGAGGCAGGAGAATTGCTTGAACCTTGGAGGCGGAGGTTGCAATGAGCTGAGATCATGCCACTGCACTCCAGCCTGGGTGATAGAGCAACTCCGTCTTGGAAAAAAAAAAAAAAAAAAAAAAAAAAATATATATATATATATATATATATGGCACACAGTCCAGCCACAGTGGCTCATGCCTGTAATCCCAGCACTTTGGGAGGCCGAGGTGAACAGACTGTTTGAGGTCAGAAGTTCAAGATCAGCCTAGCCAACATGGTGAAACCCCATCTCTACTAAAAAAATAAAATAAAAATACAAAAATTAGCCAGGCAAGGTGGCAGGCGCCTGTAATTCCAGCTACTCGGGAGGCTGAGGCAAGAGAATCACTTGAACCCAGGGGTTAAAGGTTGCAGTGTGCCAAGATCCCACCACTGCACTCCAGCCTGGGTGACACAGCGAGATTCCATCTCAAAATATATATATATGTTTATATATCTATAATTATATATAATATTATATATAATATATAATATATATAATATATAATTATATTATATAAATTATATATAATTATATATTATATATAATTATATATAATTATATATTATATATAATTATATATTATATATAATTATATTATATAAATTATATATAATATATAATTATATATAATTATATTATATAAATTATATATAATTATATATTATATATAATTATATTATATAAATTATATATAATTATATATTATATATAATTATATTATATAAATATATATAATTATATATTATATATTATATTATATAAATTATATATAATTATATATTATATATTATATTATATAATTATATATAATTATATATTATATATTATATTATATAAATTATATATAATTATATATTATATATAATATATATTATATATAATATATAATTATAGATATATAATTATATTATATATAATATATAATTATAGATATAATTATATTATATATAATATATAATTATATATAATATATAATTATAGATATATAAACATATATATATATGGCACACAGAAGTGCAGAGTAGAGGATGCCAGTCCCCCAGCCCACCACCTGGGGCTGGCCTCTCACAGGCTGCAGCCAGGAACTCACAAGTACAGGGGTGGATCTTCTGGATGCTAGAGCCAAGGTTCTCTGCCCAGGCCCACACTGACATGGCATAGGAGGAGCCGGGCACCAGACTCCTCAGAGTCAGGCTGGAATTGTCCGGGCCCAAGTCAACAAGACTGCCCGGTGACCTCTGGCTGCCCTCCTGGTGCCAAGCGACCCTGTAGCCTTCCCGCTGTCCTGGTGCTGGGGCCCAGACAATGGCCAGGTCAGAGGGGCCACCCCTGCTGATAACCTCCAGGGACTGTGGTGCCAGGGGACCTGAAGAGAAGGGCAGTTTGGTGAGGGGTCCATACACTGCCTGCAGCCCTTTGGTGCCCCCTGCCCAGCTCTTCTGAGTCTCTCTCCTGCTCTGACCTCCCTCCCCTGGCAAGGCCTTCCAGCTGCAGGGCCAGGGAACACAGTGGCTGGCACTCACTTTTGTGGCCCATGAGGCTGTAAGTGATGATTCCCAGAGATGAGGCAATGTCCACACAGTAGCGGGCCCCAGGCACTGGCCCATAGAAGGTGATGTGGGTGGCACCAGGTGGCACAGAGATGTTTCCAAGGAGGCCCGGGTTTCCCTCTGTGTAGAGCAGGGCCCGTCTCCCGGGCTCCTTGGAGGCCTCCAGCCCATCCAGCTGCCGCTTGGCACCACTGCCTTGTCTGGACTTGGCTGCGGAATCTGGAGGCGAGACAGGCCCCAGAGAGTGAGACCTCACCTGCCTCTGGATGCAGATGCCCCTGGGCAGGATACTGCCCTGCTCCCTACCAGCGGGGACTCACCGTCCAGCCAGGCACTGGCCTGGGCCCAGGCGTCATATGGCCCCGCTAGGACCTTCAGCTCCAGAGCATAGTGCCCAGTGGGCAGGGGCCCTGGGAATGTGACATTGTGGGCCTCAGGGCCTAGAGTGATATTCTTCTCCACTGGCCCACTTAACTTCAGCAGGAAGTCATCCTGCACACCTGGCCCTACCTTCCAGCTTGCCCAGAGCTTGGCGGGCAGGGGAGTCAAACCAGGTCGAGGGGGGGCAGAGGTATCTGTGGAGAAAATAAAGAAATATGTGCAGGAAGACCTAAACAGCGGAGGGGAGAAATCCCACTGGTTCTGTGCCGGCTTCATTCCCTATGCACTGGGCCACGCCTTGTCCCAGTGTTAGCGGCCACCACTTGCCACATTCTGGATGAACACCGGCATCTGGCTGCTACCATCTGGCCACGGACAATAACAGAAATAAACACATCAAGTGATTAAATGTGCACCTGCCAGCATGGTTCTGAATACCACATGTGGAAACTAACACAGAAAGAGGGTAAGCACTTGTCCAGAGATGCATAGCCACTGGGTGGCAGAAACAAAACTCAGAACACGGCAGTCTGGTTTGTCTGCCCTCAACCACTGCACAATGGGGCTTCTCTAAGTAAAAAGTCAGTGAAGCCATGGCAAAGCCTACATGGGCTCTGCAGGCATCCAACCCAGGTTCAGGTCAGCTCACCCACGCACAGGCTACGCAGGAAAGGTTGGGTTTCCTCTCTCTGAACCTCAGCTCCCTCCGCCATAAAATGGGGATAATATGACTTACATAGGGCTGTTCTGAGGATTCAATGAAACAATACACAGAAGGTGCTTAGCACAGGCCGGGTGCAGTGCTGCACGCCTGCAATCCCAGCACTTTGGGAGGCCGAGGCGGGCAGATCACGAGGTCAAGAGATCGAGACCATCCTGGCCAACATGGTGAAACCCCGTCTCTACTAAAAATACAAAAATTAGCTGGGTGTGGTGGTGCGTGCCTGTAATCCCAGCTACTCGGGAGGCTGAGGCAGGAGAATCACTTGAACCCAGGAGGTGGAGGTTGCAGTGAGCCGAGATCATGCCACTGCACTCCAGCCTGGCAACAGAGTGAGACTTTGTCTCAAAAAACAGAAACAAAAACAAAACAAAACAAAACAAAACCAGAGTCCAGCTTAGCACAGAGTCCAGCACACAGAAGGGTTCAATTGATAACTACTGTCACCACCATCATCCCCTCAGATAGGTACCCACCACCAGCCAACTGGAGGCACACTCCCTCTGAGCCTCCAAAGACACCCCCCCGCCCCGCCAGTTGTATCCTGGCTACTTGACCCACGGAGAAGAGATGGGAAGTCTCAGCTGTGTCTCCTTTACCCCCAGGCACTCACAGGTCCACTCTGTGGCATTGGGCCCCACTGCCCGATGGGGCCTGGCAGCAGCACTGAGCGTCAGCTCATAGGGGGGGCCCTGAGACAGGTGAAGGGAGGTGTGATGGGAGACTCCCCGTCTGAATACTGCAGTCAGATTGGTGCCACCTAGGAGGTCTGTGAGCACCAAGTGGAGCCAGGCAGCCCCCTTGGAGCCGTTCCAGGAGGCTTGCAAGGCACTGGTGCCCAGGGTATGCAGTACCAGGTGATCTGGAGACACAGGGGCTGGAGGAAGGATGGAGAGAAAATGTCAGGCTCAAGAAAGGCCCCTGGAGCAGGATGCTGGCAGGGACCCTGGCACTAGGGAGCACAGAAGCCCAGGCACATTGGAACATGGCTGGCTATGAGGCTCTGGACTTTCCACCATTCCCACCACTCCCAGATTGGCTGCCACCCGGGGCCTTGCCCAAGTGCCCACCTTACCTGTCCACTGATGGAGGCTGGTTGTTGCTTGGAGGTTGCCAGCCCAGGTGTTAACTTCCAAAATATACTCAATACCTGGCAAGAGGTTGCCAAAATTGTAGGACAGGGTGCCCAGGGGCATGGAGATATTATGTGCCAATGTCTGGGATTCTAGGTGGTAGAGGAGAAGGCAGTAGCCATCCTGCTTCCCGGGGGCATCACCCCATGAGGCCTCCAGGCTGGATGGGCTCCCAGAATGTGGAGCTGCAGTCCATGGACAGTTGACGGGGCTGCATCAGCGGAAGACAGAGACACCAAGGTCAGTGCCACAGGGGCATCACCGCTCTGCCTGTAGTGCTCCTAAATAGGTCACTGTACTAGACATGATCTACAGAGAAGTTGCGCTCCCTGCCAGCACTCCAGGGCAGCCACCTCCTGCCCCAACCCCAGGCAACAACCCCGCCCCTTCAGCCTGCAGCCCTCATACAGTGCGAGCAGTGAGGGTGATGGTGACATTCTGCCCACAGGGTCGCAGGGCAGTCACTTCCAGCTGGTAGCGACCCCCTGACACCAGATCTTGGAACTTAAAGCTGGATGCATTGGTGTGGGCCTGGAGCTGCTGCCCTTCAGGAGAGCTGAGGGGGCTCAGACATGTGAGGCGGAGGGCATGGGTGAACCTGCCTGGCCCCGGGGCTGCCCAGCTCAGAAAGAGGCTAGTAGGTCTCCCCTGGCTGGTGATGTTCACGTTCAGGGGTGGGCCTGGGGAAAAGGAGGTGCTTTCAGAACCCACTAACAGCCTTTCTGCCTTAAAGAAGAATGGAAGGCCAAAAAAAAGAAAAAGCCAGGGTAGAGCCAGGGTCTGGTGTGGAAAAATTGGCCTCACACCCCCGACTCTTCACCCCCAGAACTCCCTCCCCCGCTGAAGACACCTACCTGCACTCTCCCTGCCTGGACTCCCTTCCAGGGAGAGGCATGCTTCCTCCTGCAGGAAGAAAGGAGGCAGAGAGTTGGGGAAATGGACAGAGGCCTCTGGGAAGGCTACTGGTGGAAGGTGGAAGGGGATTGTGACTCTCAGGCTGCAGACAAGCCCACCTCTTCCTGATGCTGTAGCAGGACGAGCCGCAGACAAAACTCCTCAGACACCAGATTAAAGAAGGAAGAGGCCGGGTGCGGTGGCTCACGCCTGTAATCCCAGCACTTTGGGTGGTGGGGCAGGGCCAGGATCCAAGAGAAGGCTCTGTTGCCGTGTCTGACAGCCCCACACATGGCCAAGGGGCATCTCCCGGAAGCATGCCCATGGCGCATCTGTTCTCCAGGCAGGCTGGAGCAATCTGTTCTCGCTCGCTGCGCCACGTGCTGGCCCTGGTGGAAAGGGAGTGGCCTCTCCTCGCCTAATGCAGACCAGCTGTGGGGTCCCGAGGAGCGCTGGGAGATCTGGATGTGCCCTGGAGAGCGGGGACCCCACCCGCTGGCCTGCTCCCCCATGCCCACCTTACCTCTGCCAGAAAACCCCGGAACCAGAGCAGGGCAGCGAACAGGATTGGGAGCCTCATCCTGATAGCTGCAGAGTAAAGTTGGGAGGCAGCAAGGGGAGGAGCCAGTCCCCTAGCCCACCTTGCCTTGCTTGCTGGCAGGCAAGGAAGGCGGGCATGGGTGGGAAGGGCAGAGTTTCAAGCACAAGCAGGCAGCAGGCAGCAGGCAGCAAAAGCAAGGGGCTGCCTCTTAGCCCCAGAGCCTGACCCCCGCTCTCTCCAGCCTTGGCAAGGCTCTTGAAGGGAGAGAGGCGGAGGCTGGCTCCAGGCCCAGAAGGTGGAAAGGGATTGTGACTCTCAGGCTGCAGACAAGCCCACCTCTTCCTGATGCTGTAGCAGGACGAGCCACAGACAAAACTCCTCAGACACCAGATTAAAGAAGGAAGAGGCCGGGCACAGTGGCTCACGCCTGTAATCCCAGCACTTTGGGAGCCCGAGGCGGGCGGGTCACGAGGTCAGGAGACCGAGACCATCCTGGCTATTATGGTGAAACCCCGTCTCTACTAAAAATACAAAAATTAGCCAGGCATGGTGGTAGGTGCCTGTAATCCCAGCTACTAGGGAGGCTGAGGCAGGAGAATGGCGTGAACCCGGGAGGCGGAGCTTGCAGTGAGCCGAGATCGTGCCACCGCACTCCAGCCTGGGTGATAGAGTGAGACTCTGTCTCAAAACAAAAAAAAAAGAAAGAAGAGGTTTATTCAGCCGGGAGCGTCAGCCGACTTGCGTCTTAAGAGCCGAGCTCCCTGAAAAAGAAATTCTTGGCCTTTTTAAAGGCTTACAACTCTAAGGGGTCCACGTGAAAGGGTCGTGATAAATTGAGCAAGCGTGGGGAACGTGACTGGGGGCTACATGTATCAGCTAACGGAACAGAAAGTTTTGCAGTGCTTTTTCATACAATGTCTGGAATTCACAGATAACACAAGTAGTTTAGGTCAGGGGTTGATATTATTATTATTACTTTTTTAACTCCTAGGGCCGGGTGGTGGTGCTAAGGTTGTCTGGCTACTTAACTTCTGTTTCTTTCCAACTTTTTGCTTTCTCTCTTTCCTCCTGTCTTGTGAACTAGGCAAGGTGAGGGGGAGGAGGGAGGGCAGCAGAAGTAGTAGTGGTCTCCTTCCTTAATGCCTCCCCTACCTGTAGCCCACTCCCAGCCCTCAGCTCTCCAGGGAGGAAAGTGTCCTGTGCTCTTGGGGAAGACCAAGAGGAGAGGTGGCTCTGCAAATGGACACATTTGCAGCTGGCTGTCCCACTCCTTGGCTCTGGAGGAGGGGCACAGTGTCTGTTGACTCCATCACCGAGTGCGAGATAGATAGTGTTTCTGTGGGGGTGCGTGTGGTCTTGGTGACACCATGTGGATGTGTGTTCCTGTGTCCTAGGTGGATGGCCAGCTGAGTGTGTGTCTCCTTTTGTATATCCATGTGGTACCACGCTCTTGTGGACAGAAGCACATACTTTGGCTGCTGAGTCACAGCAATTGTAGATCTAGAGCCCACCTGGCCCTTGGGCCTCCTCTGGTCCCACCTCATCACTGCCAGATGAGGAAGCTGATAACCAGAGAGGGGAAGAGCCCAAGTGTCTGAACAGAAAAGCTGGGCTTGAACCTGGGACCTCGGACTCCATAGAACAGAGATGGCAGACCCTGCTCCAAACCTCCCAAATTGGGGTCCTCTCAGCTGGGAATCCTCTGAGGAGCAATTCAAGTACCTGGGACTTTTGCTTGCCTTCCCCCACTTCTTTTCCCCGAATCAGCAGCGTCCATCCTGGTTCCCCTGCCCCTCCCAACCCCCACCTGGCTTTGGGCACTGCTGGAACCCAGGCAAGCCTGCCTGAGGCCTGGCCTCAAAGATAATGAACTTGGGGCTTTGCTTTACTCCTGACTAGAGCCCTTGAGTCACCCCGAGCTGCTCACCCAGGTGCTCCCACCTACAGACAGCTGAGGATGAGGAGTGAGAATGGAAGAAAAGGCTTTGGGCCCTGGGAGTGAAGCCCAGGACTCAGAACAAACTCAGGTAGTGGGGAGAGGGGATGTGTGGAAAACACACAGGTATAGAAGTCTGAACACCAACGCAGCCTCTGTGGTAGCTGGATTCTCCTGGGCCTGCCCCAGCAGGGAGGACAAGCCTGCCTCCAAGACCAGCTCAGCCCAGCTCCCTGCTCAGGCCACAGCCAGGGGCTGCTTGCTCCTCCCCCGCTCCACCTAGCCCCAAACCTCAGAGCCGCCCACCCGGCCCCTGGATGGGGGCCTGGAAACTCAGCACTGCAGACTCAGGAGATTTTCCAGGCCGTGTGTGCGCCTGCGCATATGTGCTCTTTTGAAAGGCGGGGGCGGCGGGCGGGGGAAGGTTGCAACCAGGGAAACTGATGTGAAAGGGAAGAGGTCCCAGTCTGGCCAAGAGGTGGCGGAAACATCGTACCTTCTCATCCCACCCTCATCCCACCTCACCTGGGGACATCTCACTCTGTTCTTTCTGGTAGCCTTGATCAGCAACCAAGAAGGGGAGAGGCGGGGTGGAGGCGCCCTAATTCGGAATCTAAGGAGAAGAGACACACAGGACACATGCCTAGGTAGAGGCAGAGTGTGTCAGAACCTGCTCAAGAGTCCCCACAAAAAAGCGGTCTGCGGGGCCCAGCACAGACTCCATAGCTAGTCCTTTGGACGGAGCCTTGAGGAGGCACCTGGCCCTAAGATGCACAGCTGCCAGCCCCCAGCGCAGCCTAGGGGACCGGGAGACAGGGCCCCTAGAGGTTCTGATAAATAAGCTGGGCATGGTGGCTCATGCCTGTAATCTCAGGACTTTGGGAGGCCAAGGTGGGCGGATCACCAGGTCAGGAGATCAAGACCATCCTGGCCAAAATGGTGAAACCTCGTCTCTACTAAAAATACAAAAAATTCGCTGGGTGTGGCGGCACATGCCTGTAATCCCAGCTACTCGGGAGGCTGAGGCAGGAGAATCACTAGAACCAGGGAGTTAGAGGTTGCAGTGAGCTGAGATGGCACCACTGCACTCCAGCCTGGTGACAGAGTGAGACTCCGTTTCAAAAAAAATAAAATAAATAAGCAGCAGCCTCCCCAGCCCAAACGTCTCCATTCAGCAAAAGAAAAGGTACCACGAGGGCTGTATCTCCTCCCCAGCAACCACCCCCACAGACAAACCCACATCCTCTCCCTAGAGAACCCCTGGGGTTCCCCCCCGCTACCCTGAGGTCTCAGGGCACCTTACTGATTCCTTCTGGAGAGAGCCAGCCAGGAGGCAGAGGAGAGAGCAAGGGGCAGGTCTGGGAGTGCTGGCTTCCAAATGTGAACTGGCCTGGCCTACAGCTGTCCCAGGCAGCGCTCTTCCGGCCCCTCCCTGCTCTCCCACAGCCTGAAGCCTGGCCTTGGGCAGCCCCCACACTGGAGGAAGATAATCACCGGGCAGCAGAGGGGCAGGGTGGCTCAGGACAGCCAAGTCGCCCACTCCCCCTGCTGCCTATACTATGGGGAAGGTGGCCAGGGAGTGGGGGAAGGCCTAGGTCCCCCTGACCAGGCCATGGGAGAGCAGGGGAGGGGCTGGTCATGTGTGGATTGACACTGTGCATGTGCATTTGTGCAAACGTGGGCCATGAGGGTGTACACACCTGTCTGGATGGATGTATGAGTGGGTGTCCGGGGACAACACAGAGCGGGAGGGAGACGGGAGCCCCTGGGAAGAAAAGGCCACATTGTAGAATAGATGTCCATTTGGCTGGCTCTGGGCTTGGGAGAGAGGGAGGGACTCTTCTATCCTAAAACCTTCCTGCCAGGGTCCTGAGTTCCAGCATCGGGCAAAGAACCAGGCACTTTCCTGGACCTCCTGGCAGGCTGGCCCTGGCATCCCAGTGCCAAGCAGGGCTGGATTACTGGTCCTCTCAGCCAGGGGTAAAGGGTATGGGATGTTCCCCTTCATCCAAAAGGTAGCAGGAGGTCCCTAGCTGGCCCGGCACAGGGTTGAAGCTTTGAGACAGGGGTGCAGTTGTCACTCTGGTCAGCCTGGACTTATCCCATGCCCTTAACAGCACTTCCCTGCCCCACTCACCCTGTCTCCCCTGCTGTCTCCCTGCTTCCTGTGGGATGAGGCTTCCCAGATCCAGTTCTTGGTGTTTCTGTCTCCCCGACACAAACAGGAACAAGCCAGGGCCTACAAAGTTGGGGCAGAACAAGCCAGCTCAGGCTGGCCTAGGGTTTTGGGGGTGGGAAGGATGGAGGAACAGCCACCCGAGATCCTAGTGCTTCTCCAGAGAGGAGCCGAGGAGGGCAGCTAGGAAGGGGGCAGAGCAGCTGGAGTGTGCAGGACCCAGCAGTCCTGGCCCCAGGCAGCTGACTCTCTCCCCAGGATCCTCCCCTTGGATTGTTAAAAGGTGGCAGCCTTTGCCTCTGGGGGCCAACTGCTCCCCAGCAAGGAGCTCCCTACTCCCTAGGGGCTGGCAAAGAGCAACGACTTCTGGGAATTCCAGATGTAATGTCCGCCTTTCCCCGGGCCTGGGCTAGGGAGGGGGGCGCTTCTGACACTTGGGGCAGGGAGCTGCGGCTCACAGCCCTGGAACTGGGAATCACTAGAGGGGAAAACAAGAGAGTCAAGACGTGTGTGGCCAGAGCTTGGGAGGGCTGAGGGCACCCACCACAGCCTCAGATGGGACAAGGCTGACTCTCAAGATGCATCATGCCCTGCACCAGTCCCTCCCCAGCCTGGCCTGGTGGCTTGGGACACCCCTCTTTGTCCTCCCTGGAGTGGACTCTGTCCCACCCGGGATGCTGGGAGACCCCTGGGAGTGACTCCTTCCTGCACTTCCTCAGTGCTCGGCTGGAAGTGCCCCGGCAGCCCGGGTTCAGGGAGAAAGTCAGCAGTGAGGAGGAAGAGGGAGGCTGGTGAGAGGTGAGACCCGGCAGCCATGACCTCCTCACCCTGTGCTGCTCCCAGACCCACTTCCCCAGCCAGCTCCTCCCAGCTCCTCGGTCCTCTGGCTGCTGACTCCCAACCTCTCCTCCGTGAGCAAAGCACACCATGGGCTGACAAGGGAGGTGCTATGATCATCCCCCAGTGGAGGGAGGAAGCTGAGGAGGAGCCTGAGACTCAGCAATTTGCCCAAGGTCACACAGTTAATAAGCTACGTTTAGACTCATTATGCATAGATCTTTCTGATTTCCAACTATTACTATACTTTCTCTGGAGTCGAGGGTGGCTAGAACCTAAATCTCAACCCAGGAACACAAATCGATTCGAGTGATGGAAGTTTGAGAGCTGCTGTGACCTTTTGGCCCCAGGGGTGGGAAGGTTCTGGAGGGGAGAGGGAGTCACGCCCAGGAGCCTTCCAACAGCCCGGATGGGACAGAGTCCACTCCAGAGAGGGCAGAGAGGGGCGTCCCAAGTCACCAGGCCAGGCTGGGGAGGGGGAGGTGCAGGGCGATGACGCATGTCTTGTGCCATCTGAGGTTGCAGTTGGCATCCTCAGCCCTCATGAGCTCTGGCCACACACCTCCATGGATGTCCAGGTATCCCTAAGCACAGGGGAAGAAGGAGTGGGCAGGAGCCAAGGAGTGACTGTCCCCTCTACCCCACATCCACCCAGAGGGAACAGGGGATCTTTGAGAGGTCTTGCCTAATGCTCAGCCACTACCCCCACCCCCAACCCCAACTATCTTCCCCATCGCCTGGCTCCCAGCTTCCTTGCTGTGAAGCTCAGCTTCCAACTGTCCAGCCACTGCTAGGCCTCAGTCTGTGGGGGAAAGGGGTGGGCTCACAGCCAACAGGGCTCAGACCCTGGAAACTTGGGGGGACCAGGCAGACCTGTGTGGGGAGGGCTTTGCCGCTTCCTCCTCCCACCCCTGTGGTGTCCTAGCTTCCTGTTCTTGATAACAATCAGCATAGGCTCAGAGCCGGGCCCTCTTTCCAACCCCCACCTGCCCCCTCCTGTGTCCCCAGGGCCCCCACTACCCACCAGTGGAAACACTGACTGGTGTGGGGGGTGAGGCAGAGGCCAGTCTCCAGGTCACTGCTCGCAAGCATGTTAGGGATTCCCAGGTTCCTGCTTCCCTCCAGTCTGTCCTGAGCACGGGAACCAACCCCTTTCCCAGCCCTAATCGGCCTCCTCCTCAGGGAAACCCACCCACTCCGGAGAGGAACGCAGGCTGCAGGGAAGGAGGTGCCAGGATCAGCTGGCCATGGAGGGGCTCAAAAAAGAGCCAGCCCCTGTCCCCACTGCCAAGAGCAAGGGCGGGTGCTGGGAGGCCTTCTGAGCCTCTGGGGGCTGTTCTTGTTCTTCGTCTCAACCCTCCTCCTCAAGGGGCCAGCAGAAGGCCAGCCCCCTCCCGACCACCCCCTCCGGCATGCCTACCCCCTGTGCCTAGGGTACCTCATTTCTTTTTTGCTGTCACCATTTGACAGCTGAATCAGGGAAGTGGGAGGAAGAAAGAGGACGTGGATTGTGCATGTTGGGGGCCGGGAAGGGAAGGGCGTTTGAAATGTTACAAGGTAAAAGGAGGCGTGCAGCGAGCATGAACCGGCTGGGCTGCTGGCCCGCAAGGAGCCTGCCAAGGTCAGGCAGGGGCAGTGGGCAGAGGAGTCTTGGACTTGGGGGCCACCCTTCAGGTCCCAGGCATCCAGGCACCCCAGCAGCGAAGAGGACATGGGAGTCCCCTGGTGTGAGGGCCAGAGACTGTCCACTGTCTGTAAGTCTTCTAAGTAGATGTCAGGGTTCTGGGAGGAGGCCTGCAGGGGGCTGAGGGCCCAGGGGAAGCCCCTCGGACTCCCTCCCACAAGTGGACTCTGCTATCTGCTTCCTGCTGGGCTGGCCTACACTCAGGCCGTGGGCTGTGGAGAGCTGGGCCGTGGCACAGGCGTGGAGACGACCTTTTTGGCCTGGCCCCGGCCCTTTCCTTCACATTGTGAGGCATGGATTCTTGCTTCTTCTTTTTCCCCACCCCGAGTCTGTGCCACATCTGCTCTGGGAAGATGTGGTCTGTGCTTGGCCATGAATTCCCAAGGCTTGAAGCAGCAAGGGCTTTGAGGGAGAGGGCCTTGAGGGAGAGGGCCTTGAGGGAGAGGGCTGTGGGGCAGAAGCAGAGAAGGAGAAATAAGCCTCCGGCCAAGGTCAGGTTGAGCAGGAGAGCCTTGGGTTCTTTGTGGGACAGCACAGAGCTGGGGGTCAGGCGAGCTGTGCCCAGCAAGTAGGCAGCGGCTGGATGTGACAAAGACCCAGAGGAGAAACACAGAAGAGGGGAGAGGGTCTGGAAGCTGGGGAAAGCAGGATGGTCGGGAAGGCCTGGCCCCTCACCCATTCCCAGGGAACGGGGCCTTGGGCCCCAGAAGGGCACAGGCGGGAGGCAGCCGACCCCTGGTGGCAGCGGCAGCAGGCACAGGAGGGCAGAATGCAGCTGGGGTGTGCGTGGGTGGCAGCAAGGAGGGGCGGAGGGAGGAAGCTGGCTTCCTGGAGCCTTCTCAGCCCTCAAAGACAGACCGACAGACAGACAGACAGCTGGCAAGAGGCAGCCTGGGGGCCACAGCTGCTTCAGTAAGTATCTGAAGGGGGGACTGGGAGTCCTGTGGCCCCGGGGGGTGCGAACTCCGGGGATATAAGAGGGCATCTCTAGGAGGGAGTGCGGGAGGGCGAGTGGGGCGCCACAGTGCCTGGCTGGGGTATGGGTGCTCACAGACCTGATGTCCCCAAGACGGGGGTGAGCAGGGAAGCCACAGGGAGCTACAAGGAGAGCAGAGGCTGAAGGGACCTTTTCTGCTACCAGAGACCCTCGCTCTACCACTCACACCTGTGCCAGGCCCATTCTGTCCCCTCACCTCCGTCCCTGCTGCCTTGGTGATTCAACACCCCCGCCACCTCGCCCACTGTGACCCTGGCTCTGGGAGATAGGGACTGCCCCCAAGAGGAGATGGTCCCACCACCTCCATGCCTCCTGTCTTGCCCCCAGCTGTCGCCTCACCATGCGCTGTCGTTCAAGGGCTTGGTGAGGCCATTTCCTGTGACGGTTACAGAGGCGGGAGACGGGGGGATGGGCAGGAGGAGGAAGGAAACACCTCCAGCCTACCTCCCTGGACAGAGACCCCAGAAGCCAGAAACAGACCTGGGAGTGGAACAGCAGCAGTTAGGAGAGGACCCTGCTGGGGTCCAGGAGCCCGCCTGCCTGGCTGCCCAACCAGCTCCAACACTGCTGGAGGCCTCCATTCTCTGTTCAGGGGAAGGCCCACTGGTTAGCTCAGAGATGGCTTCTGCGTGCTTTCTCCCTTCCGTCCTAGAGAACACATATTTTCTGTTTCCTCCCTTGCCTTCTCCCACTTGGACCTGCTCAGAGCCCTGTGTACTCTGGTGTGTGGCCTCTCTCCCCTCTCTCTTTTCCTCCTTCTGGATTCTTTCCTATCTTCATCCACAATCTCTACCCTTTATCTTGCCGTTACTCTACCCCGAGACTGCCTTCTGCCCTGGGTCCCACCAAATAGATCCTGTCCTTCCCTTAGTGAAAATGAGGCCACCTCTTGGGGAACAGAAGACGCCCCAGTGAAAACAGAGTGCAAACCTGGCCTGGCATGGGAGCCTCCTTCTGGCCAATCAGGCAGGCCAGAGAACAGCAGCGGAGGGCCCTGTCTTTCAGGCAGACCTCATGGCTGAGTGAGCCTCCCCTGGGCCCAGCACCCCACCTCAGCATGGTCCAAGCCCATGGGGGGCGCTCCAGAGCACAGCCGTTGACCTTGTCTTTGGGGGCAGCCATGACCCAGCCTCCGCCTGAAAAAACGCCAGCCAAGAAGCATGTGCGACTGCAGGAGAGGTGAGATCTTCCCTGGGGGAGGGGTCTTCCGAGCCCTGAGCCCCCATTCCGCTCCTCCCTTCCTTCCATCTGCCCCTCCAGCTCTGACAGCAGGGTCCAGAGGGCCCTCAGTTGTTGACTCCAATTTGGAAAGGAAACCAGTAGTGCTCATTTGCATGTCTTTTGCATGTCTGGAGCACAGAGTTTCATATCAACCATGAGCCTGCTCCCTAAATTCCAGGCAAGGCCCACAGCCTTCTTGGTGCTGGATGCATGTCGGAGCCACAGGGCCTGGCTGGGAGTGGGAAGAGGCAGGCAGCTGGAAGGAGCAGTTGAGTTCAAGGCTGCCCTGTTCTGGCTGACAAAGGGAGAGGGCTGAGCCAGGCATGGTAGCTCATGCCCAAAATCCCAGCACTTTGGGAGGCTGAGGTGAGAGGATCTCCTGAGTCCAGGAATTAGAGACCGGCCTAGGCAATATAGTGAGACCTCCTCTCTCTCAAAAAAAAAAAAAAAAAGAGGGCACACAGCAGGGGCCCAAACCCTAAATTTACTGGGCTACCAGGTTAAAGGAAAGATAAAGAGCGGCCCCCTCAGAGGTGCCTTATAACAGTAATACTTGTAAGAAAAGCAAATATGGTCAGGCACAGTGGCTCATGCCTATAATCCCAGCACTTTGGGAAGCCAAGGCAGAAGGATCACTTGAGCCCAGGAGTTCAAAACCAGCCTGAGCAACAGAACAAGACACTGTCTCTCCAAAAAAAAAAAAAACTTAAATTAGCCAGGTGTGGTAGCATGTACCTGTGGTCCCAGTTACTCTGGAGGCTGAGGTGGGAGGATTGCTTCAGCCCAGGAGTTTGAGGCTGCTGTGAGCCATAATAGTGCCATCACACTCCAGACCTGGGCAACAGAGAGAGACCCTATCTCTAAAAGAAAAGATAAAAAGAAAAGAAAAGCAAATATGATTGGGTGCTCACTAGGCAGTGGTGGGCTATGCCTGCAGGCGGGGCTCCAATGTGGCTCTGATGCTGGACGTTCGGTCCCTGGGGGCCGTAGAACCCATCTGCTCTGTGAACACACCCCGGGAGGTCACCCTACACTTTCTGCGCACTGCTGGACACCCCCTTACCCGCTGGGCCCTTCAGCGCCAGCCACCCAGCCCCAAGCAACTGGAAGAAGAATTCTTGGTAAGAAATTGGGGTCCCCTCTGAATCGCTCTGCCCTCTGTATCAGAGGCAGCCAGCTGGAACCATTCTCTCACGGGCACCCTGGGCAAGTCTCCCCTTTGGGCCCCTTAGGAAAGAGAACTTCAGGGCTGAGGGAGGGGCTGCCCCCAGGCTTCCCCTTCTGCCCCCACCCCATCTAGGCCTACATACTATTGTCAAGAAGGAATGGCCAGAGTCCAGCTGTTCTAGAAAAAGGTAGAAGGAGAGAAAAGGAGGCTAGGAGTCAGCTGCTCACCCATTTCCTCCCCCTGCCAGAAGATCCCTTCAAACTTTGTCAGCCCCGAAGACCTGGACATCCCTGGCCACGCCTCCAAGGACCGATACAAGACCATCTTGCCAAGTAAGAACTGCTGCTGGGATGAAGGGAGTCGGGTACAGTCCCTGGGGCTAGAGAACTTCAGAGGACAAAGTACACAGTTTCAGCCAGGGAAGATCAACCTTGCTTGGCACATCTTCTCTCAGCAGAGAAAGGGGGAAGAAGGAGCAAGAATCACAACAGCAGCAATAATAATGTTTGCAGATATGTACCCTGGGCCAGGCCCTGTTCTCAATCCTTTTTTTTTTTTTTAAGACGGAGTTTTCACTCTCGTCACCCAGGCTGGAGTGCAATGGCGCAATCTGGGCTCACTGCAACCTCCGCCTCCCGGGTTCAAGCGATTCTCCTGCCTCAGCCTCCCGAGTAGCTGGGATTACAGGCATGCGCCTCCATGCGTGGCTAATTTTGTATTTTTAGCAGAGGTGGGGTTTCTCCATGTTGGTCAGGCTGGTCTCGAACTCCCGACCTCAGGTGATCCGCCCACCTCGGCCTCCCAAAGTGCTGGGATTACAGGCGTAAGCCACCGCGTCCAGCCTCAATCCTTTATATTCACTCATTTCTCACAACAATCCCATGAAGTTGGTACTGTGATGACCATTTTACAAGTGAGGAAACTAAGGCACAGAGAAGTTGAATATCTTACCTAAGATATTCAACTTAGCTACTTGCACCAAGCCCCTTTCCCTGTCTTCCTCTTGCATGGGAAATGCCCAGCCAAGGCTTGCAGTGAAGGAAGCACCACCAGGAGGGCTCCCAGAGAGATGGCTTTGAGAAAGTCAGATGGAGACAGGGCAACGGCCAGCAAGAGAGCAGTGGAGGCGGGGAGGGAGGACACTGTGCTAGGAGGGGGTGACCCTGCAAACTGGCAGACCCGGAGCAAGCACCTTCTATTTTTCGGAGGCAGGCATGAGGCCCCGGAGCCTCTCCCTCCCTCCCCTGCTCTCCCTACAGGGAAGCTACTCCCAGCTTGAGGCTTTAGCTCAGTGAGCACTCGGGCCCTGTCTCCTGCTAACCCTCCTGGAGTGTCCTCTGCCTGCATGGGCGGATCAAGGTGCTATTAGCGCTATTCCAGGCCAGGGGGAGGAGTAGCCCTTGTTCTTGGCCTAATTCTAATCAGCCCTGCAGCCACCAGAAAAGGGAAAAATTCCTTTGCCTGAGATTCCCCTGGTCCCCAGGGTACCTTCTGTCCATGACCAGGCTGGCATGAGCAGAGCGAGAGTCTCTTCTCCTTTCCTCACAAGCCAGCTTCTTCATCCATGTTTGGGTTTCATTTAGAGAAATCCTTCCCCCTTAGAGGCAGAGGCCAAATGCCTCGTGGCTGAGCGGAATCTGAGTCCTAGTCCCACTTCACAGCTATGTGATATCTGGCAAGTTGCTCATGTGAATCCCATATTCACCATTAGAAAACAAATTCTTCTTCCTCTACATCTCTTTTTCCATCCCTAGTGGCATAATCTTGTTCTAAACCTGTACTGATCTCAAGGATAGAATACTGTATCTATTAGAATATTATATCTAATATTGTATCTTCCCATTTGGTCTCTGCTGTTCCGTTCCCTTTCTTCTCTAGTCCATCCTATACAGCACCACTCAGTTAATCTTCCCAAACTATTGTTTTGATCATGTCACTCTCCTGCTCAAAAACATTATACAGCTTCCTACTGTCTGCGTATAAAATACTTCAATAGGGGCCAGACATGGTGGCTCACACATGTAATCTCAGCACTTTGGGAGGTTGAGGTGGGAGAATTGCTTGAAGTCAGAAATTCAAGACCAGCTTGGGCAACAAAGTGAAACCCAATCTCTACAAAAAACGTAAATAAATAAATAAATAAGCAAGCCAGGTGTGGTGGCATTTGCCTATAGTCCCAGCTATGTCAAAGGCTGAGACAAAAGTATCACTTGAGCCCAAGAGTTAGAGGTTACAGTGAGCTATGATCGCACCACTGCACTCCAGCCTAGGCAACAGAATGAGACCCTGTCTCTAAAAACAACAACAAAAACAACAACTTCAGTGGGTGTAAGGCCACCTGCTATACACAAGGTGCTATGACTGTGATGAGCACAGGAACTCTCCTCTTTCTGACCCTGCTTGAGTCTGTGTTAGTTGGTCACCTTCTGACCTCTGACCTCTGCTGATTTTTATTTCCTAGATCCCCAGAGCCGTGTCTGTCTAGGCCGGGCACAGAGCCAGGAGGACGGAGATTACATCAATGCCAACTACATCCGAGTGAGTGGCCTGGCTGCAGTGGTGGGCGGGGAATGGGGGAATTCTCAGACGTCTGAGAATATCTTCCAGCCATGGCTGGTGGATCAGGTGCCTGCATTTCCTACCCTCCCTGCTCCAGCTCACTGCTGTCATAGCCCTACCAAGCTGGGCTGGTACTGAACATGCCCCAAAACACCAACCTAAAAAACGGAGCAGATGTTGAAAAATATCTGGAGAGACCACCAAGTCTCCCTAACCTCCACTATCAGTCCTCCCATGCCACCCTCTAAACTTAGCAGGAAGTTAGCATTGTTGAACCCAATCTCCAGCTGCTTAAGAGCTCACAGCTCCCGAGAACTGCATAGGTGATGCCAGCACTAATGGGACCTCCCCGCCAACTTACCTTAACTGCCCCTCAGATAGCCCCTCTTATATGAAGATGGTTGATTGACGTCAAGCTATAGGAAGCTCCAGGCCAGGTGGGTGTTCCACGCCAGCTTCTCGCTGCTGTGGGCCCTAAGGAGATGTAAAAGCAGCGCTCTCTAGTGACTCAATGTGGGTAAGACATCAGTCAGGGGCGCAGGGAGGCGAAAAGCTCTTAGCTAGGGAAGCCATGGGGAAACATGATCTTACATTTGCCGGCCAATACCGGATCAACTGCAGTCTGGATTTCACCATCTTGAGAAGCAGGAAGCTGAGGATCCTGAAGGTGAGAAAATCAGGTTAGGGAGAGTGTGCTACATTTTGCTACTACTTTCATAGAAAAGTAGTAACCTGTAAATGTGAAACTGTCACTGAACAAATATTAAACACTGTTTAGGTATTTTGTGCTAGAAGAAAGCAGCAGGGGAGGAAGGGAATAAACATTTATAGAGCACTTGCTATCGGCTAGACTCTCAATATATCTTACTGAATTTAATCCACTCTACATTCCTACAAGATAGATATTATTATGCCCAATTTACAGATGATACCACTGAGGCTTACGGAGGCTAGGTAACTGGCTTATAGTGGTACAGCCAGGAAACAGCAGAACAGGGATCTGATCCTCATTCCAGAACCCGTATCCTTTCCATCATGTGGCTTCTGAGTGTGCGTGTTCGTGCATGTGTACGTCTACACGTGTGGTTCACAGCTTCAGGCTGACCCCAGCACCTGAGGCATCTAGGATCTCCCCAGAGCTCTGCTCTCACTGCTCCCCACCCCTTCCCCTGTGCTTCCACCTTCCAGGGCTATGACGGGAAGGAGAAGGTCTACATTGCCACCCAGGGCCCCATGCCCAACACTGTGTCGGACTTCTGGGAGATGGTGTGGCAAGAGGAAGTGTCCCTCATTGTCATGCTCACTCAGCTCCGAGAGGGCAAGGAGGTAGGAGGCAGAGCCACAGTTCATGATGAACCCAGAAAGTGCTATGCCCACCCCACCCCCACCCCACACACAGGGCAGCTCAGAACCAGAGGTTTCCCTGGGAGCCAGCCCCAGCTCATACCTCTCAGAAAGTTCCCTGAGATATAGCCCTGGGAGGCTGTCTATGGCCAAAATACGGGATAGGGTGAGCACTCTGCTTGCAGGTATCAAGCTCAGAAGAGCCAGGCTCCCTGTTGCTGACCTCCCATCCAGTAGGGGTGGAGGATGGGGAGGAGATACCAGCCCCTCTCTGCTGCCCTGTCACCTGCTCCAGCTGACCCTCTTCTGACTCCCAGCTCCCTCCCTCCTAGAAATGTGTCCACTACTGGCCCACAGAAGAGGAAACCTATGGACCCTTCCAGATCCGCATCCAGGACATGAAAGAGTGCCCAGAATACACTGTGCGGCAGCTCACCATCCAGGTACCACCCCCCCGGAGCCAGGCCCAGTGGGAAGTTGGGCCGCCCACAGCATCTCTGGGACTCAGGCTGGCTCTTCACTAGGAGCCAAGGGTTTGCTCTTCTAAACCATCTTAAACCCACATCTATAGCAGAAAGAGAAACTTGAGCACTGTCCTCAGCCTCTAGTCTAATAGGGCAGAGCCAATAAGCCAAATAGGACTACCGGGAAGTACTCACCCATCTGTGTAAATGGTCAGGCGGGGACAGGCAGGATCCAGGAGCAGGGCCAAGGGAAGGAGAGGAGGTTAAAGGAGATGTGGAAGGCCAGGTGTGGCGGCTCATGCCTGTAATCCCAACACTTTGGGAGGCTGAGGGGGGCGGATCACTTGAGGTCAGGAGTTCCAGACCAGCCTGGCCAACATGGTGAAACCTTGTCTGTACTAAAAATTACAGCTGTTTGGAAGGCTAAGACAGGAGAATCACTTGAACCCAGGAGGCAGAGGTTGCAGTGAGCCAAGATTGTGCTACTGCACTCCAGCCTGGGTGACGGAGTGAGACTGTCTGTCTCAAAAAAAAACAAACAAAATAAAACAAAAAAAGAGAAAGAGATGTGGAATAACATGTACACAAGGGCTTTTAAAATGCCTTCTATTATTTTATGGTGTTTTATATTTTTGAAAGCATTCCTCTATCAACTCATTCTCCTCCAAATATCCTGGCAAGTAAACCAGTAAGATATCACTGTTCCCATTTTCCAGGTGAAGAAAATGAGATCAAGGGACTTGCCCAAAGTCATGTGCTTATGGGAAGCAGAGCCAGGGCTTGAATTTGGGTCTCTCCCCTCTCCCAGGACAATGCTCCTTCCCGGGATTTTGAAGGGGGAAGTGGTGGAGAACAATGAGCACGAAAATTGCAACCTAGCTTGCTTTGAGTAGATGACCCCCCCACAGGGTAATTCCAGCCCTTGCCCTCCTCAGGCACCAGAGAAGAAGGTAGACAGTGCCCTCCACCCTGACCTTGGTTCTCATGCCTTGTCTCCAATCCAGTACCAGGAAGAGCGCCGGTCAGTAAAGCACATCCTCTTTTCGGCCTGGCCAGACCATCAGACACCAGAATCAGCTGGGCCCCTGCTGCGCCTAGTGGCAGAGGTGGAGGAGAGCCCGGAGACAGCCGCCCACCCCGGGCCTATCGTAGTCCACTGCAGGTGCGTGGCCCTCCCTTCACTGCAGCCTGTGGACTGTGCTCCCCTCCCCTGCCCCCTGGGTCTCTCCTGGGGAAGGGTCTGAGCAGAAAAGCATCAGGCAAGCCTAGTCCTTACTCAGACATGACTCGCAAGGCCATTCAGCAAGGGCTCTGTTCTTTTTACCTCCTTCACGCAGAACCCAGACATCTGGGCTGGACACCCAGGCCCCATCCATAGAGGGGATGGAATATCAGGAAGATCCCAGTCAGCTGCAGGAGGACATAAACAGGATTCCAGCTGTTGGGGAACTCATTTACTTATTCAACAAATATGTATTGAAAATCCTATTATTGGCCGGGCACGGTGGTTCACACCTATAATCCCAGCACTTTGGGACGCCAGGGCTGGCAGATCACCTGAGGTCAGGAGTTTGAGACCAGCCTGGCCAACATGGTGAAAACCTGTCTCTACTAAAAAATACAAAAATTAGCCAGGCGTGGTAGCACACACTTGTAATCCCAGCTACTTGGGAGGCTGAGGCAGGAGAATTGCTCAAACTCTGGAGGCAGTGAGCCGAGATCACACCACTGCACTCCAGCCTGGGTGACAGAGCGAGACTCCATCTCAAAAAAGGAAAACCTATTTTTGTCAGGCACGGTGTTAGCTGCTAAGGAGACAGCTATGAACCAAGCAGTTTGGTTTCTTCCCAGACAGTTTTATAGGCTGGTGGGAAAGAAGGCAGATTAGGCTGGGTGCAGTGGCTCATGCTTATAATCTCAGCACTTTGGGAGGCTGAGGCGGGAGGATCACCTGAGGTCGGGAGTTCAAGACCAGCCTGACCAACATGGAGAAACCCTGTCTCTACTAAAAATACAAAATTAGCCACACATGGTGGCGCATGCCTGTAATCCCAGTTACTCGGGAGGCTGAGGCAGGAGAATTGCTTGAACCCAGGAGGTGGAGGTTGTGGTGAGCTGAGATCGCACCATGGCATTCCAGGTTGGGCAACAAGAGCAAAACTCTGTCTCAAAAAAAAATTAAATACCACGCAATGTGATGAGAGCTGTGATGGGGATATTATGGGGACCATAGAACCAAGTCTCCTAAACCAGACTTTGACCAGAGAAAGTTTTCCAAGAGAAAGGCCATCTAAGCCAAGCTAAGACCTGAAAGGTGAATTAGCCAAGTGAAGAGAGGGAAGGGAACACGTTCCAGGCAAGTGGAAGAGCACATGCTAAGGCCCAGAGAAGAAATGTGAAAATGGATACACTGCTGGGAGCAGGGTTACAGGTTAGGCCCAGAGGTTGTGTGTGGGGTAATGATGAGAGATGGGTTTGGAAGGCCAGTGAAGGTCAGATGATGAGGGGACTTGGAGGACTGGCTAAGACACTTGGATTTGCCATTTTAAAAGAACACTTTGGCTATAGAGTGAAAAATGGATTGGGCCAGAGTGAGGGGGTGTCGTAGGGGACAAGACTAAAGAAAGGGACCATTTGGGAGTGCATATCCTAAATAAAACAGAGCACAGAGGCAAAAGGCATGACACAGGGGCCTCCCAGCCCACCCACAGGTAGCACTGGGACATGTGCAGGGAGGTCATTAGGGGCTCACGCAAGAGGAAGGGGAGGCCTAGGGGGTTTTGAAATAAAGAGAGGGCACGATAGAGAAAGCAGAACAGAGTGGAGAGAAGACTGTGGGAGGGCGCCAAGGTGGGAAACAGAGGGGCCGGGCGTGGGCTGCGTGGAAGATGAGTCTGAGCTGAGAGGAAGTCAAGGTTAGATAAGGAGGGCTCGAGGGTCAGCACACCCACAAGTGGGAAACTGTCTGTTGGAAACCACTGTAGACTCAGCAGAAGGGAGATCGTCAAAATGTCCACAGGGACCAAAAGGTGGCCTGCAACAGGCTTACAGTAAGGCTGGTAAGAAATGTAAACTCCTCCCATGCCAATTAAAACCTGCCTCCAGCAGGGCCCCCAAGGGGACTGGAAAGCAGAGTACTGCTACCTGCCTCCATCTCCAGAGCCCTATCCCCAAAATATAGCACCTGCAGGTCCCATTTCTTTCTCCATAGTTTGGGGCCTGGCTCTCATATTCCCTGGTCTCCCATGACCTCCCTGTCCCCTCCCTGGCTATCTCCAGTGCAGGGATTGGCCGGACGGGCTGCTTCATCGCCACGCGAATTGGCTGTCAACAGCTGAAAGCCCGAGGAGAAGTGGACATTCTGGGTATTGTGTGCCAACTGCGGCTAGACAGGTGGGTCTGTGGGTGTAAACAAGGCCAACAACGTTAACGGATGGCATCAGTGCCTCTGGGCCCCAGAGTTCTGCTAGGCCCATCACCATCAAGCACTCCTGCAAGAAAGGAAGAAACCCTTTCTGCTTAGAGCTGTTTATTTTACAACTAACAACCAGGAAAAAATATCTATCTGGATGGCCGGGTGCGGTGGCTCACACCTGTAATCCCAGCACTTTGGGAGGCTGAGGCGGGTGGATCACCTGAGCCCAGGAGTTCGAGACCAGCCTGGCCAACATGGTGTAAACCCTGTCTCTACTAAAAATACAAAAATTAGCCAGGCCTGGTGCGGGCCCCTGTGATCCCAGCTACTCAGGAGGCTGAGGCAGGACAATTGCTTGAACCCAGGAGGTGGAGATTGCAGTGAGCCGAGATTGTGCCATCGCACTGCAGCCTGGGTGACAGAGCAAGACTCTGACTCAAAAAAAAAAAAAAAAAAAAACAAAAAAAAGAATATCTGTCTGGAATGTTGGCTTGGATGCCTGGAATTAAACATGATATGAGGCAGCAACAAGTAGTGCAAAGAAGATCACTGGGTGGAGGCAGAGCCGGTGTTCAGATTCTGACATCTGTCTCACTGAGATGTCACTAGATTTCTCTGAGCCCCCATTTCTTTTTTTTTCTTTCTTCTTTTTTTAATAATAGAGATGGGGGTCTCACTATGTTGCCCAGACTAGTCTCGAACTCCTGGGCTCAACAATGCCCACTTGGCTTTGCAAAGTGCTGGGATTACAGGCTTAAGCCACTGTGCCCAGCCCCCACTTCTTCTTTATCTAGACAGAGATAATGGCTCCTTCCCCCAGAAAACTGTTGTAAGAAATGAGTTAACTTATATGAAAATGTTTTGGAAATGGAAACTACTATACAAATGTATGGAATCATTATTTTTACTTTTTAAGATTATTAGAAAGAAGGAAACTTGAGGCTCAGGAGTATTCCTGGCCCGACCCAAGGCTTCAGAGATCTGGTTTTGTCCCAGGAGCTGAGTGGATCAAGGAAGACCAAGTGTCAACATGGGGCATCACCCCTCAGCACGTGTAAGGGGCAGAGGACTTCTCTCACAGCAGATCTGAGGGGCAGCAATGAGGAGTAGAAAGTAGAAAAGATGAATATAGGTGGTGGGGCATGGTGGCTCATGTCTGCAATCCAAGCAGTTTGGGAGGCCAAGATGGGCCAATCACTTGAGGTCAGGAGTTCAAGACCACCCTGGCAACATGGTGAAACCCTGTTTCTACTAAAAATACAAAAATTAGCTGGGCAAGGTGGCAGGCACTTGTAGTCCTAGCTACTCAGGAGATTGAGGCAGGAGAATCACTTGAACCTGGGAGGCAGAGGTTGCAGTGAGCTGAGATCATACCACTGCTCTCCAGCCTGGCTATCAGAGTGAGACTCTGTCTCACAAAAAAAAAAAAAAAAAAAAAAAAGTGAAAAGATGAATATAGGCAAAGGAGTTGGCATGTTCTTTGAGAAAGTCAGGACTTTCCCAGTAGGACCACAGGGATGTTTGACTGGAGCCATTCAGCCAGCACCCTGACCCTCCTTCACTCATGGTCTGTGTGTTTCTCCTTGCAGAGGGGGGATGATCCAGACGGCAGAGCAGTACCAGTTCCTGCACCACACTTTGGCCCTGTATGCAGGCCAGCTGCCTGAGGAACCCAGCCCCTGACCCCTGCCACCCTCCGGTGGCCCAGGTGCCTACCTCCCTCAAGCCTGGGAAGGTGGGTCTGGGGAAAGTGGGCCGAGTGATCTGGGGGTACCCCTTGGGTTGGTGTGGGGAAGGAGTGCCTCCTTAGTGGTGCTTGCAGTCACAGGAAGCAGCAGCAGTAAGGACAAGGGGCCGGATTCCAGGTCTTCAACACTGGCCACTCCTCTGCTTCCTCTGTTGGCCCCAGATGGACAGTAAGGGGAACCTCCAATGTCTCTCTGAACTTAAAGACAGGAGCTGGCATTTATGACAGACAAAGAAAGAAGCCCAGGTGTCCTGGTGTTCTCTGAGACACTCTTTGTGAGCTTCAGTTTCCTGTTCTATAACATGAACATAAGTGCTTAGCTGCCATGAGGGAAAAGTAATGAGAGAAGTTTCTAGAAGCCACTCCAGCCACTCCTTCCTGGGGCTGACAAAAGGGTGATTCCAAGATCATCCTTCACCCGAGGTCCTGCCCAAGCACAGGCCAGATGCAAGAATGGGGAAAAGTCTGGTCCTGATCTCCAAGTCTCAACATCCTATCAGTGACTCTGCTCCCTGACCACACATCGGAAGGGCTGGATGACCCCAATCAAAAGAAAGAACAAGGACTCTGGTTACCCTTGCCTCCACCCATGTGTCATAAGAGTAGGCTACAGAGGTGACCAGGCCTGGCAGTTGAAATCTCTGGAAGAGGGAACATGTGGGGACTACTCAGAGGCAAAGAGGAGCTGCTCCTGCCTCCATGGTTGCTGGCCACTCCCACCAACTACTCTTAGGGAGGCTAAGCAGTCTCTGTTTTGCTTCCATGGCTCAAATAATACCCTGGGTATGCAGGACCCACTATACCTTGCATTTGCTGAGTACACCTAGAGAGCTTGGCTGTTTCCAAAAACAATCAGGGTCATAACCATCCATGCAGACATGGAGGCTCGGCTGAACCAGGACTCCTCACTGTCTACCTGAGAGAATGAGCACCCCTCATCCATCTCAGCATCAACACAATTTCCAGGGGACCTCAGGTCTACCTCAGGACTGAACGCCACACCTCAGGATTCCTCCTCCTTGAATCTGAGACTGGCTGCCCATTCTGAGATGGGGATGAAGGTAAGATGCCGCATCACCAGGCACGCCGCCCCTGACAGCTGCCTTGATACCAGCTCTCTGTGGAAACCCCCGAGGAGTTGGATCTGGAGAACAGCTGGGCCTCCTCACTCAGGACTTCTCTCCTGAAGAACACGCAGTGCTAAAACTGAGGATGATTTCCCTAATGCTTCTGCTTGGCCTTATGGAGGAGCTGCTCCTTCCTTACAGCCTTGGGGATGGACTTGCCCACACCTCCACCTCCCCTGAGCCCTGTGAGAGGCACGACTGTCTATGCCAATGAGGCTCGGTGGGGGGCTCTCAAGTGCCTGATCCTGCCCTGGGCTCAGAGCCAGCCCAGAGGGAAGCAACTGCACAGCCCCACAGGCCCTCCCTGGCACTGTCCCCCCAACCCCATCTCAGAGCTCAGAGGGTACAAGCTCCAGAACAGTAACCAAGTGGGAAAATAAAGACTTCTTGGATGACTGACTCATTCCTTCTTTCCATCTTCTTCTTGGCCCTCTGGGGCCTCTTTGTAGCAAGAGAGAAAGACTGCAGACCAGGGACAGGCAGGCTGCAAATCTTTGCCCTTGGGATATGCACTTTTCTAGCACTTCCAAGGACATAAAGTAAGGTGAAACCAAAGTCAATTTAGGAAGTGAGACAGGGTGGACCCTCATAGCCTACCCAGGCAGCTGTAACAATTCACACTACCGTAAACCATGTGGCTTCTAAACAACAGAAATGTATTGCTGGCCTGGCGTGGTGGCTCATGCCTGTAATCCCAGCACTTTGGGAGGCCGAGGCAGGCGGATCACGAGGTCAGGAGATCCAGCTAACACAGTGAAACGCTGTCTCTACTAAAAATACAAAAAATTAGCCGGACGTGGTAGCACACACCTGTAGTCAGCTATTCGGGAGGCTGAGGCAGAAGAATTGTTTGAACCCTGGAGGTGGAGGGTGCAGTGAGCTATCATGCCACTGCACTCCAGCCTGGATGACAGAGCAAGACTCCATCTCAAAAAAAAAAGAAAAAAGAAAAAAAGAAATGTGTTGCTCACAGTTCTGGAAGCTGGGAAGTCTAGGATCAAGACCCTTGCAGACTCAGTGTCTGGCTATTAGGCAGAGCCTTCTTTCTGTCCTTGCATGGTGAAAAGGTTGTGGGCTGGTATTCTTCCCCCTAATCCCACCGGCCCCCTTTATAAGGCTCTACCCTCATGACTTAATCACCTCCTAATACCATCACTTTAGGGATTAGGACTTCAACCTATGAATTTGGGGGGACACAAACATTCAGTCCATAGCCTTTATCTTAGGAGCTAGAGGAGGACTTATAAAGGGCAGAGGTTAGAAAGATGGTGCTTAATAAACCAGAATATTGGCCAGGCTCATGCCTGTAATCCCAGCACTTTGGGAGGCTGAGGCAGGCAGATGGCTTGAGCTCAGGGCTTCGAGACCAGCCTGGACAACATGGCAAAACCCCGTCTCTACCAAATATACAAAAATTAGGCTGGCATGGTGGCGCATGCCTGTAGTCCCAGCTACTCGGGAGGCTGAGGTAGAAGAATCACCTGAGCCCGAGGAGGTGGAGGCTGCAGTGAGTCGAGATCCCACCGCTGCACTCCAGCCTGGGCCACACAGTGAGACCCCATCAAAAAAAAAAAAAAAAACAATATTATGCTAGCCGAAACCTTGTGATTCTTCTACTTTGGTAACTGTTTGACTATTTGGGGTCATCTAACTCCAGTTGATTGGACAGATATGGTTGATATTGATAGTTTACCCACTTTTGACTAAAACAATAGACTACATATGACTACATTTGAAAACCAAACCCCAACGGGCAGCCAGCATAGGCTGGGGACTGCCCGAAGCCTGAGCCTACCCGGGACTGCCAGCTGAGGTTGTCAGCCTGCCTGAGCAGGTCCTATGGGTGGGTCTTGCAAGGAGAGGGGCAGGAGTAAGGCATCTTTGCAGGCACTCCAGACCCACTTCAAGAGGAGAACTATCACTTCTCCTCCTGAAGAATACTCTGCTTTTCACCAAAACAGGGCAACATTTTCCTTTGTCACAGACGTTCCTCACTGAAAACCCCCTGCCAGGACTGTATCTGTTTGGGTATCTTGGGGATGCTGGTAAAAATCCGGAGCAAGTTCAAGCGTCCGTTTCACTTGGGGCCAGAGGCTTCCTAACAAGTGGTCGGGGTAAATTGTGGTGAACAAAACAAGATGGAGTATTAAAAGACCCGAATACGGTTGTCCCTCTGCACTGGGTGCATTTTGAGAGGATGGGACTGTACCCAGGAATGCTCAGAGGCAAGGGTTCAGGGACAAAAAAGCCTCCATCTGCCTCCCTGTCGTAGAGATCTCATCTCCGTGTCCTGGGAAGTGGGTGACCCACTCTCCTTCAACCTGAAAAGGCTCCTGCTTAACCGGAACCTCACCCACCTCGAGCCCACCACCCTTTAAGAAAGGGGGTGCCAGTCAGGGCGCGGCAGTCGGGGACAGGGTCTAAAATAAATTAGACCCCATTTCCCAAGCGCCTCTCGACGCCAGCTGCCGGTCAACCCCCGCCGCTGAAGCCTGCGGATTCCCTGCTCACCCCACCTGCGGATTCCCTGCTCACCCCACCTGCGGGTGCGGCCCCTGGCCCCCCGGCTCCAGCGAGGGAGGAGCGCGCGCTCGGGTGCGAGCAGGACACGGCCCGGCCGCGAGGGAGGGCGGCGGCGGCGGCGGAGGAGGAGGGCGCGGAAGCCACACCCATCGGCGAGCCGATTCCGGGGCAGCGAGTCGTCGGCAGCCGCGCTCGAGCCTCCGCCCGCACCGAGCCGCGGGACCCGGGCCGTACCGGGGAGGGGCCGCTCCGGGCCGCAGCGCGAGGGCAGCGAGGGGCGGCGGGGACCTGGCACCGGGCGGGGCCGGCGGCAGCGACCATGATCGCTTTGTTCAACAAGCTGCTGGACTGGTTCAAGGCCCTATTCTGGAAGGAGGAGATGGAGCTCACGCTGGTCGGGCTTCAGTACTCGGGCAAGACCACCTTCGTCAACGTGATCGCGGTACGAGGGCGTCGGGCGCGGGGTCCCCGGGCGCGGGCCGCGGGTCGGGCCTGTCCCCGCCCGCGCCGCGCCCTGCTGAGCCGGGGTCGCCGCCTGGCATAGCCGGGCACGGCCGGGCGCCGGGCGGGGGAGGAGCCGGCCCCGAGCGCTTGGGGCCTAGTACGGCCCGTGCCGTGGGGGACCGGGGCGGCGCGCGACCCGCTCTCTCACCCGGGCCGGTACTGCACGGCTGGGGGCAGGGGAAGGGGGACGAACAGACAGGGCCGGTGCCACGGGGCAGGCGGCACCGAGGGGCTCTCGAAGCAGGAGGGACCCGCTGCCGGCTGAGACGGGCCCCCTCTGGCCCCCGCGCAAGGGGGCATGACGGGGCGAAAGTGCACGGGCCTTCCTGTCCCGCGGGTAGAGGGTCACGGGACGGGGCGGCCGAGAGGCTTGAGGAGGGGGTTTGGGCAAGCCCAGCCCCACCCAGAGGGCTTAACCCCTCCTTGCCGGAAGAGGAAGCCCCGGCCCTATTGAGGGGGAGGGGAGGTATCCCCCGGGGTAGAGGAGTCAGCTGAGGCCCTTGGCTCAAGCCCAGACTCCTCCCCAACTTCTCCCCGACCCGCAGTGTCTAGCCGGGGGTCCAGGGAGGATCGCATGGTAACGGGAGTTTGGAGACTCCGTCTGGCTCAGAAGTTTGCAGGAGCAGGTGCTCCCGACAAGAGAGGATGAGGTGTAGGGGCACGGCCCACTGGGGCCTTGGGAGAGTGGCTCTAAGGGCTTTGGGTCGTCAACACTGAAGTGGGTGATTGTAAGTCTTTCAGCGCCAGGGGAGTGGTGGGGAAGGAGTTAAAATCTCTCTCAAAAAAGGGGAAGATGAGCTCCATGGGTGTGAGCTGAGGCTGCCGTAATGGCTGCGGCCTGCCTGTCAGAGCCAGGCTAGACAGGGCTTGTGGGTCGAGGAAGCATGGGACAGGGGCTGGGGTTGTCCAGGGACCTGGCCCCAGTCCCAAAGCTGAGGTTTCCCACAACTGTGAGTTGGCCAGATAGTAACCAAAGATACTGATGAGATAGGTCAGCAGAGGAATGTATCCAGCCGGCCTAGGTACCTCTACCTGTCCGTGTTGTTGCCCCACCTTGCAGAAGATGGGCCTCCTCGACAGTTCTCAGCGTCCTAGAAGGCAGGGGACGTCACTTCATTGGACCTGAGGCATGAAGGCAGATGGAAAGCTCGAGGGGCGGGCATCCTGTGGTTACACAATTGAACACTGGCTTCCTTTCCCAAACATGCTCTGCAAATGACCTCTGCCCTTTCTCGACCCAGTGTCTCCTGTCTCCTGACCTGACAGGGCAGGATCTTCAGGCCAATGCTGCGGTTTTGGCACAGTAATTTTCGGAGCTAACACCCCTGGGCTCTGTCTGCCTAGGCTCTGCCCTTGGGGTCAGAGACCCTCTGGTTAAACTTGGCATTGACTTAGGCTCTTGGATTCCCAGAGCAGGCACATAACACCTGGACTCTGACCTGACTCTGCAGGCCTAGGTGGCTTGGGTTCTAGGCGTTTAGGTCTGAGAAATGCAGCTGGGCCTAGGTATCTCCTCGTTCCCCAGGGTGTTACTATAGCTGTGCTCTGGGACAGGGATCCACAGGTACCCGGGTGGGTTCGGTTTCTGGGTCTGCAGTTGAGCCTTTGACAGGAGGGCCCCCTCTAGACCAGCATCATATCCAGAGAGTTGGAGACTATAGCAGGCCAGAAACAGAACCCAAGAGTCCCAAATTCCCCTGCCAGGGTCAAGAGTTCCTGTGATATACAGGAAAAGCACCCCATCTCCAGCCCACAAGGTCCCCTTTTTAATCTTAAATTTGCCACTTCCGCTGGCACATTCTAAAAGAGCAGGCAAGCTAAATTCCCTTCTTTAGAGAGGCTTCCCAAGGAAAACCACCCCATGTGGGCTGCAGTTGGAATTCCAGTGTCCCGGTCACTCCAGTGTTTTCAGATCCTCTGGGGCTACCACACTGGCATTGCTGCCCACCCCGTGTATAATCACAGTTGAGTGTCTTCCAGAAAGAAACGAAGAGTTGGGACCCCTGGGCTCTGTTCCCATGCCTACCACTGAATTTCTGAATTACCTGTGCCTGTTCATTTGGCCTCTGTTTGTCTCAGATCTTTCGCCATTGGGTTTTTTCTACTCACCCTATGAGGTCTGGCTGTAAATAGAAATTGAGTTTAGTGTGTCTAGCTGCTCAGCAGGTTAATGTGAGCTGGAAAGAAATTATATACACTGCTTCTAAGAACCTGAAACATCAGCCGGGCATGGTGGCTCACGCCTGTAATCCCAGCAATTGGGAGGCCAAAGTGGGGGTTTCACCTGAGGCTAGGAGTTCGAGACCAGCCTGGCCAACATGGTGAAACCCCATCTCTACTAAAAATACAAAAATTAGCCAGGCATGGTGGTGGCCACCTGTAATCCCAGCTACTTGGGAGGCTGAGGCAAGAGAATTGCTTGAACCCAGGAGGCGGAGGCTGCAGTGAGTTAAGATCGTGCCGCCACTGCACTCCAGCCTGGGCAACAAGAGCGAAACTCCGTCTCAAAAAAAAAAAAGGAACCTAAAACATCCTTTGAGTTCTGAAAAAGTTGTGATGCTAGAAAAGTGGGAGATGTTTTGTCCTAGGAAACAACAGGGTCATTTTCAAATATTTAAAAGTGTCAAAGACTGTCCTATGGAATAACTAGTCTTGGAGTGCCCAAGGGGACTTAGGAACAATGGGTGGACATTCTAGGAATGATAGATTTTTTTTTCTTTTTTTTCTTTTTTCTTTTTTTTTTTTGAGACAGAGTGTTGCTCTATCACCCAGGCTGGGAGTGCAGTGGTACAGTCTCGGCTCACTGCAACCTCCGCCTCCCAGGCTCAAGCAATTCTCCTGCCTCAGTCTCCCGAGTAGCTGGGATTACAGGCATACACCACCATGCCTGGCTAATTTTTGTATTTTTAGTAGAGATGGGGTTTCGTCATGTTGGCCAGGCTGGTCTCGAACCCCTGACCTCAGGTGATCTGCCTGCCTCAGCCTCCCAAAGTGCTGGGATTACAGGTATGAGCCACCATGTCCGGCCGGATTGTTAACTCAATATAAAGAACTTTCTGATAGTTGGAACTGACCCAAGAGGGGATGGGGCAGAAGGGACTGAAGTCTGAGACAAGAGGTTGGGCTGCATGACTTCAGGTTACTTCCAACCTTAAATGAGGAGCCTATGAGACAGGGAGGCATTAGCAGGGAAATTAAGTCATAATCTGATTCCACCTTAGCTCCGATTCACAGCTGAACAAGACCTACTGGTGCCGGGGAGCCTGGCTCCTTGAAGGTCCTCCCAGCATCCCCCTCTGCCAAGGTCACATTCTGCCAGGCTGGGCTTCTCATTTACTTGGTAGCCTGTGGATCTTCTAGTTGCCAAAGAGCAGTGATGGTTCCCCATGCTATATCGAAACCATTTCCAAGCATGTTGTGAGTCTTATTTACAGTTCCTAGGAGACCGAAACCCTTCTCCCCAGTTTTACATTCAGAAACACTGAGGTCCAGAGAAGTTCAAGTTTCTTATCCAAGCACCCCCTGGGATGAGAGACAAACAAGAACTGGGCCTCCTTCCTCAGACTCTATTGTTGGGGATGGGGTAGACTGCAGCAGGCTGCCGGGGTTTGGGTAATTACAGCACACTTAATTCTCCCTGCTTAGCTAGAAGAAGCCATTCCCTCTTCCTCAGTGGTTCCTAACTTTGGGGGCTCTCAGAACTTTTTGATATCTGAAAGAAGTGAGAGACCCTTTCTCCAGAAAAATGTACACACAAACAAAACTTTGCACACACACAGATTGTGTACAGTTTCAGGGGGTTCAGGGGATCTCTGAAGCCCAACTGTGGACCTCAGGTTGGAAACCGCTGCTGGACCTTGTCATTGGGTGTCAGTCCTGGGTACTCAGTTCTTATATCATCCTAAGGCCCTGATGAATAGGTGGTTCCTGCAGATAAAAGGGAATTGGGCTGGGCGCGGTGGCTCACGCCTGTAATCCCAGCACTTTGGGAGGCCGAGGTGGGCGGATCACGAGGTCAGGAGATCGAAACCATCCTGGCCAACATGGTGAAACCCCGAATCTACTAAAAATACAAAAAAAAAAAAAAAAAATTAGCTAGGCATGGTGGCACGCGCCTGTAGTCCCAGCTACTTGGGAGGCTGAGGCAGGAGAACTGCTTGAACCCAGGAGGCAGAGGCTACAGTGAGCCGAGATCACACCACTGCACTCCTGCCTGGGCGAGAGAGTGAGACTCCGTCTCAAAAAAAAAAAAGGGAATCAAAGCAGTCTATTCAGATGGGATATCAGGGGTCTTCATGTGGACATGGAGGCACCAAATAAGAGCCAATCATCTCCTACATCTTGGCTAATGGTCAGGGCCCCTGATCTCTTTATGTAACCCAAGGCAAATTATTCCTACCAGCTGGTGGGAGAAAAAGGCATGGTAAAGGAACAGGGCTTGGCCGGGCACCGTGGCTCACCCCTATAATCCCAGCGCTTTGGGAGGCCCAGGTAGGCAGATCACTTGAGGTCAGGAGTTCAAGACCATCCTGGCCAATGTGGTGAAACCCTGTCTCTACTAAAAATACAAAAATTAGCTGGGTGTGGTGGCACATGCCTGTGGTCTCAGCTACTGGGGAGGCTGAGGCAGGAGACCCTCGCTTGAGCCCAGGAGGCAGAGGCTGCAGTGAGCTGAGATCACATCACTGCACTCCAGCCTGGGCCATAGAGCGAGACTCTGTCTCAGAAAAAAAAAAAAAAAAAAAAAAAAAAAAAGGAACAGGGCTATCACCCTCAGGTTCAATGTTGAATGAGCCTCATCTTTTTTTTTTTCTCAAGCCGGAGTCTTGCTCTGTCACCCAGGCTGGAGTACAATGGCATGATCTCGGCTCACTGCAACCTCCACCTCCTGGGTTCAAGCGATTCACCTGCCTCAGCCTCCCAAGTAGCTGGGATTACAGGCACACGCCACCACACCCGGCTAATTTTTTGTATCTTTAGTAGAGATGGGGTTTCACCATGTTGATCAGGATGGTCTCAAACTCCTGACCTCGTGATCTGCCCCCTCAGCCTCCCAAAGTGCTGGGATTACAGGTGTGAGCCATCGCGCCCGGCCGAGCCCCATCTCTTTAGCCTGCTTCCAAGGGATAAGCAGAAGTGTCCTACCTGTGAACATGGAGATATGACCTGGGAGGGAGTTGGGTCTGGCCTTATTTGAAGACTGTAGGTAGTTTAGAAGAATCCAGAAATCCTAGAGACAATACAGAATGGATTTTGGAAAATGGAATTACAGTCAAACCCCCAGTATTCAGCAAACATTTACTAATGGTGTTACTATAGACCTGGGTCCTCTCCCAGGAAGTGTTCTTTCTAGTGAGGAGACACATAGATAAATAAGCAGACGATATAGAGTGTAGGTTATCCTTCCCAATAACTGGAGTACAGTACAAATAAACTGAACCATGGATAATCCAGAAATTGCTTGGCATGCACTGCATTTTCAGGATGACCAATATACTCTGCCCTAAAAAGTTTGATTTTTTAGTTTGAAAATTCATCTGCTTTCTTTGAGATCCTCCTTAACTATTAGAACATGACTTGCTTCAAGTTCTCTTGCTGGAAGGTAATTTCTTCTTCCTCTCCACTGGAGAGAAAGTGGCGTCAGTTACTACAGAGAGATGTAGGTTAGACTTGAGGAAGAATTTTCCCCTAGTCTAGGCAAAGAGATTGAGACTGTCTGACAAAAGCGGGTCTTTTCACAGGGCATCCCCAGGTGTAGGCGGGACACATAGGTTGGTGATAGCCCATCCTGCCTGAAAGCACAGGATGTGCAAGAGTACCCCACAGTGGGAAGTCTAGGAAGCTCTGGCCTGGCCTCTGCATGGTTCTCGCAGCCTCTTGGTCTGCGGTGGGGGCATATCGATTTTTGCACTGTTTCCCATTCTGAGTCTTCTTTCCAGTCAGGACAGTTCAACGAGGACATGATCCCCACCGTGGGTTTCAACATGCGCAAAATCACCAAAGGGAATGTGACTATCAAGGTGAGGGCCCAGAAGCTTGGGGGGTGCAGAGGACTGTTTTTGTGTGTGTGTGTGTGTGTGTGTGTGTGTGTGTTGGGGAGGGCAACGGAGGCCCCTGGGAGGAGCGAGCTGAAGTGGGGCAGAGGCCAGGGTCCCCCTGCTGAGGAGCTGGGAAAAGACAGTAGAAGACTTCTAAGGTAGACGGAGAGCGGGTGGAGACGGGGGAGAACTGGAGAGGAAGCCGGGGAGGCAGAGGAGAGTAGGGCAGGGTAGGAGGGGGCATTTGAGACCCAAGACACGTTTTGGTGGCCTGCCCACTACTGAGGCTATCTCACCCTCTTCTTGCTCAGCTCTGGGACATTGGGGGACAGCCGCGTTTCCGCAGCATGTGGGAGCGCTACTGCCGAGGAGTGAGCGCCATCGTGTAAGTACACGGGAGGCATCGCCAGACTCCAGCCTTACCCGGCCCCCCTAGCCCTGCTACCTTCGAGGACCTCAGAGGCGCAGGGTTTTATTAGACATAATCCTTGGTTCATGACACAGTGTCGGTCCAGGGCCTGCGTTTATTTTGCATGCCACTTGTTTCTTATTGGATAAATGCCCTGGGCACTCACTACCCAATCTAAGAAACAGACTATAGACTATTAACCAGCCAGATGCACCTGTGCATCCTCTTCATTGACTTGTCTCCCTCCCCTCAACCCAAAGTCACCACTGTCTTGAATTTTGTGTGGTTTAAATGATTCTTTTTTTTTTTTTTGAGACGGAGTTTCGCTCTTGTTGCCCAGGCTGGCGTGCAATGGTGCGATCTCGGCTCACCACAACCTCCTGCCTCCCAGGTTCAAGCGATTCTCCCACTTCAGCATCCCAAGTAGCTGGGATTACAGGCATGCGCTACCACGCCTGGCCACTTTTGTATTTTTAGTAGAGACAGGGTTTCTCCATGTTGGTTAGGCTGGTCTTGAACTCCCGACCTCAGGTGATCTGCCTGCCTCGGCCTCCCAAATTACATGCATGAGCCACCGCGCGCAGCCCTCTCTTGCTTTTTAAAAATAATGTTTTTTTTGGCTGAGCATGGTGCCACACACCTGTAATCCCAGCTACTTGGGAGGCTGAGGCAAGAGGATTGCTTGAGCCCAGGAGTTTAGGGCCAGCCTAGGCAACATAGCAAGATCCTGTCTTTAAAAAAATAAAATAAAATAAATTTTAAACATTGAAAAATGGCAGGGCATGGGCTGGGCGCGGTGGCTCACGCCTGTAATCCCAGCACTTTGGGAGGCCGAGGTGGGCGGATCACGAGGTCAGAAGATCGAGACCATCCTGGCTAACACAGTGAAACCCTGTCTCTACCAAAAATACAAAAAAAATTAGCTGGGCGTGGTGGCAGGCGCCTGTAGTCCCAGCTACTCGCGAGGCTGAGGCAGGAGAATGGCGTGAACCCAGGAGGCGGAGCTTGCAGTGAGCCGAGATCGCATCACTGCACTCCAGCCTGGGCGACAAAGCGAGACTCTGTCTCAAAAAAAAGGAAAAGAAAAGAAAAGAAAAATGGCAGGGCACAGGGGGAGGCCAAGGCAGACGGATTACTTGAGGTCAGAAGTTCAAAACCAACCTGGGTAACATGGTGCAACCCTATCTCTACAAAAGTACAAAAATTAGCTGAGCCTGGTAGCACGCACCTGTAGTCCCAGCTACTCAGACGACTGAGGTGGGAGGATCTCTTGAGTCCAGGAAGCCGAGGCTGCAGTGAGCTGTAATTGCACCACTGCACTCCACCCTGGGTGACAGTGAGACCCTGCCTCAGAAAATAATAGGCTGGATGCGGTGGCTCATGCCTGTAATCCCAGCACTTTGGGAGCCCGAGACGAGTGGATCACAAGGTCAGGAGATTGAGCCCATCCTGGCTAACATGGTGAAACCCCATCTCTGCTAAAAATACAAAAAATTAGCCGGGCGTGGCGGCATGTGCCTGTAGTCCCAGTTACTTGGGAGGTTGAGGCAGGAGAATCGCTTGAACCTGGCAGGCGGAGGTGGCAGTGAGCTGAGATTGCACCACTGCACTCCAGCCTGGCAACAGAGCGAGACTCCATCTCAAAAATGATATTAATAATAATAATAAAATTTATTCTATATATATATGCCCAAACAATAGATTGTTTAGAATACACAATAGGTTGCTTTTTAACCTGATAACAAAAAGTATCTTGCTAAAAGAAATCTTCTAAGGTTTCCTTTGCTTTTTTCACTCTAACCTTATTTAGTCTTTCCATGAAAACATAAGTGGGTCACTTTGAGAGGGACTTACAGCTAATCTCAAAGGGCCCACGCTTTTCCACATGAGTAACGGCTTCCCCAGAGTAGCACTTGGAGGCTAATGGCAGGCCTAAGGAGTCCCTGCAGCTGTTCACTCCCATAGACTCAGAAAACATCCGCGGAGCACCTGCCTTGAGCCAGGCCAGGTAGCCCATGGATCCCGAGGTGACCAAGCTGCAACAGATGCTTTCACCTCCAAGCAGCAGCTCCTTCTCTTCCTTGCACCACCTCAGCCTGTGGTGTCAACATGCTTGTCCCCACCCTGCCTCTTTCCCCAGGTACATGGTGGATGCTGCTGACCAGGAGAAGATTGAGGCCTCTAAGAACGAGCTCCACAACCTACTGGACAAACCTCAGCTGCAGGGCATCCCGGTCAGCAGACCTGAGGGAGCGGGATGGGGAGGGAGCTCGGCTGGGAAGTCACTGGGAGCAGGTAAAAGCCAGGCATGGTAGGGGCGCAGAGAGGAAACGGGACCCAGGAGGCCAGCTCACCACCCAGACAACCTGGGCACGGCTGCCCTAGACCTCATCCTCACCCTCCCTTCTCCGTAGGTCTTAGTCCTGGGTAACAAGCGAGACCTTCCGGGAGCATTGGATGAGAAGGAGCTGATTGAGAAAATGTGAGTTGGGTGACTCTATATTACTTTCTGCTCTCCCAATTCCCCAACCACCAGACCAACAGCCTAGGCTTGCTGCTGTTCTTAGTATTAGCCACACGGTGGCAGCAGAGCCGACCTTTTCAGGCACCTCACCCTCCCCTTTGTAGCCTCTTAGGTAAGAAAAAGGCCCCGCTGTCCCCTAGCCCCAGGCCCCCTGGACGTTCGTAGCCTCAGCGGACTCTACTCTGGTTTCCCCCAGGAATCTGTCTGCCATCCAGGACCGAGAGATCTGCTGCTACTCCATCTCTTGCAAAGAAAAGGACAACATTGGTGCGTAGGATGGGGGAAAGGGAGGAGAGGGGAGAGGCATTTCTGAGTGTTTTAGTGGCTCTCAGGTTCTCGCTCCACAACTTTCCCTGAAGTCCAAAGCCCTGTGGCTCTTGGGTAGAAAAGGCAGCCAGGTGGCCCAGATTCTGGGCACTATCCCAGCTTGTCGCCAAGCGGTTGTGTGATCTCGGGCAAATCGATCCCCGCTCTGGGCTTCACCTCCTCGTTTCTAAGATTCCAGGGCTGGACCCGGTGATTCTCAGGTCCCTGCTGGCTCTGACATGCTGTGGCTCTGTCTCTTTCCCAGCACCTGAATTCCGCTACTACTCATTCAGGGCCATGTGGCGCTTGCCAGCTCTGGACTTCTTGTTTGTTTTTGAGAAAGTGTCTCGCTCTGTCACCCAGGCTGGAGTTCAGTGGCGTGACCATAGCTCACTGCAGCCTCCAACTCCACTCCTGGGTTCAAGCAATCCTCTCACCTGAGCTTCCCATGTAGCTGAGACTCCAGGTGTGCGCCACCCCTCCTGGCATCTCTGGACTTCTGATACCCTTAGGTTTGGTTTCTTGGGCCTCTCTGCTGCCCCAGCACGGCCAGTACTTGCAGGCCTTATAAGCTGTTCTCTTTTCTCCTATCAGACATCACCCTACAGTGGCTTATTCAACACTCGAAGTCACGGAGAAGCTGAGACTCCAGCCCTTCTCCCTCAGACCAGGGACCGTCATCATCTAAACCTGAAGCCGAGCTCCCCGCCCACCCCTGTCGTCCCCCTAAGCCCACCCCTCCTCACCCAGTGTGAGGAGGGCCCTCTGGGGACCCCAGAGTCCTGTTCTGCTGAGGTTTGAACTCCTGTTTTTATTGTAAAATAAATTGCCCCCCATTCTGGTCCCCTAACTTCTCACCCTTCCCCGCTGCCTTTGTCCCATCACCCAGCCCTGCCTCCCTCCCAGCAGCCCTGGGCCACAGCCCCCGCCCCTGGCTTTTCCCCGGCCCGCTCTTGTACCTCCCTTTTCAACACTCTCTGTTATTGTCCTGTGTGTACAGTATATATATGTATATATATTTTAATTTTTTAATTTAAGCAAAGACTAAAATCAACCATTTGATGCTGCAGGGGCCTTTCAGGATCTGGGAGGGGGCAGTCTGGAGAGAAGGAGGGAGACGCAGGTGGACTTGGGGCAAGTTCAGATCAGAAGAGGTGCAGGCTGGCACCTGCGGCAGGTACCAGCCTGGGCACTGGTGGCCGCCTCCCTGTCCCGTGTGTTTCCACCGCCCAATCTGGCTTGTCCTGGCAGTGCTTGAATGCCACAGGCTGGCAGGGGCCTCTGGGGGCCCCTCCCCTCGACCCCCAGCCTGGGTAGAGCCACCAGGTACGACGACCAGGTACCAGAAACCACCAGGCACACGGGGCAGAAAGCCAGCGTCCATGCCCCAGCAGCCCCCTCCTGCCTGTTCCTGGCTCCCAGCTCCCGCCCCTCCCCAGGGCCCCCACCTCCACGGCCCACTTCATTTTCTGTTCTCATTTTGCAGAGTTGCACAAGGAGAGAACTCAGCATGGGGGGTTGGTTCTTTGGGTTCTGTTTGTTTATTTGTTTAATTTAATGATTTGTAAAGTGATGTTCCTCTTCCTTTTTTACACTTTTCAGCTCATATTTAACCTCTGTTTGGAAAATGATTCTTGTAACTGTACATTTTTTTGCTTCCTAATAACAATGACAACAAAAAAAATAAATGACCAGTTTTGTGTTGGGGGGGGTGTATGGTGCTGGTTACTTTTCCGCAGTTGGCATGGGTTGCCCTACAGGCCCACAGGGCCACCAGCACACCCCCGCACGCTGGGCACCAACAGAGCCACGGAGCGCGAGCACATGCCCGCCCGGGGAGCACAATGGCGCTGCACAAAACGGCCTCCCACACGTGCGTCCAGGCTCTTGCGCCACCTCCTTCTCATTCTCTTTTCAGACTTTCATGTAGTCCCAGCTTTGAGCCAGCAGCTGCCACTTGGGGCTGCAGAGCTCTGTTGAGGGAACTGCCCAGGGCTGGGTAGAGGCAGCAAGGGGACAGGGCTGGGTGCTGTTGTGTGCGAACTGAGCTGCACTCTCCTTAGGCCCAGTTCAGGCCTCAGCCCCTCTTTCCCAGGCCCTGGATCTCACCAGCAGCCAAGGTTGAGCCAGAACCAGAACCCTGTCCCTCCGGCCCCCAGTTCCTACCCCAGAACCAGTTAACTGTGCTTCAGGGGTAGGGCTGGGCCCACAGAGCCTGGGGGAGTGTCACCGCCTTTGCTGCCTCTCAGTTAGTGTCAATGCTATGGGTTTCCTGGTAGGAGCCCTGCCCTCGCTCCTCTGCTGGATTCTAGTCCCCCACCCGACCTCACCGTCAGAGCTGGTCCTCCCTCGGCACTGCTCACAGCTGCTGCCTCAGAGCCTGGTGACCCTGCCTGCTCAAATCCGAGGCCATCTTGACCCAGTTTCACAGTAAGCCCCACCTCCTCCCGCTCCACCTCCCTCGGCCTCTCCTTCACCCTGGAAAATGGAGCAGGCCCTTGCAGAACACCCCAGCCCTTCTCACCCCTCCCACTGCAGGAAAAAGGAGCCAAACTGTCCCTTAGTCCTGGGAGTGGGGACCTTGACTCCCCGTCCTGGGCCCTCCAGCCCCTCACCTTCATTGGTGCCCAGGGCTTCCTCCTGGAGGCAGTCATCAGACCTGTCAGAGCAGTTCCCTGCCTGGAGAGGCAGTTCCCCACTGCCAGAGAGTTGGAGGAAAGAATGTGGATGGAATTTGGCATCTGAAGCTAAGTGATTCTAGGGTACCTCCCAACTCCTAAGCAAAATGGGACATGTCCTCCTGGCTAAGGAGGTTGAATGGGAGCCAGGGCTCTATCCCCTGCCCTCTCCTGACTGCAAGCATGGCTAGGTTTTCCTGGGCCTGGGATCCCGGGAGAGGACCAGCAATCTCACTCATCTGGGGCTGTTTCCAGGCCAAGGTGCCTTTCTCAGATCCTGTGATCCTCACTGAGGATTGAGGTTTGAGATAAGAGAGCTGGTTACCAGGAAGCAAGCAAGCATCCTCCTTCCACAGTGCCGGCGTGCAGCAGGTGCTAATATGACTTAAAGAATTTGTTCAGGGGCCAGGTGCTCATGCCTGTAATCCCAGTACTTTGGGAGCCCGAGGTAGGAGAATGACTTGAGTCTGGGAGTTTGAGACCAGCCTGGGCAAAATAGTGAGACCCTATCTCTACAAATAATCAAAAATTAGACAGGCGTGGTAGTGCGCACCTGTAGTCCCAGCTACTCAGGAAGCTGAGGCAGGAGAATCGCTTGAGCCCAGGAAGTGGAGGCTGCAATGAGCTGTGATCACACCACAGCACTCAGCTTGAGTGACTGAGTGGGATCTTGTCTCAAAAAAAAAAAAGTGTTCAGCCAGGCATGGTGGTACACACTTGTAGTCCCAGCTACTCAGGAGGCTGAGACAGGAGGACTGCTTGAGCCCAGGAGTTCAAAGCCAGCCTGGGCAACATAGTGAGACCCCCCCACCCAGCTCTTAAGAAAAAAAAAACACACATAACCTATTAAAGTTGAATGGGAACAGACCATGAGTATAGGTAAATTGTCATGTTTGGGGCCCTTTGATGCCAAAACCTGGATGCATTTAAGAATCCCTGGGCCAAGCCTGCTCCTAACACTAGAGAATTGAATTCCCAAAGGAGAGGAAGGAATAAAAGGTTCGGGGCACCATGCAAAGTGCTTTATGTATCTTGTCTCATTAAATGACCATAATCCTCTGTGAAGGACAGATTATTCCCATTTTACAGATGAGGAAGCTGAGACTGAGTTTAAGTAATTGCATTCAGTTCCAGGATAGGTGATGAGAAGGTGACTCCCAAGTGGAGCAGGGAGACCCAGTGGATTTCAGGCTCCCCTCAGCCCTGTAACCTGGCATCAGGATCTGAGGGCTGGTCTGAAGTCTGCCCTCGGGTGAGCGTGTCAGTGCCCCCTCAGACCATCCCAGCTCAAGTCCACTGCCCACCATGTGCCAACCCCCCCGCAAGCCTGGGACCCCTAAGCAACAAACCCTACATTGTTCCCCCAGCTGGCCCAGGCTGCGAGGACAGTGGCTCTTTCCCAAGGCCGCTGGCCTGCTGACTGATTCTGCAAGCCATTCACGTTGGCAGGCTTGGGAGGTGGCGGTGGCAGAGCCTTGGAGCCACCATCTCTCCCCCTTCATCTCTGAGCCGGCCAACCAGCAGGAGGGAGAGGTGGAGGGCACCCTTTGTGGAGGAGGACCCCTAAACAGGATGTTGAGGGGTCTGACTCCCCTGCCCTGGACTTCACCTCAGTTCACCCGGCCCCTTCCTGCATCCCTTAGGAAGCTGGTGGTACTTCCGGGCCTGGCAGGGGGGTGGAGAAGGAGTTGGGGAAATGCCGAGGAAACGGTCCCCAAGAGCTTCAGCACGACAGGCCTGCCTTTGGTCCCCTCTCCAACCTGCTCCCCCACCCATCTGAAGTTTCTACAGACAGAGCTGGGGGCTTCAGTCACCGTGGCAACAGGTCTGCTGAGAAACGGGTGGGTGTCACTCCCCAGCACAAAGGGTGTGTGCATGGCGGCGCCATCACCTAGCAACGGCCTCCCTCTCTCTTGGCGGCATCACCCGCCCTGGGGGTGGGTGCCAGGGAGAGAGAACAAGGCCGTTAAGATCCCCAGGAGAGGGGGAGGGAAGCTTGGGTACAGGGCAGGCTGAGGCCAAGGGGTGTGGGTGGGTGGACAGAGGAGAATGGAGCCCCAGGCGCTTGGAAACCCTGCCCCTGCCCATCCCTGGGCCCCCGGGGCCCTTCCTGAGGCCCCATGTGGATGCTGTAGGTAGGCCTGGTGGGCAGAAGTCTGGTGGGACCCAGGACAGAGCTTCAGACAGGGGGGGTGGTTCTGAGGAAAGCTGAGCTCCCAGGCGGGGAGCGACTGGTGGCCTGGCTGAGGCATCACTTCTGGTTGATGCTGTGCCAGCTTCCCAGGGACCTACAAGGCTAAGGGTGCCCTCTGGAAGGGACCAGAGGTGGGGCTGGGGGAAGTGGCACTTCAAGGGCAAGACCCCACAGGAGAAGCTGCATGAAGGGTCTGCCGGGGGCAGTGGGAGCTCTGGCGGGAAGGGTGGTGCAGTGGGGGCTGGGTGGGGGCAGGCCAGGGCAGGCAGCTGGGCCGTCTACAGGCAAAACAGTCCATTCTAAGAAACTGAACAAGAGCAGCTCTCAGAGTGACAAAGGCTGGGAAGCCCTGGGGCTCACAGAGGAAAGACCACTGGACTCCCTCCAAGGGGGGCTTTGTGGAGAGAGGGCATAGCAGAGATGAAGGCTCCAGAGGAGATATTTTCCAGGCTTTTGACTTCCCAAGGAGCATGGGGTTTAGGCCAGGATGAGGACTTAGGTCCTCCGGCTCCCCAAGCCCTCCATCCTCTCTGTCCCTCAAAAGCCATAAAACCCTTGGAGTCGCCAGGGCCACAAGGCTGTTCTGAACATCGGCCACAAGGCTGTTCTGAACATCAGCCACAGGCCAGGCCAGGTCAGGAGAAATTCTCCTAGGCACTGCCAGGCCAGGAAGGCCCAGCTGCATCTGGGCCCTGCCAGAATGTGGCACAAGAAAGTGGATGGGCATAGGGGTAGTTCTACCTAGTTTATTGTTTCTCAAGAAGGGCCTCCTATGGGAAAGCACCTAACAAGGAGGTTGGGACAGGGCAACCCAGGGATCCCAAAGAAAGGAGGAGGAAGGAGAGAGAAATCCTCTGGAAGAAAAGAAGGCACCAGTAGGAGGAGGCATCCAGGACTGGGACAGATCTGGTCCAGAGAAGAGTGTACTGGGGCTGGGCGTGGCAGCTCACACCTGTAATCCCAGCACTTTGGGAGGCCAAGGCAGGCAGATCACTTGAGGTCAGGAGTTCAACACCAGCCTGGCCAACATGGTGAAACCCCGCCTCTTCTACAAATACAAAAATTAGCCGGGTGTGTTGGTGCACACCTGTAATCCCAGCTACTCAGGAGGCTGAGGCAGGAGAATCGCTTGAACCCAGGAGGCGGAGGTTGCAGGGAGCTGACATCAGGCAAATGTACTCCAGCCTGGGCAACAGAGCAAGACTCCATCTCAAAAAAAAAAAAAAAAAAAAAGAAGAGTGTGGTGAGCCACACTGGGCTGGCCCCAAGGAGCCCCCATTCCAAGATGGGGCCCCAGGTTGGTGGTAGGAGGATGATGCCTGGGAAGGGCACAACTAAAGTATGGTCAGGTTCCAAGGCAGAGAGAGAGAAGAGAGACTGGAACCAAGGGAGGGCAGGCAAAGTTCTGGCTCCCAGCTGCTGGGACTCAGAGTTTCTGGGCAGTTCTAAGGACCTAGAAGCATCACCGCCCACCAGTGGAAAGGACAGGGTTGGAAGGCCCCACAAGGGACAGGAAAGGCCCTGTGTGGGGAGGGGGCTTTGACATTCCCAAACCTTGACAAGAGGAACCAAGTCCATCCCTAGACAGCAAGACAGGCAACAAAGCAAGACCTATGGGGAAAGAACAGCAGACACCGGCGGGGGTGGCGGCCTCTCCCTCCCTCCCCACCCCTACTGGGGCCTCAGCAAGGTGTGCCCAGGGGCAGGAGTGGGGGTGACTCCCTGGGCTTGTGGAAGTAGATGGAAGAGGACACCTCGGTCTTGAGCTTGTTGTCCGACCCATTGGCAGCAGAGGCCTCCGAAGCCCCGCCGCACTCCTCACAGCAGCAGCAGCAGCAGCAGTCCAGGAAGGCCTGGCCCAGCGGCCTGCAGATGCAAAGGAGCAGCACTGGGGTGATGGCGCCCTTGAAGAAGGTGGAGAACTGGTTGATGAGGCCCAGGAGGTCCAGGGTCTGGCGGGTCAGCTCGGTGGAGAGGTAGGCCACCACGATGTTGCAGACGTTCTCTGGGAGGGTGCAGAAGGCGTAGACCACGGTCAGGCCCACCACGGTGCTGTTGAGCTGGCTCTCACACTGCTCGTGCTTGCTGGCCCTGCACTCTGACTTCCTCCCTGGAGGGCCTCGCACCCGCCATGTCACCAGCTGGCAGGTGACTGTGAAGAGGATGGGCAGGCAGAAGTAGCAGCCAAAGTACCACCACATGCGGGCGTTCTGGTAGGTCATCACCAGTGAATACAGGGACTCGGGCAGGCTGGCTGAGGGTTTCATGATGCATGAGTCCAGGGTGCCCATGGTGGGGGCAGGCTCCTGTGCCAGCTGCCACAGCAGGAGCTCAGGCACAGCCAGCGTCATGGAGCCCACCCAGATGACAGCCAACTTGGCCAGGATGGATTGGCACCGCTCGATGGGCCTCACCTTGGGCAGGGTGCTGGTGGCCACGTGGAAGCGGTCAATGCCCAGGGCACAGAGGCTGAAAGTCGTGACTCCCAGAGAGGAGACCTGTGGGCAGGATGTGAGGGAAGAGAGAAGCACTTGGTCAAAATCTATGGGGACAAGGAAGGACACCTGGCTTCTGGCTCAGTTAGACCATGAATTGAGTGATAAGCATAGAAATTATAATAATGGGCCGGGTGCGGTGACTCACACCTGTAATCCCAGCACTTTGAGAGGCCGAGGCAGGCAGATCACTTGAGCCCAGGAGTTCAAGGCCAGCCTGGGCAACATGATGGAACCCTGTCTCTACTAAAAATACAAAAAAATAGCCTGTCGTGGTGAGGCACGCCTGTGGTCCCAACTACTCGGGAAACTTAGGTAGGAGGATGGCTTGAGCCTAGGAGGCTGAGGCTGCAGTGAGCCAAGATCACGACACTGCACTCCAGCCTGGGTGACAGAGCAAAACCCTGTGGAAACAAGGAAGGAAGGAAGGAAGGAAAGAAGGAAGGAAGGAAGGAAGGAAGGAAAGAAGGAAGGAATTATAATAATGGTAACAACTCCATTTAATGAGCATTTCCTATGGGTCGGGCACTTTACGTGTCATCACATTCCCAATCAACCACCTTACCATTGAAAAAGCTCAAGCTCAGGCAGGAACAGTGAATTGCCCAGGACCACACTGCTGATGAATGGCGGAGCTGAGGTTTACACACATGTCTGCCTCCTTCCCCCTTGTTCTTTGCCTCTCAGGCTGGGGGATGAATGGCCTGGCTCCCATAGACCCTGATGCTCTCTGACAGACTTTGGAAAATCATCTCCAAGGAAGAACCAAGATAAAGACATAGAAGTTCTGGATCTTTGCAGGTCCTTCCACTTCCCACACCCCATTATCTGCATGCCTGGGATGAATGGTCTTGGGGAACATGGCTTACGCGTGCACACACACACACACACACACACACACACACGCACGTTTCTGCTCCTGGCCCTGTCCGGAGAAGCCCAGGACCTGGCTGTGTGGGGAAGTGGCCCCCCTCTGAGCAGCCAGTGCCCACCATGCCCGCACTCTATTCATCAAGCGCGTGGAAAACCACCCTGTGAGCCAAGAGGAAGCAGCCCGAGCGGCAGGGGAGGAGAGTGCCAAAGAGCAGGAAGGAAGAGGGGACCCTCCCGCACCATCAGACGCTGCTCAGCCACACTCAGGGATTGTGCTCAGATCCCCCTCCTGTCCAAATTCTTCCCTCTTCTGGCTGGGGGAACACAATCCCCAGCTTTTAGCACAGCCACCAAGTGTTCTTTGTGGAAACCCCAACCCCCTCTCTTGGCAGGGGAGCCCAGGCCTGCAGAGGCACAGGCTTCAGGCTTGGGTAGAAACGCCATTCTCTCTCCTTTTTTTTTTTTCCGAGAGTCTCACTCTGTCGCCCAGGCTGGAGTGCAGTGGCGCAATCACAGCTCACTGCAACCTCCACCTCCCGGGTTCAAGTGATTCTCCTGCCTCAGCCTCCCGAGTAGCTGGGATTATAGGTGTGCGCCACCACACCCAGCTAATTTTTGTACTTTTAGTAGAGATGGGGTTTCACCATGTTGGCCAGGATGGTCTCGATCTCCTGACCTCGTGATCCGCCCACCTCGGCCTCCCAAAGTGCTGGGATTACAGGGGTGAGCCACCGTGCCCGGCCCTGCCCTTCTATTTTACATCTCAAAAATATCTCAAGTTTTATTCCAAGCTGCCCTCTCCTGCTCCCTCCTCAGGACCATCCTGAGATCCTCCCTATAAAAGGGTGTTGCTGGGCGCGGTGGATCACGCCTGCAATCCCAGTACTTTGGGAGACCAAGGCAGGCAGATTGCTTGAGCTCAGGGGTTGGAGATCAGCCTGGGCAATATGATGAAACCCTGTCTCTACCAAAAATACAAAAATTAGCCGGGCGTGGTACCACACGCCTGCGGTACCAGCTACTTGGGAGGCTGAGGTGGGAGGATTGTTTGAACCTGGGAGGCGGAGGTTGCAATGAGCTGAGATTACACCACGGCATTCCACTCTGGGTGACAGAATGAGACTCCGTCTCAAATAAAGAAGAAGGGTGTTGTGGGTGACAGAGTGAGACTCTGTCTCAAAAAAAGAAAGAGTGTTTTCTCCCTCCACCTGTCCCACCACCCAGCCTAGAAGGAAGACTGTCTACCAGCCTGTGGATCATCTCTATCCTCCAGGAGGTGTGGAGGGGCTGGCCCAGGAGGACATTACATATGTCAGGACCCACAGTCAGGTAGGGCCAGGTGTTCATTGACCTACCAGCCACATGCAAACAAGAGGTCGTATGTGTCTGCCCTTTTCCCCTTCTCCTCTATACCATTTTAATTCTAAGCACTGTATAGACATCACCCATTTAATCCCTTAAGAATTCACCCAGATAGCTATTATTATTATTATCCCCAATTTACCAATGAGGAAATTGAGATTTAGGTAGTTAAAGTAATCTACCAAATCACACAGCTAGTGATGGGAAAAGCCCAGTTTCTAATCTAGTCTGCTCAATTTCAGAGTCCTGTGTCTAAGCATGCACAGCTCACCTGGGTCGTGAGCACAAGATGATAACTAAGAATGCAAAGCCTCTCTCCAGTTGCAGGGTCTTTTTTTTTTTTTTTTTTTTTTTTGAGACAGAATTTCACTCTGTCACCCAGGCTGCGCAATCTTGGCTCACTGCAACCTCTGCCTGCCAAGTTCAAGCGATTCTCCTGCCTCAGCCTCCTGAGTACCTGGGACTGCAGGTGCGTGCCACCACACCCGGCTAATTTTTTATTTTTAGTAGAGATGGGGCTTCACCATGTTGGCCAGGCTGGTCTCGAACTCCTGACCTCAAGTGATCCACCTGCCTCGGCCTCCCAAAGTGCTGGGATTATAGGCATGAGCCACTGTGCCTGGCACAGGGTCTTCTTTCAGGGTGGAGTAACTTTGTACCACTGTTAGTCAGTCTCCCTGGGTTGGGAAGGACAGGAAAGGACTGTACCCACTGCTGAGACACAGGGAGTCTGTCCAACTATGACATCATCATTGTTACATGGTGAGGTGGGGACAGACCTTGGAATAGGACCTGTGTCCGTAATGCTGATCCTGAGCCCTTCTCCGGCCAGGCAAGTCCCCCTTGTCATGCAGCATCATTCACGAAGGAACAGCAGCTTCACAGGGAGACCACAGTCACTCCATTACACTCCATGCAGCCAAAATTTGAAAGACTGTTTGCTTATTTTGTCTTACAGAGAGAGAGAGGGTGGCCTTGCTGTGTCTTGCATAAATGCACACATCAGTATGTTTCTGCAGTGTTTTAAGTTGTCTCTCTATGCTCTACATATCCTTTGACACCCATGGACTTATCGTAGACGCTACCAGAAGTAAGGGCATAGTGGTATACTTTAGAACTGTGAAACAGGCCAGCTGGAAGGACCATCTGGTCTACCCGCCCTGGTTGGGAGATAAAGAAATTGGAGAGGTAATGCAACCTGCCCAGTGACGCCCAGTATGTCAGTGGCAGAGCTAAGACTAGAGCCCCCCATTAGTTCCAGTGCCCAGAACCAGGTATCCCTTTCAGAGAGGATCTAGGAAGTTGCTGATGGAAATGACAACGATAACAATGAGAATCCCAGCAGGGAGGGAAGAACGGAGCGGTCTTTTGCTTCTGGTGCTTGTATTCTCATGGAGTGGATGCTGACTTGATCCAGAGGGGTGTGAAGGAAATTGGGCTCTCCCTTCAGGCACTCCTTCAGGAGGCAGGAGACGGAGGAGCAGCGAAGGAAGCTGTGGGAGCAGGGCAGCGGCAGGGGGTACAGAGGAAAGAAGAGGAGTCACAACAAAGGACAGAGGTATCTTGGGTGGGACAGGGGAGAAGGGCTGAGGAAGGGAGAGGGCAGCTTAGGGTCTGGAGAAAGTGGCAAAGGCCTGCCTTGAGGTTGCTCCCGAAGCAGAAGATCAGGCTGGGGCTGGAACCCAGGGGCCCCACACACCCGCCTGTCCCCCTGGCCTGCCTACTTCTCTTGAGAGCAACCAGAAACCAATACCGTATTTGTCTCCTTCTCCAAGGTAAAGGAGGAGCAAGTCAGAGCTCCAAGACTCAGGTTTTGCACACCCACAAATTCCATTTCCAAAGACCTGATGGAGACTTTGAGTCCCTTCCCTGGATTGCAGCCTCCCAGCAGAGCTCAAACAGAACACACACTCACCTCCATGAAGGGCACGGCACGACAAGAAACGTCACCCAGTAGCCTCTGCTTGGTGATCTCGTTGAAGATGACAATAGGGAGGCAGAAAAAGAGGACCAGAAAATCCCAGAGGGCCAGGCTGGCAAGGATGGAGTTCCAGGCACTCTTCAGGTAGTAGCTGTGCCACACGATGCACATGACCGACAGGTTGCCCACAATGCCCACCGCAAACACCACCAGCGCCAGAAGCATGATGGCATAGGCACTGTAGGAGCTCTCGGTCACCGGATACAGGGGGTTCTGGATCTGTAGCCTCTGCCCTGGTGCTCCTGTCAGATTGCCCCTCAGTTCCTGCCCACTGTCTGGGGTGCCCCCATCCTTGCCGGGGTTAGGGCTGGTGGCCACCAAGGGCTTGGTTGGCTGCAGGCCAGCAGGGTGAATGGGCCGGGGGTACTCCGCCCACTCCTCAGGCACATACTGCTGCACGCCCTTGGCCTCCTCATCCTCGGTGCCCCTCTTGGATCGGCTCTGCTGCTCCTGGGTCTCGGCTCTGTGCCTGCCCAGGTGCAGGGGGGCACCCCCAGAGACCCTGCTTAGCCCCACAGCCAAAATCACAGCAAGAGAGACAGCCAGGGGCCACAGCCACCGCATGGCTGGATGAGCAGGAGACAGCCAGCCCAGGAAGAGCAGGTGAGTGCAGGGGGCCCAAGAGCTGGGCTCCAGAGAGGCAGCTGGCCGGCTGGATCCGCCTCCAGTCAGGCGTCTGGCATCACTCGCCTGCCCTCCCTCCCAGCCTCCGGCCACAGGCCGGGCAGGGCCCTCTGCTGGACACATAGCACTCTTTGCTGCCCTCACACATCTCGTCCTCCACGACGCCGCTTCTCAGGCCCTACAGCATGTCAGGCTGTGGGGCCCTAAGAGGGCATCTGCTTCAGGCCCCTGAAACTAGGGAGGAAATGTGGCCTGCCTAGGGTGACACAGGGAGGTGGGGCAGAATGGGAACTGGGGCGCAGGTCTCCTGATTCTAAGGCAGCTCCTCCATTCAAAACTCAGCAATAACCATCACTGTCACTTACTGAACACTTACTAGGTGCTAGCACTCAGCTGGTTTCTCAATTAACCCTTGATTAATCTCAGATCACAAATCTGAGGTTTGTAGAGGTCAGTCACTTGCCACATAGTTGATACAAGGCAGAGCAAGGCCCACAACCCAGATCTGACTCCAGAGATTTCTAATTTTTTTTTTTTTTTCGGTTGCCCAGGCTGGAGTGCAATGGCGCGGTCTTGGCTCACTGCAGCCTCCGCCTCCTGGGTTCAAGTGATTCTCCTGCCTCAGCCCCCTGAGTAACTGGGATTACAGTTACTGTAGTGCCCGCCACCATACCCGGCTAATTTTTGTATTTTTAGTAGAGACAGGGTTTCACCGTGTTGACCAGGCTGGTCTCAAACTCCTAACCTCAGGTGATCCGCCTGCCTCAGCCTCCCAAAGTGCTGGGAGCCACCGCACCCGGCCTAAAACACCATATTCTGAGCCAGACACAAGATGTGTGGACATTTGCAATAACACGTCTTTACTGACTACGTGTTGTGTTCCAGACACTCAGAATACAAAAATGTAAAGGATCTCTGCCACCAATGAGCTTTCAGTCCAGAGAAGGAAGTAAATGTGTAAGTTCAGCATGATAGATGCTATGAAAGGCAAAGGTCATGATGCTGAGGGAACCCAAGAAAATCTGGGGGGGATCTGGAAGGCCTCCCAAGCGAGGTGACATTTGAATGGATCCCGAGAAATGGCTGTGAGCTTGCCTGACAGACTACGGGAAGGGAGGGTGCTCTAGGCAGAAGACACAGCACACACAAAGGCTGGGTGATGTGGAAGTGGGTGATGTTCCCGCAAGAGAGCAAGTCTGTCGAGGGGACTAGAGTGCAAGGGAGGTGGGGAGAGAGCATGGGCACTTGGGACAAAGAGCTTGGAAATATCAGCAGAGGAGGAACTGGACTGTAAAGGACTTTGTATGCCAAGCCAAGGAGTTTAGATTTTATCCCATAAGCAATGGAGAATATCACAGGTTGTTAAGTAGGCAAACAATGACTCAACTAAGTTATTTTAGAGGGGTCCCTGATGGGCAGCTGGGGTCCTAGCAATCTGGAACAGGAGGATGCAGAGACCGGGGGTTCTGTTGGGAGGCAGTGGGTGATGGAGAGAAGCCCAGAGTCAAGGAAAACCAGCAGCTTTGAGCGGCTTTGGCTGTGCATGGGAGGGAGAGGTCGAGGCAGAGCCCAAGCATGGGGTGGGTAGTGAATCCACTCAGCCACATTAGGGAGGCACAGTTCTGAGGACGGACCACACGATGCCTAGGAGAATCCACTGGAGAATTAACTCGAAGACCTGCCCCAGAGTGAGTCAGATCATTCCCTCCTCCCAACTCCCACGGCATTATGCTGCTGTCATTGAAACCTACCACCTTCACCAGCCCAGACAACATGGTGAAACCCCATCTCTACTAAAAATACAAAAATTGGACAGATGTGGCAGTGCACACCTGTAATCCCAGCTACTCGGGAGGCTAGGGCATCAGAATCACTTGAACCCAGGAGGCAGAGGTTGCAGTGATCCGAGATCATGCCACTGCACTCCAGCCTGGGCAACAGAGCAAGACTCTGTCTCAAAAAAAAAAAAAAAAAAAAAAAGGGCCAGACGCAGTGGCTCATGTGTGTAATCCCAGCACTTTGGGAGGCTGAGGTGGGCAGATCACAAGGTCAGGAGTTCAAGACCAGCCTGACCAACATGGTGAAACCCCCGTCTCTACTAAAAATACAAAAAAAAAAAAATTAGCCACGCGTGGTGGCAGGCACCTGTAATCCCAGCTATTTAGAAGGCTGAGGCAGGAGAATCACTTGAACCCGGAAGGCGGAGGTTGCAGTGAGCTGAGATTGCGGCCAATGTACTCCAGCCTGGGCGACAGAGCAAGATTCCATCAAAAAAGAAAGAGAAAAGGAAAGGAAGTTGGGGGAGGGGAGGGGAGGGGAGAGGAGAGGAGATGAGAGGTGTGCTATTTGGGGATTTGGGTAACTAGAATCATCCATCATCTGCAGCATCACCACTCACCAAGTGCCACACTCTGTGCTAAATGCTTGCTATAATTGTCACTTAATCTTTATATTATTACCCTAGACTCTGAAAGGTAAGGCAACTTTCCTAAGAACACACAGCTAGTGAATGACAGCTGGGATCCAAATGTAGGTTTGTCCAACTCCAAAGCTAAAACTCTTTTTTTTTTGAGACAGGGTCTGGCTCTGTTGCCCTGGCTGGAGTGCAGTGGCATGATCTTGGCTCACGGCAACCTCAGCCTCCCAGGCTCAAACAATCTTCCCACCTCAGCCTCCAGAGTAGCTGGGACCACAGATGTGCACCACCACACCTGACTAATTTTTGTATTTTTAGTAGAGACAGGCTTTTTGCCATGTTGCCCAGGCTGATCTCAAACTCCTGAGCTCGAGTGATTTACCCGCCTCAGCCTCCCAAAGTTCTGGGAATACAGGTGTGAGCCACCTCACCCAGCCCAAAGCTGAAACTCTTAACCACTCCTTTGTGTGACTTCACAGAATTCTAACATAGGAAGAGATGCTAGAGATAATCTACACCAACCTTCTTATTTTTCAGGAGTGGAAACGGAAGTCCAGAGAAGCCAAGTGACCAGGCCAGGCACTTGGCAGTCCTGTCTCTGCTGTGGGATCCTCAGTGCTCCACAGGCACGTGCCAATACAGTATGGACCCAAGCCCAGGGCTGGTACGTGTGAGCAGAATAAATGTTAGTTCTCTGCTCTTTAAAAAAAAAAAAATTCAGAGACAGAGTCCTGCTCTATTGCCCAGGCTAGAGCACAGTGACATGATCATACTCACTGCAGACTTGAACTCCTGGGATCAAGCAATCCTTCCACCTCAGCCTCCAGAGTAGCTAGGACTACAGGTGCACACACCCTGCCTGACCTTCTGCTTCTTATTTTATTTTATTTTATTTTATTTTATTTTATTTTATTTTATTTCAGAGACAGGGTCTCGCTCTGTCACCCAGATTGGAGTGCAGTGGCAGGATCTAGGCTCACTGCAGCCTCAACTCCTCCTGGGCTCAACTGATCCTCCCACCTCAGCCTCCCAAGTAGCTGGGCCCACAGGCACATGCCACCATGCCCAGCCTTTTGTGTTTTTTTTGGTAGACATAGGGTCTGCCTGTATCACCTAGGCTGGTCTAGACCTCCTGAGCTCAAGCAATCCACCCACCTCAGCCTCCCAAAATGGTGGGATTACAGGCGTGAGCTACCGTGCCCAGCCTCTTTATGCTCATGGATATGCCTCCATCAAACCTCACATTTGGCCTCACACAGAGTAGGTGCTCAATAAACACTGAATGCCTGAAAGGGCACCCCCTTGTGCCGGTCTCTGTGAGAACGGTTGGAACATCAGAGGCCACTAGGTGGAACCAAATGTCCAGTGATGGTAGTTAAGGGCCTGGCCTCAGCCCTTCACCCCATCGGATCTTAACCCATCCCACTCTGCCCAGGTCCTGCCCACAGACCTTCTGTGGCTGTCTGAGAAGGCCATCTGAAAAGAGATGATAGGGGACAGGGTGGGTTCCCAGGGGCTGAGACTAAAGGGATGGGGGATGTGCCTACTCTTCCCCTCCACCCCCCTGGAGGGTGCCCAGCATGGGTCCCCCAAAAGTACTTTTCTCCTACCTGTAGTTCTACTTTAGGAAGATTCCTCTCTCTGGACAAGCTGGAGCCATCTCCCCTATTCAGAAGCATGCCAGGCAGAGATGGAAGGCTTTCCTAGCCCTTGGGAGTGTCTCTCCATGATCCCAGGAATTCCCCATTCCTCTCCCTGGGAGTTTCCCCAGTGCTGGCTACAGAAAAGGTACTTAGCTGGGGCCGGGCGCGGTGGCTCACGCCTGTAATCCCAGCACTTTGGGAGGTGGAGGTGGGCGGATCACGAGGTCAGGAGTTCAAGACCAGCCTGACCAACATGGTGAAACCCCGTCTCTACTAAAAATACAAAAATTAGCTGGGTGTGGTGGTACACGCCTGTAATCCCAGCTACTCAGGAGGCTGAGGCAGAAGAATCGCTTGAGCCTGGGAGGCAGAGGTTGCAGAGAGCCGAGATTGTGCCACTGCACTCCAGCCTGGGCTACAGAGCGAGATTCCGTCTCAAAAAAAAGAAAAGAAAAGGTACTTAGTTGGAACCGGGTGGGAGGGAAGCACTGAGGTGGCACTGAGGGCATCTGAGCTGGTGTGGAAGTGCCACCCATGAAAAAAATGAGCGAATGTTGTACTGAGCAGATTCCATGTGCCATGCATTCTCCAGCCAAGAGCACACTCTGGAATCAGACTGCCTGGATTTAATTCCTGGCCCTGCCACTTACTAACTGTGTATGTGACTTTGGTCAAGTATGTAACCTCTGTCCCTCGGTTGCCTCATCTGCAACGTGAAGATAATAACAGGCTTGTTGTGAAGATTAGGATTAAATGCTGGGTGTGGTGGCTGTCCCCTCCCAGCACTTTGGGACGCCGAGGCAGGAGGCTATCTTGAGCTCAGGAGTTCAAGACCAGCCTGGGCAACATGGCAAGACCCTGTGTCTACAAAAAATACAAAAATTAAGGCCGGGCGTGGTGGCTCACGCCTGTAATCCTAGCACTTTGGGAGGCCGAGGCGGGTGGATCAACTAAGGTCGGGAGTTCAAGACCAGTCTGGCCAACATGGTGAAACCCTGTCTCAACTGAAAATACAAAAAAATTTGCTGGACGTGGTGGCGGGTGCCAGTAATCCCAGCTACTCAGGGAGGCTGAGGCAGGAGAATCGCTTGAACCCGGGAAGCGGAGGTTGCAGTGAGCCGAGATTGCGCCATTGCATGCCAGCCTGGGTGAAAAGAGCAAAATTCTGTTTCCAAAAAAAAAAAAAAAAAAAAATTAGCTGGGCATGGTGGTGCATGCCTATAGTCCCAGCTACTTAGGAGACTGAGGTGGGAGGATCACCTGAGCCCAGGAGATGAAGGCTGCAGTGAGCCACGATTGTGCCATTGCACTCCAGCCTGGGCGACAGAGCAAGACTCTGCCTCAAAATAAATAAATAAATAAGATGAAGTTATGCTAGGTGTGGTAGCATACACCTGTAGTCCCAGCTACTTGAGAGGTTGAGGCAGGAGGATCCCTTGAGGCCAGTAGTTCAAGACTATGGTGTGCCGTGATCTCGCCTGTGAATAGCCACTGCATTCCAGCCTAGGCAACATAGCAAGACACTATCTAAAAAAAAAAAAAAAAAAAAAGGCCAGGCATGGTGGCTCACGCCTGTAATCCCAACACTTTGGGAGGCCAAGGCAGGTGGATCACAAAGTCAGAAGTTTGAGACCAGCCTGGCCAACATAGTGAAACCCTGTCTCTACTAAAAATACAAAAATTAGCCGGGCATGGTGGCGCGTGCCTGTAGTCCCAGCTACTCAGGAGGCTGAGGCAGGAGAATTGCTTGAACCTGGGAGATGGAGGTTGCAGCGAGCCTAGGTCACGCCACTACACTCCAGCCCAGGCAACGGTGCAAGACTCAGTCTCAAAAAAAAAGATTAAATGAGTTCATCTATGTAAGTCATTACAATAATATCTGGCATATAATAAGCACTATATACATGTTACCTACTGGCTAGAATTCATTTGATTCTCACAGCAACCTTATGAGGTAGGGTACTATCATTATATCTACCTGTTTTACAGATTTGGAAACTGAACAAGCAGAAGGCAGCCAAAGAGGCAGAGAGGGCAAATTCTGAGACAAGTTCTTTCCCCTGCCCGGGTTCCAGTTCTGAACAGGAACATGGGTCTGGCCTATACTGGACACGGACTAAGGCTGGGGGAAGCATAGATAGTCTGACCCACCAGATCTCACTGTGTCATTCTCCTCCAAGCTCTGGGCCCCTGGCCCCAAGTAGCACTTGGGTGCTGCTCCAGGGGACAGGTGAAGGGCCACTAGTGGGAAAACATGCATCTAAAAGTCAGGAGATCTGGGACTGAGTCCCAACTCGGCTACTAACTAGCCCTGTGATTTCAGGAATAGGTCAGTCACTCATTTTGAAAATATTTGTTGAGCACCTACTATGTGCCAGGCATTGTCCTAGGCATTTGGGAAACAGAGTGAAAAACACAGCATGGCCTCCACCCTCATGAAATTCACATTCGAGGCCGGGCGCAGTGGCTCACACCTGTAATCCCAGCACTTTTGGAGGCTGAGGTGCGCGAATCACGAGGTCAGGAGATTGAGACCGTCCTGGCCAACATGATGAAACCCCGTCTCTACTAAAAATACAAAAATTAGCCGGGCGTGGTGGCGGGCGCCTGTAATCACAGCTAGTTGGGAGGCTGAGGCAGGAGAATCGCTTGAACCTGGGAGGTGGAGGTTGCAGTGAGCCAAGATCACGCCACTGCACTAAAGCCTGGCGAGACTCTGTTTCAAAAAAAAAAAAAAAAATAGGAATTAACATTTGAGGCCAGACACAGTGACTCACGCTTGTAATCCTAGCATTTGGGAGGCCAAGGCAGGCAGATCACCTGAAGTAAGGAGTTCGAGACCAGCCTGGCCAACACGGTGAAACCCCGTCTCCACTAAAATTTAGCTGGGTGTGGTGGTGCGTGCCTGTAATCCCAGCTACTTGGGAGGCTGCGGCAGGATAATCACTTGAACCCAGGAGGCGGAGGTTGCCGTGAGCCGAGATCATGCCATTCCACTCCAGCCTGGGATACGGGGTACAGAGTGAGACTCCGTCTCAAAAAAAAGAAAAAAAAAAAGAAAGAAATTCACATTCAAGCGAACGAGGCAGTCACTGAAAAAGCCAAATTGCAAGTAATATAGCTATAAATTGTGATGAAGTCATAAGATCATGAGACCGCTCTGTCTTTCCAGTTTCCCCTCAGTAAAAGGTAAGGGGTATTCTCCTGGGCCTGAAGACCCCCCAAGCATGCTATGGTAATAAAATGCAGTCATTGTGAAGGCATTTTAAAAGGTAATATGGACTGTAAGATACTGTAAATCAGTGGTTTTTTATTAGATCATCAGGGTCAGAAACACCTGGAAACTGTTTTGAAATGCACATTCTCAACCCCCACCGTAGACCTGCTAGATCAGAAACAGGGTGGGCCCAGCTTCTAGGCGTTTTCTAGCAAGTCCTCCAGGGATTCTGATGAAGGCTAGAGTTTGAGAACTACTATACTAGGCATTCCCATTGCACTCAAATGGTGAGGGGTGGGGGTGGGAGGATGCTTGTAGGAGGGGACAGAGGGAGAAACACTGTGCCCCTGGAGCTCCCAGATCAGGAAGTCACTGAACCTCTGGTGAGCAGGTCCTGTGTCTCCCTATCTTGGTTCTCAGTGCCTGGCATTCAGTAGATGCTTGATACATGTGTTTCAGGGGGCGAAAAAAAAAAAAAAGAACAAGTAAATAGTAAGTAGAAACAAAAAACTGCTCAAAAATCCTACCTGTTATAAAATGCCAAAATTTCCTTAATGGGGGTGGGAGGAAACTTCTGGCTTCCTCGACAAAGGTAACACTTAACAACTTTCAAGTCTGGGTGGCTCACTCCTGTAATCCCAGCACTTTGGGAGTCCAAGGTGGGCAGGTCACCTGAGGTCAGGAGTTCATCCTGACCAGTATGTTGAAACCTGTCTCTACTAAAAATACAAAACTTATCCAGGTGTGGTGGCGTGCACCTATAGTCCCAGCTACTGGGGAGGCCGAGGCAGGAGAATCGCTTGAACCTGGGAGGCGGAGGTTGCAGTGGGCTGAGATTGTGCCACTGCACTCTAGCCTGGGTGACAGAGTGAGACTGTCACAAAAAAAAAAAAAAAAAAACCTTTCAAGATGGTCAGCAGAAAGTCTTTCAACTGTCTTCTGCTCCTGCCCCAAGATGCCCCTTTCCTTGGGGGAAAGGGGTATCCTCCCCACGCTGTGACTTCCCCAGCCATGGCAGCTAGCTGCCTGCATGCAATGTTTCGAGCACATTTCACCATCTTTCCTCACTGGCCTACAGCACAGCTAAGGCAAGGCTGGAATGTTCAGATGCAATGAAATCCTCAAGGATGCTAAAGAGATACAAGCATAGTTGGTTACAAGGAGCCCAGGGATCCAGCTGACAAGGCATGATCCTACCTCCCAGATCCCAGAGCCCCCGTATCGTATCTCCTAGCTGGCACCAAGTGCTAGGAGCTCTCTATAAACACCTACTCTCTTCCAAGTCCACACCAAGAGATGGGTGGAGAGAGGTCCTCTTCTGCTTACTAGGATTGCTCTCCAGGTTAGTTTCTCAGTAAGGACCCTTTCAATATCAGAATAACTACAGGCAGGGACTTGCCTCTTGGGGCCCAACTGGCTGCCCCAACAGAAAAAAACCCCAAGCATTTATGAGACACATAGTGGCTGTGGGAGGAGAGAAAGCCAGCAGGTTGTTATTTGTTTAACAAATGTGTACTGAAAGCCTTTCATGTGGCAGACACATCACTGCTACCCAGAAGCATTTGTTATTAACCCCTCCTTTGATAGCTCACTACTTTCAAGATAGCCCATTCCAATGTTTAGATGGCTGTGATCATGCCGAACTTGTTCCCTTATCAGAAATGTGACTCAAGGAAAATCCACCCGTTGGTTCTTGTTCTGTCCTCTGGAAGAGACAGAACACACACACACACACACAGAATCCAGGTGTGAGACACAGTCAGCAAGCATAACATCAAATGCATAAGGAGTAGGCACTGGCCACAGTAACAGGTGGAGGTATGTGAGGATGGCAGCAGGCAGGAGAGCCCAAGGGGATCAGACAGGCTTGGGTGAGTCAAAGAAGGCTTCCTGAGAAGTTCTAGAAGGGATTTCTTCAGGAGCAGAATTTGAGTGGAAGTGAGAGAGTTAGTCTGGTAGAAAGGAGCTGGGGCAGAAGTTCCAGGCAGGAAGAGAGCTGGTGGGGAGGAAAGACTCCAGGAAGAGCCAGCTGCTGGGTGGAGCCCAGCATCACTCAGCTGGAGGAGAGAGTCTGGCCCCTGCAATCACAAGACCAAGCAGTTGAGCCAGGGCAGGAATGGGGTGAGGCTGGAGGAGCCTGGGAAACCCCACAGGGCACCCTGCATCCTCTCATATCTCCCTTCCCCAGTGATTCCAGGCACATTTGGCTGTCCCCTACAGATGCCTGTACCAGATTTTCATCCTTGGTAGCTGGAGGGGCAGGCTGCAGGGCCCTCTGGAGTCTAGAACTTGGTTCTGAAGCCCTGGGGCAGGTGGAGAGGGATGGGATAGAAATCTTACAGGGAGATCCAAGTCCCAGGCTGTAGCTGAGATAGGTTTGGCTGCAGCCAGGGGCAAACGTGGAAAGCTGCCACAGTTCCTGTTTAGGTGGCTGTCTGGGAGATGGAGCAAGCACTAAACATAGAGGAGTCTCAGGTCCTGCCTCCAAGCTGGCTGGCCCCCTCCCTGAGCCCTTGACCCCAAGTCCTGGCACTGCCGCCATCCCCACCCCATCCCACACAGCCACAAGGCAGCACGGCCACGACAAACAGATTATTCATTGCCAGGTGCCCTAGCCATGTCCTTTCTGCCTTCTTGCCCTGATGTCCTGACACAAGCTGCCAGAGAGCTCAGCACAAAAGAATGCAGGGCAGAGCCAAAGAGGAGGGTTAACCCTTCCCTGGGCAGCATCTGCCTGGACAGCTTTCAGGGGGCCGGTTGGGTGGGTGGGGAGGGAAAGGATGGTTGAACTTCTACCTCTGAGTCCCTCTGAGCCTAAGAGCGGCACCTTCTTCCTGCCCTTCTCTGGAGTTGATGGGTCATCCTAGACACATGAAATTGGATCCACAGAAATCCACATCTCCTCACTTCCCAGCTATGTAGCCATGGGCAAATCACTTAACCTGTCTTTTTTTTTTTTTGAGACGGAGTTTCGCTCTTTCGCTCGGGCTAGAATGCAATGGGGCAATCTCGGCTCACTGCAACCTCCCCCTTCCGGCTTCAAGGGATTCTCCTGCCTCAGCCTCCCGAGTAGCTGGGATTACAGGCGCTTGCCACCACGCCTGGCTAATTTTTTTTTTTTTTGAGACGGCGTCTCGTTCTGTCGCCCAGGCTGGAGTGCAGTGGCGCGATCTCTGCTCACTGCAAGCTCCGCCTCCCAGGTTCACGCCATTCTTCTGCCTCAGCCTCCCCAGCAGCTGGGACTACAGGCGCCCGCCGCCACGCCTGGCTAATTTTTTTATATTTTTAGTAGAGATGGGGTTTCACCATGTTGACCAGGCTGGTCTCAAACTCCTGACCTCGTGACCCACCCGCCTCGGCCTCCCGAAGTGCTGGGATTACAGGCATGAGCCACCCACGACCGGCTAACCTGTCTTTATCTCAGTTTTTGATTTTTGTTTTTTGAGACGAGGACTCACTCTCGCCCAGGCTGGAGTGCAGTGGCGCGATCGTAGCTCACTGCAGCCTCCAACTCCTGGGCTCAAATCATCCTCCTGCCTCTGCTGGTATTATAGGCCCATGCCCGGCAGACCTCAGTTTTCTTTTTTTTAATATTTTAAAATAAAATTATTTTAAAATAGGCCAGGCACAGTGGCTCATGCCTGTAATCCCAGCACTTTGGGAGGCCAAGATGGGTAGATCACTTAAGATCAGGAATTCAAGACCAGCCTGGCCAACATAGTCTCTACTAAAATTACAAAAATTAGCTGGGCGTGGTGGCAGGCACCTGTTATTCCAGCTACTCGGGAGGCTGAGGCACGAGAATTGCTTGAACCTGGGAGGCAGAGGTTACAGTGAGCCGAGAATGTGAAACTGCATTCCAACCTGGGTGACAGAGCAAGACTCCGCCTCAAAAAAAAAATTAATAATAATTATTTTATTTTATTATTTATTTTTTTGAGACAGAGTCTCGCTCTGTCACCCAGGCTGGAGGGCAGTGGCCTGATCTCAGCTCACTACAACCTCAGCCTCCCACGTTCAAGCAATTCTCTTGTCTCAGCCTCCCGAGTAGCTGAGACTACAGGCACTTGCCACTACACCTGGCTAATTTTTTGTATTTTTAGTAGAGACGGGGTTTCACCGTGTTAGCCAGGATGGTCTCGATGCCCTGACCTTGTGATCCGCCTACCGCGGCCTCCCAAAGTGCTGGGATTACAGGCATGAGCCACCGTGCCTGGCCAATTATGTTATTTTAAAATAGAGATAGAGTCTTGCTGTGTTGCCGAGGCTGGTCTCAAATTCCCAGGCTCAAGTCATCCTCCCGCCTAAGCCTTCCAAAGTGCTGGCATTACAGGCAAGCACCACCACACCTTACCCAACCTCAGTTCTTGACTGTAACTGAGGACAATAACATGCACCTCCAAGGTTGCTCTGAACATTAAATTATGAAACTTGAGTGGTGCATTCCTGACATAAAGCATGTTCTTGATGAATGTCAATTTCCTTCCTCACTCCCTCTATTCACTCCTCCTTCACACACCTGCCTCATTCTCCCAGTCCCACTAAGAGCACTGTCCAATGCCTTCAGGCACTTCTGCTTACAGGGTGCAGCAGACCCTGAAACCCCAGGCTAGAGGGTCTCGGCCTGCTGTCCTGCAGCCTGGTAATGTGGCTCTGACTCAGACTGCTGCAGGACCTCGGGCCGTGCTGCCATGATCCCAGGCATCCCAAAGACTCCGGAATGGCTTTGAGGGTTTCCTCTTCCCCTCCTAAAATGATGAGTCTATTTTATGTCCCCCTTAGCCATTACCCCATACTGGGGGTGGGGAAGAGGCAGAGAGTGCTTCAAAGGGAGGGGGCAAAGCTCCCTGGCCACACCTCCCTGTGGGAGAGACGGAGGAAATTTCCTGTATGCAGAGGAGGTTAAAGACAGACACAGGGGGCCAGGCGCGGTGGCTCACACCTGTAATCCCAGCACCTTGGGAGGCAGAGGCTAGTGGATCACTGGAGGTCAGGAGTTCGAGACCAGCCTGACCAACATGGTGAAACCCCGTCTCTGCTAAAACTACAAGGCTGTGCATGGTGGCTCATGCCTATAATCCCAGCACTTTGGGAGGCCGAGATCAAAACCATCCTGGCCAACATGTTGAAACCCCGTCTCTACCACAAATATAAAAGTTAGTTGGGCATGGTGGCGCACGCCTGTAATCCCAGCTTCTTGGGAGGCTAAGGCAGGAGAATCTTTTGAATCTGGGAGGCGGAGGTTGCAGTGAGCCAAGATCGTGCCACTGCACTCCAGCCTGGTGACAGAGTGAGACTCTGTCTCAAAAAAAAAAAAAAAAAAAAAGACTCAGAGATCCCACCCCAGCCCCTAGCTCTGGAATCGGAGCCCAGCCTCTATTCCCTAGAACAGGCAAGGCCAAGCTGGCTGCCCAACATCTTGGGTGAGACTTGATTTATGCATGAATAGAATGATTTCTACCCATGAGCAAAGGTCCTCCTACCTCTGGCTGTCCTTGGCTGTAGGGGTCAGATCTTGACCCCTCTGAATCTTCCTGGGGTTCATTCTGTTTCTCTCCTGTCTAAACCAGCACAAAAGTCCTGTGAATCTGCAGGGGCAGTGTTTTGCCCGTTTGGGGGCCTGTGGCCTTGCGGGCTGAGGGAGGCCCTTTGCTGAAACTACCCTATACACCCTACATGAGAACAACCTGCAGGGGCCTGGGAACCTAGGTCATGTCTGTCTCCCCAGTGCCTAGCATAATTCCTGACACAAAGTATGCACTTCATGCATATAAGTTGTTTTCGTTTTTAGCAGGTCTCTGCTTGAAGACGTGGCAGCCTTCAGTCAAGGTCATGTCTAGAGTCTCAATACTGGGTAGTATGAGTGCCCTGCATCTGGAGGGCTCGAAAATTTGAGGGTTACACTGAAACAAGTTTGGATTGTCTGCATCTCCCTCTATTGAGGTCCCTCTGGCATAGAGCACTGAAATGCTAGTTCATCTAGCACCTAGGCGCTAGTTCATAGACCCTGAAACTCCCAGGCTGGGGGGTCTTGGCTTGCTGTCCTGCAGCCTGGTAATGTGGCTCTGACTCAAATTGCTGCAGGACCTTGGGCCATGCTGCCATGATCCCAGGCATCCCAGAGACCCCGGAATCATAGGCGCTAGTTCAACTAGGACCTATGAACTAGCATTTTTCCCTCATAGTCAACAGAAGATCCCTGTTCTCCCAGCCTTTGGGCAGGGCCTAGAGTAGGAAGATTGGAGGACACACAAGCATAGTGCCCCTTTCCCAGGTCTCCCTCTGGACATGCCTGATCCACTGTGGCCAGCTGGGGGGCACCCCCCTACAGGAAATCCTCCAGGGTGGGACCATGGGGCCAATATCTGACCTGGATCCTGGAACTTTGGCAAGATGCCCTTGCCAACAATCACGAGCACTGAGCCCTCCTCTGGAAGGAGAAACCCTCCCTCTGGGCCTAGCCCTCATCCGTAAAATGGGGCTTTGCTAGGGGTACTCTCAGTCCCCTCCAAGCACTAGTATTCCCAGGTAAACCTACGAATGATGCCCAGTCAATGTTTTTGTTTGGTTTTGTTGTTTTTTGCAGAGGATGAGGGAAAATGTCTGGACCACTGTTGGCCTAACAGTTCACAGAAAGCTGCCACTGTGCACTGGAAAGGTATATTTAGGTCTCTTGCAATGTCCTTTTCTCTTTTGCCAATTTCTGACCCAGGAGGGTGGAGGAGAATAGAGATGGTGGTGACCTTGGTGGAGGCAGGAAGGAGCAGGGCTGATAGCTAGATTTTCATCTGTGCAGGTGCATGTTTATGCATTTGTGTCTGTCTCTGAGCTCAATATAGATCAGCGTGTATCTCCCTCCATATTAGAGTTACAGAGCTCTCCATTTACAGCTGTAAAAGAGATTTATATTTCTTTCTAGAATGGTTGGGGCAGGGGTGTGGTTCAACAGATGGCTAGCAGGTTACAGGTGTGTCTAGCTGAAAAAAGTATCTGGCCCTGGGCCTCCTGATTGGCTGTCAGTGAGTCACAGCGGTTGGGTTCTTGGAGTGGAGCTAATTGGCTGTCATGGAGTTGGGTTCATGCCCTGCCTTATCTTTAGGGCCTTCTTCTGCCAGCCTAGACGGACAATGTTCCCTGTAGAGGCAATGACGCTTGCAGGCTGCTGACTGCGGGTCAGTGGGACGTGCCCTTTGGGTAGTTTTCCCAGCAGCATGTGGTTCACCTTGACCTGGCCACACCCTGACTCCTCAGCTCTCCAGAGCCCGAAGGATGGCACCCTACTGGGGAGTGATTCCAGGGGCCAGCTGGCTGTGACCTGGCGAAGTCACAAAGGTATTTCCTCAGTTCTGGAAGTGCCATCCGAACTGACTGGCAACAAGAAAGTGTTTGTGGGTAAACATTGTAGAAACCAACTCTGGATTCTGTGAAAGGCCTCTGGAGAGATAGGCAGGGAACTGTTGCCATGGTAACCAGCTCAGGGGGTCGGAGCAGAAAGCAGAAGAGAGGCAGGCAGGAGGGGTCCCTGTCTTGGCTTTCCAGATGCAAGGAATCCTTGAACATGCAGGCTCTGGGAGTGGTCTGCCTCCCGGCCTCAAGTCACATGTACACACAGGGCTTTTCACTTCTCCTAGGCCTTACATGGGTGTGGCTTCATGCCCTTCCAGGGAGCAGGACCCAGACAGTTATTCCAGGGTGAGAGATGGGCAAAGCAAGCCCTCCAGGAGCATACACACTGCCCAAGGTCACAGGGCAGAGACCAGCAGCCAGCAGGAGCCCAGCAGGCACAGGAACACTTGACGAAATCCGTTTTCTGTCTGTCCGCCAAACTAGCTGCAGCCCCCGGTCCTCCATTAAGAGTCCCAGGGACCACTCAGCTCAGGGTAGTGGGAGGAGTTGGCATAATCTTCTTGGCTCAGGGCTACAACTTCTGAGAAGTTCAAACAACCACATATTTCCCCATCCTCCTCCTCCCACCTGTTTGTCCACCTGAGTAGAATACAATTTCTGTGTCTGAGCAGTGGGGGGCAATTGAACTGGGGAGACCTTGACAGGCCCCTTATCAGCTCCCTGGGGCTGCCAGGCTGCCTGTTGGTATCCTGGACTCCCGGCTCTTGCCCGCCCAGGCTGGCACAGTTGCCATCCAGGGTGCCTGGGCGGAGAGCCAGAGGGAATTTTCCACCTGCCTGCCTTTGTTGTCTGCTCTGTGGTCTGGAGCCTGGGCCAGGGGCGGGGCAGGCCCCCTGGGTATCTGCAGGAGGGCTCCGAGGTTGCCTTGGGCTGCCTCACACAGGAATTGCCAACCCTTCCCATGTTCCATGACCCAGCGAGGTTTCTTTTTCTCCATGGGGGAGATGCGGGAGCTAGTGGGGATAGGGGAAGGTTGGGCACTGGGGTGGGGATGCCCACCTGGGTAACCACAGAGTGCCAGGGTTAGAAGGAGCCTAGGCTTATCCAGCTGAGCCCCTACCTTGTACAGATGGGAACACTGAGGCGCCTGCCTTGTACAGATGGGGATAAGAGGGCAATGGACATGGCCAAGGTCACAAAGGGAGGGTAGATGCCAAGCCATGACTCAAAGCCGCTTTCCAGACTCACATCCCAGTATCTGTCACCAAACCTTTCAGTCCCCCCATAACTTCACTTTTCCATTCGGGGCTGAATCAGGCTATGGGTCTCCCACTCCAACCCCTCCTTCCACACCCTGTCCTCTCTTCTTAGCACAGGATGTGTGGGCCTAGGCCTGCCTTCCACAGCTCCTCAATGTGAGCACCAGCTCCCCTGGCCCCCGACTGCCTTCAAGAGGCCCTCCCCTCCTGGAACTGGCTGAGCTCTGCACAGGGTCCTCAGGCTGAGGGCGGGGCCTGGGCTGCTCTAGGGGCAGTGGGTGAATGAAGACAAACCCATGGGAAGAGATGAGAGGCAGCGGGCTGAGCTCAGCAGCTGGACAGGGTGGTGGGCCCACTTGGAGCTGTTTTATGCTCCCCAAGTGCCTCACCTTTCTAGAGAGCTCCAACCCCTGTGCTGGCCTTGGGCAATCTGTGGGTGTGGAGTCAGGCTGTGCCCTAGAGCCTTATATCTCTCCTTCCTGCGGTGAGGTGACCCAGGTGCACCTGCTCCTGGGGGGTAAACAGCAAATGAGAGGCCCGGGGCAGGGGTGGGGCAAGGCTGAAACTGGGTGCCTGGAGCTGGATGAGTCACGTTCTCACTCCGGGGCCACCAGGGATAAGAGGGGGAGTGAAGGATGGGGGAAGGACAGATTAGGGCCATGACAGGGCCAACTCAGAACACCCCCCCACCCCCCGATCCTCCTGCTCTCCTATCTGGGCCTCTTGAAAGAGTCCTTGGCAATCTCTCCTCCAGCCTCTTCATTTTATTGAATTAGGAGGCTGTGCTCTAGAGATGGCCCAGAGAGGACAAGTGACTTGTTGGGGACACAAAGCACGTTGGTAATCTCAAGTCTCCTGAGCCAGTCATGGGTTCAAATCCCAGAGCCAAAAGCAGAACACCAGCAAGCTTTTCCTGCCCAGTGTTTCGGAGAGCAATCTGTAACTACAATCATCGCTAAAATGCAGTCAAGCCCCTGAACTGCCCTGGGGATAAGAGGGACCTGCGGCTTCTCCACCTCCCTGACGTCAGCTGGGTGTCACCAATCCCCAGAAGCCCTGCCCAGTGGTGTGACATCACAGGGCTGGGCCAGCTTTGCTGGAAGGGGCTCCACCCTAGAGAGGAGGGTGAAGGGATTCTGGTCTGGGTCTGTCGCTATCATACAATGCAGCCTGTAGCCTAAGTGCAGGGGGGTTATCGAAACTCGAGGGCCCCTCTGCTGCCCACCTCCCACTCCCTCTGAAACCCAGGACTCCTGGGGCTGCCACAGGAGTCTGAGTCAGCTCTCGGGGCCAATGAATAATATAAAGTCAGGCCTTCCCTGACTACATGTATTGTGTTAAGGAGGTGGAATTTAGAGAATTCAGAGTGTCAGGTCATCCTAGCAAATCTCAGCTCCTCACTAGTCAGCTGTGAGACCTGGGCCAGTTTCTGACCTCACAGAGCCTCTTCTGTAATTTGGGCATGAGGTTACCTATCTCACAGGATTGTTGTGAAGATTAAATGAAGTGACCTGTGCATCACTCGGGCACACAATGCTTGGCATGCAGCAATATGGGCTCAATTTTTGAAAGATGAAGTATAAATATTATAGAAGAGAACTCCACCGGGTGTGGTTGCTCACACCCATAATCCCAGCACTTTGGGAGGCCGAGGCGGGCAGATCACTTGAAGTCAGGAGTCTGAGACCAGCCTGGCCAACATGGTGACACCCTGACTCTATAAAAATACAAAAATTAGCTGGGCATGGTGGCGTGCAGCTGTAATTCCAGCTACTCAGGAGGCTGAGGCATGAGACTCACTTGAACCCAGAAGGCAGAGGTTGCAGTGAGCTGAGATCACACCACTGCACTCCAGCCTGGGCGACAGACCTAGACTCTATCTCAAAAAAAAAAAAAAAAGACTGCGTGCGGTGGCTCACGCTTGTAATCCCAGCACTTTGGGAGGCCAAGGTGCATGCATCACTTTAGGTTGGGAGTTTAAGACCAGCCTGACCAACATGGAGAAACCCCATCTCTACTAAAAATACTAAATTAGCCGGGCGTGGTTGCACATGCCTGTAATCCCAGCTACTCGGGAGGCTGAGGCAGGAGAATTGCTTGAACCCAGGAGGCAGAGGCTGCAGTGAGCCAAGATCATGCCATTGCACTCTAGCCTAGGCAACAAGAGTGAAACTCCGTCTCAAAAGAAAGAAAGAAAGAAAGAAAATAACTCTTAATGATAAACCAAGGTTCGAAACTTTGCACTTACATCACAGAAGAAGAGTGTAGGGCACTTCTTGGCTTTATCTATCTATTCAACAAACTTTTCTGAAGACCGGTGAGGAAGCACCCCTCTGACCAAAGTGACAAACGGAAGTGATGGGCTCCTCTTCCAGAAGTAGAGGGCTCAGGACGGGATTAAGAGGAAGGACAGAAAGAGACAGGAGCTTTCCAGTTACTCCAAAAACAAATGCACCTCCTTCTGTCTGTGCCTCTACACAGGCAGGTTTTTTCGGACCAGAACTTTTTGCTATTCACCCAAACCTCTTCTTCTTCTTTTTTTTTTTTTTTTGAGACGGAGTTTTGCTCTTGTCGCCCAGGCTGGAGTGCTGTGGCGTGATCTTGACTCACTGCAACCCCGCCTCCCGGGTTCAAGCAATTCTCCTGCCCCAGCCTCCCAAGTAACTGGGATTACAAGCGTGCGACACCACACCCGGCCACGAAATCTCTTCTTTACCAGCAGATATCTACTCCTCCTTCAGAGCCCAACTCAGGCTTCACCTCCCATGAGCAACAAGTCAGGGCCAACACCCTACTCGGGGCAGGGTGAGGTGCCCCTCCTATACACTCCCATAGGACTCTGCTTCCTTTCCTGCTGTTTATCTTAGCATTTTGCACACTTTTTGTGATGAATTGTCTCTTCCATTAGACTGTAAGCTTCCCTAGGCCAAGGACCTCTTGTTATCTGGAATTCCCAAGAGAGGTAAGAGTAAGCGTTTGTGGAATGAATACATGAAAGAAACGGACTGTTCCTCTGACAGATGTTTCCCTGGGGTTCTGTGCCCATGAAAGGGGCCTGACTGACCATACATCCTAAAGTGCCCAGGACAACCACGGCTTATGCTGTTGTCCTGTCACGATTATTGATAGCACCCCCTTTTACCTGCCAGATGTCCAGGTTGAAGGACAAATTTTATAGTCACCCTTCTGTCAGAGAAACCTGGAGGAAACCCAGTTTCACCAACCAAAGGTTTCTTGTTACTTTTTTTTTTTTAAGACAGGGTCTCAGGCCAGGCATGGTGGCTCATGCCTGTAATCCCAGCACATTGGGAGGCTAAGGCGGGTGGATCATGAGGTCAGGAGTTCGAGCCCAGCCTGGCCAATACAGTGAAATCCCGCCTCTACTAAAAATACAAAAATTAGCTGGGTGTGGTGGCGGACACCTATAATCCCAGCTACACCGGAGGCTGAGGCAGGGAACTGCTTGAACCCAGGAGGTGGAGGTTGCAGTGAGCTGAGATCACGCCACTGCACTCCAGCCTGGGTGACAGGGCGAGACTCCGTCTCAAAAAAAAAAAAAAAAGAGGCAGGGTCTCACTCTGTCGCCCAGGCTGGAGTCTAGTGGTGTGATCTTGGTTCACTGCAACCTCTGCCTCCTGGGCTCAGGTGATCCTCCCAACCCAGCCTCCCAAGTAGCTGGGATCACAGGTGCACGCCACCACACCTGGCTAATTTTTTTTTTTTTTTGAGACAGAGTTGCGCTCTGTCACCCAGGATGGAGTGCAGTGGCGCAATCTCAGCTCACTGCAAGATCTGCCTCCCGGGTTCACACCATTCTCCTGCCTCAGCCTCCTGAGTAGCTGGGACTATAGGCGCTCGCCACCATGCCTGGCTAATTTTTTGTATTTTTAGTAGAGACGGGATTTCACCGTGTTAGCCAGGATGGTCTCGATCTCCTGACCTCGTGATCCACCCACCTCGGCCTCCCAAAGTGCTGGGATTACAGGCTTGAGCCACCGCACCCAGCCATCTGGCTAATTTTTTTAAGTTTTTGTAGAGACGGGGTTTCGCCATGTTGCTCAGATTGGTCTCAAACTACTGGGCTCAAGAGATCCTCCCGCCTTGGCCTCCCAAAGTGCTGGGATTACTGGTGCGAGCCACTGCACCTGGCCTTCTTTTTACTTCTTTGTTTGTTTGTTTTGAGACAGAGTTTTGCTCTGTCACCCAGGCTGGAGTGCACTGGCATGATCTTGGCTCACTGCAACCTCCGCCTCCTGGGTTCAAGCTGTTCTCTGCCTCAGCCTCCCGAGTAGCTGGGATTACAGGTGCCCGCCATCACACCCAGCTAATTTTTTTGTATTTTTAGTAGAGATGGTGTTTCACCATCTTGGTCAGCCTGGTCTTAACTCAAGACCTCGTGATCCGCCCGCCTTGGCCTCCCAAAGTGCTGGGATTACAGGCATGAGCCACCACGCCCAGCCCTTTTTACTTCTTAATTATTTCCTTTTGTCATCCCTTTGTTCATTTTCCCAGCTGTGTTAAGAGATATGGGTGGAATACCCTGGCTCACCCTGGCCTGGGTTAGGGGGGAATGTGCAACAATAAAAAGACCTGTGGCTGGGTGCAGTGGCTCACACCTGTAATCCCAGCCCTTTGGGAGGCTAAGGTGGGCAGATCACTTGAGGTCAGGAGTTCGAGCCCAGCCTGGCCAACATGTCGAAACCCCGTCTCTACTAAAAATACAAAAATTAGCTGGGCATGGTGGCGGGCGCTTGCAATCCCAGCTACTTGGGAGGGTGAGGCAGGAGAATCGTTTGAACCTGGGAGATGGAGGTTGCAGTGAGCCGAGATCACACCACTGCACTCCAGCCTGGGCAACTGAGAGATTCCATTTCATAAATAAATAAATAAATAAATAAATAAATAAATAAATAAGAAACCTGTGGGGAGAAGGACCAAAGGAATGGTGCAAGCTGCGGCAGTACCTCCCAAGAAGAAGAGGTCCCCTGCTAGGAAATCTGGGGGTGGCCCATTTAAGTAAGCCCAAAAGAAAAGGCACTGCAGGTACAAAGAAGAATTCAATAGGCCCAGCTAGTAGGTGAGGAGGAAATTACCATACAATCAGGCTCTTTGTGTCTAAATCCTCCTGAGGCCTCAGCAGGGCCAGCCCACCTCTAACCTGTGAGACTGCCAAGCCCCAAAGCACCCACGGTAAAGCTGTGGAGACCTAAGAATCCTCCTCCCAGATGCAGGCAACCTGATCCCTGGGCCCGCCAGGCCCCAAGGACAGTGCAGGCTCACCCTCACCCCTGGCACCCTCTAAGGGAGGGGGTTGCCTCTGTTTCTCTACGGCCCCCAGCTGGGATTTCAATGCAGTGTGTGGGGAGGTGGGAGGAGGTCTGAAAGAGACAGAAGAGAGAGAGAGAAGAGAGAGACAGAAGAAAGAGAGAGAGAGAAAAAAAACCATGGCAACCAGTCCATAAATGAAGACTCATCAAGAAGTCTGGAAGAGACCTCGAGGAGGCGCCTAGCCAGCACCTCATTCAATTTATTCAGCAAACATTTATTAAGCCTCACAGGGTGCCAGGCACTGGGCTAGGCCCTGGGGATACAGAAATGGAAAAACAGCCCCACCCTGTGGAAGCCCACAGGCTTCCGGAGGAGGCCAATGAGCAAACAGATGCTGTTAAGGACTGGCAGGGATGCTGGGCTGGAAGAAGGCCAGGAGTGTTGCTGGGGCCAAGGAAGTGCCTGAATCCAGAGGAGGCCTGGTACCCAGATGAGGCTGGGGGTGGTCAGATACACGACCCCTGACCTCAGGCCTGAAGACTTGTAGAACCAGCCAGGCCAAAGCAGGAAATAGACAGGTTTAAGGAGGGGAGAAGCACCTCAGGCCCAGTGAGAAAGAAGCTCTATGTTGAGGGAGACAGAGGAGCATGGAATTCGCTGAACCTTGAGTATTTTAGTGTGCCTTCTTAAGAAAAATTATCCAGAATTCAGAAATTAGACCAAAAAATGTCAGCATGTCTTTCAAAATTATTCAAAAATTAGCTGATGTGCTGTCAGCTGGGAAAGACAGGAGGCAGGAAGACTGCTTGAGGTGGGGAGGTGGAGGCTGCAGTGAGCTGAGATCCCACCACTGCACTCCAGCCTGGGTGACAGGTTATGTCTGCAATCCCAGCACTTTGGGAGGCCAACCAGCCTGGGCAACACAGTAAAACCTTGTCTTTACTAAAAATAAAAAATTAGCTGGGTGTGGTTGTGTGCACCTGTGGTCCCAGCTACTTGGGAGGCTGAGGCAGGAGGATCGCTTGAGTCCAGGAGATCAAGGCTGCAGTAAGCCAGGATCATGCCACTGTATTCCAGCCGGGTGACAGAGCGAGACTGTCTCAAAACAAAACAAAAACAGCTCTGTGTGTTTAATTACGGAGTAGAGCCCTACAGACCTTTGCAAATTTGATGTTAACTTGTAGGAAATTGATAGGTTGCAAATTTTTGTTTTAAATGACAGGGTCTCTGTTGCTCAGGCTGCTGGAGTACAGTGGCACAATCATGGCTCACTGCAGCCTTGACATCCTGGGTTCAAGCAAACCTCCTACCTCAGCCTCTGGAGTAGCTAGGACCACAGGTGTAAGCCACTATACCCAGCTAATTTTTAAAAATTTTTTTTGTAGAGTTGGGGTCTCATTATGTTGCCCAGGCTGGTCTTGAACTCCTGAACTCAAGTGAACCTCCTGTCTCGGCCTCCTAAAGTGCTGGGATTATAGGTGTGAGCCATCATGCCAGGATACATTAAATAAATCTTTGATGTGGCCCACTATTTATGTAGGAGACATGCTTTTAACTTTTTGAAATTATAGGCTGGGCACAATGGCTCACACCTGTAATCCCAGCACTTTCGGAGGCTGAGGTGGGCAGACTGTTTGAGTCCAGGAGTTTCAGACCAGCCTGGGCAACATGGTGAAACCCAATCTCTATTATTTAAAAATAAACAAATAAAATAAAATAAATTCCACAGTCAGCTCTCTGTATCCATGGGTTCTGCATCCATGGATTCAACCAATTTTGGATTGAAAATACTGGGGGAGGCCACGCTCAGTGGCTCATGCCTGTAGGCAGCACTTTGGGAGGCCGAGGCAGGTGGATCACCTTGAGGTCAGGAGTTCGAGACCAGCCTGGCGAACATGGTGAAACCCTGTCTCTACTAAAAATATACAAATTACCTGAGTGTGGTGGCAGGCGCCTGTAATTTCAGCTACTTGAGAGGCTGAGGCAGGAAAATCGCTTGTACCTGGGAGGTGGAGGTTGCAGTGAGCTGAGATTGCACCACTGAACTCCAGCCTGGATGACAAGAGTGAAAATCTGTGTCAAAAAAAAAAAAAATTAGCTGGGCATGGTGGCACACTACTTGGGAGGGTGAGGCACGATTATTGCTTGAACCTGGGAAGCAGAGGTTGCAGGGAGCTGAGATCACGCCACTGCACTCCAGCCTGAGTGACAGAGCAAGACTCTGTCGCAAAAAAAAAACTATATATATATATATGGGGATAAATGGATAGCTGCATCTGTACTGAACATGCAGGCTATTTTTCTTGTCATTATTTCCTAAACTATACAGTATAACACCTATTTACATAGCATTTACATTATATTAGGTATTATAAGTAATCTAGAGATTATTTAAAATATACAGGAGCTCTACAGAAAATAAAAAAATTGGAGCACAGCTGTAGTCCCAGTTTCTTGGGATATTAGGGTGGGAGGATCACTTGAGCCCAGGAGGTCAAGGCTGCAGTGAGCTGGAATCACATCACTCTAGCCTGGGCAAAAGAGACCTTGTTTGAAAAAAACAAAAACAAAAACAAACAAAAAAAAGTATATGAGGCAGGGTGTAGTGGCTTATGCCTGTAATCCCAGCACTTTGGGAGACCGACGCAGGCAGATCACCTGAGGTCAGGAGTTTGAGATCAGCTTGGCCAACATGGCAAAACCCCATCTCTATTAAAACACAAAAATTAGCCAGGCATGGCGGCAGGTGCCTGTAAGATTTTCACTCTTGTCACCCAGCTACTAGGGAGGCTGAGGCAGGAGAATCGCTTGAACCCAGGAGGTGGAGGTTGCAGTGAGCCCAGATCACGCCATTGCACTCCAGCCTGGGCAACAGAGCAAGACTGTCTCAAAAAAAAAAAAAAAAGTATGTGAGAGGATATGTGTGTGTCCCATTCATGCAAATACTACACTACTTTATATGAGAGACTAGAGCATCTGCAGATTTGGCTATCCTGGGCGGTGGGGTTGGGGGGTTCCCGGAACTAGGCCCCCACAGATACTAAAAGACAACTGTTCTTTGATGGAGTGCTTATGAAGTCATGATGGGAAAGGAGGGCTTTGTACGTCACATTAAAATAGGCTGGGCACAGTGGGTCACGCCTGTAATCTCAGCACTTTGGGAGGCTGAGGCAGGTGGATCACCTGAGGTCAGGAGTTTGAGACCAGCCTGGCCAACATGATGAAACCCTGTCTCTATTAAAAATACAAAAAATTAGCTGGGCATGGTGGCAGGTGCCTGTAATCCCAGCTACTCGAAGGAGGAGAATCGCTTGAACCCAGGAGGTGGAGGTTGCAGTGATCCAAAATCGTGCCATTGCACTCCAGCCTGGGCAACAAGAGAGAAACTGTCTCAAAAAATAAATAAAAATAAAGGGAAGAGGGTGCAGTGTTGTGCACCTATAGTCCCAGCTACTCAGGACACTGAGGCAGGAGGATCACTTGAGTCCAGGAGCTGGCGTCCAGCCTAGGCAACATATAGTGAAACCCTGTCTCAAAAACAAAAAAACAAAAATAGAGGAAGAATGTATGTTTAACTTTATAGGAAATTAATAAACTGTTTTGTAGGTTTTTTGTTTGTTTGAGACAGGGTCCTGCTCTGTCACCCAGACTGGACTGCAGTGATGTGATCACGGCTCACTGCAGCCTCAACCTCCTAGGCTTAGGCAATCCTCCTGCCTCAGCCTCCTGCGTAGCTGGGACCAAAGGCATGTGCCACCACACCTGGCTAATTTTTTTTTTTTTTTTTTTTTGTAGAGGCAGGTTCTCACTGTGTTGCTCAGGCTAATCTTGAACTACTGGGCTCAAGTCATCCTCCTGCCTTGGCCTATAAGAACAGAAACCTACATATACTTCTATGTTCTACTTAGTAACTGGGGCAGTTCTCAACCCATAGAAGGCAGGATAACCTGGATGGGTGCCGTGGCTTATGCCTGTAATCCCAGCACTTTGGGATGCCAAGGCGGGCGGATTACCTGAGGTCGGGACCAGCCCGACCAACATGGAGAAACCCTGTCTCTATTAAAAATACAAAATTAGCCGGGCTTGGTGGCACATGCCTGTAATCCCAGCTACCCGGGAGGCCGAGGCAGGAGAATCGCTTGAACCCAGGAGGCGGAGGTTGCGGTGAGCTGAGATCGTGCCATTGCATTCCAGCCTGGGCAACAAGAGCAAAACTCCACCTCAGAAAAAAAAAAAAAAAAAAAAAAGGAGGCAGGATAACCCTTACTGACACTTGGGTTGTTCCCCATCCGCCGCCACCGCCGCCACCCCCACCACCGCCGCCATGCACTCTTCAGGTTTATTGAGGGCATGAGGGGCTAAAAGGGAGCCCTGGATGTCTGAGTGTAAGGCCTGGCATCTGCCTAAACAGTGGTTCAGTGGGTGGCCAATGAGGATGGAGTTTCCACCACCTGGGTTTGCTTGAAAATGTGACTCTCTGGCTGGGCGAGGTGGCTCACACCTGTAATCCCAGCACTTTAAGAGGACCAGGTGGGCAAATCACCTGAAGTCAGGAATTCCATACCAGCCTGGCCAACATGGTGAAACCCTGTCTCTACTGAAAACACAAAAATTAGCCAGGAGTGGTGGCGGATGCCTGTAATCCCAGCCACTCAGGAGGCTGAGACACAGAATCGCTTGAACCCGGGAGGCGGAGGTTGCAGTGAGCTGAGATGGCGCCACTGCACTCCAGCCTGGGCAATAAAGTGAGACTCTGTCTCAAAAAAAAAAGGAAGAAAGTGTGACTCTCAGCTCTACCTTGCCCAAAGCCTTTGGGCCCAAACATGGCATAGTAGCAGGGGTGGTTTCAGCAGGGCTTGCCTTCGTACTTAGCATGCCCCAGCTTGGCCTCCAGCATCTATATACATTTCTCATACTTCAGGAAGGGCTGCTGTTGCTGCTGCTGCTGCTGCTGATGACGATGACGATGGTGACAATAACATTTATTGGGCACTTACTATATACCAGCACTCTTCCCAAATGTTTCCATGTGTTAACTCACTTAATCTTCAACAGCCTTTCATAGTAAGTACCATTACAATCATTCCCATTTTACAGATGAGATAACTAGGGATCAGAGAGACTACAAACTTGCCCAAAGTTCTCTTACAAACTAGCAAGGAGCAAAGCCCAAGTTCAAACACAGGCCATCCATCCTAAGGGCCTTCTCTCAACCTGTGGTCTGTATATCAGTGGTTCTCAAACTTTTTAGTTTCAGGGCCCCTTTAAATCTTAAAAACTATTGAAGACTCCAAAAATCCCCAGTTTATGTGGGTTATATCTATTGCTATTTATCAAATTAGAAATTAAAACTGGCCAGGAGTGGTGGTTTATCCCTGTAATCCCAACACTTTAGGAGGCCTAGGCAGGAGGATCACTTAAGTCCAGGAGTTTGAGGCTAGCCTGGACAACATAGGGAGACCCTCATCTCTACAAAAAATTTAAAAATTAGCTGGATGTGATGGACCACACTTGTGGTCCCAGCTACTCGGGAGGCTGAGGTTAGGTTGGAGGATCACCTGAGCCCAGGAGTTTGAGGCTGCAGTGAGCTATGATGGCACCATTGCAGTCCAGCCTGGGCAACCATCGAGAACCCTTATCAAAAAACAGAAAGGTAAGGCCGGGTGCGGTGGCTCACGCCTGTAATCCCAGCACTTTGGGAGGCCGAGGCGGGCAGATCACGAGATCAGGAGATCGAGACCATCCTGGCTAACACGGTGAAACCCCGTCTCTACTAAAAATACAAAAAATTAGCCGGGCATGGTGGCAGGCGCCTGTAGTCCCAGCTACTCCGGAGGCTGAGGCAGGAGAATGGCGTGAACCTGGGAGGTGGAGCTTGCAGTGAGCCGAGATCGTGGTACTGCACTCCAGCCTGGGCCACAGAGCGAGACTCCATCTCAAAAAAAAAAAAAAAAAAAAAGGTTAGGGGCGATGACAAGACACATGGGATAGAATGAGGGAGTATGGGGTGTTTTTTTGTTTGTTTTTTGAGACAGAGTCTCACTCTGTCACCCAGGCTGGAGTGCAGTGGCACGATCTTGGCTCACTGCAACCTCTGTGAGAAAGTATGAAATAGACAAGAGCTGGGTTTGGGATCATCTCTCACCTTAACCATTTATGGCCCCGGTAGTAAAGTGCTTTCCTATGCATAGGGAAGGGATTCACAGTAAGAAACCCATTATACATTAACATAAATAACTTTTTTAAATTAAAAAACTACATTTTCCAAAAGCAGAAAAACTTAGTGAGAAAAATGACATTGTTTTACTTTTTTCCAAATCTCTTTAATATCTGGCTTAATAGAAGACAGCTGGATTCTTGTACCTTCTTCAGCATTCAATCCTTTGTGAATGTTGTTTTGGTTGATGTACATGAATAAAATCCAGCTTCACACAGATTTGCAGTTTAAAGAGTGAGGAGTATTTTAATAGCATTTTTTTTTTTTTTTTTGAGACAGGGTCACCCTCTGTCACCCAGGGTGAGGTGTGGTGGCACAATCTCAACCCACTGCAACTTCTGCTTCCCTGGGTCAAGCGATCCTCCCACCTTAGCCCCTCCAGTAGCTGGGACCACAGGCATGCTCAACATGCCTGGCTAATTTTTGTATTTTTTGTAGAGATGGGGTCTCACCATGTTGCCTAGTCTGGTCTTGAACTCCTGGTCTTAAGCAATCTTCCCACCTCAGCCTGGGATTACAGGCAAGAGCTGCCACGTCCAGCAGAAACAGAAATCTTAGAGGTTAGTTGCAATGTAGACTCTGAAACCCTATCAATGAACTTTTTGTCCTCTGTAACATTAAAATCCATTGTTCCTTCATTTTCTAGGAAACTTTTAGGGGGTGATAGACATGTTCACTGTTTTTATTGTGGTGTTAGTTTCATGGGTGTATACATATGTCAAAACTTATCAAAGTGTACACTCTAAATACATACAGTTTATTGTATATCATTATTACTCAATAACAATTTTTTTTTGAGATGGAGTCTTGCTTTGTTGCCCAGGCTGGGGGTACAGTGGTACGATCTTAGTTCACCGCAACCTCCATCTCCTGGGTTCAAGCAATTCTCCTACCTCAGCCTCTGATTAGCTGGGTTCAAGCAATTCTCCTACCTCAGCCTCTGATTAGCTGGGATTACAGGCGCCCACCACCACACCCAGCTAATTTTTTAGTAGAGACAGGATTTCATCATGTTGGCCAGGCTGGTTTTGAACTCCTGACCTCAGGTGATCCGCCTGCCTCGGCCTCCCAAAGAGCTGGGATTACAGGCATGAGCCACTGTGCCTGGCAGGATGTTTTTAAAAAATAATCCTAAGAACTAGATTGTCCTGACCTATTCAGAGAAGCAGCATGGCACGAAGGAAAATATGTGAGTTTTGGAAAACAACTTAGCTGGATTTGCCTAGCACTTCTTAGCTATGTAAGCTTGGGCAACATTCATTAATTCACTCATTTCACATGTATCAAACCCCATGAGACTCTATGAGGTGGGCCTAAAGCAGTGAACGAGCCACGATCCTCACAGTTGAGGAGCTTATGGTCTGACTGGGGAGAGAGGCAATGGCAAGACAGAGTGGCAGAGAGCTCTGTGGAAATAGCTGGCAGGGGCAACCAATCAGAGGGTTGTGATCAGGGAATGCTTCCTGGAAGAGGTGCCATCCCAGCAAAAACTTCTCTAGGCAAAGGGTAGGAATTCATCAGGCAAAGACAGGGAAAATGAGCTTTCCCAGCAGAAGGAATGTGATGGCAAAGGCCCAGAGACACAGAGTGGTCCAGCAAGGCCACAATAGAGTGGAGATGGCAGGTGGGGTTGCGGGGGGACGATGCCGAGAGACCTGCAGTCAGACCGTGAAGGGCTCTGTCTAGGCCTATCCCGAGGACAACAGAGAGGCACTGAAGGGTTTTAAGTAGGAGTGATGAGATCAGAGGTATGCTTCAGAAAGATGACTCTGCTGCAGTGTGGAGAATAAATTAGAGGGGCTACAGGGATGGGAAAACCAGTTAGCAGGTTACTACAGTACGCTGGGCAAGAAGTGTCAGTGGTCTGAATGAAAGTAGTAGTACTGGGCCGGACGCAGTGGCTCATGCCTGTAATCTCAGCACTTTAAGAGGCCAAGGCAGGGGGATCATTTGAGGTCAGGAGTTCGAGACCAGCCTGGACAACACAGTGAAACCCTGTCTCTACTAAAAATACACATATTAGGGGTTCCCTCTTTCGGCTTGGAGCCTCCCTCCCTCTGTCTCTGTACGGGGGGAACCTCTTCCTTCTTTCTTGCCTATTAAATTCTCCACTACTTGGCCGGGCGTGGTGGCTCACGCCTGTAATCCCAGCACTTTGGGAGGCCAAGGCGGGCGGATCACGTGGTCAGGAGATCAAGACCACGGTGAAACTCCGTCTCTACTAAAAATACAAAAAATTAGCCAGGCACGGTGGCTCATGCCGGTAATCCCAGCACTTTGGGAGGCCGAGGCGGGCAGATCACGAGGTCAGGAGGTCGAGACCACGGTGAAACCCCGTCTCTACTAAAAATACAAAAAATTAGCCAGGCGTGGTGCCGGGCGCCTGTAGTCCCAGCTACTCGGGAGGCTGAGGCAGGAGAATGGCGTGAACCCGGGAGGCGGAGCTTGCAGTGAGCCGAGATCGCGCCACTGCACTCCAGCCTGGGCAACAGCGAGACTCCGTCTCAAAAATAATAATAATAATAATTCTCCACTCCTTAAAACCAAAACAAAAACAAAAACAAAAACAAAAACAAAAAACCACCAACCAACAAACAAAAAACATGTATTAGCTGTGTGTGGTTGTGTGTGCCTGTAATCCCAGCTATTTAGAAGGCTGAGGCAGGAGAATCACTTGAACCCGTGAGGCGGAGGTTGCAGTGAGCCGAGATTGTGCCACTGCACTCCAGCCTGGGCGACAGAGCAAGACTCCGTCTCAAACAAACAAAGAAAGTAGCAGCGCTGGTAGCAATGGATGGAGAAAGAGGTAGACAATGGGTGAAGATGCTTAAAATTAGTTTTAATTATAAAAATAATGCTTGTTCTTAAAAGTAGAGCAATACTGAAGTATTAAGTAAGAGTAAAAGCCATTTCCATTCCCAATGTGGCAGGAAAAGCTCCTAACAGACCCATATTGGCCAGCATGGGTTATGGCAGAGGGTACACGTGGTCCTGGGACAGAGGCAGCCTAATTCTGCGATGTGCTTTGGGGCTTTTTTTCCTGAAAGCTCAGCCTAGATTCTGTGAGTTGGACCTTCCCAACAATTCTGGGAGCTATCTTTATCCCTTAAAAAAAATCCCCCTTTTGCTTAAAATAGAATGGATTCTATGGTTTGCAATTAAGAACATTAACCTAAGCAAAGAGATGAGGGGCAAAGGGGCTGGAAAGGGGTTGAAATGACAGTCTAAGTTGGATTAGGAGGGAACCAAGGCAGGAAGTGCCTGATAGATGGGGACAAAACAGAAGCATTGTGGGACTGGAGGTCTCAAACTTATGCTTTAGAAATAAAGGACACACACCGGGCATGGTGGCTCATGCCTGTAATCTCAGCACTTTGGGAGGCTGAGGCAGGTGGATCACCTGAGGTCGGGAGCTCGAGACCAGCCTGACCAACATGGAAAAACCCCATCTCTACTAAAAATACAAAATTAGCCGGGCGTGATGGTGCATGCCTGTAATCCCAGCTACTCAGGAGGCTGAGGCAGGAGAATCGCTTGAACCCGGGAGGTGGAGATTGCAGTAAGCAGGGATTGCGCCACTACATTCCAATCTGGGGGACAAAGCGAGACTACGTGAAAAAAGAAAGAAAGAAAGAGAGAGAGAGAGAAAGGAAGGAAGGAAGGAAGGAGAAAGAAAGAAAGGAAGGAAGGAGAAAGAAAGAAAGAAAAGAAAGAAAAAGAGGAAGAAGGAAGGAAGGAAAGAAAGAGAAAGAAAGGAAGGAAGGAGAGAGAGAAAGACAGAAAGAAAGAAAGAAAGAGAAAGAAAGAAAGAAAGAAAGAGAGAGGACACAGCCTGGGCAACATGGTAAGACCCCATCTCTAAAAACAAAAAATACAAAAATTAGCTGACATAATGGTGCACATCTGTGGTCCCAGCTACTCAGGAGGCTGAGGCAGGAGGATTGCCTGAGCCCAGGAGGTCGAGTCTGTAGTAAGCAGAGATGGCACTACTGCACCTCAGCCTGGGTGACAGAGCAAGACCCTGTCTCAAAAAAGAAAGAAAGGAAGAAAGAGAAAGAAAGGTAGCTGTGGTGAGTGGAGAGGTCATGGAATATCTCAATTTAAGATTTAAGTGGTAGGTAAGTTCCTAGTGATGACAACATAGAGGATGTGATTATGGAAAAGTGACTAAGGTAGAGTGGAGGTCAAGGAACAAGGAGGTTAAGGTGTTGGATGGTTATCTTCATGGACAATGAAGTCCCTCAGAATAATGGCAGGAAGAGAAAAGAGACTCCTTTCAGGTCCCCAAATCCAGAAGGAATAATGGTGAGTCACCAGCAGGTGGTAGAGAAGAGTGACAAAGAGATGGTCAAGATAGACAAAGGGGAGGGAAGGTGCCCTACAGGACCCTCTGGAAGTGATGCTAATAGCAGGGGCCAAGATGCCTGGAGTATGAGGAGAGTCAGCCTCCCTCCAGAGATGCTGCTGGGAAGAGAAGTGAGTGTCTCATGTGACTAGCGACTATTTGAGGCCAGTATCGCGCAGGTGGTAAGGAGAATTTACTAAGACAGTTGTAGGTAAAGAAAGACAGATTTGGCTGGGTGCAGTGGCTCATGCCTGTAATCCCAGCACTTTGGGAGCCTGAGGCGGGCAGATCACTTGAGGCCAGGAGTTCGAGACCAGCCTGGCCAACATGGCAAAACCCTGTCTCTACTAAAGATACAAAAAGCTGGCCAGGTGCAGTGGCTCATGCCTATAATTCCAGCTCTTTGGGAGGCCGAGGTGGGTGGATCACTTGAGGTCAGGAGTTCGAAACCAGCCTGGCTAACATGGTGAAACCCCATCTCTACCAAAAATATAAAAAATTAGCCAGGTGTAGTGGTGCACGCCTGTAATCCCAGCTACTTGGGAGGCTGAGGCAGGAGAATCGCTTGAACCTGGGACGTGAAGGTTGCAGTGAGCCGATATCTTGCCACTGTACGCCAGCCTGGGCGACAGAGCGAGACTCCAACTCAAAAAAAAAAAAAAAATTAGCCTGGTATGGTGGCACACGCCTGTAATCCCAGCTACTCGGGAGGCTGAGGCAGGAGAATCACTTGAACCAGGAAGGCAGAGATTGCAGTGAGCCAAGATCGTGCCACTGCACTCCAGTCTGAGTGACTGGAGCGAGACTCCATCTCAAAAAAAAAAAAAGGCAGATTTATTGCAGGAGGGCTATGTGTCCTAGCCATGAAGAAAGGCAGACTTACAGCTTATCTGCTGTCTCTTTCTGCTTTCCCTTGGTCCCACCAGCCCAACTCCTTTTCCCTAATTAGGACTGCACAGTGAGGACTTCAGGGGAGCCAGGTTCCCTGCTCAGGGCAGAGGTGCTGGGAATAGTCTCTGAAGGGATGAGTTGAACATATAAGGAGTTTTCATGGATCACAAATTTTATTATTATTATTTTTGTTGTTTTGTTTTTTTTTTTTTTTGAGACAGAGTCTCGCTCTATCACCCAGGCTGGAGTGCAGTGGCACGATCTTGGCTCACTGCAATCTCCACCTCCCGGGTTCAAGCAATTCTCCTGCCTCAGCCCCCTGAGTAGCTGGGATTACAGGTGCGCGCCACCACGCCCGGCTAATTTTTGTATTTTTAGTAGAGACAGAGTTTCACCATGTTGGCCAGGCTGGTCTTGAACTTTTGACCTCAGGTGATCCACCCGTCTGGGCCTCCCAAAGTGCTGGGATTACAGGTGTAAGCCACCATGCCTGGTACTGCAGCTAATTTTTAAACTTTTTTTTTTTAAGAGACAGAGTCTCACTATGTTGTCTAGGCTAGTCTTGAATTCCTGGGCTCAAGTCATCATTCCACCTTCACCTCCCAAAGTGCTGGGATTATAGGTGTGAGCCACCTTGCCCAGCCAGGACTGATAGTCTTTAAAGGAATCCTAGACCATGTGAGAAAGTTACTTGACCTCGGCCGGGTGCGGTGGCTCATGCCTGTAATCCCAGCACTTTGGGAGGCCAAGGCGGGCAGATCACCTGAGGTCGGGAGTTCGAGACCAGCCTGACCAACATGGAGAAACCCCATCTCTACTAAAAAATACAAAATTAGCTGGGTGTGGTGGCACGTGCCTATAATCCCAGCTACTAGGGAGGCTGAGGCAGGAGAATCGCTTGAACCCGGGAGGTGGAGGTTGCAGTGAGCCGAGATCGTGCCATTGCACTCCAGCCTGGGCAACAAGAGTGAACTCCGTCTCAAAAAAAAAAAAAAAAAAAAAAAAGAAAGACAGTTACTCGACCTTGACCTCGACTTCTCTGGGACTCAGTTTTCTTATTTGTAAGATGGGCATCATAATACCTAGCTTGTTAGGGTGTTACAAATTTTATAAATGAAATTAAGGCCAAGGCAGGAGGATGGCTTGAGCCCAGGAGTTTGAGACCAGCCTGGGCAACATAGGGAGATCCCATCTCTACAAAAAACAAAACAAAATGAAACAACTAGCTAGGCATCATGGTGCATGCCTATGGTTCCAGCTCCTTGGGAGGCCAAGGTAGGAAGATAATTTGAGCCCAGGAGTTCCAGCCTGCAATGAATTATGATTCATGAGACCACTGCGGTCCATCCTGGGCAACAAAGTGAGACCCTATCTCAAAAAACTAACTAAATAAATAAAACTAAAAATAAATAAAGATAGAAATAAAGTTAAAATAAGGCACTTAACTGAGTAGCCCAAAGTGTGTTTTCAGTACAATGGCTGCTATGTTTTGCTGTGGTTATAATTTAGTCCCTTTGGGGAGGCCGAGGCATAGATGAGAGATGACATGAAGGTCAGGATCTGGTGCTTGAGACACCTCAGGGTCCAGCCCAGGTCTCACTCTCCTCCCCTCCCTTCCCTTCCCCACAATTGGCCTTCTCAAGGAATGTGGCTCTTACCTTCTCATAGGGTCCAGGCATTCTATTTCTCTCCATTTAGGGAAAATAGAAAGTCCCCTGTCACCAGACAGAAAGTACTCTGCTGAGGAGAGCATCCCTCGAATCCGATTGCTCAGAGCCCAGGGCACCCATATGGCCCTGTCCCACTGATTCCTCCCTCAGTATCTCTGACCCATTAAACTCCCTGCTTACCTCTGCCCTCATCTCTCAGCCTGCAGCAAAGCAAAATCCTGGCCAGATAACTTCCCATGGGCAGCAGAAGCTGGACAAAGTCCTTGGGCAGCCATCACCATGGTGACGAGCTGGAGAGAGCTGGCCCAGAGGAGAAGGCAGATGTCTCAGTCTATCTCCCCCACCCCTTCTACCCCTCTGTCCTGTCTTCCTAGCTGCCTCTTTCCCTCTGCTGTGCTCTCCCTGTGTCCCTAACTAGCCCTCTTAGGTCCCCTTTCACTTGTTCCCATCTTTTTCTGAAAAGGGGCAATAGAAATGAACATGACTTATCAAATTTGGAAAGCTGGTAATAGTTTTATACACACATGCACACACACACACACACACACATATTCTTCATCTCCTCTCATCTTTTCCTCCCTGTCTCTGTCCCTGCCTATTTCTCTGGACTGACTGCCCTCCCTCTTCTTCATTTCTCACGCTCTTCATTCTCTTTCCTCTTCCCAGATCTGTTTCAGGCTATCGCCTCCTCCCTTTGACAAGACAGGAGTGATCTGAGCTCCCCTCTTGCCATCTGCAGGAATGAGATGCCTGAGTAGCCCAGGAGGATGCTGCCAAGGGGCACAGCAGAGTTCGCCTTGAAGCCACAGACTGGACCTTGAATTCCAACCCATCTGCCTGATCAGTCATCGATGCTCCCCATGCCTCAGTTTATCAATAAAATGATGTGTTGTGATGACTAGTACATATGTAGATTTCAGCTCATATGAAATCATAGGGACCAGCCTGGCCAATATGGTGAAACCCCGTCTCTACTAAAAAATACAAAAATTCGCTGGGCATGGTGACGTGTGCTTGTGGTCCCAACTACTCGGGAGGCTGAGGCAGGAGAATCGCTTGAACCTAGGAGGCGGAGGTTGCAGTGAGCTGAGATCACACCACTGCACTCCAGCCTGGGTAACAGTACAAGGCTCTGTCTCACAAAAAAAGAAAAAAAAAAAGAAATCATAGTTACACCATAAAGAGAACAGCTGATGTCCCCCAAACTCATCTGTTCTCACCTACTGCCTAGTCTGTCTGGGTCCTCAGTCTGAGATCAAGAGGCCACTCATATATTCCTGATGGCCCCCAGCCCTGGACTCCACCAGTTGCCTCCCAGGGGAACATCCCTCCCTCCCTCCCCCATACACACCCTCTGGCTCCCTCTGCCAGGGTAGCAGCCAGCCATGGCCGGCCTGAGCAGGACTGGGTTGGGAACATCTCCAGCCCCCTTCATGGCCCAGTGTCAGTTTCAAGCCCTTCTGGGGTGGGAGGAGGCTAGGGTGGGGCTGCCAAAGTCAATACAGCCTGTCTTCACGGGCAGGGACCGGTTTGGCACCTGCAGGCCTGGTTTCCAGCTCACATGCTTGAGTCTTGACCTCTCCTGGGGTCAGCTGGAGTTCCTCTCCCTCCAGTTCTCCAGTCTAACGTGTCTCTGCCTCTGCCCTGCAGTCTGGTCATTGCTGTTCAGGACCATAGACCCTCCTGCCATTCCCCACCCCAAACTCCAGACCAGCCCCTAAAGAGCTTTTACCCTCACACCCTCTAAACTTACACCTAAAATGGAAACTACCTACTACAGACACAACTGATGGTTACATTAACGTGACTTTGCTAGTCCATGGTCTTCATTAGCATAACTTTATTATTCCAATAGACTCCGCCCAGGTAAAAGACCTGATTGTTCACTAGGGGAACTTCCCACAAAACCATCAAATCTTCAATGGAAGCATCTACTTTGAGCTTGCTTCCTAACATTGTTTGAATCCCTTGTCTCAAAAATCCTGGCCTTGATGTTTGTACCAATTCTTGACTGTGAAATGGCGATCCTTACCCAGTCCTAATCAAAGCCCCTGCACTGCAAGATCCATCTTAAACCAAACTTCCAACAACCTTACCTTCCCCACTTGGAGAGACTGCCAAATCTCTGTCTCCCTCACCAAGGTGAGCAATAAACTGTGCTTTGTGATATCAGTAGATTGTACTAGTGATTTTGAGGAGCTGGCATTTAACACTTTCTACTTACCTTCCCCCTAAAATGAGCCATTCTGGTCTCCACAGGTGCAGCCCCAATAAGATCCCAAACCTGGCCTTCATCCTCCTAAACAGATGTGTTTCTGGAATTTCTCAGGGTCAAGCCAACTCCCTGCACTATGGCTGCCTCTGACTGGGAGGCCAGCCTAGGGCCCAGCCCACGCCTCCTGACATGTGGACAGAAGGAATGGGAGGCAGGGAAGGGGCTGGATTTAACTAACAAATGGATGAGGGGGGCAGAAGCCCTCACCAATCCAGACTTCTCTCCCAAGCAGGAAAGGGGAGCAAAGCAAAGTCCTCACGCTCTCCAACAGTCGGATTTGTTTTGCAAACTCTGAGGTCATCCTATGTTCAGGCCCCAGGGAAACTGTGAGGGCTGGGGGGAGGAGGAGGAGGCAGCTCCACAAGGGACACACACTGCTGCATCCAGACTCACTACCTCGTCCCCATCCCAACGTGCCCCTTCTTCATGCCTACTTCCAAATGCTCTCTAAGTTCTAACTCCCACTCTGCACAGCAAATCCTGCTCCCTACCCTGCTGCCTGTTTGATAGATGTGGAAACCTGCCAATGAGGAGCCAGCCCTTCCCCAAATGTAGGGGGGCACTAGATACCCCAACATCGGCCTCGACAAAGATAAAACTGCATGCATTTTGAGCATGAGGCTGGAGCAATTCAGAAAAAAGCCCCCTTTCACCCCTGTCTGAGGCCCCTGTGCCAGCAGCGGGACATCATTAATGCCCTTTGCCCATCATGGGCAAGCTCAATGGGAGCCAGGCAGCTGCCTCACCCAGCACTGCCCTGCCCCTACCCCCTTCCCTACCCGGGGTGGGGCTGTCCTTCCTCTCCCCGAGTGCCTCCTGGGGCTCGGGTCCCAGGGCTATACAAAGAGTCCTTTGTCTGTGCTGGAAACAATTGTTCTCCCCTTTATGGAAACATGGGCTGTGTCTCATAATCAAGCCTTCAGAGGCTGGATCAAAGTGCACTGCAGCTTGGGTGCTGGGGATTATGTAGTTGCCCTCGAAGCCACTGACAACCTGTCATCTGCTCCTAATCTTTACCTGTTCCAAACCCACTGAGAACACCATTTCTTCCATGGGCTGGGCCTGTGTGAGCCCTTGGAGAGGGAAGGGAGCTGGGGGGGACAGGAGGAGGACCGGGTGGGTCTCCCCCTCCTGGCACCCAGGGCTCAGGTTACAGCCCCTGACAACACAGCATTGGGTGTGAACGTGCAGGGAGGCACTACCTGGTGAGAAAGGGAGGTGCCTGATTTGGCCCAGGGCCACCCCCCATCTCCGGGATCTTCAGTCAAGGGGGGAACCACCCTTCAGACTCACAGGGGCCTCTTCTCCCTATTTGCTTTGGCGTGGAGTGAATCTCTGCCCAGAGACACATGGGACGGGGTCCCTGTTCTGCCCACAGCTCTCTAGCCCTCTGCCTGTCACCACCCAGCCCCTTCCCACCTCGCGATTCCTCCTCCTCCTCCACCTTGTGGCCCTCCCCACCGTCCCCTGCATCGCCCACACAGGAAAGACTGGCTGGCTCCACTCCCACGTGGGCCTTCCCTTCTCCATCAAGCCAACGTAACCAGGCCTGGAGGCTGAAAACATGCAGGCTCCAGACCACAAACTCCTCCTTTGCCTCCAAAAACATATCCACACACCTTTTCCAGAACGCAACAAAAACAAGTCCTAAATCACTCACCTGGAGATTAAAACCAAGTCTGTCCTCCAAGGTTGGAGCCTTTCTGGGCTAGTGCTACAATCGGTGCACAAAAATCACATTATTAGAACTGGACAAGCTCTTAGGGACAAATTTAGGGGCTTGTGAACCTGTTCCTCTCAGTCACACGCAAAGTTTTGTGCACCAACTCATTATTCTGGAGGTATCTATAGATTATGTTGGTATTTCTTTTTTTTTTTTTTTTTTTTTAGACGGGGTTTCGCTCCTGTCGCCCAGGCTGGAGTGCAATGGCACGATCTTGGCTCACCACAACCTCCGCCTCTCCGGTTCAAGTGATTCTCCTGCCTCAGCCTCCCAAGTAGCTGGGACTACAGGCATGCGCCACCACGCCCAGCTAATTTTTGTATTTTTAGTAGAGACGGGGTTTCACCATCTTGGCCACGCTGGCCTCGAATTCCTGACCTCATGATCCACCGGCCTTGGCCTCCCAAAGTGCTAGGATTACAAGCGTGAGCCACCACACCTGGCCTGATTCTGTTAGTATTTCAAACATAATTTAAGAATCGGCCTTGGCCAGGTGTGGTGGCTCACACCTGTAATCCCAGCATTCTGGGAGGCCAAGGCAGGCGGATCACCTGAGGCCAGAGTTCGAGACCAGCCTGGCCAACATGGTGAAACCCTTGTCTCTACTAAAAATACAAAAATTAGCCAGGCGTGGTAGCAGGCGCCTGTAATCCCAGCTACTCAGGAGGCTGAGGCAGGAGAATCACTTGAACCCGGGAGGCGGAGGTTGCAGTGAGCTGAGATCCTGCCACTGCACTCCAGCCTGGGGGACAAGAGGGAGACTTCGTCTCAAAAAAAAAAAAAAAAAAAAAAAAAAAAGAATCGGCCAGGTGCGGTGGCTCATGCCTGTAATTCCAGCACTTTGGGAGGCTGAGGCGGGTGGATCGCCTAAGGTCAGGAGTTCGAGACCAGCCTGGCCAACATGGTGAAAACCCGTCTCTACTAAAAATACAAAAATTCACCCAGCATGGTGGCGCATGCCTGTAATCCCAGCTACTGGGGAGATTGAAGCAGGAGAATTGCTTGAACCTGAGAGACGGAGGTTGCAGTGAGCCAAGATCGTGCCATTACACTCCAGCCTGGGCGACACGAGCGAAACTCCTTCTCAAAAAAAAAAAAAAAAAAAAAAAATCCATGTAGTCCAGTCCATATCCTTTTACAGATGGGGAGACCGAGCCTCCGAGTGAGAAAACTTTTGTTAGGTCTCCTAACCCCCAGGCCACAGACAGATCCCTGCTCTTTCCTGTGTAGCTTGTCTCCCTGCCAGCAATCACCCACAGGGGTTCCTGGCTTTTTGCAAAGATCACCGTTAATTCAAATGTCTGGGAGACCCCGTCCTTCCCCGGAGGAAGCTTACAATCAAGCGGAAGTGGAATACGTAAGAACTGACAAGCCAGTGATGGCTGAAGGTGGCTGACCAGGCACAGTGGCTTACTCCTGTAATCCCAGCACTTTGGGAGGCCTAGATGGGTGGATCACTTGAGTCAGGAGTTTGAGACCAGCCTGGCCAACATGGTGAAACCCTGTCTCTACTAAAAATACAAAAATTAGCCAGGCATGGTGGCATGCGCCTGTAATCCCAGCTGCTCAGCAGGCTGAGGCAGCAGAATCACTTGAACCCAGGAGGCAGAGGTTGCAGTGAACCGAGATCACGTCACTGCACTCCAGCCTGGGCAACAGAGCAAGATTTTGTCACAAACAAACAAACAAACAAACAAACACACAAACAAACAAAAAAGCTGATAGCCCGGGATATGAATAAATGCAGAGTTCAATGCAATGCACTGAGATAGCATCAAAAGCAGGCCTACTACAAATACACATGAAAACTAGTCTTCCCAGGCCGGGCGGTGGCTCACTCCCGTAATCCCAGCACTTCAGGAGGCTGAGGTGGGCAGATCACCTGAGGTCAGCAGTTCAAGACCAGCCTGGCCAACATGGCGAAACCCCGTCTCTACTAAAAATACAAAAATTAGCGGGGCATGGTGGCATGCGCCTGTAATCTCAGCTACTCAGGAGGCTGAGGCACGAGAATTGCTTGAACCTGGGAGGTAGAGGTTGCAGTGAGCCGAGATCACACCACTGCACTGCAGCCTGGGGAACAGAGCAAGCCTCCATCTCAAAAAAAAAAAAAAAAAAGAAAGAAAACTAGTCCTCCCAAAAAGGCAGTCCAGGGACCTCTGTCCCACCTTCAGGTCTGGCTGGCTGTGGGACTGTGGGGTCAAGGCTGGCCCGCTGACCAGAACAGAGCCCCTGACTGGGCTTTGGTGTGCGTCCTGCCCCCAGGAAATTAGTGTTCTGTTCAAGAGACAGGACACAAGGCCCCCCGACAGCAGCCAGAGAGTTCAAACCCTCCATGGCTCTGCATCTTACCTGTAAAAGCCAAAGTCCTACAAAAGCCCGGTGCTATCTGCCCCTGCCCTAGACTTCATCTCCACCCCCGCACCCTTGGCTCTGTTCCATCTGCACAGGCCCCCTTGGCTTTCCTCACAGGAGCCGCACATTCCAGCTGCTGGCCTTTATAAAGGCAGAAAAGTGTGATCACTTTTCTCACCCACCAGGAGGTTAACAAGAGAAAACGTAACAGATTTATTTAATCAAAGTTGGGTTTTGTTTGTTTGTGTTTGTTTTTCCTCACTCTGTAGCCCAAGCTAGAGTGCATGGTGGGATCTCAGCTCACTGAAGCCTTGACCTCCTGGGCTCAGGTGATCATCCTACCTCAGCCTCCCGAGTAGCTGGGACTAGAGGTGCACACCACCATGCCTGGCTAATTTTTTAAATTTAATTTTCATAGAGACTGTGTCTCACAATGTTGCCCAGGCTGGTTCAAGCAATCCTCCCACTCAGTCTCCCAAAGTGCTAGAATTACAAGTGTGACCCACTGGGCCTGGACTATTTGATCAAAGTTTTATGTGTTCACAACCAGCCTGGGCAACATAGGGAGACCTCATTTCAATAAAATTTTTAAAAAATTTTGAGACAGCCTTCAGAAATGAAGACCCAAAGACCTGGGGAAAACTGTCTGAGTTTATGCTTAAAGGTTGATGAGGAATGGTAGCTGTGTAGAAATGTGATTGGATGAAGGGGTATGATCTAATGCTCAGTGACTGAGAGAGGAAACAGCAAGGCCTGTCTGCTTGATTCTCCTTGGCTTCTCTGTGTAACCTTTCTTTCTTTTTCTTTTTTGATATGAAGTCTCACTCTATTGCCCAGGCTGGAGGGCAGTGGAATGATCTTGGCTCACTGCAACCTCCACCTCCCAGGTTCAAGCAATTCTCCCACCTCAGCCTCCTGAGTAGCTGGGATTACAGGTGCATGGTACCACACCCGGCTAATTTTTGTATTTTTGGTAGAGACAGGGTTTCACCATGTTGGCCAGGCTGGTCTCAAACTCCTGACCTCAAGTGATCTGCCCGCCTTGGCCTCCCAAAGTGCTGGGATTACAGGCGTGAGCCACTGTGCCCAGCCTGTGTAGCATTTCTTCTTCCTAGGCATGAGGAAGGACCCCTCTGGGATGAGGGTCTTTAAGGGAGAAGGGAGAGAGGGAAAATGACCTCTCTAGGTTTTGCTTTCTGGGAGAGGGATTCTAGTTTCTATGGCCTTGGGGAAGAGGAATTCTGGTTTCTGTGACTTGCCTTGAAAGAGAAAGGTGAGCAGCAGGGCAGGAGGTCAGAGAGACTCTGCTTCCGAGGCCTTCCCATCTCCTTTAGTTCAAAATACTCAGCATGCCTTACTTTGGGGAATTGTGTTCTGAGCCCTGCCTGGAAGTCTCTTCTCTGAGGTGGTTCCACAGCTCTATCCTCAGGCCAGCACTGAAACCTTCTCTTAACCAAAACATCTGAGAGGAGAACACATCGAAGCCTACCCTCACCCGTTTCATCTCCATCCTTTTCTTTCTTCTGCTTTGTTTTTCTTCAGGGAACATATCAGCACCTGACATAATTGTGTGTTTCATTATTGTTAACTGTATTTTTTTTCAGGTTTTTTTTTTTGAGATGGAGTGTCGCTTCGTTGCCAGGCTGGAGTACAGTGGCGTGATCTCGGCTCACTGCAAACTCCGCCTCCCGGGTTAAAGTGATTCTCCTGCCTCAGCCTCCCGAGTAGGTGGGACTACAGGTGTGCGCCACCATGCCCAGGTAATTTTTGTATTTTTAGTAGAGACAGGGTTTCACCATGTTGGCCAGGATGGTCTCGGTCTTTGACCTCGTGATCCACCCACCTCGGCCTCCCAAAGTGCTGGGATTACAGGCATGAGACACTGTGCCCGGACTTTTTTTTTTTTTTTTAAGTAGAGACAGGGTCTCCCTATGTTGCCCAGGCTGTTCTCAAACTTCTGGGCTCAAGGTATCTACCTACCTCCACCTCCCAAAGTGCTAGGATTACAGGTGTGAGCCACCACGCCCGTAACAATAACCACAATAATTGTTGTTAATTGTATTTTGATTGTCAGTTGCTCCAAGTAGAATATTAGCCTCATGAGGACAGAATTTTTTTTTTTTTTTTTGGAGACAGGTTTTCACTCTGTCACCCAGGCTGGAGTGCAGTGACACGGTCTTTGCTCATTGCAGCCTCAACCTCCCAGGCTCAAGTTATCCCCCTGCCTCAGCCTCCTGAGTAGCTGGGACTGCAGGCAGGCACCACCACGCCTAGCTAACTTTTGTATTTTTTGTAGAGACAAGACTTTACCATGTTTCCCAGGCTGGGAGGACAAGATTTTTGTGTTTTGTTCTCTGCTGTATCCTCAGTGCCTAAAACAGCACACAGTAGGAATTCAATAAATATTTCAATGACTATTGTTGAAAGAATATAGGAGGCCGGGTGTGGTGGCTCATGCCTGTAATCCCAGCACTTTGGGAGGCCGAGGTGGGTGGATCACGAGGTCAGGAGTTCAAGACCAGCCTGACCAAGATGGTGAAACCCTGTCTCTACTAAAAATACAAAAAATGGCCGGGCGCGGTGGCTCACACCTGTAATCCCAGCACTTTGGGAGGCTGAGGTGAGTGGATCACGAGGTCAGGAGATCGAGACCATCCTGGCTAACACTGTGAAACCCCGTCTCTACTGAAAATACAAAAAAAAATTAGCTGGGCATGGTGGCGGGTGCCAGTAGTCCCAGCTATTTGGGAAGCTGAGGCAGGAGAATGGCGTGAACCCGGGAGGCAGAGCTTGCAGTGAGCCGAGATCGTGCCACTGCACTCCAGCCTGGGTGACAGAGCGAGACTCCGTCTCAAAAAAAAAAAAATACAAAAAATTAGCCAGGCATGGTGGAATGCACCTGTAATCCCAGCTACTCGGGAGGCTGAGGCAGAGAATTGCTTAAACCTGGGAGGCGGAGGTTGCAGTGAGCTGAGATCGCGCCACTGCACTCCAGCCTGGGTGACAGAGCAGGACTCTGTCTCAAACAAAAAAAAAGAAAGAAAGAATATAGGAAAAGGGGGCCAGGCATGGTGGTTTATGCCTATAATCCCAACATTTTGGCTGGGCGCGGTGGCTCACGCCTCTAATCCCAGCACTTTGGGAGACTGAGACGGGTGGATCACAAGGTCAGGAGATCGAGACCATCCTGGCTAACATGGTGAAACCCTGCCTCTACTAAAAATACAAAAAAAAATTAGCCGGGCATGGTGGTGGGCGCTTGTAGTCCCAGCTACTTGGGAGGCCGAGGCAGGGAGAATGGTGTGAACCCGGGAGGCAGAGCTTGCAGTGAGCTGAGATCGCGCCACTGCACTCCAGCCTGGGGGACAGAGCGAGACTCCATCTCAAAAAAAAAAAACAAAAAAAACCCCAAAAACCAACATTTTGGGTGACCAAAGCAGGCAGATCATATACGGCCAGAAGTTTGAGACCAGTCTGGCCAATATGGTGAAACGTCATCTTTACTAAAAATACAAAAATTAGCCAGGTGTGGTGGTGCACATCTGTAATCCCAGCTACTCGGGAGGCTGAGGCAGGAGAATCACTTGAATTGGAAAGGCAGAGGTTGCAGTGAGCCGAGATCGCACCACTGTACTCCAGCCTGGGTGACAGAGCAGGAGTCTTATCTCAAAAAAAAAAAAAAAAAAAAGACTATATGAAAAGGAATATTAGATAAAACACATGGCCCTAGTTTCCCCATATGGAAAATGGGAAGGATTAAACTGGATCTAAGATTCCATCTGTTTCCAGGAGTCAGGCAGGCTGTGCTGGGGCGGCCTGGTTGGGCATGGAGGTGGGGCTGAGAGGGACAGTTTCCTCACAGGCTTCAGAACAAGCCTGTATGTGACTGGCAGGGTGGGGCAGGGCGTTGGGGGAGGGGCGATGGAAGGACTTTGCTAAGGATCTATCCAGAAGACTTCAGAATTCCCTGAATGAGGCAGGTCCAGATGTGGGCAGCTTCAGGTCAGGGCATGGGGGCCCTTCAAATAAACAGCAGCAGGCCGGGCGCGGTGGCTCACACCTGTAATCCCAGCACTTTGGGAGGCCGAGGCAGATGGATCACCTGAGGTCTGGAGTTCGAGACCAGCCAGGCCAACATGGTGAAACCCCATGTGTACTAAAAATACAAAAACTTAGCCAGGTGTAGTGGCGGGTGCCTGTAATCCCAGCTACTCAGGAGGCTGAGGCAGGAGAATCGCTTGAACCCAGGAGGTGGAGGGCCGAGATCGTGCCACTGCACTCCAGCCTGGGCAACAAGATTGAAATTCTGTCTCAAAAAAACAAAAACAAAAAAACTCCAAACATTTGCAGAGCACTTCCCACAGGCCACAGCCTGTCTGACCTTTCCAGACCAGTAAAGCAGGCCATCCCTCCAGCTCCTTTCCTCAAGGGCCCTTCCAGCATCATTCGGGTCTCAGGCTAAATGTCACTTCCTTGGAGTGGGCTTCTCTAATCACACCCTGTCACCCTCTAGCAATCATCCTATTTTAATTTCTCACATAGCACTTGGCATTCCCTGTGGATTCTCTGGTTTGAGGTCTGACTCCTCCATTTGAGTGGAAGTCCCATAAGGGCAGGGTCTGTCTCCTTCACCACAGCATTCTTCACCTGGGGCAGCACCCAGGGCAGCACCAGAAGACAGGTGAAGAGAAACCCTGTTTTATAGCTATGAAAACAGAAGCACAGAGGCTAAGTGTCTGGCCCAAGGTCTAACAGAGAGTCAGTACCAGAGCCAGCATCCATCCTCCCATGCTGACCCTCCTGCTCACCATGCCTGTCTCTCTGCCCTGGCTACCACATGGCAGCCAAAGTGAGTTTTTCTTCTTCTTTCTTTCTTTTTTTTTTTTTGAGATGGAGTCCTGCTCTGTCGCTAGGCTAGGGTGCAGCGGCACAGTCTCGGCTCACTGCAACCTCCTCCTCCTGGGTTCAAGCGATTCTCCTGCCCAGTCTCCCAAGTAGCTGGGATTACAAGTACACACCACCATGCCCGGCTAATTTCTGTATTTTTAGTAGAGACGAGGTTTCACCATGTTGGCCAGGATGGTCTTGATCTCCTGACCTTGTGACCCATCCGCCTCAGCCTCCCAGAGTGCTGGGATTACATGCGTGAGCCACCGCGCCCAGCCCAAAGTAAATTTTTCAAAACATAGACCAGATTCCTTCTGACTCACCTTCCTGTGGGTTGGTTTTCTGCATATCATCATCTCCAGACTTCTTATCTAGGCCTGTCTGACTGTCCTCATCAGGCCTCTGCCCACCATCCTCTTCTCTCCAGCTTCTATTTAACCCCCAGATCATGCTCACTCCTGCCCCAGGACCTTTGCGCTGGCTCTCTCCTCTCCAGGAAGGTTTTGGCATGGCTCATTCTTATCCCCCAGGGTATTTGTAGGAAGGTCATCCTGACCACTCTAAAGCCACCCTGTGCTGTCCCCATAGTCCCTCCCCACCACAGCCCTCTTAGACTTTCCTCCATTGCACTCAGCACCCACTACAATTATTGATTTATCTTTTGTCTCCGGCTACCCAGAACACAGCCCAGTGAGAGTAGAGACCATGCCTGGTGGCATCCTCGGTGCATCTCCGGTGCCCAGAATGGTGCCTGGCACAAAGTGGGCACTCATAAAATATTTGTTAAATGAATGGATGCAGGAGTGAATACATTTGAGAAAAAGAACCAATGGGCAGGAAAGAAATGAGGTTGGAAAGGCAGGGCTGGGGGCTGAGGGTCATTTCATAGAACAAGCACAGAGGCCTGCAGGCCCAGGCGCGGACCTCAGGAGAGATGCACAGACTACCATTAAGAGACAGTGACACTGAGGTTCCTCGCGGTGCTGGGAAGTCTGACTTGAGAGTACAGTGCTGGTTATGATTATAAACTGGCAAAAGGCAAACAGGCGAGACTGGTGAGCTTAACCCAGTGCATCTCACTCCTCTTATCAAATTTCTCTGAAGCTGTTATCTCTCTGGACTTCAAACAGCTGCCTCTTATCTTCAGCCCAGCCCAAGCAGTTATCAGGTTCTAGAATAACAGCTTTCCAGGCTGCTAGGAGCAGAGCCCAGTGCCAGGTCTCCAGCCTGGCGTGAGGAAGGCCAGAGTGTGTCTTCCCTGCACTCAGCAGGGCCTATTCACTCCCAGTCCCCAGAGTCCCTCATCACAGCACAGGAAGGGTGGGAGATAGGCTGAATCTCAATGAAGCCACTTTGGGTAGGGGCGGAGCAAAAAAAAATTTCTACTCACAGTTCCACCAACCTGTTAAGGGACTGGTCCTGAGTCTCCTCTTATCACCTGAGCCACAGGTTAAAGCCTTAAATGGGACCCCTGGGACCCCAGAACATGACCCGGATGTCAGGCCTCCTCTGAGAATATCCCAGTCCGCAGCACCCTTTAGTGCCAGAAGAGAAGTTTACCGGAGAGAAGTAGGCCCTCCTATGTGCCTTGGTCTACTCTGACCTAAGAAATCACTCCTCAGCCACCCAGGACCAAGTCACCTTCAGAACTTTGAAGCCAGATGTGTGAGAGGGAGACTGAGTCACTCTGCAGGACAGATCAGGCCCTCAGGGTTCTGCCTCCTCACCATCCCGGCAGGACGCAGAGCTCCAGCAAAGTCCAGGAGGCCACAGGCTGACATCCACCTGGCCTCACTTCATACCAGGTGGTGCACTGGCCCAGGCCCCATAGACAAGGGACAGCCAGGGCCCTCCCTACACCCTGGGGTAGGGGCAGGAGCCAGGGCAGGACAACGGGCACAGCATGACATGCCCTGAAGGACTTGTGCCTGCTGCCTCCCACCGGTGCCCTCCCTCTGTTAGCTATAGAGATGTGTGTAAGTCTGAGCCATGGGAAGGCTTCCTAAGGCATCTTTAGAAGCTGGCCAGACCCCTCACTTCCTGACTTCATTCCCCCTTGAAGCAGGGGGTGCCAATAAGGAAAAAAAGCACATACAGAAGTGACATTAGCAACAGCATGTCAACACCTGTGCAGAGCAGTTTATCAGTAAACAAAGGCCAGAGCACAGGGCAGAGAGGGGAGCTTGGACTTGACCCTGTGGACAAAGGGAAGCTGTGGTGGAGCTTTAAGTAGGGGGTGGACAGCACCAGATTTGCATGTTTGAAAGACCCTCTGGCTATAATGAGTGGGGAGGAGCCACAGACAGAAGGGACAGACTTGCAGGAGGAGCTGTTAGCAGTGCAGGAGAGAAACTGACCATTTGAGAGAGTCCTCAGTACGCATGTATTTTCTCAATATAAAGACACTGGTTCGGCCAGGTGCGGTAGTTCACGCCTGTAGTCCCAGCAATTTGGGAGGCCAAGGCAGGCAGATTACTTGGGACCAGGAGTTCAAGACCAGCCTGGACAACATGGCAAAACCCTGTCTCTGCTAAAAATACAACACTTAGCCAGTCGCAGTAGCGCATGCCTGCAGTCCCAGCTATTCAGAAGGCTGAGGTGGTAGGATCGCTTGAGTCCAGGAGGCAGAGGTTGCAGTGAGCCAAGATTGTGCCACTGTACTTCTAGCCTGGGTGACAGAGTAAGACTGTCTCAAAAAAAAAAAAAGACAGTGGTTCGAGACCAGCCTGGGCAACACATAGTGAAACCCTGTCTCTAAAAATAATTAAAAATTAGCTGGGTGTGGTGGTGTGTGCCTGTAGTCCCAACTACTTGGGAGGCTGAGGTAGGAGGATTGCTTGAGCCCAGGAGGTTGAGGCTGCAGTGAGCTGTCATTGTGCCACTGCACTCCAGCCTGAGCAACTAAGAAAGACCCTGTCTCAAAAAAAAAAAAAAAAAAAAAAAAGCACTAGACCAGGCACAGTGTCTCACGCCTGTAATCCCAGCACTTTGGGAGGCCAAGGTGGGCAGATCACGAGGTCAGGAGATCGAGACCATCCTGGCTAACACGGTGAAACCTCGTCTCTACTAAAAATACAAAAAATTAGCCAGGTGTGGTGGCAGGCGCCTGTAGTCCCACCTACTTGGGAGGCTGAGGCAGGAGAATGGCATGAACCCGGGAGGCGGAGTTTGCAGTGAGCCGAGATCGTGGTACTGCACTCCAGCCTGGGCAACACAGCAAGACTCTGTTTCAAAAAAAAAAAAAAAAAAAAAAAGACACTAAAAGCCAAATTCCAAGCATGTGGAAGCTCATCAGTTGTTTTTTTTTGTTTTTTTTTTTGAGATGGAGTCTCACTCTGTCGCCCAGGCTGGAGTGCAGTGGTGCAATCTCAGCTCGCTGCAAGCTCCACCTCCTGGGTTCACATCATTCTCCTGCCTCAGCCTCCCGAGTAGCTGGGACTACAGGCGTCCACCACCACACCCGGCTAATTTTTTGTTGTTTTTAGTAGAGACAGGATTTCACCGTGTTAGCCAGGATGATCTCGATCTCTTGACCTTGTGATCTGCCTGCCTCAGCCTCCCAAGTGCTGGGATTACAGGCGTGAGTCACTGCGCCCGGCTCATCAGAAGTTTTTAACTGTTTTTGAAAAAGTCTTCATCCTCCAAAAGGCTGGGAAGGCCTCCATGTATAGGTAACACCCAAGCCCCTTCCTCAGGCCTCCAAAGCCTTCCAAGATGGGGCCCAGCCTCATTCTCCAATGCTGTGCCCTTGTTTGCACCCCAGTGTCCAGCATGAGGCCTAGCCCCCTTTGCCCAGGTAACCACAGTGACCCATGCCTCCATGCCACTGTGCAGGCTGTCACTGCTGCAAAGCATTCCCCACTCCGTCCTGTGTCTTGTTCAACGCTCAGCACAGCACCTGGCCCATGGTAAAGCTCTCAATCAATATGTGTTTTACACACAGCAGAGGTAATCACTCCCTCTACCTCCATGCGGAGTACACACCTCTAATATCGCACTTACGTTGCTCGGCAATAGCCTGTTTACTTGACATGTCCACTCAGACGGCGAGCTCTTTGAGGGCTGGGACTCTTTCATCTTTGTGTCCTCACTGCCTGGCACACAGTAGGTACTCAATAAATGCTTGTTGAATGACTGCGTAAAACCCATCTGAAGCTTCTCTAATCACTTCTGAGAAACCTTAGTACATCTATGGCCCTCTTTTTTTTTTTTTTTTTTTTTTGAGACAGAGTCTCGCTCTGTCGCCCAGGCTGGAGTGCAGTGGTGTGAGCTCGGCTCACTGCAGCCCCCACCTCTCGGGTTCAAGTGATTCTCCTGTCTCAGCCTCCTGAGTAGCAGCTGGGATTACAGGCGCCTGCCACCATGCCCAGATAATTTTTGTATTTTTAGTAGAGACGGGGTTTCACCGTGTTGGCCAGGCTGGTCTCGAACTCCTGACCTCAGGTGATCCACCTACTTTGGTCCCCCCAAAGTGCTGGGATAACAGGCATGAGCCACTGCGCCTGGCCAGGCACCTCCTGTATCTCCCTCACCACACTGCTCTGTAGCCCAGCAGTTAATCCAGGTACCTCAGACAAGTCCAGGTCCAAATCCTGGCTGCACCATTTGATGATGACCTAGCACACCCCTTGAGCCTCAGGTTTCCATTTGGTGTCCATATTCCATTAGGGAAGTGGAAGAATGCAATCAGATAATTCATGGCAAGAGTTTGGCAAATGTCAAATAAATGCCAACTTTGTTATTCTGGCCTCACCCACAGTTTTCTCACTCCCAGAATCCTAAAGCCAGCCGTTTAGTGCCTCAGAGACCTTGCTCTTAGAGAGATAAGATGCCCTAGGTGTGGCCAAAGAATAAGAAGGTCCAAAGTGAAGATAACATTTTAAAAAATGTGTAGAATAGAATGAGTAATAAGAAAAGGAAGGCTGGCCAGGGTAGCGACAGAATCAGGAGGGACCTTGAGGCTGCCTGGGAGTGCCTGTGTGTATTGGCGTGGCAGAGCCAACCGTCAAGGTCCGGCACCGGCCCGCCCAGCATCTGGGTTCTGCTGCAGCTCTTCTGGCCAAGGCTGGGTGGCCACTTCTCCCCACACCGCTCAAGGGTTCTCCTTCCTCAGCTAACTGGCTCTCCCCACAAACATGCTGTGAATTTCCTGGGGTTGCTCTCCAGTTAGGGATTGAGAGGCCTTAGACGTGAAGGGCAAAAATGTCATTAAGAACCCAGACTGGCCGCCTAGCATATATGGCATTCCCTGGGCCTCATCGTTCTTTTTTTTTTTTTTTTTTGAGACGGAGTTTCACTCTCGTCACCCAGGCTGGAGTGCAATGGCGCGATCTCGGCTCACTGCAACCTCTGCCTTCCGGGTTCATGCGATTCTCCTGCCTTAGCCTCCTGAGTAGCTGGGACTACAGGCAGGCACCACCACGTCCAGCTAATTTTTTTGTATTCTTAGTAGAGACGGGGTTTTGTCACATTGGCCAGGCTGGTCTCGAACTGCTGACCTCAGGTGATCTGCTTGTCTCAGCCTCCCAAAGTGCTGGGATTACAGGCGTGAGCCACCGCACCCAGCCTTAATTTTTATATTTTTAGTACAGATGGGGTTTCCCCATGTTGGCCAGGCTGGTCTCGAACTCCTGACCTCAGGTGATCCACCCACCTCGGCCTCCCAAAGTGCTGGGATTACAGGCGTGACCTACCACGCCCGGCCCATAATTCTTCATTTGTAAATTGGGATAGCAATTTCTATCTCATAGAATTTTTTTTTTTTTTTGAGACAGATTCTCTCACTCTCCCACCCATGCTGGAGTGCAGTGGCGCGATCTCAGCTCACTGCAACCTCTGCCTCCCAGGTTCAAGTAACTCTCCTGCCTCAGCCTCCAGAGTAGCGGAGACTACAGGCAAGTGCAGCCACAGTCAGCTAATTTTTGTATTTTTAGTAGAGATGGGGTTTCACCATGTTGGCCAGGCTGGTCTCAAACTCCTGACTTCAAGCGATCTGCCTACCTTGGCCTCTCAAAGTGCTGGGATTACAGACATGAGCCACTGCACCCATCCTATGTCATAGAATTTTAATTTTAAGTTAGATCATGTTAGGTTGGCCATATAATTTATTATCCAAACCAGGATACTTTTGAAAGTGAAAGGAGGCCACTGTCCACATTTACACTGGAACAATAGGCCTAAGCCAGGACTGCCCGGTGAACAGGGAGGTAAGGTCACCTTGGGTTCTGCTTATAAGTACCTCACCTTAGTGGTAGCAACAACAGCAGACACTCATTGGCTCTTACAATGTATAGTGTATGATTCTAAGTGCTTTGCCTCATTTGATTTTTACAAACAATAGAAGTACCTGTTTTACAGGTGGATATCCACCATTTTGTAGGTGAATAAACCAAGGCATACAACATTAAGTAATAGGTTGTTTTCTTTGTTTTGTTTTGTTTTGTTTTTTTAAGGCCATTCAAGTGAAACAGTGGGAGTGAAGGAACAAAGAAATCTGTAACTGCTTGTGATCAATTAGTTGTAAACACCAAGTAATACGTCTTCGGTCACCCAGATGGTAATAATAGTAGAGATGGAACCCAGAGTCTATGTGCAGGATTACCAGACCATGCTGGCCTTGGTCAAAGCTGTTGGCTCTTCCTGAGTAAGCCATCCCACTCGGATTCCCAGGAGTCAGTCTCTCAGCCCCAGCTGAGCAGGCTTCTACCTCAGGTGTGTCTGTCATGGCATAAGGCCCCTCCTCACTGTCTAAGCTCACTCCCTGGGTATTACCCATCCACACACCCTGAGCAACCAGCTGTGATCACCAACCTAGAATTTCAGCCCAGGTGTCTGCTGAGCTCCAGACTGGCATATTCAGGGCCTGCCTGGGCATCTCTGGGGTCCCTATCTGGAACCAAAGCACACTGAGAAGGGACTGAGGTGACCTCTCACAGGGTCCAGGGTGCTCCAGGGTAGATGACCTATACCAGAGGAATTGATAAACTGATATGTCCTAAATTTTAAAAAACCTCTTGGCTGAGCATCTGTTAACTGGGCAGTATGAGGTGGAGACTGTTTTCTTTCCTTTTTTTTTGTTTTTGTTTTTGAGAGGGAGTCTCACTCTGTCCCCCAGGCTGGAGTGCAATGGTGCAATCTCGGCTCACTGCAACCTCCGCCTCCTGGGTTCAAGTGATTCTCATGCCTCAGCCTCCTGAATAGCTGGGATTACAGGCACCAGCCACCACACCCGGCTAATTTTTGCATTTTTAGTAGAGACGGGGGTTGCGCCATGTTGAGCAGGCTAGTCTTGAACTCCCGACCTCAACTGATCTTCCCACCTCGGCCTCTCAAAACGCTGGGGTTACAGGCTTGAGCCACTGTTCCCGGCCCAGATTGTAACTTTTTAATGGGGCAACCACCCTTGGCCTTCTAGTCATCGTTGATGTCTTCTACAATACAAGCCTGTCTGCTGTGCATGCATTTTGCCCCCACAGACATCAGGTTCTATTAGCCATCTGCAGGTCACGCTCCCTTGGTTGCCATTCTGACCTTGCCAGTGTTTACAATGTCTGCTACAATCTGGCTTTTTGTCACCAGGGCAGCCACCTGGTCTCCATTGTTTCAGAGTCCTCTTATTTCCACTGATATCAACAACAGGCCTCTCCTACTGGGAGCCTCAGCCTACAGAGGAAAGCTGCCACTGAACTTCTGAGTGCTGCTGGTGTCCCTCTCAACACTGCATTCCTGATGGTCTTGGTGTAAATGGTGCATCCTTGCAGGCTTCCCATGGAACCTAAACATCTGATGGGTCTTCTGGTAGCACCCAGCATATCATTTGAGCATGTCCCCTTCCCTGCACTTTTTTTTTTTTTTTTTTTGAGACAGAGTCTCGCTTTGTTGCCCAGGCTGGAGTGCAGTGGCACGATCTCGGCTCACTGCAACCTCCGCCTCCCGGGTTCAAATGATTCTCCTGCCTCAGCCTCCCAAATAGCTGGGACTACAGGTGCATGCCACCATGCCCAGCTAATTTTTTGTATTTGTGGTAGAGACAGGGTTTTACCGTGTTAGCCAGGCTGGTCTTGATCTCCTGACCTCGTGATCCACCTGCCTTGGCCTCCCAAAGTGCTGGGATTACAGGCCTGAGCCACTCCATCCAGCCCCCTGCACTTTTTAATCATTTCCTTCACCACCTGCTACAGTAATTCTGGTACTGCAATTTCATTCACTGTGGACGCTTTTTCCAGCTTCTAGAAGCCATCATTATGGCAAGTTCATACACTCTCCTGAGATCCTCACTAAATCCAGTATCTCGGTAGAGCTCAATAAAGTCAATAAATTTTCCTATCATATATATATATATATAAAAATATATAAAACATTATTTTAAATAATTAAAAAAATAGAGACAAGGTCTTGCTATATTGCTCAGGCTGGTCTCGAACTTCTGAGCTCAAGCCATCCTCCTGCCTTGGCCTCCCAAAGTGCTGGGATTAAAGGTGTGGGCCACCATGCCCGGTCTCCTATCCAATTGTTCCAGCTCCTCAATCAAGCATCCTCGGAATCATTCCACCCAAACTCCCCTGGGACTGCTAGCAATGCTGATTCTTGCAGCTGGTTTGAAACACAATCTCCTTTTCTCTGTCATTAGGCCCAGCACCTCCCCAGCTGGCTTACTCCAAGACTTAAAGGTTTAGTGTAGCCCGAAAAGGAGGTGGTCCTGAAGGGGCACTCATTGTCTTGCTGGAGTGAGGCTTCTGCATTGCCTTTGAGCAAGGGCTGGTGGGGAGGCAGTGCTAGCTCACAATATGGAGGAGTGGATCACATCTGCAGATTCAGAGTAGCCTGGGATACCAGGATCTTCAGGAACCTTCACCCGGATGTCTCCACTCATAGTTGTTTCCATCCCATGGGTTAGGGTCCCAGATTTTTCTAAATTTTTTATTTTATTTTATTTTTTGAAAAAGTATCTGGCTCTAATGCCCAGGCTGCAGTGCAGTGGTATGAGCTCGGCTCACTGCAACCTCCACCTCCCAGGCTCAAGCAATCCTCCCACCTCAGGCTCCCAAGTAGCTGGGACCATAGGCACGTGCCGCCACCATGCCTGGCTAATTGTTATTATTATTATTATTATTATTATTATTATTATTATTATTATTATTATTTGAGCCAGAGTCTAACTCTGTTGCCCAGGCAACAATGGCTCGATCTCAGCTCATTACAACTTCCGCCTCTTGGGCTCAAGCAATTCTCAAGCCTCAGCCTCCCGAGTAGCTGGGATTACAGGCATGAATCACCATGCCTACACACCCAGCTAATTTTTGTAGAGCCAGGATTTCACCATTTTGCCTAGGCTGGTCTTGAACCCCTGACCCCAATTGATCTGCCTACCTCGGCCTCCCAAAGTGCTGGGATTACAGGTGTGAGCCGCCGCACTGGGCCAAGACCTTCTGACTTTCACACCTGATTTTCAGTTGCTTGTTAGTCCCCTCAGCTGTTTTTCATCTTTCTACAGAAGTAGGAGGTTAAGCAAGTGCCATTCAGGAGCCCTCTCCTAATTGATACCAGTTCCTCCACACCGGTCAGACTCCTGGGACCGCACACCCTCCAGTGCATTCTCTCTCTCTGGTATGCCTTCTGGATTTACCGCCAGTGAAAGTTTTAATGCTGCCACCTTGTGCCAATAGCCCTCCGTACCCCACTTCCCACCAGGGATGAGGTCCTCATTGCCAGCTAGGCAGTGAGGCATCCAGCTCCCAAAACCCATCTTATTACCTGCTTTCTTGGGCCATTCCTGAATGGGTTCTCTGGAAGCAGACACTGAGACAGAGCTGGAATAGAAGACATTTGTTAGGGATCAACACTTCTAAAAGTAAGACAGGAGGCAGGACTGGGCTGAGGGAGAAGCTGAGCTGCCATGCAGGCCTGTGAAGACTGGACCAATCAGTGGAGATCTCTGCAGTAAGTACTGCCTATCAGAGTCGTCCCACCATGGGCTGTGATGGCCAGGTGTTTCTAGCCTTATCTTAGTCACTAGATCCAGGCTGCCCTGGGGAGGCATGACCTCAGGCTCTCTCAAACTGAGGCAGACTATGACAGAGCTGACAGCTGGGAGCTATCTGGTGGCCTCACTCCCCACACCTGGGCAGCGAGTCCTTCCTTGAGGGAGGATCTACGCAGCACATCTTTGAGTCTACAAAAAAAGCAATTTAACATTCATTCAGTCAACAAACATTACTTCCTATTATTATCTGCTAAGCACTATTCTAGGTGCTGCAGATGCAGCCACGTAAGAGACAAGCAGTGCTCTCATACGGCACTGTATGACTTAACAGACTATTCACCTAGAGATCAGGTTGACATCACCTTATAAAACTTGAGGATTCTGGCCAGGGACGGTGGCTCATGCCTGTAATCCCAGCACTTTGGGAGGTTGAGGCGGGTGGATAACCTGAGGTCAGGAGTTTGAGACCAGCCTGGCCAACATGGTTAAACCCTCATCTCTACTAAAAAAATACAAAAATTAACTGGACGTGGTGGTGCATGCCTGTAGCCCCAGCTACCGGGGAGGCTGAGGCAAGAGAATCACTTGAACCCAGGAGGCAGAGGTTGCAGTGAACCAAGATCATGTCACTGCACTCCAACCCAGGCAACAGAGCAAGACCCATCTCAAGAAAAAAAAAAAAAAAAAAACCTTGAGGATTCTAATAACAATACCAGACAGAAGGCCATTCACTCAGAGGGGAAGAGGGACAACGTTATTCTAATATCGTCTCTTATGGGTCTGCTTTAATGTGTAAAAGAATAAAGAAATGGCTGGGCGAGGTGACTCACACCTGTAATCCCAGCTCTCTGGGAGGCCAAGTCAGGAGGATGTCTTGAGACCAGGAGATCAAGACTAGCCTGGGCAACATAGGGGGACTCCATCTCTACAAAAAATTAGCTGGGCATGGTAGTATGCACCAATAGACCCAGCTACTCGGGAGGCCAAGGTGGGAGGATTGCCTGGGCCTGGGACGTCAAGGCAGCAGTGAGCCGTGATGGTACCATCGCGTTCCAGCCTGGGCGACACAGAGAGACCCTGTCTCAAAAGAAAAAGAAAAAAAAAAAAAGAATAAGGAATTGAAGCCCCAGAGTTACTCTCCATGTAACGTGGCTTTGATAATTATTTTTAAAAATAGCTTTACTGAGATATCACTCACATAAAATTTATGTATTTAAGTTTGCAGGCTGGGCACAGTGGCTCACACCTATAATCCCAGCACTTTGGGAGGTCAAGGCAGGCAGATCACTTGAGGTCAGGAGTTTGAGACCAGCCTGGCCAACATGGTGAAACCTCGTCTCTACTAAAAATAAAAAAATTAGCTGGGCATGGTGGTAGGCACCTGTAATCCCAGCTACTCGGGAGGCTGAGGCAGGAGAATTGCTTAAACCCAGGAGGCGGAGGTTGCAGTGAGCCCAGATTGCGCCACTGCACTCCAGCTTGGGCAACGGAGCAAAAACTCCATCTCAAATAAATATATAAATAAGTAATAGAGTTTACAATTCTATTATTGTATTCATAGAGTTATACAACCATCACCACAATTAATTTTGGAACATTTTCATCACCCCACAATGAAACCCATGCACATTTTTATCACTCCAAAAGGAAAACCTGTACCCATTGGCAGTCACTCCCCATTCTCCTCTCCTCCCAGGTTTAGGCAGCCAGTAATGTACTTTGTGTCTCTATAGATTTGCCTATTCTGGACATCTTATATAAATGGAACCGTGTAATGTATGGTCTTTTGTGACTGGCTTCTTTCACTTAGCATAATGCTTCCAAGGTTCATCCATACTTCCTTCTTTTTTTTTTTCTATTTTTTTTTTTTTTTTTTGAGATTGAGTCTTGCTCTATTGCCCAGGCTGGAGTGCAGTGGCGTGATCTCGGCTCACTGCACCCTCTGCCTCCCAGGTTCAAGTGATTCTCCTGCCTCAGCCTCTGGACTAGCTGGGATTATAGGCGCCCGCCACCACGCCCGGCTAATTTTTGTATTTTTTAGTAGAGTCAGGGTTTCACCATGTTGGCCAGGGTGGTCTCAAACTCCTGACCTCAAGTGATCCACCTGCCTCAGCCTCCCAAAATGCTGGGATTACAGGCTTGAGCCACCATACCCGGCCACTTCCTTGATTTTTATAGCTGAATTATCTCCTATTTTAGAGGTATATGCATGTTCTTTATCTATTTGTCAGTTGAAGGATTTTGGGTTTTCATTTTTTGCCTATTATGAATAATGCTGCTCTGAACATTTGTGTGTAAGTTTCTCTGTGGACTTTTTTTTTTTTTTTTTTTTTTGAGATGGAGTTTCACTCTTGTTGCCCAGGCTGGAGTGCAATGGCGCGATCTCGGTTCACCGCAACCTCCGCCTCCCAGGTTCAAGCAATTCTCCTACCTCAGCCTCTCGAGTAGCTGGGATTACAGGCATGCACCACCACGCCCGGCTAATTTTGTATTTTTCGTAGAGATGGGGTTTCTCCATGTTGAGACTGTTCTCGAACTCCTGACCTCAGGTGATCCGCCCACCTCGGCCTCCCAAAGTGCTGGGATTACAGGCATGAGTCACCGCGCCCAGCCGGACATATGTTTTGTTTTGTCTTGGGAATACACCTAAGACTAGAAGTGCTGGGTCACGTAGTAACACTATGTTTGACATTTTAAGGAACTGCCAGACTTCCAAAGTGACTGCACCATTTTACATTCCTCCTAGCAATATATAGAGTTCCAATTTCTCCACATCCTTGACAATACTTGTTATTGTCTGTCTTTTTGATTATAGTCATCCTAACAGGTGTAAAGTGGTATTTCATTGTGGTTTTGATTTGCTTTTCCTTAGTGGCTAATGACATTAGTATCTTTTCATGTGTTTATTGGCAGCCTCAATAACTTTAGCCTGGAATTTTAAAAGATCCACTTCAGGAGTTTTCACACTTGTTGAGCCTTAGAATTCTTTCTCCAGATGCCAGTTTACAGGGAAGTCTAACAAACAAACCCAGAGTCAGGGATCAGGGTGAGAAGGAAGCAAGGCTCAAGCCACTCTGCCCAGTGTCTTCCCCAGGGCTTACCCTTAACAGCAATAGCCTCTGAAACTCACAACTTTGTAAAGCACAGTTTGAACACCACCAATTGGCCAGGCGCAGTGGCTCATGCCTGTAATCCCAGCACTTTGGGAGGCCGAGGTGGGTGGATCACCCCCAGCCTGGCAAACACGGTGAAACCCCGACTCTACTAAAAACACAAAAATTAGCTGGGCATGGCGGCGCATCCCTGTAATCCCAGCTACTTGGGAGGCTGAGGCAGGAGAATCGCTTGAACCCAGGAGGCGGAGGTTGCGGTGAGACGAGACTGCACCACTGCACTCCAGCCTGGGCAACAGAGTAAAACGCTCAAAAAAAAAAAAAAAGAAAAAGAAAAAAGAAAGAAAACCACCCACTGGGGCAACATCATGAGATAATGAAAAGAAAGAACAGTAAATAAGGAAGAAATAACAAAAAACAGAGCTACAGAATCCGACAACAGAATATTTGAACCTGAAAGTTTTTCGAAAATCCTGTCTTTATTCTGCTTTTTTTTTTTTTTTTTTTTTTGAGACAGCGTCTCACATTGTTGCCCAGGCTGCAGTGCAGTGGTGTGATCTTGGCTCACCGCAACCTCCACCTCCCAGGTTCAAGCGATTCTCCTGCCTCAGCCTCCTGAGTAGCTGGGACTACAGGTGCACACCACCATGCCTGGCTAATTTTTTTTTTTTTTTGTAATTTTAGTAGAGACAGGGTTTCACTGTGTTGGCCAGGCTGGTCTCAAACTCCTGACTTCAGGTGATCCACCCGCCTTGACCTCTCAAAGTGCTGGGATTACAGGTGTGAGCCACTGTGCGCTGGGCTTTAATCAACAAATATTAATTGAGATCTTTTCATATGCCAGATTTTCCAGGTTCTAGGGATTAAAGCAGTAAACAAGACATGCCCCCACCCTGAGATTTACATTCCAATGAATGGAGGCAACCACAGACAAATGAATAAACAAGAAAAACATCAGATGGTCAATAAGGCTTTGCAGTGACTCAGCTATCTCCATGGGTCTGATGACTACTTTAGGAGGTCAGAGACCCTACCCTCTACTTCCACCCCCTCCCCTCTGGAAAGTGACGTTTTAACTAGAAAGCTGAAGAAACAGACAGACAAAGCTCTAGGGTGAGACCCAGCATGACCTGCTCACACAGCTTTAAGGAGGTGGAGCAGAATGGCCAGGGAGAAGTCACAATGAGACTGGAAAAGCTGCTAATAGCCAGGTTTTGTTGGCCTCTCTGGGCCAGGCTAGAGGGTTTAGATTTTATTCTAACTATGATGGAAAGTTATTGAGGTGTTAAGCAAAAAAGTGACATAACTGATTTATCTTTCTTTTTTTAATAATAAACATCTTTGATGATTTTATTCATTTATTAGAGACAGGGTCTTGCTGTATTGCCCAGGCTGATCAGGAACTCCTACACTCAAGCAATCCTCCTGCCTTGGCCTCCCAAAGTGCTGGGACCACAGGTGTGACCACTGTATTCAGCCTGTAATAATCTTAGAATTACAGCCAGGTGCTGTGGCTCACGCCTCTAATCCCAGCACTTTGGGAGGCTGAGGCTGGCAGATCACGAGGTCAGGAGATCGAGATCATCCTGACTAACACAATGAAACCCTGTCTCTACTAAAAATACAAAAAATTATCCGGGCATGGTGGCGTGCGCGCCTGTACTCCAGCTACTCAGGAGGCTGAGGCAGAAGAATTGCTTGAACCCGGGAGGCAGAGGTTGCAATGAGCCAAGATCACACCACTGTACTCCAGCCTGGAGACAGAGCAAGACTCCATCTCAAAATAATAATAATAATAATAATAATAATTTTAGATTTACAGAAAAATTGAAAAAGGAATACCAACAGTTCCCATATACCCCATAACCAGTGTCTCCTATTATTAACATCCCACATTAGTATAGTACATGTGTCGCAATTAGTGAGCCAATATTGATACATTACTATTAACTAAAGTCCATATTTTATTCAAATTTATTTATTTGTCGAGACGGTCTTGCTATGTTACCCAGGTTGGATTTGAATTCTTGGACTCAAGGGATCCTCCTGCTTCAGCCTCTCCAGTAGCGGGGACTACAGGTGTGTGCCACCATGCCCAACTATTCACATTTTCTGAGTTTTTCCTTAATGTGTATTTTTTTGTTTCAGTACCCCATCCAGGATACCACATTACATTTAGTCATCATGTCTCCTCGGGCTTCTCTTGGCTGTGACAGTTTCTCATACTTTCCTTGATTTTTGTTTTGTTTGGTTATGTCTTTTTTTTTTTTTTTTTGAGATGGAGTTTCACTCTTGTTGCCCAGGCTGGAGTGCAGTGGCACGATCTCAGCTCACCACAACCTCCGCCTCCCGGGTAGCTGGGATTACAGGCATGTGTGACCACGCCTGGCTAATTTTTTTGCATTTTTAGTACACACAGGGTTTCTCCACATTGGTCAGGCTGGTCTCAAACTCCCGACCTCAGGTGATCTTCCCACCTCAGCCTCCCAAAGTGCTGGGATTACAGGCATGAGCCACTGCACCTGGACGTTTTGTTTTTGTTTTTTTGAGACAGAGTTTCGCTCTTGTTGCCCAGGCTGGAGTGCAATGGCGCGATCTCGGCTCACTGCAACCTCCACCTCCCAGGTTCAAGCGATTCTCCTGCCTCAGCCTCCCAAGTAGCTGGGATTATGAGCATGCACCACCCATGCCCGGTTAATTTTGTATTTTTAGTAGAGACGGGGTTTCATCATGTTGGTCAGGGTGGTCTCAAACTCCTGACCTCAGGCGATCTGCCCGCCTCGGCCTCCCAAGGTGCTGGGATTACAAGCATGAGCCACCACACCCGGCAGACTTTCCTAGTTTTTAATGACCTTGGCAGTTTTGACGATTCCTGGAGATTCGTTTTGGAGAATGCCCCAGAGTTGGGATTTGTCTGCTATTCCTCTCATGATTAGAAATGGGGTTGGAGAAGCAGGGCTGGGTGTGGGCATCATCCAATAGGGCAGTCATTTACTTACATCAGTGTGGACTTGTGGATGTCTGTGTCATATTCTGCGTTGTCATCCAACACTACTTGGTTTTGTTGTTCAGATTGTTTAGGCTTTGACCAATGGGAGCTCTTTCAGTTGCTTCCTGTGTCCCTCTGACACACTACATCTTAAGACAGCAGGGGCAAAGCCAGAAGCAACCCAATTTACAATAGAACGTGGGCAAAGTGACAACATGTGGCTTCCAAGGCTAAGTCATAAAAGACATTGCCACTTTCAACTTGAACCCTCTGAGGCTGCTCACTTTGTGGAAAGCCAGTGGCTGTGTCAGAAGGACGCTTAAGCAATCTCTGGAGAGGCCTCCACTGGGAGGAACTGTGGCCAAGAATCACCGTCAGCTCTCCAGATGTGTTTCTGGGCCCCTTGGAAGTGGATCTTCCAGCCCCAATCAAGCCTTCAGATGACTGCAGCCTTAGGAGGGACCCCCAAGCCTAAGCGCACCGAGGTAGGCCCCACCAGAATTCCTGACAAAAAGAAACGGTGGCTCACACCTGTAATCCCAGCACTTTGGGAGGCCGAGGCAGGTGGATCACTTGAGGTCAGTACAAGATCTGCCTGGCCAACATAGTGAAACCCCATCTCTACTAAACATACAAAATTAGCCGGGCATGGTGGGGCATGCTGGTAATCCCAGCTACTCGGGAGGCTGAGGCAGGAGAATCACTGGACCCCATGAAGCAGAGGTTGCAGTGAGCCAAGATTGCGCCGCTGCACTTCAGCCTGGGCGGCAGAGTGAGACTCCGTCTCAAAAAAATAAAAAAGGCCAGGCACGGTGTCTCATGCCTGTAATCCCAGCACTTTGGGAGGCCGAGGCAGGTGGATCATGATGTTAGAAGTTCAAGACCAGCCTGGCCAAGATGGTGAAACCCCATCTCTACTAAAAAATACAAAAATTAGCTGGGCATGGTGGCAGGCGCCTGTAATCCCAGCAACTGGGGAGGCCGAAGCAGGAGAATTGCTTGAACCTGGGAGGTGGAGTTTGCAGTGAGCTGAGATCACGCCACTGCACTCTAGCTAGCCTGGGTGAAACAGCAAGATTCTGCCTCAAAAAAAGAAAAGAAAAGAACCTGTAAAACAATGAATGTTCATTTTTTTTTTAAGTCTCTATCTTTTGGAGTAATTTGTTATGCAACAATAGAAAACAAAGGCACAAGAGTAGAATGCTGTAAAAAAATAACATGTATAGGACATGGTCCGCCTGGCCAATAAAGTAAGACCTCATCTCTACAAAAAAACAAAAATAATTAGCTGGACATGATGGCATGTCCCTGTAGTCCCAGCTACTTGGGCAGCCGAGGCAGAAAGATTGCCTGAGCCTGGGAGGTGGAGGCTGCAGTCAGCCGTGATCGCGCCACTGCACTCCAGTCTGGGAGATCCTGCCTCAAAAAAACCCCCACGATAACCAAAAACATAAAAAGAGCTCTTGGAAATTAGATACATGAAAACAGAAAATATAAACTCAATAAAGGGTTACAAACAAAGTTGAGGAAATCTTCCAGAAATTAGAGTTGAAAGACAACAAGATGCAAACAGGAAAGAAAAGAGAATTAGACAATTTGCTGTGAAGAGCCCAACTTCTGATAAATAGGGGTTCTTGAAAGAGCAAAGAGTATACAAAAATTAGCTGGGCGTAGTGGCACATATCTGTAATCCCAGCACTTTGGGGGGCTGAGGCGGGCAGATCACGAGGTCGGGAGATCGAGACCATCCTGGCTAACACGATGAAACCCCGTCTCTACTAAAAATACAAAAAATTAGCCGGGCGTGGTGCCGGGCGCCTGTAGTCCCAGCTACTCGGGAGGCTGAGGCAGGAGAATGGCATGAACCCGGGAGGCAGAGCTTGCAGTGAGCTGAGATCGCGCCACTGCACTCCAGCCTAGGTGACAATGTGAGACTCTGTCCGTCTCAAAAAAAACAACAACAACAAAAAACCACTGAAACAATCCAAGCAAATTTCCAAAAACTGAACTAAATATCCTTCAGTTTTCAGGTTGAAAGGGCACAGTAAATGCCCAGAACGATGTTCGAAGATAGAAGTACACTAAGGCGGCCAGGCATGGTGGTTTGCACCTGTAATCCCAGCACTTTGGGAGGCTGAGGCAGGCGGATCACTTGAGGTCAGGAGTTCGAGATCAGCCTGGTCAACACGGTGAAACCCTGTCTCTACTAAAAATACAAAAATTAGCTGGGCGTGGTGGCACACACCTGTTGTCCCCGCTACTTGGGAGGCTGAGGCAGGAGAATCATTTGAACCTGGGAGGTGGAGGTTGTGGTGAGCTCTGGTCGCGTCACTGCACTCCAGCCTGGGTGATAGAGTGAGACTCCATCTTAAAAAAAAAAAAAGGAGGAATGAGGGATACAGAAGAATCAAGGATGACATCTTGATTTTTGGTTACAGCAACCTAGTAGATGGAAGTCACAGTTACTGAGATGACAGGGAAGACAGTCTGCCTCACCTCTGGCCCCTGAGGGCATGACTGGATTTCACAGGCTACACAGGCTCCAAGGGAAGCAGCACCCTCAGGGCTGGGCTAAATTTAACTGAGGCCAGAAAGTGAAGAGTGTTTGGTGGAGGGTGGGGAGACAGTAGGAGGGTAGATCAAGGGAGAGGAAACCCCATCACAGTAGGCTTGGGCTTGTAGGAGAACAGAGATGACCAGAGGGACTGAGAATTACAGCACTGTGGGTGTAACTGCAGCAGGCATGGTCCACATTGGTAGCTGGCAATGAGATTGGTTGGTTCCCCAGACTTTGTTTGTTCCTTTGACATCCAGGCTTTGCATGAACAAACACCCATGTCCCCTTCTCAGAAAATTGCCCATCCCCTTGTTGGAATTCTTCTATTAAGACAAAATCTCCCTTCCAGTGACCTATGCTCAGTGGTTCCTGTTTTTTATTTGTTTTTTGAGACAGGGTGGCCCAGCCTGGAGTGCAGTGGTGTGAGCATGACTCACTGCAACCTCAACTTCCCAGGCTCAAGTGATCATCCCACCTCAGCCTCCTGAGTAGCTGGGATCACAGGCATGTACCACCACACCCAGCTAATTTTTTAGTTTTTTTTGTACAGACAGGGTTTCGCTATGTTGCTAGGCTGGTCTCGAATTCCTGGGCTCAAGCGATCCTCCTGCCTCAGCCTCCCAAAGTGCAAGGGTTTCAGACATGAGCCACAGCACCCAACCATGCTCAGTGGTTCTTGATTTACCTTCTGGTCAGCTACAATGCAGGGTACATGACTTCTGTGCTTCCTCACTTTGAGCATTGAAAGCTTTTTACCTGGTCATACCAAACCTTGGCAAGAACAATTTCACCAGCCACCAATGAGAAGGGTCACTTCTGCAGTGGGTCTTTAAAAAAAATAGGCCCGGGTTTTCTTTTTAATATGATGTTGTTTTGTTTGTTTGAGATGGAGTCTCGTTCTGTTGTCCAGGCTGGAGTGCAGTGGCGTGATCTCAGCTCACTGCAACCTCTGCCTCCCAGGTTCAAGTGATTCTCATGCCTCAGCCTCCTGAGTAGCTGGGATTACAGACGTGCACCACCATACCTGGCTAATTTTTGTATTTTTAGTAGAGACAGGGTTTCACCATGTTGGCCAGGCTGGCCTCGAACTCCTGAACTCAGATGATCCACCCGCCTCGGCCTCCCAGGGTGCTGGGATTATAGGTGTGAGCCACCTTGCCCGGCAATTTTTGTTTTTTTAGAAGAGATGGGGTTTCACCATGTTGGCCAGGCTGATTTTAAACTCCTAACCTCAAGTGATCCACCCACCTCGGCCTCCCAAAGAGCTGGGATTACAGGCATGAGCCACCATGCCCAGCAACCCCTTCTTAAATTAACCCCTTGTAGTATAGTAGAGCTTGTCTCTCCAGATAAAGGGCTGTAGGGAAGGAAACCAGACGGGGCAGTTTTCCTGGCTCCCCACCTACCTCATTCCCCCAGGATATGTTTCCAGTGAGCATCCCAGAGTCCCCCAGGCCACCCCAATTAATCTTGTTAATGGGCCCTCCTGGGGAACCTGTCTCCTCCCATGACCCTGACCAGATCAAGGCAGGAGGCACTAGGCAGCACTGTGCGGCCCCGCCCTCTGCAGTTACAGTTGCCCAGCTGAGCGCTTTGTTAGGTTCGTGACTCCAGTCTATCTGGTGACTAGAGTCTGTTTGCAGAGTGCTGGCACCCGGTGCGGCTCACAGAGCTGACATTCTGCTCCACTCTCTGGCGCCAGGCCCACGCCACCACGCCCGCCCATGCCCCAGAGAGGCTGGCTCAGGTTACCCCTGTGCACCCATGGTTCCCCAGGAGGCCCAGGGCTGGGTAGGAGGGTCCTGCCCCACCCCGCAGGTGGCATGGGTGCTTGAGGAACACAGAAGGGCCTCACCTGAGGTCTCTGGGAGAGCCATGAGGATGTGCAGCGGCCTTAGTTGTCATAGATACCAGAATCTGGGCGCAGCCCCACTTCCCATTTCCCAAGCTTCACTGTGTGGGCCTCACAAAGCCACTTGGGGCTTGTCCATACTTGCCCTGTGCACGGAAGTCTAGCATCAGTGCCAGCCTCGGCCCATCCCTATCTTGACCACGCTAAGCTGGGAAAAGCCTTCCAGATCTAAATAGCAACTGCAGCCAGGCGTGGTGGCTCACGCCTGTAATCCCAGCACTTTGAGAGGCAGAGGTCGGCGGATCACCTGAGGTCAGGAGTTTAAGACCAGCCTGGCCAAAATGGTGAAACCCTGTCTCTACTAAAAATACCAACATTAGCCAGGTATGGTGGGGCACGCCTGTAATCCCAGCTACTTGGGAGGCTGAGGCAGGAGAATCACTTGAATCCAGGAGGCAGAGGTTGCGGTGAGCTGAAATTGCACCACTGCACTCCAGCCTGGGCGACAGAGTGAGACTCTGTCTCAAAAAAAAAAAAATAGCAACCTCAGTGACCATTGGTCTTCTGTGAGTGTGATGTTTTGGCCTCCTGTGCTCACTGTTGCATTACCATCCTCTCAGCAAACGCCTGGACTCTGTTGTTGCCGCCTGTATTTCTTATGCCTCACAGCTCATTCATCAGCAAATTCTTTCAGCTCCACCACCAAAATATAATCCTAGCCTGTCCATTTCTCACTACCTCCCCTGCTCCATCCCGGTCCAAGGCACCATTGTCTCCACCCTGGAGGCCTGCAGTAGCCTCTTAACGGCTGTCCCACCTACACTCTTGCTCCTGTCTATCTTCACATGGCCACCAGAGTGAGCTTTTAAACATGGAAATCAGGCCAAGTGAGGTGGCTCACACCTGTAATGCCAGCACTTTGGTAGGTCGAGGCGGGAGGATCACTTGAGGTCAGGAATTCAAGACCAGCCCGGCCAACATGGTAAAACCCTGACTCTACTAAAAATACAAAATTTAGCCAGGCATGGTGGCACACACCTGTAATCCCAGTTATTCAGGAGGCTGAGGCAGAAGAACAGCTTGAACCCAGGAGGTGGAGACTGCAGGGAGCCGAGATTGTGTCACCACATTCCAACCTGGGTGACAGAGTTAGAATCCATCTCAAAAAAAAAAGGCCGGGCACGACGGGCACGATGGCTCACTCCTGTAATCCCGGCACTTTGGGAGGCCAAAGCGGGCAGATCACCTGAGTTAAGGTGTTCAAGACAAGCCTGGCCAACATGGTGAAACCCCATCTCTACTAATAATACAAAAAAATTAGCCAGGTGTGGTGGCACACGCCTGTAATCCCAGCTACTTGAAAGGCTAAGGCAGGAGAATCACTTGAACCCGGGAGGCAAAGGTTGCGGTGAGCCAATATCATACCATTGCACTTCAGCCTGGGTGACAAGAGTGAAACATCGTCTCAAAAAGAAAAAAGAAAAAAAAAATAGATTGGATGACTCCCTGTCTTAAAATTGTGGCTTCTCATCTCCCATAGAATAACACCCCATCTCTTTGCTCTGGCGTGCAAGAGCCTATGCATTCTGGTCCCCTGTGGCTACCTCCTCAGTCTCGTCGGGTGCCACCATGTATTCACTGGCCTTGGCACACAACTTCCCTGTTTCCCCAAAACACCCAGCTTGCTCCTGTCTCAAGGCCCACCTGCTGTTTCCTCTTTCCTCTGCTTCTCACCAGACAGGTCTCAGTTCAAATCTCACCTATTCAGAGAGCCTCTGCCCAGCACCCTATCTAAAATAGATCCCCTTCCCAACCCCACCCCACTTTCCAGCACTTCACCCAGCCATCTTGTCTTCAAAGCCCTTATCCACCAGAGATTATCCAGTGTCTTTCTGTACTTGTTTACTATCTGTCCCTCACCAGCCCCAGTGTAAGCTACTCAAAGGCATATCTTTTTTTTTTTGGAGATGGTGTCTTGCTCTGTTGCCCAGGCTGGAGTGCAGTGGTGCAATCTCAGCCCACTGCAACCTCTGCCTTCTGGGGTCAAGCGATTCTCCTGCCTCAGCCTCCCGAGTAGTTGGGATTACAGGTGTATGCCACCACACCCGGTTGATTTTTGTGTTTTTAGTAGAGATGGGGTTTCACCATGTTGGCCAGGCTGGTCTTGAACTCCTGACCTCAGGTGATCCACCCACCTCGGCCTCTCAAAGTGCTGGGATCACAGGCATGAGCTACCGCACCCGGCCCAGATCTGTTTTTTTAAAATAACTTTTATTTTAGGTTCAGGGGTACATGTGCAGTTTAGTTATTAGGTAAACTTCTGTCACAGGAGTTTGTGGTACAGATTATTTCATCACCCAGGTATTAAGCCTAGTACTCAATAGTGATTTTTTTCTGCTCCTCTCCCTCCTTCCAGCCTCCCCCTCAAGGAGGCCCCGGTGTCTGTTGTTCCCCTGTTTGTGTCCATGTGTTCCCATCATTTAGCTCCCACTTGTAAGTGAGAACATGTGGTATTTGGTTTTCTGTTCCTGCATTAGTTCGTTTAGGATAATGGCCTCCAGCTCCATCCATGTTCCTGCGCAAGATGTGATCTCATTATTTTTTTTTTGGCTGCGTAGTATTCCATGGTATACATGTACCACATTTTCTTTATTCAGTCTATCATCGATGAGCATTTAGGTTGATTCTTTGTCTTTGCTATTGTGAATAGTGCTGTGAGGAACATACGCATGCATGTGTCTTTATGTAGAATGCTTTCTAGTCCTTTGAGTATATACCCAGTAATGAGACTGCTGGGTCGAATGGTATTTCTGTTTCTAACTCTTTGAGGAATTCCCACACTGCTTTCTACAACGGTTGTACTAATTTACATTCCCACCAACAGTGTATCAGCATTCCCCTTTATCTAGAAATCTTACCAGCATCTGTTATTATTATTATTTTTTTTTTTTGAGAGGGAGTCTCGCTTTGTCACCCGGGCTGGAGTGCAGTGGCGCAATCTCAGCTCACTGCAACCTCTGCCTCCCGGGTTCACGCCATTCTTCTGCCTCAGCCTCCCAAGTAGCTGGGACTACAGGCACCTGCCACCGTGCCCAGCTAATTTTTTGTATTTTTAGTAGAGACGGGGTTTCACCGTGTTAGCCGGGATGGTCTCGATCTCCTGACCTCGTGATCCGCCCGCCTCGGCCTCCCAAAGTGCTGGGATTACAGGCTTGAGCCACCGTGCCTGGCTGCATCTGTTATTTTTTTTACTTTTTGAGGCAGATCTATTTTCTGTCATGTCCACATGAGTGTCCCCAGCAGCTCTTCCAAAAGCTGCTCAATAGAAACATCTTTGAGTGATAATGATGCTAATAATTTAGATACATTCTCTACTCGTACACGAAACTCAAAGCCCACCAGCTTTTTTTTTTTTTTTTTCTCTGAGCCAGTGTCTCTCCCTGTCACCCAGGCTGAAGCGCAGAGGCATGATCACAGCTCATTGCAGTCTTGACCTCCTAGGCTCAAGCAATCTTCCCGCATTTTTTAATTTTTTTTTTTTTTTTCGAGACAGAATCTTGCTCTGTCTTCCAGGCTCGAGTGCAGTGGCGTGATCTCAGCTCACTGCAACCTCCTCCTCCCGGGTTCAAGCAATTCTCCTACCTCAGCCTCCCGAGTAGCTGGGATTACAGGCATGTGCTACCACACCTGGCTAATTTTTGTATTTTTAGTAGAGACAGGGTTTTGCCTTGTTGATCAGGCTGGTCTCGAACTCCTGACCTCATGTGATCAGCCTGCCTCGGCCTCCCAAAGTGCTGGGATTATAGGTGTGAGCCACCGCGCCCAGCCCATTTTTAAATTTTTTGTAGAGAGGAGGTCTCACTATGTTGCCCAGGCTGGTCTCGAACTTCTGGGGTCAAGTCACCCTCCTGCCTTGGCTTCTCAAAATGCTGGGATGAGGCTGGGCGAGGTGGCTCACGCCTGTAACCCCAGCACTTTGGGAGGCCGAGGTGGGTGGATCACCTGAGGTCAGGATTCGAGACCAGCCTGACCAATATGGAGAAACCCTGTCTATACTAAAAATACAAAAATTAGCCAGGCGTGGTGGTGCGTGCCTGTAATCCCAGCTACTTGGGAGGCTGAGGCAGACGAATCGCTTGAACCTGACCTACGAGGCGGAGGTTGCAGTGAGCCAAGATTACACCATTGCACTCCAGCTTGGGCAACAAGAGAGAAACTCAGCCTCAAAAAAAAAAAAAAAATGCTGGGATTACAGGCATGAAGCTCCATGCCCAGCCCCTACCAGCTTTTTTAAAAAATTATTTTATGGCCGGGTGCAGTGGCTCTCACGCCTGTAATCCCAGCACTTTGGGAGGCTGAGGCAGGTGGATCACTTGAGGTCAGGAGTTCAAGACCAGCCTGACCAACATTTTTCTACTAAAAATACAAAAATTAGCCAGGCGTGGTGGCACATGTCTGTAATCCTAGCTACTCAGGAGGCTGGGAGGTGGAGGTTGCAGTGAGCTAAGATTGCACCACTGCACTCCAGCCGGGGCGACAGGGCAAGACTCTGTCTCAAAAAAATAAATAAATAAAAATAAAAAATAAAAAATTTATTATTATTATTATTATTATTATTTTTTGAGACAGAGTTTCCCTCTGTCACCCAGGCTGGAGTGCAGTGGCCTGATCTCAGCTCACTGCAACCTCCACCTCCCAGGTTCAAGCCATTCTCTGCCTCAGCCTCCCGAGTAGCTGGGATTATAGGTGCCCATGACCACACCCAGCTAATTTTTGTATTTTTAGTAGAGATGGTATTTCACCCTGTTGGCCAGGCTGGTCTCGAACTTCTGACCTCAAGTGATCCTCTCTCCTTGGCCTCCCAAAGTGCTGGGATTACAGGCGTGAACCACTGCGCCTGGCCCCCACCAACTTTTTGCAAAATATTTGTAACAGTAGAACTTGGTTGGAATATTATTCGGCAATAAAAAGTAGTGAAGTACATCCAACAACATGGTGGAAACTTGAAAAGGATATGCCAAATGCAAGAGCCAATCCCATAAGACCGTAAGTTGTATGATTCCATTTATGTGAAATGTCCAGAATATCCAAATCTATAGAGACAGAAAGTAGATTAGTGGTTGCCAGAGACTGAGGGGAGAGAGAAATGGGGAGTGGCTGTTAATGGGCACAGCGTTTCTTTCTGGAGTGATAAAAATGTTCTGAAACGAGCTAGTGGTGATGGCTGCACAATTCTGTGAATGTATTAGAAACCACTGAAGTGTATACATTTAAAGGATGAATTTTATGGTATCGTGAATTAAATCTCAAAGAAGCTGCTATTTTTAAAAAGTACATGGCTATTATATGATTCAATCAGTGCCCAATGGGTAGAAAGAAGAAATGAAAAATCATATTAAATTCTACCCCCAGAGATAGCAACTGACAGCCTATTAGTGAGTGTCCTTCCAGACATTTTTCTGGCAATGTACACTCTTACAGATAGACAGAGTTACTCTCAATCTTTTCTAAGATCAAAAAACCTGAAGACCGTGACATACTCCTCGGTAACCTGGGCCAACCTCAAGAGTGAGTCTCGCCAGGCGCGGTGGCTCACGACTGTAATCCCAGCACTTTGGGAGGCCGAGGCGGGCAGATCACCTGAGGTCAGGAGTTCAAGACCAGCCTGACTAACATAGTGAAACCCTGTCTCTACTAAAACTACAAAAAGTAGCCGGGCACAGTGGCGGGCACCTGTAATCCCAGCTACTCAGGAGGCTGAGGCAGGAGAATCACTTGAACTCGGGAGGCAGAGGTTGCAGTGAGCCAAGATCGTGCCATTGCACTCCAGCCCAGGGAACAGAGCGAGATTCCGTCTCAACAACAACAAAAACATTTATTTATTTTTATTATTTTTTTGAGACAGAGTCTCGCTCTGTCGCCTAGGCTGGAGTGCAGTGGCAGGATCTCGGCTCACTGCAAGCTCCGCCTCCTGGGTTCATGCCATTCTCCTGCCTCAGCCTCCCAAGTAGCTGGGATTACAGCCATCTGCAACCACGCCCAGCTAATTTTTTGTATTTTTTGTATTTTTTTTTTTGAGACGGAGTCTCACTCTGTCGCCCAGGCTGGAGTGCAGTGACGTGATCTCGGCTCACTGCAAGCTCCGCCTCCCGGATTCACGCCATTCTCCTGCCTCCACCTCCCGAGTAGCTGGGACTACAGGCGCCTGCCACCACACCCGGCTAATTTTTTTATTATTTTTAGTAGGGACAGGGTTTCACCGTGTTAGCCAGGACGGGCTCGATCTCCTGACCTCGTGATCCACCTGTCTCGGCCTCCCAAAGTGCTGGGATTACAGGCGTGAGCCACCGCGCCCGGCAATTTTTTGTATTTTTAGTAGAGATGGTGTTTCACTGTGTTAGCCAGGATGGTCTCGATCTCCTGACCTTGTGATCCACACACCTCAACCTCCCAAAGTGCTGGGATTACAGGCGTGAGCCACCGCGCCCGGCCTAATTTTTGTATTTGTAGTAGAGACGGGGTTTTACCATGTTGGCCAGGCTGGTCTGGAACTCCTGACCTAAAGTGATCCGCCTGTCTCAGCTTCCCAGAGTGTTGGGATTACGGGCATGAGCCACTGCACCTGGCCTAATTTTTCTTTTCTTTTCTTTTTCTTTCTTTTTTTTTTTGAAGTGGAGTCTCACTTTGTAGCCCAGGCTGGAGTGCAGTGGGCAGATCTCGGTTCACTGCAACCTCCGCTTCCCGGATTCATGTGATTCTCCTGCCTCAGCTTCCAGAGTAGCTGGGATTACAGGTGTGCAGCCACCACGCCCTGCTAATTTTTGTAGTTTTACTAGAGTTTCACCATGTTGGCCAGGCTGGTCTCGAACTCCTGACCTCAAGTGATCTGCCCTCCTTGTCATCCCAAAGTGCTGGGATTACAGGCATGAGCCACCGCGCCCAGCTCCCACCTAATTTTTCAATTATTCATAGAGATGAGGTCTCAATGTGCTTCCAAGGCTGGTCTCAAAGTGCTAGGCTCAAGCAACCCGCCTGCCTCAGCCTCCCAAAGTGATGGGATTTCAGGCCTGAGCCACACAGCCCATCCCCAGAGAGATTCTCTTCATGCAGCCTGTGATGTGGTCTGCAGACTGGTTGGTACCAGTCCATGCTTAGAAACTATTAAAGTAATTTGACAGAAAAATGTTACATCTGTTCAACCCAATAACAACAACAACAGCAACAACAAAATGGGCTTATAATTTGTATATCCTTTCCTTTCCTTCTTTTCATTTTTCCAGCAATTCATTTTTATTATGCTTTGCAATAATTTTAGACTGGAAATTAAAAACAACCTAAACCAAAGCAAAAACAAAATTGGTCCTTTTTTTTTTTTTTTTTTTTTTCAAAATTGGTCCTTCACAAATAGTTTGAGAAGCTCTGGTCTACAAGACCTGGGCTGGTGTCCAGGCTCCACCACTGCAAGGTAACAACTTGACCTTGGGTGAGCGGCCCAACCTATATGACTCTTATATTTCCTTATAAGTAGAAAGGGATAATAATAGTACCTACTTCACAGGGTTGTTGAAAGACTTAGATAACATATGCAAAACACATGCCTACGTAATAGGGGTAGTTCTCCCCACCCTTTCCCGTCTGCTCCCATTCTTTCTAGTGACTCTGGGATGATATATTCTGAGAGATCAGGGGAAACCCAGCTTAAGAAAGAACGATGGAGCAATAAGTGCTGGAGACAGGCAGAGTCATGGCTCTAAAGAGTCGGGGAACAGCAAAGAGAGCTAGAAAATCTCTTCTAGAGGGAGCAAGAGCTGTACAGAGGGCTTCAGCCTTCCAGGGTGCCTGTGTTAGGAATAGGACTAACCTGTGAAGGGCATCAGACTATGGCAAAATAATTATTTTGGGCTGAAGGCAACTGAGATATAGCTGACACAGGAGAAGCTAGCTCTCCGCCCTCTCTCTGCCTAAAAGCAGGGCATAAGTTTCCCTTTGTAAAAGTGACATATTGGGGCCAGAAGTGGTGGCTCATGTCTGTAATCCCAGCACTTTGGGAGGCTGAGGTGTGTGGATCACTTGAGGCCAGGAGTTCAAGACCAGCCTGGCCAACAGGGTGAAACCTCATCTCTGCTAAAAAATACAAAAATTAAGGCCAGGTACGATGGCTCACACCTGTAATCCCAGCACTTTGGGAGGCTGAGGCAGACGGATCACCTGAGGTCGGGAGTTCGAGACCAGCCCGACCAACATGGACAGAAACCCCGTCTCTACTAAAAATACAAAATTAGCTGGGTGTGGTGGTGCATGCCTGTAATCCCAGCTACTCAGGAGGCTAAGGCAGGAGAATCGCTTGAACCCAGGAGGCGGAGGTTGTGGTGAGCCAAGATCGCACCATTGCACTCCAGCCTGGGCAACAACAGTGAAACTCCGTCTCAAAAAAAAAAAAAAAAAAAAATTAGCCAGTGTGGTGGTGGGAACCTGTAATCCCACCTACTCAGGAGGCTGAGGCACAAGAATCTCTTGAACCTGGGAGGTAGAGGTTACAGTGAGCCGAGATTGTACCACTGCACTCCAGCCTGGGTGACAGGTGAAACCCTGTTTCAAAAAAAATCCTGAATAATCCTTATCTATTGTTAGTTTCCCCATATATTTACTTTACCATAATTTACCACCCTAAAAGGAAAAGGCAGTAGGCAGTGAGCCATGGACCTGGAGGACCTTGAACAATTCCTTCTAGAGCTGAGAGACAGCCTGGGGACTGAGAACAAAAATCGCAGAGCTAACAGCCCATATGGATGACAGATGATATGACCTGGGGAGACAATCCCAACACTCCTTGGAGGTTGAGAACGCTTTCACTAGAGGAAAGGTGTGGAGGAAATGAGAGGGCCTTCCCCGTAAAGATCTGTTGAAGAAAACCACCATCACCAGAATATGCATAGTTCTTTGGCAAAGGTCAAGTAAAGATGAAATCTGTATACAGTGTGCCTAATGTACCTCTGTCACTTTATCTTTGGTTTTCCTGATACATTCAATGTTGGAATAAACTGAATCCTAATTTTTGGCTTGAAAAAACAAAAAAAAGATGAAATCCAAGTCATTGTGTCCCAGGACATACAGAATCAGGTGTGGGGACTGCAAAGCTTTGCCACAGGCATCTCAGGCACAATGCAGGAAGCAGGCTAAGCCAGCAGTTCTCCACTGTGGCCACCCTGAGCCTCTGCCTTACTCAGCAGGACCCCCTAAAGCAGGCCTCTAGGTGGTCTTAGAGCTGAGCCTCTGTGTGCTAATCTCCTGTCCAGAGAAGCTGAGCAGGACTGGGACCGCCAGCACGGGGGCAGGGTTGACACCTCTTCTACTCCTCTGGAGGGAAGGTGGTACAGATTCAGCAGGGTGGGAAACTGAAGGATTTCCTGTTTGAGGTCATGGCCTTCCCGTGAAGAAGACAGCAAGATCATTTGATGAGAGTCAAGAGATGCAGGAGCTGCAGGTGAGGGTGGAGGAGTGATGGAGGGAATGGGAGAAGGAGCTGACCAGGACAGTGCCCCACCGAGATGATGCCATGGATTGGTAAAGTCACCAATGAACACAGCTGTGATCTAAGCACCCAGCAAAGGGCTGGGCACATAGTAAGCAGTTACTACATATTTGTTGACTGAGTACACAGTCATCATTGTTGTTGAGAGAGACAGAAGAGATCAGGTGGAAAACACATCTTAGGTAAACTTGGTCAGTTAATCCTCTGGTGGCAAAGGAAACTTCTCTGAGTTGAGACACACCCACCCAAGGCCTCTGCCCCTACCCAGACTCCTGACTCTGACCTGCCTAAAATAAATCTGGGGGCTGCAAGTGGCCTGGAGGCTGGACACTGGTGTTTCTCTTCCTCTGGGACACAGGCTCTGCCTTCTGACTCAGACTTGCCTCATCTGACACCTATGTCCCTTGCCCAAGTCTGCCTTTCCCCCTTGCTCCTTCCAGAAACCCAAACTCCAGGTTCACTCTTGCTTCCTCAACTGACCTGACTGCAGAACAAAGTCCAGAGAGAGGCAGAGCCACCCAGGGTGCCCAGTACCGCCACCTCCTCCTGGACATCTTGTTACAGTGGGGTCTCCCATCAAGGCAGCTAGCAGCTCAAGTGTGGATCTTATTGTCAATTCTACTCTGTCTCGCTCTAGACCTCAGATTTCTGCTGGGAAATGCCCACTGAAGATAAAGAGCCTTTGGTCCTCTTGCCTCTGAGGGCTTGAACACAACTTCCTGGCACTCCTTGGGCAAGGTAGCCCCCCCTAGAGCCATCCCATCCTTTTGGAGTTGGCCAAGAATTCCTGGCCCAAGGCAGCAAGAGCCTGGCAGCAGCACTGCCATGGAAAGGAACAGAGCTTGCTCCCCAAGGGCCTGAAACACCTGCCAGTACTGCCACCCGCTCTCCACCCCCAAGAGCTCTGCCCAACCTGTCCTACAGGTGTGTCTGGATCAGGGCCAGTGGGGCCCAGCACCCAACTCATTTACGGGAAGGGAGGATGTAAACAGAGGACAAGGGGCGGACAGAGGGCAAAGGCAACCCAGGTTTCTTGTTTGCACCTCACTTAGCTCAGAGGCTGCCCACATCACACCCCAGGGGGGCTGGTACCCTGGGACCTGGGACCTGCCCACCAAGGGGCAGCATGCAGTGCCATGAGTTGCCTTTATTTGCCCTCCAACCACTAGCCTTCAGGCCATTTGCAGCCTCCAGGCCATTTGCAGACCCCGGATTTATTTTAGGCAGGTCAAAGTCAGGAGTCTGGGTAGGGGCAGAGGCCTTGGGTAGGTGTGCCTCAATTGGGAGAAGTTTCCTCTGCCTTTATTTTACCTTCCCACCACTCCCTGGTCCCTGTTGCTGGCACTGTCCCTGGCCCGCCTATCCTCCCTCACAGCATGGTCTCAGCCTCAGAGAACTCCCTACCCATTCAGCCTATGGCCAGGATGCAACTAGAGAGTGGCAGGTGCTGAGACATTGGATAGAGTTCGCCACATGGCCCACTCTGGGGAGGGAGGCACTTTAGGTTTCATTTTCCCACTTCAAGGAGTCAAGAGAAGGCAGGGGATAGAAGGCCAAAGGACATTTGAAAGGGCCTCACCAATTATCAGGTGGGAACCCAGGTAGAGTGAGAATAATAATACCACCTGCCTCTCAGGGTTAATCCATGCAGGATGCTTATGAGTACTTGGGCCATAGGAAATCTTAAAAACTCCATGCAGTTGGCCAGGCGCAGTGGCTCACACCTGTAATCCCAGCACTTTGGGAAGCCGAATTGGGCAGATCATGAGGTTCAGGAGATCGAGACCATCCTGGCCAACATGGTGAAACCCCCTCTCTAGTAAAAACATAAAAATTAGCTGGGCGTGGCTGCGTGTGCCTGTAATCCCAGCTACTCAGGAGGCTGAGGCAGGAGAATCGCTTGAACCCGGGAGGCGGAGGTTGCAGTGAGCCGAGATTGTGCCACTGCACTCCAGCCTGGCAACAGGGCTAGACTCTGTCTCAAAACAAACAAACAAACAAACAAAACTCCATGCAGTCAACAAATCAATCTTTCTTTCTTTCTTTCTTTTTTTAGAACAAACATTTATTTATTTTTTGTCTCACTGTGTTGCTCTGGCTGGTCTCAAATTCTTGGGCTTAAGTGATCCTTCTGCCTCAGCCTCCCAAATAGCTAGGATTACAGGTGTGAGTCACCACTCCTGGTTAACACATATTCCTTGACCATCCACCAGGTTCCGGGTACCCTTCTAGGGGCTGGGATAAATCAGTGAACAAAACAGACCACTGCCTGCCCACATTAGCCTCCATTCTAGTGGGGGATAGACGTGAAACAAGATAAATACACAAATATCTCACACATTAGATAATGATGAATGCTGGGGAGAAAGAGAACTACAGGAAGTGTGTGGAGGGGTTGCCAGGGAGGTCATCCTGCAAAGGGGTTATTTGAATAAAGACCTGAAGCCATTGAGGGACAGATCCTCGTGATCGTGGAGGGGAGGACTGGGGCAAGCAAAGAGCAGTGCAAGGCGCTGAGGTGGGGCCATGTGTGGCACATTAGGAGGAAGTGAAGAGGCCAGTGCTGCTGTAGGGAGAGAGGAAGAGGGCAGGGAGGAGGATGTCCAACACGGACCCTGGTACCAGTTACCCCAGGACCATGTAGGGGCTCAGTGTATGCTCTAGTGAGAGGGGCACCTTAGAGGGCTCTGAGCAGAGGAGAGTCATGGCTCACTCATGACTTATCTGGATCACTCTGGCTGCTGGGTTAGATAATAATACATTATTAGTAAATGTTGCCTTTTTTTTTTTGAGACGGAGTCTTGCTCTGTCACTCAGACTAGAGTTCAATAGTGCGATCTCGGCTCACTGCAACCCTGTCTTCCCAGCTCAAGCGATCCTCCTGCCTTAGCCTCCCGAGTAGCTGGGACTACAGGCGTGCGCCACCACGCCCGGCTAATTATTTTGTATTTTTGGTAGAGACAGGGTTTCACCATATTGCCCAGGCTGTTCTTGAACTCCTGACCTCAGGTTATCAGACCACCTCGGCCTCCCAAAGTACTGGGATTACAGGCATGAGCCACCACCCCTGACCAAATGTTGGCTATCAGTTTTGAAATTTTAAAAAAATTATGGTAAAATATACATATCCTAAAATTGATCATTTTAACCTTTTTTTTTTCCCTGAGACAGAGTCTTGCTCTGTCCCCCAGGCTGGAGTGCAGTGGCACGATCTCGGCTCACTGCAACCTCCACCTCCTGGGTTCAAGCAACTCTCTTGTGTCAGCCTCCTGAGTAGCTGGGATTACAGGCATGCACTACCATGCCCAGATAATTTTTGTATTTTTAGTAGAGACAGGGTTTCACCATGTTGGCCAGGCTGGTCTCAAACTCCTGAACTCGTGATTCACCCGCCTCTGCCTCCCAAAGTGCTGGGATTACATGTGTGAGCCACCCCACCCAGCCATAACCTTTTTTTGTGGGGGGGCGGGGACGGAGTTTCGCTCCTGTTGCCCAGGCTGGAGTGCAATGGTGCAATCTTGTCTCACTGCAACCTCTGCCTCCTGGGTTCAAGCGATTCTCCTGCCTCAGCCTCCCGAGTAGCTGGGATTACAGGCATGCACCACCACGCCCGGCTAATTTTTTTGTATTTTTAGTAGAGACGGGGGTTTCTCCATGTTGGTCAGGCTGGTCTTGAACTCTCTACCTCAGGTGATCCACCTGCCTCAGCCTCCCAAAGTGCTGGGATTACAGGCATGAGCCACCATGCCTGGCTGGCTATAACAATTTTTAAATGTATAGTTCTGTGGCATTAAGTACAGTCACATTATTGTGCAATCATCATCACCATCCATCTCTAGAACTCTTTCATCCTCCCAAACTGAAACTCTACCTGTTAAACAGTAACTCCCCATGCTCCCTCCCACCACGCAGCAACCACCATTCGCTTTCTATTTCCATTAATGTGACTGCTGTAGGCACCTCCAGTAAGTGGAATGATGCAGCCTTTGTCCTTTTGTGTCTGGCTTATTTCACATAGCTATTAGTTTTTTATTCTTTTTTTTTTTGAGACAGAGTCTCGCTCTGTCACCCAGGCTGGAGTGCAATGGTGCAATCTCAGCTCACTGCAACCTCCGCCACCTGGGTTCAAGCGGTTCTCCTGCCTCAGCCTTCCGAGTAGCTGGGATTACAGGCATGTGCCACCATGCCTGGCTAATTTTGTATTTTTAGTAGAGACGGGTTTCTCTAGGTTGGTCACGCTGGTCTGGAACTCCCAACCTCAGGTGATCCACCCACCTCAGCCTCCCGAAGTGCTGGGATTACAGGCATGAGCCACCGCGCCTGGCCTAGTTTTTTATTCTTTCATTAAAAAATAGGAAGAATAATAGTTGCTTTGACTACCTCAGAACTGTCATGCGAAGACCCAAGCTGGTGACGAACATGAAGGTGTTTTGTAAATGGTGAAACCCAATCAAAATGTTAGGATGATTGCCATGGTCATTATTCTGCCCAGGCAGAGCTGCCCAGCTGGCGGTGAGGTAGGACATGCGGCACTGGGGGGATTTCTGAGCCTCCTTCCAGACATTAAAGGGACAGTGGGGGGTCACCAGGTGCCGGGCAAGTGAATGACTGCTATCTCTGGGGCAACATTTTGGGGCTTGTTGGAAAGGGCCTCCCTTGGCTGGGGTGGGGGCCTGGGGTGCTGACCCTAATGAGGGGCAGGGAAGCCAGCTCCTCCTACAGCCACTTGATGCCAAGCGTCCCTCACCAGTTGAATGTGTGTTGCTCACCGTATACCCCTGCCACCCTGCAGAGTGGCAGAGCTGCCCACTACACATTTCCCTAAAGCTACTGACCACCCTAGTGCCAACCCAGGGTAGACATCCCCGACAGCAACTGTCACAGTCTCTTACCTCAGTTGCTATTGGATACGAATGTTATCTTAGAGATATTCCCTGGGAATTCGAGGAGCAGAGAGAGAACTGAACACTCTGGGCCAATGGAGGAGGGGCTCGGTGAAGGTTTCCTGGAGGAGGTGACCAAATATTGCTTTGCCCTCTTCTCAGTAATAACAATAGTAGAGCAGCAGAAGGAGAGATGGCATGTGCCGCACAGCGAGCTTTACATGCATCACATCAGTTAATCTCACTAATCCCACAAGGCAGGGACTGAGCACCCCCACTTTACAGCTAAGGAAACTGAGGCTCAGAGAGGTTCAGCCACTTGCTCAAGGTCATACAGCTCTAGGTGGCCATGCCAGAATGAAGTCTGAAGTCTGAAATCTGCTGGTCTCTGCAGTCTGCACTCTGTTTTTGTTTTGTTTTGTTTTGTTTTGTTTTTTTGAGAAGTCTCACTCTTGTCCCCCAGGCAGGAGTGCAATGGCACGATCTCAGCTCACTGCAACCTCCATCTCCCAGGTTCAAATGATTCTCCCGCCTCAGCCTCCTGAGTAGCTAGGATTACAGGCGCCTAGCACCACGTCCAGCTAATTTTTGTATTTTTAGTAGAGACGGGGTTTCACCATGTTGGCCAGGCTGGTCTCGAACTCTTGACCTCAGGTGATCCACCTCCCTAGGCCTCCCAAAGTGCTGGGACTACAGGTGTGAGCCACTGTGCCCGGCCTGCACTCTGTTACACTGCAGGCTCCTTCTGAAAGGCAGGGCTGCCCAAGGTGTGGCCAAGGGCACTACTGGTAGTTCCTAAAATGAGCTTAGGTGGCACATGGCCAAACATTTCTAAACATTTAATAGGTGTTAATTGACTTTAATTTATGCTAAGAAAGTGATAACTAGTACATCAAACTTTTGGTGAGACAGAGAGATATAAAGTTTCCTTTGGAATTACATTTAAGTAAAATGGGCTGACTTTTTAAAAAGTTCTCAATTCACTTCTAAATTCTTCCAGGTATCACAGCAAAATGTTATGTTTATCAACTGGAAGGGCTGAACTGTGGTAAGACAGACATAACAGTACCCTTTTAACCATTTTGTCCATAGAAATCAGAAAAATAATTTATTCCAAAAGATGGTTTAGTGTAATTCCGTTGGGACAGGTCTTCCCTCTGAACGTGCTCTCCTGCTGACCCCCAGCTGGTATCTTGTCTGTCTTGCAGCCGTTTTTAAACACTTGGTTGATTTCCATGTTGACTTGGTTGATTTCCATGTTGTGAGAAGGTAGGAGCCATCTTCAAAACCACAGATTCCAAGGAGGGACTAACATATTTATCAGAAGAACAACATCTTCTACCGCAAAAGAGTGTGTGAGCTGAGTGCGGTGGCTCATGCCTGTAATCCCAGCACTTTGGGAGACTGAAGCGGGCGGATCACGAGGTCAGGAGATAGAGACCATCCTGGCTAACACGGTGAAACCCCATCTCTATTAAAAATAAAAAAAAAAATTAGCCAGGTGTGGTGGTGGGTGCCTGTAGTCCGAGCTACTCAGGAGGCTGAGGCAGGAGAATGGCGTGATCCCGGGAGGCGGAGCTTGCAGTGAGCCGAGATCACGCCACTGCACTCTAGCCTGGGCAACAGAGTGAGACTCTGTCTCAAAAAAAAAAAAAAAAAAAAAAGAAGAGTGTGTTAACATTGTGCAGAGTCAGCACAGGTTAGGTTAAGTAGGCACAGAATTCACCGAAGTGTGAAAAAAGTGAAAGAAGGTCGGGCGCGGTGGTTTACGCCTGTAATCCCAGCTCTTTCGGAGGCCGAGGCGGGCGGATCACGAGGTCAGGAGTTTGAGACCAGCCTGGTCAACATAGGGAAAACTCGTCTCTACTAAAAATGCAAAAAAGTAGCCGGGCGTGGTGGTGGGCGCCTGTAATCCCTGCTACTTGGGAGGCTGAGGCAGGAGAATCACTTGAACCCGGGAGGCAGAGGTTGCAGTGAGCCGAGATCACACCATTGCACTCCAGCTCGGGGCGACAGTGGGAGACTCCATCTCAAAAAAAAAAAAAAAAGTGACAGAAGAAATACTGCATTGTAGCTGGGCACGGTGGCTTACGCCTGTAATCCCAGCACTTTGGGAGGCCGAGGCAGGCGGATCACAAGGTCAGGAGATCGAGACCATTCTGGCTAACACGGTGAAACCCTGTCTCTACTAAAAATACAAAAAATTAGCCGGGCGTGGCGGCAGGCGCCTGTAGTCCCAGCTGCTGGGGAGGCTGAGGCAGGAGAATGGCGTGAACCCGGGAGGCGGAGCTTGCAGTGAGCCGAGATCACGCCACTGCACTCCAGCCTGGGTGACAGAGCAAGACTCCGTCTCAAAAAAAAAAAAAAAAAAAAAAGAAGGAATACTGCATTGTTGAATAAGATACTCAAATGCAGTCTTAACATTTAAGGTGGCTGATGCCCAAAATAGGCAAGTCAAGAAAGGTGATTTGGATTTGGAGGTGATTTTGCACCTGGAAGGAATTCTCTTCCCATGACCTTATGAGTATTGTGGAGCATGTCTTCATCCTTAAGGTCAATGATGCATCAGATACCAGATGGTTTCGTTTCTCAGCTGTGGTCCAAAGAGAGGGTTGAGTTGGGCCAGAGTTGCCAGAATTGCAATCGGCCAAGTTTGCTGCTTTATGATCAAGGATATTACAAAGGATACAGACAGAGAGATGTGTAGGGCAAGGCATGTGGGAAGGGGCATGGAGCTTCTACACCCTCCCTGGGCACACCACCCTCTGGGAACCTCCATGTATTCAGCTGTCTGGAAGATCCCATTTTATTTATTTATTTATTTATTTATTTTGAGACAGAGTCTCGCTCTGTCACCCAGGCTGGAGTGCAGTGGTGCGGTCTTGGCTCACTTCAAGCTCCACCTCCAGGGTTCACGCCATTCTTCTGCCTCAGCCTCCAATGTAGCTGGGACTACAGGCACCCGCCACCATGCCCAGCTAATTTTTTGTATTTTTAGTAAAGACAAGGTTTCACCATGTTAGTCAGGATGGTGTCGATCTCCTGACCTCGTGATCTGCCTGCCTCGGCCTCCCAAAGTGCTGGGATTACAGGCGTGAGCCACCACGCCTGGCTGTAGGTCCCATTTTAAAAAAACAGTTCTGTGGCATTAAAGTATATTCACATTGTGGAGGCTGAGCACGGTGACTCACACCTGTAATCCCAGCACTTTGCAGGGCTGAGAATCACTTGAACCCAGGAGTTTGAGACCAGCCTGGGCAACAAAGGGAGATCTCATCACTATACAAAAGCTAAAAATTATCTGGGTGTGGTGGTGCATGCCTGTAGTCCCAACTACTTGGGAGGCTGAGGTCAAAGGTCACTTGAGCCCAGGAGATTGAGGGTGGGGTGAGCCATACCACTGCACTCCAGCCTGGTCAAGACACTGCATCTTAATAATAATAATAAAAAAAGGATAGCCACATTGTGGTTCAGCCATTTCCACCACCCATCTTCAGAACATTTTCATCTTCCCTAACTGCAACTCTGTACCCATTAAACACTAGCTCCCCATTCTTGCCTCGCCACATCCCCTCCTAACAGCTCCTACCAACCACCATTCTACTTTCTGTCTCTGTAAATTTGCCTATTCTAGGTATCACATAGAATAATTGTTCTTTCATGTCTGACTTGTTTCACTTATGATGTAAAGGGGAGTCTATTTAAAGAGAAAACATCAGGCTAGGTGCAGTGGCTCATGCCTGTAATCCCAACACTTTGGGAGGCCAAAGTGGGTGGATCACTTGAGGTCAGGAGTTCAAGACCAGCCTGGCCAACATGGCAAAACCCTGTCTCTATTTAAAATACAAAAACTAGCTAAGTGTGGTGGCGCACACCTGTAATCCCAGCTACTTGGGAGGCTGAGACAGGAGAATCACTTGAACCCAGGAGGAGGAGTTTGCAGTGAGCCAAGATTGTGCCACTGCACTCCAGCCTGGGCAACAGAGCAAGACTCCATCTCAAAAAAATACAAATAAATAAATAGAAAACATTAAAATATATTAGAATTTAGGATGTCTGCAGATGTGGCAATGGTACAGGGTGACTAAAGATGGAAATTCAACAGGCTGTGAGAACAGAGGACTTCTCCCTCATCTCTGTCTGTGGGGATAACTAGATCTGCTAATCTGTGAAATTCAGGACACACGTTGGGAACAGGAGAAAGAGGAGGTGGAAAAGGGGTCAAATGCAAGCTCCCCATCCAAAGAACCAAGCAGGTGCCACTGAGCTCTCCTGGGAGCCTTAGTGCTCCCAGGCCTTTGACACAGGGCTAGCCATCTGCTCTGTACACACCTGACAAACAGCTGATAGGTGGCCCATCTGTGGGCTGCATTAGAAGCCTGCTGGTGCCATTTTCTCACACTTATCTGACTGGTGTGGGAAAATGGCACCAGCAGGCTTGGAATGTGCCCAAACAAAGCCATCCAAGGGACCTCGTACTGTTGTGGATCCATATACATCCCAGAAACCAAGTAGAACCCAATGACTAGATGTCCCATATCTGAAGGTTCTGAGTCAGCAGCAGTGATAATACTTAGGGCAGGATCTGTGCAGTGAAAAGACTGAGATTGGGAAATCCCCAGGGACTTGGGCTGAAAACAAAGCCATTTCCAGAACAGAGAGGGAGCCAATCTCCCTGGAGGACTGAGGTCCTTGCAGAGAATCCTCACTCAAGGTTGCAGTAGGCAGACTCCTCATATTAGTCCGTTTTCGCACTGCTGATAAAGACATACCCGAGACCGGGAAGAAAGAGAGGTTTAATTGGACTTACAGTTCCATATGGCTGGGGAGGCCTCAGAATCATGGTGGGAAATGAAAGGCACTTCTTACATGGCAGCAGCAAGGGAATATGGGAAAGAAGCAAAAGCAGAAACCCCTGATAAACCCATCAGATCTTGTGAGACTTATTCACTATCCCGAAAATAGCACAGGAAAGACGGGCCCCCATGATTCAATTACCTCCTCCTAGGCCCCTCCCACAACACATGGGAATTCTAGGAGATACAATTCAAGTTCAGATTTGGGTGGGGACACGGCAAACCATATCACTCCTACCACTATGGTCTCTAGGCACAATGATCCAGAAATACTGGGATGTGAGATTTCTCTCCAAGGAGCACGTTCATTGCCAGGGATGGGCCCTCGTGCTGAGTGGCCCTGTGTGCCCCAGGCCTGTGGAAGGTGCTACTGCTCCATCTGTGCCTTGGATACCTCCATGCAGCCCAGCCCTGCAAACCAATTGATTATCCTTCCTGATTCAGTTGATCTCTAACTAGCAGCCAGGCCTCACTCAATGGTGCGGTTCACTGGATGTCATCTGCTAATCTCACACGCTATAAAGCCTTGAGAGAAGGGATCACTCTGTTCTCTTCCCACTTTGTACCTTCAGTATCTAGCACAGTACTCCATAGATAATAGTAGCTCGTTAAATATTTGTGAATAAATCAGTATATACATGATCATCAATCCTGATGTGTTTTATTGAATGTCTTTCTTTTATAGTTTTTTTGTTTGTTTTTTTGAGACAGGATCTCCCTCCCTCACCTAGGTTACAGTATAGTGGCGAAATCGTGGCTCCCTGCAGCCTCAACCTCCCAGGTTCAAGCGGTCCTCGCACCTCAGCCTCCTGAGTAGCTGAGACAACAGGTATGCACTACCATGCCAGGCTTTTGTTTTGTTTTGTTTTGTTTTGTTTAGAGACAGGATCTCACTATGTTGCCCAGGCTGGTCTCAAACTCCTGGGCTGAAGTGATCTGCCTGCCTCAGCCTCCCAAAGTGTTGGGACTACAAGTGTGAGCCACCATGCCTGGCCCCCCCATTGTGTTCTTTCAAGATTTGTACCTATACACGTGTGTAATACACACCACACATCTTTACATACATATATGTATAATTTGTTAGCTTTATGATTTTAAAAATCCAGAATCTTGTGATGTTTCTGGAGAAAAAAATTCATATTTTAATATATAATTTGCATTTGCATTGCTAGAGGACTATTTACCAACTCCTAAAGTCAGTACATCTGAAAACAGAATGTGTCATGGAAAATAATTCTCTTTTAAAAATTCACAGCAATTAGGACATATCTTATTTTGAAAACGGAAACATGCTGTGTTCACGCCTGTAATCCCAGCACTTTGGGAGACCCAGACAGGTGGATCAGTTGAAGTCAGCAGTTCAAAACCAGCCTGGCCAACATGGCAAAACCCCATCTCTATTAAAAATGTGAAAATTAGCCGGGCATGGTGGTGCGCGCCTGTAATCCCAGCTACTCTGGAGGCTGAGGCAGGAGAATCGCTTAAACCTGAGAGGCGGAGGTTGCAGTGAGCTGAGATCATGCCACTGCACTCCAGCCTGGGTGACAGAGCGAGACTCTGTCTCAAAAAAAAAAAAAAAAAAGAAAGAAAGAAAAAGAAAAGTAAAAGGAAACAATTCAAGTGTGAATGGAGTCATAGTGGAAAAAAAGAGTTCCAGCCAAATTCTTTTCTATGCAGCATTCCCTGTGGGCAAACATCTCTTAATGAGAGGAATTCCTACTTTCCCAAGTCAAGAACTTGCTGCTCCAAGTTGCTAATATTATAGTAGTTCTATATTTTATATCAACTCCTGGATCTTTTTCTGGGTTGGGAAGTCCTTCTGGTGTCATGGGTAATCTAAACACTAATGAATAGAGCAGGTAGGATGCTGAGACCTTCAGGGGTAAAAAGCAATTTTTAAATATACATCTAAGTTTATTTTTTTTGTTTTGTTTTTGTTTTTGTTTTTGAGACAGAATGTCACTCTGTTGCCCAGGCTGGAGTGCAATGGTGCAATCTCAGCTCACTGCAGCCTCCGCCTCCCAGGTTCAAGTGATTCTCCTGCCTCAGCCTCCCGAGTAGCTGAGATTACAGACGCCTGCCACCACACCCAGCTAATTTTTGTATTTTTTAGTAGAGACGAGGTTTCATCATGTTGGCCAGGCTGGTCTTGAACTGCTGGCCTCAAATGATCCACCCGCCTCAACCCCCTAAAAGGTACTGGGATTACAGGCAATGAGCCACCGCGGCCAGCCTAAACATACATCTAAGTTTAGATGGAAATGTGTACTTAAAACAACAATAGATGAATAAAAAGCCACCCAAGCTTAGGCAAAATGGAAAATGTTATTTGCCATCGGAAGCCTTCCACGTCATATGTATATTTATATATGCTGTAGACAAATTTTTATGACACTTGTGAGCAGTGATGCAGATAAGAGGGCAGTGGCCAAGGACGGGGCGGTCACATACCCCAGCCCCGGCTGGGGTATGTGAACCCGCATACTAGGGTATGTGACCATGCAGCCCCTTGCCCTGTAGGCCTACACCCCAGGACGGGCCTTTGAGGCCCTCCAGGATGAAGCTGGTTAATCATTCACTCTGCTCCCAGGGTGAGGTAATCCAGTCTCCCCAGGGAGAGGTGAAACTTGCGGGTAAACCAGCCCAGCCTGCACTGCAGGGCTGACGTCACCGTCACTGAGCTAGCGAGCTAGTGGAGGTTGCTGCTGGCCAGGCCACGGGTGGGTGGGGAACCTGCGGTCGGGGGTGGGTATGGGGAGTGGAAGGTTGGGGAGGGTTCTCTTGAGCTGAGGGCACATTCCTGACTAAATTCACCCCGAGGCTGCTCTGGTGGAAACCACCAGCTGGTCCCAGGGCCCTGGTGCTGCAGAAAGAACGGCAGGCTGAAGGAAAGAGATCTGTGAGGGCTCCTCCACCTAGTGTGAGGGCCACTTGGTGGAACGGGGCAGCAGGGTGGAGGGGAGTGACTCTGTAGATGGTGAGAACATGGGAAATCCTGCGGAGAAAGCCCTGATTTAGGAGGCTACAGACCCTTAGTCCTGGCTCTGCCATACCACGCCCCATGCCCTGCTGGGCGCCTTCCACCCCCATTCCCCAAATAAGGACAGACCATACGTTCCTTGGTGCCCTCTCTGTGCTTTTAAGTGCCAGCTTCTTACATAGATGATCTCATTTCATCTTCAGAACAACCCCAAGAGATGGCTGTGAGGATCAACCACATGTGAGAGGTGGGGAAGCTGAGGCAGGAGCAGTGGGTACTTACCACGGATTACCCAGCAGTCAAGGCTGACTGAGGACCTTAACCCAGGCAGGCTGACTCTGGCACCCGCAGCCACAATGCCATCCTGCCTGGGTCCCAGCTGACCTCTTCTGGGACCTGTCCCCCCCACCCTCCCCCGTCTGGCATCTCATATCCTCCTCCTTCCTCTCTGCCTTTTCATATCCAATTCCTTGGAAGCCCTAGTTCTCAGAGAGGAAGGCTTATGAAGCGTTGATTCACACAGCTTCCCCATCCAGCCCAAGGGTATAATGAAAAGGAAAAGCCAATCAGTAGCAAAGAGGTCAACCTTTTGCCCATTGATTAGAGCTAAAGGTCCTCAGCCTTGCCAGAGGTCACCAATCAGAGGTTCAAAGATGATAATTAGTGGTCATCAATTTCTTGATGAGGTATCAGGTAGATGCATTCATTTATTCGATAAATTGTTTATTGGATGTCTTCAGTGGGATACACATTGTGAGCAAAGCAGGCAAAATGCCATGCCCTCACGGAGTGTTCATTTTAGTGGGGGGAGAAAGACAATTACAAACAGCAAAAATAGATAAATATTTTGTGTGTCTGAGCATGATAAATGCTATGGAGAAAAATAAAACCAAGAAAGAAGATAGGAAGGCGGGCAGGGCTAGGGTGGGCAATGGGTTACAATTATTTTTGTGTTTTTTTTTATTATTATTATACTTTAAGTTATAGGGTACATGTGCACAACATGCAGGTTTGTTTCACAGGTATACATGTGCCATGTTGGTTTGCTGCACCCATCAACTCGTCATTTACATTAGGTATTTCTCCTAATGCTATCCCTCCCCCAGCCTCCCACTCTCCTTTTGTTGCTGTTTTTTTTTTTTTTTTAAGAGACTGGGTCTTGCTGGGCATGGTGGCTCACGCTTGTAATCCCAGCACTTTGGGAGGCTGAGGCGGGTGGATCACGAGGTCAAGAGATCGAGACCATCCTGGCCAACATGGTGAAACCTCATCTCTACTAAAAATACAACAATTAGCTGGGCATGGTGGTGGGTGCCTGTAATCTCAGCTACTTGGGAGGCTGAGACAGGAGAATTGCTTGAACCTGGGAGGTGGAGGTTGCAGTGAGCTGAGATCGCACCATTGCACTCCAGCCTGGGCAAAGAGTGAAACTCCATCTCAAAAAAAAAAAAAAAAAAGAGAGAGAGACTGGGTCTCGCTCTGTTGCCCAGGCTGGAGCGTAGTGGTGCAGTCATAGCATACTACAGCCTTTCTCTCCTGGGCTCAAGCCATCCTCCTGCCTCAGCCTCTTGAGTAGCGAGGAGTACAAGCGTGCGCCACCATGACTTAAGTTTGTTTTGTTGTTTTTTGAGACGGAGTCTCGCTCTGTTGCCCAGGCTGGAGTGCAGTGGCACAGTCTTGGTTCACTGCAGCCTCTGCCTCCTGGTTCAAGCGATTCTCTTGCCTCAGCCTCCTGAGTAGCTGGGTCTACAGGTGTGCACCACCACGCCCAGCTAATTTTTGTATTTTTAGTAGAGACAGGGTTTTACCATGTTGGCTAGACTGGTCTTGAACTCCTGGCCTCAAGTGATCTGCTTCCCTCAGCCTCCCAAAGTGCTGGGATTACAGGCATGAGCCACTGTGCCCAGCCCTTGCTAACTTTTAAAAATTTTTTGTAGAGACCGGAGTCTCCCTATGTTGACCAGGCTGGTCTCAAACTCTCGGCCTCAAGCGATCCTCCTTAGGCCTCCTAAAGTGCTAGGATTACAGGTGTGAGCCAAGACCGGAGTCTCCCTATGTTGACCAGGCTGGTCTCAAACTCTCGGCCTCAAGCGATCCTCCTTAGGCCTCCTAAAGTGCTAGGATTACAGGTGTGAGCCGCTGTGCCCAGCCTGTTTTTAAGATGGGAGAAATTATAATACGTTTATATGCCAATGTAAATAATCAAGTAAAAAGGAAATTTTTGAGAAGGGAGAGAGTTGCTGGAGCACTGTCCTTGGGTAGGCGAGATGGGAGGGGATTTAGTGCACAAGCGGAGGGGTTAGCCTCAGCCAGGAGCTCAGCCAGTCATCTGCAGTAACAGGAGAGAAGGCAGAGGGTTTAGGCGTGGAGGCTGGTAGGCGGGTGGGTGCAGGGGTGAGACATTGGAGGGAGTCCTCATCTGGTCGCTTCCATTTTCTCAGTGAACTAAGAGGCAAGATCCTCCACCAAGTGAGAAGTGGAAAGCAGATGAAGTTTTGATGAGAGAGAAGGTATAAAATATTCCTCTGAGAAAACAAGAGGGTGAGTCAACTTGGGAAAGGTAGTATGATTGTCAGGTAACACTAGGGCCCACATGAAATTCATGATCAATAATTTAGAGAAGCGTTTCTCAATCTCAGCACTGTTGACATTTTAGGCCAGTTAAGTGTTTGTTGTGGGGAGCTGGCCTGTGAGCTACAGGATGCTTAACACGGCTGGGCTCTCTACCCACTAAATACCTGTAGCACCTACCCTCAGGTGTGATAATAAAAATGTCTCCAAACACTGATGTCCCTGACAGGGGCGGTGGCGGTGGGGGTGGTGGGGGGTGCCAGGTACAAAGCTGCTCCCTACAGAGAACCACCAATTTAGACTGAGAACAGTCAATGTGTCTGTTAATCAGCGCAGGTGCATACTCAGAACGGACAGAGGGTTGGATTTTATCAAGATTGTGGTTCTGCCAAGTGAGAAACACAAAGCAAAAGGGGCCAAGAGAGTTCAGGGTTTCTGAAAGAAAGTGATTGTAATGTCCGATCATAGAATGTAATCTGGGTAAAGAGGGGAGAGAAAACTTGAAGGGATGAGGGACAGAGAAAAGACAGAATGGTCAGTGGATTAGATATCCCTGTGAAACTGAAGGAGTGCTGGAGTTGTAATTCCACAGAGGTGAGCTATAAAAACGAGAGGCAGTGGCCAGAGTGAAATTGAGAATATTAAGGTGTTCAGTGTCTGGTAATGACAAGGATTAAGAGATGACCAAGGGAGTCTACAGTTGAATTAATGTGGAGGACAAGCCCCCTGAAGTCTTAACAAAGGGATTTTCAGTCACATCCTTGATTCATCTTTAGACAATGTTTCCTGACAGTGCCCTGGATCTTCTCTTTGCCTGGAAATGATTTCTTTTGTTTTAAGTCCATAGGGCATTTTTTTTTTTTTTTTCGAGACAGTCTCACTCCGTCACCCAGGCTGGAGTGCAATGGCACAATCTTGGCTCACAGCAACCTCTGCCTCCCAGGTTCAAGTGATTCTCCTGCCTCAGCCTCCCAAGTAGCTACGATTGCAGGCATGTGCCACCATGCCCAGCTAATTTTTTTTTTTGTATTTTTAGTGAGATGGGGTTTCGCCATGTTGGCCAGCCTGGTCTTGAACTCCTGACCTCAGGTGATCCACCCGCCTCAGTCTCCCAAAGTGCTGGGATTACAGGAGTGAGCCACCGTGCCCAGCAGGACTATATATATAGAGAAAGAGAGATAGATAGATAGATAGATAGATAGATAGATAGATAGATATAGAGAGAGAGAGAAGGTCTTGCTCTGTCACCCATGCTGGAATGCAGTGGTGCGATCATGTCTCACTGCAGCCTTGACTTCCTGGGCTCAATTGATCCTCCTGCCTCAGCCTCCCAAAAGGCTGGGATCACAGGTGCGAGACATTGTGCCCATCATAGCACATTTTTTTTTTTGAGACGGAGTCTTGCTCTGTCACCCAGGCTGGAGTGCAGTGGTGCAATCTCAGCTCACTGCAACCTCTGCCTCCCAGGTTCAAGCGATTCTCCTGCCTCGGCCTCCTGAGTAGCTGAGATTACAGGCGCACGCCACCATGCCCGGCTGATTTTTGTATTTTTAGTAGAGATGGGGTTTCATCATGTTGGTCAGGCTGGTCTCGAACTTCTGACCTCATGATCTGCCCGCCTCAGCCTCCCAAAGTGCTGGGATTACAGGTGTGAGCCACCGTGCCTGGCCTATGAGCGTCTTTTGACATTTGATACTATTGACTACTTCTACCTTGAGGTTTCTACTTCTTGGGTGTCTCTGACACCATCCTCCCTGGTTTTTGTTTTCTTCCTACCTAGTTGATCTCACCTTCTCAATCTACCAGCTCTTCTTTCTCCATTTAGCCCCTAAACATACAGAAGCTCTATCCCTGGACTGTTTTCCCCTGTATTTTTCTGTCCATTTTCCCTGATTAGTGTTCAAACCCTTGGCTTCAACTATCATTTAAATGCTTCAAGACCCTAAAAGCTACTTTTTGACCCAAGCCTCCCTCTGAACATATCTGCCTACAGAATATCTCAGGCCCCTCAAAGCGCAGTAATCAGATCCAGCCCCCAATCTGTTCTTCCTCCTAAGGACCGGAGCCTGGCCTACCCAGCCACATGTCAGACTCTCTGTGTTATCTTGACTCTGCCCTCCCCTTAACCTCTCACCAAGTCCTGCCCTTTAGACCTCTGTGATGTCTCCTGACCCTTTGCTCCACTCCAGTCCTCATCTCCACTGTCATTGCTGCCACTCAGGCCCTCATCCCCTTTTCTTGGGAACTGTAACAGCTTTCTGGGTGGTGTCCTTTCTTTAATACTATCCCATCATGCTACCCTCCACATTGCCATCAGTGAGACATTACCAAAAAGCTATTTTGACTCTGTTACCTTACATTTCATGATCTACAAATCTCTCAGCCTCATTTTTGGCCACTCCTGCCTGAAATGCTAGGCTCCTATCCTATTCAATTTCTTCCTGTCCTCTGTTTAAATCGTACCATTTCATGCATCTTGACCTTTGCACGTGATGTTCTTTCTGCCTAGGTGACCCCCATCTCTGTGCCCTGGTGAGTTCCTACTTATCTTCCCAGAACCCCCGCGCACCTGGTTCCAGAGTCTGTGTTCTTCTCTGTGGTTTCAGTGTCACTATAGATACTTTTGTCATACAATTATTCCCATTATGTGTTAAGCATCTGTTTACTCATATAACCTCAAGAGGGGAGAGTCCTCATCTTGGTTTCTTTTATATCATCAATGCCTGGCACAAAGCAGATTCTTCAATGAATCATCATTTTTAATGAAGGCATAGTATTCCATAGTAGAAATAGATGAGTCATACTTTGGTTAACTCATTCCAAATATAGACATGTTGTTTATTTTACTTTTTTTGAATTACTAATGTTTATTTTTCAAAACGAAGGAAGAATTTTCTTCTTTTTTTTTCCCCCGAGGAAACACCAATTTTAATTTAAAGAAAAAAAAATCAGAAAAATATCTGTGAGAATAATGGAGCAAAACAAGTCCTGAAAAAGAGTTCTGCATCTTGGTCATGTTTATTGGAAGAGCTTGAGAAAACTGAAAATACCATTTAGCTTAAGAAGTTGTGAGTTACGACAGGCGTAGTGGCTCACACCTGTAATCCCAGCACTTTGGGAGGCCAAGACGGGCAGAACACGAGGTCAGGAGATCGAGACCATCCTGGCAAACATGGTGAAACCCCGTCTCTACTAAAAATACAAAAAATTAGCCGGGCGTGGTGGCGGGCGCCTGTAGTCCCAGCTACTCAGGAGGCTGAGGGAGGAGAATGGCGTGAACCCGGGAGGCGGAGCTTGCAGTGAGCCGAGATTGCGACACTGCACTCCAGCCCGGGCGACAGAGCGAGACTCCGTCTCAAAAAAATAAATAAATAAAATAAAGTAATTAGCTCATCTAGGCCTAGCCTGATAAGATCCAGGGGCTCCTCTACAGTGTCGGTAGTGCGTTTCTGGTCTGCGTCGTCCGCCATGTTTCAAACCCTGCACCCTTTCCCGCCTCATTTTCTTCTTTTTTTCCCCCCCTTCCAACTACATCCTACACGATGTCTTCTTTTTTATTTTAACAGAAATACAGGCTTTTTGTAAAGGAAAATTCAGGCAATATGGAAAGGCATTAAGACAAAAGTAAAAATTATGCATCATATCATTATCCAAAGATAGTTGTTGTCATTAAGCTGATATCTTCCGCCCAGACTGTTTCCTTTCCTTTTCTTTTCTTTTCTTTTTGAGACGAAGTCTCGCTCTTTTCCCCCAGGCTGGAGTGCAATGGCGCGATCTAGGCTCACTGCAACCTCCACCTCCCGCGTTCAAGCAATTCTCCTACCTCAGCCTCCCGAGTAGCTGGGATTACAGGTGCCCGTCACCACACCAGGCTAATTTTTGTATTTTTAGTAGAGAGGGGATTTCACCATGTTAGCCAGGTTTGTCTCGAACTCCTGACCTTAGGTGATCCACCCGCCTCCGCCTCCCAAAGTGCGGGATTTATAGGTGTGAGCCACCATGCCCGGCCTCCCAGACTGTTTTCTTTTTTTTTTTTTTTTCTTTTCTTTCTTTCTTTCCTTTCTTTCTTTCTTTCTCTTTCCTTTCTTCCTTCCTTCTCTCTCTCTCCCTTTCTTTCTTTCTTTCTTTCTTTCTTTCTTTCTTTCTTTTTTTTCTTTCTTTCTTCCTCTCTCTCTCTCTCTCTTTCTTTCTTTCCTTTCTTTTTCTTTCTTTCTTTTTTTTTTTTTGGAGTCTCACTCTGTTGTCCAGGCTGGAGTGCAGTGGCCTGATCTTGGTTCACTCCGCCTCCCAAGTTCAAGCAATTCTCCTGCCTCAGCCTCCAGAGTAGGTGGGATTACAGGTGTGCATCACCACACCCAGCTAATTTTTGTGTTTTTAGTAGAGACGAGGTTTCACCTTGTTGGCAAGGCTGGTCTCGAACTCTTGATTGCCTTCCTTGCCCTCCCAAAGTGTTACAATTACAGGCATGAGCCACCTCGCCTAGCTCGAGACTGTTTTCTATGCATACGTATACAATAGTTATTTCTACATTTTAAAACCAGAATTGAAAAATACTGTGCATAGTGTTTTGCAATCAGCCTTTTTCACTTAACAGTATGTAATGAACAATATTCCATGTCATTAAATACTCACAGATCATTGTTTATAATGATTGCATAGTGTTTCATTTTATGGGTATGACAATTTATTTAACAGATCACCTATCTTTGGACTTTTTAAAAATAGAGATGGGGGTCACACTATGTTGTCCAGGCTGATCTCAGACTCCTGGGCTCAAGCAATCCTTTCACCTTGGCCTCCCAAAGTACTGGGAGACACTGCACTCCAGCCTGGGCAACAAGAGCAATACTCTGTCTCAAAAAAAAATGCTAAAAGCATTAAAAATACTTTTCTATGGCAAAAAATTCAAATGGTCCCGTAGGTTATATTATAAAAAGTCTCCTCACCTACTCTGACTTTCATTCCTATTCCAGAAGGAACGCAGTTTAGCAGTTTCTTTTGTGTCCTTCCAGAGATTCTCTCCTTTCTTTGTCACTCACACATACACACAGTAAACGATACGCACTATTCTACATCTGCTTTTTTCACTTAATCTGTTTTGGAGATTGGTCCACATAAATTCATGCAGAATCACCTCATTTTTTTTTCAGTGCACTGTAATTTTTTTAACTACTCCTCTATTAGCAGAGATTTAGGCATCAGGCTTAAGATTCACGCATAAGCTCTGAAATCAGACTGCTTGAGTTTGAGTACTGGCTCCACAATTTACTAGCTGTGGAATCTTGAGCAACTGACTGACATTCTTTGTGCCTTGGTTTTCTCATCAATAAAATGGAAATGACATAGACCCACCTCAAAATGTGGTTGTGAGGATTCAGAGTTTGCATCTGTAAAACGCTAACAAGATCTGACACATAGGACCACTTAATAGAATGACTTCTTCTCTCTCTTTTTTTTTTTTGGAAACAGGGTCTGGCTCTGTCACCCAAGCTGGAGTGCAGTAGTGTGATCTTGGCTCACAGCAACCTCTGCATCCTGGGCTCAAGTGATACTCCCACTCAGCCTCCCCAGTGGCTGGGACTACAGGCTCATGCCACCATGGCCGGCTGATTTTTTGTATTTTTTGTAGAGGCAGGGTTTTGCCATGTTGACCAGGCTGGTCTCAAACTCTTGACCTCGTGATCCACCCGCCTCGGCCTCCCAAAATTCTGGGATTACAGGCATGAGCCACCACGTCCGGCCCAAAAGAATAAATTTTAAAAACACTACAGTTTGCTGTGAATCTTTGGACAGAGTTTTAATCTTTCAGAGTCAGAGGTTTCTTGCCAAACTGAAAAGAACAATTCTTGTCACTGAGTACCTAAGAGAAAGAAATGCCTCTGGAGACATTAATTTTTTTTTTTTTTTTGAGATGGAGTTTTGCTCGTTTCTCAAACTGGAGTGCAATGGCGTGATCTTGGCTCACTGCAACCTCTGCCTCCTGTCTCACCATCCCGAGTAGCTGGGATTACAGGTGCACACCATCAGACCCCGCTAATTTTTTTTTTTTTGGGCAACTTCCGCCTCCCGGGTTCAAGTGATTCTCTTGCCTCAGCCTCCCGAGGACCTGGGATTACAGGCATGCGCCACCATGCCTGGCTAATTTTGTATTTTTAGTAGAGACGAGGTTTCTCCATGTTGGTCAGGCTAGTCTCGAACTCCTGACCTCAGGTGATCCACCCACCTTGGCTTCCCAAAGTGCTGAGATTATAGGCGTGAGCCACCGTGCCCAGCCTAAAATTATTTTGATTCTGCAGAGATGGGGTCTCACTTTGTTGCCTAGGCTGGACTTGAACTCCTTGCTCTCACCTTGGCCTCTCAGTGTTGAGATGACAGGTATGAAGCCTGGCCCTAGAGATCCTTTTTTTTTTTTTTTTTTGGGACAGAGTGTCGCTCTGTCGCCCAGGCTGGAGTGCAGTGGTGCCATCTTGGCTCACTGCAAGCTCCACCTCCCGGGTTCACACCATTCTCCTTCCTCAGCCTCCCAAGTAGCTGGGACTACAGGCGCCCACCACCACCACCACCACCACCAAGCCTGGCTAATTTTTTGTATTTTTAGTAGAGACAGGGTTTCACCGTGTTAGCCAGGATGGTCTTGAACTCCTGACCTTGTGATCTGCCCACGTCGGCCTCCCAAAGTGCGAGGATTACAGGCGTGAGCCACCGCGCTCGGCCTAGAGACACTTTTAAAATGTTGTAGAGATGTAAATAACAGCCTTTGGAAGCTTTTCTTCAGTCCCATTGATGCTTTTTTTTTTTTCTTTCCCAAAATGGAACATAGCTTACTTTTTTATGATAACATATGCTCTATTTAACTTTTTTCAGAAAATATATGTTTCATACCACCCAGAGATAACCACTAACATTATACAAGGTAGAATCATTATATACAAAATGAGTACAAACCTACTTTTTTTTCACTTAATATATCATGGACAATGCTACATGTCAGTAAATATAGCTCCATAGCATCACTTTAATGACTGGCTAATATTTGAATAAATATCTCTATTGTAGTTTGTTTCACCAATCCTTCTTTAAAAATTTACTTATAAATTTTTATGTATTTCTATTTTTAGAAATGGTGTCTTGCTATGTGCCCAGGCTAGTCAGGAACTGGGCTCAAGTGATCCTCCTGCCTCAGCCTCCCAAAGAGCTTGAGCCACAATGCCCAGCCCTATTTATAAATTTTAGATTACAGACTTGAGCCACAATGCCCAGCCCTATTTATAAATTTTTTTAAAGCATGCCCTGAACCAGAATAGGTTCAGAGAGACTCTGTCACCAATCCTTTTTTTTTTTAAGTGAAAGGAAGATTATTAAGAAAGTAAAGAAATATCCTGGCTAACACGGTGAAACCCCGTCTTTATTAAAAATACAAAAAATTAGCTGGGCATGGTGGCAGGCGCCTGTAGTCCCAGCTACTCTGGAGGCTGAGGCAGGAGAATGGAGTCAACCCGGGAGGCGGAGCTTGCAGTGAGCCGAGATCTCGCCACTGCACTCCAGCCTGGGTGACAGAGTGAGACTCCATCTCAAAAAAAAAAAAGAAGTAAAGAAATAAAAGAATGGCTATTCCATAGACAGAGCAGCCACCAGTCCTCTTTTGGTTGACATGGGTTGCTAGCTTTTGTCTTCAGTTATAACACCACCACAACGAGCATCCTTGTACATATATCTTTGTGCACTTTTCCAATTATTTTTCTTGGAAAAATTCTTAGACATGAAATTGCTGTGTAAAGACATATGCATGTTTTTTAAGGCTTTTAAACAATCTGTGAAATAGTTCTTTAGAAAGCATATCCCGCTCACACCTGTAGTCCCCACACTTTGGTAGGCTAAGGCAGGATAGCTTGAGTTCAGGAGTTCAAGACCAGCCTGGGCAACACAGTGAGACTCCTGTCTCTACAAAAATAAAATTAAATTAAAAAATTAGCTGGGTGCGGTGGCACATGACTGCGGTCCCAACTACTTGGGAGGCTGAGATGGGAGGATCACTTGGGCCCTGGGGGTGGGGGAGGCTCAAGGCTACAGTGAGCCATGATCATGCCACTGCACTCCAGCCTAGGTGATAGAGTAAGACCCTATCTCAAAAAAAAAAAAAGTTTAAAAATATATAAAAATAAACATTAAAAAATTAAAAAGAAAGAAAATGTCTCTCGGCCAGGCACTGTGGCTCATGCCTGTAATCCCAGCACTTTGGGAGGCCAAGGCAAGCGGATTAGCCGGGCGTGGTGGTGTGCCTGTAGTCCCAGCTACTGGGGAGGCTGAGGCAGGAGCACTGCTTGAATCTGGAAGGCAGAGGTTGCAGTGAGCTGAGATTGCACCACTACACTCCAGCGTGGGCGACAGCGCAAGACTCCATCTCGAAAAAAAAGTGTCTCTCAATTCACACCTTGACGAGTGGTTTTTGTCAAGTTTGAGTTTCTTCACATCCTCACCAGCTCTAGACATCAGGGGCATTCTTTAATTCTTTGCCAATTTGACATATGAAAAGTAATATCTCCCATGGCCTTAAGCTGTTCGTGTTTCAAGCAATGATAGTGAAGAGGAGGTCCATCTGTCTGCATTTGCCATGGAGAGTCTAGTTTTCCAAACCCCAGCATTTGCTCCGCCTGGAGCATTCTCTCCTGGCTAGAAATCAGCCCGGAATCAAGCCTGTGATACAAAGACTCTAAATCCCAGCTGGCCTTACAAACACATGGAGTAGATGAGGATTGACCAAAGGATGCTGGGACTTTCCCCTGGGCACTATGGCCTGGGTCACTGAGGCTGGCAGGTGTGGAGGGGGCAGGTGAGGTTGAGTCATGCAGGACACTGGGTGTGGTTTCTTGGATCAGCTCCAGAGTTGACATGCAGGTTCCAGTAACGGGCGGCTGAGCTGGGCTAATTGCTGCTGCTGGTGCCCCAGCCCAGCCCTGCACGTAGCAGAAGAAGGAGGAGGAGGAGGAGCGTAGGATAAGAATGAGAGGGCAATGCTCCCAAGGGTTGGCCACTGTGAGGTTCTGAAGAACTGAAAACTCACTTTCCATCCACCCTGCAGGATCCAAGGGTCCCTGGAAAGCAATGCTCATTGAATCCACCCTCCACCCCAGGCATGTTTGTATATCCATAGGGCATTCCTCAAACTGCACATCTAATGGTGGGGTTTTAGGCACCCATACAGCGGAGACATTTGTGTTGCTCAGCACCTCTCAAAGCAGAGTCAGCTGTGGAATTGAAGAAAGAAGGCAGGGTTCAAGCTCCGGTTTCCTAAACTTACTACTATCTCTGAGAGCTTAAGCTTTTCTTAACCTCTCTGAAGCCTCAGTTTGCTCATCTGTGAAATGAGGCACTTATCCTCTACCTTGTTGAGAGGTTTATATAGATGTCTTTGGAATTTCCTAGGCTCTAGCCTAGGCTTTCTTTCTTTTCTTTTCTTTTTTTTTGAGATGGAGTCTCACTCTGCCACCCAGTCTGGAGTGCAGTGGCATGATCTCAGCTCACTGCAACCTCTGCCTCCCAGGTTCAAGCAATTATCTGCCTCAGCCTTCCGAGTAGCTGGTATTACAGGCAGCTGCCACCATACCCGGCTAATTTTTTTGTATTTTTAGTAGAGACGCGGTTTCACCATCTTGGCCAGGCTGGTTTTGAACTTCTGACCTCATGATTCATCCGCCTCAGCCTCCCAAAGTGCTGGGATTACAAGCCTGAGCCACTGCACCAGGAATTTTTTTTTTTTTTTTTTTTTGAGATGGAATCTCACTCTGTCGCCTGGCTGGAGTGCAGTGGTGTGATCTCGGCTCACCGCAACCTTCTCCTCTCGGGTTCAAGTGATTCTCCTGCCTCAGCCTCCAAAGTAGCTGGGATTACAGGCACCCGCCACCACGCCCGGCTAATTTTTGTATTTTTACTAGAGATGGGGTTTCGCCATGTTGGCCAGGCTGGTCTCAAATTCCTGCCCTCAGGTGATTTACCCGCCTCAGCCTCCCAAAGTGCTGGGATTACAGGTATAAGCCACCGTGCCAGGCCATAGCCTAGGCTTCCTACTCCCCCTGGGTGACCTCTTCCCTACTGGGTCTTCTGCACACAGCATGGAGCCATGCACACAGCAGACAGTTAATGAACACAGAGAGAATGAATGATGTATGTAAAGCAATAACTTGACACATTGCCTGGCACCTAGTAGATACTCAGTAAGCGGTCAGCTGTCAACATGAAGCTCAGGCTCCATTCAACATGATTTGTGACTTTGAGCAAGTTACCTTTCTTTTCTGAGCTTCAGTTTCCTCATCTGCAAAGTGAAGAGTGTTCTACATTGAGTGCTCTGTCCTACAAATCACTGGTAGTTATGATGTAGGGAGTAAATTTTTTTTTTTTTTTTTGAGACGGAATTTCGCTCTCGTTGCCCAGGTGGAGTGCAATGGCGTGATCTCGGCTCATTGCAACCTCTGCCTCCCAGGTTCAAGCGATTCTCCTGCCTCAGCCTCCCAAGTAGCTGGGACTACAGGTATGCACCACGACGCCTGGGTAATTTTGTGTTTTTAGTAGAGACAGGGTTTTTCCATGTTGGTCAGGCTGGTCTCGAACTCCCGACCTCAGGTGATCCGCCTGCCTCTGTCTCCCAAAGTGCTGGGATTACAGGCATGAGCCACTGCACTTGGCCGATGTAAGGACTAATTTAAGGTGCTTGTTCTTCCTGAAAAGAGATGGGTTGAGGGGGAAATATATGCAGAGCTATTACATGGACAAATGAAGTTCTGCCAACTCTCCTCCCTCAGCAGAGAGAGGGGATGGGACAAGACTGCTGGGCAGTGGTGGCATCTTTGGACACTCTGGGTTAAGCAGCCATTTACAGCCCAGAAGACCATGCAGAGATAGTCCAGTGTGCATGAGGGCCCATGCTATGCCATGCACTGAATTGGGTTAAAAGTCAATGGTTTTGGAAGTAAGAAAACTCAATACTTCCCAGTAAGTATCAGAGGCTCTGGTGTCCACCCCAGGCCCTCATAATAGAAGGAACTGGCTGGGCTTCCATACTCATGAGCATCCTCCCATCCCCCCCAACCCACTTCATTAATTTACTTGTTGACATGCCCAACGAGCCATCCTTTTGCCAAGTAGAGGGGGTACAAAACATGCTCCTAGTCTGGGAGCAGTAGGTGAGAGAAGCATAGATGTTTTTAACCAGGGGTTGAAAACTTAGTGCTTCTGGGGCCACACAGGTACTGCATGGTGGAGATGGTGGTAAACTACATGCAAAGACTATATGGAGCAGCCTCACTCCACTGTGACAGATTGTGGTCCAGGGAGAGCTGACCTAGCTGGGCCAAATTTTCTGATTCTTTTTTTCACATTTATCTTTATTTTTAAATTTTTTTGAGACCAGTTCTCACTCTGGTGACTTGTAGGACAAAGCACTCCAAGTAGAACAATCTTCATTTTGTAGATGAGGAAACTGAGGCTCAGAAAAGGAAGGTAACTTGCTCAAAGTTACAAATCATGCCCCGGCTGGATCGTGCAATCAGAGGTTACTGCAGTCTTGAACTCTCAGGCTCAGGTGATCCTCCTGCCTCAGCCTCCTGAGTAGCTGGGACCACAGGTGCACACCACCACTCCTGGCTAATTTTTAAAAAATTATTTGTAGAGACAGGGTCTCCCTGTGTTGCCCAGGCTGGTCTTGAACTCCTGGGCTCAAGTACTTCTCCTGCCTCGGCCTCCCCTTGTTGCGATTTCAGGCGTGAGTCACCTGGCCCAGCCAATTTTTTAAAAAGACAAGCCACAAATTCAGGTTTTTTTTCTGAGAAAATTTTCCTACTTTTAAAAACTTGACAACTTGGGCCAGGCGCAGTGGCTCACACCTGTAATCCCAACATTTGGGAGGCCAAGGCAGGCAGATCACGAGGTCAGGGGATCGAGACCATCCTGGCTAACACAGTGAAACCCCATCTCTACTAAAAATGCAAAAAATTAGTCGGGCGTGGTCATGGGCGCCTGTAGTCCCAGCTACTCAGGAGGCTGAGGCAGGAGAATGGTGTGAACCCGGGAGGCAGAGGTTTCAGTGAGCCGAGATGGCACCACTGCACTCCAGCCTGGGGGACAGAGCATGACTCCGTCTCAAAAACAAAAAGCAAAAAACTTGACAACTTGTTGATTTTTTTGTGACTGTGGCAAACATATCTGTAGTAGAAGGCATGGTGGGTAGTTCAGTGGAGCTCTTATAGGCCAGTGGCAAATGGAGGCAGGGGTGGCTTCCTGAGTGCAACCTGTGCGGTGGTCCCACAGGGCCCTGCGCTTGGAGGACTGCACCTCGCGCATGGTTCATGCTCTTCTCTGCTGTTGCCATTTTGAAATTTTTAATCGTTCTTTTTTTTTTTTTTTTTTGAGATGGAGTTTCTCTCTTGTTGCCCAGGCGGGAGTGCAGTGTCATGATCTTGGTTCACGGCAACCTCCGCCTCCCAGGTTCAAGCGATTCTTCTGCCTCAACCTCCAGAGTAGCTAGGATTACAGGCGCACACCACCACGCCCAGCTAATTTTGTATTTTTAGTAGAGATGGGGTTTCGCCATGTTGGTCAGGCTGGTCTCAAACTCCTGACCTCAGGCGATCCACCCGCCTCGGCCTCCCAAAGTGTGGGATTACTGGCATGAGCCACTGCGCCCAGCCTAATAATTCTTTAACAAGGGCCCAGGCTTTCACTTTGCACTGGGCTCTGCAAATTACCAGGCCTGTCCTGACTGGAGGCAAGGGCTGAACCCATCTGGTGGGGGAAAAGGGCCAAAGAGGAGGTCAGGAAATGCTTCATAGAAGGACCCCGAGGGAGGAGGTGAGTCGTGCAGGCAGGCCTGGGTGTGGCTATGTGAGACTGTGAGGTGGGAGTGTGTTGCGTGCGCTGGTGTGTGCAAGTGTGTGAGGTTGTGAATACGGTCCATGCGAGTGTGTGAGAGCAGGCAGCGTCTGCAGTGCGTGCAGGGGCATGTGAGTGAGGGCTTGTGAATATTTATCTTTGTGAGTGTGAGTGTGTGTGACTTTGGTTCCCATGAGTGTGTATGAATGTGTGTGGTGTGTGGGGGAGGTAGTGGCCAGGGCAGGGAGAGTCACGGGGCCATTTAGCAAATATTTATCGAGCACCTCCTCTGTGCCAGGCGCTGTGCAAGGTGCTGAGGTGAGTAAGCCCCAGCACTTGCCCAGAGGTGCTCACAGCCCGGCGAGAGAGAGAGATGTGTAAACAGACAACAGCAGAGAGAGAGAGCAGATTGAAACCAGACTCCTCAGAAATGCAACCCCTTCACCCACTTCCCCCAGGAGAAGCCAGACTTCCCCAGAATTGGTGGGACAGGTGGGGCTGTGGGATAAGCCAGGAACTGTCCCAGGGGGCCAACCCCAGCCCCTCCTCAGGCACACCCAAACACGACGGGAGGGGTGACCTCCCTCTGACCTGCTCAGCGACACACCCAATCCCACAGAAGCAGATAAGAGGTGACCAGCAGCTCCGGCAGGGCGGGATATAAACAGCCCGGCCCTGTGGCTTCCTCCCCACCCCCACTCCCCAGCCCAGGACACACCTGAGGGGATGCAGACTCTGGTGGGCGAGAGACCGGGCCGTCTCCTGCTAGGAGGCCCCTGGGCTGGTGAGAGTCGGGGTAAGGGTGACTGGTGCCCGACAGAGAGGGCAGCACGGAGGCCAGCCCAGGGGCCCGTGCCAGGACTCTGCAGCATCCTGAGGGGTGAGAGGGCAGAGAACTGTTGGGGAGAAAGGCGTCCCTCCCAGAGCTGCCGTCTTCCAGGCTGTCCCAGGCGCTGCCCTGCAGAGGCCACCTGCCCAGGTGGTCTCACTGAGCTGCAGCGTGGAGGCAGGCATGCTGTGAGCTGGCCCCGCTCTCACCCAGTCAGTGACTTCAGCCCACCACTAGCCTTGTCAGTAAAATGGGGACACCTGGTCTCCTCAGCGAGCTGTGGGGCGGATCAAATGAGATAATGGGATGAGGAAAGCGCCTCATAAACTGCAAATGGCAGGGCAAAGGTCAGCACGCAGCGGGCAGCACCTGCCCCCAGCCCTCCAGAAGAGGGTGAAGGGGCTGAGCGCCATATTCCCAGCCCTCCTCCCTGCTAGGATCTCCTTTAGAAGCTGAAGAGGCTGGGAGTCAAGGGAGGCTGAACAAGCATGTCCCGGGCTCTAGAGGCCCCTCCCCCACTTCTTGGCTAGGTGACTTCAGGCCACACTGGGTCACCTCTCTTCTTTTTTTTGAGACAGAGTCTCCCTGTGTCACCAGGCTGGAGTGCAGTGGCATGATCTTAGCTCACTGCAACCTCCGCCTCCTGGGTTCAAGTGATTCTCCTGCCTCAGCCTCCTGAGTAGCTCGGACTACAGGCGCGTGCCAGCATGCCCAGCTAATTTTTGTATGTTTAGTAGAGACGGGGTTTCACCGTGTTGGCCATGATGGCCTCGATCTTCTGACCTCGTGATCCTCCCGCCTTGGCTTCCCAAAGTACGAGGATTACAGGCGTGAACTACCGCGCCCAGCTGGGTCACCTCTTTTAAGGGTGCAAGGACCCCGAGATATTGTGGCTAGGGAAACTAGACCAGAGTCTAATGCATAATTTCCAAGAAATGGGGTCATTTTTAGACTAAGTAGCTGTGAAAGCTTCCCCAGCTTCTGAGGCTAGACCTACGCCCTGGCCCGCATCCCCTTTGTCTAACTGGCTCACACTTCAGAAGGGAAATGTAAGTAAAAGCCTTTTTCCAAATGGCTCCAGGATTCTGGTTTCTCTCATGACCTCACTTTCCTCTCCAATCAACTTCCCCACTCTCCTTTTCCACCATTCCTTGCTTCTCCAGAGCAAGCTGCATTTCCAGAAATCCACACACAAGCTTTAGTTTTTCTAAGATCCCTTCTTTATCCACATCACTTCAGCCAACAATCTGATTGGTATTTCCAAGACAACAGAGCAGTATTTCAAACTCATGAATGGGATTTTAATGTGCTGTATGGAATTTGAAGCCTCAAACTTAAGGAACTTTCCACCTGGAAAGCATTCTTAAGTAACATCAATGAACTGTCCTCCCTAAAACCTAGACACAGTATCACTGTGGAAACAGAGTAATAGTTCTGGAATCGATTGAGGATTAGGTTAGAAGCGCCCACACCAGGAAAAGCTTCCGGGAAACGGTTTTAGGACAGAATCAAGGCACACCTGTGGAACCTCTTTCTGCATCTGTCAAATGGGGACGCTGTGTCTCCTCTCTTCTTAGGAGAGGATTAAATGAGCCAGAGTGGGCTAGCACAGTGCCTGGCATGAGACTACAGTTTCACTGGGTGCTATACTCACTACCTGGGTGACAGGATCATTCGCATCCCAAGCTCAGCATCACACAATATACCCATGTAACAAACCTGCGCACGACCTCCTAAATCTAAAGTAAAAGTTGCAATTAAAAAAAAAAGAGAAAAAGACTACACTTTCAACAAATGCCAACTCCTTCCCTCATTCTTTCTCAGCAAGTACTCATCTCCATTTTGTTTTGTTTTTTTTTTTTTTTCCTTTACAAGATCCTAACTCTGATTTTGTCAGACTCAAAAGCTGGGATTCATATTACAGATATACAGTTTACAGCACACTTGGCTGGAATGCAAAACCATCTATTCCACAAGGCCAGCCATGCAATTCTAGACATCTTGAGAACATCAGGTCCAAACCCTAGCCTAATAGGAAAAATCAGTCCTAAACAGGACAGACTTGGTCAAGGTCAAGGTCACTCGAGCGGTGTCATGACAGCAGGATGCTTCTGACCTCAGTGTTCTGAGTTCATGTCCTTGCTTGCATGAAGTCTTGTAAGCGTTCTCCAACAGTCTCAGCTGCTTCCTTTGCTCGCCTCCCAGCCCAGTCCATGTGTCTGTAAGCCCACACCTGCTACAGGAAATCTGTAACTCCCCTCTTCGTCAGCCTTTGCCCTCACCCTCAGCCTGGTAGACCTTCATTTTCCTCCCCTCCAACCTCTTGACCATATTCGATCCAAAGGCCCAAATTTCAGTACACAGGTAGCTAAGACAAAGGTTAGAAAAAGCCCAGAAGGCACTTTATTGGAGGTCTCTGCCTCCATTCACAGGAGAAAGGAGCTGGGAGCCCCATCCTAAGGGTCCCAGCATCAGCCCACTGGAGGGCCTGGAACAGTCCAGCACTCTGTGGGAGAGGAGTGGGGAGGGGAATGTTTTAGAAAAAATAGATCTCTATGTACATCTGACATATTTATATAGCACATAAATTAGGGAGTGCTCTGACCCCTGCCCGTGGAGCCCAAGCACTGAGCAGGGAGGTGAACGCCAGTCCAGAAAGAAGGTGCTGGAGCCCCTGCTCTGTCCTCTCCATCACGGTGCTCCCCTAGGGCCTCCCCAGGCCTCCTTGGCTCAGTCCAGGTGTCTGCAGGAGGAAGGTGTTGTCTGCATTTAGTGTCTGAGACTGGGTTTGAGGAGGCACCAGATAAAAGGAGATACACTTGCAGCTATAAAGTCAGCTTCAAACCCCAGGGCTTGTAATTCCAAGAGGAGGGTGGGGAGGCGAGGCCATAGTCTCCGAGTCCCAGGACGATGGCTGACAATACACCAAAACATCAGCTTCTCTCCACAGCACAGCTGGGAGCATTCCCCAGTGGAGGGGCCATCTGGCCTGCCTGTCCTCCCAGGAAGGTTTGCAGGCCTCGAGTGGTCCGTGAGTTTGGTCCCGGGTATAGTTCCAACCCTCAGTTCCGACTCTGGAGAACCTCTTCCTCCTTCCAGCCGCTTGAGTTTTTGCCAAACTTGTAGACGAGTCGCCGGCCATCCACCCGTTCCAGGATCTCCCGTTTGTAGTAGTACCTGGGTGAAGAGAAGGATGGTCAGAGGTGCTTTGGCAGGAAATGGGCCCCAGGCTGCCAGCCCGCCCACCTGGCCCGCGTTACCCCCAGGTAACCCATGCCCACTGGTCTCTGCCTGACTAAGCTGAGCCTGACTCACACTTCCTAAACTCCTCTGTTCTTCACACTGGCAAGCAGAAGCTCTTTCCCTACACTGGCCTGTAACCGTGCCCAGGACACAGGGCTCTTTGCCTTTGCTTCTTTGTATCCTATGGCTGTGACTGGGGTCTGATCATTAAATTACATGACTTTTAAGGCCAGGGAGCTGGGCACGGTGGCTCACACCTGTAATTCCAGCACTTTGGGAGGCTGAGGCGGGCGGATCACTTGAGGTCAGGAGTTCGAGACCAGCCTAGCCAACATGGTGAAACCCCCGTCTCTACTAAAAATACAAAAATTAGCTGGGCATGGTGGCAGGTGCCTGTAATCCCAGCTACTTGGAGGCTGAGGCACAAGAATCACTTGAACCCGGCAGGCAGAGGTTGTAGCGAGCCAAGATTGTGCCACTGCACTCTAGCCTGGGTGACAGAGCGAGACCCTGTCTCGAAAAATAAAAAGAAGAAGAAGAAAAAAGAAAAGGCCAAGCATACTGGCTCACACCTGTAATCCCAGCACTTTGAGAGGCCGAGGCAGGAGAGTCATTTGAGGCCAGGAGTTTGAGACCGGCCTGGCCAACGTAGAGACCCTTGCCTCTATTTAAAAAAGAAAAAGAAAAAAAAAGTAAGTACATGATTTTAGGGCTGGACGGGATCTTAAGATGATCTAGTGTACTCCTGGACACAGGAGGAAACTGAGGCCCAGAGAAAAACAACCTAAGTGCTTCAACGAGGAGAAAGCCAGGCCCTGGGTGGGCACGGCTCCTGCCCCCTTTCCCACTCTCCAGGTGCCTTCCTGAGGACAAGCCTCACAGGCGATACAAGAAATGTTGCTGCTAGCTCAAGTGCACTGTGTCTGCTGTCTGCCAGGCTAATACTTTCTCCATGTTGTCATTTAATCCATGAAGTAGACCAACCCAGATGTTGTCCTCACTCTAAGGACTCAGCCCTGTTGCAAGAAGCCAAGTGGCAGCCAGAAAGAGGGCGGTGGGAGTGTGAGCGCCTGTCCCCATGTCCGGCTGTATCGTGAGGGTCCTGGCCGCCAGCTCACCTCATGGCCCGGCTCAGCTTCTCGTAGGTCATGTTGCTGTTCTTTTTCTTTTGGCCCCATAGTTGGGCCACAGCCTCGGAGCGCAGGAACTTGAAGACGCCTTCATGCCGATTCTCCCACTTCATGAGGCCCTCGTTGAGCTCCGGGTGGATGAGGATGTCCCGGATGAACTCCCACAGGTGGGTGCCTCTGGGCGCTGCAAGGCCAGCCTCCATCAGTTTGCCATCCAGGTGTCCCCTCTCACCCAAGGCCAGCCAGCCCTGCCCGCCCCAGTGCACTGCTGACTTGGCCACAGCATGCAGCAAGCCTCTCCAGAGACCCCGCAGTGCCCTCTGTGCGGGTACTGCAGTGACTGCTTTTCTCCTCAGCCCACCTAAGACCCACCAGCTGCCTCCTCACATTGAGGGTGTCCCAGAGGGCAGGACAGTGGCCAAGTGCAGAGAGAACTGGAGTCAGTGGACAGGACACTGGAGTCAGTGGACAGGACTCTGGTACCATGAGCCTCCCACTGGGAGCCTTATTTCCTCCTCCTCTCCAGGACCACCAAGCCAGGCTCTGCAATTAGGTGGTGACCGATACCATAGAGCCCCCAGCTTGTGCACAGCCTTACCAAAGGCCATGCGGAGGCCAGAGAAAACGGGAGAAGGGATACCTGCAACAACCCGCAGTGCCCCAGGAAGCCGCTCAGCCCGGCGCAGGGAGGACCCACGTGCCCCCGGAGCTCACCGTGCTTGCTCTTCTTGCCCTCGAGACAGTCCCAGTACTCTTTGCTCAGCTTTCGGGGCCGGCCTCGTTTCCGCTTCCCGTGCTTGGGATCCCCCTTCTTGCAGTCACGAAAACCATCTGTGGGGACGGTGGTGGAAGGTCAAGGAGGGGCAAGAGGGGAGTTAGGGAGAGTAGCCCCTCTACAGGAAAAGGCTGCAGGAAGAGCCGGGCCCCCTGTGCATTGCTAAATGGGACGCCCTCTTGGGGACCTCCCTCGACTCACCGCTGGGGAAGAGCTTGCCATCAGTGGGATCCAGGTCCACGTCACTTCCACCGGAGTCTGAGGAGTGGGAGCTCCGAGAAGCACCAGTCCCTGGGGGGCGGGGTCAGAGTAAGTCCCCTGCCGGCCCACCCTCTGCTCAACCACGCTGCTGGCTCTCAGGACACACTTCCCAGCCTGTTCCTGTTCCTGCCAGAAGGCCTGAGTTATGGTGCTGGGAGCCAGAGGGAACAAGGGACACTTCGGGGAAGGGAGGTTGTGGCCCAGAGAGAGCTCTCACCTGCGGTGGAGACGTCAGAGCTGCCAGGGGAGGGGGCTCCTGCGCCACAGCTGCCGGGGTGGTAGGGGCTGGCTTGCTGACCGTCGTCCAGCAGCTCCTGGGCAAAGGGGCTGCCCTGGTCTGGGAAGAGGAGGTGAGAACTCAGAGAGGGCTCAGGGGACCAGACCAGGACAGGTGATGCTGCCCATGGGTCTGATGACCTGCTGCAATTTTTCTAATTGAGGGAGGAAGAAGTCTGGGGAGGGGGTCATCTCTAGCACTCTGTGGAGGGGCAGGGATGGGACAAGACAGGCTGGGGAAGGAAGGAGAAAACGGGTTCTCACCAAAGGGCCCTGGGTCTAGGGCCTCCTGGAAGGCCATGCCATCCTTCTCCAGCAGCTCAATGATCCAACTGAGCTCATCAGAAGAGCTGGAAGCTGACAAGGAAGGAAGGAAGGGTCACACTCCCCTAATCCCTCCCTCAAGGGCTCTCTCTGGCTGTGCAGCTGGCCCAGAGCTCCAGGGCCTGCCTACGGCCACACTGAACTCGACTCAGCTCAACATGTGGAGCTGCTCCCCAGCCTCCAGGGGCCTGGACTCACTGAGGTCTCGCAGCTGGGCATGGAGTTGGTCCCCCAGAGGCCCAAAGACCAGACGCAGCTCCTCAAGGGCACAATTGCAGAGGGTGGCGCCATCCATGTCACATCGTGAGAAGTCAATGGCGCTTGCGTCGTACTTGTTCTTCTCCACTTGGTAGCTGATCCAGTCCAGAACCTGCGTCTTCGACCAGAACTGGGGCTGTTCCCCCAACCAGCTGGCCTTCTCTGCAAGGGCCAGGCAGGGAAACAGGCTCAGCTCAGGCCACCCAGCAGACCTTACAGCCCCATTTTTTTTTTTTTTTTTGAGATGGAGTCTCACTCCTGTCACCTAGGCTGGGGTGCAATGGCACAATCTCGGCTCACAGCAACCTCCACCTCCCAGGTTCAAGCGATACTCCTGCGTCAGCCTCCCCAGTAGCTGGGATTATAGGTGCCCACCACCACGCTGGGATAAATTTTTTTTTGTATTTTTAGTAGAGACGGGGTTTCACCATGTTGGCTAGGCTGGTCTCGAACTCTTGACCTCAGGTGATCCGCTCAGCTCAGCCTCCCAAAGTGCTGGGATTACAGGCGTGAGCCACCACTCCCAGCCCACACAGCCCCATTCCTGGAGCACACTGGGGATTCACACCTCAGCCCTTGGAGCCATCCCAAGAGTAGGGGCAGGAGGTAGCATTCACAACACCCTTGTCCTGGTATCTGACACCTCCCTCTGCCTGTCACAGCCCCACAACCCCCAGCACCTCAGTCACTAAGTCTCAGCCTCTAGCCCTGGAATTTGCCTAGAGACCCTCCTCCCTGCCTATTCCCCCATTTGTCTAACAGGCCCTTAGATGGATCTGTCTCCCACTCCGTGCCCCATCCCACCCCGCTGAGACCCACCTGTACCCTCCAATGACATCTGGGGGTTGCTCAGGGTCAGTACCAAGTCATCGGCCCCAAAGGTGGCAGCAGGGGGAACAGAGGCCAGGGTGGAGTCCTCCGAGCTGTACATCGCACTGAAGTAGTTGCTAAAAATGTTGCTAATCTCACAGGTTGCAGCCATGAGGCTACCTGTGGGTAGGGGGAGAGAGGATGAGGTTGGTGAGGGGACGAGGGTCCTCTCCTTACACTCCCAGCTACTCTGCTTTGCCCAACCCTGGGCAAGAGTAGCCCCCAGGGGCAGGAAGATCAGCAACTCTGCGGACACCGTCTCTTCAAGAAGGGCTCCAAGATCTCAGACCAGGGCAGGACCACAGGAGCCTCCAGCTGGGCTTCCCTCCTCAGATCTCTGGGGCCCTGGAGCCAGACTAGCGGCGTCATGGCCATTCTGCCTTCCCAGAGACAATCTCTCTCTGTTCTTTGACCCTCAGGACACCTACGCTCTTGCTCGGAGATCCTAGACTGGAGTGTGCAGGTTCAGAACTGCAAATCCTCTGGACCCCTCTGCAGTTTCCCAAGAGCTGGGCTAGGGAATGACAGGCGGGGAATCCTACCGGAGTGGCGGAGTCCGGCTGTGGCAGGCAGGCCGGCAGGCGGGAGAGAAATCCAGTTCCGCCAGGTAGCGCTGAGGTATCTGGCCGCTGCGCTCCCCTACCCGGCTCTAAATAGAGCCTGGAGGGAGCTCCTCCCTGAGCTCAGGGCTTTATAGTGTGTCCCCTGCAGTAACCTGAGCTGGTGTCTCATTGGATGGAGGGGATTTCCTGGCCTTTAGACTGGGCTCCTGGCCCCAGGTGATTTGCATATTCAGTGCCACTTGGCCCGGATCTTAGCAGGCAGTGCTGGGAAATCAGGCCCGGCTGGTTTAATGATTGTCAGAGTCTGTCATCCCGCACCCTCTGGGGTTGGGCACGGGGCACTGGCCTGGGCAGGTGGCGGGAACGTTGCTGGGGTGGGCATCTGTGCTTTCGGCTGCCCTCTGGCCCAGGAAATTCCTCCCAGGGGCCAGGCCAGAGATGGGCCAGGCAGGGGGAGGGCAAGTGAGGGAACATGAACCCCTGGCTGACCTGAGTCAGAAAGCTGCTGGCCCCTAAATTCCAGAGATTCAGCAACAAAGAGGCCTAGTAGGGAGAGGAGTTACTAGGTTTAGGGGTTTTTCCCAGAACACCCAGGACTCTGGCCAGGGGCTGGAAGGTGCTCCAGGCTCAATGCTGGGCAATACTCATGGATTAATTGGTGCTGGCTGGGCCTGCCAGCCTAGTCGTGGCCCCAGGGTCCCCACTAAAGGGCTCCTTCTCCAGCGCCCACTCTGTTGGCAAGGTCTTCACTACCATCACCTGCCTGGACTCCATCCAAGCATCAGGGTTGCTGCAGTCGCTCCTGAAGAGACCCGGCTCTGCTTGAAAGTTCTTCCCTCAGCGCCTGCTGGAGCCCTCCCTGCCGGAGTTGCCAGAATCCACACGGGTAAGTTCATCCCTGCTCTCTGGACCCCATCTAATCTCTGGTTCACTCGGCCCAGTTTTCCAGTACCTTCTGCTGCCCTCTAGTGGTCAGAAGCCTGACTACCTGGGTCACGTCATTCAAAGAAGAGGGAATGCATAGTATTAATATATTTACCAAGCACTTTTCAACATATTCTCTCATTTAATCCTCACACCAAAAAAGTCCTGTAAGGAATGCATGGTTATTCCCATTTTATAGACATGAAAGTTGCAGTGTGGAGGGTTCCCTTAGAATGGCTTGCCCAGGCCACACAGAGTTGGTGAAGGGGTGGAGCTGAGATTCACATCCAGGTATGCAGGTGTGTTGTACACAAAACCCTCGCTCTTTCCCTGCACAGGATTCAATGTCTTCGGGCTTCAGAGTCTTCCCATCCAGCTCCATGGCCAGAGCCCTTGCCTTCCCTGTGGGCAGAGTCCCCCATGTCTGTGGTTGTCTCTATGGACTCAGCCCGAAACACAATGGATAGTGTCTTATAGACCCTTCTTGAGACCCTGAATGGGGTAATACAGGTGGTTGAGGCAGGAGACTTGTAGCCAGCATCTGCAACTGTGTGATCTTGGATGAGACCCTTGGAGTCTGTGCTTGTTTCCCCATCTATAAAAAATGAGGTTGTCTGAATTTAATAATCCCTAAGATCTCTTCCAGATCTAGTATTTTGTTTATTTTGTTTTGAGGTGGAGTCTCGCTCTGTCGCCCAGGTTGGAGTGCAGTGGCGTGATCTCTGCTCACTGCAACCTCTGACTCCTGGGTTCAAGCGATTCTCCTGCCTCAGCTTTCCGAGTAGCTGGGATTACAGGCGCCCGCTGCCATGCCCGGCTTTCTGTATTTTTAGTAGAGACGGGGTTTCACCATGTTAGCCAGGATGGACTCGATCTCCTGACCTCATGATCTGCCTGCCTCAGCCTCCCAAAGTGCTGGGATTACAGGCATGAGCTACTGCGCCCAGCCCATATCTAGATTTTTATGCATTTGAAATGTAGGATCCGGTGGCTCACACCTGTAATCACTGCGTCTCAAAAAAAAAAAAACAAAAACAAAAAAATGTAGGATCTGTGTGACCCCCCTCCATTAATGCACAACTTGGGGAGTTCCTGGCCACCCTCAGCCAGGGTGGGTGAAACGGTTACTCAAACAAAAGGTGACTCCACCTTCTACAGATACTTCTTTCTTTAACTCTATAGCCTGAGGACTAAGAAAGTCCTGCGCAGAGAATCTGCTTCTTACCTTACCTTCTTCCTCTCTGAAGCTCCCAGGTGCCTAGGAGAGAGTTAATGTCCAGGATCCCCCCGCCCCCCCGCCCCCGCACTGGGCCAGTGCAGGCAGGAGAGCCTGGGGCTCAGTAGGATTTTCCCCAGCCCTTCAGGGGGCCTCCCCCAAGGAGCCTGAGGCAGGCACACCCTCCACCCAGTCCCTCACCCAGGAATGTGGGAGAACCGGCTTCTAGCCCCAGGGCTGCTCACGTGCTCCCTGCCCTGAAGAGCATCTGGCTGGGGCTCCCGGGATGGCGGGGTGAACAGGAGGATGTACGAGAAAAATGAGAAGGCTGTCAGCTCCCTTGCCTTCTTGGGGCTTCCTCACCGCTGACATGGAGCTGAGATAAGGAATCCCTACAGGCTGGCAGCTTGAGATAAGTGAGAAAGACTTGGATTTGAGGTCAGTGCCTTGGAGGCATGGGGATGGGGGTGGGGAGAAGGTTCCAGGATAGTGGTGAAGAGAGCTATGGAGCAGGATGCCAGGGGCTTCCCAGTATTCTGTGATGGCAAAAACAACCCACTGGCCTCCCCTCTCCCCACAGAGCTTGCCCACACGGCAGCACAGCCTCATCTTTGGGATGGGAGAATGTCCTACAAAAGGACAGGCACATCCAGTAGTCCTGTCAGGTACCAAGGTGGTGAGTGAGGCAGGCTGCACAGCTCAGGATACCCACGCTATGTAATGGGAGACCCCACAAAGTTAGTGGAGTCACAGCACGGCTGTTAGAGGAAGGGCTTCCAGCCTTTCCTTGCACTGACCCTTCATGATTACTGGGCCTATTGGTGCTATAGGTTTTTGTACAGAGCAAGGAAAGATAGCTACTGATAAGCTAGATAAAAGGTTGGGGAGAGGGGGAGACAACTGGATAGCCCTAAAATAGTCCTTGCCAATAACATATTGCCAGGAACAGTCCTGAAAGAGCCACGGAAGCAGTTTGCTGTCAAAATGCCAGTGCCTGGAGAAGCTCTTCCGATACCGGGCCTCCAGATCCCTCACCTATGACCCACATCACCCTCTCTGATGGTGGAGCTGTGTGCCACGGGGCAGAGGCCTCTCCAGTCTACCACTTGGTCACCACTAGTCCCTTGCTCTTGCTGAGTGAAAGCAAATCGACTCATTCCCAACCCTTGTGCAGGGGAGGGAGGAAGCCTGTTCGATAACCTAAATCCGAGGACAGAGCAGAGCTGCGAACAAAGCCTGTTTCAGGGGTGCCCTGTATTTAAGAAAGGCAAATGAAACACACTAAATATTTCTTCCAACCCTCCCCTCATCCCACTCCCAAACCCAGATTGCTAACTGTTTAGGTCCCCATGTTGAGGCCAGGAAATCAGAATTTAGTGCTAAGTTCTAAAGACTTTACTGATTACCATTCAAATAGTTATCTAGGATCAAAGACAGGTGAGGCCCAGTGAAGCCTTGGGCATGGGCAGAAGGGTAGATAAAAAGTCATAAGACACTTTATTTTTATTTTTGAGACAGGGTCTCACTCTGTCACTCAGGCTGGAGTTCAGTGGCACAATCAAGACTCACTGTGGCCTTGACCTCTTGGGCTCAAGTGATCCTCCTGCCTCAGCCTCCTGAGTAGCTGAAACCACAGGAATGCACCACCACGCCCAGCTTTTTTTTTTTTTTTTTGAGAAGTCTTACTCTGTCACCCAGGCTGGAGTGCAGTGGCATGATCTCAGTTTACTGCAACCTCCACCTCCCAGGTTCAAGTGTTTCTCCTGCTTCAGCCTCCCAAGTAACTGGAACTACAGGTGTGAGCCACCATGCCTGGCTAATTTTTGCATCTATCTTTTTTTTCAGTAGAGATGGGGTTTCACCATGTTGGCCATGCTGGTCTCAAACTTCTGACCTCAAGTGATTTGCCTGCCTCAGCCTCCCAAAGTGTTGAGATTACAGGCGTGAGCCACCACGCCTGGCTTTTTTTTTTTTTTTTTTTTTTTTTTGGTAGAGATGAAGTCCTGCTATGTTGGCCAGGGTGGTCTCAAACTCCTGGGCTCAAGCGATCCTCTCGCCTCAGCCTCCCAAAGTGCTGGGATTACAGGCATGAGCCACCGTGCCCAGCCCATTTTTTTTTCTTAGTGATGGAAAAGATAATGGGAATGCTGCTGCAGATAGAGAATTCAGCTGCTTCACGGAGAACTGGAATGCTATTCCTTTTTCATTTTCCTGCACCAGCTGTGCCATTTTGCCATATTTTTTTTCATATGCATGTGTAGGACACCCACCTCCTTCACCCTGGCTGTTCCCTGAGGACAGGAAAATACTGTCATTCTCTGGGCCTCCCCCAGTGACCTTTCCTGAACAAACACAGTGAGGACCTCTGGTGGAAGAAATTTAATAGTCACTCAATCCGTAACTTAATTTTTGCTTGAAAACTTTATTAAAATAAGGATTAAACCTGAAAAAAGAACAATCAGAATGCCAGCCCTTTGCATAAAATCAGCAAGAAAAAGGACAGAAAGAGAAAAAAGAAGAGCATCAGTCCTCTCCACTTCTTCCCAGAGACTTAGGTGGGGAGGAGAATACCCGCTGCCCTGCAGTGCCTGCAGCCTGTAGCGGGGAGAGCTGTGGGCAGGTTCTCTGTCTCGGGGCTCAGTGGGCTATAGAGAAGTAAGTTCCCACCAGAGCAGAGGCCCAAGAGTCACAGATACCTAAGCTAGAGAATAGATTATCCTGAGGGGATATAAACTCCAGGAAGTTGATCAGGGAACAGGAATTTGGGAACAAACAATTATTCTGAAAGCCTGGAGAGCCTGAAGAGGCAGGGGCCATGCACACGAGCCTCTAACTGCCCTTGGGTGCCACGATCTGCTGGACATAGTTGACAACATTGCTGTGGAGCTGGGAGGCGGTGGATGCAAAAGTCTCCTTGGCGAGGGTCTGGGCCACCTCACTGCCACCCATCATTGCGTGGTACAGCGGAAGTGTATACTTCTGCTTCCCCTGCAAGAAACACACATACACATGCCTAAGAAGCTTGCCTGGTGGATCTGTCCAGCCCTGCTGCCCCCAGTGCCAGTCTAACAGCAGCCATGGCTAGGTGCTAAAAGGGATGTGGGCATCACAGCTGGAATGAGGAGCTTCTCATCAGAAGTGCTCTAATTCAGGCATCTTCTTGGGCGCCAGAGATCCATGGAGATGGATCTCAATACGCGTCCCAATCCATACTAACATGGGGACGTCTACAGTCAACAAAATGAATGAGTTGGGTGGACACAATGGGATTCCAGACTTCTGGAAAGGTGTAGGTGGTGAGCCACCACGTGAATAGCAGATATCAGCAGCTGCGGCACATAAAGCTCACAGCCGCATACGGTCCAGCTGCAGTCAAGCAAAGGAAAACCCACAGGTCAACCCACAGGTCAAATTCACACAAATATAAGCCAGCGACATCACAAGTTCCTAAAATCCAGAGCCTTGAGGAAGCCATCAAAGGGCTCAGAATATCCCCGAACAGGCAGGCAGCCCTGACTTTATGCAGAGCAATGCTTCGTCTCCGGTCCAGCCCCTCCCTGCTCCGGAATCTGATGACATTCAGTTCATCCTGAGAGCCCGGGGCCTTTCCCCAACAGGGCAACTTTCACATAGTGACAGAGGGTCTGGCTGCTGTCCCGATCATGCCCAAGTCACAGGGCAGCAGGGACCTATCCTCCAAGCCTTTGTTCCTCTTGCTCCGCCTCTGGCCCCTTTCCCTCTTGTGTTTCCCACATGACACTGTCACCCTCTTTCCCGCCTCTGCGTTGGCTCTGGCCAGCTTTTTTCCCTGGGGTCTCACCAGCTGAATTGCAGAAAGCACTGCAAGCCTGCAGGCCTCCTCTTGTCCCTAGGGCAATGCCTTCAAAGCCACACTAGTAAAGAGGCTGAGTGGTAGGGTCCTCAGGTCATTTGCCCCTCCCTCTGTGCCTCAGATGAGTCCTAGATGAGCCCTGCCCACATGATTACTTCACATATGGCCGAGTGGGTCCCAGTGTGCTTTCGGGAACAGCGAGGCAGGGGTCACCCACCTGGTTATGCAGGAACTCCTTCACTTTCCAGAAATCTTCCTGGTGGTCGTTCTTAAGGACGATTTGGCCCCATCGCAGCCGGAGCTCTGCATTCCGGGCATTTGAGATACTTGGGTATGTGTCTCCAAGTTTTTTCACATTCCCTGGAGAAGAGAAAGAAATGGTTTGTGGCTGGTCACGGTGGGTCACACCTGTAATACTAGAATTTTGGGAGGCTGAGGTGGGCGGATCACTTGAGGTCAGGAATGTGAGACCAGCCTGGCCAATATGGCGAAACCCCATCTCTACTAAAAATACCAAACAAAACTGGCCGGGTGTGGTGGCGCACGCCTGTAATCCCAGCTACTTGGAGGCTGAGGTGCTAGAATCAAGAATCACTTGAACTCAGAAGGTGGAGGTTGCTGTGAGCCAATAGCACCACGGCACTCCAGCCTGGTCGACAGAGCAAGATTAAAGCAGACATATTCCCCCAATATCTGTCCCATTTTTTCTCCTACCACTCATCTGCTAAAAGTCATCTTGGCTCTAACTTTTTTTTAACCCCTTGGTGAATATTATGTTGACTGAGCAGCCACAAAGCATTAGAGGTTGAGAGCTCTGGATGACTGGGTTCTGTGCGAACTGTTTGTACCTCAAGTTCATTCTGTCACCTGGGTATTAACATCACACCGCCTACTTCCCAGAGGAGTTGTGGGAATTAAATGACTTAATAGACACAAAAGCCTTACAAGAGTCGCCTGCAGGAGCTTCGGACTTGAGCAATGCCAGGCTTTGTGACTTTGTCCTTGAGGTGCTTGTAAGTAGAACCCATAACCTCCCGATGGCACATTCCTTGTGGAGTGCCAGCCTCCCTAGTGTACGTGGCAGTCCCCTAACCCATAACCTCCCGGTGGCACATTCCTTGTGGAGTGCCAGCCTCCCTAGTGTACGTGGCAGTTCCCTAGGGGCAAGCATCACTACTTTTTGTGAGCCTCCCTCTAGCCCCTGACATAAAGCTGTGCACACAAGGAGCCCTGGTTCACCATTTTTTCTTACCAGGAGGGAGAGGGGATTTCTGGAGGATCTTATCCAGGAAGTAGACCAGCTGGTAGGTCTTCCAGGGAGAGATGGCCACGGCTTCAATGGCCTTCATGTCCAGCTCCTCGGCTGCCCACAGTTGGGCTAGCTCTTCAGCAGGCTTCATGAGTGAGTCCCCAGGGGAGAGATCAGGGAGGTACGGGGGCCAGCCGGGGGTATTCAGCCATCGATCAAACTCAAAACCTGTTTGGGAGGAGAGAAGACACTATCAGAATTCTCTGGCCAGGTTACGGTCAACTGGTTTAAGCAACTCCCAGAGACCTCAAGTTTCTCCTCTCTCCATCCCAAACTCTTTCCCCAGCATTTAACATTACTTTCCCATGTAACTATTCGCTCCAGCAGGGTCCTAGTTATAACGACATCTAGAGACTGTGCCGTTTCGACCGTGAAAGTGCTTTTCGCTCCAAATTAGCACTGTGTTGTCAGAGCCAAGTTGGTGGATGCTCTATTCACGTGCACATTCTCCTACCGATCACAACCACACTGTACTTAAGCACCCAGGCTCTAGGACCAGGCTGCCTGGGTTCCTACCCCTGCTCTGTCATTAACCAGCTGGGAGGCCACGGGCATGTTACTTCACCTCTCTGCACCTCAGTTTTATCTATAAAGTGGGGGTGATAGGCCCTGCCTCCGTGATGGTTATGAGGATTACATGAGCAAATAAACATTAAAAGCTTAGCGTATCGCCTGATGCATAGTAAGTACTCTGGAATTATTAACTACCATTAGCTCCGGAGTCCCCGCATTAAAATGCAAGCCTCCAACCGAACAGTAGGTGCTGCTAAAGTCCTGACCAATCCTACTGTCAGAGGACGCGGACTTCATCAAACCAACAATAGAGTGACTCAAGGTTCAGGTCACAGCAAGAAGTGGGGGTATGTCTAATGGATTGTGTCTTCCATGACAGGACATTTTTCGTTTTTTCTTTGGAAGTGGTACCTCCCAGGCAGAAACTGGCGGCTGGGCACAGCGGCTCACGCCTGTAATCCCAGCACTTTGGGAGGCCGAGGCAGGTGGATCACCTGAGGTCAGGAGTTCGAGACCAGCCTGACCAACATGGAGAAACCCCGTCTCTACTAAAAATACAAAATAGCCGGGCGTGGTGGCGCGTGCCTGTAATCCCAGCTACTCGGGAGGCTGAGGCAGGAGAATCGCTTGAACCCGGCAGGCGGAGGTTGCGGTGAGCCGAGATCGTGCCATTGCACTCCAGCCTGGGCAACAAGAGCGAAACTCCATCTCAAAAAAAAAAAAAAAGAAAAGAAAAGAAAGAAAGAAATAAGGAGGGCCACTGGGGTTGCCTTCACTCAGAAGGCTGTAGGAGGGGTGCTGCCTCCGCTCCTGCCCTGTGAGTTTTAGCTTGGGGCAGTGGTGCGGCAGCAGTGGCAGCTCTCCAGGCAAGTTAAGGGTCTGACTGTGTGTCCAGGTGAGAGGAGAGAGTAAGGAAACAGACTGGGAGAAAATGAGGCAGAGAGGAGTGAAAAGAAGTCATTCTTGTGGAATAAATCCCAGGATTCTGGGTTTGCTTCCCAAAACGCCCCTACCTAGCTGACTCTGACCCAGTGTTTTCCCATCCACCACCATCTTTCCGAGTGTCAATGAGATCTCATTCTCTACTATTTTTTAGAAGCCTGTGGGCCAGTTCCTCTGCTTACCTGGAATGATATCCACTCTCTTTTTCTTAAGCTCAGGGAAATATTCCAAGTAGAAGTCCAGAAAGTCATCGGCTAAGATGCTTCGGAATTTGAATTCATGCACATAGGCCTGTGAGGAGGGAAAGCTCTTTAGACCCTCTCTGGCCCCGTGGGGAGTGGTGTCCCTCTGTGTCCTGGGTCCTCCTCCAACCCCTTACATCTTTCGCCCCCTGCCTCTACCCTTGATCAGGCCCAGTGGCTTTATCCGCTCCTCTTCCTTCTCCCCTCATGTGACTATACCTTGAGAAAACTGTCAAACTGATCCTGATCACCCACCAAGTGGGCCAGGTATGAAACAAAGCAGAAACCTTTCTCGTAGGGGGTCTCATTATAGGTGTCGTCCGGGTCAACGCCTGGCAGAGGAGAAAGCAGACAAGATTTGAGCTTTTGTAGCCTGTCACCCGTAACGTTCTTCTCTAGCTCCACAGTCAAAGACTAGCGATGGAAGAGATCAGAATTCAGCTTCCCCAGGGACAGCAAGGCCAAGAAGGTGTCCAGATCCTGGCCTCTCTCCAGATCTTGGACTCTCTCAAGGCCAAGACTCTCTCTCTTAAGATCTCTATCTCAAGGCCAAGATCTCTCTCCAGATATTGGCCTCTCTCAAGGTACTTCCAAGATCTCAGAGGGCCATTCACTGTGGATCTAATATGAAGACAGAGAAACCAGCCTTCCAGAGGAGCGGACACATTTCCTTAGTCCCAGGATACACTTTGTGTGGGTAGGTTCCATCAGCATTTCCCACTGAGCACCAAGCTGTGTCTTTTCCATCCCTATTGGTCACCACCTAAATACTCAACCTACCCTCCCAGATCAATGTTTTTTTTTTTTTTTTTTTAAGACGGAGTCTTGCTCTATCACCCAGGCTGGAGTGCAGTGGCACGATCTCAGCTCACTGCAACCTCTGCCTCCTGGGGTCGAGCGATTCTCCTGCCTCAGCCTCCCCAGTAGCTGGGATTACAGGTGTGCATCACCACACCCAGCTAATTTTTGTATTTTTAGTAGAGACAGGGTTCTCCATATTGGCTAGGCTGGTCTCGAACTCTTGACCTCATGATCCACCCGCTTTGACCTGGGATTACAGGCGTGAACCACCATGCCCAGCCAATGTGTTGTTTTTACAGCTGTTCCAGGCTAAAACTAATTACCCGTCTCTAAGAAATTCATCTGCAAACTTAACGGCATCAAGGAACATGAGCTTCAATTGCATAAAAAGGTTTCAGATTAGTCACACATGGAATGAAGGAAAATGTTAGGAAGTAAAAAGATCTGAATTTGGAGAGAGGACCCGGATCTCAGTTGCAGTCATGCACTGATTAGGTACATGACCTGGACAAGACACTTAACTTGTCTGGCACTCAGTCCCATCCTCTGTAAAATAAGGCTAATGCTTTTATTCTACAGAATCCACAGATCTGCCCTGATGATCATGAAGGAATGCGAAAGAGCCTGGTAAAACGATATGGACTTGTGCAAATGCAAAGCAATGGTGAAGTCATCACGAACCGCACAGACTGGACAGAACTCCTATCTGGCTGCAATGGCTTGGGTTCAGTCAGCCCAGGGGCCAGAGAATTGGCTACAAAGAGCTCTGGAGTGCCCCTCCCTCCAAATAAAGTATTCTAAGCGTGCACTGATCAACATGAAGTTCGCATTAACTTGGGGCTCCAAGCTCAATTGAGGGGAGTGGGTGTCAGACAGAGGAGCCTCCTGGACCTGGTTCAATCTTCACGCGGAGCTTGTTGAGTGGGTTTTCCTCTCCAGTGATGTCCATGTGCTGACGCAGCAGAGCCCGCCCCGTTGCAGCCTCCAAGCAGGTGTACGCAGCGCCTGGTGCAGAATCAAACGTAAGCCTCGGGAAAACGTCTGTCACCACATCCAAGTGTATTTTCCTGACAGAGACACTGTGCTGCCTCCTTGTGGCCTCAAGAAGAACAGCGACAGATACCTGAAGCTTAATAACATTACCCTCCTGGGGACCCAGGGCAAATAGGGACAGTTACAGAGAGCCTGACTCAGTCCCTAGCTCCCTGTTGCTGTGGGCTACAAAGGACTTGGTTAACTCAGGCTGTTGGTCTCTCTCCTAAGTGAGGACTGGGGGAATCGCACCTTTCTGACAGTTACCTTTCCTTATCAAAGTACTGTATTTTTATTTTATCTTATTTCATTTATTTTATTATTTTATTTTTTGAGACAAAGCCTCACTCTGTCACCCAGGCTGGAGTGCAATGGCGTGATCTTGGCTCACTGCAACCTCCGTCTCCTCCTGGGTTCAAGCGATTCTTCTGCATCAGCCTCCTGAGTAGCCGGGATTACAGGTGTGCACCACCACGCCCAGCTAATTTTTGTATTTTTAGTAGAGAGGGGGCTTTACCACGTTGGCCAAGCTCAAACTCCTGATCTCAGGTGATATGCCCGCCTTGGCCTCCCAAAGTGCTGGGATTACAAGCGTGAACCACCACGCCCAGCCCCCGGCCTTATTTTTAGAAAATGATTTGATTTTTTTTTTTTTTTTGAGACAGAGTCTCGCTCTGTTGCCCAGGCTGGAGTGCAGTGGCACGATCTCGGCTCACTGCATCCTCCACCTCCTGGATTCAAGCAATTCTCCTATCTCAGCTTACCAAGTAGCTGGGACTACAGGCACACACCATGATGCCTGGCTAATTTTTGTATTTTTAGTAGAGACGGGGGTTTCACCATTTTGGTCAGGCTGGTCTCAAACTCCTGACCTCAGGTGATCCACCTGCCTCAGGCGTGAGCCACCATGCCTGGCAATGACTTGATCTTCTGTGAAAACTTAGAATTATTTTCATCTAACTGTTTCTGTCAGACAAAAGAAATTATCAACCCCAAATTTTTAAGGATCTCTAAGTCTCCTTCTGCATTAAAAACAATGACTGAGGGAACAGTGGAGGGGTGGGGCACAGGGTTTTGGAACCAGCCAGCTCTGCCCTTTCCTAGATGTTTTGACTCTGAGTAAGTGGCTTAGCCTCTCTCAGCCTCAGTTTCTTCAACTGTACAATGGGATAAAAATATTTGCTTGCAGGATTCCTAATGGCTGATTAAGATATTCACAAACAGGCTCTTGCTATATATATTCTGAATGAAAGTACAGAATTTGTACAAACTTTCTGGAAGATAATGGACAATATGTACTAAAAAGACTATGTAATTTAAAACGTTCAGGGCCGGGCGCAGTGGCTCACAGCTGTTGTCTCAGCACTTTGGGAGGCTTAGACAGGCAGGTCACTTGAGGCCAGGAGTTCAAGACCAGTCTGGCCAATATGCCGAAATCCTGTCTCTACTAAAAACATAAAAACTAGCTGGGCATGGTGGTGCATGCCTGTAATCCCAGCTACAGGGAGTGGGATGTGGGGGAGCTGAGGCAGGAGAATTGCTTGAACTACGGAGGTGGAGGTTGCAATGAGCCGAGATTGCAACGCTGCACTCCAGCCTGGCAACAGAACAAGACTCTGTCTCAAAAAAAAAAAAAAAAAAAAAGTTCAGACCCAGAAATTATGTTTCTAAGAATTTATCATTGTTGAAATCATCTGATATGAATAGACATTTATGTGTAAGGAAATTTGTCAACATATTTCAATGGAAAATTGGAAACAACCAGTAAATTAAAAAACATCCATATATGCAGCTATAGAAGAAAATCTAATGGGCTGGGCATGGTGGCTCACGCCTGTAATCCTGGCACTTTGAGAGGCCGAGGAGGTTGGATCACCTGAGGTCATGAGTTCGAGACCAGCCTGACCAACATGGAGAAACCTCGTCTCTTCTAAAAATACAAAATTAGCCAGGTGTGGTGGCGCATGCCTGTAATCCCAGCTACTCGGGAGGCTGAGGCAGGAGAATCGCTTGAAGCCGGGAGGTGGAGGTTGCAGTGAGCCGAGATCGTGCCATTGCACTCCAGCCTGGGCAACAAGAGCAAAACTCTGTCTCAAAAAAAAAAAAAACTAATGACCTGGGGAAATGTTTTTTTAAAAAAAAGTCAGTTGTCAAACCATGTGTGGTTTGACAATTCATACATACAGAAAAATGTTGGATACACACTACTGCCTCGTCTCTTCACACCCACTTGTATTCTGAAACCCCATAAGGAGATCACACTGGCCCCACAGGTTAAGAATGGGAGGCAGACTCCTTAGGAGAGGGGTGGGCACTTTACCAAAGAGGATGGTGGAGATCCTCCTCTGGGCGTACATGGTGAAACCTTCATTGAGCCAGAATTCACCCCAGTTGGCGTTGGTGACCAGGTTCCCAAACCAACTGTGGGAGATCTCATGGATGATGACATCTGCCAAGGAGCGGTCCCCAGCTAGCAGGCAGGGGGTGACAAAGGTCAGACAAGGGTTCTCCATTCCTCCAAATGGAAAGGACGGTGGCATGAAGAGCAAGTCATACCTGCCGAGAAGCGGGGAGGTCACCAAGAGGCCCTGGCTTCCCGGAGCAGACCCTACCTCGCCTCCCTTTCCAGCCTATTTCCAAGCCCTAACAGATGCAGTCACTAAACAGGCAGAGTACGACTTCGGGCCCAGTGCGGAAAATAAAGCCCAGGCTCCTCAATGCTTCTCCCACGTGGCTCCCCTGCCTTGCTGGGACTTCCCTCATCGAGGTGGTGTCTGCTCTCCTGGAGCTCACTCTCCAGGCATTTGTTTCCCTCTCTCCTTCCAAGCAGGGGTGGAGGTGATAAATGTATTATCAGCTCCATCACATGGAGTTCCCTGGAGGCCAACTTGGGGTCATAAAGACCAACCTGGAGCCTTTTATCTAAGGAGCCTAAAGTCTGAAGATGTCAAAGTTAAAAACAGAGTGTGGGGAAACTTCCAGCAATGGGAAAACACAGGTCAACAAAGGACCTTGACGGTGCTGCCCCATCTCAAACTTGGCAACTGCAGGTCACATTTTGAACACCTCAAGAACCTCTTCTCTGCCGGGCCTGGTGGCTCACACCTGTAATCCCAGCACTTTGGGACCAAGGTGGACAGATCACCTGAGGTCAGGAGTTCGAGACCAGCCTGGCCAACATGGTGAAACCCTGTCTCTACTAAAAATACAAAAATTAGCTGAGTGTGGTGGAGGGCGTCTGTAATCCCAGCTACTCTGGAGGCTGAGGCAGGAGAATCGCTTGAACCTGGGAGGTGGAGGTTGCAGTGAGCTGAGATCACGCCACTGCCCTCCAGCCTGGGTGACAGAGCGAGACTCCATCTCAAAACACACACACACACACACACACACACACACACACACACACACAAAGAACCTCATCTCCTAGGCCCTCTCCTCAGCAACAGTGAGAAGCCTGGCTCATACCCTCCTCTCTTCCTCCTCTCCTTCACTTCTGGGATCAGGGAAACTTTGCTCTGGGAGGCAGGAGGTGGAAAAGCCACACGAAGAGGAAGAATGGAAGCCAGTGACTCAGTTTAACAGGAGACACTAGAGTCAATGTGATACCACACCTTCCCCAAACATAAGGTCCAAAAAGCTTCTCTCCTGTTGCCAAAAATTCTTCTATCACCCCGTTGTACTCCTCCTTGGCAGCATCAATCAGGCAGGGCTCAGCCCACACCCGGCTCCTAAAGACAAGAGAGCAGAGAAAGCAGAATGGTGTTTAGAGACCATCGCAGTGACCTGATCCTGAAAGCACCTGTAGGAAATTGGCCTCCGCCAAGTGAATGTGACAATGCAGTCAGCCACAGTGACGGAGTGCAAGATCGGATCACCACACAGATCCAAGAGACCGCTCACCACACCTGAGAAACAAGAACCCAAGACAGCCTCATGGAGGTGGAACCGTGCTACGCAGTTATGGCTTCACTACTGAATGCGATCTTGCAAAAGTGATTTAACCTCTGTGAGCCTCAGTTTCCTCATCTGTAAAATGAGTGAAGATTAAATAAGACAACACACAAAAGCCCTTCAAACATTTATACAGTAAATGTTAGTTTTCTTCTCCCTACTTAGAGGAGAGATAAGAAAGCGTTCTAATAGTAGAATCTGGAATTGAATAAAACCTTAAGAGACAAACCTTTTTTATTTTTTTTTTAAGACAGGTTCTTGCTCTGTTGCCCAGGCTAGAGTACAGTGGTGTGATCCAACCTCCACCTCCTGGGGCTCAAGTGATCCTTCCATCTCAGCTCCCCAACCCCAGTAGCTAGGACTACAGTTGCACATCATCATGCCTGGCTAATTTTTTTATTTTTGTAGAGGTAGGGTTTCGCTATGTTGCCCTGGCTGGTCTTGAACTCCTGGGCTCAAGTGATTCACCTGCCTCAGCCTCTCAAAGTGCTGGGATTATAGGCATGAGCCACTGTGTCCGACCCAAACCTACTAATGTTAATAGAAATTTGTTAACTGCCTTAGGTACAATAATGGGATTGTGGTTATAAGGGAGAATGCCTCTATTCTTCAGAGAGGCACACAGATTTACTTGCTTTTAAATGGTCTAGCAAAAATAAAAACAAATCCACTCATAAAACTAATATGACAAAGTAGATGGTTCTATAGGTGTTCAATGCATCATCCTTTCAATTTTCTAAATATTTGAAATTTTCTTAATAAAAAGATAGGGAAACAAAGGTGGCTTGGAGGAAACAAAAACAAAAACAAAAACAAAACAAGAAGATCCAGTCTAATGGAAAGATGCAATGGACTCAGGGATCCTGCAGCCAAAGGCTCTGCTTGACCAAGAGCCCCTGGCTGCGCTTAGAACTGCTTTTCCACACAGACATATGAATGAGACTGGCTGGGCCTGGTGGCTCATGTCTGTAATCCCAGTACTTCGGTAGGCCGAAGTGGGTGGTTCACCTGAGGTCAAGAGTACCAGACCAGCCTGACCAACATGGTGAAAGGCTGTTTCTACTAAAAAAAAAAAAAAAAAAAAAAAAAATTAGCAGGACATGGTAGTGTATGCCTGTAATCCCAGCTACCTGAGAGGCTGAGGCAGGAGAATCGCTTGAACCTGGGTGGCAGAGGTTGCGGGGAGCCAAGATTGCACCATCGCACTCCAGCCTGGGTGACAGAGTAAGACTCTGTTTCAAAAAAAAAAAAAAAAGAGACTGATGGCAAAGTGGGATGGGTCCAGGCCCGGATGAGGGAAAACTTCCTCTGCGTTTGCTGAAGCATAGGAACTATTCTAACAGGAAGAAAAGATACAGGGAAACCAGTATCAGGTACTTCCCAAATATCAAAAGCAAAGACGTAGCCATGGAACACTGCATATGCATGTGAGGAAGCACCGAGAGTCTGGGATTACTTGAGGACAGGATCAGATTGCAATGAGGGAGGCAGTGGCAGGAGGTGGGACATGAGATGCCCAAGAGGGTCGGGTCATGAAGAGCCTCAGGTGCACTGTTACAGAACCGGACCTTCAGAGCCATGGGAGCATTTTAAGCCAACAAGTGACATTATCAGATTTAGTTTTAAGATATCATCCTGGCTGCAGAACACAGAAAATATGTTAAACTACAAGAATGGGTGAGCTCTCCAAGGAAAGCATGTAGAAGAAAAGAACAGGTCAAAGACAGAGCCTTGGGCAACATCGACACACAAGGAGCTGGGCAGAGGAGTCAGGGAAGGAGATGAGAAAAGGACTAACCAGGAGGCCTGATGACCAGCATGGGTGGTGTCACAGAAGCCAGAGGAGGGTCAATGGGGGCAGAAGAAAAACAGCAGAACATGAAGGCAAGGGCTAAAAAGCATCACATATGTTATCCGTATTGAGGCGAATGGCCTCTCTTACTAGTTTCAACGGCATGGCAAGGGTGGGGGGCTGGATTCCAATGGGTTGTAGCAATAAATGATTGTGGGGTGGGGGGGTTTCAAGAAGTGCAGCCAGTGCGTATACATGCCACTGAAGTCACCTGGCTACAGAGGGAAGGACAGTGTGTCGTGCCAGAAGAGAATATGGAGTTAAGGGTTTTTTGAGTTGTTTGTTTGTTTGTTGAGACGGAGTCTTGCTCTGTTGCCCAGGCTGGAGTGCAGTGGCGCGATCTCGGCTCACTGCAAGCTCCACCTCCCGGGTTCACACCATTCTCCTGCCTCAGCCTCCCAAGTAGCTGGGACTACAGGCGTGAGCCACTGCACCTGGCCGAGTTTGTTTTTTTTTTTTGTTTTGGCTTTTTTTTGAGGTGGAGTCTCACTTTGTCACCCAGGCTGGAGTGCAGTAGTGCAATCTCGGCTCACTGCAACCTCCACCTCCCACGTTCAAGTGATTCTCCTGCCTCAGCCTCCTGAGTAGCTGGGATTATAGGTGTGCACCACCATGTCCGGCTGATTTTTGTGTTTTTAGGAGAGATGGGGTTTCACCACGTTGGCCAGGCTAGTCTCAAACTCCTGACCTCTGGTGATCCTCCCACCTTGGCCTCCCAAAGTGCTGGGATTACAAGCGTGAGCCACCACACCCAGCCTTGAGTTTGTTTTTTGCTTTGCTATAGATCTTAGAGAAACTGGTGCTTGTCTAGAGGGGGAGGCTGCAGATTTGAAGAGAGAGATGTAAATGATGAGGCAAAGTCCCAGAGGACATGTAAGGGAAGAGATTTGGCTTTAAACAGAAGGAAGGACCTTTGTTGCAGTCCGGAAGGATAAAAGCAGATGAAGATAACTTTTTAAGTGGAGGACAGGAAACTGACATAATCATATCTGATGAATTTAATATTCTCAATAAAACAGGAGACAAGACCTTCTGCTTAAATGAGGGGATGGGATTGGATAGCAAACTTAAAGAGAAGAGTAAAGTCTTAGAACAGCTTAAAGGGAGTGAGATGGAAAGGTAAATAAGAGGACTGTTGAACAACCTTGAAAGCACACCTGCAGTTGAAGACTGTACATCTGTTACATTTTTCTGGAAAACCCCACACATGTCTATTTCAACTTTCCTTTAATTCCAACTTTTCACGAAGAATTGAGAAAGGTGTAGTGGTTATTACTGTGTAGTTTCACTATTTTCTACATCTCCCAAATACCCACTTATAGAAGTAGAGAAAAGGAATTGTATAACAAGGGACTGGGACATTATAGCAGCGGGAAGTGGGCAAGGGGCTTTGGGGTGTTGGTAAGAGGTAACCAACCACACACTTGGGCCAGGGAGGGAAGCCCAGTCAGGAGGGTCTTGACTGCCCAGGAGAAATGAGTGGCTTGCCGGAAGGGAGGCTGCCATGAGCTCAAGGAGGAGACATGGTGGAATATAGTGGGAGAGAGGCCGTCAGAGAGCTGGAAGGTTAGCAGAGTCAGGATGAATGAGGACAAGGGGCTCAAGGGCCTTAAAAGTTCAGATATGGTACAGTTCATGACAATGACGATGTCTAGGCTCTAGACTCCAGAGCATGGGTGTGAATATGGGTGGCTGACAGAGTGGAGAAGGCTCCCTGAGTAGAGGTCAAGAAACCCTGAAGGTTGGTGTTGTGGCTCATGCCTGCAATCCCAACACTTTGGGAGGCCGAGGTGGGAGGATCTCTTGAGCCCAGGAGTTCAAGATCAGCCTGGACAACATAGCAAGACCTTGCTCCTGCAGAAAATAAATAAAATTAACTGGGCATGGTGACAGAGTAGCTGTGGTCCCAGCTACTCTGGAGACTGAAGTGGGAGGACTGCTTGAGCCTGGTAGCTTGAGGTTCAATGGGCTGTTATTGTGCCACTGCATTCCAGCCTGGGCAAGAGAGCGAGGCAAGAAAAGAAAGAAAGAGGGAGGGAGGGAGGGAGGGAGAAAGGCACAAGAAACCCTGCAGCCACCCTCAACCCTGGGTGTTAGGAGAGAAAAGTCGCCAAAGATGATGTGACAGGAAACCAGACAGAAAAAGATCATGGGACGGCAGTCAGTATCTTCAAGGAATTACTTTGTGAATTGTTCTACCACCACCTTGGATGTCAAAATTACCACAGTCCTTCAGCCCAGTGGACTTCAGCTTGTTACAACTAGAAGGTTTAAGACAGTCATCCAAGATACCTCCACCAGGACACACATTTCTGTCAAAATAAATCAGGATGCTCTCAGTCAAGCTGCAATCTCACTACCTGTAGTATATTGCAAAGAGCACTGGATTTGCAATGGAAATACCTGAATTTTAATTCCAGTTTTGCCAACTAGTGGTCCTGCACAAGCCACTCACCACAGCCTTGGTTTGCTTATTTTTAAAATGTAGAAAGTATCATCCTCATGGAGTCTGTGTAAGGATTAGAAGAGATTATACATAAAAGGGCCTACTGGGATATACCCATAATTCCCCTCTGCCCAGGATTTTCCTCTTGCAGTAACAGGGACTGGGATAGGTGGCATACCTTGCCAGAAGACCCTCCGATTTAATAAACCCCCACGGCCCGGCGTGGTGGCTCATGCCTGTAATCGAGCACTTTGGGAGGCCGAGGTGGATGGATCACGAGGTCAGGAGTTCAAGACTAGCCTGGCCAACATAGTGAAACCCTGTCTCTATTAAAAATATGAAAATTAGCCAGAAATGGTGGCACACACCTGTAGTCCCAGCTACTTGGGAGGCTGAGGCAGGAGAATCACTTGAACCCAGGAGGCGGAGGTTGTGGTGAGCCAAGATCGCGCCACTGCACTCCAGCCTGGGCAACAGAGCAAGACGCCATCTCAAAAATAATAAATAAATAACCCCCCACAAGACCCTACGATGTGACCCAGGAGGCAAGAACTGTCCATTTAATCACGGAAGGAATAAGGCATTACCACCAGTTAAGTGGATTCTGTCACCTAGTTCGATATACCATGTTGTCATTTTATTACAGGCAGTATAAAAAGAAATCATTATCACTCAGTATCTTTAGAATCTATTGTTCTCTCATTTCCCATTAATAGTTCATACTCTTACAAGTAGAACCTTAGTAAGGGTATTCTTGGAAACGACGTTCCTTTACTTATCTACTTGCTTGTCTATTGCAAAGATGACATCCTTTTGGTTATTTCCCGCCCTGCCTATTAGGAAGACAGCCCTTCGTAAGAGGAGGGCACTTTGTCTTTCCAGACTGGTATTGTTTTGAATGTGTGCGCTGGGAGCAGATGCCAATGGAATCCCATTTATTATTCCAACTGATAACCAGAAACTAAGACTCATGATACCAGCAGTGCCACTGAGCCCAGTTATGAAGTCTGAGGCTCGTAACTAATGTTGTCAAGGACACCACTGCCTCTAGGAACTGGGAGCAGGGCCAGAGATAAAGAACAGCAACAGTGCCAGGAAAAGGTCACGGCTTCACCGTCCAGCCTGTGATGCTCCCACATTGGGACTAAGCTATGGTGGAGGTAATATGAGAGCCAGGAAAAACCTATACTCCTGGTCAAACCTCTTTTATCAGGAAACCTTACAAAATCCCTTTTTATCTTCACAAGATCCATGTAACTTCACGGAGGCATTGCTCTCACCGTAGGCTTAGACTCATGCATCTGCTGCAGATAGGAAGGAGAGTCCACTTCCCTCTTCGAGGGAAATGATACCAAAGTTGTTATTTCCAGGAACTACGTGCAAAAGAAAATGGGGAAGATTTGGTACAAAGATAGGAAAGTGGATATAGCTGCTAGAAGGGCATTTAGAACTTAAAGATATTAATAAAGATCCATTTCCCAGGCCGGGCATGATGGCTCATGCCTGTAATCCCAGCACTTTGGGAGGCCAAGGCGGGTGAATCACCTGAGGTCAGGAGTTCAAGAGCAGCCTGGCCAACATGGTGAAACCCCGTCTCTACGAAAAATACAAAAATTAGCCGAGCGTGGTGGGGCATGCCTGCAGTCCCAGTTACTTGGGAGGCTGGGGCAGGAGAATCGCTTGAACCCAGGAGGCAGAGGTTGCAGTGAGCCAAGATCGCACCATTGCACTCCAGTCCAGCCTGGGCAACACAGCAAGACTCCATCTCAAAAAAAAAAAAAAATCCATTTCCCAAAACTGCAGCCTAAATTCCAACATCCCTCTGTAAGGCAGCCCAGGACAGCGCTACTGCTAGCAGGGATGATGATCTCATTCCAGGCAGCAGGATTAGAACTGGAGAGAGGGAGTGAGAAAGGCAGGGAGAAAAAGAGCACTTCCTCCAGCTGTGCTCATGCTGCATGAGCTGCAGAAAGGCTCTGGACTCAGACAGAGGATCCAAGACTGCCCAAGAACCCCCCCAGCAGGTCCACTGGTCAGAGTCCTCCTCACCTCTGAGGCCAATCCAACCTTGCCTGTGGGGTCTTTGTCTCCTACCTGGGTCCAACTTCAGCCGAAACCAGATCTCCGATGGCCAAAGCTATCAGATAGGAGGGGATGGGCTGACACATCTGGAAGAAGAACTTATTTGGACCTCTCTTCTCCCAGGTGCTAGCACTCATCACAGCTGTGAAGCCATCTGGGACCTGACAACAGAGAAAGCTTAGGAGATTTTACCTGGAGAGAGTTTCCTTTTGATTAGTTTGAATAAGAGCATGACCGGCCACCTGTGTGTGATGATAATGGCCTGGAGTCTATCTTGGAGAACACAAAGGTTTCAAGAAACTAAATCTGTGCTCAACTGATGGGATTTAGAGGAAGGCTACATACAACTTCAGTAGGTGGAAGAATTTAAAAGTAAGCAATTTTTCAGAAGTACCACTGAATGGATATAATAATTTACCACTGAAACGTGACCTGATTGATAGATCTGAAATCATTTCTTCATCCCAAGGGCAGGTGCACCTAACCTTAGTCTCCTTACCTCAATAAGAGCTGAATACTTGTATTTAACAGCAGGCGTGTCGAAGCAAGGGAAGAAGGCCCGGTTTAGGACAGCCTGGCCCTGGGTGTACACGAAGGGCTTCTTCTTTCCTGCTGTCTGCTCGGGAGCCAACCAGCAAACCTAAGCGAAAAGAAGAACATTTCAGAACTGACATCTCCCACACGAGCTCAGTCTGGCCAGAGAAGTGAGCTGGCTGGAATGAGAGAATTTTAGGTAATCCTTAAAACCTTTCCGCCAGCCAGTCTGGTTTGAACTAGAAAGCTCTCTCCTCTGTGTATTTAGTTCATCCTGGAATCCATGCCAAAGTATGACATCCACTTCACAGGGCAGAGCCACCAGAAAGGGTCCATTCCTCACTGCATCCCATGGGTCATCTCAGAGACCTTGGACCGAGCCTCTGATCTTGTCATCTGTACCCTATCTGTGTCCTTTTCACTGTAGTAGTTTCTCATCAAACAAAAAACTACTGAAGCAACTGCATTTGGACTTGTGATAAGACACAGAAAAGCAGAACTCAACTGGGAGTCAGTGATTAATATGTTTTTTTTTTTTTTTTTTTTTTTTTTGAGACAGAGTATCGCTCTGTCGCCCAGGCTGGAGTACAGTGGTGCAATCTCGGCTCACTGCAACCTCGACCTCCCAGGTTCAAGCAATTCTCATGCCTCAGCCTCCCAAGTAGCTGGGACCACAGGCGCGTGCACCACCAAGTCCAGCTAATTTTTGTATTGTAAAGATAGGGTTTCACCATGTTGGCCAGGCTGGTCTCCAACTCCTGGCCTCAAGCAACCCGCCCACCTCAGTCTCCCAAAGTGCTGGGAATACAGGCATAAGCCATCATGCTCAGCCTAATATACATTCTCTTTTCTTTTCTTTTTTTTTTTTCGAGATAGAGTTTCACTCTTGTCGCCCAGGCTGGAGTGCAATGGTGTGATCTCAGCTCACTGCAGTCTCCGCCTCCTGGGTTCAAGCGAGTCTCCTGCCTCAGCCTCCCAAGTAGCTGGGATTATAGGCATGCACCACCACATCCGACTAATTTTGTATTTTTAGTAGAGACGGGGTTTCATCATGTTGGTCAGGCTGGTCTTGAACTCCTGACCTCAGGTGATCTGCCCGCCTCAGCTTCCCAAAGTGCTGGGATTACAGGCATGAGCCACTGCACCTGGCCTAATATGTGTTTTCTGTTCCTAAAATTTACCTTTTCAGAAGAAAGGTATTTTATATAATAGGCACTGGTTATATGATTCTTTATCTGTGTTCTGTTAGCTCTTAAACAAAGGGCAAATCTGGGTTGGGTGCAGTGGCTCACGCCTGTAATCCCAGCACTTTGGGAGTCCGACGCAGGTGGATCACTTGAGGTCAGGCGTTCGTGACCTGCCTGGATAACATGGTAAAACCCTGTTGCTACTAAAAATACAAAAATTAGCCGGGTGTGATGGCATGCACCTGTAATTCTAGCTACTCAGGAGGCTGAGGCAGGAGAATTGCTTGAACCCAGGAGGCAGATGTTGCAGTGAGCTGAGATCATGCCACTGCACTCCAGCCTGGGTGACAGAGCGAGACTCTGCCTCAAAAAAAAAAAAAAAAAAAAAAAAAAAGTAAAATCTGAATGATTTATCACAAAACCCAGTTTTTGCCTATAGCAAACAGCCATTCATTTACCTGGAAGAGGGGCAGGATGGAGCATAGGTCAGTAACAAATAGCATTTAGAATTTAGAAATGGATTCGATTACTCCAGGATGATTTCATAGGGGAAGAAAACTTTCTGGCTGGACCTTCAAAGACACGCAGGATTGAGATGGCTGGAAAGGAAGGGAGGAGACATTCACAAGGAGACGAGCAGCAACATGAGGAGAGGCATAAACAGATGCAGGCTCCAGATGCAGAGTTGGGGAGGCAGGCCTGGGCAAGTCTAATGAAGGGTTCTGAACACAGCAGTGTCTGAGACCTATTTTAAGAGGCATAAGGAAGCTACGTTGGGATGCTGGGTTTGAGTTTTTGTGTGTGAAAAATTTAATTAGTCTCCTTATAACAGGTACAGTGCAGTATAGAAAGGGATGAGAGAATAACTTCACAGTGGAGAAAGCTGATAATCACTGCTTCAGCCAGGGGACCGAGGTTAACGCTGACAGTCATAAATCATGTGGATACTATGCGCCCTCAATACCTGATGAAAATGGCACTTTGGCTGGGCGCAGTGGCTCACACCTGTAATCCCAGCACTTTGGGAGGCCGAGGCTGGTGGATCACCTGAGGTCGGGAGTTCAAGACCAGCCTGGCCAACACAGTGAAACCCTGTGTCTACTAAAAATACAAAAATTAACCAGGGTGGTGGCATATGCCTATAGTCCCAGCTACTTCGGAGGCTGAGGGAGGAGAATCGCTTGAACCAGGGAGGCGGAGGTTGCAGTGAGCCGAGATCACACCACTGCAGTCCAGCCTGGGTAACAAGAGTGAAACTCCATTTCAAGAAAAAAAAAAAAAAAAAAGAAAGAAAATGGCACTTTACCTCTGTGAATTGCCCCTCAAAACCCATAATCCCAATCTAATCATGAGAAAACATCAGATAAATTCCAATACAGGGTCATCCTACGCTATACCTGGCCAACACTCCTCAAAACTGTCAAGGTTGGCTGGGCTCAGTGGCTCACACCTGTAATGCCAGCACTTCGGGAGGTCAAGGCAGGAGGATCGCTTGAGGCCAGGAGTTTGAGACCAGCCTGGGCAACATAGGGGGACCCTGTCTCTACAGAAAAAATAAAAATAAAAAAATAAAAAACAAAAAACTGGCTGGGAGCAGTGGCTCATGCCTGTAATTCTAGCACTTTCTTTGGGAGGCCAAGATGGGAGAATTGTTTGTTTGAGCCCAAGCGTTTGAGACAAGCCTGGATAACACAGTGAGACCTCATCTCTACAAATAATAAATTCAAAAAATTAGCTGGGCGCAGTTGTATGCGCCTGTAGTCCCAGCTACTTGGGCTGAGGCAGGAGGATCACTTGAACCAGGGGGATCAAGGCTGCAGTGAGCCATGATTGTGCCACTCACTGCACTACGGCCTGGATGACAGAGCAAGACCCTGTCTCAAAAAACAAACAAACTGTCAAAGTTATATCAAAAACAAGGAAAGTTTGAGAAACTGTCACAGTCCCAAGAGGATACATGACAGCTAAATATAATGTGGAATTCTGGATGGCTTCCTGGAACAGAAAAAGACATTAAGTAAAAACTAAGGGAATCTGAAAAAACTATGGACTCCAGTATCGGTACTGGTTTATTAATTATAACAAATATATTATTATACTAATGTAAAATGATTCAATCTTGGTTAATAATATATCAGCATTGTTTAATTGTAACAAATGTGTCATACTAATGCAAAATGGTAGCAAGAGGGGAATCTGTGTGTATATGTGTATGTAGGAGGTACTGAACTGTATATGGGAACTCTCTGAACTGGCTGCTCAATTAAGCCAGGCATGTTGGCTCATGCTTGTAGTCCCAGCACTTTGGGATGCCAAAGCGGGCAGATGGCTTGAACCCAGGAGTTCAAGACCAGCGTGGGCAACATGGCAAAACCCCATCTCTACAAAAAATAACAAAAATTAGCCAAGTGTGGAGGTGGCAGGTCTGTGGTTGGTCCCAGCTACCCCAGCTACTCAGGAGGCTAAGGTGGGAGGATCACTTGAGCCAGGGAGGTCAAGGCTGCAGTGAGCTGAGATGGTGCCACTATACCAGTCAATAAGAATTGATCAATTGACTGATCATTGAATGCCATCAGTCAGTGATGTTTTTACTGATCAGCTAGGAAATGAGTATTTTTTTTTTTTTTTTTTAGATGGAGCCTCGCTGTGTCACCCAGGCTGGAATGCAATGGCATGATCTCAGCTCACTGCAACCTCTGTGTCCCAGATTCAAGCGATCCTCCTGCCTCAGGCTCCCAGGTAGCTGGGTTTACAGGTGTGAGCCACCACAACCAGCTAATTTTTGTATTTTTAGTGGAGGTAGGGTTTCACCATGTTGGCCAGGCTGGTCTCAAACTCCTGACCTCAGGTGATCTGCCAGCCCTGGCCTCCCAAAGTGCTGGGATTACAGATGTGAGCCACCACACCCAGCCTGGAAACGAGATTTTTAAAAAGAACAATGTAGGGAGCTTTTTGATCCCTTCTCAAAAAAAAAAAAAAAAAAAAAAAAAAAAAAAAAAAAGAAAGAAATACAAAAGTTAGCAGTAAGAGCTAACACAGCTTACTTACCATGTACCACGCACCATATTAACCACTTATGGAAAGACAACTCATTTAACCTATGTCAAGCACTTAGACTAGTGCCTGGCTCATCTTATTAAATATTAGCCATCATCCCCCCTCCACCAAAATTGCTTACTCATCATCTTTGCTTTTTTGTTGTTGTTGTTAAAACAGGGTCGCACTCTGTTGCTCAGGCTGGAGTGCAGTGGTGTTATCAGGCTGTGAAAGGAAAATCTCTTGGGCCCCCAAAATCACTAAAGAAAACTCAACCTGGGAACCGCTTAGGGCACACCTGCCTCCCATTCTATTCAAAGCCACTACTCTGCTCACTGAGATGGATGCATATCTGATTTGCTTCCTTTGGAAAGGCTCATCAGAAACTCAAAAGAATGTAACCATTTGTGTATCACCTATCTGTGATCCGGAAGCCGCTTCAAGTCTTCCTGCCTTTGCTGCAAGTTGTCCCACCTTTTCAGACCCAACCAATGTACTTCTTACATATACTGACTGATGTATCATGTCTCCCTAATGTATAAAACCAAGCTGTGGGCCGGGCGCAGTGGCTCACGCCTGTAATCCCAGCACTTTGGGAGGCCGCCGAGGCAGGCGGATCACGAGGTCAGGAGTTCGAGACCAGCCTGACCAAAATGGTGAAATTTTGTCTCTACTAAACAATACAAAAATTAGCCGGGTGTGGTGGCGCACGCCTGTAGTCCCAGCTACTAGGGAGGGTGAGGTACGAGAATCGCTCGAACCCACGACGCAGAGGTTGCAGTGAGCCGAGATCTTGCCACTGCACTCCAGCCTGGACGAGAGTGAGACTCTGCCTCAAATAAATAAATAAAAGATTAAACTGTAAGCAAGCAGTTTACTATGAAACTTGCAACCAACTCTACCTGAGAGATAACTGGCAGCCACAGCCTAAGGACTCTCCAGGAAGGATTTTCTGACTCTTACAGACATAAGCCACATAACTCCATCCTCTTATTTCCAATATTTGCCCCGTCCCGAAAAAAAATTAAAGAGTTAACCAACAGTGAGAAGGCCAAATTATTATAATGCTTATAGCACCCTAATTCCAGTTCTCACTTTTACTCAAATTCTTTCGTTAATCAAATCCAGGACTTCACAGGAGGAAACAAAAACAAAGATAAGAGCTTTAACCGTGGAACTAGAAGGCAACACAGAACAAAGAGCTAGATCAACATCTGGCTAATTCTAGAGCCACCATAAAGCAGAGATAAGGTGGCTGATAATCAGGTACCTCGGCCCAAAAGTCCAAGAGGGCACTAAGTGAAGTGCATGAACAACAGGTCATCTAGAAAGCCACGGAAAATGTTAGAAACGGCAGTGTGCGATGAGCGGGAATGCGGCGCAATCTGGACAAGCCTCCAGGGCCAGGGAGGAGACGCGGAAGGACGGAAAGGGTGAAGGATGCACCGCCCAGTGGCTGGAGGAAGTCCAGAAGGAAACCAGGCAGCCCGGGAGGAAAAGAGGAAGCAAGGGGAGGAGGCCTAGAGGCGGCGCGCGGGGAGTAGGCCCCTCTAGGGACGCTCTGGAAGGGTCCTCCCTGTCCCTCCTCCCGGGTGGGGTAGGTGAGGGTGCAGGGCGGCTGGGGGCCGGAAGGGCAGGCAGGCAGCGGCGGGCGCAGTCTGGGGCGCACTCACCCCGGGTCCCTCCCCGACGCGGTAGGTGAGCAGCACCTGGAGGCGCTCGGCGGCGCGGCAGGGCTGCGGGAAGGACACGCACAGGGCCTGGCCATAGTGCGAGAAGGGCTGCGTGTAGAAGCTCACGGGCTCCGCAGGCGGCTCCTCCGAGCCGGGCCGCTCCCGCCGCAGCGCCGCCGCCGTCACCTCCAGGCACGGGTGCGAGTCCAGCCGCAGCTCGGCGGCGCCCTCGGGCTCCAGGCAGCGCAGGTCCAGGACCGCGGTGCCGCTCAGCCCCCGGCTCCCTGCGCCGGGCCCTGGAGGCCCGAACTCAGCCCGCAGGTCCAGGTGCAAGTGCAGCAGCTCAAAGGCCCGGAAGTTGGAGGCCGAGGCCACGTCCACAGCCTGCGCGGAGTGCAGCGGCCGCCGGGCCGCGCCGCTGCCGGGGGAATGCTCGCCGCTCGCCATGGCCGCAGAGCCGTTGCTCACCGGCCGGGCCGCGAACCCGAGGGGAGCCCCGCCCCGAGCGCCGCGGGCCCGCCCCCGCCGCGCGGGCCCCGCCCCCGAAATCTGCTCCCGACCGCATCCCCTCCCTGCGCTTTACCGCCCACTCTTCTAGCTGCACCCGTGCCTCGGGACTTAGGACAAAAGAGGCCGGTGGGATCGTGTGGCCCACGTTTGCCCACCCATATCCTACTGAGGTGTTCCAGTCGTCCCGGTGGGGCACCCTTCTCTGCTGACCCTTCCTGCTGCCTCATCTAGGCAGTGGCGTGGACTGAGCCCTGGCTGGGAAGGTCTGAGTTCCAGATCTCACACCCTGCGATAGGCCAGTTGTTAGAACTGTGTGTCACCTTGGGCAAGTCGCACAAGAAACATGAATCTTCCCGAGCCTTTTTCTGCACCAGTATAATAGAGTCATAATATCTGTGTATCTCACGAAGTAATGTGAGAACTCTACCAGGTAACCTGTCTAACACACTCAGCAAACAGTGAAACCCTGCACAACTTCACGGAATTCACACTGGATCGAGCCTCGTCCCCCAGCAACTCCAGGCACGCCTATCTTTCTATTGTTGGGTTAAGGGACAGGAATCAGCACCGCGCAATTTAAGGCCTGGCTGTCCATCGCATGTCACTTCTATTTCCCTTACTGTATTGTACCGCTTATTGAGCTAGGGTATTCTCCGCTGAATACTTTGTTTCTCTTCTGTACCAGTGGGTTGCAATGGGCCTTCTATGAATAGGAGCTAATCAATGATGATGTTTTTACCGTTCAGCTAGGAAATGAGATTTTTAAAAAGAACAATGTAGGGAGTTTTTCATTAAGGGAAATAGTATTCCGTTCTGTGCTTCCTAGTTTTGTAGAGTTGAAATTATTTTATTTCATGAAATAATGCTTATGGTAGATAATGACTTTAATATTCCATGTAAGTTCAATGTCAGGGTTTTTTGTTTAACTCCAGAAACCTTAGAAACCTGCTTTTCTGTAGCATTGAGAACAGCGCTTGGTACATATTAGACGTTGAATACTCCTATCTTGAAATTATTCAGTCTTCGATGCAATGCACTTTTGCTGAGTATCTGCTAGACACCAGTTGTTAAGCTAAGTGCCTGGGGTACAGTTTGAATAAGTCCGGCACAATTCCTCTTCCTATGGTGTTCATAGCCTAACTCACATTTTAGCAGACGCACAAGAAAACAGGTCACGACACTTCCACGTGCTGCGCTTGATACGGGAAGAAAAGGATGCTGGGGAGCACAACGAAGAGATGCCTAGCCTGATCCTTCTAGTTAAATATTGACAGAGGAAGAGGATGTCATCCTTAGCTAAAGGGTAAAAGATTTTAGGCTGGGTGTGGTGGCTCACGCCTGTAATCCCAACACTTTGGGAAGCTGAGGCAGGAGGATCGCTTGAGCCCAGGAGTTCAAGATGAGGCTACGCAACAGAGGGAGACCCCCTCTCTACAAAAACATTTTAAAAAATTAGCTGGGTGTGGTGATGCACACCTGTGGTCCTGGCTACTCAGAGGATGAGGTAGGGGTATTGCTTGGGCCCAGGAGGTCAAGGCTGCAGTGAACCATGATCATACCACTGCACTCCAGCTGGGGCAACAGAGAAAGACCCTGTCTCAAAAAAAAAAAAAAAAAAGATTTTAGGAATTATATTATTTCCCCTTATAGCCTTACTTCTTCCTGGGAATACCAGGAACCTCATTTCCACTTCCGCCTCCCTGCATGGCTCCCACACTGTCTAGTTTGCCTCAGAACTGGCCTGTAGATGGCCTGTAATAACTTACAGTGGAGAGATTCAGGAATTCAGAGAATTCAGGATTGTAGAAAGGGGACACTGTGGGCACAGCCCACCTCTCCCCCAGTTCATTTTCATTATTTATTATTTATTTGTGAATGCTTAGAATGCAACATATGTTGGACATTTCAAAATAATGGCCACAAATTTTCCATTCCTGATTCTATAGATTTAAAAGTTACAGGGCCGAGTGCAGTGGCTTATGCCTGTAATCCCAGCACTTTGGGAGGCTGAGGCTGGTGAATCATTTGAACTCAGGAGTTCAAGATCAGCCTGGCCAACATTATGAAACACCATCTCTACTAAAAATACAAAAAATTAGCCGGGCAGTAGTGGCACACACCTGTAATCTCAGCTACTCGGGAGGCTGAGGCAGGAGAATTGCTTGAGCCTAGGAGGCAGAGGTTGGAGTGAGCCAACATTGCGCCACTGCACTCCAGCCTGCATGACAGAGTGAGACCCTGTCTCAAAAAAAAAAAAAAAAAACAGTAAAAAGTTACAATAAATTATTAGCAAAAATAAAAATAAAGCTACCTATAGACATGTTTTAGTTAAATTGAAGAAAACCAAGACATAAAGATCTTACAGCAGTGGAAGAAAAGAGACAGATTATCTACAAAAGAATGGCAATTAGAAATTGGACCAAGGTGCCAGGTATGTTGGCTCACACCTATAATCCCAGCACTTTGGGAGGCCAAGGCGGGCGGATCACCTGAGGTTGGGAGTTCGAGACCAGCCTGACCAACATGGAGAAACCCTGTCTCTACTGAAAATACAAAATTAGCCAGGCATGGTGGCGCATGCCTTTAATCCCAGGTACTCCGGAAGCTGAGGCAGGAGAATCACTTGAACCTGGGAGGCGGAGGTTGTGGTGAGCCGAGATCACGCCATTGCACTCCAGCTTCGGCAACAAGAGCAAAACTCCGTCTCAAAATAAGAAATTGGACCAAGGGCAGACCTCTCATTAGCAACATACAAGCTGGAGACATTATCTTCAAAATACTGAGAAAAAAAAGCCAACTGTCAAATTGGAATTGTATACCCAACTAAACTATTATTTGGTCATGTGCAGTGGCTCAAGCCTATAATCCCAGCACTTTAGGAGGCTGAGGCAGGAAGATCTCTTTAGCCAAGGAGTTCCAGACCAGCCTGGGCAACACAGGGAGACCCTGTCTTTATAAAAATAAATAAAATTAAAAATGAACTACTGTTAAAAAGTAAGGGAAAACAGATTTTTAGATAAAAATTGAGAGTATTTACCATCCATAGACTCCTAACGAAGAAATTCTAAAGGAATTCTTTTTTTTTTTTTTTTTGAGATGAAGTCTCGCTCTTGTCCCCCAGGCTGGAGTGCAATGGTGCGATCTCAGCTCACTGCAACCCCCGCCTCCCGGGTTCAAGCAATTCTCCTGCCCCAGCCTCCTGAGTAGCTGGGATTACAGGCGCCTGCCACCATGCCTGGCTAATTTTTGTATTTTAAGTAGAGACGGGGTTTCACCATGTTGGCCAGGCTGGTCTCGAATTCCTGACCTCAGGTGATCCGCCTGCCTCGGCCTCCCAAAGTGCTGGGATTACAGGCGTGAGCCACTGTGCCAGGCCAGGAATTATTTCAAGAAGGAAAGGAATCACTGAAGGAAAGAATGAGATGCAAAAAGGAACAGTGAGCAAAAAAAGTAGATAAATTTAAACAACTGTATAAAACAACACTAATAATATACTAATAATGTTTATGTGAGGGAATCAGGATAAAACTAAAATAACAGACTAAAAGTACATAAGAGAGAGGGGTAACTGAAGTTAAAGCATTTTTTTTTTTAGGTGGACAGAAAGTAGAATTTATTGGTGAGTATTAAGAGGGGGCAGCACAGTGGAAGCCCTCATGAGTGCAGGACCCGCCACTTGTCCAGAGGGCCATGATTGGGAATGTACTTGACCCATCTGGGATGAGCCGCTTCTCAGCCACCATGTCTTCAAATTAATTGGCATTGAACTTGGTGAAGCCCCATTTCTTTGAGATGTGGATCTTCTGGCGGCCAGAAAACTTGAACTTGGCCCTGCGCAGGGCCTCAATCACATGCTCCTTGTTCTGCAGCTTGGTGTGGATGGACATAACTTGGCCAATGTGAACCCTGGCCACAGTGCCCTGGGGCTTTCCAAAGGCACCTCGCATGCCAGTTTGGAGCCTACATTGGGGTAGTGTAAGGTCAGAAACATGAACATCCATCTGAAAGGACTGTCTCCAAGGTCCCTTAGAGCAACCCATACAACAAACAGGCTGCATACACTACCAAGGAAGCTGCTATTTACAGCCATTGCACACTGGGCCCCCATGAGGAAAGGAACTCAGTCGGCTTAATTGGCTGCAGGAAGTTAAAGCATTCTAAGCTCCTTGTATTATCAGATGGAGAGTAGGGATAAATGTGAGATCTTAAGTATCTGTATTAAAGTTTTAAAGGAAACCACTTAAGTAATATAAATTGAAGACAGTATATAACTCATAAGCCAATAAATGGGGAAATATGTAGTTTAAAAAAAAAAAGCAAAAAACTTGGCCGGGCACAGTGGCTCACACCTGTAATCCCAGCACTTTGGGAAGCTGATGTGGGCAGATCACCTGAGATCAGGAGTTTGAGACCAGCCTGGCCAACATGGTGAAACCCCATCTTTACTAAAAATATAAAAATTAGCCCGGTGTGGTGGCGGTAATCCCAGCTACTCAGGAGGCTGAGGCAGGAGAATCACATGAACCCGGGAGGCGGAGGTTGCAGTGAGCTGAGATTGTGCCACTGCACTCCAGCCTGGGCAACAGAGTGAGACTTTGTCTGAAAAAAAAAAAAAGGAAAAGAAAGAGTAAGACAGGATATTATTACTTCAAATCGAGGAGGCAGAAACCTGGGATGGTAAGTAGTTCACAAATACCTAGGTATAATTCACAAATACCTAGGTATAGTTCACAAATACCTAGGTATAAATTGCTTGTTAATGTTCTAGCTCACATGTTGGAGTATTATCTGTCTAATAATACAGTCTCAAAACAAATAAAATAAAAATTGGCTGAGCGCAATGGCTGATGCCTATAATCCCAGCACTTTGAGAGGCCGAGGCAGGTGGATTGCTTAAACTCAGGATTTTGAGACCAGCCTGGCCAACGTGGTGAACCCCTGTCTCTAAGAAAAATACAAAAATTAGCTGGGCATGGTGGTGCATACATGTGGTCCCAGTTACTTGGGAGGCTGAGGTAGGAGGATCACTTGAGCCCAGGAGATCAAGGCTGCAGTGAGCCGAGATCATGCCACTGCACTCCAGCCTGGGCAACAGAGCAAGACCCTGTATCAAAAAATAAAAAAATTAACAGAACACAAGGGAAAATGGACAAATTCACCAACAGAGTAAGAAACGTTACATGCCTCTCCCAGTAATTAAAGTAATTAACAGATCAGGGAATACTTTTTTTTTTTTTTTTTTTTTTTAGAGATGGAATCTTGCTCTGTCACCCAAGATGGAGTGCAGTGGCACAATCTTGGCTCACTGCAACCTCTACCTCCCAGGTTCAAGCCATTCTCCTGCTTCAAGCCATTCTCCTGCCTCAGCCTCCCAAGTAGCTGGGATTACAGGTGCGTGCCACCACGCCCAGCTAATTTTTGTATTTTTAGTAGAGATGGGGTTTCGCCATGTTGGCCAGGCTGGTCTCGAACTCCTGACCTCAGGTGATCCACCTTCCTCTGCCTCCCAAAGTGCTGGGATTACAGGTGTGAATCACTGCACCTGGCCTTTTTTTTTTTTTTTTTTTTTGAGACAGGGTCTTGCTCTGTTGTCCAGGCTGGAGTGCAGGGGCATGATCTCGGCTCACTGCAATCTACACCTCCAGGGTTCAAGCAATTCCTGTGCCTCAGCCTTCAGAGTAGCTGGGACTACAGGCATGTGCCACCATGCCTGGCTAATTTTTGTATTTTTTAGTAAAGACGGGGTTTCACCATGTTGGCCAGGCTGGGTGCCTTTCTAACTCCTGGCCTCAAGTGATCCACCCATCTCAGCCTCCTAAAGTGCTAGGATTACAGGCGTGAGCCACTGCACCCAGCCTGTATTTCTATTTACTAGTAATGAACAATGAAATTTGAAATTTAAAAACCGATACCAGGCTGGGCACAGTGGTTCATGCCTATAATCCCAGCACTTTGGGAGGCCGAGGCGGGTGGATCACCTGAGGTCAGGAGTTTGAGACCAGCCTGGCCAACATGGTGAACCCCCATCTTTACTAAAAATACAAAAATTACCCAGGTGCAGTGGCAGGTGCCTGTAATCTCAGCTATTCATGAGGCTGAGGCAGGAGAATCGCTTGAACACAGGAGGTGGAGGTTGCAGTGAGCCAAGATCACACCACTGCACACCCCAGTCTGAGCGAAGAGCGAGACTAGGTCTAAAAAAATAAAAACAAAAAAACCCCCACAAAAACAACAACAACAACAAAAAACCACCAAAAAACCCAATACTATTTACAAAGCATTTCCTAAAATGAAATATTGAGGTTTAAATATAACAAATTATATGCAGGACTATATGCTAAAATTGCAAAACACAGATAAAACTCAATCCCAATAAAAACCCCAGCAGGATTTTTCGTAGATAACAACAATCTAATTATAAAATTTATAGGGACAGGCAAAGAAACTAGAATAGCCAAAATGATGTTGAAAAAATAAACAAAATTGGAAGACTCATACTCATTTCAAAACTTACTATAAAGCAATGGTGTGACCCTGATGAAAGGTAGACACATACATCAATGGGACAGAATAGAGATTCAAGAAACAGACTTTTGACAAATGTACAAAAAATAATTGCGGGTCACATGTCTTACAATGGACTTATATCACAATATATAAAGAACTCTCAGAACTAAACAGTAAGAAAAACAATTTAAAAATGTGGCTGGGTGTGGTGGCTCATGCCTGTAATCCCAGCACTTTTTTTTTTTTTTTTTGAGACGGGGTTTCACTCTATCACCCAGGCTGGAGTGCGGTGGTGCCATCTCGGCTCACTGCAACCTCCGCCTCCCGGGTTCAAGCAATTCTCCTGCCTCAGCCTCCCAAGTAGCTAGGATTACAGGTGCCCACCACCACGCCTGGCTAATTTTTTTTGTATTTTTAGTAGAGACAGTGTTTCACCATGTTGGCCAGGCTGGTTTCAAACTCCTGACCTCAAGTGATCCGCCCATCTCGACCTCCCAAAGTGCTAGGATTAAAGGCGTGAGCCACCATGCCCGGCCTGTGATCCCAGCATTTTGGGAGGCCGAGGCGGGCAGATGGCTTGAGTTTAGGAGTTCAAGACCAGCCTAGGCAACATGGTGAAAACCTGTCTCTACAAAAAAGTACAAAAATTAGCCAAGCTTGGTGGCATGTGTCTGTAGTCCCAGCTACTCAGGAGGCTGAGCGGGAAGGATTGCTTGAGCCCAGGAGGTGGAAGTTGCAGGCGGGAGCCAAGATTATACCACTGCACCAATGCTCCAGCATGGGTGATAGAGCCAGACCCTGTCTCAAAACAAAACAAAACAAAAACAAAAGCATGAAAGATTTGAACAGACACATCACTAAAAAAGACACACAGATGGCAAACAGATGAAAGGATGGACATCATTAGTCATTAGAGAAAGGAAAATTAAAACCACTAGCACCTATCGGAATTGCTAACATAAAAAAAAAAATGGCACTACCAAGTGCCAAGGATACACAGCAGCCAGAACCCTCATAGGTTGCTGGTGAGAGCGTAAAATGATACAATTTGGGAAACAATTTGGCATTTTCTTATAAAATTAAACATATACTTGCCTTACAACCTAGTGATCCTATTTATTTTATCCAAGATAAATGAAAACATGTTCACACAAAAACCAGTAAGTAAAGGTTTATAGCAACTTTATGAATAATCATGAAAAATTGGAAATAACTCCAATGTCCTTCAACTGGTGAAGAGATGAATAAACAAGAGTACATCTGCACAATGGAATAAAAAGGAATAAATGATTGATTCACATACCATCATGAATGAATTAAATGCACTTTGCTAAATGACAGAAACTAGATCCAAATACTACATGTCGTAAGATTCCATTTATCTACTGAAAAGATAAAACTACAGACAAAAAACACACCAGTAGTTGCCACGGGTTGGAAGGAGTAGGGAGAGGGGTTGGCTATAAAAAGGCAGCATGGGCCGGGAACAGTGGCTCACACCAGTAATACCAGCCCTTTGGGAGCCCAAGGTAGGAGGATTGCTTGAGCTCAGGAGTTCGAGACCAGTCTGGGCAATATAGTGAGACCTGGTCTCTACTAAAATTAAAAAAAAAAAATTAGCTGGGCATGGTGGCACATGCTTGTAGTCCCAGCTACTCAAAGGGCTGAGGCAGGAGGATTGCTCAAATCTGGGATGTCAAGGCTGCAGTGAGCCCTGATCACACCACTGCATGCCAGCTTGGGCAACAGAGCAAGACCCTGTCTCAGAAAGAAAAGAAAAGAAAAGAAAAAGGCAGCATGAAGACATTTTGGGAGTGATGTGATTGTAGTTTAAGATTATCTGTGTGAAACTGTGGTGGTGGGTAGCCATCTCTAAGCATTTATCAAAATTAACTGAACTGTACCCCATAGTGAATTTTACTGAATGTAATTTAAAAATCCACCAAGATGTGGAGAGAAAGATGGAATGAAGTCTGGGGAAATGAATACAATCACATTGCAAATGAATTGCATAACCACACTGAAGAGAGTGGGGGAGAAAGGAGTATAATTAAATAGCTTTGGAACATGTTTTGAATAGATACTGAAGACTGAAAACAACTGTGTACAAACACTGTTCTAGCTGGCAAATCCATTTCTCAGAGCTATGATTTACTAAGTCCAAAATATATGTAACCAGGATTGAACAAATGAGCAAATTATTATAATGAGAAGCCAGGTTTCTTGCTGTTACAACTAAGAGAGACAGCTAGAATGAATCCTGTGGTGCCAGATTGAAGTTGGAGGGACTTAGTTTTTGTTTTATAACACAAGGACAGATACAGAAATAAACAGAAGTTTATGTGCATGGATTATATACTACATATTTCCTAGCTTTATGCACTGAAAAGGACTAGAATATGTCAAACATAGGGAAAAGGAGGGAAAATATCCAATAATTATTTGTCTTATTAGCTAAAGATGTTAGCCATTGTCAATTTTCTTGTTTTGTTTCTGTTTTTGAGACAGAGTCTCTCGCTCTGTCACCCAAGCTGGAGTGCAGTGGCGCGATCTCAGCTCACTGCAAGCTCCGCCTCCCAGGTTCACGCCATTCTCCTGCCTCAGCCTCCCAAGTAGCTGGGACTACAGGCGCCCGCCACCACGCCCGGCTAATTTTTTGTATTTTTAGTAGAGATGGGGTTTCACTATGTTAGCCAGGATGATCTCAATCTCCTGACCTTGTGATCCACCCGCCTCGGCCTCCCAAAGTGCTGGGATTACAGGCATGAGCCACTGCACCCGGCCCTCAATTTTCTTGTTTTTGAGACAGGGTCTTGCTCTGTTGCCCAGGCCGGAGTGCAGTGGTGCGATCTCAGCTTACTGCTCCCTCCATTTCCCAGGATCAAGGAATCCTCCTGCCTCAGCCCCCTTGAGTAGCTGGGGCTACAAACATATGCCACCATGCCCAGCTAAATTTTTTGAATTTTAGTAGAGACAAGGTCTCATCCATGATCTAACAGACTGAATAGAATTTATTATTATTATTATTTGAGGCCAGATGCGGTGGTTCATGCCTGTAATCCCAGCACTTTGGGAGGCGGAGGCGGGCAGATCACCTGAGGTTGGGAGTTCGAGATCAGCCTGACCAACAAGGTGAAACCTCAAGTCTCGACCCCAAGTGATCCACCCGCCTCAGCCTCCCAAAGTGCTGGCATTACAGGCATGAGCCACTGGGCCCAGCCTGAATAGAATTTGGACAATTAATTTTAACTATAAGTAACATGCCACAGGGTGGAGCTATGACCATGCTTTCATAATTTGCAGACATTTCCTATGTGAAAAACAGATGCACTTTCAATAGCAGGTGCAGCTGTACCCATGTCTTCCAAACCCTGATTCAGAAATCCACTATTTCGGCCAGGCACAGTGGCTCACGCCTGTAATCCCAGCACTTTGGGAGGCCGAGGTGGGAGGATTGAGTCCAGGAGTTCAAGATCAGCCTTGACAATGTGGCAAAACTCTGTCTCTATTTAAAGAAAGTGCTGGCCAGGTGCAGTGGCTCATGCCTGTAATCCTAGCACTCCATCTCAAACAAACAAACAAACAAACAAACAAACAAAAGAGTCTTGTTCTGTTGCCCAGGCTGAAGTGCAGTGGCATAATCATAGGTCACTACAGGCTTGACCACCTAGACTCAAGGGATCCTCCCGCCTCAGCCTCCCAAGCAGCCGGTACTACAGGTGTGCACCCTATCTCTGGCTAAATTTACATTTTGTGGCTAGCGTCTCACTAGCCCAGGCTAGTCTCCAACTCCTGACCTCAAGCGACCTTCCTGCTTCAGCCTCCCAAAATGCTGGGATTATGGGTATGAGCCACCATCCCCAGCTGAACTGTTTAATAAATATTCTAAAACTAAATTTGGTATACTAGAGTAGAGCTCAAGATAAAAAGTAAAAAAACTAAATTGTTTTAATAACTGAAATAAATAACTGGAGAAACAAGCAGATTAGGAAGGAGGTTTTCCCTAGGTCTTTACTGGAATAGTGAAGTTAGTTTCTCACTTTTAAGGTTGAAATGCCCATCAGAAATACCCCATCTGTTTTGCTTTGTATCTGACATCTTGTGCCAAATTGGCATGCAATAGTGGATTACTTTTTTGTTTTGAGACAGTCTTGCACTGTTGCCCAGGCTGGAGTGTAGTGGTGTGATTTTGGCTCACTACAACCTCTTCCCTCCCAGGTTCAAGTGATTCTCCTGCCTCAGCCTCCCAAATAGCTGGGATTATAGGTGCCCGGCACCATTACCAGCTAATTTTTTGTATTTTTAGTACCCACCGGGTTTCACCATGTTGGCCAGGCTGGTCTCGAACTCCTGACCTCGTGATTCACCCTCCTCAGCCTCCCAAAGTGCTGGGATTACAGGCGTGTGCCACCGCGCCCAGCACTTTCTTTTATATTTTTGAGACGGAGTCTCGCTCTGTCGCCCAGGCTGGAGTAGTGGCAAGATCTCGGCTCACTGCAAGCTCCACCTCCCGGATTCACGCCATTCTCCTGCCTCAGCCTCCAAAGTAGCTGGGACCACAGGCGCCCACCACCACGCCCAGCTAATTTTTTGTATTTTTAGTAGAGACGGGATTTCACTGTGTTAGCCAGGATGGTCTCGAACTCCTGAGCTTGTGACCTGCCCGCTTTGGCCTCCCAAAGTGCTGGGATTACAGACGTGAGCCACTGCACCCGGCCAGACTCTTGTGTCTTTAAAAAAAAAAAAGTTAAACCTAGAACTACCATATGACTCGGTAATCTCACTCTTATGTATATATCCAAAAGAACCAAAAATAGGAGTTGAAACAGATAGTTGTACACCAATGTTCATAGCAGCATAATTCACAATAGCCAAAAGGTAGAAACAACCTAACTGATCATCAAATAAAATGTAGTATATGCACACTATGGAATATTATTCAGCCCTAAAAATAAATTTTGCTACATGCTACTACATGGACCTTAAAACACGCTAAGTGCATTAAGACGGACACACAAAAACAAATATTTTATGATTCCACTTATATAAGGTACCCAGAAAAGGCAAATTCACAGACAGAAAGCAGAATTGTGGTTACTAGTGGTTGTGGCGAGGAAAGAATGGGAAGTTATTATTTAACAGGTACAGAGTTTATGTTTGTGAAGGCTGGACATGGTGGCTCATGCCTGTAATCCCAGCATGGGGTGTGGGAGGCTGAGGCAGAAGGATGGCTCGAAGCCAGGAGTTCGAGGCTGCAGTAAGCTATGACTGTGCCACTGCATTCCAGCCTGGGTGACAGAGTAAGACACTGTCTCTAAAAACAAAACGGAGTTTATGTTGATGATAATGAGAACATTTTGGGTATACATAATGGTGGCTGTTATACAACATTATGACTGTATTTCAATGCCACTGAATTATACACTTACAAATGGTTAATAAGTATTATTTTATGTATATTTTACCACAGTCGAAAATTCCCAAATTATCCAAACACAATCAGTAATTAAATGCCTACCATATGTATGGCATTGGGCCAAAAGATAAACGTGTGTTTACAGTACCCACATGGCTTTGTTCTCCATTTCCCACAGATGTAGGCAAATGTGTAATTAACTAACATCATGCCTCCTATAGGGCCACATGTCACTTCCAATATCAGGAAAATGACCTGTTCTGAAGTGCTCATCCATTTTCCAGGCCCAACCAGACCCCAAAATACATCGTTTATGCAGAGGACTTGGAACACATTCAAAACAGTACATACTTTATTTTCAAGCATACAAGAAACACTAAACTCTTCCAGTGCCAGTACACTCTCCATGAATTCTTCATATAGAATTGGGTATATTGGAAGCAAGTTGTTTCTGGTGAAATTTCTGATGATCAGGAATCAAGACTCAGTAGCCCTAAAGGAAGAGAGTTTTGTATCCAATATCCTCAAAACCAAGACATAGTATATTTTACTTTCAAAGTAAACTATAAACATTTTACCATATCCTTCAATCCATAAAGCATCTCACTGTGAAATGATCCATGTTGACTCTGCATAATTCTCAGAAGTCACTTCAAGTGATGAGGGACTAACTATAAAACATGCATTATTTGAAGTACATGAGCATGAAACATCGAAGTCTACAACTTATCTTAAAAGAAAGAGTAAGTTCCACCAGCTTTTTATTGTTTGAATAACAGAACACACAAAACCAGGCAGAGAAGTCCGCAAGGAGATGATGATCATATTTCACTGTTTTTTGGCCTTTTGGTCCTTCATCTTTCAAGCACTTACTGTATTTTCCTTTAGCGATTTAAACATTTATTTTGATCACAAATGCAATTCAAGTGTGAATAAATAAACGTATTATCTTTTAGCACCCTTCCCCGCTTGTTCCTTTAAATAGAAAAAAGTGCTAAATGTCTCTTTATAGCCTATTGGCCATAGCTGTCCCACCTATGGTTTTAAAAACAGACTGTAACTTGATCTTCTGAAATCCTTCTCGAACCACAACTCGTTCTGTTAAAGAAATCCTAGGAAAGAAGTCCTACTGATATTGTCGATAGTCTCCAAAAGGTGAGGAAGGTAACTGAGTTGAAGGCAACTGGGAGGGGTCTTCTGCAAACTGAGGACCTGCAAGTGAGAAATAAAAAGGATTTAAAAATCACCTGAATATTATATTATTAAAAAGAACAAATCTCTATAGAGAGTAAATCAATCAACAACAAAAAAATGTGCTAAATTAAAGCTATAACCCTAAATTTCTTTATAGATCTGCCTAATTCCCATAAGAGTACTGGAGAACCTTCAAATTTGGTATAACATATGACAGACTGGCTTGCTATGCTCCAGAATGAACAGTTTTCAAACACTATGCTAGGAAAGTCAGACGGATTAATTATAGCAAGAAGCAAACTTCAAGTTTTTAAAGCAATTGCTGTAACAAGCTGCCATATATCAAGATTAGAAGAGTTTCTCCCACTTCTTGTCATATTTTTCAGTAGCTATTTAAAATTATTTTCACAAAGTATAAGTATCCTAGTCATGTTTTAAGAGAACTTGGTAATCCAATTTATATAACCAATTAAGTAGGGAATGAGCTCTGAAATGGGAAGACACCCCCTAGCTTACTGTAGAACAAAGTCTTGCAGTTTTCATTTTCAAAGGATAGGAGAGCCTGTGAACTAAGTAAAACAAAGTGGCTTAAAAAAAAAAAAAAGACTTTTAGGGGATGAATCAATCTTTTCTCCTTTAAGAAAAACTGAAGTAGACTAAAAAATATCTGGAAGGAAGAGAGAAAGAGGGCAGTGGCAGAATTCTCTGAAGTTTTCAAAGTGTTTCACTCATATATTTTTACTTCACTATAAATGCAACTATCTGTTAATTACAGAAAACTTGAGAAGATACTGGGTAAAAAAGATAAGCTGGGGCCGGGTGCGGTGGCTCTCGCCTGTAATCTCAGCACTTTGGGAGGTTGAGGCGGGCAGATCACCTGAGGTCAGGACAACATGGCGAAACCCCGTCTCTACTGAAAATATGAAAATTAGCTGGGCATGGTGGAGGGTGTCTGTAATCCCAACTACTCAGGAGCTGAGGCAGGAGAATCACTTGAACCTGGGAGGTGGAGGTTGCAGTGAGAAGAGATCGCGCCATTGCACTCCAGCCTGCGAGACAGAGCAAGTCTGTCTAAAAAAAAAAAAACAAACAAAAACAAAAAAACCCCAAAAAAAGATAAGCCGATGAAAACCACTGTTGCCATTTACATACAGTTCTGTCTAACCTTTTTTCACTGTTTTAAAAACTTTTTTGCTGGGCGCGATGGCTCACATTCCCAGCACTTTGGGAGGTCAAGGCGGGCGGATCACGAGGTCAGGAGTTCGAGACCAGCCTGACCAATATGGTGAAACTGCATCTCTACTAAAAAATACAAAAAAAAAATGAGCCAGGTGTGATGTTGCGCACCTGTAGTCCCAGCTACTCAGGAGGCTGAGACAGAAGAATCGCTTGCACCCCGGAGGCGGAGGGTGCAGTAAGCTGAGATTGCACCACTGCAATCCAGCCTGGGCGACAGACCGAGACTCTGTCTCAAAAACAAAACAAGACAAACTTTTTCATGTAAGTTCACTGGAAAAATATGATTAAGTTTTCAAAGATTTCCCCCCTACACAGCTTTTCAGAAACACATCTCTTGTCTAAAAATAAATACACCTCTTTTAGGCTGCTTCTATATAAATGCTGAGTTTTAATTACTAAAAAGGAGATTCCAGCTGGGCACGGTGGCTCACCCCTGTAATCCCAGCACTTTGGGAGGCCGAGGCAGGGAGGATCGCTTGAGCCCAGGAGTTTAGGATCAGCCTGGGCAGAGACCTCATCTCTACAAAAAATATAAAAATTAGCCGGGCATAGCGGTGCACACCTATAGTCCCAGCTGCTCAAGAGGCTGAGGTGGGAGGATCGCCTGAGCCCAGGAGGTCAAGGCTGCAGTGAGCCGAGATTGCACCACTGCACTCCAGCCGGGGTCACAGAGATTCTGTTTCAAAAAAAATTAAAATAAATAAATAAATAAATAAAATAAATAAATAAAAAGGAGATTCCCTCTGAGGAAAAAAGCCTAAAACAAAGTACTCAAGGCTAATTTCTATGAGACAATGTAACTATTTAAGTTAACTATATCCATTTCTGAATTTCTGTGAATATGGAACTGTTTTGATGTTTTATGTAAAGTCTTTCACACTGAAGCAGTCAAAACAAAATTGGAAAGTGACCATCACTACAGAGTGTTAACTCAGAAGTAAGGAATGAAAAACAAACAGAAGGTGAGAGGGTCTGCAGGGTCATCTAGATTACTCACTGCCATTTAACGAGCAGTGCACTTGAAAATTGTGCCAAAAAGATACTGAATCTCTTGCTAGGTGCCTCAGGGAAATCAAAGCAAATTGGGATGTATGATCTATTCCTAACTTTATGCTGAATCTTTTCCAAGCTCCAAAAATAATTTTCAACATGTCTCACTATTCTACGTATTTTTTTCCTTCCCAAATGCCAGGTCAAATTTTCACTACTACTATCCTCACTATATATATATACACACACACACACACACACACACAACATATATAATATACAACATATATAATATATAACATATATAATACATAACATATATACAACATATAACATACATATTATATAACATATATAATATATAACATATATAGCATATATATAACATATATATGTTATATATATATATATTTTTTGAGATGGAGTCTTGCTCTGTTGCCCAGGCTGGAGTGCAATGGTGTGATCTCAGCTCACTGCAATCTCTGCCTCCCAGGTTCAAGTGATTCTTGTACCTCAGCCTCCCAAGGAGCTGCGATTACAGGCGTGTGCCACCATGCCCTGCTAATTTGTATTTTTAGTAGAGACGGGGTTTCACCACGTTGGCCAGGCTGCTCTCAAAACTCCTGACCTCAAGTGATCCACCTGCCTCAGTCTCCCAAAATGCTGGGATTACAGGTGTGAGCCACCGTGCCCGGCCACCTCACAATATCTTTTTGCATCCTTCCATTGTCAAGGGATATTTTCATTTAGACACTGAAATTTTTTTTTAAGAGATGGGGTCTTGCTCTGTTGCCCAGGCTGGCCTTGAACTCCTGGGGTCAAGTGAGTGGCCTCCTGAGTAGCTGGAACTACAGGAATGCACCATCTTGATAGAAGTTTTCTGTTTGTTTCATTTTGAGACAGAGTCTCGCTCCATCGACCAGCCTAGAGTGCAGTGGTGTGATCTCGGCTCACTGCAACCTCCACCTCCCAGGTTCAACTGATTCTCGTGCCTCCTGAGTAGCTAGGACTATAGGTGTGAGCCATTATGCCTGGCTAATCAGCTGAGAGCACATTCTATAACCATGTAATGATCATTCAGCCCACAATTTAATTATTACCCTATGCATCATATAGGAGGAACAACAGGCAACAAATTAAACCAATATAAAAATTAGCCGGGCTAACACATTTTCTAAGATACTTCTACTGTGAACCCTAAAGTGACCTTCCCAAATATGAGTCACTTTCCACTATTCTCTTCTTCAAAACAAGCAACACTATCTAAAATAAGCTAATTTATCTGTTAATGTGTTAGTCTGTCTCCCCCTACCAGAATGTAAGTCCTTGAGGGCAGGAACTGTCCTGTTCACTACCTAAAACAGTGTCTGGCATGTAGATGTACAATACTAAATTGTCAATTGACCATCATGATTGTTATACATCTGCAGAACCATTCTTCAAGTCCCTTTAAAATGATCAGACATTTCTTGCAAGACATGAGCACTGATAAACCCTAAGTACTATAAAGAAAGATCAACAGCAAATTTATACAAAAAATTTTTGTTTTTGTGGCTAAATATAACATGTTCATTTTTTACCTATTATCACAGTCCTCATGAACCACAGCATATTAATACATACCACACATTTTATCACACAAAGTATGTTCTTTCTTAACATCAGAAAACCATTCCAAAATGTTTGAGCTATAGTTTTAAGCAAAAAGACTCACCATTGGGAAACTGTGCAGAGGCAAATCTTGTCAACAAGATACCAGCTCCTTCAATTAAAGCTAGGAGAATGCCACCCATTGCGGCTGACCCAACCATGGCCACTGGTCCATCTGAAGACATTAATAACAAAGAGATTATTTTTTACAGAAATCTAGTTTACTGTAAGAGATAGTAAAGAAGAGAACTGTCCATATGGTGACATGCTCCCCCAACTCCCAAACTCTTTCTTATTGCCTAAGACCCAGAGTCAGTAAACTACAGCCACCCACAGTCCACCCACTGCCTATTTTTGTAAATAAAGTTTTACTGAAAGGCCATAAATCCCAGCACTTTGGGAGGCTGAGGCAGGCAGATCATGAGGTCAGGAGTTCGAGACCAGCCTGGCCAACATGGGGAAACCCCGTCTCTACTAAAAATACAAAAATTAGCTTGACGTGGTGGCGGGCACCTGTAGTCCCAGCTTCTCAGGAGGCTGAGGCAGGAGAATTGCTTGAACCCAGGAAGCAGAGGTTGCAGTGAGCCGAGATTGTGCCACTGCACTCCAGCCTGGGTGACAGAGTAAGACTCCGTCTCAAGAAAATAAATAAATAAATAGGGCCGGGCGCAGTGGCTCACGCCCGTAATCCCAACACTTTGGGAGGCCGAGGTGGGTGGATTACGAGGTCAGGAGATCGAGACCATCCTGGCTAACATGGTAAAACCCCGTCTCCACTAAAAATACAAAAAATTAGCCAGGCGTGGTGGCACACACCTGTAGTCCCAGCTACTCGGGAGGCTGAGGCAGGAGAATCGCTTGAACCCGGGAGGCAGAGCTTGCAGTGAGCCGAGATTGCGCCACTGCATTCCAGCTCGGGCGACAGAGTGAGACTCAGTCTCAAAAAAAAAAAAAAAAAAAAAAAAAAAAAAAGAAATAAAATAAAATAAATAAATAAATAAAGTTTTACTGAAACACAGCCATACTGTTTCGTTTATGTATTATCCATGGCTGCTTTCATGCTATGACAGCAGATTTAGGTAGCTATGACAAAGACCACACAGCCCACAAAGCCTAAAATATTCACTATCTGGCCTTTTACAGAAATAGTTTGCAAATCCCTTGGTCTAAACCACTAAGCTCAAAGGAATTCTCTGTCCTGAGGATCCAGAAGATGGTTCTAAGTTCCTTATTCATAACAACTCTATATGGCAGGTGTAATTATTAATTAACTCCAGATTACTGGTGAAGAAATTATAGCATAAAAAGTTTGGTAAACTGACCAGTCATACAGCTAATTAATGGCAGAACTGGGACCTGAAGTGCTCTCAACCACTGTAATATATGGGTTAGAATTCCATGCTCTTTCATTCTCAAATATTCCAAATAAATAGATCCCCTTACTTTTTTTTCAAATCACCATATACTGTATATTTATGCTATGCCAAATTAAACAATGCTCAGTTTTATAATTATTATTTTTTTTGAAGCAGGGTCTCACTCTGTTGCCCAGGTGAGAGTGCGGTGGCTCAAGTGATCCTCCTGCCTCGGCCTCATGAGTAGCTGGGACTATAGGCATGCACCAACACACCCAGCTAATTAAATTTTTTTTTTTGTAGAGACCAGGTCTCCCTATATCTGATCTCAAGCTCCTGGACTTGTGCAATCTACCTGCCTCAGCCTCCCAAGTGATGGAATTATAGTCATGAGCCAATGTGCCTGGTCAATAATCAGTTTTATATATTACAGATGTCATTCAATTGAGGCAGATGAGGTTTTCCTAAAAGTGTGGCTTCTACTAGTATGTCTGTAATGACTACTTACTTCTTGCTGCCAGTATGGCTCCCGTTAAGGCACCACTTGTGATGGAGTTCCAGGGATCTTCCTTTCCTCTGACTTGAACCATACTACAGTCAATCATGGAAAACAGCCCTCCCCAAACTGCAAAGCTACCTATTTTATTGTAAAAAGAAACAAGCAAATACTAATTTAAATTTCATCTTCCATTTAAAATATTATAGTCAAAAACATACTCACTATAGTCTCAAAATTTATAGTCCAAACAAATACATGCAAACACAAGTTTGAATAAACACCGAACAAGAGTTAGAATACTTATCTTTCGAATAAAGCTGGATTGTATTATATCAGCTGGAAAATTAGCAACGGCCCAAAGCCTATAAGAAATAAGCCAGCCGGGTGCCATAGCTCACACCTGTAATCCCAGCACTTTGGGAGGCTGAAGTGGGTGGATCACCTGAGGCCAGGAGTTCAAGACCAGCCTGGCTAACATGGCGAAACTCCGCCTCTACTAAAAATGTAAAAATTAGCCGGGTGTGGTGGCGAGCACCTGTAATCCCAGCTACTGGGGAGGCTGAGGCAGGAGAATCGCTTGAACCCAGGAGGCGGAGGTTGCAGTGAGCCGAGATCGTGCCACTGCACTCCAGCCTGGGCAACAAGAGCGACACTCCATCTCAAACAAACAAAAAAGAAGCCAAGCCTAAAACAGTCAGGCTGCATATGTGTAAAAACAAGCAAATCACCCTTCCAGAATAACATATCTCTCTGGTTTAAGCAGCAATAAACAAAATCAAACTACTCTGCTTCCTCTTTCGTTCTTCTTTTCTTTCATAGCTTTACTTACCTCTATTTTTGGCCTTTCTGCATTATATGTCATTGAGCATCTACTCTATGAAAATCACCGATGGGAAAACAAAAGAAATCCAGCTATTCTGGAACGTATTACAGGTGTAAGCCAATCCATGCTGAAGGGGCAAATGAATGATATAAATAGCTAGAACTATGGAACATCAAAGGGATGGAAATTGCCTGTCCATCCTTTATTCCTCAGATATGAATTTAAAACAACCTTAAATCAGCAGATTACTTTGCACTTAAACTCTATCTAAATACAAAAACAGCCAGGTGCGGTAGCTCACGCCTACAATCCCAGCATTTTGGGAGGCCGAGGCGGGTGGATCATGAGGTCAGAAGATCGAGGGCATCCTGGCCAACACGGTGAAACCCCCGTCTCTACTAAAAAATACAAAAAAAATTAGCCAGGTGTGATGGCGGGCACCTGTAGTCCCAGCTACTCTGGAGGCCGAGGCAGGAGAATGGTGTGAACCCAGGAGGCAGAGCTTGCAGTGAGCCAAGTTTGCACCACTGTGCTCCAGCCTGGGCGACAGAGCGAGACTCCGTCTCAAAAAATAAAAAAAATAAATAAATCCAGTGGATAGTACCAGTGGAGTATAGCATAAGCATCCTCATTTTTAGTACAATATTAGACATCACATCCTATGTAAAAACAAACCAGTTATTTCTTCTAACTCAGTAATTCTATGCCCTGGGAGAGAGCTATGACGTCTAGGTATATTAGAATTACCTCACTAAAATTTTCTGACAAGACCCTCCCATTTCCTCATGAGCCTAAAATCTCAGGAGACCCTTCCCCTGAGAATCATTGCCAGAATAAGTGTTGGCTACTAATGAGAATGGAGAATTTGAGTCTAAGCAGGATGAGGAGGAGATCCATAAAGGGTAGCCTGGTGTGAGGATCCAGAGCCAGATGAGGCGAACGTCTATACACCTGGACACCCGAGAACAAGGTTTTAGAGCCTAAGCAAGAGAGAGATTCTCAAGGAAGGCAGCCTGGCATGGAGTGTCAGAGTATACTCTGACAAAGGGCAGCCTGTTGTGGGGTACCATAGCCCAAGCAGGTTAAGAAGGCAGGTATACATATGAAAAGGAAGAAAATAATGAATCCTGTGGGATGAACTGGAAATACGAGATATCAATATAAACTTGTGATTTTCAGTATGTATAGATATACAGAAATATAGATTGTATACCATTCTTGATTTTTCTTTTAAAAAATTTTTTTGTAGAGAGGCATTCTCTCTAAGTTGTCAAGGGTGTTGAACTCCTGGGCTCAAGCCATTCTCCTGCCTTGGCCTCCCAAAGTGCTGGGATTACAGGTGTGAGCTACCACTTCTGGCCCTAAATACCATTCTCAACTAAAAGGAACTGGGGCTCTTTGGAGAAATGGCTACAACAGGAAAAGCTGCCCTGCCCACAGCTAGGGCATGAAAAGTACAAGATGAGCCTGAAACGTCTTCTTCCAAAATGCAAGAAAGTGGTCAAAGAGTAACAGGGACATGTCAAAATCCTATCTTATTTTCTCTATGAAAATATAAGACCTGGGCTGGGCCGGATGGCTCACGCCTGTGATCCTAGCACTTTGGGAGGCCAAGACGGGTGGACTGCCTGAGCTCAAGAGTTCGAGACCAGCCTGGGCAACATGGTGAAACCCCATCTCCACTAAAATACAAAAAACTTAGCCAGAAGTGGCGGCATGCGCCTGTAATCCCAGCTACTTGGGAGGCTGAGGATGGACAATCGCTTGAACCGGACAGATGGAAGTTGACGTGAGCCGAGACCGCGCCATTGCACTCTAGCCTGGGCAACAAGAGCGAAATTCCGTTTCAAAAAAAAAAAAAAAAGAAAATATAAGACCTAAGTCCGGGCGTGGTGGCTCATGCCTGTAATCTCAGCACTTTGGGAGGCTGAGGTAGGCGGATCACCTGAGGTAGGGAGTTCAAGACCTGCCTGACCAATATGGTGAAACCTCGTCTTTACTAAAAATACAAAAATTATCCCGGCTGTGGTGGCGCATGCCTATAATCCCAGCTACTCAGGAGGCTGAGGTGGGAGCATCACTTGAACCTGGGAGGCGGAGGTTGCAGTGAGCCAAGACTGTGCCACCACACTCCAGCCTGGGTGACCCTATCTCAAAAAAAAAAAGAAAGAAAATATAACACCTTTCAGAACACAACTATGATTTTCCCATACTGCCTGTCCCTCCCTGCACCTTGATCTGAATACCTTAGCAAATGCTCACCAAATTAATAAAATCATCATCCTAGTATTTTTAGAATTTAAAATACCATAAAAACTTCTCAATAGCTTCCTAAAAAAGGCTAACCTCTAGGATTTGAAATGGATAATTCCAATTCACTCATATCACCACTCACTCTTCCTCTATTTCACCGTGCTTTGTAAGAAAAAATAAACTCTTCCAGTTTTTCCCTATTACCAACATCTACATTAGCATGGAGCATCTGTCACAACTAATGACCCAATATTGACACATTACTATTTTTTTTTTTTGAGACAGAGTCTTGCTCTGTTGCCCAGGCTAGAGTGCAATGGCACAATCTCGGCTCACTACAAACTCTGCCTCCCGGGCTCAAGCGATTCTTCTCCCTCAGTCTCCCGAGTAGCTAGGATTACAGGTGCCTGCCACCACACCCGGCTAATTGGTGTATTTTTAGTAGAGACGGGGGTTTCACCATGTTGGCCAGGATGGTTTCGAACTCTCGACCTTAGGTAATCTACTGCCTCAGCCTCCCGAAGTGCTGGGATTACAGGTGTGAGCCACTGTGCCCGGCCGACACATTACTATTAACTGAAGTCCATACTTAATTCAGATTTCCTTAGTTTGCTAATGTCCTTTTTCTGTTCCACAGTACCACATTACATTTATTTTTATTTATTTATTTATTTATTTTGAGACAGAGTCTCGCTGTCACCCTGGCTGGAGTACAGTGGTGTGATCTGGGCTCACTGCCAAGTTCCGCCTCCCGGGTTCAGCCATTCTTGTGCCTCAGCCTCCCAAGGAGCCGGGACTACAGGCGCCCGTCACCATGCCCGGCTAATTTTTTTTGTTGTTGTTTTTTTTTGTATTTTTAGTATTTTTAGTAGAGATGGGGTTTCACCGTGTTAGCCAGGGTAGTCTCGCTCTCCTCACCTTGTGATCCACCTGCCTCGGCCTCCGAAAGTGCTGGGATTACAGTCGTGAGCCACCGCGCCCGGCCTACATTTAGTTTTTAATTTTATTTATTTATTTATTTTTTGAGACAGCGTCTCACTCTATCACCCAAGCTGGAGTCCAATGGCACAATCTTGGCTCACTGCAACCTCCACCTCCTGGGTTCAAGCGATTCTCCTGCCTCAGCCTCCTGAGTAGCTGGGATTACAGGCACGTGCCACCATGCCCAGCTAATTTTTGTATTTTTAGTAGACATGGGGTTTCACCACGTTGGCCAGGCTGGTCTCAAACTCCTGACCTCGTGATCCACCCGCCTTAGCCTCCCAAAGTGTTGGGATTACAGGCGTGAGCCACTGTGCCCAGCCCTTTTATTTTATTTTTTAGAGACAGAGTCTTGCTCTGTCACCCCGCCTGGAGTACAGTGGTGCAATCTCGGCTCACTGCAAACTCCACCTCCTGGGTTCAAGCGATTCTCCTGCGTCAGCCTCCTGAGTAGCTGGGACTACAGGCATGCACCACCGGGCCCAGCTAATAATTTAGTTGCTATGTCTTCACAGGCTTCTTTTGGCAGTGACAGTTATCTGATGGTATTTTAACTCACTGAAAATGCGTAAGGTGATAGAAGCAGCCTCTCAAAAAACAAGCAAAAACCTATATGGCTTCTGCATATACTAGAGGTTCTGGGTTTGGTGTGAACTTTTTAATACCACTCATCATTCTTGAATAACACAATAACCACCAACACAAAAACAAAGAGAAATTAGTTACTAATTACTTTCCAGGGTAGATAATTCTTACACAGGGAACAAAGGAAAAAGATACAACATTACCTCAACCCTCAGGAACTAAATTTCCTCATCTGGAAAATGGGAGATAATAATAGTACTAACTTCTTCATTACTGTGAGAGTTAAGAAAAGCAAAGAGAAGATTATTTTGATACCCAAAACATCTAAGGAACGACTGAAGTATTAAGATTTTTTCATGTCTTATATACGGTCTCTCCAATCTAACTATACCCTTGTGTTGTTTGTTTTTGTTGCTGTTTGAGACAGGGTCTCTGTCACCCAGGCTGGAGTGCAGTGGTGCAATCTCACTGCAGCCTCAACCTCATGGGTTCAAGTGATCCGTCCATGTCAGCCTCCCTAGTAGCTGGGACCACAGGCACATGCCCCAACACCTGGCTAATTTTTCCATTTTTCTGGGGAAATGGGCAGCCATGCTGCCCAGGCTGGTCTCGAACTCCTGAGCTCAAGCTATCTGCCTAACTCAGCCTCCCAAACTGCTGGGATTATTGGCGTGAGCCATTGCGCCCAACCCTGACTATACCTTTGTAAGTGAATATAACCTACAAACATTTTTTGTCACCTCCCTTTTCCCAGCTTCTGAATAACCAAGTTTACAAAGTACAATGAATAGAATCTTTTCAAATTTTCCAATGACCTCTGCACAATGTCCCAAAACCAACCTTGGAGAAGAGCCCAATCGGCTTGATGGGTTTCTCCTGCATGAAACCCCAATCCTTCAGATCACATTCTCTTCAGCTTTATGTTACCTCAGAAGCTATCGGTCCTGACTCACGAACCTGAGGTTTTTTTTTTTGAGACGGAGTTTCGCTCTTGTTGCCCAGGATGGAGTGCAATGGCATGATCTTGGCTCACTGCAACCTCCGCCTCCCGGGTTCAAGTGATTCTCCTGCCTCAGTCTCCTGAGTAGCTGGGATTACAGGCATGCGCCACCACGCCCAGCTAATTTTGTATTTTTAGTAGAGATGGGGTTTCTCCATGTTGGTCAGGCTGGTCTCAAACTCCTGACCTCAGGTGATCTGCCCACCTCGGCCTCCCAAAGTGCTGGGATTACAGGCGTGAGCCCCGTGCCCGGCCTCACACCTGAGCTTTAAATAACTGTCTTTCTTCTGGAGAAGGAAAAAAAAAAAAAATCACCGAGTGTCTGAAGGACAGAGACAAGATTTTCAAATGGGTATCATAATTCAGGTTAATTTTTCAAACAAACTACAAATCAAGAAGAAACTATAGGGATATATGTTTGTGACAAACCGTTAGACCAAACTAAAATCACTAATTGTTGTAATCTAAAAATAAAAATAGCTCCATCTTCAAAGGAACAGAAAAAAATAGTTCAGTTAAAATGAAAATTCTGCTTACCTCCTAACTGTGGAGCCCTGGTTTTAATAGCTGTCAAACTCCCTCGTAGTCTGTGGTTTACTCCCTATAACAAAAAAAAGGAAGCAACAAAAAATATATTAGAAGTACATTTCTAAGCCACTGATGGGACCACCAGTAATATCATCAAACCCAAGTTGCAAGTGATGATAAAATAAGACCATTCACCCACTTACCACTGGAGAATTGCGAAAACCTTTGATTGCTTGAAAGATACCACCACCAATGGTACCCATCGTAAAGGCCCCACCACAGTCATCCACAATTCGCCATGGGCTAAGAACAGGGGGAAAAAAAAGACCATATTTCTCATTCACAAACCATAAAATCTTCTTTGCCAATACAGTAAGGATTATAATGGAACAGATTATACTGCAGGGCCCACTGCAACCAATAAATATTTGGCCTATAAAATGACTTGAGGAAATGCTGTAATCAAACAGGGCAGTCAAAAAATCAAAGCAGTTTTGACTACAAAGATAACCAGGTAACTGATTATATTGTTTCAGGGCATACGTACTAAGAGAAAGCAAAGGGGCTACCTAATGATTTAGTAAATGAAAACCCATTATTTTTCTAAGTTGTTTTTTTTTTTTTTTTTGAGATGGAGTCTCACTCTGTCACCCAGGCTGGAGTGCAATGGCGCAATCTTGGCTCACTGCAACCTCCGTCTCCTGGGTTCAAGTGATTCTCCTGCCTCAGCCTCCCAAGTAGCTGGGACTACAGGCGCGTGCCACCACGCCCGGCTAATATTTGTATTTTTAGTAGAGACGGGGTTTCACCATACTGGCCAGGCTGGTCTTGAACTCCTGACCTCGTGATCCGCCTCGGCCTTCCAAAGTGCTGGGATTACAGGCGTGAGCCACCACACCCGGCCTTATTTTTCTAAGATCTTTAACTCAACATAGTTAAATATTTTAACTCTCTGCTAACCTGTGTCATTATAGTACATCAAACAGCTATTTACAGTGTGCTGAGTCCTACATATCTGAGCACAATCCAGAATGGAGGATAACTGCTTTGAAGAAGATAAGTTTGAAGAGCCAGGAGACCCTAAAACTTATATTTTGTATGCCATTTATGGGAGAGGGGAACATAAAACATGCAACAAGGCTAGGATACCAGAGTAGTAATTTAAGGTCCTGGGCACTTTCACAAATTGAGGACATCTTGGTTGTTGCTCTTACACAATAAAACAAATGATTAACCGAAATATCAAGATTTGATTTTTTACCTATGACCCTAGAAACTTTAAACTCTGGCAACCTGAGACTTCTGACAGCAATTACATCGTTTTATAATTATCTATGTGTCTGGTTTATTCATACTCAATAAACGCTGGATGTAACAATGAATTTCTGTCCATGGCTTTTCAGAGAACACATGCTATTACCTCTTCCTATTTCCCAGGTAATTTTTGTCCCCCTCTACCCTCAAGAAAGAATTCCAAGAAGGAAAACAAGGCCCCACGCAATAAAGAAGCTTATCCAGACCCCTTGGCTAAAATCTATGTTCCATTCATTTAAAATGCTTCACTCTGTGGACACATATCATGATACAAGTAAAACCTCAAGAATGACACTCCCTCAAATGCCTATTCTTCAGTTCCTCAACGCAGGAACTGAGCAAGGCGAGACGGAGGGACGCGCCCAAGGTCACCTCGACGAACAGGGGGGATTATAACTGGCCCCGCATAAAGTCGATTACGCCCTGCGTTGGGAGGAGGTTCCGAGGTTCTATCAAACTCAAGTCTGGACCTCCTTACCATCCATCACAAGGTCACACGGGTGCTGGGTTGGGAGAGGGAGGCTCACGCGGCCGGGGAGGTACTAAGTACAGGGCTAAGAAGCCGACTGGCCGCGAAAGACCGCATTGCCCAGTTACCAGGCCCAAGTCGACGAGGCTGCGGTTGAGTCTGGCTTGCACCTTGGGAGCCTGGACAAGGGAGAAGGAGGGCAGTGGGCAGGGGGGCAAGAGAAATGCAAAGACAGCGGTGAAGCTCACCAAGGCTCTCGCGCGTACTCCTCCATCTTGACTCCAATGCCGCGAGTGATGCCGGGCAAGCTGGGCGGAGCCTGACCCCAGAGGCGGAAGTGATCCCGAGAGGAGGGCGTTAAGGTCTATGAGCATTGGTTCACCATTTCCCGCTGCAGCCAATGGGAGCCAGGACTCCTGTGGCCAGCGTGTGGTCGGGGCATTGGCCGCGGCGTGGCGAGACTGGCCCTGCCCACGTCCTCAAAGGCCGCGAGTCCCGGCTGTGTGGGCGGGGGGCTACCAATGACGGAGTCACACTACCCGGTCACCAGAGGTTCCGTGGACTGAAATCAACGCGATACTGCCTAAATACGCTTCTTTCTTTCCCTTCCCTTCCGCCTTCCCTTCCCCCTTCCCTTCCCCCTTTCCTTTTCTTCTCTCCTTCCATCCTTTTTCTTTCTTTCTTTTTCTTTTCTTCTTCTTTTTTTTTTTGAGACAGAGTCTGGCTCTGTCGCCCAGGCTGGAGTGCAGCGGCGAGATCTCGGCTCACTGCAACCTCCGCCTCCCGAGTTCAAGCGATTCTCCTGCCTTAGCCTCCTGAGTAGCTGGGACTACAGGCGGGCGCCACCAGGTCCGGCTAATTTTTATGTTTTTTTAGTAGAGACGGGGTTTCGCCATGTTGATCAGGCTGGACTCGAACTCCTGACCTCGTGATCCGCCCACCTCGGCCTCCCAGAGTGCTAGAATTACAGGCGTGAGCCGCCGCACCCGGCCTCTTTCTTTCTCTTCTTTTCTTTTCTTTCCTTTCTCTCTCTTCTTTTTCTTTCTTTCTTTTTTGGTACTTTTGCTGTCAAATGTGGATTAATGCTATCTTATTCGTCACTTACTGTGAAGCTGTTACCAAATACACGTAGCTCCTTTAGGGCAAACAGTGTCTCAGTGATTTATAATAACCACAGTGCCTGGAATGTAGTAGATGCTCAATAAATGTTTGTGAACTGGAACTGTTTGGGCCATCTGGAGAGCCATGACCAATTTGGAGCCCTCGATTTCAGGGACATTGACACCAGAGCCTCTCACAGGCCTCTCCACTAATGATCACCAGAAGGTGTGAAGATGTTTGGCTCGGAGAAGAGGGGACTTATGGGGACCAGGCCGGGCGTGGTGACACGTGCCTGTAGCCCTGACTGTTCGGGAGACTGAGGCGGGAAGATAGCTTGAGCCCAGGAGATCTACCCCGCAGGGAGCTGTGATCATGCCACTGCACTCTAGTGACAGAGTGAGACACTGTCAAAAAAAAAAAAAAAAAAAGGTTGGGACCCATGGAGCTTTTAGTTTACTGTCAACAAAATCCCAATCATGTGATGGCTGTTAAAGTGCTCCTCTCCATTCTGTACGTTTGTAATTAACTTTAAAAATATGTATATATTTATTTTACGGAAAAGTCAATGTCATAAATAATGGAAGAGGCCGGGCGCAGTGGCACACGCCTGTAATCCCAGCACTTTGGGAGGCCGAGGCGGGCGGATCACGAGGTCAGGAGTTCGAGACCAGCCTGACCAACATGGTGAAACCCCGTCTCTACTAAAAATACAAAATTTAGCCTGGCGTGTTGCCTGTAATCCCAGCTAGTCAGGAGGCTGAGGCAGGAGAATGGCTTGAACGTGGGAGGTGGAAGTTGCAGTGAGCTAAGATTGTGCCTGGGTGACAGAGCGAGACTCCACCTCAAATAAATAAATAAATAAAGGAAGACTGCAAAGAGGAGTGAGGGTCTCTCCAAAAGCTTGGAAATAAAGTAAGCAGATGAATCGAACCCTCCATGGAACTAAAGATTATCAATAAATGTGTCTTGCACGTGAGAATGGTTCATACTAGTTATCTGATTTGGGTGTGTAAGGTGGAGAAGACGTGTTCAGAATGTGACTGTAATTAAGAATAGTTAACTCTATTTAATTGTACAGGCCAAAGAGAGAATGTGGGAGAGGGGACATGGAGGAATTCAGAGGGCAGGAATCTGACATTTAGTCAGCACCGAAGACCTGGTGGGTATAAATATTTTAGTAACTAGAGATTTGCACTCTCACCAGGACCCAGATAAAATATCCCTTAGCTCTAGCTCTAGCTACCTCCCTTTGTTCTTATTCCATATTTATTATGCAATCTTCTTCTTCTTATTTGGCTTCTGAATAGATTTCGATATAGAAGAGAATACCCTGGCCTGTGTTTATAACTATTCTTCTCCACTTGGTAGTTAATACTGGCTTATGTATCTGCCTCTTGTGAGATCAGTTATTTTGACTAAATCACCAGGAATAGTCAGGGTTCTCCAGAGAAACAGAACCAAGAGGATATATATATACACACACATATATATATCTTATTGTGTGCAAATATATATATATCCTTCTGTTTCTGTTTCTCTCTCTCTCTCTCTCTCTCTATATATATATATATATATATACATAAAATTAATATTTATTTATTTATTTTTGAGATGGAGTCTCACTCTGTTGCCCAGGCTGGAGTGCAGTGACGTGATCTCGGCTCACTGCAACCTCTGCCTCCCAGGTTCAAGTGATTCTTCTGCCTCAGCCTCCCGAGTAGCTGGGACTACAGGTGTGCGCCACCACACCTGGCTAATTTTTGTATTTTTAGTAGAGATGGGGGTTTCACCATATTGGCCAGGCTGGTCTCAAACTCCTGACCTCGTGATCTGCCCACCTGGGCCTCCCAAAGTGCTGGGATTACAGGCATGAGCCACCACACCCAGCCTATTTATTTATTTATTATGAGTAGTTGGCTCACATGATTATGGAGGTTGAGAAGTCCAATAATCTGTGTCTGCAAGCTGGAGATGGAGGAAAGTCAGTGATGCAGTTTGGTCCAAGTCCAAAGGCCTGAGAGCCAGGGGTGCTGATGATGTAAATCCCAGTTTGAGGGCAGGAGAAGGTGAAATGAGATATCCCAGCTCAATAGTGAGGCAGGAAAAGAGGGGCAAATTCTTTCTTCGGCCTTTTCAATGCCCAGCCACACTGAGGAGGGCAATCTACTTTGCCGAGTCTACCAATTCAAATGCTATTCTCATCTGGAAACATCCTCATGGACACACCCAGAACAACATTTAATCTGGGCACCCTATGGCCTACTCAAGTTGACACATCAAATTAACCATCACAGTGATAATGAGTTTCGGAGTTTACAAAGCTGAAGTCCAGTTTCTAGGTTGTGGTTCCCCAGCTCATTTAATTCCAACAGTCCCTATCCTAAAGGAGTTTACTGCTCTGGGAAGCTCCGCTCAAGTGGCCAAAGAAACTTTAAGGAAAGAGACTTCTTACTCTTTGCTCTCTTTTAATTGCAACAGATAACAGAACATTTTTGGCTGGGCAAGGCCCAGGAGAAAGATGTCACGTCTTCTCAAAAATATTCACTTCCATTTGGTTCCAGGGTGCTAAGTGAAGAAATCTTTTGAAAAGGGTTCAAAAGAAGCCTTTTGAAAGGTTTAGAAGGATTGGTACTCTAATCTCCCCCTAGTTAGTCTTAAAGAATTCTGAGGGACTGTGGTGGCCCTCACTGATGGAATGGTCAATGATACGAAGGCATAGTAGAAGAAAGCAGTGGAGGTCCTTGAGAGAAAAGTCACCATAAAGGTGAAGGGCGTTTGAACTTCTGATTCAACATACCAGTGTATATTCTATTGAAAGTTACTGTTCTGGGCTCAAGATAGGACTGCTGCTAGAGCCCCATGTGGTCCAGGTACTCAGTAGATCAAGCTTCATTGAGCCAGAGGCTGCTGTGGCCTAAGGAACTCCATCCACTAAGTCACAGGTCATGTACATGGCACCAAACCCACAGTCCCACCTGGTCCATGTCATGGAGAAATTCAGATTGGCGTGGATAAGTAAGCCTCCTGTTGGGTTTGGGTTTTAGTTTGTGACCAGGGCTGATTTGGTAGACAGAGGGGTTTTAGCTTAGGTAACATTGGTGGAGGTGAAGGAGGCAATCTCTTGTCTCTTTGCTGCCCCCTTTTTCCTCCCACTGCTCTCCTCTCAGGAAGACATTAGTCTGGCCTGTGCTCTGTCTTGAGCTCTCCTCTGCCCATTTCTGCTCATCTCAGGAGTGCTGGGCCAGGCCAGTGGCTTGCTCCCAGAGGCAAAGTCTGCTGCCTTCTAGGGGAACTGTCAGCATCCCCCAAAAGGAAAGAACCAGTGTGAAAACTTCTCTCTTTTGTGGTCTCTTTCAGGACCCTGCCATAGTCATTCTATGTCAGCATATCTCCTGATCTTTGCATGTATATACACATACATATAGCTATATAATTTAACTATATAGCAAGCATCAGTGAGTGCTTAAAATATGTCCGATGCTGTTAAGTACTTTGCATGCATTATCTTATTTAATATGCTCAATAATTCCATAACTATGAATTAGGGTTTTTTTAAATTTTAGATTATTTTATTTTCGTTATTATTTTTTGAGACAGTCTCACTGTGTCACAAGCTGGAGTGCAGTGGGATGATCTTGGTTCACTGCAACCTTTGCCTCCCAGCTTCAGGTGATTCTTGTGCCTCGGCCTCCCAAGTAGCTGGAATTACAGGTGTGTGCCACCACACCCGGCTAGTTTTTGTGGGGTTTTGCAATGTCGGCCAGGCTGGTTTCAAAATCCTGGCCTCAAGTGATCAGCCCACCTTGGCCTCCCAAAGTGTTGGGATTACAGATGTGAGCCACTGTGCCTGGACAAGGTTTTTTTTTTAAGAGATGGGGTCTCACTCTGTTGCCTGGGATCATCTTGACTCCTGGCCTCAAACATTCATCCCACCTCCTCGGCCTCCCAAAATGTGGGGATTACAAGCATAAGCCATCATGCCCGGTCTGGTTTTTTGTTGTTGTTTTGTTTTGTTTTGTTTTGTTTTGTTTTGTTTTAGAGACGAGTCTCACATTTTCCCTAGGCTGGACTCAAACTCCTGGGCTTAAGCAACCCTCCCGCCTCAGCACCCCAAGTAGTTGGGACTACAGGCACACATCACTGCACCCAGCTCGTAGATGCTCTTAATATCCTCATTTTCCATTGCCTAAGGCTCAGAGAGGTTAAATAACTTACTTAAGGTCACACATCTCAGATTTGAGCCCATGTCATTTGACTCCAGAGCCTGTAGTCTTATCTGCTATACTATACTGCCACCCTATATTCCTGAAAATGTGACTTTCCTGGGGTCATTCAGCCCAACTGAGAGCCACCTAAGCATTAATTAAATTGGTTCTGGATCCTCATTCTTCCCTCCTGCCCTGCACCACATTTTGATTGGAGCTTTGAGTCTCTTTTCCTTCTTTTCTCTCCCCATCCCTCTAGCGACAACAGTGCTTGTTTTTCTCTGGGGAATAGACAACGGCCAGGGTCCTGATACCCAGGATGGATTTGTTTCAGGTGGAAGTTGATTCTGAGCTGGAACAACCAGTGCTCCCTACAGAGTGGGTCGGGCAGTGGCCTCTCATTGTAGGGGCTGGAGGTGGCTGTACTCCCTGGCCTCTGGGTTCCCAAATCCTCCAGCTCCAGCTGTGATGCCTTTCAAGGGAAGACTTTTGGAGTCTGTGAGCAGTGTCAGGGAGCTCTTGGGGCTCCAGGGAGTAAAAAGCTTCTGACTGAGTCATGTCAGAAGAACCAGCGATTTGGAATTGGGAGACCTGACACAGAGAAGATACTGGGGTTAATGTGTAGAAACCTTTGGTTAGGAGGCATGAGTCCTGCCCTTTACATTTGAAAGCTATGGATTTATTTTTTTGAGTGTCTTCCTGGAGCAGAGACCACTGGGCCCAAAAAAGAAAACCACTGAAACCAGATGGTACAGGGCTAACCCTGGGGCTGAAGGTAGTGATTTGCTTTTAGGCCCTGACTGCTCCTCAGGGAGCAGTGAATATTTTTGGCAAAAAGCCTGAGAAAGAGTCCTTGGAAACTAGAAAGAGAATTGCTTTCAGCTGACTGGGAGGCTAGAGGTTGGCTGAGGTCCTAGAGCCAGGGACCCCAGAAGATGATGCTTTTTTCTGGGCAACACTGAGGGTGAAGGCCAGCTGACCCAAAGGGGGTACAGGGGGAGGGGATGGGCATAGGGAGTGCCATGTCCACCCAACATACCTAACTAAAAGCCCACTCCAGCATGGCTGAAACCCTTTGTTATGCCCTCTGAGATGACCACCCTGACTCCTCCCCACAAAATTAATGTGTCTTCCACTGGGTTTTTTAACAGTTGGACCTCTCTGCAAGACTCCTTGTACCTCTCTAGCTTGCTTCACTTTGCCTTACAGTGTAGTTATTATTATTTTTTACCCCATTGAATTATACATGTTTAAGAGAATAACAATGTTGTAATGACAATGTTGTAGTGCCTGGCAGGATGCTATATATAAATAGTAGTATCTGAATAAATGTTTGAATGAATGAATGAGAACCAGGTGAGAAAGTGTGTGTGTGTGTGTGTGTGTGTGTGTGTGTGTTTAGAGGGTGTTTACTCTTGAGAGAAAGAAATAAAAAGATGAGAGAAAAGGTGGGATGGGAAGAAAAGAACCCAGGACAAGAGTAAATAAATAATTATAGCCAGGCGCTGTGGCTCACGCCTGTAATCCCAGCACTTTGGGAGACCGAGGCAGGTGGATCACCTGAGGTCAGGAGTTCAAGACCAGCCTGACCAACATGGAGAAACCCCATGTCTACTAAAAATACAAAATTAGCCGGGCATGGTGGCTCATGCCTGTAATCCCAGCTACTTGGGAGGGTGAGACAGGAGAATTGCTTGAACCCGGGAGGCGGAGGTTGCAGTGAGCCGAGATCGCGCCATTGCACTCCAGCCTGGGCAATAAGAGTGAAACAGAGTTTCCCAATAAATAAATAAATAAATAATTATAATAATTAATAATAAATATGGTGTTTACCATGTACTGGGTATATCAATGAAATGTTGTCATGTGTAGGACCTAATTTAATATTCACAACAATTGTATAAGGTTGGTATAACTGTTGTCCTTATTTTACAGATGATGAACTCAAGTCTCAGAAAAGAAGGTAGCTTGCCCAAGTCACATGGCCTGTAAGTAGCAATACCAGGACCAAATACAGGTCTATTGGCCTCAAAGGCCCAAGCTCTTCACTGTTAAATCATACTTCTATTCAGCCTCCTCTTGTTGTGTTTTCCCATAGCCCCTGTGCTTGCTCGCTCTTTCTTTCTTTCTTTCTTTCTTTCTTTCTTTCTTTTTTGAGATGGGGTCTTACTCTGTTGCCCAGGCTGGAGTACAGTAGCGTGATCACAGCTCACTGCAGCCTCAACCTTCTGGTCTCAAGCAATCCTCCCACCTCAACCCCCTGAGTAGCTGGGACAACAGATGCTCACCACCACATCAGGCTAATTTTGTTTTTTTTTTTTTTTTGGAGAGATGGGGGTCTCATTATGTTGCCCAGCCTGTTCTTGAACTCCTGGACTCAAGCAATCCTCTTGCCTTGGCCTCCCAAAGTGCTGGGATTACAGACATGAGCCACTGCACCTGGCCTGATTTTGTATCTTTAGTGATATCTCTTGCTCTTAGAACAATGCCTGATATATAATAGGCACTTGATAAATCACTCAATAAATATATACCTACGGTTTGACCAATAAGTTGGCTACTGACTCTTAAAATGACAACCCCCAGGTTTCCCTAAAGTCTTCTTCCACTCTTCCTATCAAGTCTGCCTGCCTTCCTTCTGCCCTTCAGTCCCCCCAGTGGACACCATTCCCCTCTTCAGCCTTAACCTAAAGTTGGACTAGTGGACATTAAATGGCACGGCCAAGTTTTAGTCCCAGACGATCCCTGGACTCAGCAAATGCTGATCAAGTGACTGTCTCTCTCTGGCTTAGGATGGAAAGATGCCAGGAAAGATCGAAGCATCTACCCTGATGGGTTACACCAGGGCTTCTAGAAGGGATTTTGTGGCAGGAGGAAGGGGGGCAGGGGATTGAATGTCTCTGTGACTTGTGCAGGGCAGCATGATGGATGAGCAGTGGAAAGCCCTTCTATGAAACATGCCAGACCTGTTGCAATCGTATCTCTCCCGACGGCCCAGAATTCTGTTTCCCTGAAGACATACTAAATCGTGCTCTGGATTTATATGTGGGTGGTGACCTGCCTCTGTGCTCCCAAAGGAGGTCTGTCTACAGATGCCCGGCAGAGGAAGAAACAGATGACAACAGGGGGAGGTTTGAACCCTCTTCCCAAGAGCCTTGGAACTTCATGGAAAGTGACAGCCCTTTAAGAGTTTCCCGACTTCTGCAGATCCTTCTCTCTTTCCCAAACAGCCTGCCAGTTTTCAGTTTTGGTACACAGTAAGGATTTATTCTCTCTCTCTCTCTCTCTCTCTCTCTCTCTCTCTCTCTCTCTCCCTCTCCTGCCTAGCTATCTCTATCTCTAAGTTTGTCTTTCTGTCTCCTGTCTCTCTCTTAAGAAGTGGCCAAAGGATCCTGGAGCCTCTGATGCTCAGCCTTCAGGTCCTCCTTGGCAGAACCTGGGTAGAAAGAAAATGGGTAGGCAGGGGGTTAGGAGTAACAGCTCCTCATCTTGAATCTAGACTTTCCTGGAGCTGTATACACCTGGGAGCCCCCCAGCACATTACCAAATACTGTAGAAGGAAGTCCATGAACCACACATTGACCACAGTGATACGTCCACCCGGTGATGGAGTAGTAAAATACGCTCTTGAACGTGCCCCGGGCTGGCGAGTTCACCGGCCCTCATGGCCTCGTCCCTGCTTGTCTGGCTCTCCGTGGCTGTGATCTGCTTCTGCCAGCCTACGCATTTTTGTATCTTTTTCTCATTGCGTGGCCCCTTGTCTTTAAAAGGCTAAACTGCTCTGTACTAAATTTGGTCACGCAGCGCTCCAAGATTCCCTGGAATGTCCTCAAGTTTCAAACAGCTCTGACAGCGAGGTAGGCCCGCCCCCAGCTTGGGGATTGGCTTCTCCTCTCCGGGCCTGGCAGTTGTCGGGTCTTATTGGCCGCTGATTAGACCAGCCGGGGTCCACTAGCCCTGGGCTTCAGGGAGGCTGCTGCGTCCAGTGAACACTTCAGCACCTGTAGCACAGAAGGGCCAAGGAGCTGCAGTCCTCGACCAGCAGGAGGTTTGCTCCTCAGCCCACTCGCTGCATCCAGATCAGCTCACCCCTCTCCCTTCCCTGCCCACCAGGACTCTGATAGCCCCTGGCAGCCACAGCCCATTTTGCCAAGATGTCTAGAGTAGCCAAATATCGCCGGCAGGTGAGTGAAGACCCCGACATCGACAGCCTGCTGGAGACCCTGTCTCCCGAGGAGATGGAGGAGCTGGAGAAGGAGCTGGACGTGGTGGACCCAGACGGGAGTGTTCCCGTGGGGCTGCGGCAGAGAAACCAGACGGAGAAACAGTCCACGGGTGTGTACAACCGGGAGGCCATGCTCAACTTCTGTGAAAAGGAGACCAAGAAACTTATGCAGAGGGAGATGTCCATGGATGTGAGTGAGCACAGCCCTGGAGGGGAGGAGGGAGACAGGGGAGGGCTGGAGACCCTGGCTTCATGATTAGGATGCTTCCTTCCTTAGAAGAAACGTTCTTGTTGGCAAAGGATTTTAATGCTTCAGAACTGATGATTATCCACTGAACTAGCGGTGCGAATCTCTTACTCCTAATTTCTGTTTTATAAGCAGAAGTCGGATATGTTGGAGGAACACAACATCCCACAAAATCAAATAGAGCTACTAGTAGAATGGGAGCTGGAAGGTGTCCTTGAAGAGTCCATTGTCAAGTTGACTCCATCCTGGTCCCACAATACCTTTGTTTTTCTCCACACTCATTCCATCCTATTGTGAGGAGGGGTAAAAAGAGAGAGTGATACTTTATGTCTCCTGTCAGCCACCCAAAAAGACAAAGCTAAGCCATTTTTTGTGGGAGAATAACTCATTTTCAAGTCCCCAACCCTATGGGCATCTCACGGCACATGGATCATTTCAGGAGGCTTGGGGGTAAATGAGTTTCCCAAAGCAAAGGGAGACAGGGACCAGGAGTCTATGGGCTGGGAAATGTGGCTTAAAGACCTGATAAGCTTCAAATTTATTCCCAGGGAAGATGTTTTTTGTTGTGGTTAGTTGGTTTTTGGTTTTGTTTTGTTTTTGCACTCTCCAGAGGAGCCTCTGGAGGGAGCATGCCCTCTTTTTGGTAATTAACCCTTTAGCAGCTGGCGAGGCCGCTTTGCTGGGGGTTGAAGATAGTCATAGAGGAGGGAAAAGGGGTGACGGTTTTGGAAGCATCTGCCCACACCTACAATGGGCTTAAGCACAACTTGCTTTCTGTTTTCCTGAGTTGGCATGGAGGAATTTTTTTTTTGTCACTATTGCATTGGTATGTGAGTTTTCTTTGGACAAACTAGCCTCCGATGAAGTATGACTTTGTGGGATACCTTTGTCCATGGGAAAGAGTGTTGCATAGGAAAATTGTTCAAGTCTTTGTTCTAGTTCTCTTATTCAGCCACATCTCTTGTACATTATCCATTACTTGTGAATTCTTGCAAGAAAAAGATCAGTCTCAATTCTTGCTTTTTGTTTTACTTCTATGGAAACTGAGGCACAGAGCTTCAAATGACATGCACATTCTCACAGAGGAACTGAGAATGGGAACATTATCATCCAAAATGCCTGCGGAATGACTGGCTGGGTATGAAATTGTGTTGACTGCTAGTCACAGAGCATATTGGTGGACACAGCCCTGACTCCTTTAGTGTAGCAATGGGAAAGAAGGGAGGAGGAGGGAAGGGGGTGAAGCAAAGAGGAGCTGGAACTCTGTCTCTGTCCCTACCGCCCCCCCCCGCCCCACCACCTATGTTTAAGCCTTTGCCAAGAAGAGGGAGAAGGAGGGAGGAAGGAGGGAAGCCAGGAGGCTCAGGAATTTATTGTCCTGTATGCACAAGGTGGTTGCCCCAGATGCAGCTATGATAATGATAAATAAAACCAAAACATTTACAGAAAAAGTGGTAGCACTTACTGTGAGGGCCCGGTACCCCAACACAGCTATCAGGAATCATACAGAAAGAAATGAAATGCAGCCAAAGGCTTTGGCACCCTTGGAAATCGTTGACTCTGCTCTTCCCCACTCCCAGTCGCAGGCTCTGGGCCCATGACTGCCTTGTGTCCGGTAGCTTCCAGTGCTCAGAAAGGTACTCCTGAGGCTGAAGTCAAACAAAGCAGTCTAATCACAAGCAAGAGTGTGAAGGATTCTCCTGTTCCTGGAAATTTCACTATCATAGACTTTTTATTCAGCCAGTTAATACCGTGACAAGTGTCTCCTCCCCTGCCTCACCTCTCTCACCCCTGCCAGGTCCACACTTGGTTCTGCGGACAGAGCCCGAGTCAAGAAATAGAAGTGGTGTGTGTGTTTGTGTGTACATCCTTGATGTAAGGAGATGCCTTTAGGTCCGGTTTTCCCTTGTGGATGTAGGCTGTTCTGATCCCCTCACTCTTCCTCACCCTGTCCAGGGACGTACATTGGCATAATGGCTGGCTGGAGTTCGGGGTGCATGCTGAGCCTGGGCAGAAGTCATCTCTGTAAATCTGGGTGAGAATGAACCCTAGAAGGTGGCTTCTTTGGCACCATTAACAAAATAGTGAGTGTGTGGCCAAGAACTTGGATTTAAGTATTAGAAAAACCTGGTTTGAGTAATGGTGTCTCTGTGTAAGTCACAAGTTACCTAATCTAAGCCTCAGTTTCATCACCTACAAAATATGGATAGTAGTACCCATCTCACAGGGTTGTGAACACTAAAAGCGGTGCTGCGGTAGAGCACTTAGCACAGAGCTTGGCGTGTCATAAACACTCAGTCAAGGCCAGCTATGAAATTATTACTTCATCTGAGTCAAGGAACCCAGAAACCGGTGAAGTGGGCCGAAAGCAAATCTCTACTCCTGTCCAGCCCCTCTCTTCCCTCAGTTTCCTGAGGGCTGTGCAAGCCTCACCTGTCAGTTTAATGAGTGGCCCGAGTAAACAAGCAACCCCTGGGTGCTCAGAGTGGGGACCACCAACACCACAGACACAGCACCGTGCTGGGGGCAGGTGGACTCCAGGCTGCTGGCCTGGCTGCAGCCCTCACTGACGGTGGCCTTCACTCCATGTGAGGAACTGAAAAGTGGTCAAAACAGAGAGTAAAGCAAGATGAGCATTTACTAAGAAACTTCTACATGCCGAGCACATTCACCTTTTCTTTAAGCCTTACGATTCTTGGGAGATGTGTATTTTTATTCCTATTATCTTAGAGAGGTTGAATAACCTTCCCAAAGTCACACAGCTAATTAGTTGAGATCAGTGCTTCTTCCTCTCTGCCATACTAGGGTGCAAAAAAGACAGTAATGTCAGTCCCTGCCCTGAAGAATTTGTAATCCAATTAGATTCCATGCAAAACACACATGGATAGAACCATCAGAGAGTGCTACAGAGCAGAGACCACAAATTCTTATATTGGCTGATATAATAGTCTTCTGTCAAATGTTCATCTCCCTGCCCCCATGAGTAGGAACATAACTAGAAAAACTAAGTGTGGATTAGGGAAAGTAAATCCTGACTAGATAGTGGATGCTGTTAAGGAATTTCTATTAATTTCTTTTAGGTGTGATAATGGCATTGCAGATATACTTTTTAAAGGATTCTTTTCTTTTAGACATAAATACATAAATATTTATGGGAAAAATTTATTGGCTTTGGGAATTAGCCTTAAAATAATCTGGGTGGGGGTATATATAGATGAAACAAGATTGGCCACCAGTTGACAATTGTTGAAGCTGGGTGATGGGTCTACATGGGTGTTCATTATATTATTTTTTCTACTTTTGTATGTATGTTCGAAAATTTTCATAATAAAATTTAAAAAAAAAAAAGAAAGAAAGAAACCAACATTGGGAGGTTGGCCTTAAGACAGTCTTAAGGTCTGTCTTTTCCCCAGAAGGACAGCCCCAAGATGCATACTCTGGCTATTGTGCAAAGTGAGTCTAGGCTGCCAGAGGGCCCTTGGCCTGCTTCTCCCTCCAGGGTCTCCCTCCAAGGGATGGGATATTCCAGAGATCCTCCTGATTGTTTACCATCTTTTTCATGAATATTCCACCCTTGCCTCTTCCAGGTCAACTCCTATTTGTTCTGCCTGTCTCAGGTACCACTTCCTCCAGGTAGTCTTCCAGGACTCCCTCAAGGTCAGGCACCTTGTCTGAGCGCTCCAATACCAGTCTGTACCAAAGCCCTTGGGACATGACTTTTGTATAATCATCTGTTTTCTTGGGCTGTCTCACTCACCAGCTTGTGGGACTTGGAGGGCAAAATGCAAATGCAGGGCCCAGCACACAGCAGGCCTTCAGCCTCTGTTTGTTGAGTGAATGTTAGCAGGGGATTGGGGAGGGTAGAGGTGGGACTTGGAAGAATTGACCCCAGCTTCTCTCCCTCCCTTTAAAGGGCCAGACCTGTCAGCCAGTGTAGCTCCGCCCTAATCATCCGGGAACTCTCCTTCAGCCCAGGTAGAAGACAAAGCCCCTGGGCAAGCTGTAGCCAACGGTTCAGTGAAACTCTTGTCCTTGTCTCAGGTTTCAGGAACCGGATCCCAACCGGTCAACTTGTGTGTCCTCTTTCCTTCCCAAGTGGGAAAGAAAATCTCCAGCCTGCCTCCCCCTCCCTTCTCCCTGGTGTTAGCAGGGGCTGGGGATTAGCGCCTGTACCCAGCCAGGGTCAGGGCAGCTGAGCTGGTGGGGGTGGAGGAAAGCTCTCCCTAGAGGTAAACTCGAGAAGCAAACCCGAAGCAACCTACTAATAGCGGCTGCTGGGCCTGAGCCCTCCTGACCTTCCACTCCCACTGCCTGCACAGCCTCAGCAGCCCCCTCCCCCATCGGTTCTAGTTCACAGCTCAGTGTCCATGGTATCTCTACGGGGCCGGGAAGGCCCGAGGCCGGCGGCCTAACCCTCAGAATGCCCTTTGCAGAGGGTTGGGACCTATCAGGAGTGCACTGAGCAGCACGGCTCAATGCTTAAGGAGATTAACCCCAACTGGTACACACCCAAAATAGCCCTGGAGGCTAGGGTGAAGAGGGCAGAAGAGGTGACGGGGGCCTGTTGACCCAGGGAGGCAAAAGCAGGCACCGGAGAGGGTTAGACTGTTAAAATCTCGCCCTGAAATTTGAAACTGCCTCCATCCAGAGTTTGAAAAAGCAACTGCTTGTTTCTTAAACTAGGTGGTACAATCCACAGGTGTTTGTTTTAAATATTGTTATTATACGTTTTCTTCTGTATGTATATAATATTTAAAGAATTTTGAGGGCAGGTGTGATGGCTAATACCTGTAATCTCAGCACTTTGGGAGGCTGAGACAGGAGGATCACTTGAGTTCAGGAGCTCGAGACTAGCCTGGGCAACATAGCAAGACCCCATCTCTAAAAAATTAAAAATTAAATTAAAAAAAAAGAATTTTACCAGCCTGGCCAACATGGGGAAACCCCATCTCTACTAATAATACAAAAAAAAAAATGGCCAGGCACGGTGGCTCACACCTGTAATCCCAGCACTTTGGGAGGCCAAGGCGGGTGGATCACCTGAGGCTGGGAGTTCAAGACCAGCCTGACCAACATGGAGAAACCCCTTCTCTATTAAAATACAAAATTAGCCAGGCATAGCGGCACATGTCTGTAATCCCAGCTACTAGGGAGGCTGAGGCAGGAGGATTGCTTGAACCCGGGAGGCGGAGGTTACGGTGCGCCGAGATCGTGCCATTGCACTCCAGCCTGGGCAACAAGAGCAGAATTCCGTCTCAAAAAAAAAAAAAAAAATGCTGGGCGTGGTGGTGCATGCCTGTAGTCCAGCTACTTGGGAGGCTGAGGCAGGAGAATCACTTGACCCGGGAGGCGGAGGTTGCAGTGAGCTGAGATCGAGCCACTGCTCTCCAGCCTGGCTGACAGAGCAAGACTCCATCTCAAAAAAAAAAAAAAAAGACTTTGAGCAAGTGAGGCATTAGTGCCTGCTCCCACCCTCAGTGCTGCCCTCTGGGTGCCTGCCTTCTCCTTACTGGGACAGTAGGTATAAGAGCTTGGTTAGGCCGGGTGCCGTGGTTCATGCCTGTAATCCCAGTGCTTGGGGAGGCCGAGGCGGGTGGATCACGAGATCAAGAGATCGAGACCAGCCTGGCCAACATGGTAAAACCCCATCTCTACTAAAAATACAAAAATTAACTGGGTGTGGTGGCGCATGCCTGTAGTCCCAGCTGCTCGGGAGGCTGAGGCAGGAGAATCCCTTGAACCCAGGAGATGGAGGTTGCAGTGAGCCGAGATCGTGCCGCTGTACTCCAGCCTGGCAACAGAGCAAGACTCCATCTCAAAAAAAAAAAAAAAAAAAAAAGAGCTTGGCTGGATGGAAAATGCAAGAGGGAGGCAGGACAGATGGACAGGACCAAGGAGCACTTGTAAAATAAGATGGCTCACCAGTGAGAGCGGGATATAGATGGTTAAGAGGTGGGGTCTGAGTCCCACTAACCAAGGGGAGGTTGCTCCCAGCATCAGAGAAGGCTGGAGGCTTCAGGGATTCTGGGAGCTTCATGGTCCCCAGGCTGGGACAAGAAGGTGAGGACAAAGCCCCGGTCTTATCTGTCTATCCTCCTTCAGTCTCTCTTTCTCTCCCCCAGGAGACTTTAGAGTATCTTTGTCAGACCGTGTCAGCATATCTACAGCTGGGCCCAGAGTGTGCAGAGCCTGAATGAAGCACACCAAGAGATAGGCAGTCTACACACATGTGTATACACACACACACACACACACACACACAGCAGGAGCAGAGGAACAACACACAGCGCCATGCATGGGGGACAGGAGTGGCGACGCTAATATTTACATGCCTGCCAAGTTGGATAAACAGGAATATCCTGAGCCATAGAATGCAGGCCTTTCCAGATCAGGCCCTTCCTTATTTATTGGACCACTTTTGTTTAACCAGCAAAAGAGCAGTGGTCTCCATTCGGTTCATCAGTTCTCCCAATGGCTTGTTAGTGTCTGGGCAGTGCGGTGAGACAGAAAGCCCAGGGGTGTCTGGAATCAGATAGGTCCAGGTTTGAATTCTGCTCCTGCCCCTTACTGATCCAGTGACTTGGAATAAGTTACCCAAGGAAGAAAGAACATTAACTTGATTGAGTGCCTTCTGGAGCCAAAGGCTTTATCGATGCTATCTCATTAACATAGCTTCTTGAGGCCCAATTACTTCACCTGTCAAGTGGGGATGATAAAATCATCCTTGAAGGGTTATAGTGAAGATTAAATAGGATGAGGCATTGAAAGTGTTTGGCACATCACGAGAGACCTTCTTTCCTCACTCTAAACTCTTCAGAGTTTGTACCTGTATATCTGCCAAATCAACATTATTTTATCTCTCACGAAATTAAAAAAAAAAAAAACCATCAGTGAGTGTGAAGGAATGATGAAGAGAGAGGGGAAGGGGAGGAAGGAAAGCAGGGAGGCAGGGCTTATGTAATTACTCGCTGCCTGGCCCCAGCAGCCTGATTTCTTTGAGCCTCTGCCTAATTTATTTTATGTCACAGGCTCAGGGGCCCAAACTGAGTTGCTGGGTTGGAAAAAGACAGAGTGAAAGGAGATTAGGAGAAGATTTTGAGGTGGATTCTCCTTGTCTGCAGGCTTCCACCCCAGCACAAGCTCAGAAAAGCCAAGGCTGCTTTGGGAGAACTTGGCTTCAGCTGTCCCTGGGGCCCACTGCAGAAAGAACAAGCCGGGTTGTCGGGATGCTGTTTACAAACAGCTAGGAATAGAAGCACCTCCTGTTCCCACACCCTTCCACCACCCTTTCATGGACAGCCCACAGGCTCCTTCTGATTGTTACTTCAATAGGCCTTCCTTTGAGATCAAGCCGGCAGGGCTGGCAGGACCCCTGTCCCTGAGACTGGCAGGTGAAAGGTGCTACATCCTCAGGCAGAAATTCCCAGGGAAGCTCTGAGTGCAGACTATATGAGTCTAGTGGTTAGAATAGTCTCCTCAGGGGCCAGCTAGACCTGGGTGCAGATCCAGCTCTGCTGGTTGCTGGCTGAATGACCCAAACAAGTGACTTCACGTCTTGGAGCCTGAGTTTCCTCACCTATAAAATGGAAATTACGGCCGGGCGCGGTGTCTCATGCCTGTAATCCCAGCACTTTGGGAGGCCGAGGCGGGCAGATCACCTGAGGTGGGGAGTTTGAGACCAGCCTGACTACCATAGAGAAACCCCGTCTCTACTAAAAATACAAAATTAGCCGGGCGTGGTGGCACGTGCCTGTAATCCCAGCTACTCGGGAGGCTGAGGCAGGAGAATTGCCTGAACCCAGGAGGCAGAGGTTGTGGTGAGCTGAGATGGTGCCATTGCACTCCAGCCTCGGCAACAAGAGCGAAACTCCATCTCAAAAAAAAAAAAAAAGGAAATTACAATGCTTAGTCATAGGATAGTTATGAGGTTTCAGCAAAATAATCCACATAAAGCACTAAGCAGAGTGCTGGGTTGGAAACCTAGTAGTAAAGGCCCATGAACATTAGTTTCCTCCCTTCCCTTCACTCCTATCCGCTCCTCCCATTCCCATTCTCTTCATTCGTTTTATACACAGAATTCATGAATCATGCTTTATGTTTACAAGGAGGGAGGAGGACTCCATTAAATCATTAATTTGCCAGCTCTTTAATGAGTTCCTATTATGTACTTTCTAAATGCCAGGATAGAGTAGTGAACAAGAGAGACAAGGTTCTTGCCCTCATAGAGGTTACAGTCTATGTTTGTTTGTTTGTTTTTGAGACAGGATCTCACTCTGTTCCCCAGGATGGAGTGCAGTAGCATGATCTTGGCTCACTGCAACTTCCATCTCATGGGCTCAAGCAATCCTCCCGCCTCAGCCCCCAGAGTAGCTGGGACTACAGTTGTGCACCACCATGCCCAGCTAATTTTTTTGTATTTTTAGTAGAGATGGGGTTTCACCATGTTGCCCAGGCTGGTGTCGAACTCCTGGGCTCAAATGATCTGCCCACCTCAATCTCCCAAAGTGCTGAGATTACGGGCATGAGCCACTGTGTTTTTTGTTTTTTTGTTTTTGTTTTTTTTTGTTTGTTTGTTTGAGACAGGATCTTACTCTGTTGCCCAGGCTGGAGTAGAGTAGTGCAATCTCAGTTCATTGCAGCTTCAAACTCCTGAGCTCAAGGGATCCTCCTGCCTCAGCCTCCCAAGTAGTTAGGACTACAGGTGTGTCCCACCGCGCCCAGATAATTTTTAAATTATTTGTAGATACTGGGGTCTCCCTATGTTGCCAAGGCTGGTCTTGAACTCCTGGGCTCAAGTGAGCCTCCTGCCTTGGCCTCCCAAGTGCTGGGATACGGGCATGAGCCACCACACCTGGCCAAGGTTACATTTTAATGGGTGAGACAGACAATATATATATTTCCATATGCAGATCATATGTAGCATGCATACACATAACATGTAACATATGACATATATCTTCTAAAAAAGAGTAATGTCAGTTAAGGGAAGAGTATATGACATATCAATGGGAGACCACTTCCAACAAAGTAGTCAGGGTCTTCACTACCAAAAGAGGTGACATTTGAGCAGATTCTTTTTTTTTGAGACAGAGTCTCACTCTGTTGCCCAGTCTGGAATGCAGTGGCGCAATCTTGGCTCACTGCAACCTCTGCCTCCCAGATTCAAGCAATTCTCCTGCCTCAGCCTCCCGAGTAGGTGGGATTACAGGTGTCTGCCACCACACCCAGCTAATTTTTTTGTATTTTTCAGCAGGGAGGGGGTTTCACCATGTTGGCCAGGCTGGTCTCGAACTCCTGACTTTGAGTGATCCACCAGCCTCGGTCTCCCAAAGTGTTGGGATTACAGGTGTGAGCCACCACAACTGGCCCATTTGAGCAGATTCTAAATGGACCGAAGGAGCTAGCCTTGGGAAGATGTGGGGAAAAGCTTTCCAAGCAGAGGGAACATCAAAGACACAGGCCCTGGGGTGGGGGCAGGGTTAGCATGTCAGAGGAAAAGCCAGGCCCCAAAACTAGAGCAGGAGGAGTGGGGAAGGAGCCTGGAGGAGACGAGGCCTTGGAAGTAAGCAGGGTTCCGATCATGTGGGGACTTTTAGGGCAGCAGAGTTTGACTTTTTATTCTAAGTGCCATGACTTTTTATTCTAAGTCATTGGAGTGTTTTGAGTAGGGGAGAGATGTGATCTAATTTATGCCTTTAAAAGGCTCATTCTTCCAGCTTTCAGATAAACAGACTGTAGGGGGGCAAGAGTGCAGAAATGAGACCAGTTAGAAGGGTGTTTCTGTCTCTCAGGTGAGAGCTCAAAGATGGTTTGATGAGAAATGGAAACTGGCTGATGCACTGGGGGAAAGAGAAGAGTCGGGGTGATCAGTACTGCCTAAGCTATTGGGTGAATTTGATGTCTTTTTTTTTTTTTTTTTTTTTTTTGAGACAAGGTCTGGAGTGCAATGGTGTGATCTCGGCTCACTGCAACCTCCGCCTCCTGGGTTCAAGTGATTCTCCTGCCTCAGCCTCCTGAGTAGCCAGGATTACAGGCGCCTGCCACCACGCCCGGCTAATTTTTTGTATTTTCAGTAGAGACAGGGGTTTCACCATGTTGGCCAGGATGGTCTCGAACTCATGACCTCAGGCAATCTGCCCACCTCGGCCTCCCAAAGTCCTGGGATTGGCCAGGTGTGGTGGCTCATGCCTGTAATCCCAGCACTTTGGGAAGCTGAGGCGGGCAGATCACTTGAGATCAGGAGTTCAAGACCAGCCTGGCCAACATGGTGAAACCCTGTCTCTACTAAAAATACAAAAATTAGCTGGGCGTGGTGGTGGGCACCTGTAATCCCAGGTACTCGGGAGGCTGAGGCAGGAGAATCGCTTGAACCCAGGAGGTGGAGGTTGCAGTGAGCCAAGATCATGCCACTGCACTCCAGCCTGGGTGACAGAGTGAGACTGTCAAAAATAAATAAATAAATGAATAAATAAATAAATAAAACTAAAGTGCTGGGATTACAGGTGTACAGGTGTGAACTACCATGACCGGCCAAATTTGATGTCCTTTACTGCCATGGGAAACAGCAGAGAAGGAGTGGTTTTGGGAGGTGAAGAATTCTGATTTGAACAAGTTAAGTTTGTTGTGCTTAGTAGACCCCCAAGGGGAAATGTTGGGTTGACAGGGGTTGCACTCCAGATCTTGTCTCAAAAAAAAAAAAAAAAGGACATCAAATTCACCAAATAGCTTAGGCAGTACGGATCACCCCGACTCTTCCCTTTCCCCCAATGCGTCAGCCAGTTTCCATTTCTCATCAAACCATCTTTGAGCTCTCACCTGAGAGACAGAAACACCCTTCTAACTGGTCTCATTTCTGCACTCTTGCCCTCCTACAGTCTGTTTATCTGAAAGCTGGAAGAATGAGCCTTTTAAAGGCATAAATTAGATCACATCTCTCCCCTACTCAAAGTCTGGGGCTCAGTGGGAAGAGGGGATGGGAGATTAAATTTGGGATTCATCAGTCTGTGGATGCTACTGAAAGCCATGAGCCTAGAAGAGATCACTTAGGGAATAAATGTGAATGGAGGAGAGCAGAGGGCTGAGGCCCCAGCCCTTCATTATACCTACATTTAGGTGTTGGCAGAGGAGAAGGAGCCAATGAAGAGACTGAGAGGTAGAGGAAATTCAGAGTGGTTTCACCAAATCAGGTGAGAAAGGATTTCCAGAAGGAGAGAGTACTGTACCACATCCATTCTTGCTGAGAGGTTTAATAAGGTGAGACAGAGAATCAATCACAGTAATTGGTAAGATGGAAGCCATTGGAACCTTGGCAAGAATGATTTCACTGTGGTGAATAGTGGACTCAAAAGAGAGAATATGGATAAGGATTGGAGATGGAGCATCTAGATAAGTCTCGTTTTTCCTCAGTTTTGTTCTAATGGGAAGCAGAATAGTAG